>NC_000018.10:63287528-64537528 GCF_000001405.40 Homo sapiens | reverse complement strand
GAGAAAATGATTTATATCAGCAATATTAGAAGTGCTGTAGGAGAGAAAAGTGACACCAAGGGTCGTGGAAACAAAAGTAGAAACTGCAGTAAAAATAAATACGCTGTTAGAAAAGAACATGAGATAAAACAGCAATACAACCCAGTGGTCATTTTAATTATTACTCAGTGCAATGCCCTTCAAAAAAACACTGTGTGCATTTCATATAAGCAGTGTGCCTATATAGAAAACTAATTTATTCAGATGAGTGTACATGAACTGGCTCTCCTGTTGACAGAGAATCAGGTGAATTGGGGACTTTGGAGTTCTCAGCTTCATCTATTTCCAAAGGAAAATGAAATCATTCTACCAAAAAGATGCATGCACCATATGTTCACCACAAAACTATTCACAATAGAAAAGACATGGAATCGACCCAGGTGCCCATCAACAGTGGATTGGATAAAGAAAACGTAGTACACATACGTAGTGGAATATTACATAGGCATAAAAAGAAGGAAGTCATGTTTTCTCTTTTTAATACATTTAACATTACAAAGTAATGTCTTCTCACACTTTTACTATACTATTACTCTAAGGGAGTTTATTAAGGAGTATACTCCTTAATAAACTATCCTATTAGTTCTGTTCCCTCTAGAGAACCCTGACTAAAACAGATTTTGGTACCAGAAGTGCTTTGAGAGGAACAGAATTTTAAGGATGGATTTTTTAGTTGCTTTGAGGGTTTCAAGAGTTGACTGCTTAATATTATTAGGCCCAAAAATGATAAGGACTCTACTTTCTAATAGTATGGAGAACATTGATAGCCCTTTGCATGAATTGTTGAGAGAGTTATGCAAAATAAATATATTTGATACTCCTGATTCACTGCTTATGAGAGGCAAGGAGTTTAGTGACTCTACACATGATATCTTTGACCATATGTGGAAAACCATGGAACATAATGAAGTTGGTTTGTTGCTTCTATGTTTGCTGGACAAAGTGATGAAAGAAAATGATGTGCTCGGGGATTCTAATTCCCAGCTCCAGAGCACATACTGAGCCTCAAATCTTCTAAAAGATTCCCCTGGGTGAGAATCTTATCTCCTGTAGACAAAGGGCTGAAATTGTGGAATATCAGACACAAGCTCTTATCATGCTAGTGGCTGACCTGCAACAAAACGTACACGCTTGGCCTCACCAGGTGTGTCTACTGTTAAAGTGAGGGCATTAATTGGAAAAAATACGGGACCCTGCAACTTGGAATGGGGGATGTGTGGGAGGACCCTGATGAGGCTGAGGGCACTGAGTGCCAGAATACATAATTGGCATAGACATACACAGCAGCAGGCAGATTCCCCACACTGGCTCTCTGATTGGTAAGGTGAGGACTATTATGGTGGAAAAGGCCAAATGGAAGCCATTAGAGCTGCCTCTACCTAGAAAAATAGTAAATTAAGAACAATATTGCATTCCCAGAGAGACTGTAGAGATTAGTGCCACCATCAAGGACTTGAAAGATGCAGGGGTGGTGATTCCCATCACAACCCCGTTCAACTTTCCTATTTGGCCCGTGCAGAAGAAAGATGGATCTTTAATAATGACAGTGGATTATGGTAAGCTTAACCAAGTAGTTACTCCAATTGCAGCTGCTGTACTAGATGTGGTTTTATTGCTTAAACAAACTAACACATCTCCTGGTACCTGGTATGCAGCCATTGATTTGTCAAATGCCATTTTCTCCATTCCTTTTTCTCCATTCCATAAGGCCCACCAGAAGCAATTTGCCTTCATCTGGCAAGGCTAGCAATGTACCTTCACTGCCCTACCTCGGGGGTATATCAACTCTCCAGCTTTGTGTCATAATCCTGTTCACAGAGATCTTGATCTCTTTTCCCTTCCACAAAATATTACATTGGTCCACTACATTGACAACATTATGCTGATTGGATCCATGAGAAAGAAGCAGCAAACACTGTGCACTTATTGGTGAGACATTTGTGTGCCAGGTGATGGGAAATAAATTTAACTAAAATTCAGGGAACTTCTATGTCAGTAAAATTTCTAGGGGACCAGTGGCATGGGACCTGCCAAGATATTCCTTTTAAGGTGAAGGATAAGTTGCTGCATTTGGCCCCTCTTAAAATCAAGAAAGAAGCACAACTCCTACTCGGTCTATTTGGATTCTGGAGGCAACATATTCCTCATTTGGGTGTGTTACTCCAGCCCATTTAATAAGTGACCCAAAAGGCTACCAGTTTTGAGTGGGGTCCAGAACAGGAGAAGGCTCTGCAACAGGTTCAGGCTGCTGTGCAAGCTGTTCTGCCACTTGGGCCATATGATCCAGCAGATCCAATGGTGCTTGCAGTGTGAGAGGCAGGTATGGATGTTGTTTGGAGCCTTTGGCAGGCCCCCATAAGTGACTCACAGCAGAGGCCTCTAGGATTTTGGAGCAAGGCCCTCCATCTTCCACAGAGAGATACTCTTCTTTTGAGAGACAGCTCTTGGCATGTTACTGGGTATATTAGTCAGTTCTCATGCTGCTATAAGAAATATCCAATACTGGGTAATTTACAAAGAAAAGGAGGTTTAATGAACTCACAGTTCCACATGGCTAAGGAGGCCTCAAAGTCATGGCAGAAGGCAAAGGAAGAGCAAACGTACATCTTACATGGCAGCGGGCAAGAAAGCATGTGCAGGGGAACTGCCCTTTATAGAACTATCAGATCTCTTGAGACTTATTCTCCATCATGAGAACAGCATGCAAAAAAACCTTCCCCCATGAGAAAATTACCTCCAACCAGGTCCTTCCCACAACACATGGGGATTATGAGAGCTACAATTCAAGGTGATATTTGGGTGGGGACACAGAGCCAAACCATATCATTCTGCCCCTGACCTCTCCCAAATTTCATGTCCGTATATTTCAAAACCAATCATGCCTTTCCAACAGTTCCCCAAGTTCTTAACTCATTGCATTATTAACTCAAAAGTCCAAGTCCAAAGTCTCATCTGAGGCAAGGAAAGTCCCTTCTGCCTGTGAGGCTGTAATATCAAAAGCAAGTTAGTTACTTCCTAGATACAATGTGGGTACAGATATCAGGTAAATACACACATTCCCAATGGGAAAAATTGGCCAAAACAAAGGGGATACAGGCCCCATTTAGTTCAAAATCTACTTGGGCAGTGAAATCTTAAAGCTCCAAAATAATTTCCTTTGACTCCAGGTCACATTGATACAAGAGGTTAGTTCCCGTGGTCATGGGCAGCTCTGCTCCTGTGGCTTTTCAGGGCACAGCCCCCCTCCTGGCTGCTTTCATGGATTGGCATTAAATGCCCGTGGCTTTTCCAGGTGCATGGTACAAGCTGTCAGTGGATCTACCATTCTGGGGTCTGGAGGACAGTGGCCCACTTCTCACAGCTCCACAAGGCAGTGCCCTCGTGGGGACTCTGTGTGGAGGCTCCCTCCCCAAATTTCCCTTCCACACTGCCCTAGCAGAGGTTCTCCAGGGGGACTCCATCCCTGCAGCACACCTCTGCCTGGACATCCAGGCATTTCCACACATTTTTCTGAAATCTAGGCAGTGGTTCCCAAACCTGAATTCTTGACTTCTGTACACCTGCAGGCCCAATACCAAGTGTAAGTCACCAAGACATTGGGTTTACACTCTCTGAAGCTATGACCTGAGCTGTACATTGGCCCCTTTTAGCCATGGCTGGGATTCAGGGCACCAAGACCTAACACTGCACAATGCAGCAAGGCCCTGGGCCTGGACCATGAAACCAGTTTCCCTTCTAGTCCTCCTGGCTTGTGATGGCATAGGCTGCTGTGAAGACCTCTGACATGCTCTGGAGTCATTTTCCCCATTGTCTTGGTGATTAACATTTGGTTCCTCGTTACATATGCAAATTTTTGTAGCCAGCTTGAATTATTCCTCAGAAAATGGATTTTACTTTTCTATTGCATCATCAGGCTGCACATTTTCTGAACTTTTATGCTCTGCTTCCCTTTCAAACCTAAGCCATTCCAAATTGTATCCTTGTGAATCAATACAACTGAATGCTTTCAAGAGCGCCCAAGTCCCATCTTGAATACTTTGCTACTTAGAAATTTCTTTCACCAGATGCCCTAAATCATCTCTCCCAAGTTCAAAGTTCCACAGATCTCTAGGGCAGGGGCAAAGTGCCACCAGTCTTTTTGCTAAAGCATAGCAAGAATCACCTTTGCTCCAGTTCCCAATAAGTTTCTCATCTCCATCTGAGACCGCCTCAGCCTGGACTTTTTGGTCAAAACTGTTTAACAATTCTCAAGGAAGTTCCAAACTTTTCCACATCTTCTTGTCTACTCCTAAGCCCTCCAAACTGTTCTAACCTCTACTTGTTACCCAGTTCCAAAGATGCTTCCACATTTTTGGGTATCTTAATAGCAGTACCCCACTCTACTAGTGCCAATTTACTGTATTAGTTCATTCTCACACTGCTATAAGAAATACCCAAGACTAGGTAATTTATAAAGAAAAATAAGTTTAATGAACTCACAGTTCCACATGGCTGGGGCCTTCAAAATCATGGTGGAAGGCAAAGGAGTAACAAAGGCACATCTTACATAGTGGCAGGCAAGAGAGCATGTGCAGGGAAACTGCCCTTTATAAAACCATTGGATCTCATGAGACTTATTCACTATCACAAGAACAGCATGGGAAAAACCCATACCCATGATTCAGTTACCTCCCACTGGGTCCCTCCCATGGCACATAGGGATTATGGGAGCTACAATTCAAGATGAGATTTCAGTGGGGACACAGCCAAACCATGTCACTGGGCTTTGGTAGAAACTGAATGTTTAACTGTGGATCATCAAGTCACCATGCAACCTGAACTGCCTATCATGAACTGGGTGCTTTCTGACTCATCTAGCCATTAAGTTGAGCATGCACAACAGCATTCCATCATCAAATGGAAATGGTATATACGTGGTCCAGAAGGCACAAGTAAGTTATATGAGAAAGTGGCTCAAATGCCCATGACTTCCACTCCTGCTATCCTGCCTTCCCTCCCACAGCCTGCACCAATGACCTCATGGGGAGATCTCTATAATTAATTGACACAGGAAGAGAAGACTAGGGCCTGGTTTACTGACGGTTCTGCACAATACCAGAACCTGGTTTACAGGTGTTTATACATGATACCAGATATGATGGTACCACCTAGAAGTGGACAGCTGCAGCACCACAGCCCCTTTCTAGGACATCCCTGAAGGACAGTAGCAAAGGTAAATCTTCCCAGTGGGCAGAACTTTGAGCAGTGCACCAGGTTATGCACTTTGCTTGGAAGGAGAAATGGCCAGATGTGTGATTATACACTGATTCATGGGCTGTAGCCAGTGGTTTGGCTGGATGGTCAGGGACATGGAAAAAGCACGATTGGAAAATTGGTGGCAAAGAAATTTGGGGAAGAGGTATGCAGATAGACCTCTCTGAGTGGTCAAAAACTGTGAATATATTTGTATCCCATGTGAGTGCTCACCAAAGTGTGACCTCGTCAGAGGAGGATTTTAATAATAAAGTGGATAGGATGACTCATTCTGTGGACACCACTAACCCTTTTTCCTCGGCCACCCCTATCATTGCCCAATGGGCCCATCAACAAAGTGGTCATGGTGGCAAGAATGGAAGTTATGCATGGGCTCAGCAACATGAACTCATCAAGGCTAACTCCACTCATCAAGGCTAACTTGGCTACAGCCATTGCTGAGTGCCCAATTTGCCAGCAGCAGAGACTAACACTGAGCGTTTGATATGGGACCATTCCTCAGGGTGATCAGCCAGCTAATTGGTGGCAGGTTAATTATACTGGACCTCTTCCATCATGGAAAGGGCAGCAGTTTGTCTTCACTGGAATGGACACTTACTCTGGATATGGGTTTGCCTATTTTGTATGCAATACTTCTCCCAAGACTACCACCCATGAACTCACAGAATGGTTTATCTGTCATGGTATTCCACACAGCATTTCCTCTGACCAAGGCACTTACTTCACAGCTAAAGAAGTGTGGCAGTGGGTTCATGCTCATGGAATTCACTGGTCTTACCATGTTTCCCACCATCATGAAGCAGCTGGATTGATAGAACTGTGGAATGGCCTTTTGAAGTCACAATTCTAATGCTAACTAGGTGACAATACTTTGCAGAGCTGGGGCAAAGTTCTCCAGAAATCTTTGTATGCTCTAAATCAGCATCCAAAATATGGTACTCTTTCTCCCATAACCAGGATTCACAGGTCCAGGAATCAAGTGATGGAAGTGGAAGTGGCACCATTCATCATCACCCCTAATGACGCACTAGCAAAATTCTTGCTTCATGTTCCCATGACATTACATTCTGCTGGCTTAAAGGTCTTAGTTCCAGAGACAGGAATGCTGCCACCAGGATATACAACAATGATTCCATTAAACTGGAAGTTAAGGTTGCCATCTGGCCACTTTTGGCTTCTCCTACCTCTAAGCCAACAGGTTAGAAGAGAGTTACAGTATTTGCTGGGGTGATTTACCCAGACTACCAGATGAAATCTGTGTACTACTCCATAATGGAGGTAAGGAAGAGTACGCATGGAATACAAGACACCCATTAGTGTGTCTGTTAGTATTACCATGCTCTGTGATTAAGATCAATGGGAAACTACAACAACCCAATCCAGGCAGGACTGCAAATGGACCAGACCCTTCGTGAATGAAGGTTTGGGTCACTTCACCAGGTAAAAAACTACAACCTGCTGAGGTGCTTGCTGAAGGCAAAGGAAACACAGAATGTACTTCTACAGAAAGTAGAAGAAGGTAGTCATCAATACCAGCGACAACCACATGACCAGTTGCAGAAACGAGGACTAATTGTGATGAGTATTTCCTTCTTATTTTGTTAAGAACACGTTCGTGAATGTATACACTTGTATTAATAAAATATCTTCATTTTATTTCCTTTTTCCTTTATCATGTGACATAAGAGTTATTGACTTCATGTCAGGATTTAAGTGTTGTTAACTTCATGAAGTAGTATTTATGTTAAGGGTTAGTACACTTCTGGTTGTATGAAAGATAGTTGTATTATGTTAGGCATAATTATGAACTTCATTATTGTCTTTATTTGAATATTATATATGATTCCAGGAGATGTGTACGGGTTCAAGTTCACAAGGGGTGGACTTGTCATGGTTAATATTGAGTGTCAACCAGATTGGATTTAAGGATGCAAAGTATTGATCCTGGGTGTGTCTGTGAGGGTGTTGCCAAAAGAGATTAACATTTGAATCAGTGGGCTGGGAAAGGCAGACCCACCCTCAATCTGGGTGGGCACCATCTAATCAACTGCCAGTGCAGGTAGAATAAAGCAGGCAGAAGAATGTGGGAAGACTAAACTTGCTGAGTCTTCTGGCCTTCGTCTTTCTCCCGTGCTGGGTACTTCCTGCCTTCAAACATTTGACTTCAAGTTCTCCATCTTTTGGACTCCTGGACTTACACCAATGGTTTACCAGGGGCTCTTGGGCCTTTAGCAATAGATTGAACGCTGCACTATTGGCTTCTGTACTTTTGAGGTTTTGGGACTCAGATTTGCTTCCTTGCTCCTCAACTTGCAGACAGTATATTGTGGAAGTTCACCTTCTGATTGTGTGAGTGAATACTCCTTAATAAACTTCTCTTCATGTATATATCTATCCTATTAGTTCTGGCCCTTTAGAGAACCCTGACTAATATACCATAATAAACTAGTCATCAAAAAATAAATAGCTGATGTTTTATTATAAATGAGCACTTGAATCAAGCTTCTGTCACTGACATAAGCCCACCCTAACTATAAGCAAGAATGTTGTTTAACATAGACTTTAAGTTATGGAAATAACAAACAAGTGTCAGTTTTCAGTGTTAGGGTCCTGGAATCTAACTGCAAGCTACCTAACCAGGGGCTCAATTCAGAACTGTCTTCCAGGTTTTCTGCCAACAGAAAAGCAGAGGCCTGGTTGGCACTTTATATAGAATTGTCATATTCCCAAAAAGCATCCTCAAATCATGGCCCCACATTTTCTTTACTTCATGTTGGAAGTTGGATCTCTAGCAAAAGACATTTGTTAAAGAATTGTGTTCCTCCAAAATTCCTATATTGAGGCCCTAACCTTCATTACCTCATAATGTGGCTGTGTTTGGAAACAGGATCTCAAAGGGGTAATTAAGATAACATGAGGTCATGTGTGTGGGTCCTAATCCAATATGACTGATGTCCTTATAAGAAAAGGTGATGAGGACACAGGGAGATACTGAGGGAAGGCTGTGTGGAGACAAAGAGAAGATGACACTCTATGAGCCAAGCTTCAGAAGAAACCCTGCTGACACCTTGATCTTAAGCTTAGCCTCCAGAGCTGTGAGGAAATAGATTTTGTCTGCCTAAGCCACCCAGTTTGATACTTAGCTGTGGCAGCCCTTACAAACTAATACAACAGCCTTCAATATAATAATAAATTCTAGCAATGTGAAAATTAAAGTATTTTACACAAGTCCATATCTCCTAATCTGTTCCACAAGCAGGAGAGTTGAATTGATTCCTTCTTTTATTGCTCCAAGTGCTCTAAGAAGTCTCCTGGGGAGGAAAAGGGTGGAGAGCACATCCCAAGCAGCTCTGCACCTGACTCTCAGGGACTGCTCCGCCCCAGCGCGGCCAGCACAAATGGCTTTCCTTCCTGGAGGGATCTGAGAGAGTGCAAAGTTCCATCCAAGGCCACATGACCTCTTAGAGGCTCCTCCTGACATTTCTGTTGCTTTCCTTTTCTAAATTGTTGCCTTGAGAATTGAGTGAGCATTTGCTTTGAAATTTTACTTTATATTTATTGCTTTTAAAAAGCTATTTGGCAGATTAGAAAAGTTGGCCAAAAAAAAAATGTCATCTTCAGCCTAGTCGATATCAAGAAAAGACTGATGTATCATAAAATCACAGTTTGTGCCATTTTTTTATAAAGCTTCTTGGCAACTTTGTGATACAGCAATAAGTAAAAATGTAATCACTAGTCAAGAAATATGAAGATTAAGTCATATTAGCTCACTTCATTGTTAAGGCCATGATGTAAATGTGCTTATAATGGAAACAGCACTGGATGGTGAGATAGGAAATCAAGGCTGTCTTCTCAATTCTGCTGCAATTTACCACGAAACTTCGGCAAATAACTCAACCTTTCTTATTTTTAAGAGACTCTTCTGTACAAAGGATGAAGTGTGAGTAACCTTGAGGTTTTCTTACTGCTTTAAAAAGTGTATATTGCGGCCGGGCGCGGTGGCTCACGCCTGTAATCCCAGCACTTTGGGAGGCCGAGGCGGGCGGATCACGAGGTCAGGAGATCGAGACCATCCTGGCTAACACGGTGAAACCCCGTCTCTACTAAAAATACAAAAAATTAGCCGGGCGTGGTAGCGGGCGCCTGTAGTCCCAGCTACTCGGGAGGCTGAGGCAGGAGAATGGCACGAACCCGGGAGGCGGAGCTTGCAGTGAGCCGAGATCGCGCCACTGCACTCCAGCCTGGGCGACAGAGCAAGACTCCGTCTCAAAAAAAAAAAAAAAAAAAAAAAAAAGTGTATATTGCAATGTTGATACTTGTAATTAGTATCATTATTGAATATTAGATACATTATTCATCAAAGGACTCTCTCTTCCTTTTCTTTATCACACAGAGAGGGCAGGATTTACTTTGGCAAGTCCATTCCTTAGCAACAACATACCCCTGATCAGAAAGAAAGCTGCACAGTGGGACAAATGGTATGAAACTAAGGAGTGGCCTCTCTTTTGAGTGTAATTCCCTGGACAGTGGCAATCAGTACATGATTCCTCAAGTCTTAACAATTCATTCACTGATTTCTGCATGTACTTCATTCATTCATTCATTCACTCCAAAGACATTTATTGAACACTTAATGTCTACCCACTCCAATAATCAGTGTCTTGGGTAGAGACTGAAGGACTTAAATATAATATTTCAGACCATAAAAACTGACAGAATAGTCAATCATGAGATAATAGAGGAATGATCCACTAGGTAACCATGTAGAGTAACTGGTAAAAAGGTTCATGGAGTTTTAGTAGAAAATAGAATATATCAGTGGCTAGTATAAATGGGTTTGATCTTTAAATCGATTAGGCCTAAAGGCTGCTTTGTTCAGAACTAGTCCTGAGCACTGGGATTAGACTGTAATTCTGGTGGAGGTGAACCATCCTGTCTATGAGAGGAAGAGGGTTGCAGAGGTCAGAACCAAACAAGGAGGATGATGTTGGAGAAGTAACAGTAGCCAACGCCTAGCTTTCTTTTGAATAACAGCACCTTGTACAAAGGTTTGGGTGGTTTATATATAATTTAAGAAAGAAACAATCCTTGTATTCGAATAAAGGTTTAACCACATCTGTGGGAGCAAAAGTAGAGGCCAATTCTCCCTGCTTAATTAGAGCTTCATGTGATGAGTAGCACTTTTCCAGAGACGAACTTGAGTAGGTTCTGGCAAGTGGAAATAAAAGGACGGGGATGTCTTTATGAAGAAAAGTGTGTTGGGAGTGGGGCAGGGATAGTCACAGAAACTCAGAGTAAGCTTACAGAAGCAGTTAATAGACTTATTTACTGAATATAATTCAAGAAAGGGCAGGAGTAATATTAGGTTGGGCTAGAAAAAAAGGCTTGAGGTAAGCTTTCAGGACATAAGTAGACTATATTTTTATCGCAAATTAAAGTTACAATGGCAATAATACTTAATACTGGAAAATACTAAAAAGTAACCAATAGGTGAAGAACTGAGAAGAGGCCACACAATTTTATTTTAAGTACTATGTCTCTTAAAATATATGTGTATATATTTTATTTTTTGGACAATGGAAATAATTTAACCAGATTAGGTAAAGTAATACAACTGGCCCTTCTTGTACCTGGGTTCCTCATCCATGGATTCAACCAATTGTGGATCAAAAATCAATTTTTAAAAATTGCATCTATGCTAAACATGTATAGATTTTCTTCTTGTTTATATGTTCTAAACAATACACTGTAACAATTATTTACATCGCATTTATATTATGTGTTATAAGTAATCTAGAAATACTTGAAAGTACTTGGGAGAATGTGCAAATATTATGCCATTTTATATCAGTAGCTTGAGCATCTTCCAGTTTGGGTATCCAAGGGAGGCCCTGGAACCAATCCCCCAGCAATACTGAAGGATGACTGTATTTTCATTACAATTCCTATAATATTGAAAAAATGTTATGATGAATTACAATATTTACTTTAGCTTTTGTGCATAATGATATTTGCATCTTCTCTCCTCCTTGACTGATTTCTGTTGTGACTTTACCTAATCAGTATTGCTTCAGGATCTAGTTTCTGCCTACCTCTCCAATTTAATGTAGCATTGCCTCTATCTCTACTTCTACAATTTATGTTCCAATAATTCAAAATTAGTTGTTTTTTCCCTTTCTTACACCTCCATACTCCCTCCACCTAGAACAGACTTTCCAAATTCTTAGTCTCATATCAAGCTGAGTTCTCAACTACCTCATATACTTTCCTAAGTGCATATGCCTTTGCCTTAAATAGCTAACAAATGAATATAGTACTTAAAAAGTGTTAATGTAAATCATTACAAGTATTTCTGTGACTTAGGGTTATTTTGTATTGTATGCTTTTGTTTGTTTGTTTGTTTGTTTTTTTCTTGAGATGCAGTCTTGGTCTGTCGCTGTCACCCAGGCTGGAGTGCAATGGCGTGATCTCGGCTCACTGCAACATCGGCCTCCTGGGTTCAAGCGATTCTCCTGCCTCAGCCTCCTGAGTGGCTGGGACTACAGGCACACACCACCACGCCCAGCTAATTTTTGTGTTTTTAGTAGAGACGGGGTTTCACCATGTTGTGCAGGCTGGTTCCAAACTCCTGACCTAGTGATCCACCCACCTCAGCCTCCCAAACTGCTGGGATTACAGGCGTGAGCCACCGTGCCTGGCCTTCTGTTGTGTTTTCTGTATGTATTAGGTATCTAATAATAGGATCAGAGCTTAACTGAATCACTCAAACTGTCTGATTGACTCAGTAAATTTCATCACACTATTTTTATGGTTTCTATGAAAAGAGTGCCTCCCTACCTAAAAAAAAAAAAGGAAAGATGTGCTGAACTCAATTCATGTGACAATTGATTTCATAGAATTATTCACAGTCATTTGACATGTGCCCAAGAATTACCTTATTTGGGAGGTGAGGATGCAATTTTCTTCATCTTTTGAAATCTAACTAGAAACCATGGTAAGAGTCAGCTCAGTGGGTTGTGGCACCTGTTCTACCTTCACCACAGACACCGGCCCCTGTTGTCAAAGTGTTAATAATACATGCAAATGTGTGCACAGCATCACTTAACACTGCCTCTAAAGTAGATGTTTCTTTTTACAAGAGACAATAATCAGCACATCAGCATGCAAACTCTGGACTTCTAGAATACCTTTGATTCAACATAGGAGACTTAGCAAAAATATTTGCATCAACACTAGAAAAATAATACAATTCAATATGCAAAGGTAAAGATCATTTTTTATAATATATTTATAAGATATCTTTCTTGACTAGTATGTGAAAATAATAAAAGACAATAATAAATTCCATCCAAATGTTAACATGTCTTCTACCACCCCTCCTCTATAAGGTGTATATGCAAACACTGAGAGAGGGAGAGCTCATTTTATTAATGACGGATATAGTTTCATGAGCAAAAGACATGCAACATTTTATTTTTTACCATTGCTTATCATTTGTTCTGAGACATATTGTTGACAAAAGTTTCACTGCTACCTTAAGCAATTGATTCCTCATTTTCGGGGACAAAAAGAAGATATTAATACACTCTCCAATATTAGGTAACAGAGGTAATAATAACAAAAAAACTAATCTATTTGTCAAAAGAATCTTAATTCTGTTCCTAATTCCACCACAAATACTTGTAATTCCTCCACATAGTAGCTGTGGGACCACAGACAAGTTATTTCTCTGACAGATTACTTATTTTAAAACTAAACAAGGATATTTTAATATTTTCCTTTGGTTCCAAAATCTTGTCTAGTCTCAAATTCTTGAACATCATTAACGATCACAATATTTACCCCTTTCCATATCAAATAATTTTTTGAGAGTGAAATCATCTGAAACTAATATGTTTGAGAGATTCTACTTCAATAACCTCTCTGATATTATATTCCCATCCGTCCAGCTTTCCTGTAATGTAACTCACATCATTTCTACTCTTTGATTTAAAGAAATGCAAAGATTCTTGACTTTTCTATGTTCTTCTGATCTATCAACTCCTGCTGGACTCTCTTCCTTCTCAGTCCCACAGAGACTACATGACTCACTTCATTAGTCCATTCACACTGCTATAAAGATATATCTGAAACTGGTAATTTATAAAGAAAAGAGGTTTAATTGGCTCATGATTCTGTAAACTGTACAGGAAGAATGGCAGGGGAAGCCTCAGGAAACTTACAATCATGGCAGAAGGTGAAGGGGAAGCAGGCACATCTTCACAAGGACAGAGAAGAAGAGAGTGAAGGGGAAGGTGCTACACACCTTTAAACAACCAGATCTCGTGAGAACTCACTCACCATCATGAGAACAGCAAAAGGAAATTCACTCCCATGATCCAATCAAATCCCACCAAGGTCCTGCCTCCAACATTGGGGTTTACAATTAGACATGAAATTTGGGCAGGGACACAAACCCAAACCATATCACTGATCATCTACTTCTTCCCCCTCAGGTATCTCAGTTACCTTGTGATTTTTATTTTACTCTACTTTTCTAGCCAAACTGCAACTCAGAATTAAAGCCCACCTAACCATTTACACATGGGGATGGCTGGTGATTATCATAGAATATTATACCACTGTAAAACTTGGTGCCCCAAGAAATCTGTGGCTTGATTCTGATTATTTGCTCTAGTACATCCTTTTCTTTCATCCTCCTTTATGAGTATTCCAATAATACACAGATATCTTATGCTTAGTATTCAAAACCCCTGCCTACAATTATCAGCAGCAAACCTTACCTCCCTTAGTTTTTAAGAAATGGCCGGGGGCAGTGGTGTAATCCCAGCACTTTGGGAAGCTGAGGTGGGCAGATCACCTGAGGTCAGGAGTTCGAGACCAGCCTGGCCAACATAGCAAAACCCCATCTCTACTAAAAATAGAAAAAACAGCTGGGTGTGGTGGTGCCCACCTGTAATCCTAGCTACTTAGGAGGCTGAGGCAGGAGAATCACTTGAACCCAGGAGGCGGAGGTTGCAGTGAGACGAGATCGCGCCACTGCACTCCAGCCTGGAAAACAAAATGAGACTGTGAATTTACATAAACTATCCAGAACCTTTCCTACAAGCTAATCTACATCCACATCTACCCTCACGACTGTCCTGTCTTCCTGTCTTCTCTCTTACACCTTTTAATTCAGCTCTGTATCCCACTCCTCACTATTGCTTCCAGAACATTGCATCGTCTGTTAATTACTCTTTCTACTGTACTTTCAGCATCCCCCTTTCTACTTCCTTTTATTTGCCTCAAATGAACGCAACCATCTCCTACCTACCTAATACCCATCCAACTACTGCCCCATTTCCCACTCCCACTTTCATCTGGAATCAAAGTGTTATTGTCATGTCCTTAACAGCTTTACCTCACATTCAATGTGCAGTGCCCTGCATTCTGCTTCTCTCTGTGCTCCTGAAACTCTGTGATAGCCATTGGTGGTCTCCTAATATTAAGTCCAATAGTAATTCTCTTTTAAATTGTCTTCCTCTTTATCAACCTTTGATTGACATACAGAAAACTGTATATGTTTATTTTATGCAACTTGATGTCATTTTTGGTAAGTATACACCCATGAAATCATCATCACAATGTCATACACTTATCTCTCACCTCAAAAAATTTACTCCTGCCCCACTTGGGTTATTTTTGTTTCCCTGTTTTTGTTTTGTTGCATTTTTTTCCTTTTGTAGTAAAAGCACTTAATATAAGATCTACCCTCCTAGCAAAAAAAAAAAAAAAAAAGAAACAGAAAACAACAACACAGCTTTGTTAACCATACACCTTCTGTTATACAGTAATCTCTGGAACTTATTTATTTTGCATGACTAAAGCTTTGTATCCTTTGATCAACACTTCCTGTTTTCCTCCTTTCCTTAGACCCTGGGGGCCGCCATTCTGTTTCCTACTTCTTTGGGTTTGACTCCTAAAAACTCTACATAGAAATGTGATCCTGCAGTCTTCGTCTTTCTGTTTCCAACTGAATTCATTTAGCGTGATCTCATCAAGGTGCATCCATGATGTTGCAAATGATAGGATTTCCTTTTTTAAGGGTAAATGATATTTCTTTCCATGTATATACTAAATTCTCATTATTTTTCTATCTTGGATGTCGTGAATAATTCCTCAGTGAACAAGGGAGTATAGATATGTTTTGAGATACTGATTTCATTTTTTGGTGATATATGTATATATCAGGATGTGGGATTTCTGGATCATATGCTAATTCTATGTTTTGTTTTTTAGGAAACTCCACACTATTTTTCATAATGGTTGTACCAATTAACATAACCACCAACAGTGTACAAAGGTTCCCTCCCTCACAACACTTGTATATATATATATATATATATACATATATATATATACACACACACATATATACATATACATACACATATATATGTAAAGACATCCATTCTAACATCTCTGTATATATAACATCCATCCTAACAGCTGTGAGGTGATAACTCATTGTGGTTGTGATTTGCATTTTCCTGATGACTAGTGATGTTGAGCACCTCTTCATGTATCTGTTGGTCATTTGTGTTTCTTCTTTGGAGAAATGTTTATAAAGCTCCTTTACCCATTTTTAAATCAGGGTTTTTGTTTTTCATTTGCTTTTGTTTTACTATTCAGTTGGAGTTTCTTATGTATTTTGGATTTTATTTCTTATTCTACTGAGCTTCTCTAGTGCTTTTGGGAATTTTGCTTCCTTTTTCATTCTTGACACTATCTAATCTCACTCTTTACTTCTAATATGTACCACACTATGCACTACACTGTTAAATTCTTCCTCCTTCACCTCCCTCATCTCCTCCTGTTCTTCTCCCTTGCTTCCAACATTTTATTATCTCTCTTAAATGAGTATCCTTTCAGTAAATGTTCTAAGTTCTTATTCTTAGAGTGTTTTTCTTTGTTTCATTATTGTTCTGTCTTTATGTTATACTCGGCTATCTCATTTACTCCTGTGCATATTGAACACTCTCAAATTAATTTCTCTATACTAGACCTGTATATTAAGCTTTATATTCAGATCAATATTTCTGGAGATATTTTTCTAGGTGTCTTCTTGGTGTCACATCAAAATTAAGTCAATAAAGTGTTAATTTTTTATTTTCCCCTTGCAACTGACTGCTCTAATATCTCCTTATTAGATATACTTTCCTATTTTTTAAAGATAGAGGAAATAAAGTTAAAAATCATTTTTTCCTAATTTTACCACTTAAATATGTTCTATTTGTCTGTTCCTATCCATCACTACTAATCAATTCATCTCACCTTCATGACTGTGCACATTCCTAATTGCTTTACCTGTCTCTGATTTTGTTCCTCTCAAAACTATCTTCCACATAGTTGCTAGAGAAAACTGAAATCTATGCATAAATAATCTTTACCTCTATAATTATTACTATCTGTATACATTTGTGTTTGTATAGCTAGAAAGGGAATGTTCAAGCTATAAAATTTTGTTTTATTCACGTGAGTGTTATAAGCAGAGAACCATGCACATAACTGAAGAAACTGATAAAAATATGTTGAATGAAACAGAAAGCAATGTCATTTACCCATTATTTTTCTCTGATTTGAGAGGAAGATTATAGTTGCAATAAATTCAACTTATTACATTCATTCAGTAAATATTTATTAAATATTTTCTTAGCTTGTTCATGCTGCTAAAGCAAAATACCTTAGGCTGGGTCATTTATAAACAACAGAAATATATTGCTCACAGTTCTAGAGGCTGGGAAGTCCAAGATCAAGCCACCAGCAGGTTCAGTGTCTAATGAGGGCTTGTTCTGTGCTTCAAATATGGTGCCTTATTGCTGTATCCTCACATGATGGAAGAGGCAATGTAGCTCCATTTAACCCCTCTTATAAGAGCATTATTTCCATTCATGAAAGCTTCTGCCCATGACCTACTCACTACCCAAAGGCCCCACCTCTTAATACTGTCACATTGGGTATTATGTTCCAATATATGACTTGGGAAAGGTCACCATAGCAAGTACCTAGTTTACAGCAGACCCTGGTTATACAACAGTGAAGAACATGATCCATGTATCTGAAGCTTAAATTCTTGATAGAAGATGCAGACGAAAACTATTGCCATTAGGAAAAAATGAGAAACCTGGAGTAGAAGAAATACAGTAAAGAGTGATGACAATTTTATATATTGTAGTCAGGGTAGCTTTCTTTGAAATTTGATTTTAAAATTAAGTTGATAGAGCAGGTCAAGCTAGGCAAATGTTCAAAAGCATGTTATCAAGGGAGAGAATAGAAAGCCCTAAGGCCCTGAGAATTGTGTGTTCCAGTGAGTTTGAAGAAATCTGATGAGACCATTGGTGTTGGAGAAAATTCATTGAGTGATCAATGTGTGGACAAACTGGTAATGACATTTTAATCAATGTTATAGACACTTAAGACCACGGAGAGATTACAGAATGAAACTGGCAGTGAGGAACAAAGAGGACACTTATGAAAAGGTGGGCCCAGTGTAAAACAAAACAGCTTCCAACCAAGTGCCTGCAGAGGCAATAGCATCATTAAAGGAGATTTAAGTTTCATTTAGAGTGAGTTGAAGGTAATTTTTAGAGAAGAGATCATGAAGGTTTTATGTATGATGGACCATAAATTCCAGAGGGCTCACTAGAGAGGTTTTAGGGATTAAAGAGAATGGAAGAAAGGGACATAATAAAGGATATGCAATAATGTAGAGTGATTAACGTGTGTACAGTGAGGGAACCTAGAATCCTGGGACTCCTTGTGGTGATTGACATAAACAGATAATGAGCTTAATGAGATTAGTTCTGGCTGGTCTCAAAGTTGACAGTGGAAGCTAGGCTGTGATTGTTTGAGAGTAGGTCCCATTTTGCCCTTGCTGAAATAGTTACGGAGACATCAAATAGAGGGTCTATCCTTCCTCAATGTGTTGGTCTTATCCCTTTGGACTCCTGATGATGATCTGTTTTTGTTTGATGATGACTTTCATACAGGAAATTATATTTATTCTAAGTATAAAGAGGGATAAAATATCCTTGTGCTCAGAATAAATTTTTTGAACAGAAAATTTTATATTTTAAAATGTGTAATTTTTTTAGAAATATGAAATACTCTTTTTAAATTTGTTATTCTTGTATTAAGTTTTGCATTATTTCAATGGGATTTAGCTTTTCTAAAATACATATTCTCAATTGTCAGCTAGAATTTCCACCTTTGATTTTTTTTTTTTTTTTTAGTTTAAGTTATAGTCTCTAAAGAGAGAAGACTTCCTTATTTACACATGTACAAGCAATATGACTAGGTCTCTCCAAGAAGAAGAGGTCAAAATGATTAGATGTGCAGCGTATTTTTGGGAGAAATGCCTGCAAGGGTAAATGAGGGAGCCAGAGAAGGATGGGAAACTATCAGCCTAATGTGTATATCTGACCCCTGTGAAGGAGAAGGAAAGGAAGGAGGGTCTTAGACTGCAGTGTGATTCTAAGAGTTTGACAAGACTAATGGGGGGTCCCCATGCCAAAGTCTCCACCAGAGGAATCCTATTTCCTATAGGAAATAGCCTGCCTTAGTCCCTGTGCTGCACTCAGTCACTGGCTGGGAGCACTTAAGAGAATTTTCACTGTGGTGCAGATGCAGTGAAGGGTTTAGAGCACTGTGGCTGAAGCTGTTGGTCACTCATGCTCCCTGAAATAGGAAATCTCAGAGCCATATTATCTCATCTGCCATAGTAAATTACCATGCTTTTTCACATAAGATCAGTTAAGTCTTATGTAATATGGCCAAGGGCATGAGATAATACTGCAAAGAAAAGTGTTGAGATAGAAGGGGGTGGTAAGCTGTGGGAATCCGGAAAGCAGCCAGAAGCCTTTAGGCAAAGATAGGAGTTATGTACTAAACTGTGTAACCCAAAAGACAGATGTTGAAGTTCCAGAATGTGACTGCATTTGGAGATAGGTTTATGAAACCTTTTCCCATTTTCCCTGAGAATACTCACCAGCGATGCTTCAGCAGCAATGTTTACCTCAAGATAACTTTGCCACGAAATACCTTGATGTTGTTATTATTTTCACATCACTCTAGTATGTCGACTTTGGAAACAGAAAACATTATTCTGTTTATAGCACTCTGTTTTTAGTAGTGGTATTCCCATTTACAAAATATAGTAATTCTTGATCACTGAAAATGTCAAATCCTAGAAAACATGGCATTCCTATGTGTGATATTAACATCATTTTAGAACAGTTGTTGGCCGAAGATTCATTTGATGAATCTGATTTTTCTGAAATAGATGATTCTGATGATTCAGACAATTCTGATGTTAGTTCTGTTTAGAAACAACTCAGTTAGCAGTTTTTATATTGTGTTTTCACATTGAAAATCAGTCAGATTTTCTTCAGCCTCAAAGAGAGTGTTTGTAAAATTAATAAGCGCTGGCAGTGAGCTGCATTTTCTTTATCTTTTTTCCAAATGAGAAAGGGTTGAAGAGGTGATTAGGCTAAAATAAATCCATCAGGGTGGGCCCTAAACCAATATGACATCCTCATAAGAAGAGGGGATTGGGTGGCCAGGCATGGTGGCTCATGCCTGTAATTCCAGCACTTTGGGAGGCCAAGGCAGGCGGATCATGAGGCCAAGAGATCGAGACCATCCTGGCCAACATGGTGAAACCCTGTCTCTACTAAAAATACAAACAATAGCTGGGTATGGTGGTGCATGTCTGCAGTCCCAGCTACTTGGGAGGCTGAGGCAGGAGAACCTCTTGAACCCAGGAGGCAGAGGTTGCAATGAGTCGATATCGTGCCATTGCACTCTGGCCTGGTGACAGAGCAAGATTCTGTCTCAAAAAGAAGAAGAAGGAGGAGGAGGAGAAGGAGAAGAAGAGATTGGGACACCCAGAGTGACATCAGGATGGGCACACATAGAGGAAAGACCTGTCAGAAAGCAGTGAGAAGGTGTCCATCTGCAAGCCAAGGAGAGAGGTCTTAGGAGAAACCAAAGCTGCTGACACCTTGATGTAGAACTTCCAGCTTCCAAAACTTTGAGAAAGTAAATTTTACTTTTTTTCAGCTTCATAGTCTGTAACATATTGTTATGGCAGTGCTAGCAAACATATAAATGGACTTCTCTATAGTGAGTGTTTCAACAATTACAGCTGCCCAACAATGAGATGATGAACCCACGGGATAACATGCCATTGTCACTAGAGCTGCTTGAATTTTCTTTTACTCGTTCACTTATTAGGAGATTTCTCTGAGAAAATGATATTTGAGTGAAGACCTAAAGACAGATGAGACTCTACACATACAAAGATGTAAGGTCACGATTGTTCTAAGAAAAGGGAAACAAGAAGAGACGCTCTGGGTGGCCAAAAAAGGCTGAATAAGCACCTGTCAGGGAGGTTGCAGGTGGAATTCTTACAGTACACAAGGTATTCACAAGACCTCTTAGTTCACAACCACAGGAGACACCATGAACAGCGTGATATTTGTGCCCCAGGGAACACCATTTTCTTAGACACTTCCACAATGGGTGCACCCTGGAGTTGTAAAACATGGCTGTTCATTATATGTGACTAGATGATCATCAGAGACCTTTCCTGATTGTATTTTGTAGAGTTCAGTTAAAATGCAATGTAGCAGGATTACAATGGATTTTCAATATAGATCACCCTCTTATTTGAAAATAAGATGTGAAAGAATGTAATTTGTGACATACCTGGTAGCTATGGGACGTACTATAACATATTCTGGAAAAGAATCTGATTCTTTCTAAATTTGCTCAAGAAGTAATGTCATTAATCTTCTAAATTTATTAAAGCTGGTATACAAGATAATATACTTAAAAGGGTTTTTACACTTAATTTAATACAAGTAAAAGATATTTAGTTTTTTTTTCTTTTTATAATATAAGCTCTGTATGAGTCTAATTAAGGACAAAGTTTTTTTTTCCTATAACAAGCTGAGAATTATCAAAAGTAACACCGGTTTTGTTAAGTACAAAAGGTCAGAATATCCAAAATAATAACTATAAATTTAGAAGTTAATTGAGTATATTTATGTAAAATGAGTTGTGTAATTTCTCATTACACAGACCCTGAGAATAACCTCAATCTTGTGTATGAATTAATGTATAATAGCCATTCAGTCTAGATATGTATAACAGAAAACAGACACACTTGGTCATCAGTGTCAGTCTGTCACTTACATTGGTCAATTCTATTTTAAAGCCAAAACTATGTGGCACAGATTATATCTCAATGAGTAACTGACTAATCACATGAGTTATCATGCGGTTTTAACTTGAGAAAAAAGCATATAGTCTTACTGAAATTGGAAATTAAAGACATTTGGAAGTCAGTGATTCTGAAGATAGAGCAAAATAAACTGTTTAAAATGTTTAAAAGCACTATACTAAGATGTTCACACTTTTAAATTCCACTTGGATAATCCACTTCTTATCATGTTGGCGTCAACACAATTTAAGAAAAAATGTTCTTTAGAAACATTAAAAAATATATCTTTGCGTAGCTTAGCTATACTTTTAGATTACATTGTTTACACTTACTTCTCTTGAGCTACTTACGGTAGATTTAATTTAGCTAAGCACACTTCCTTGCTTGGGTATCTATGCAGCTTCCCTGAAGGTGGCATAATGCAATGGTGATATATCCTCAAGCTATGGGATGCCCTGTAAAATATTCTTGATCTAAGATGAAGTCTCTTGCTTAACTACCTGAGCTTCAGTCTCAACTCTATCTTTATTATCTGTGTGACTGTGGACCACTTAACTATTCTATGTTTTGTTTATCACATCTGCAAAAGTTGAATAGTAATAGAACTTTCTTTAAAGGGCTGTTATAAGGAATAAAGGAGTTGATGCATAGAAAGCATTTATAGCAGGGCTTGACTCCAATAAGGATTGGATACCTATTACCTATTCTTATTGCCTGAGCTACAGAAGACATCCCCAACAGAATTCAAGGACAGGTGTGCTTGGAGGTTTGGAGTGTACTATAGCCCAGTCCAGGGAACCAGTCTCTGGTATCTGAAGCTAGCTCAGAGGATAATTTAGACCTAAGAATACCATAAATCTTGCAGACACTCAGAGCTTCATTAGGAGTTTGGCCTCTTGGGGGTTGCAGGCAGATAGACAAGTGAGTTCTGTTGAGCCTTTTGAATCTTTTTACATCACCTTCAAACACCTGACACCTGGAGAACCCTGACTGATCCATTATCTTGCTACAATATTTTTTTCATAAAATAACCCACACTTTTATGATTATATTTTGCCAAAAAGTTTTGAAACTTGCAGTTAACCTTGTAACAGAAAAAAATAATTTTTTTATGGTTGTTGTTATTCCTGAAGAAAAATACGTGTGAGAAATTTGGAAACATGAATAGGCATTTAACAGCTGAAAATGAAATGGAAGAGAACCTAAACAAATCCAATCCAGTCAACAATATGGCTGGGTGATTTATTCCAATGGTTTCAGACTATGTCGGAAGATCCCTAGGGTTTTCATGGAGCCTTCCTTGGGTCATTGAGAAGGAATGGGCAAAAGCAACGCAAAGTCAGATCTCCCCCCATTCCCAACTTTATGTTCAACCCACCAGCTGACTTTCCACTTGCATTACATATCAGATCTCTATACACAATTTCATTTAAACATAGGCTCCCACTGCTAAAGTTAGAAAAACATTGCTTTGCCAAATAAGTTGCAGTCAGCTTAGGTAGAAGACATATGGATAATAGGCGAGAGGAAATGGATATTATATAAACACCTTTTCCTCTTTTAGAAGAAAATATCACAGGATTGGTAAAGCTGAATTTTCTCTGGGAAAAAAAAAAACTCTATTTTAAATGAAAAAGTTTTGCAAAGTCAGAATATTTCTTTAAAGTTGTTTTGTAATATAAAATATCTCAGGGAGAATTATCAAAATTAATTTTATAAAAAGAAAATATTATCCTTTTAGTAAGAAATCAACATGAATGAACATGAAATTATCCTTAATTAATTTTTTCTTCTCTTTGTTGTACTAATTACTTAAGAACTGTATAGACCTGGTATTCATCACAGCCTTTGCAGCATTTGGCTTTTGTGGTTAAGATTCTGTAAGGTTTTTCACTATAATAAAATCTCTGCTTGCAGATTTATAATTTCATTTCAAGTATTCCCTACAGAATGAATGTTGGTAGACAAACTTTGCCTGAGAAATAGTTTCTTCATTCTAAAATCAAAGGAACGTGGCAAGTTCCTTTGCATGTATAGTTCCTCTCCTCATTTAATAGAATATTATGTTTAGTTTTCATAATTCTTCACCTGATTTCATATTAAGGACTCTTCAGAGAATTTTAACTCAACAATGTAGCAAATCTAATTTGAAGTAATACTCAACCATCATCAAAATAATGCAGAAAAGCTGAGTTTTTTGATACACTCAAGCCTTAAGTTTCTAAGTAATTTACTGTAACCTTACATTCGTAGGCAATGAAGAAATTTCCTGAGACTAAGCCAGTTAAAGTTGCTTGGCATTTGTGCTATTTTTGGAGGTAATAAGGTGTTCCCTACTTGTTCAGTGTCACAGACCCCATGTTTACACTATATTGTCAAACCTGATGACAGACAGCATAGCACCAGCTGGCAATGTGACCTGTCTTTCCTTTAGTGATTCCATATAAAGCAGGCATTTTTTTTTTCACTCCATATTCCTGCACGTTCCTTTCTTTTAGTCGTGGTCTTTGCTCTTACACAGTTAGTGAATTAAATGAGATTTTACAGAGAAGAGACTGTGAAGAGCAAATGAAAGGTATTTATATTACTAGATGCCTGCCTAAATAATTGCATTCCTCTCCTGATGCCTGAATTTTATTTATTTAGTTTAACAGCAACAAAGTATAGTGAGAAGAATATAGGCTACGACAACAGGCATACTGAGATTCGAATTTGTGCCAAAACACTATCAGCAATGATTTGACCTCTGAGCTTCAGTTCTCTCATCTGTAAAACTGGGGATTATAAAACTCACTTCTGATTGTATTTTTATGAATTTATAAAGTGTTTGGCACCAATAGGCACTCAATGAATTGTAGTAGTAGCAATAATTGTAAGGTTTAATTTTTAAGAAAAATAAAATTGGTGAAGGCTAATATTTGAGCAACTCTATTGACACTTGATGAAGATTTTAATTTTGATAACTGCAATACTTGCTAAGAAAGTTAATGGTCTAAACTACATCATTAAACATATGCCACTGCTGTGGGATGGAGAGTAAGCAGTAACCAGAAATACCTGGAATACGGCCAGATGAAAGCTCTGGAGAGTTCACTCACTGGCAGGTACTCAGGGCTTTGTGTTACCTATACACTTTTCTGTCTCTTTGTGGATAATAATGCTGATGTCTGCATTCACCAGATACTACTCAGAGGCAGAAAAAAATAAATGTTTTTTAGCAATCCCAGGTTTTAAAAAATTCTAATAAAAATGAAAATTCCTGGAAGAAGAAAAGCTGTTTATATTTATAAATAAAGTTTTTAGTTTCTCCATTATAGTATCAAGCAGTAGAAGGATCCTATTTCGCATCAAAGATGCCTAAATTTAAATTTCAGCTCTGCAATTCTTACTTTCCTTCCTTTATTTGCACAATTTCGTTGCAAGGAACTAACCTGACAAATATAAAAGGTGCCGTGGTTTATGAAGATAATTGACAACAGGATAATATTTCCTCAAATGTTGAATCTTAAAATCTAATCCTAGTTGTATATACTTCTTGGATAAAGTATCTTCGTATTTTACAACATCACTGTAGACATTACTTTTACCCACAGTGCCAATGCTCAACAACACTTGTGGAAGAGCAGGGCAAGCTATTTCAGGACAGGCTTAGAGTCCATAACAAACAATCTTAGCTGGAAAAAAACTTGAAATAAAACTTTAAACGTTGATTGATTCTTTCCCATAGCTTATAAACTTCAGAGTAATGTAGCACAAATGTCTGTCTGCATCCTGCTTTTAAAACCCTTAGTGCTCAGCGGCTTGTCTGCTCTCTCCCCTGCCTAGACTAAGGTAAGTGGGTCTTACCTTACAGACCTATATACCTATAGTGCCTAATAGACAATAAGCCACCTTAGCTTTACATCTCAGAATGAATCAATGTGGGGGCAGAAATTTCTCAGGATATTTTGTTCTCTGACACAAATACACCAGTCATTCAAAAAACTGTGTTTATCATATACCAAACATTTTCAAGTTACTAAAAGACAGTGAACTGAACAGTAATTAACATTACATCCATAAATATTTTGGCCTAAAGTATTTCTTTATTTTTTATTGGTTATTTGCATTAAGGGCACCAGAAACTTATAGAAAACCAAAAAGATAAGCCGAAAGGTGATTAAAAATAGTTTCTTTCCCCTAGAATTCATCAGTTTTTAGCAAAATGAAGAGAAATAAGTCAATAATTATAAATTGAGTTTTTTAAATAGAAAGCATTATTCTACATATGATTTTTTAAAAAGACATTAAACTCTCTTAAGTCTTTACCAGCAAAAGATTTACAATCTAGCAATTACTTTTTTATTTGAAATGCCATTTTGAAAACTATTCCTTTATCTGGAATGAATGTAAACCATAATCTTAAAAGTGACACTAGTCACATTCCACACGGTTAAAATTATGTAAGGACAACTTCATTATATGCTTGAAGAAATTGTTTTTTCTTACCATTAAGTCTTCCAAATGATAATTTATTATAAATATTTAAAAAATAAAAAAAATCAAAACATGGAATAACATAAAGAATAACTTTTAAACCCAAACACCTAGAGATTTCATTATGTACTTTGTTCATATGCCTAACTTAATAAATTCTTCATACAGAAAAGTTTATTAAGAGCAAAAAAAGCCTGTTTCGTTAGCCAGTCACGATCGTTCAGCATCTTTAGGAAATATCCAGAGACTGCATTGTTTTCTCCTATGCTGCACCAGAAAGGGTTTTGTGGGTTATCAAACATAACTCCATGCTCTCAAACCAATCACTCCTTCATTCATATTTAACATCAGTGTCAACTGCAGTGTTGTTTCTGAGTAATAAACCGTTCTACCGTGACTAGTATGGAATTGTGGGAACCAGAAATTGCTGATAATGGAAGTGCAGTGGGTTAGCTTTGTTTCCATTTGGTAGCAGTGATTGCTGTATATTTGTGAAAAGGAGGCAAGGGGAGAGAAATAAAGTAGTTGCTCTATTTGTAAATTGAAAAGTCAAAGTGCAGTAATACCCTTGATCAGAGTTGATGACTTGAAAAAATAAGAGGAAAGCAAAGAAAAAAATTGTTAGGAGAGGCTAAATAACTATTCTTGATTTTTAAAATACTATAAAGCTAAATGTATAGGAATAATTTTAACATGATGAAGAAAACTTATTTTAAAGTAACAGTTACTGTTAAACTCCCTGTAAAACATAAAGCAAGCTCATTTAAAAAAAAAGAACAATTAAAGGGATGCCTTCTTCTAATACTTAACAATATTATGTAAATATAGTTTAATGCAATAAGATAAAGATACAGAAATCAAAGTTGCATGCTAGAAATGAGTAGATAAAATTATTTATATATTCTGTGAGTATTCATGAAATATCCCACAGTCTCAAGCAAAACACTACTCAGATTCATTAAAAGTTACAGGAAATGAACAGTGTAAATTAACATGAGTAAATGGATATAAGGAAATCCTAAACAGAACAAAGAGGGTTACTGGTTACTGATACCAGGTACTAGTCCTAGAGAAGGCACAGTATGTCAGTAATATATTTTTGTGTAACATCCAATATAATATCAATGTATATATGCCTGAATTATTAGAAAAATGAAAAGAGATTGATGAATCTTAATCATAATGGGAAATTTAAATACCTTTTCATTTCTGGATTTGGCTGCTTAAACAGATATCATAATATAACATATAGGGGAGATGTTTTTAACAGTGGCCAATGGACATAGGAATAAAGGAATTCATTATTTTCTTTCAGAGGGGCTTTCTGGGGAACTCTTTGAATTTATATGCAATATTTTGTGTGAATATTTTATATTCTTCTACAGAAGATAATTTACCACCTAATGTAGTATGAGATTCAATAAGTGTGAATGGCATAAAACATCTAAATATTATAATTAAAGTATTTAAGATACACACACATACTATATATATACCTATACATACATGTATACACACACATGAGTATGTTTGTATATAATATATATACATATATGTATATATTATATATGTATATGTACATATGTATATATTATATATGTATATATGATATATATTATATATGTATATATGTATATATATAATATATACAACCTCTTTCACCTGAAGAGAAGGTGAGGATGTGAAATGCTGTGTGTTATGTATAAAAATTAATAATACTTTACCATACACATACAAACACACATATTGAACTCGACGAAAATTGATTTTTAACATAAAATTTTTTAAGGCCAAACTCTCTGACCACAAGTCAACAATAGTAAAAATTACAAACAAAAGCACAACTTCTAAATCTAAACACATGAGAAATTTAGTATTTTCTTTTGAAAATTCCATTGCCAAAAATACACCATAGACTAAGAAATTATGAAAGGAAGGTTAATAAAATATATCTCAAAACTTATGCTACTGTCCTCAACTTAAAATTTAAGTATTTAAAGGCTTCTGTTGCTGAAGATAAATGAAAATAATGCATTTAAATCAAGAATTAAGAAATTTAAAAGAATAAAAGATGTGGATGATGATAAGCTGAGACTACAAAACAAAATAAAGAAATTACATTGATAGAATGAAGGAATAACTGTTACTAAAATTGTTATTAACATAGTCGAAGCCCTAAAAATGTCTAAACAAGGATGTATACAAGAGAAATTACTAAATATAACAAAGTCAAGAAATGCAATATATTCAAGGATTTGGAGGAAACTTTTTAAAAAATAAAGGGAACCCTGTTGTAAAACATTATACTAGGAAATATCCACAAGCTAAAAAACTTTTTAAAATATATGAAAATATAAATTACCACTATTTTCAAAGAAAGTAAGGAAACAAAAGAGAGCTATAACTGATCAATTATCAAACAATTGCTGTCAAAGAACTCTAACCAAGAATTTTACTTGATGAAAGTCCTGCACTAAAGAAAAGTGATTCTGGTGCTGTTTATATTGTTACAGAACGAAGAAAAATGTTGCCATAGATGCAACATTTTTATATCAAATAAAATACTAGCATATGCAACCCATATGACTAATACAACATGGCACCAAAGAGTTTATTAAAATTTCAGAGATTGCTTGAAATCAGCAAAGTGTCATCATCATTATCTTTTAAGATAACAAAATGAAAGGTAGATGATTTATTTCAATAGATGCTAAAAAGTAACAATAAAATTAATCATCCTTTAATAAGATGTATTAATATACTAGAAAAATATACCCCTTTTCTTAACATGACAAAGAGTATTTCTGTAAAACAGAAAGAAAACATGCCTTCTTAAGAAAAGAATAAGACAAGGCTATCTGCAGACACAGCAGTTAGTCAACATTCTTCTCTAAGCCTAACTGGTACATTGAATAAATAAATATTAGAGAGTAAAAATGATGATTATTTGCCAATGATATTTAATAAGGTAGTAGGTTATACACCAAAAATAAAATTAAAAATAAAAAGAAAGCCTTTTTCAAATGAAAGTGGTTACCATTTAAAAACAAAATGAAAAGTAAAATATACACTTGTAAATGCATGTACGTATGCTACTTTAAGAAAATGTAAAGCAAAATATGAAAAATAGATGACTAGAGAATACAACATCTCCCTGTAGAACATAAAAGACTATAATTAACAATAACATACAGTTTCAAATAGCTAGAACCAGAAAGAAATGATGTTTGTGAGGATGAATTTGCCAATTACCCTGATCTGAATACTATACATTTTATGTATCACAACATCACTATGTACTACAAAAATATGCACTATAATTGTATGTTAATTTTAAAACTTTTAAAAACAAAAAAAGTTTCAGTAAATAAAGACATGTATCATGATTCTGGGAAGGAAGATTCAGTTGACCCCAAATTATAAAAATCAATGAAATCTTCTTTCAACATAGTGGGTTTTTAAAAATCAAAATAATAAAGCAACATTTTAAAAATCAAAATAATAAAACAAAGTAATAATTCCTAAGATAATCAAGAAGAGGGCCAGGCTCTCTTATGGTGGCTCCCACTTGTAATCTCAGAACTTTGAGAGGCTGAGGCAAGTGGATCACTTGAGGTCAGGAGTTCGAGACCAGCCTGGCCAACATGGAAAAACCCAGTCTCTACTAAAAATACAAAAATTACCCAAAAATTACCCGGGCATGGTGGCATGCGCCTGTAGTTCCAGCTACTCAGGAGGCTGAGGCACAAGACTTGCTTGAGTGTGGGAGGCCTCCAGAGGTTGCAGTGAGTCAAGATGGTGCCACTGTACTCCAGCCTGGGCAAAAAAGTGACACTCCATCTCAAAAAAAAAAAAAAAAAAAGGAAGAAGAAGAAGAGAAAAGCAGTGGAGCCTGTGCTTGCCCCACATATTAGGATATAAAACCAGCACAAAAATGGCAAATGTGTCTAAAGTAGCTTCAATCAGATATGTAAAGTATTTCTAATTGTTCTGCAGCAATAGCAACAATTTATTTGGTAACAAAATCGAATTATATGAACTCTCCTCACAAATAATCTGATGGTCTAATTATGACCATTATGAACAAAGTAATACTCACACTACCAGTTGGCTACTCCAGTCATTAACACGTGATCCCAGTGGTAAAATGGTTTAAATAAATTAAAATTGAAAAAGGAAAAGATGCTGGTGAGGTTGTGGAGAAAAGGGAATCATTACACACTCTTGGTGGGATTATAACTCAGTTCAGCCATTATAAAAATAGCTTGGAGCTTTGTAAAACTGAAAATAGAACAATCATAGGTTTCAGGAATTCTACTTCCTGATATATATCCAAAAGAAATAGAATCAGGATCTTGAAAAAATATCTGCACTCTCACATTTATTGTAACACTATTCAAATAGCCAAGACATGGAAGCAACATAAATGTGTGCCAAAGGATGAATGGATTTTTAATATGTGGTGCATACATATGACAGAATATTACTCAGCCTTAAAAAGTAGGGACTCCTGCCATTTGAAACAATATGAATGTACCTGGAGCACATTTTGCTAAGTGAAATAAACCAGACACAGAAGGACAAATCCTACATAATACCAATTATATGGTAAATATAGTCAAACTCATAAAATTATGGAGGCGATGGATAGGCTTATGGCATAAATTGAAGTAAGGACTTCACAACCATATTTTTCTCCAAACTTACCAAATTATATAGATATAACATATACAAGTTTTTGTATCTCAAAAAATTATATAAAAATTTTAAATTTGATAAATCATTTTAAGATTAGAAGCAATATCTGTCAAAAAGATTATGTATTAATATCTTCATGGTCATCATTTTGTAGTTGTACGATTTTGAGTGATTTTTGTCTGCAATGCTCTGCTTCTGAATTATAAAGACATCTATTTATTATATGAAGATTAAAAGCAATTCCTTTTGTAAAAATTTTTAAAAAGTGCATAGTTAAATTATACTGAAACAAACATATTAGAAGTAATAAAAATGGAAAAATGTATAGACTTGAATTTGCACAAAATAAAAAATGATAAGGCAAATATAAAAATGGAAAAAATTGTAAGTACAGTGGAAATAATGTCTTTAAAATGCAGAAATGCAGAAACCCAATATACATATGAAAAATTCTCCATTGCCACTAAAATGAAAGAAATGCAATTCAGACCATGTCATTTCTCTCCTTGAAATCTGCGTCGTTCTTTTTTTTCAATAAAAATTGAAGTCCTTATGTATTAGTCCATTCTTGCACTGCTATGAAGATATGCCTGAGACTGAGTACTTTCCGAAGAAAAGAGGTGTAGTTGGCTCATGGTTCCACAAACTGTACAGAAAGCATAGCTGGGAGGCCCCAAGAGACTCACAATCGTGTCAGAAGGCAAAAGGGAGGCAGGTACATCTTACATGGCTGGAGCAGGGATGGGGGGCAGGGAGTGCACACAGTTTTAAATACCCAGATCTCATGAGAACTCTATCATGGAAACAACACTGGGGGATGGTGCTAAACCATTAGAAAATGCCCCTATGATCCAATTACCTCCCATCAGACCCCACTTCCAACATTGGGGATTACAATTCAACATGAGTTATGCATGGGAACACAGATAGACAGATCCTATGAGCCTGTAAAATCAAAAACAAGTTAGTGACTTTCAAAATATGATGGAGGTATAGGCATTGAATAAATACTCCTCTTCTAAAAGGGAGTAATTGGCCAAAAGAAAGGGGCTATAGGCCCCATGCAATCCCAAAACGTAGTAGGGCAGTGGTTAAATCTTAAAGCTCCAAAATAATCTCCTTTGACTTCATGTCTCACATCCAGGGCACACTGATGCAAGGGATAAGCTCCCAAAGCCTTGGGAAGCTCCACCCTGTGGCTTTGCAGGGGTCAGCCCCCATAGCTGCTCTCATGCACTGGCATTGAGTGCCTATGGCTCTTCCAGGTGCAGTGTCCAGGTTGCTGGTGGATCTACCCTTCTTGAAATTGTAGCACAAAAGCCCTCTTCTCACAGCAACACTAACAAGTGCCCCAGTGGGGACTCTGTGTGGGGACTCCAAGCTCACATTTCCCCTCTGCACTGCCCTAGTACAGGTTCTCATGAGAGTTCCTGCCCTGCAGCAGGCTTCTGCCTGGATATCCAGGCTTTTCCATAAATCTAAAATCTAGCCAGAGGCTCCAAAGCCTCAACTCTTACACTCTGCACACACACAGGCTTAAAAGCATGTCAAAATCACCAAGGTTTATGGCGTTCACCCTCTGAAGTAGCTACCAGTGCTATACCTGGGGCCCTTTTAGCCATGAGGGGAAGCTGGAATGGCTGGAACATGGAAAGCAGTGACCTGAGGCTGCACAAGGCAACAAGGCCCGGGTCCTTGCCCACAAAACCATTTTTCCCTATTAGGCCTCTGGGCCTGTGATGGGAGGGTCTGCCATAGAGATCTCTGAAATGCCTTTGAGGCCTCCCCATTGTCTTGGTTATCAGCATTTGTCTTTTAGTTATGCTAATTCCTGCAGACTTCTTTAATCCTTCCCCTGAAAATGCGCTTTTTTTTTCCTATCACATGGCCAGGCTGCAAATTTTTCAAACTTTTACACTCTGCTTCCCTTTTAAATATAAGTTCCAATGTCAGGTAATTCTTTGCTCATGTGTATGAGAATAGCATTTTAGAAGCAGCCAGCCTACCTCTTTAATGTTTTGCTGCTTAGAAATTTTTTCTACCAGATACCCTAAAACATCACTCCAAGTTCAAACTTCCAAGGATCCCTAAAGCAGTGGCACAATGCAGCCTACCACTTTGATAATGCATAACAAAAATGACCATTGCTTCAGTTCCTAATAAGTTTCTCATTTCCATCTAAGACCTCTTCAGCCTAGACTTCACTGTCCATATAACGGTCAGCATTTTGTTCATAACCATTCAACAAGGCTCTAGTAAGTTCCAAATTTTCCCTCATTTTCCTGTATGCTTCTGAGCCCTCCACATTCTTCCAACTTCTCCCAATACCCAGTTCCAAAGGCACTTTCACATTTTCAGGTATCTTTGTAGCAATGTCCCACTTCTCAATACCAATTTTCTGTATTAGTCTATTCTTGCACTTACATAAAGAAAAGAGGTTTAGTTGGCTCATGGTTCTGCAGGCTATACAGGCTTCTGCTTCTGGGGACATCTAAGAAAACTTACAATTATAGTAGAAAAAGAAGGAAAAGCAGGCAGGTCTTACATGACCAGAGCAGGAGGAAGAGAGAAAGTGGGGAGGTGCTGCACACTTTTAAACCACCAGATCTCCTGAGAATCATATCGCAAGAACAACTGTACAGAGATGGTGCTAAACAATTACAAATCACCCTCATGATCCAATCACGACCCATCAGGCCCAACCTCCAACACTGACGATTACAATTTAACATGAAATTTGTGTGGGGACACAGATCCAAACCATATCACCTTGTCAGAGCATATAGAGCCTTAAGTAATTTTCAGGGGCTCCCATCCAACCACACCACCTCCCTTGCCCAATGTGATGCCATCCCCTTACTAATACTGCTCTAATTGCCAATGCCTTCTCTTCCACTCAATTTTCAAGCATTTCACATCTCTATTTGCACTTGTTGTTTATTCTGCCTGGAGAGATCAAACCCCAAATACCTGCATTCATACCTTCTTTACCTCATTCTCATTTTGGTCATTTTTCATATGTTACCTTATCAAAGAGTCTTTCTCTGATCAATCTACACAAAATAGCATGCCCCTTCTTCACTTTTCTCTTAACTTGGTGGATCGTATAATATTCTTAACCCATTGATTACATGTACTGTATTATTATACATAGGTGTGTATATGTATTTATGTATACATATACTATATGTATAGCTATATAGAGAGATAGCTACATTTAGTATTTTTGTTTGTTTGTTGTTTGTCATCACAACTAAACTGTGAGCTCATTAAAGCAAACAATTCATTTATTTCTATATCTTCAATGACTAAAAGAGCATCTGGCAATTAGTAAACCTCAGTAAACATGAGTTGAAGGAGATTAAATTAATGAGTCAACATTTTCTACCAACCAAATCTGCAAAGATATTTAACCTCTTATTATTAACGTTGACAAGATTGCACTGAATAGGTATTCTCACATAGTGCTGAATAACCATTCTGGAAGACTATTTATATTATTTCATCCAGATTCCTTAATATCACATAAATTTGACCCAGAAATTACATATCTAGAAATTCAAGGAAAGTGCAAGGGTATTTCTGAAAATTTTCATCATGAGTTGTTTAAAATAGAAACAGTTGAAAGCAAATTATATGTCTAATAATATTACAGGATCTAAATATATTCTGTGATACCCATATCATAAAATTTGATTAAAATCACATTTCCATTTGCATTTAATGACATGGGCAATTAAAACCCATAAATTGTTAAATTAAAAATGGATATAAATTTTTTGTTTATAATGTGTGATCTTAATTTTAACCATACATATATGTAAGAAATGTATGTAGATATACATAAAGGAGAAAAGAAGTTGAAAGGGTTGCACCAAATCATATCATTAGAGATATTTACCAAATATTTCTGATTTTTTTAACACCTTATGGACTTGCACATCCTTATTCCATTGAAATTAGGTATCCCACATGACTCAGTTTAGCAAATCAAAGGCAAGCAGCCAACCTTCAAAGACATTCAACCTGATGGGTAATAAACCTCATTGTATTAAGTCGCTGATATTTGGGGATTGATTTATAAAGCATTCCAACCTATTTTGACAAAGATAGCCTAATTGTATTGCTTTCTCCTCATTAAGAAATACACTTTAAGAAGGATAAGGAGTAAAAGAAAAGATGGCAACCTTATGCTAAGAAATTACTATGTGTGTGAAACCCCTCTTGAAGACAGTATTTTCAGCTCTCCATCCATTGTGGTTGGTTTTGTTGTCGTTGTTGTTGTTTATCTTGAGTTGGTAAATCATTTATTTTGAACTCAACTTTGTGTTTTCATCAATAATGTTTTCAGTAATTCCCCTGATCAACAAAAAGAAATATCAGTGTTTGACAGTTATTGAGAACGTACTGCATATGAGGTGCTTTTTATCTATTATAAAATTTAATACTCCCAAATAAGTATGAGTTAGGTACTATGATTATGCACACTTTACTGATATGTAAACACAGCTGCAGGTAAGACAAAATGACTTGTCAAAATAGAGTTACAATGAGGAAAATCTGGAATAACTACTACATGGGACAAGTTAGAGTGGTCTTATTTCTGCTTAGTGTTGTCCTTTTGTCCTATTTGATATGAGAATCAGCTATCTGGCTATTGATATGTATATTATAAGAGACAAAATGTAAGGAACCAATAAGTGTGCCATAGATCTGGAATGGCTTGATTTCCCAGGGGTATGAAATTATGTAAAATATACAATCAAGGATCAGGCCACTATTAATTATTTCCTTATTACTTATAAAATCCAGCTAATAGGAGTCAGATTCCTTCTCATCTTTTCATATGCCCATTAAAATAAAACCATGACTTCTTTAGAAAAGACTTATTAAAGGAATTGCCAGTAAATGTTTAAAAAAAAAAGTAATATGATCTTATTTAATGTGATTGTTTCCATTCTGCTACTGTGTAAGGAATTTTTGAGACATCAAGTTCCAAGACCCAGCTGGGGTTCAATAGAAATCTGGGAATCTCATTTCAATGGCTTAAAGAATAGTTATAAAATCATTGGTTTTCTTTTTTAAAAAATAATATTAATTTTTAATAATCTCTACTAATACATTATTGAAGGGCACTATTTAAGCAAATAAAGTAGTTAGAGCCAGAAGTGACATGGATAATTTCATTCTCATGCATAATATATACTCTTTCTAGATAATTATGTTGTCTTAAATAACATTTTTTATTTACAGTATTCACACACATTCATTTTTGAAGATATAGCCTCTACTAAAATACAATTTTCCTTAAGTGTTTTGTAAATAATGCTAACAAATAATATTTTAGAATTGCTTTAGATTTAGAGAAAATTGTAAAAATTAGACTTCCTTATACTCAATGCTCTGTTTTCCCTATTACCAAAAGCTTATATTAATATTAAAACAGCACATTTGCCACAATTAATGAACCAGCATTGATACCTTATTATCAACTAAAGTTCATACTTTATTTTGACCTTAGTTTTCACCAGGGCTTATCTAAGACAGCACATTACATTTGGTGATGATGTCCAGGCTCCTCTTCTGGTGTCATGGTTTCTCAGAAATTTCTTGCTTTTGATAAACTTGACAATTTTAAGGTATACTATAGAATCTCTCTCAGTTAGGGTCAGATGGTGTTTTTCTTATGATCAACCTGGGGTCATGGGTTTTTAGGAGGAAACCACAGTTATGTCATTTTCATTGTATCATATCAAAGGAACATAATATCAACATACCACTGTTACTAATACTTGATCTGAGATCGAATTTGTCCAATTTCTTCACTTTAAAGCTATGCTTTTTATTCACCTTTTTGTATTGTACTATTTGGAAGAAACTATTTCTTCCTCAATATGTTTCAGAAGTGAAACTACCTGAGATTGATGGTTTCTTTGAAGTTTATGATATAGTTTTAATTTCTTTAAGAGACATAAGACCCTACAGATAATCTCTTTCTCTTTATGTGAGATATGGTACTGTATGTTTTTCAGAACTGATTCAGCTCACCTGTTATCAAATTTGTGGGCATAATGTACGTGGGATTAGTAGAAATGACCCATCCTATTCTGTATTTTTAAATTATGATTAATCTCATTTTTTTCTGTGTTACTCAGACTATAGATCCACTAATTTAGTTGATTTTTCTCAAAGAAACAGCTCTTGCTTGCTTACATGCTCTCTCTATTGTTTTCCTGATTTCAGTTTTACTGATTACTCTCTTTGTATGGCTTATTTTCTTCTACTTGATTTATGCTTAAATTGTTCTTCCTTCCCTAGTTCCTGAAGATTGTTGCTTGCTTAGTTACTAATTTTATTATTTAATTTACTTTTCTAATACATACATTTAAGGCTATAGATTTTCCTCTAGACACTGCTTTCACTGCATTCCTCAAATTTTTGTTTTATTTTTCACTTTTACTTAGCTCAAAATATTTTTCATTTCTCTTGATACTTCCTCATTTGGTCATTTGCCACTTAAAAGTGGATGGCTTAATTTCCCAATATCTGAAGACTTCCCAGCTATCTTTCTGTTATTAATTTTTTGGTATAGTTTCATTGTGCTTTCAGAACAATCATGATATAACTTTGACTCTTTTAAATTTATTATGGTGTGTTTGATGGTTGAAAATTTGGTCGGTCTTGGTGAATGTTCCATGTGAGCTTCAAAAAAATGTGTATTTTATTTTTGTAGGATGAAAGTGTTTTAAATATCAATTAAATCAATCGGATTCATAGTGCTATTCACATCATTTATACCTTACTGATTTTCTGCCCTTGTTCTTTATATATTCCTAAGAAAGATGTGCTGAATTTCAACTATAACAGTGTGTTTTCTACTTGTCCTTTCAGTTCTGAGTTTTACCTCATATTTTATTTATTTATGTATTTATTTATTTATTTATTTTCATTTTTGAGATGGAGTTTTGCTCAGTTGCCCAGGCTGACGTGCAATTATAAAGATTAGAAGAATTGACAAGGTAACAAACACCAGAACAGTGTTGGGTTACAAAAAGAACTACATAGGTAAGAGTTAATATTACTTAAAACTGATTGTAATTTATTATCCCAAGATCAATTTCTTTCATCTTTCTCATCTTCTTTGTAAGGGTTTAATTGCGAGAATGAAAGGTTTACAGTGAACGAAGAACAATATAGCCTTCAATATTTGTATTACACTTTGCATAAAAAAATCAGAGAATCCAAATGAGATTTTTAAAATAAAATATTCAGTCTCATTATTTCTACCACCAAAAGACCTCTTTTTGTGAATTTAAACTCCTTAATGATAATATGTTTAAGTAAAACAATAAATGTATTCCCAAAATATCACATAGAGGTACAAATTACGGTATCTCTTCTGTTCTTTTGCTCTATTTAAGAGATTGAAACACACTCTGCAAGTTCTTATGTTCACAAATATTGAAGGTGGCCGAGAGGAAGCAAGAAAAACAAGATGTGAATATGAAAGACCCAACGTATAGACTATAAATACTCCTTTAGCTTTTGAAGGCTCTTTTTGGGGTTTAGTCTCTTTTTGGTTTCACATGATTGCTTCCGTACCATTAGCAGTGAGTCTATTCGAATAAAAATAAAAAGTCGCACTTAAAAATGCTCTTTGGCACTTCAAAAGGCCATATATTAGAGAGCTAATTGGTATAGCTTTTACAACTTTCACATTGATTTTTTCTATTGATTTTTTTCCCTTCCTTTGAGCTATCTTTTCATCCTGCTACTACTATGAATTCCGCTTCTCAGTTCTTGGGGAGTAGATTACATGAAAGAGAAGAGGGTCAGTGAAAGTGACAAGCGTCCCAAACACTTTTGTTCTCCTGTTCTGCCATATTTTAATTTCAGGCAAGTAGAACTAGTGGAGAGTATACTGACACTAGACATTTTAAGTATGTCAGAAATCTCTTTTTCCCTTGTAGACTTGGATATTCTCCGTGAAAATAAGGTATTCTCACAATTCAGCGTGGGAGCACTAATTTCTCTATCGCAACAACGGTCTCCTATTTTTAAAAAAAAAATTGTTTGGGGAATGACATTTGCTTTTGAAAGTGAATTTTCATCTACATATAGAGTCGTGAGCTAAATAAGAAATATATTTTAATATTCAGAACTTGTTATTATATATTCTATTATCATTATAATCGGCAGAAAACAAAACAAATTGGATGTCTAATTATATGACTCATCTTATTGCAGTTACTTCCAGTAAGTTAGAAACAATTTTAATAACATTGAATATTGCTTTGAGGACACACATTGAAGAAGGTACTGCAAACAACTTGAAGAATATTTGTAAGAATCTGTAAGAATCTGGAACATATAAAAGCTTCAGACTTAATATGCAATTTGGTGTATTCTCCTCAATGGTGATTTCTATTTTTTTTTTTTTTTTCTGGAGATGGAGTCTTGCTCTGTCGCCCAGGCTGGAGTGCAGTGGCACGATCTCGGCTCACTGCAACCTCCGTCTCCCCGGTTCCAGCAATTCTCCTGCCTCAGTCTCCTGAGTAGCTGGGACTACAGGCGCACGACACCACACCTGGCTAATTTTTAAATATTTTTAGTAGAGACAGGGTTTCACCGTGTTGCCCAGACTGGTTTCGAACTCCTGAGCTCAGGCAATCTGCCCACTTCAGCCTCCCAAAGTGCTAGGATTACAGGCGTGAGCCAATGCGCCGGGCCTCAATGGTGATTTCAAGGCCTGCCCACTTTCCTTTAACTCCTAAATCACCTTCCTGCTCCACTGTTCTTATTCTAGTCAGTTTTGATTTCAAGTGAAACACTTAGCTTTTGTATTTATCTACACTTGAAATAAGGCAAGGCAAGTAGATATAGGGAAAAGATATCTATTTTTGATATCTATCTGATATGATTTGGCTGTGTCCCCACCCAAATCTCATCTTGAATTGTAGCTCACATAATTCCCATGTGTTGTGGGAGGGACCCAGTAGGGGATAATTGAATTATGGGGACGGTTTCCACCATACTGTTCTTGGGTAGTGAATAAGTCTCACAACATATGATGGTTTTATAAGGGGTTTCTGCTTTCACTTCTCTCTCATTCTCTCTTGCCACCACCATGTAAGACGTGCCTTTCACCTTTCACCATAATTGTGAGGCCTCCCCAGCCACATGGAACTGTGAGTCTATTAAACCTCTTTTTCTTTATAAATTACCCAGTCTTGGGTATGTCTTTATCAGCAGCATGAAATAGACTAAATACATCCACTGAAGAGATATTTCAAATGGAAAATCAACAGTGACAGAGTCATTACAGAAAGAAAGGGAAAATTATTTCTCAAAGAAAATTCCCACTTTTTTGCTCGAAGTACAATGTGGTAGAGGCGGCATTCACTAAGAACTGAAACCTCTGAAGAAAACTTGGTGGTGGGCTAAATGGCATGAGTTCAGTTTTGGACATGACAATAGTGAGATACCTTAGATACATTCACATAAAGATGTCAAATAAACCTAGAAGAGAGGTCTGAACTGGAGATATCACTGGTCAGTTCACAGCATAACTATTCCTTAATGTTCTAAGTGTCAATGTAATGAGTTCAAAAAAGGGCTTGGAATGACAAGAGAAAAGTTTTTAGGACCTAGCAGTCTTATTACTGGGTATGTATCCCCAAAAATAAATTGTTCTACCAAACAGACACCTTCACTTGCGTGATATGTTTATCACAGCACTGTTCACAATGGCCGAAACATGAAACCAAATTTGTGCCCATCAGTAGTGGCTTAAAGAAAATGTGGTACATATACACCATACAATATTACACAGCCATTAAAAAATGAAATCAAGTCCTTTGAAGCAACATGGATGCAGCTGGGGGCCATTATCCTAAGCAAATTAATGCAGAAACAGAAAAACAAATGCAGAAACAGAAAAACAAATATGTAGGAACTAAATATTGGGTATGGACAGACATAAAGATGGGAACGATAGAAACTAAAGACTTCCAAAGGGGGAAGGGAAATAGGGGATAAAGGGCTGAAAAACTTTTTCTTGGGAACTATGTTCACTATCCGGGTGAGAGGATTAATAGAAGCTCAAATCTCAGCATCGTGTAATATACCTTTGTAACCAACTTGCCCACGAATCCCCTGAATGTAAAATTAAAAAAAAAAAAAACAAAAATTTAAAAGTAAAAAAAGCATTTAGTACTAAAATGTGAGAGACTTCAGTATTAAAGTTTAGATGGAGAATAGCAATAAAGAGCTGGAAAAGCACTTGAGAAAAGTGATACCATGAGAATGACATATCGTAGAAGTCAAAGCAGTGAGTGCTTCCATAATAAAAGACTACAGAAGCTAAAATATAAATTGTGTACCGTCACCATCTTTTTTCAATGCTTTCAATAATGTCTGCTCTGCTACGATAGGGGTTTCCAGATACTAAGCACACCCTTCTGTTTAGCTTTTTTTTAGTGTATATCCCTGCAATTCTTGAATCATGTAATTTATACTGAAAACATACATACATACATACATGAAAATAAAATTTGCTTATTTTATTGCAAGTTAACTTTGTTAGCTCTGGAGGTATATATTTTTAAAGCACTGAATGTATCATATAAAAAATAGTAGTTTTCTTTTCCATCCTCCTTAATCCCCAAGTCTGATACCCAGAGGCAGCAAATTCTTTTGTTTTTTTTTCTAAATAATATGCATATGCTGACATTTCTTTGTTTATGAAACTCAGATAATATCTCCTAAGTTTCTTGTAGTTGAGAATTTATCTGTGTTAAATATAACCCCATACACTTCCTTGATTCTTTTTCTAATATTTTTATATCATAAATCTTTACTAAACCAAGTATGTTTTTATAATTTATGACTATGCAAATGGTGCCCATGCTGAATGAAGTTATTTATTTATTAATGTCTTAAGAGAAAGGGTCTCACTCTGTCACCCAGGCTGGAGTGCAGTGGTGTAATCTGATTATAGCTCACTGCAGCTTTAAACTGGGCTTAAGGGATCCTCCTGCCTCAGCCTCCTGATTAGCTGGGACTTCAGGCCTGCATCACCGTACAGGCTAGTTTTTAGTGTTTGTTTGTTTTTTTGTAGAGACAAGTTCTCAGTGTGTTACCCAAGCTGGTCTCAAACTACTGGCCTCAAGCAATTCTTACCTGGGTGCTAGGATTACAGGCATGAGCCACCGTGCCCAGTCAAAATGAAGTCATTTTCCATGATCATATTCTTGCTATCCATATACAACTTCTGTTATTTTACCTGTAGTTAATAATAATTTTATCTGCTTTGCTTACTATCTATTCCTCTTCCAAAAAGTCCCACCCCTCTTTCAGAAAACAAACATATTTTTTCATGTTCCTTCTCTCACATAACTTTTTGTTTTTCAAGAAGTTCATACCAATTATTTTATTATGTTTTGTTATTTTTAAATTGACAGATAAAAATGTATGCATTTATTGTGTACAACATGATGTTTTGAAATATATGTACGTGAACATACACACATTGTGGAATGGCTACATCTAGCTAATTAAGTTACGCATTCTCTCACAAGGTTATCGTTTTGTGGTGCAAACACTTACAATCTACTCTTATACCAGTTATTTTTATTATGTTGTTTGTTTGTGTAGGTTGTTTCTTTTTTCTTAAAACCACCAGCAGATGTGTCAGTCTTCAACAATGATTTTTTTCTGAAGATTGTTATTCACAAAATACCCCGTCTTCCTCTCTCACAGGAGACCACCCTGAGCTCCCTCCCTCAGCTCTCTGTCCACCTGGTTCCAACTAGCCTGTTTTCTATAAAAGCCTGTGGACAGCTTTCACTATGGGAATTTCTGCTCCCTCTCTTCCTTATTGAACTCCGTTTTTGCATCCTCTATTTCCCCCCCCAACAGTAACACTCAATAATAGAAGACTGTTGGAACAAGCATTTAAAATTCTGAGGGAAATTATCTATGACCTAGACATCTAAACCTAAAATTTCATCAATCAACTGTGAGTAGAAGAAAGACACTTTCTAACAAAAACAAGGACTTAACAATTACCTTTTATGTACCATTGAAGGATATGGTTCACAGAAGAGGGGATTAAACCAAGGCAAAACTTGTTTGTGGTTTTTTTTATTTATAATTCTTTCCCTTCTGCTTCTGTTGTATCAGTTTTTTCTAATTCCCATTAAGTAAACCGTAGATTTAGAAGACTTAAAGATTAAATAAGCCTTATATTTTTCATGCCTTCCCTCTGCTATTTTTCTTTTTTAAAAACATTATTTCTTTGTTTTAAAATATTGACTTCATTTTGTTTGTTAAACCTCTTGAGTCCTTGTCATTTAACATTTCTGATTTTTCCCATCTTGTTCTTTAATCGCTCTTTTTAATCCTTATTTTCAGGATATAATATCTTTGCCTATCTGAAGTTACCAATTATATTTTTAAATGTTCTTTCGTCTGCTCTCTGAAATAACTTTTTCTCGTCACAAACCTTGTTTCTGTTTGTGTTTGTTTGTACTTTACTATTCTCTTCCATTATAGAAGTTTTTTCCGCAAGTTTGATGATAGTTTTGCTGTTTATACATATATAGGAACAAGACCCCTAAAAACATGATTAGAAATTCTGTAGAAGGACCCGCCGTGCAGATTTGTCATTCTCACCTTAAAGAAGTCTTTATAGCACAGACTCAAAGAATAATATTTGAACCTCTGTGGGGGACTTGGCTAGCTGGAAGTATCAGAATTCAGTATGTGAAGTTTCTCTTAATCTTCCTATTTTCATTCTTGGAGTTCAGCCCTGTCTTCAACTGTGCCTGGAGTCCTCAACGTGAAACTTTGCTGATTCTGGTTAACGTGCCCCTCTGCAGTGCTGTCTTCTGTTCCACAGTTAATTCTCCTCTGACTCCTATCTGTCAAACTTGTTCAGATGTTCTATCCACTATTGCCTTCAACCCCATTTTCTGTGTCCATTTCATTGATGTTCTGGTAGACAGAAGAGATAAATGCACATAGTCGATGCACCTTGTGTGTTCCTCTTTATTTGATAGTGAACTAACTCTTGTGTCTTCCAAACCAACATATTGTGTGGTATATAAAAGTCAACCAATAAGCATAACTTGAAATGAACAGAACTCATGGCAGTTTTGATAAAATAGGATCATTTTCTCTGACAAGAAAATATTATTCCCCATTGGAATGTATATTATAATTATGTCATCTTCGTATTTTAATTGTTCATGAATTTCCTGGCCTTTGAAATTATGACACAAAAGAATACTTTTTTCATTAAGCCATATGACAACACATCAGTCTTGTAGAAAAGATTTTGGCTCACTACGAGGTCTTTCCCAAACCCACATAGCACTGAGTGAGAAATAGTTTTATCCTGTGATAGTAAATCGAACTGAAGATCCATTTTGCCTCATGCTACATGTTACAATGAATCTTTAAGGAAAGACAATCTAAAATGTATCCAGTATACAATTTTCAACACAGGGCAAATTTACTCCTGAGTTACATGTAGCAAAACAAAAGACAATGATTATTTTATGCAATTATATCATTACAAATGGAAAATAGTTCTAACCACTATTTCATAGGCAAGAAAAAATTAGTTCCAAAGACAGCATTGCAGATATATATCATTAGTCCATCTCCCAATTTCTGCTCCAGCATTTTTTTTCCACAATATTATATCTAAAATTCATCTGAAGCTCTTTTAGATATTTGTCCTAGAGTTTAGCACAACTGTTTTCTCCACGACTCTGCCCTTCTCTCATCATTTTGATGAATAAATCTGACTCTGTGTAAAATTTTCCTTCTTATCACAATTTCACGTGATCCAGAATTAAAATAGTGATGTGGAAAAAATTCAAATTTCAGTTACATATTTTTCTTCACTTGGCATTATTAGAATTACTTGAAATATTTATTGTCCTACCTTTCTTTTTAATCTTATTTAATTCCTTTGAGATATGAATCTATCCTCTCAATCCTCAATGTTTCTCTTTTCTTAAGCTAAGAGATTTGCTACTGGCTAGTAGCCGCTGCAAACATAATTTTCTATTTTCATTTATGCATGTTTCAAATATATATTTAAGAAATTATTGGAAGAGTATAACATTTCATAATTTAAATAAGCAAATTTTCTAGCCAACCCAAAGTCAAAAAAATCTCCTAACAATTATTGTTATGCCTAGTCTAGTATCATATTCTCAGAATAGACTTGCAAAGATAATAAAGATATGTACCTTAAGTCTTTGAAAAAGATTTCATCAAGCTTTCTGACAGAAGCTATTATGTTGATATTGTAGTTTCACTAATCAGCTGAAAACATCTCCCAAAGGGAAGAAAAACAAGATATCCTTGCAAGCTAAACTCACCATCTAATCTTAGGAAGAAATCAATTAATCTCTGTCCTTCCATTTGGACTGCTTAATAAATAGGTGAGCAGCATGGCTTACTTCAAAGAGTTTTCAAAGCTTATATTTATATTTCTCAAAACATTTGGAGACTTATATCTAATATTATATAATGCAATTAAGTTACCTAATATTAACTGGAAACTTAAATTCAAAAACAAAGCAGTAATATTGCAACTTTATTTGAAGGTTGATTAATTGAAACATGATCATTTGGATGAGAATTACAATATATAAAAACTAAGTTTCTTCTATACTTGATAAAATTATACCAGTAAAATTATATTTGTGGCTGGGTGCGGTGGCTCACGCCTCTAATCCCAGCACTTTGGGAGGCTGAGGCAGGCAGATCACAAGGTCAGGAGTTTGAGATCAGCCTCGCCAACATGGTGAAACCCCATCTCTACTAAAAATACAAAAATTACCTGGGCGTGGTGGCACGTGCCTGTAATCCCAGCTACTCAGGAGGCTGAGACAGGAGAATCGCTTGAACCTGGGAGGTGGAGGTTGCAGTGAGCCGAGATCATGCCACTGCACTCTAGCCTGGGTGACAGAGCGAGACTCCATCTCAAAAAAAAAAAAAAAAAATACACACACACACATATATATATATATAAAATTTTATAATATATATAATATATACAGTATATATTATATTATATAATATATACAGTATATATTATATTATATATTATATATTCATATATTATATTTGTAAGTAATATTTCAGTCTGTACTTTGCCTGCACTAGATTATTTTAAGGCACTCTTTTATATGATTGATTACAGTAGTAGTAGTAGTAGTAGCTACTAATTGTATGATGTTTATATACTACAAAAAAGCATGAAAACAAAATAGAAATTACCTGTAATCCCACCATGCCACAATAGGAACTTTTAACAGTTTGTTGTATTTTCAGTTGTCCCCCTTTATAAGTCTCTCTATAGTCCCAATGACAGAAATAATTATATAAATATGTGTACTGATGTTACATATTTAAGGCTCTATTTTATACATTAACTTGTACTCTCCTTCAATTAAGGGTATAAATCTTTTCCCAAGATATTAAATATTCTTTTACAACATTATTTTTTAGTATTTCGTTGCTTAAATATGCCACAATTTAATTTGCCAATATTTGGGGATACTTTAAAAGCTTTGTTTTACTTACAGGCAAACTACATGTTTATTACAAATAATTTTAATCTATTCAAAAATGGTTCCCTAAAGGATCCCAAGATAGAATGTTGTTTTAGTGTCATTTTTATATTTGAAGATTATTCAAATAGTAGTAAATAATTAAAATGAATCAAGCTGTTTTATTTTAATATTTGCTTGAATTGGAGACTAAGTCAACTTGGATATGGCTTTTTCTGCATTATTGATGTTTTATTGCTTTTACCATAGAAAATACCATGAGTGAAAATTTGATTTTATGAAAATTATATCAAGGAGGACATCTGGAAACTCACATTTTTTATCCTAATGCCTGTGATCTTACAGCCTCATCTGAATGTGGGGAAAGTAATTAGTCTTTTATTTCCATCAGAAAACAAATGGAGGAAAAGAGGAAATGGTTTTCTTGGATGTAAAGATAATGCTGTGTCCATATCTCCGTTTTATATATATTTAATAGAAGATTTTGGAGTCTTCACCAAGCACATTATTTGAAAAAAATTCTGCACAAATCATTTATTTCTTCAAAAAGAAATTTTACTTCAAATCACAAAAAGCCTGAAAGGAATCAGATCCTCTTTAGTCGAAAACAGTACATGGGAGATATTCGGAAGGGCGGGGAGTCTTTGGTTATGCTCTATGGAGTAGAAATTGCTTTTCATTTAAAAAATAGATATTTCTCAGGAAGCTCTGTTCTTTCTGCTAAATAAAACAGCTTGAATTTCTGATGAGCATCCTTTAGAGTACATTTCTCTTCTGTTGACACTGAGATTCATGGGAATGCTTGCCATTAACACAAATGGGAGCTAAACACATCAATCGCTTCATGTGAAGATTAAAATGCTCCTCTTCATTTGAACCCAATACATTATAGGTAATTACGTGTCAATAATAATTACTCTTATTCTGTTTAACACTGCTGCTTAGAAACAAGCATCTTACTGTACCACAAGGGTCATAAAAAACAGCATGAAAAACATGGAGATATTTTCTTTCAGAGCTTAGTACAGCTTAACCTAATGACAGAAAGTTTTATTAACATCTTCTTTTGTTAATATTACTTGTATCTATTGCCAACAGATATGAAACAGATTAAAATATTTAGTGCCTCTTTATAAAATGACATATTTACAAGTTTTATATTTTTCTCCAGATATAAATTTCTCCTAATATGCACAAAAATGATTTAAAGGAGATAAAAGGATATTTTTAGAGTATATTCAAATGCTGACTTTTGAAATAAGACCATTCAAATGTTTTTCTCTTGTTCTTATCTTTTCAATGAGTCATAAAATATAGTTAATAAATGACTCTATAATATATTTTTCTAAAAATTATAAATTATTACTTTACATGTATATATGTACATTTATATAAATATTTTTATAATATCCCTCATTTTATCCATATCTTCTCTTTATATTGCATTTTAGGGATGTGTGTTTTTTATGCCATACTTCATTGAAGCCACAAATGCATCAGTTGTAAGATACATCACTGTATTTTGTACCATTAAGAAAACGTCACTACCTGTTAAACTGTTACAAAATGCTTTCATCACTTATTTTAATGAAACATAATTTTAGACTTAAACATTTTATTATGTAACATACCAGAATTTATGTAATATAAAAATGTATGTAAATAAATTTATTAAAGGTTTTCTAAAATACTTTTCATTCTAAATAAATGTATTCAGAATCTGTTTTTGACAGTCATTAAAGTTTGTTTTTGACCTTAAGAACATCGGTGATGTAGCATTTCTTAAAAGAATGTCCCACTATTATCTGTGATATTTTCTTCCAAGCCATTGACGCACGTTTTGAAGATTCTGATGCTGGCACCTTCTTGCTCTTATGTGAAGATCAATGGGAAGGGTGCTCTTATGTGAAGATCAATCAAAGGGTGGTTGCAATTATCTATAGACACCACCAAGAACAAATCTCTAGTTTCACCCATTTTAGACAATGTAAATTACGCCACTGAAAAAAACACCGATTTTAAGATGACACTTATTGTAAATCTTGTTTTGAGAAATCATAAAATATGAACAAGCATGATTTTAGAATCAATTATATATGGTATCATAATCAATGACTTGAGATTTTAGTACTTCTTTCTTCCTATTTGTTTTGAAAGCATTAACTTTTATATCAATAATGAATGTTCTCTGATGTTTCAAATTAGGTGATATTGGTAATATAGCATATCATCTAATATTTTTCTCCATGGCTAAAAGTTGAATTATAAGCATTAAAATCATGTCCTCAAATAGAAAAAGAAATAACTGAGTCAGCTATTTATTCTGGGCCATTTTTTTCAATTTTAAAAATTGTGATGAAATACATATATTATAAACTTACCATCTTAACCATTTTTAAGTGCATCATTCAGTGATACTACATATACTCATATTGTTGTGCAACCATCACCACCATCTGTCTCCAGACCTCTATTCATCCCACAAAACCATTATTTCTTCAAATCATCTCTAAATTGAAATTGACTTATGCTACAATTTACCAGCCAAGCCATCCCAGGGGATTTGCAAGCTTTCAATGAACTCCAGAATTCCAAAATAGTTACACGGGAGAGTCTGTCAGTGAAATTGTTGTTTGGGTGAGGAGACTGATTTCTAGTGCTTCCCACTCTGCCATGTACCCAGAATCACCTGCCTCAAAGTCTGTGGAGTATTTTCCCCCTTATCTTACCAGAGAAGACAAAAAGCTGAAAGTTTCATCTAAAATGTCCACATTAATAGATACGCTGCATAGTGACCATGTTTTCATTGTGTCTTTTTGAGTCTCTAACACCCCACACCATTTCTGATAAGTGGTGCACACTCAGAAAATGTAAAAAATGTAAATAAAAGATTACAGTTTTTAGTTAAGAATGCTTGTTGTTGTTTTTCTAAGTACTTAGATTTAATTACAAGTGAATTATAAATTATAGTTCATATTCAATGTTGATTTATTCTCCTTATTTCAGAATAATAGTAAAAGCAACATTTTCAATTCATAATCATGCAATTTCATTAGGTGCTTCATTCAAGTAAGAGTCTGTGATGATATGTATCATCTCACAGGACAGTAGTTCACCTTCCCTAGGCTCCCATGTTGCACAAATGGCCCTAAGCACATTGTTAGATGTAAATGTAGTGATCAAAATAGAACATTTTAAAGTACTGATGTTTAACACAAAATGACATACAATTTCAAAACTAAAGACTCATTACAGACCTCAGTTATTATAAAAATCAGAGGACATTATTAACCACTCTGCTTATAAATTTGAATTGTAAATGAAATAAGCTAATTCCTATAAAAATACATATTTAAAAACACGTGAAAAAGAAAAAATGTTAAACCCAAGATCTATTAAAAACATTTAATCTGTAATAAAATATTTCCCATGGAGAAATTATTAGCTCTGTATTGCTTCACCAGTAAATCCTTTTAAGTATTTAAAAAGGAATAATAATAATCGTACATAAATTCCTTCAGAAAAGAAACACAAAAACAATTTTCTTCTGTTATGAGTTAAGCACAAACTTGGAAGCAAAATTGCCATGATATTACAAGAAAGATAAATTATAGGACAATCTGTCTCATGAGTACTTGCAAACTAAATGAAATATTTGGAAATAAAAAAATTGATATAGAAAAATATACATTACTATAAATTTGGACTTATATGAGGAATGCAAAGATGGCTTTATATTTCAATATTCTTAATTATAATTCACCACATTGTCAAAAATAGAGAGGAAAATCATATAATGAATTCTATAACGAAGAAAAGGCATTAAAAAAATTCAGCATAAGTAAATGATGAGAACTCCTATCAAATTAGAAATGGAAGAAAATGTCCTTATTTATTGAAAAGCATCTATAAAACAATTACCTAAAACAAACTGATGATAAAATACTTAAATAATTTGTCTCTGTGAGCAGTAAAAGCCTTTTTGTCACTTTTATTCAGCATTATTTTGGACATCTTAGTCTGTAAAATAAGGTAAAAACAAAAGTAGAATTTATAAGGATAGTGAAGCAAATAAAGCACTCCTTATCTACAGATTACATGTTTGTGTACCAAAAAATCCAAGATACTTACTGATATATTACCTGACAAGTGAATTTAGCAAGGTGGTTAAATATAGGACAATATTTACAATCAAATGTATTCCTAATAAAATTAAAACGATCATATCAAAAGTAAAATTAAACATGGAATTATCATTTGCATTGCAGCAATAACCATGAAATATTTAGGAGTAAGTCTAGCAAGTGATCTGTAAGAAATCCATAATGAAACAACGTTTTAAAATATTAAGAGAAATGAAAGAAGATATAAATCAAGGGAAAGACATTTTATGTGTATGAACATGATGACTCAAAATTTTCAAGATGTCAATTCTCCCCAATTAATATGCAGATTCAATTCAGTGACACTCAAAGTTGTAGCAGTTTTTTTCTTATTGTAAATGTTGACAATTTAAATTGTAATGAAAGGTCTAATGACTAAGATTAGAAAAGCCAAGCATGAATAAAAAGAGGAGAACATACAATACCACATGTCCAAAATTATAATAAAACCGCTGTAATTAAGACCATGTGATACTATTGAAAGTGTTGACAAATCGAATAATGGAAGAGTAGACAGTTAGGAAAAGAAAAACCTACATATATCTGAATAGTTTTTCAATGACAAAGGTGACCTTTTCACGTGGCTAGGAAAGGATGGTCTTTTTAATAATTGGTGCTAGGGTAACTGAATATCATATTGTTACCTACCTCACACTAAACCAAAGATCACTGGAATTTTAAAAATATGAAAATGAAAAAGTCGAAAGATATTAGAAAAGAGTACTAAAAAGTGCCTGTGCTTAGAGAATGATTTATTAAACTAGATACAAAAGGCACTAATCATTAATTTAAAGAGATATAAGGTATAATGTATTAATACTAACAGACTCTCTCCATCAATGACACCACTAAAATTTTAAAAGAATTTTAAAAGCAAGCCCGAGGTGGAATAAGAGATTTACTGTAATTACAGACAACAAAGAATGTATATTCAGTATATATTAAAAACTCCAAATCAAAACCAAAAAATCAGACAACACAATTAATAGATTGCACTTCACAGAAACAGATATCTAAATGGTCAATAAATACATGAAAATGTGCTCAATTTCATTAGTAACCAGAAAAGTACAAATTAAAATCAAGTTAATTGCTACTGTGTTCCCACCAGAATAACTTAAATGACAAAGACAACCAATAGTAAATTTTGGCAAGAAAGTGGAATTAGAACTATTATACACTATTACACTATGGGGATATGGAAATTGGTCAATGATTTTGGACCAGACTTTGGTATTCACTACTCAAGCTGAACCTACGTAATACACCTGATAACACAGATTTTACTTCTGCACACATTTCCACACGCATTGTGTGTATCTATTAGCCATAAGATATAAAGAAGAATGTTTATAGATGCACTAACATAATATTGTGGTACCTTTATACAGAGTCAATTGATGAAGATGAATGTATAAAATAACCTGGTTCCATAAACATTGTATTTTTTTCATAAATATAAATATGGTCTCACAAACACATTGTTGAGTGAAAGAAAGCAGACAAGCATGACTATATACCCTGTGATTCTATTTCTGTAAGGTTCAAAGACAGGAAAAACTATTTTATGATGTTACAAGTCAATGAAACTTTTTGCTTTAGGGAGGATGTAACAACTGGGAGAGAGCAGGTAGAAGCCTCTGTTTCTTGGTACAGGTGTTGGTTACAAGGATATGTTTGGTTTTGAAAAGTCATTGATCTATACAATGATCACTTGTGGACTTTTCTATTAGTATATCACACTAATTGAATTTCTATTTATATATACACACTATTGAATTTTAAAAATGTAAAATACTCTTACCCTTTTTTTCCTTTTGTACCCTCTTGCTCCAACACACATTAGTGATTATGACAAGAAAATATATACCATACATGTTCAATGGACTACAGAAAGATGCTGTGTAAGTCTAAGTCAAAAGCAAAGTCTAAATATGAAGGGTTTTAGTTTAGTTAATTATTTTTATTATTGTTATTATGATTTTGCTTCTCAGCAAATTACATTCAATCAATAGTAGAATTTGGAAGAAGGTTGTTTTACAAACCCACCTGTAACAGCCAGGAAGGAAGCAATGGGGAGGCCAACTGGTAAGGTACTAGAAAATGATTGATTCAGTGTTGTTATGTCAAAATGGGTCTTGCTTTATCATTGCCAGTAAGGATTCTCTAATGATCTGAAGACAACTTCTGTACTAATCAGATCTCTTAAATTTTTGAAGTTGAAAGAAGAAAGTAAAACATATTTGAGAAAGTAAAACATACTCATAATAACTGAGCCAAATAGACTTTCAATAAAATGAGAGAGAGAACCCAGTATTTGACACATTTAAATAATAGCTAACTCTTCTCTAGTGAACCAACTATTCACATGTAACAATTTAAAGGAGAAGCTATTGCAATTAGCTATTATGCATATATAAGTACAATTTGTATCTTGGCCCTCTATTTATACTGAATCTTCTCTTCTAGGGCAGTCTTTTTTAACATTTTACTTCATTTTAAAATGACAAGTAAAATTGTATATATTTATAATTCCCAATGTAATGTTTTGAGATATATAGATGCTATTAAATGATTAAATTGAGCTAACTAACATATGAGTTACCAAGTAGATATCATTTTTTCTGGTGAGATCACCTAAAATCTACTCTTACAGTATTTTTCAAAAGTAGAATATATTGTTATTAAAACAAGGATGCCTACTTACACCACTTCTGTTCAACATAGTACAGAAAGTCCTAGCCAGAACAATCAGGCAAGAGAAAGAAATAAAGGGCATCCAAATTGGAAAATAGCAAGTCAATTGTCTCCACCAATGATATTATCTTATACTAGAAAGCTCTAAAGACTCTTCCAAAAATGAATTCAGTAAAGTCTCAGATTACAAACTCAAGGTACACAATTTAGTAGCACTGCTATACACCAGCAACAAACAAGTTGAGAATCAAATTAAGAACTCAGTCATTTTTTATTATAAGAGCTACAAAAAAAAATCAAATACCTAGTAATCTACTTAACCAAGGAGGTGAAAGGTCTATAAAGAACTTCAAAACATTGCTGAAAGAAATCATAGATGACACAAACAAATGGAAATACATCCCATGCTCATGGATTGGAAGAATCAATATCAGGAAAATGACCATACTGCCCAAAGCAATCTACAGATCCAGTGAAATTCCTATCAACATCCCATAACTTTTATAGAATTAGCGAAAGCAAACCTAAAATTCATATAGAACCAAAAAAGAGCCTGAATGCCCAACACAATCCTAAGCAAAAGGAACAAATCCAGAGACATCACGTTACCTGATTTCAAATTGTGCTGCAAGGCTATAGTAACCAAACCATCATGGTACTGGTATAAAAATAGACACATAAGACAATATTACAGAATAGAGAACCCAGAAATAAAGCCAAATACTTATAACCAACTCATCTTCAACAAAGCATGCCAAAACCTAAACTGAGGAAAAGGCACCCTACTCAATAAATAGTGCTGGCAAAATTGGATAACCACAGGTACTAGAAGGAAACTGGATCTCTATCTCCCACCATACACAAAAATTAACTCAAGATGAATTAAATACTTAAGTCCAAGACCTGAAACCATAAAAATTCTAGAAGGAAACATAGGAAAACCTCTTCTGGACATTTGCCTAGACAATGAATTTATTAATAAGACCCCAAGAGCAACTGCAACAAAAACAAAATGAAATAAATGGGACCTAATTAAACTAAAAGCTTCTGCACAACAAAATAATTATCACAGTAAACAGATAACCTACAGAATGGGTGACAATATTTGCAAGCTATGCATCTGACAAAGGACTATTATCCAGAATTTAAAAGGAACTCAAGTTAGCAAGGAAAAACAAACAAATAATCTCCTTAAAGAGTCGGCAAAAGACATAAATAGACATTTCTCAAAAGAAGATATACAAATGGCCACCAAACATATGAAAATATGCTCAACGTCACTAATCATCACAGAATGCACATTAAAACCATAATGAGATGCTATCTTACCCCAACCAAAATGGCCATTTTTAAAAAGTCAAAAAACAATACATGTTGTCATGGATGTGGTGAACAGGGATCACTTATACACTGCTAATGGGAATGTAAATTAGTACAGCCTCTATGAAAAACTGTATGGCAATTCCTCAGAGAAGTAAAATAGATCTACTTTTTGATCCAGCAACCTCACTACTGGGTATCCACCCAAAGGAAAAAAAATCGTTATATCAAAAAGACACCTGCACCCATATGTTTATCACAGGACTATTCACAGTTGGAAAGATACGGAGTCAACCTAAATGCCCACCAACTGATAACTGATGAATGGATAAAGTAAATGCAACATACACACACACACACACACACACACACATCATGGAATACTACTCAGCCATAAAAAAGAATGAAATAATGTCTTTTGCAGCAACTTGGATGGAACTGAAGGCCAATTATTCTAAATGAAGTAACTCAGGAATCAAAAACCACACACTGCATGTTCTCACTTGTAAGTGGGAGCTAAGCTACGGGTATGCAAAGGCATACAGAGTAGTGTATGGACATTGGAGACTCAGAAAGGGGGACAGTGGAAGGGAATGAGGAATGAAAAAAAACTACCTATTTTGTACAATGTACACTGCTCGGGTGACAGGTGCACTGAAATCCCTGACTTTACTACTATACAATTCATCTATATAACGAAAAAACACTTGTACCACCACTAAAGCTATTGAAAAATAAAATAAAATAAAGTATCTATTACATACATCAAAGGATTTAAAGTTTTAGGGACAGAAGTAGGAATTAGCTGGGAGGAAGATGTTTTAGTGAGAGTAGCTGTCATGAATAATAAGATAGAGCAGAGACGAGTGATCTGAAAAATACAACCAGAGAAAAAAAAGAAAGAGGTGACGCCCTTGAATACTTGGATTCCAGAAGGAGGGGGAGGGGTGAGATGCTTTAAAGGAGAAGGAAAAGAACAATGACAAATTTTAAAAATGAATAAGGACTCTTATTGACTGCACAATTCTTCCCAGGATTATCTCTGACTAACTGACCAGCAAAATTACAAGTAAAAAAACCCAATGACATCTAATTCCCTATTTGACTAAATTTTTCCCACCTTGGACTACTTTTCTGATGGAACTGACAAGTCGTCCTGGTGTTAAAAAGTATGACGCCTTTTACTGTAGGCTGAGACCATTGCAGGGAGATCCCTGTACTCCTCACATATTATTGTATGATAGTGGGAATGTTTTGGCCATTTTGTTTTCTATTCAAGCAACACACACACATATTTTGAAACTACTAAATTAAACACAGTACAGAAGAATTCAAAATGGAAAGTGTCGGCTTCTGCTCTAACCTTCCTCACTCACAGTCCCACTGCCTGGAGTCTTCCGTATGTAGCTAGCTGCTCCTCTAGTTCCTGCTTGCGTCTCTCCATGTCAGGTCATCAATTGGAAATGACTCCATCACAGAAGATAATTAGGTATACTTCTCCTATCCCCTTCTTTCCATTTTTTGTTATGTTTAATGTAGTAAACCTGACAGTGTCTGGTATTTTCAGACAATTAAGGAAACTACCTATGCCTGTGATATTTTTCCCTTTTTAAATTGAAGTAATTTCAAACTTACGGAAGTGTTGCAAGAATAGCAAAAAATATCTCCAGGTTATCCTTCAATCCAATTCACCAATTAACAACATTTTTACACATTTGCTTTCTCACTCTTACACACTACCATATAAGTGTATGTGTATATATGTATATATGCATATATGCATATATGTCTGTATATATGAAGGACTTTTTTTTTTTTTTTTTTTTTTTTTTTTTTGGAGACAGAGTCTCCCTCTGTCGCCCAGGCTGCAGTGCAGTGTCCCAATCTTGGCTCAGCGCAACCTCCGCCTCTCGGGTTCACGCTATTCTCTTGCCTCAGCCTCCCGAGTAGCTGGGACTACAGGCGCCCACCACCATGCCTGGCTCAATTTTTTGTATTTTTAGTAGAGACGGGGTTTCACCGTGTTAGCCAGGATAGTCTCGCTCTCCTGACTTCGTGATCCACCCGTTTCGGCCTCCCAAAGTGCTGGGATTACAGGTGTGAGCCACTGCGCCCGGCCAGTTGTTTCTTCTTTAAAGGTTCAATAGAATGCAGTGGTAAAGGCATCTGGTACTGGATTTTTTGGGGGGAAGACTGAGTCAATCTTATTACTTGTTATTACTCTGTTTAGGCTTTCTATTTCTTCTTGGTTCAATCTTAATAGGGTGTATGTGTCTAGGAATTTATCAATTTCCTCTAGGTTTTTTATTTTATTGGCATATAAATTGTTCATAGTAATCTCTAATTATACTTTTATTTTCTGTGGTACTCATTGTGATAACTCCTTTTTCATTTGTGATTTTGTTTTTGGGAAATTTTAAACAAGTGGGATCAAGATCCTCAAGAATTTCTTTGAAGAATTATAACAGGAGATGGAATACGGTTTTACCAGTATAATCTTGAAGACAGCACACAGTCAATCCAATAGCTACCAAGAGGAGGAAGTGGCCCAGTCAAAGCAAAATGGACCATCAGGAGCAAAGGTCATGGCAACACTTTCTTAAGGGTCAAAGAAAAATGACATTTGCTTATTATGGGAGTGTCTTGAGAAAGTTTGCTGAAGCTTTAGCAGAAAAACACCCAGGAAAGTTTCATCAGAGAGTTCAGCTCCTCCCACTGAGGGTGTTTCTGTTTATTCTGAGTGATTGCCTGTACTCCCTTTTATGCTTTTACAGGTATCCATCCACTTTCTGTGTTCTAGGTACCTGTTGAAATCTTCTGCGGGCTGGTGTCTTTTACACCACAGCCCCATTATTTTTGTTCTTATGAAGGCTTAGGAAAGAATGAAGAAAATTTCACAAATTCACACTATTTTAAATTAGAAATTCAAAAAGCTTGGGAAGATTGTATCTCTTATCAATATATACATACATATATACACATAGAACATAAAGAGTGATTCAATAAAATGTTGCCCTTAGAAATGATAGATTTTGGTAAATTGGAAAGATATGAATTGTTTTTAAGCAGATTAGTGTTCTGTATTTTTCATTATTATAAATTTGAGATCATGACGTGTTCAAACGGTTCACAGTAGCATAACAAAGCTAAGTTTGGGATCTACAGTTGCAATGTAGAAATTAAAGCTGATATTATAAAAATGGAATCTGATTCTTTGATTCCAAAGCAGGTAACGAACAGACGAAAATGTGAATCAAAGGAGTCACATATTGACATTGATTGTCTTATTGAAAATTAATGAATAAAAGTTGAGCTAATTTTACATGAAACTACCATTTTGTAAGATGAAAATTCATTATGTAAAATATTACATAATGACAACATTTATATTTGCCAGTGAGTTGATTCATTTATACATTTTTCCAAAACACTCATTGTGCATCTTTTTATTTTAGCTTAATTTTGCAACTCAGTTCATCTGTTATGTAAAGTAAATCATATCTTTGGATCTAGATTAATATATAATTGAGTTTGTCAGAGAAAATCAGAGACAATATGACCATTCCTAATTACCATTGTATTAAGATAAAGACTTTGTCTAATTACCGAAAATACTGAGATCTGGAATATTAAGATTCAATCTCCCAAATGAAATTACTGTCATTTTAAATCTATAGTAGTTAAGTTAGCAAAATTTTGAGTTCAGCGATGTAGTTTAAAGAGCAAAATCAGAAGGGAAAAATGTAATATTTGTGTGCAGGAGATGTAGCAATTATTATAAATATAGCTTAGAATAACATAATTGATTATTTCCAGTTTGACTATCTGACACAATATTGCTAAAGAAAATTACTGGAGGTTTCTTCTAGTCTGCAATTAGATACAATCATGTTTATTAGTGTTTGAAAATGAAAACTGTAATTTACCAGAAGCTCTTCTGAGAATTCCTTTGTACAAAAGGGTTTTTAACAGGCCCCTATGTATGAAACTTGTCATGTTATACTGGGGGGAATAGAGTTGCATCGTTTTTCTTTCTCCCTTATAAAAACTTCCCAGTTCTGCAAAGTCTGCAACCTTTGTGATGTACCACTGAAAAATAAGGGCTGGCCAGGCGTGGTGGCTAACGCCTGTAATCCCAGCACTTTGGGAGGCTGAGGCAGGTGGAAGTCAGGAGTTCGAGACCAGCCTGGCCAACATAGTGAAACCCTGTCTCTACTAAGAAGACAAGAAATTAGCCAAGCGTGGTGGCAGGCACCTGTAATCCCAGCTACTTGGAAGGCTGAGCCAGGAGAATCAGTTGAACCAGAGAGGCAAAGGTTGCAGTGAGCCAAGATCATGGCATTGCACTCCAGCCTGGGCAATAATGTGAGACTCCATCTCAAATAAATACATAAATAAGTAAATAAATAAAAGGGCTTAATCTTTTGCACAAGGCATGAAAGTAACAGGAATTGTTGCTATTTTTCTACCTTTGTCTTTTCCCTATAGCACTCAGGACCCACCAACTACTCTGTTAATCCAGTCAAGAATTAATCACAACTCAATGCTCCTGCCATCTACTAGCAATATCCTATACACAGATAAGTGGTGCTTTTTACAGTCTTCACTTTTGTTTTATTCAGCAAGCTCATGAAAAGTATTTATTTTCTAAAAAGGAATTTAATGAATAAAGAAAAAAATAATTGTGTTGAATACCTGCTTTATGGCAATATTTCTGCCTGCAGCAAACAATCCTGTGGAGAATTAGCTTGGTAATAAGAAAGGGCTTCAGAGCCAATTGCCTGGGTTTGAATCTACTTCCACTACTTATGAGCTGGGTATACATTGATATTATTTGAACTTTGGGTTATTCATTTGTAAATTGGGCATAATAGTCTAACACCTAACAGAGTTGTTGTGAGGATTTAATCAGTTAATATTCATAAAGTCCTTGGAACAATACCTGGTACATAATACAGCAAATGCTAAAAATTGTGCCACCTCAATATAGAAAATAGTGGTTAAAAACATGGGCTCTGGAGCCTGGCTGTCTGAAATCAAATCCCCATCCATGAGTTTCCAACTGTGCCTTTGTGTCCTAATTTATACAGTGGAAATGCAGCTGTGCTTACCTAATAGGCTGGCACAGCCACACTACTTCCTGATGAAATGAGACAGGGATGGCTTCCTTGACATGGGACCCGAGCAGTTGCTCAGGGCCCCATTCTCGAAGGACTGCAAATATGGTTCAAAACTTCTCTCTTGCCGTATTAAAATTCTTATAAATTTTACTTTTGAACTTGTTTTGTAAGCAAAGTGCAATGGGGTGATGATGGATACATGTGAGCAGAGGGACATACACATAACATGCATGGAGACTGTTCTGTGACACCTCATTCTCATATAGCGTTTGCAATGCCCCATGAGCACACACTTCTGGTGACCTGTGGTTCATGGGAGGCCAGGAAGACTCAAGGTGAGTACAGAGTAAGCATGTTACATCCATGACTAGGTGGGGAAAACGACAATCCAAAAAGCCACACCTTCCATTAGAAACAGAACTTATTTAAAACACAGAAAGAAGTCAATGTGTTCCAAAAAGCCCCAACTGACCAAGGAACCTTATTATATCTCTCTGACTGGTGTTACTTAGGCTGAAAAAGAGAACATAAGGCGAAAGGGAAGAGCCACATACAGTTCTTATTACTTTCAGTACTTACTCACCAGTAACCAAAGACAGAGTATTGGCAGACTGTGCACTTACTTTACCAAGGAGATGAAATAGAACAGGTGAGTTAGTTTTGTGTAGCATTTCTACTGTTATGATAAGAACAAAGGGTATACGCGTGCACAAGCTAAAAAAAAGTACATGTTGTGTAACTGCAGTAATTTTATAGATGAGTTAAATGGACATCACACAATATGAATATGAAAAGCAAAATTCACCAATAATTTAAAAGCTTAGTTTTTCTTTAGCTTACAATGACATTAAATAGCAAATTTTTGAAAACATCACGGAAAACCTAGACAGAGTCTAGAAGTTAGGAAAACCTTTTTCATTTTAGTATCTTTAATAGCGATCTTTCACTATTTTTTGACAAAGTGCTCCTCATTTTTATTTTGCATGGGGTCCTACAAATTATGCAGCTAGCTCTGAAATGAGAGAAAAGATCTGTAAAATTTAGTATAGCAACTAAGTAGTATGCTCAAAATGATAAGCTATTGCAATTTTGATTTTCTATGGCAAATTTTACATTAATTTTGCAATTGAAGAAGACGCTATTCTCCTGCTAAACAGCCTTGAAATAGAGAAGAACATACACACACACACACACACACAAATTTATCTTTCTTTTAAAACTGTGTGTATCCGTCTTTACTGGTGTGCAACATGAAGGGCCTTAAACCCAGCACTATTTTTGTATTTGCTACCCATCTGAACACATTCAATCACATTATCTATAACTCTCAGACATATTGAATCTGTTGTACTACCTTATTTTTTTTTCTTGATATCTATTCTAATTCCTTCTTCTTAAGGCCAACTACAACATCCTGTCTCAGAAATGTATCTTGCATAGCTTCCCCATTCAAGGCAACTGGTAGGTAGGTTTATGTCCTGAAATATTGAGCAAAGAAGCTGAAAATAGAAAATAAGATCCTCTTCTTCAACAGAGAATTCAAGATTCTCAGAGGAACCAGAACTCTGTGACTAACAATATATACTACTGGGATTTTATTCATACATTTTTCCATCTTATGTTCATGGATATCCTGTGATTTATTTGTTATGATTGGTGTTTTACAGGTAAGAAAATCAAGACTCAAAAAGGGTGGTTAATTTTCTCTGGCTAAAGTACTAGAATCAGAGTTTGATTGCTAATTAACTCAACAACTGTCTAATAAACCATGGTGCCTCACACTCCATTAGGTGTTAATGATTGCTAATGGGTTGTACTCCTTCTACCTCAATAATATGTCTCCTTGGTACATGTGTATATCAGTTGAGGTTTCTGGAGGAAAAGAATACTAATCTAAAAGAATAAAGCCTCATAATGAGGTTTTAATTGATTTTTCAACAAATTACTGTATTCAGTACTTCAGTTTTTCAAGGTGAAAAGACATCATCCCTGCATTCAAGTTTTTTACAATTTAGTGGAAAGACAGACACAGCAATTTGAAATTGCAATACACGAAAGTAGTATTTTTTTCAGCTTCTATTTTGCATCAGAATCACCATAGGGTTTGTAAAAATGTAGACTGCTGGGCCCAAGCCCCAGTGTCTGATTTAGCAGGCCTAGGAAGCAGCCCAGTAATTCACATCAAACCAGTTCCCACAAGATGCTGATGCTGCTGGTCTAAGGACTGCTCTCTGAAAACCACTGCCCTAAAGTAATTGTTATAATGGACATTTGCACATTGAAGTAGATAGAAAACAAGAGCTACCAAGTTTTAGGATGAAATCAGGAAAAGATTCACAGAGCAGGGAGTATTTGTATACAAATTAAAGGGTCTGGAGAAGTTGACCAAGTGAGGAAACAGGAGAAATCTGTGAGCTGAGATGAGGAAGTCATTCCAAGTAAAAGTTCCTTAAGAAAAGGAACGAGGTTTATTGCATTTTTGCCAAACCTCCAATGTATGGCTCACAGAACACATTAACAAATGTATTATTTATTGAATAATTGAATAAATGAATGAATGAATGAGCTAATCTAAAATGCAGAATCAACAACTTATAAAACTTACCTGAGGATGAGATGAACTATGAACCTTTCCCTGTGGGCACAGGAATTCTTGAGAGAAGATTCTCTTCTCTTTATCCTTAATAATTGTTAAGAAATAATGAAGATATAAATCAATTTAATAATTCAAAATGTACTTTGGCACTCTAACAGCCTCTCTACTGTTAATGCAATTTAAGATACGAAAATATTTGGTGGAATTAGTAAAAAGGAATACAAACAGCTTGAGACTGAATTCAAGACAGCATGCTGGGTAATTACCAATCTACATCAAAAATGATGGCCTTGATGGAAGCGCCCTCAGAGTCAGACTGTTGCAATCTGTCTGCAGCAAACACAGCCACGTGCTTTAGAGTACACACATGGCCCCACTGTCTGCACGGCATGAAAGCACTCATAGCCTTCTTCAAGTGCTTGAATTTTTTTTTTTTAAGAACAATCTCGACTTTGGAATATTCGGATAGATTTATTCACAACTGCATTGATGGTAGAGAGGATAATCCACTCAATAACGATTCTAGAAATATATAATGATATTATTTTAGGACATTTGTTTTTTTACTTTGAAGCAATATTCCTGTTTCTTACCTAAAATTTTGTGTCTTGCAGTGAGAATGACTAGAGGATTTTAAAATAACTTTAACTTGTCAAAATGAGGAAGTGAGGTGTTATGTATTGTTATTTGTTTGTTTCTTTTTTTTATTTTAAGTGTTTTCTACTTTCAAGATCAGAGATCTGCTTTCAATTTAGAGGAAAAGCCAGGCTTTTCCCAGATAGTCAGCAGATAGCAGAGAGTAAGTAGAAAGTGTCGGTTAACTCAGAGCAAAATAGAGTGAAGGCAGATTGCCAAGAGCCTCCTCTTAAAAGATCAGTAGCTTCGTTTTCCAGACAAGTATCTCCCAGCCTGTGTAATTCATAAAATAAGCCATTCTTGCAAATGTAGCCATTTTAATCCATGTAATCTCAATATCTGTGTTTTAAAAGTTAGAAAACCTTGAAATATGTTCTCTTTCATTCTTACCCCATTGGTTGAAAATGATGAGACTATTTCTGGATGATGAATCAAGACTGAAGAAGGAAGGAGCATTAGGAAAGGAGCTAACAATTTGCTATCCATCTCTTCCACTAGACAGGTCGTATTACAGAAATGTATGTTACTATTCTAACTGTCCCCCTTAGATATTGGATATTTTGTCTTCCACCCTCCTCAGGACATAGCACCATTTCACTAAAAATTCTAGTATCCACTCTAGCTGTTATTGAGTTAAATTAGGATGCCATGGCTAAAGTTGATGCAGCAAAGTCCATTTCCTGGAGAGCTTGCTAGTATAAATAAGCAGAAATGACTCAAAACAGAACACTTCTAAGATCATCAAAAAGGAAAAGAAAAAAATAAACAAATATAAAGCCTCAATCAATTCTCATGGGAGGAATATTAATCTAATAAATAATAATAATGCTAGCGTTGCATTTTGGTTAACATCCAAGCACTCTGCTAATCACTAAACATGCTTTAGTTTAATGCTTATACAAATATCCTAAAGTAGGCACTCATATACTCATTAAAACAACTTTTAATAACTGAGGCTTGGAGTTTTAAGCTTCAGTTAAAAACCTATTACAAAGCTAGTGAATACTTCATTCTCTATCCCTTATTTATCTGACCCTTACTTACATGCACATAACCATAATTTTATGCATATTTTTAAACATGCAGATAATGTCAATATCAAAAAAAGTAAGCACCATGGACTAAAACCTCAGTGATTTCAGGTGTCTGCTTTGGTCTGAAACTGAGTACTGGAATTCTTAGATGTCCTGCTATTAAGAACAAAAACAAACAAACAAAAAAAACGGCACGGTGGCTCACGCTTATAATCCCAGCAAGTTTGGAGGCTAAGGGAAGTCGATCATTTGAGGTCAGGAATTAGAGACTAGCCTGGCCATCATGATGAAACCCCACCTCTACTAAAAAAAAAAAGAATTAGTTTCCATTTTAAAATTAAAAAAAAAAAATACAAAAACTAGCCAAACGTAGTGGCACATGCCTATAGTCCTAGCTACTCGGGAGGCTGAGGCAGGAGAATTGCTTGAATCTGGGAGAGGGAGCTTGCAATGAATCAAGATCACAAGATCACACCACCACACTCCAGCCTGGGCAACAGAGAGAGCCTCTATCTCAAAACAAAAACAAATAACAACAACAACAATAACAACAAACCCCAAAACCTCTTTTCTAATTCTATAAGACTTGAAGAGAGCATTACTTTTTTATTCACATAAGAAAAATAATTCCTCAGTCCACTGTTCACACATTTCCAACACAAACAACGGTGGTAAAATTACAACAACTTGAAAGAATTTGGGGGAGGGAGTTTCCACTGCGGGTGAAGAACAAAAGTTCAGAGCAAGAAGGCCTGAGTTCAACCTCCAGTTCTGCTTATTCTTCTTTAAACTTGAATAATTTACCTGAAGTTTCCCTCTGTGTTTCCTTAATGACAAAGTAAGGTTCACCATTGTGTCTGTCTCGTGACTGTGTTTGAAGGATTTCATGAGTTAATACATACAAAGCACGTGAAGCCGTGCTGGGTACACAGCAAGTACTCAATATAAATTAGAACACTTTGTAGTGTTCTTTGTTCTTTGTTACCATTTAATACCAAATGTAGTAAATGAAATCCATTGATTCAGAACAAAATATGAATTCTTATGTTCAGTCAAGAAAAATGACAGCAGCCTAGTTGCTATTAGGCCTCTCAGGTCATTGTCAATTGGCTAATAGTTAAGTATTGAATCTGATGTTTTGTCCTTAAGGATACATTCTTTTAGAGGCTGTATTCTGTTTTTCTAACTGAGCAAGAGGGGAACATCACACACCTAAAGTGACTCCAGGTCATAGTTTTTTTTGAAAAAAAAAGCCTATAATGCTGTGATGATGGAATCCCTGTCCAAGTGGTTAGGTCCTGTGGGCTGTTTTCTATGGGAGCTACGCTGTTTATGTTTCAGTAAAATTCATGATTTGTGGACAATGTTTATAATATATTTACAGAACAGCAATATTATCTTCTCTCAATGAGCTATTTTTCTCATAAATGATTATAGCTCAAATCCCTGAAAACCAAGCCAAAACAAAATTTAAAAAAATCACTAGTGATGGGAGATTACTCTCAGAAAGCTCCTTTTTGTGAAAAAATGAATTTTTCTCTTGGACTTATGTATAAATAATACATTCTATGCAACTAAGCAAGAACTGGAAAGTTACCAGGTTAAGACTGAGAGAATAAAAGGAAACCAAAGCAGAAAACCAAAGCCAAGTGACAAGTCAACCATCTGAGGGAAAGCAATGTGGATGGGAAGCAGTTAATGAAGCAGGATGGAGAATCATTGCCTAAATTCAGAGCTCATCATCTGGAAAATATACGGCAATGTCTAGGACTGCCAGGCACCTGAAATCTACCATGAATTTAAATGTTGCAAGTGTTGGAATAAAGGATGCTTTAGAAGTAGCATTCATTGAGGTGGAGGGGAGTGTTGGATACATGAAAAGATGATGGCTAGAAAGTACTTGGTGGGCACTACAGATGCTTCCTGGTTTACAATAGTTTAAATTACAAATTTTTGATGTTAGGATGGTGCAAAAATAATATGCATTTATTAGAAACTTACACTTGGATTTTTGAATTTTGAACTTTGGTCTTTTCCTAGGCCTGTGATGCTGGGCAGAGGCAGTGAGCTGCAGCTTCCAGTCAGCTGCATGATCATGAGGGTAAACTTGCGTAAGACATTCAACTTAAAATAGGTTGGTGTTGGATGGTTTTGCCCAAGTGTAGGCTAATGTAAGTGTTCTGAGCACATTTAAGGTAGGCTAGGCTAAGCTATGATGTTTGCTACACTGGATACATTAAAAGTATTTTTGATTTCCGATATTTTCAACTTCAGTGGGTTAACTGGAATATAATCCAATCACAAATTGAAGAGCATCTATGCTTTTGTTGTGATTTTTCCTGTCTAACCAGTTTTAGGATTTTTTTGTTTGTTTGTTTTCTTTAATGCCTAAATACCTATTCTCCTCCAAATTTCCCAAAAGGCAGAATGTCATTCTAATATTCTAATGTGGTGTGAATGTATATATTCTTTCAAAATGTGCATTGTCTTTTGGTGGGCATATGCCTTTAATCATCATTAATATATTATCTTGAATGTCTCCTTATTTTCTTTACTTTTTCTAATAAACACTATTTTTAAGGTCTATGCATGTTATTTCATGTTTAGCCAATCCTCTGCCTCTTTGAATTTTTGCATATGGCTCCATGGTATACATGCAGCATATTTTTCCTTTCTCTTACCTTAACAAGGGTGAGATCCCCAATTGCTCCTAACTCCTGGCCATCAAAAGTGATAGTGCAATGACATCCTTGCACATGCAAAGATTCTAAGTTTTACCCACAAACTTGGCATCTGATATTTTGCATCTGAAATGAGGATGCTGGTAAGCACACCTCTCTTAGTCTCAAATCTATTCACAATTATTATGAGGCAAGTGCATACTGGTTGGAGCCAAGGTGAATCTACTGAGTTCAACATGTATTCTGACCTGCTCACATTCACAAATGCTCTGTCTCCTCTCGTGGATCTGAAGCAGTTGCTTCTCTCAGTTGTGTAACATTTTTCTTGACTGCTGGTGCCTTGACACAACGAGTGTAAAGTGTCTTGTTGGCAACCATAACTTGATGTTCAATAAGACTTTTGATGTACCCTTTCTGAGTGGGGCTGCTTCTGTTCACATCTCTTGGTCCCTGAACCCTATTGAGAACATCACACTATATGGAAATGTTGGATTTAATATATAAATTGCTTCCTAAAAAAAAAATGAAACCTATTCTTTTGGAGTGCTGCCTCTGAGCTGGCGTTTCAGCTGAGTTGTTAGAAGATCATTTCAGCATTCTATGAGGCTGGGTACATCCAGATGGCTTAATATGTGAAATGACCAGTGTATCCTGTGACCACTGGCCATGGTGCAGTGTTCCATATCTAGCATGAGCCTACTCACACACTTATTAGGCTGTGAAGTGGATCCCCTTGTCAGATGCTATGCTCTGTAGGATTTCATAACTGTGTATCGAATATTCTGAAAATTTCTGGACAGTGTGCTTCCTGAGGATCATTGGGCAGGAAAGGCAAACCTCTACCTGGAATAGTATCTATCTTGTAAGGACTAATGACTATTTTTTTTCTAAGATGAAAAATACTCTGTATAGGAACCTAAATAGCCATTGTTTTCTCTTTAGGGAGTCTTGCCCTGTTAGAGGATTAGTGTTGGTATCCATTGCGGAAAAATTGGAGTTGGGCCCATACGTAGCCTCTGTCTCTGCCAACACGATCACTTCACTTGCGTGATCTTCACACCAATTCTGTAGGGGCCAGTGACAAAGGCCAGCTAATGACGACTGGGTTACTTTTGTCTGTTTAGTTTTTCAGGGCCTTTTCTGTGGTAGGTGTTTTCTGCTGAATGTTAGTGTGTAATATAAAAGGCTTCACACACTTCATATCATTCCCAAACACCTGTCCATGTGTCTCTATGCCAGACATTCTTTCTCTGCTCTTCTACTCATTTTTGTTCTCCTGAGCCCTTGAACAGACAGCTGAGCCAATGTCTAGGGATCTGTATATATCATCACCTCAGTCCTCTTCTCTTCCCACACACAGGGATGACCAGGTGCACTGTTCATAGCTCTACCTATAAGGACATTTTTTTTCTCTCCAATGTCTTTTTAGGGTCACCCCTGAGTGGTTGTAACTCAGACACTATTTGTTTTTGGTTCACACTCATGCACCAAGCTAACCCACTCACAATCCAAACTCGGATTTTTCCCTTCTTTTTCAGCTGGTTGTACAGGGCCCTCCTGCCATGGATGTGAGCCAGGGAAGGGGCACGAGGGCAACTATTAGGGTGATATGGAGCCTCTGGTCTACGTGCTCCAGCAGTATGCTCTAACTCTCTGACATGCTCATGCTCAATCCCAGATCTAACATTTCAAATTATAATGAACTTCTACTAGTCCAGTCCAACTCTATGATTTTCAGGCCTAATAGAACTCAGATCCTAAGAGGTAGTTCTGAATAATACTTGCTGTCCCAAGGAAAATAATACTTGCTGCCCATCTCCACCTGGGCCCAGTAACATTCCAAAATGCATTTCCCAAGGATATATAATCTCTGTTATGAAAGTCATGGTCTTGCTCTAGAATATGAAGCAGCTGTGTTGTGACTCTCTCACTGGTGCTTGACATAAACTTCACACAGCACCTTTTCACACCGATGACATCTTCAACAATATAGGGTCAGCTTGATTATACTGTCTATTTCAGGCCTGATGACACCATGACTGTCTTAGTCTATTTAGGTTGCTATAACATATTACCATAACCTGGGTGGTTTATAAAGAACATAGATTTATCTCTTACAGTTCTAGAGACCAGGAAGTCCAAAATGAAATCACCAGTAGATCTGGTATCTGGTGAGGACCTGCTTTCTCACAGATGGCAACTTTGCCCTTCATCCTCACAAGATGAAAGGGTCAAACAAGCTCCCTCAGGCTTCTTTTATAAGGGCATTCATTCCATTCATGAGGTCTCCTGCCTGAAGACCAAAACGCCTTCCAAAGACTTCACCTCTTAATATCACCACATTGGGGATTAGGTTGCAACATTTGACATTTGGGGGCACAACATTCAGATCGTAGCAATGACCTACAAACACCTGATACAGAGTCTATGTCTGCTGGGTATCTTAGAGAGTTGGTAGCCTTCTATATCACTGGGAAGATGGGCTGGAGTAGTGTATGGAATATGCTGTCTTAAGAGCCCAAAGATGCTGCATGCTTCTCTTCTTCTCTCTTTGCGGTGAGGATGGAATCTGCAGCGTTTTTTCTTTTATTTGGATAGTATTTTTGGCATGGTCCTAATGACTGAATATCTTAACACTTTACTGTGCTGGTTCCTGAAACTTCATTTATCTTGTACCCTCTGTAGAGAAACTGTCTTAGCAATGCCTCCAGCGTGCTTATCACCTCTTGCTTACCCTGTACAATCAGCATGATATTGTCAATGTAATGAATCTGTGTGATGTCCCATGGGATGTACAAGTGCTACAGAGCTCTTTGGAAGGGGTGGAAAGTTAACATAGCCCTGAGACAAAACTTTAAGTGAATATAGTTGGATGTCCCATTTAAATGCAAACTGTTTCTGATATTCTTTTTTGAAATCGGAATGCAAAAGAACATGTTCACCAAATGAGTGGCAACAAACTGTGTACCTGAGGCCTTATTACTCTCCCCTGGCAATGATACTACATCTGGTAAAGCAGCTGTGATCAGGGCTTCTCCTTGGTTAAGTCTGTAGCAGTCTACAATTAAATGGAGATATGACAGGAACTAACACCCCTGCGCCATTTATGTTTTTAATAGATACAGTGTTGATTTTTGCTTACTGTCTTGGCTTGGCGGAGGATGGGAGGTGAAGGGAATTATGCAGTTTTAGAAATTTACACTTGATCTTTCAACTCCAATAACTTATCTGTCAAGTTAGGGAACCAACATGATGGGTACATCAAATGCCAAGTATATCACCTCCAGGGACTGGGGAGATGACCTGTAGGTGGGTTTGCAGATGTACTGGACCCACTGTCAGTGGACTTTAACCCACAGGCCTCCAATCTAACAGAAAGGGGTTCATGATGATGATATGGAACTCCAGGTCCCCACTTTTCTAAACAAGTTTTATAATCAATAATCAATTTGTTAATGCCAAATGCCCCAAATGTCTGGTTAATCCTTTTTCTCTAGGATATAATTGCCAACATAAAAGTCTTAGGGCCCTTGAGGGATAACTGAGAGGAAAACATCACTCTTGAAGGTTTTTCCTCCTAGGGACCCAGTTGCCTCTTTTGGCAATGAATTCTAGATCTGAAAATTGATTCTGGTCTGAGGATAAAGAAGGAGTCATAAATTTTTAATTTTTTTCATTGGGATGATGAAGCTCAGCCTCATGCTTCTCTACTCTTGCTCTTCTTGAAAAATAAATAAATAAATATTAAGCAGTACCCTTGATGATTTTCTACTAATTTTATACCCGAGAACATCATGATCTATTAACCATCCCACAATACCATGCAGGTCTAATTCCCTGGCTACCCCTCTTGGTATTCCAGGTAACTAAGGCCTCTTGAATTCTGGTAGTTAAGAGCTTCCATCTTGTTTCAATCACTTTGTGGGGGAGGGCATCAAGCCCAACTCTATGATTGCCTCTTCAACTGCTGGCCCTGGCCTGCTGAAGGAAGCCACCACTGAACTTACAGAGGCTGCAATCCTCTGTGAACTATGCTCACTGAAATAAAAAATCCAAACTTCTCATTCTCAGGGCCACCACTCTCCACAACTCTGAGCAGTAAGGACAGGATGAATCTTTCTCCTTATGTTCTTGGAATTAATAACTCCATATGCAGATGAAACATAAATGTGAAATCAGTAATGCATGTACTAAGGGAGAAGAGAAGGTTGACAAATGTATAGGTATTCTATCCATCTTCATCTTATATTATTTGTAAGATGACATCAGTAGATTCTAAAAATTGAGGAATTTGATGAATTAAACTGGATAAAACTACATATTTGGAAGACTAAACATTTGAGGAACAAAAAGGAACTTATAAAAAATTACTGGAAATGTAGACATGTATATTTAAGGGAGTGAGAAACAAACACAAAAGATAAATGGAAAGCAGAATAAATGGGAATAGAGTGAAAGAAAAATGGGTAGACAGACGACAGAGGCCTCCAAAGGTTATTAATAATTTTTAAAAGGCAGTTAGAAAGTGCAGTGGAATTTGAAGGGTAAGGTCAAAGTAATATAAAACTGAAGTCTATGCTGATGAAAAGGTAATGTTAGGTTAATTATGCCAGTTTGAGTTGGAAAGTAAAGATTCCAAAACCAAAATTTTAAACTAAAATGAATTCATACGTATTTCACACATGTGACATGTTCTAAAATCAAATTGATTAAAGTCACCAGTGGTTCAAAGCAGTGAGGCTTATCCAGTGCCTTAATAAATGCATGGTTTTTAGCCAGAGATTTTGGAGAACACTCATTAGTAAATTATTTTTCACAAAATGCCTTTCAAACTTCAAATCAAGCCCTTTTAATTTAAGAGTCATGCGTATTCAACCCGTAATGAGTTATTCAACCCTGTTTCTTATTAGTAATTTTCATTAATTTATTTAAGCAATTTGTTTAAAGCTCACCATGTTCTGGGAACTATCCTAAGGTTTGGGACTGCAATGAACACAGCAGACGTATTTCCAATCCTCATGGAGTTAAACAACAACATGTTAGGACCTGCGATCTTCCATGTATTGATCACTGCTGTGTTAGAGATGAAATGTTCAGATTGACTGACATGTATAAAGATGTCTGTATATTCAAGTATCTTTCAATGCATACGTAAAATCCTTGAGTCATCCTTACTCCTCTTTTTTTTCCACATTCCACATCAGATCCATTAGCTAAGCACTGTCATCTCTACATTCAAAGTAAATCCTGACATAACCACTTACTATTTTCTACAACACTAATATTGTAATCCAATTAGCCCTTATCTTTCTCTTCCAATTTTCAGTAACTTTCAAATGAATTTTCCTCCTTCCAATCTTGCTAGTTTCACTGCCACAGTCTGCTCTCCACACAACAGCCAGGGTAGTGAATCAGATCATGTCACTTAGCTGATCACATTCCCTGTGGTTTCCTATCTCAATAAGAATAAACTCAAAATATCTATGATGAGGTTCATCAATTGTTAACAAATGTACCACTCTGGTAGAGGATGTTGATAATAGGAGAAGCTATGCATGTGTGGAGGCAGGGAGTATATAGGAAATCTCTGTAGCTTCAGCTCAATTTTGCTGTGAACCTAAAACTGCTGTAAAAATAAAGCCTATTTTTTAAAAAGCCCTACTATGATTTTGAAGATGCATATATGTGATCGTGTTCCTGGGACTTTCTTTTATTGCATTTTGTACAAGTCTGCCCTCCCTCACTCCACTCCAGCCTTGCTGATCTTCTTGCTCTTCCCAAGACACAATGAGCTTGCCCTTATAAAAGGCCTTTGTACTTTTACTGGCTATCTGAAATACTCCTTCCTAAGTGTGGCTACTCCCCTTCCCTTCCCAAAACACCTTTCTGACAGTACTATTTTAAAAAGTCTCTCCCCCTGTACCATTATTTTGTGACTTCATCATCCTGCTTATTTTTTAAAGCATTATTTGATTATATACCTACACATGTTACTGTCTCTTCTCCTGGTTAAATGTAAGCTCTGCATAAGCTTTATCCACTTAGTCTGCAGCTCTGTCTCCAGAGCTTAGAACACGACCTGATACTTAGTAGGTGCTTAATCAATAACCGAAGGAATGAAATAGATGCTTTTATTAGACATTCAGGCATAATTTAATTTTCTCAATAACTACATTTCAAGAAAGCAGTTCTACACTTAGTTCATTCTTACTCCTTTACCCAAACAATGAAGAACAAAGAGGAGCATAAAGCTTAGCAATTTGGAGAAAGAAAATTTAGTGCTATATCATGTCTCATCCAATCCAGGTAATTGTCACCTTCTTAATTCTTTATCATCTCAGGTTTATGGTGATTTTTTAGCTTTACTGTGCCTGTTTATGTCTTATTTATTACAACACTCCTACTAAAATTATTTTTCACATGATTATACTAGAACGATCAAAACTATATCAATTAAAACAATGGTAAAAAAAATCATAAAGAATGCCTACTATTTTGCTGGAATGCTACACCACTAATATCTATACAACTTCCAATATGTGTAATATATAAGGAAAGGAGTATTAACCCATTTAACAGATGGGGTTAATAACATAATATATAACTATATATGGCTAGCAAATAAAAAATATTGCCTTCTAGAGAGATGAAAAGCTGTCAGCCTATAAAGCCCAACACTTCAAACTCTTTATCTTTTTGTTGGGGAAATGGTTGCTTGGTGAAAATTAATTTCAAAACTCACTATACAATACCATAATATCTGACACCTCTTTATTTGTTCTCAAATATTGACAATTAGTCAATTAGTATATTGACTGGATACCATGAATAACAGCCAGTGAGCTTCATTCATGATGTTTATATAAGTTTCATTCTACCCATTTTGATCTAGATCCAGTAATTTTGAGAATGGCTAAACTTTTAGAGGTCTCCAATATTTTAGCACTGTTTTAATGCACGTTAATTGAGAAAATATGTGATGATTGAGAGACCTAGTGTATATGCAGTGGCATTTATAAATGAGTTAATTAAATTAATTCATTCAATTTACTTCAGCCACTTGTACACATGGTAAAAAATACATAGTTCTGTGAAGTATTTTGTTGAGTCTACGCAATGCTCATTCATGGTCTGCATAAAGATTTTAGGAGCCTCATTTCCCCAGGGGCTGCAATAACAGATAAAAGACTACTGTCTCAACCCTGGAAAAGAGGACTCAGTCTTTCACTTCCTTGACTCAGTCTCAGGGACCCCCAGCTCTTCATATCCAGTGTACAGGCCTCCCCAGGACTTATTGACTCACTCCGTTCACACCTCCAGCACAGTCACCATGGATAAAATTTACAGATGAACTGGGATAGACACTAGTAGGTTTCTGCAGTCAGACAGAGGAACTCAGTCATTCCACGTTAGACTGGCAGGCTCACTCTTACTGTGCACCGTCACCCCTCCTGAGGTCACGCCCTATTCCAACTCCTCAAGCTTAATGGTGGAATCTGACTAAACTGGAATGGTATCCTGGTTGTGGCTCTTAAATCACAAAATCTAACCAAGAGTTAACTTTTAACCAAGTACATCTGAAGATCCAGTTATGCAGGCATTAACAAAAATGAACAATTAAAGCTGGAAATGCTGAGTAAAATCGAGTGTCACTGATTATGTGGGACTTCTTGGGGACCTTTTATGCTAACATATGCTGTGAATCTTCAAAAGGGAGATTCAAAATACAGAAGAAGGCAATTCCTCCTTAGCGAAACATGGAACCAGGGAGCTGCCGAACACATCAGGACATGCAGCTGATCTCGTCTACAATCTCTCCTGTTTTCCACTGTCCTGTTTAAAGTGTTTAGGCTATTAATGTTTTTAGTTTCTTTTAACAAACTTTTTATTTTAGTATAGTTTTAGACAGACAAAATATTATGAAGATAATACAGTTCCCACATACTCCATACCTAGTTTCTTATATAAATACATAACTTACATTAACATAGTAAATTTGCCACAATTAATGGACCAATATCAACACATTACTATCAAATAACATTTATATTTGATTTCAATTTCCATTGCTTTACTTAATGTATTTTTTTCTGTTCCAGAATCCTACCCAGAATACAACATTACATTTCGTTGTTACAAATTCTCACGGACTGCTCTTGGTTTTGACAGTGTCTAAGATCTTCACTGCCTTTGGTGACCTTGCTAGTTTTTAGTAACACTATTCAAACATTTTGTAGAATGTCCCTCAGTTGGGTTTGTCTAATGTTTATCACACTATTACACTGCATTTGTGGGTTTGGAGGAGTATAATAATTCCTAGGACTGCTATAACAAAGTGCCACAAGCTAGATGGCTTAAAACAACAGAAATGTATTGACATGCAATTCTAGAGTCTAGCAGTCCAAAATCAAGGTATCAGTGGGGCCATACTCCCTCTGAAACCAGTAGGAGAACCCTTCTTTGACTCTTCTAAGCTCTGATGGTTTGTTGGTAAGCTTTGGTAAACTTTGACTTATAAACGCGTTCTTACAATCCTCATCTCCACATGGCATTTCCCCTGCATCTATCTTTACAGGGCCATCTTCTTAGAAGGACACTAATTACACTGGATTACACACCCTACTTCAGCATGATGTAACATTTGCTAATTGCACCTGCAATTATCCGAATAATATCCCTTTCTGCGTTAGTGGGGTTAGGACTTCAACATTTCTTTTTGGGGAGGATATAATTCACTCTTTCACCCCACCTCCTTCAGTGAAGTCATTTTAAATGTTTCTTATACAATTAGATTGTTTCATTTTATCACACTCTGCATTTCATCCTGTGATCTTGTTTTTTAATTTTGCATACATTAAGGCGCACTCCTTATGCTGTAAAATTCTATAGCTACTGAGAAATGTATAGTAGCACACATCAACATAACAGTATCATACTGAATAGGTACATCACCCTCAAAAATTCCCTGAGCTATATGTATAGTCTTCCCCCCACCCCCACACTACTTGAAGCCTTGTCAACCTCTAATTCTTTAATCATTTTTATAGTGTTACTGTTTCCAGAATGTATGATCATTGAAATCATAGAGTCTGTGGCTTTCTTAGGCACCTCCTTGAACTGATGAGCCAGTTTGTTTATCCATTCATCTGTTGATGGATACCTTGGTTACAGCCAGTTTGGAGCAATTATGAATAAAACTGCTATAACAATCCTGTGTAGTTTTTTGTGTGAACACAAGTTTTTTAGTCAGTTGGGCAAATACCTAGGAGAGTGATTGCTGGATTGTTTAGTAAGATAAGCCTAGGTTTATTTGTTGTAAGATACTGTTGAACTGTCCTCCCAGTGGCTGTACCACTTTGCATTCCCACCAGCAATAAAGGAGAGCTCCTTTATTCCACATCCTTGCCAGCAACTGCCATTGTCAGTTATTGAATTTTTACCCTTCTAATAAATGTGTATTTTGTTGCTGCTTTCATTTGCAATTATCTCATGATGCATGCTCATAAGCATGTTTTTACGTGTTTATTGCCTTCTATATATCTTCTCTGGTACAGTGTCTGTTCAGATCTTAGGCTCATTTCGTAACTGGGTTTTTGTTTATAATATTGAGTTTAAAGTGGTCTTTGTACATTTTGGATAAAAGTTCTTTATCAGATACGTCTTTTTCAAACATTTTCTCCCAATGTGTCCCTTCTCTTTTCATTCTCTTTCAGTGTATTTTTCAGACCAAAAATTTTTAATTTTAATAAAGTTCAACTTATACATATATTAAAATTAAAAATATATATATTTTTAATTTTATGGATTTTGGTTTTGTTATTATATACGAAAATATATCACCAAACTCAAGGTCACATATTTTCCTGTGTTTTATTATAGAAGTTTATAATTTCTTTGTTTTAATTGAAGGCTATGATCAATTTTGAGTCAATTTTATGAAGTATGTAAGGTCTATGTTATTGATTCAATTCATTCAATAATTATTGACCTATTTAGATAATCAATTTCTCCTTGTATGAGTTTCATGTTTTTCAGAGAATCTGTCCTGTTATCAAATTTGTGAACTTAGAGCTGTTAGTAACATGCTTTTTTATTATCTTTTAATGTCCATCGAATCAATAGCTATTACTCTGTTTTCATTTCTGTTATTAGTAATTGGTATCTTATCTCTTTATTTCATTAGCCTGACTAGAGATTTAGAATTACTTATCTGTTCAAACAGGCAACTTGATTTTATTGATTTTTCTCTGTTTTCCTGTTTTCAATTTCACTAATTTTTGCTCTAAATAGTATTTGTTCTCTTCTGCTCATTTTATACTTAAATGTCTCGTCTTTCTCCAGTTTCCCAAGGTAGAAGCTTAGATTATTATTTAGATCTTTATGCTTCTCCAATACATTCATATAATGCTATACATTTCTCTAAAACCTCCATTTTAACATCTCAAAAATTAAAAGTTGTATATTAATTTTTATTTAGTTTAAATTATTATTATTTTTAACTTGTATTTTAGATTCTAGGGATACATGTGCAGGTGTGTTACATGGTATATTGCATGATGCTGGTGTTTGGAGTACAATTAAATATATCACCAAGGAAGTGAGCATAGTATCCAATAGTTTTTCAACACTTGCCCCACTCTGTACCTTCCCACTCTTGTATTCCTCAGTGTCAATTATTCCCATCCTACTATCCATGTGTGTCCAAGGTTTAGCTCCTACTGATAAGTGAAAACATGAAATATTTGGTTGTTTCTGTGTTAGTTCACTTAGGATAATGGCCTCCAGTTGCACCCATGTTGTAGCAAAGAACATGATTTCATTCTTTTTTATGGGTGTGTAGTAGCTCAGGGTGTACATGTACCACATTTTGTTTATCCAATACGCCATTGATGGGTACCTAAGTTGGTTCAATGTCTTTGCTATTGTGCAATGCTGCATTGCACATACAGGTGTATGTGTGTTTTGGGTAGAATGATTTCTTTTCCTTTGAGTATATACCCAATAACAGGATTGCTGGGTCAAATGGTAGTTCAACTGTTAGTTCTTTGAGAAATCTCCAAACTTATCTCCACTATTGAAACTTCCCCTTTGATCTATGTGTTAGAAATTAAAAATGCATTGTATAATTTTCTGATATTTGGGGATTTTCTAATTAACTTTCTGTTATTGATTTCTAGTTTAGTTACATTGTGGTTTGAGGACATAAATTTTATAATTTTTATTCATAAATTTGCTATAATGTGTTTTTATGGCTGAGAATGAAGCCTATCTTGGTGAATGTTTTGAGAAGAATATATATTCTTCTACACATTAGTATTTTAAAAATGGTAATTCGATCAAAATGATTTTTAGTGCTGTTCAAATCAACTATATTCTTTCTAATTTTCTGCCTGCTTAATCTGTTCATTACTGAGAGAGGTAAGTTTCCAACTATAAGGGTGGATTTGTATATTCCTTCCTTCAGTTGTACTATTTTTTCACATATTTTGACACTGTCACTTGTTCTACACACATTTAGTCAATTTGTCTGCTCATAAAATTGACCCTTTATCATTATATATGATACTTCTTTATCCTTTATAATTTTTCTTGTTCTGAAGTCTACTTTGTCTTAAATTAATATAGCTACTCTTTCTTTTGATTTGTGTAAGCCCATTGTATATCTCTCTCCATATATTTACTTGTACCTATTTGAGCTTATTTGTACCATATATTTACTTGTACCTATTTAAAGTGGGTTTGTGCAGACAACATATTAACTACAACATATACTCGGGTCCTGTTTTTTTGTTTGTTTACTCCATTCTGATAATCTCTCATCTTTAAACTGGAGAATTTATTCCAATCACATTTAAAGTGATTATGGATGTAGTTGGATTAATATCAACTATATTCATAGCAGGTTTCTATTTGTTGCATTTGTTCTTTCTTTCCTCTTTTTCTGCTTACTCTGGTTTTAATTGAGTACTTTGTATGATTCCACTTTATTTCCTCTTTTGTCATACCATTTACACTTTTAAAAATATTTTTAGTTGTCACTGTAGAGTTCTCAGCGTACGTTTTTTTTTTTACTTTAACAAATACATGTGGGATACATGTTCTGGGATACATGTGCAGAACGTGCGGGTTTGTTACATAGGTATACATGTGCCATGGTGTTTTGCTGCACCTATCAACATTATCTAAGTTTTAAGCCCTGCATGCATTCGGTATTTGTCCTAATACTCTCCCTACCCTTTCCCCCGACCCCTGACAGGCCCCGGTGTGTGATGTTCCCCTCCCTGTGTCCAGGTGTTCTCATTGCTCAACTCCTACTTATGAGTGAGAATATGCAGTGTTTGGTTTTCTGTTCCTGTGACAGTTTGTTGAGAAAGATGGCATCTAGCTTCATCCATGTCCCTGCAAAGGACATGAACTCATTCTTTTTCATGGCTGCCTAGTATGCCATGGTGTATATGTACCACATTTTCTTTATCCAATCTATCATTGACAGACATTTGTGCTGGTTCCAAGTCTTTGCTATTGTAAATAGTGCTGTAATAAACATACATGTACATTAGTCTTTTTTCTTTTCGTTTCTTCTAAGTTCTGGGATACATGTGCAGAACATGCAGGTTTGTTACATAGGTATACATGTGCCATGGTGGTTTGCTGCAACCAACCAACCTATCATTTAGGTTTTAGGCCCCACATACATTAGGTATTTGTCCTAATGCTCTCCCTCCCCTTTCCCCCCTCCCCCAACAGACCCTTATGTGTGATGTTCCCCTCTCTGTGTCCATGTGTTCTTATTGTTCAAGTGCACCTGTCAACCTGTCATCTAGGTTTTAGGCCCCTCATGCATTAGATATTTGTCCTAATACTCCCCCTCCCCTTTCCCCACACCACCTGACAGGCCCCAGTGTGTGATGTTCCCCTCCCTGTGTCCATGTGTTCTCATTGTTCAACTCCCACTTATGAGTGAGAACATGTGGTGTTTGGTTTTCCGTTCTTGTATTAGTTTGCTGAGGATGATGGTTTCCAGCTTCATCTATGTCCCTGAAAAGGACATGAACTCATTGTTTTTTTTATGACTGTGTGGTAATCCATGGTGTATATATGCCACATTTTCTTTATCCAGTCTATCACTGATGGTAATTTGGGTTGGTTCCAAGTCTTTGCTATTGTAAATAGTGCTGCAATAAGCATACATGTGCATGTGTCTTTACAGCAGCATGATTTATATTCCTTTGAGTATATACCCAGTAATGGGATTGCTGGGTCAAATCGTATTTCCAGTTTTTTTTTTTTTTTTTTTTTTTTTGAGATGGAGTCTCGCTCTTGTCGCCCAGTCTGGAGTGCAGTGACGCGATCTCAGCTCACTGCAACCTCCGCCTCCTGGGTTCAAGCTATTCTCCCGCCTCAGCCTACTGAGTAGCTGGGATTACAGGCGCCTGCCACCGGCCCAGCTAATTTTTCTGCTTTTAGTAGAGATGGAGTTTCTTGTTGTCCAGGCTGGTCTGGAACTCCTGACCTCAGGTGATCCGCCCACCTCAGCCTCCCAAAGTGCTGGGATTACAGGTGTGAGCCACTGCGCCTGCTGGTATTTCTGGTTCTAGATCCTTAAGGAATTACCACACTGTCTTCCACAATGGTTGAACTAATTTCTACTCCCACCAACAGTGTAAAAGCATTCCTATTTCTCCACATCCTCGCCAGTATCTGTTGTTTCCAGACTTTTTAATGATCGCCATTCTAACTGGCGTGAGATGGTATCTCATTGTGGTTTTGATTTGCATTTCTCTAATGACCAGTGATGATGAGCTTTTTTTTTCATATGTTTGTTGGCCACATAAATGTTTTCTTTTGAGAAGTGTCTGTTCATATCCTTTGCCCACTTTTTGATGGGGTTGTTTTTTTCTTGTAAATTTATTTAAGTTCCTTGTAGATTCTGGATATTAGCCCTTTGTCAGATGGATAGATTGCAAACATTTTCTCCCATTCTCTAGGTTGCCTGTTCACTCTGATGATATTTTTTTTTTGCTGTGCAGAAGCTCTTTAATTTGATTATATATCATTTATCAATTTTGGCTTCTGTTGAAATTGCTCTTGGTGTTTTAGTCATGAAGTCTTTGCCCATGCCTAGGTCCTGAATGGTATTGCCTAGGTTTTCTTCTAGGGTTTTTATAGTTTTATGTTTTATGTTTAAGTCTTTAATCCATCTTGAGTTAATTTTTGTATAAGGTGTAAGGAAGGGGTCCAGTTTCTATTTTCTGCATATGACTAGTCAGTTTTCCCAGCACCATTTATTAAATAGGAAATCCTTTCCCCCATTGTTGTTTCTGTCAGGTTTGTCAAAGATCAGATGGTTGTAGATATGCAGTGTTATTTCTGATGCCACAGTTCTATTCCATTGGTCTATATATCTGTTTTGGAACCAGTACCATGGTGTTTTGGTTACGGTAGCCTTGTAGTATAGTTTGAAGTTAGGTAGCATGATGCTTCCTGCTTTGTTCTTTTTGCTTAGGATTGTCTTGGCTTTACAGGATTTTTTGGTTCCATATGAAATTTAAAGTAAATTTTTCCAGTTCTGTGAAGAAAGTCAATGGTAGCTTGATGGGAATAGCATTGATTCTGTAAATTACTTTGGGCAGTATGATCATTTTTACAATATTGATTCTTCCTATCAATGAGCATCCATAGGATGCAAGGCTGGTTCAACATACACAAATCAATAAACGTAATCCATAACATAAACAGAACCAAAGACAAAAAACACATGATAATCTCAATAGATCCAGAAAAGGCCTTCAACAAAATTCAACAGTGCTTCATGCTAAAAACTGTCAATAAACTAGTTGTTGATGGAATATATCTCAAAATAATAAGAGCTATTTATGACAAACCAATAGCCAATATCATACTGAATGGGCAAAAGCTGGAAGCATTCCCTTTGAAAACCAGCACAAGACAAGAATGTCCTCTCTCATCACTCCTATTCAACATAATATTGGAAGTTCTGGCCAGGGTAATCAGGCAAGAGAAAAAAAAAAAGCGTATTCAAATAGGAAGAGAGGAATTCAAATTGTCTCTGTTTGCAGATGACGTGATTGTATATTTAGAAAACCCCATCATCTCAGCCCAAAAACTCCTTTAGCTGATAAACAACTTCAGCAAAATCTCAGGATACAAAATCAATGTGCAAAAATCACAAGCATTTCTATACACCAATAATAGACAATCAGACAGCCAAATCACGAGTGAACTCCCATTCACAAATGCTACAAAGAGAATAAAGTACCTAGGAATACAACTTATAAGGGATGTGAAGGACCTCTTCAAGGAGAACTGCAAACCACTGCTGAAGGAAGTAAGAGAGGATACGAACAAATGGAAAAATATTGCATGTGTCTTTATAGTAGAATGATTTATAATTTTTGGTATTTCTGGTTCTAGATCCTTAAGGAATCACCACACTGTCTTCTGTTTTCTGAATATGGCTAGCTAGTTTTCACAGCACCATTTATTGAATAGGAGATTCTTTCCCCATTGCTTGTTTTTGTCAGGTTTGTCAAAGATTAGATGGTTGCAGATATGTGGTGTTATTTCAGAGGTATCTGTTCTGCTCCATTGATCTACATATCTGTTTGGTTACCAGTACCATGCTGTTTTGGTTACTGTAGCCTTGTAGTATAATTTGAAGTCAGGTAGCATGAGGCCTCCAGCTTTATTTGTTTTCCTTAGGATCGTCTTGACTATATGGTCTCTTTTTTGGTTCCATATGAAACTTAAAGTAGATTTTTCTAATTCTGCAAGGAAAGTCAATGGCAGCTTGATGGGAACAGCATTGAATCTATACATTACTTTTGGTAGTATGGCCATTTTCACGATATTGATACCTCCTATCCATGAGCATGGAATTTTTTTTTCCATTTGTTTATGTCCTCTCTGATTTCCTTGAACAGTGGTTTGTAGTTCTCCTTGAAGAGGTTTTTCACATCCATTGTAAGTTGTATTCCTTCAACATACATTTTTAACAAATCTATCTCTACTTTGAAATCATAGTATACTAATTGAAGAGTAGTATAGGAATCCCAAAGTAGAGTATTCCTGATTTTTCCTTCCTATTCCTTGAGACATTGCTCTCATTCATTTCACTTATCCATATGGTTTCATTGTCTAATATATTGTTGCTATTCTTATTGCAAGCAATTATTCTTTACATCAATTAAAAATACAAAATGAAATATTTTATTTTATTTATGCCTCATTTCTCTCTTGTATGACACTTCATTTTGTTGATCTGAGTTTCTGTCCTATATCTGTTTCCTTCTCTGAAAATTTTCTTTTAACATTTCTTACAAGGCGGACCTGCTAGTGATGAATTTTCTCAGATTTTGTTTTTCAGAGAGAGTATTTCTCAACTTTTGACAGATAATCTTGCTGTATATATAATTCTAGGTTGCTGTTTACTATTTTTTCCTTTATATCCTTTAAACGTTTCACTCAACTGTCTTTGCTTGCATGATGGTAGAATGGGTTGAAAGTTGTTTCCCCCCAGCATTCACATGTTAATACCCAATGTTGTGGATTAAGAGATGGGGCCTTTGGGAAGTATCTAGATATTAGGAAAAAGCCCTCACGAGAAATTTATAGCACTAAATGCCCACAAGAGAAAGCAAGAAAGATCCAAAATTGACACCCTAACGTCACAATTAAAAGAACTAGAAAAGCAAGAGCAAACACATTCAAAAGCTAACAAAAGGCAAGAAATAACTAAAATCAGAGCAGAACCGAAGGAAATAGAGACACAAAAAACCCTTCAAAAACTTAATGAATCCAGGAGCCGCTTTTTTGAAGAGATCAACAAAATCGATAGACCGCTAGCAAGACTAATAAAGAAGAAAAGAGAGAAGAATCAAATGGATGCAATAAAAAATGATAAAGGGGATATCACCACCGATCCCACAGAAATACAAACTACCATCAGAGAATATTATAAACACCTCCACACAAATAAACTAGAAAATCTAGAAGAAATGGATAAATTCCTTGACACATACACCCTCCCAAGACTAAACCAGGAAGAAGTTGAATCTCTGAATAGACCAATAACAGGCTCTGAAATTGTGGCAATAATCAATAGCTTACCAACTGAAAAAAGCCCAGGACCAGATGGATTCACAGCGGAATTCTACTAGAGGTACAAGGAGGAGTTGGTACCATTCCTTCTGAAACTATTCCAATCAATAGAAAAAGAGGGAATCTTCCCTAACTCATTTTATGAGGCCAGCATCATCCTGATACCAAAGCCTGGCAGAGATACAACAAAAAAAGAGAATTTTAGACCAATACCCTTGATGAACATTGATGCAAAAATCCTCAATAAAATACTGGCAAACCGAATCCAGCAGCACATTAAAAAGCTTATCCACCATGATCAAGTGGGCTTCATCCCTGGGATGCAAGGCTGGTTCAACATATGCAAATCAATAAATGTAATCCAGCATATACACAGAACAAAAGACAAAAACCACGATTATCTCAATAGATGCAGAAAAGGACTTTGACAAAATTCAACAACCTTTCATGCTAAAAACTCTCAATAAATTAGGTATTGAAGGGATGTATCTCAAAATAATAAGAGCTACCTATGACAAACCCACAGCCAATATCATACTGAATGGGTAAAAACTAGAAGCATTCCCTTTGAAAACCGGCACAAGACAGGGATGCCCTCTCTCACCACTCCTGTTCAACGTAGTGTTGGAAGTTCTGGCCAGGGCAATTAGGCAGGAGAAGGAAATAAAGGGTATTCAATTAGGAAAAGAGGAAGTCAAATTGTCCCTGTTTGAAGATGACAGGATTGTATATCTAGAAAACCCCATTGTCTCAGCCCAAAATCTCCTTAAGCTGATAAGCAACTTCAGCAATGTCTCAGGATACAAAATCAATGTGCAAAAATCACAAGCATTCTTATACACCAATAACAGACAAACAGAGAGCCAAATCATGAGTGAACTCCCATTCACAATTGCTTCAAAGAGAATAAAATACCTAGGAATCCAACTTACAAGGGATGTGAAGGACCTCTTCAAGGAGAACTACAAACCACTGCTCAATGAAATAAAAGAGGATACAAACAAATGGAAGAACATGCCATGCTCATGGGTAGGAAGAATCAATATCGTGAAAATGGCCATACTGCCCAAGGTAATTGATAGATTCAATGCCATCCCCATCAAGCTACCAATGACTTTCTTCACAGAATTGGAAAAACTACTTTAAAGTTCATATGGAACCAAAAAAGAGCCCGCATCGCCAAGTCAATCCTAAGCCAAAAGAACAAAGCCGGAGACATCATGCTACCTGACTTCAAATTATACTACAAGGCTACAGTAACCAAAACAGCATGGCACTGGTACAAAAACAGAGATATAGATCAATGGAACAGAACAGAGCCCTCAGAAAGAATGCCACATATCTACAACCATCTGATCTTTGACAAACCTGACAAACACAAGCAATGGGGAAAGGATTCCCTATTTAATAAATGGTGCTGGGAAAACTGGCTAGCCATATGTAGAAAACTGAAACTGGATCCCTTCCTTACACCTTATACAAAAATTAATTCAAGATGGATTAAAGACTTAAATGTTAGACCTAAAACCATAAAATCCCTAGAAGAAAACCTAGGCAATACCATTCAGGACATAGGCATGGGCAAGGACTTCATGTCTAAAACACCAAAAGCAATGGCAACAAAAGCCAAAATTGACAAATGGGATCTAATTAAACTAAAGAGCTTCTGCACAACAAAAGAAACTACCATCAGAGTGAACAGGCAACCTACAAAATGGGAGAAAATTTTTGCAACCTACTCATCTGACAAAGGGCTTATATCCAGAATCTACAATGAATTCAAACAAATTTACAAGAAACAAACAAACAACCCCATCAAAAAGTGGGCAAAGGATATGAACAGACACTTCTCAAAAGAAGACATTTATGCAGCCAAAAAACACATGAAAAAATGCTCATCATCACTGGCCATCAGAGAAATGCAAATCAAAACTACAATGAGATACCATCTCACACCAGTTAGAATGGCAATCATTAAAAAGTCAGGAAACAACAAGTACTGGAGAGGATGTGGAGAAATAGGAACACTTTTATACTGTTGGTGGGACTGTAAACTAGTTCAACCATTGTGGAAGTCAGTGTGGCGATTCCTCAGGGATCTAGAATTAGAAATACCATTTGACCCAGCCATCCCATTACTGGGTATATACCCAAAGGATTATAAATCATGCTGCTATAAAGACACATGCACATGTATGTTTCTTGTGGCACTATTCACAATAGCAAAGACTTGGAACCAAGCCAAATGTCCATCAATCATAGACTGGATTAAGAAAATGTGGCACATATATATCATGGAATACTATGCAGCCATAAAAAATGAAGAGTTCATGTCCTTTGTAGGGACATGGATGAAACTGGAAACCATCATTCTCAGCAAACTATCACAAGGACAAAAAACCAAACACCGCATGTTCTCACTCATAGGTGGGAATTGAACAATGAGAACACATGGACACAGGAAGGGGAACATCACACTCCAGGGACTGTTGTGGGGTGGGGGGAGGGGGGAAGGGGGAGGGATAGCATCAGGAGATATACCTAATGCTAAATGACGAGTTAATGGGTGCAGCACACCAACATGGCACATGTATACATATGTAACAAACCTGCACATTGTGCACATGTACCCTAAAACTTAAAGTATAATAATAATAAAAGAAAAGAAAAGAAAAAGAAAAAGAAAAGAAAAAGCGCTCACGAATAGGATTAGTGCCCTTATAAAGAAGGCCCAAGGGAGCTTATTTGTCCTTTTCCACCCTGTGAGGACACAATGAGAAGCCAAAATCTATGAGGAACAGGTCTCACTAGACACCAGATTTGTCTGCATCTTGATCTTGCACTTTCCAGACTCTAGAACTATGAGAAATAAGTAGTTGTTGCTTATAAGCCACTGTTTATGATATTTGTGTTACATCAGTGTGAACAGACACACACACATGGTTTTTGATGAGAAGTCCCTTGTAATTCTCATTATTATTTCTCTACAATTTTATTCTAATGTTAACCAATTATCAAGAGGGAAAGATGGTATTTTCATTGCATTTTTAAGTATTTGAACCAATTTTGATTAAAATCTATAATTTGGGGGAATGGTATGATCTGTCCAATTTGTTTACAATCTGTTAAGATTGCATATGACTTTGATTTATCAAAGCTTAAGGCAGTCACCTTTAATGAAATATTAAATATGATTTATCATTATAGGAAATAGTGTTTAAAAGTGTCAAAACAGATAAATTCAAATAATATGGCTCATAAAAAAATCTTTTGAAATATTATATGGTAAATTTTGATCTATGGGCATTAATTTTTCTATTAGAGGGGTATATAAATATAAATATATATTTTCTATTAGAGGGATATATTTATATATTTATATTCCCCACTAATGGAAAACTTAATGCCTGTAGATAAAAATTTACCATATAATATTTTAATATATAATACCTTCCCATGCATATGCCAGCTTCTTTCAAAATTTTCTCTTTTTGATTTTCTGTAGTTTGAATATGACATGCCTGCATGTAGTGTGTGGTATTTAGCCTTCTTGATGTTTTTTGAGCTTCCTGGATCTGTTATTCAGTTTCATCCTTAATTTTAGAGTGTTCTCAGCTATTATTAAATAACTTATTCTCTCTTCTATTTTTCCTTTCCTTCTATAAGAGAATCCCAATTAAACATATTTACAAATTTTGAAATTGTCACAATGTTTTTGAATATTTGATTTTTTTCCCTTTTATTAATCTCTTATTTCTTTTTGTATTTTAATTGGGGAGTTTCTATTTCCATATCTGTAATCTCTCCTTGGCCATGTTGTGTCTGACAGTGTACCCATTGAAGGCATTCTTCATTTCTATTGCAGTATGTTTTATTTCTAGAATTTTCCTTTGCTTATATTACACATGTATTCATGTGTATACTTTTTCCAGTAAAGCCCTTAACATATTAATCATAGTTATTTTTAAATCTCAACCTAATACTTCCAAAATGTATGTTATAGCTGAGTCTGTTTCTGATGTTTGTTTTATCTTTGCAGACTATTTTTTTTTCTTGTCTGTTGACATTCTTTCTAAATTTTTTGTTGAAATCTGGTCATCTTATTGAGTGTTGAGAACTGAAGTAAATAGGCCTTGAGTGTGAGGATTTATACCAACCTGACTAGGAGTTGAGCTGTCTTTAATGTTTGATGTAGCTGTGTCAGCAATTTCAACTTTCTGTATTATAAATTTTTTGGTTTTTGTTTTACCTCTTGACTTTAGTCTTCCTTCATTACTTCTCCTCAAACAGAGTCTGTGTCTTTCTTTAATCCACACTTACCATACTTGAACCCTGTTTGGCGATACTGTGTGAGAGAGGGGAACTTTTCTGTAACCTTCTAATTAAATTTCACTTTTTAGTGAGCCTGTGTCTCAGACCTGCGACTTTCACAAGTGCTTGTCCAATGGTGTAGCTCGTTCTCTCTTTGGTGGGCAGGAAAGCTGGTGGGACCTAGAGTGAGTATGACACTCATTCCCAGTGGGGATGAAGCTTTAGTAAAGTGTTTCTCCCCTGCACATAGGCTTTGTTACAGAAAACACTTTGGGAATATTTTTCAATGATTTCTATTCTATGTCTCCAACAAGGTCCATGAGAGAATATTACTGCGATCTTTACCACTAGACCCTGGTGGTGTTCACATAAAAAGTCATCGAAGTGTGCGGTTTCCCTAAAACTTCAGCTCCCCAGGGTTTCTTATCCTCAAGCTTGTCCATATACAGCTACTAGTACTTTGTACAAATTATCATTTCAGTTTTCCTAAAAGTGTGCAGTTCCAGCAGAATCTGCTTCAGGAAAGAAGATCTTGGCTTTAATTTTCTTAATTCACCTGTTTCTTCAGATTTGGGGGCAGTGTCTTGTCTTAAAATCTCAGTTTTCTGATAGAATAAAAAAGTCACCGATTTTTCAGTTTATTTAGCTTTTACTTGTTTTAAACATAGGAGTAGTGACTGTTAAGGTTTTTACACGTCAAAACTAAAGTTGGAGATCTGCAAGATTTTTGTATGTATTATTTCATTTTCCCTGTCAAACTTCCTGTGAGCTATTGGGCAATTTACTTCATCTCAGAGGCAGGGCACTCTTTCTTGCAGATGTTAATCATTTAATTTCAAAGAACTTTGTGGCATATGATAACTTTACAACAAAGAAAATACCACAATATTGTTTCCCATATTCCATCCATGATATAATTTTATTACCTTTCTCTCTTTAGAGATAAAAGTAAATAGGTTTCCACAGCTTAATTTCAAGAAATTATTTATTCATTTATTTATAAGTATTTATGAAGGATCTAATTTGGGCTGGACATTGTGTAAGATTCTGCAAATACCATAATGAATAAGACACGATTGGTGTCCTGAAAGCCCCCAGATTTGAGTAGGAGGGGCAGGAACTTACATGAATAATTTAACTACTTTGAGGTAAGTGGTAAAAGAGAGGTTTGTACAGGTTGCAATACAGTTTAAAGAGGGAAGAGGAAGTTTGGAAAAATTAAAGTTGCTTTCCCAGAAGAATTAATGTTTGTTTCTCCATCCCCCAAACATTGCCTTAGATCGTGTTCTTGGTATTTTCCTGTTTAGTAAACATTTTATCTGGCCCTGAAAACTCAAAAATAAAATTTTACATGATGTGTTGTTAGTGAAAGTTCCATTTTCACTGGAAATTTGTTGCCTAAACAATAACAATTTTACTTCCTCGAACTCTAAGACCTATCTCATTTTAAAAACAGATTATTGTGTTATAAAGGGATTTTGGGAGATGTAGGTGCACTGACACTGATATTTTTAACAACTCTGCCAAAACATACATGCTCAAGTGACTTTTGCCTCTTTAGCACAAAGGTCACCTTCAGAAGTTATTCCGTCATTTTAGTAATGTCATCATTGACCAAAAAGTTATTGGGCTGCCTCTCCTGGAATTGCTTTCAGACTCTGTAGCATATTATCTTAAGTATGTACTTCTACCTAAATGGTAGAAAATCTTCTTCCTCTGAGATTGAATACAATTTATGAACATAACCAAAAGTCAAATTTAAGCTAGGGAATAGAGAATATAAATAAGTAGAGTAAAATTTAGGTCAAACCAAGTTTCACTTAAAAGTTATAATAAATTTAGGCCAGGTGCAGTGGCTCACGCCTGTAATCCCAGCACTTTGGGAGGATCACGAGGTCAGGAGATTGAGACCATGCTGGCTAACACGGTGAAACCCCATCTCTACTAAAAAATACAAAAAATTAGCCGGGCATGGTGGCGGGCGCCTGTAGTCCCAGCTACTGGGGAGGCTGAGGCAGGAGAATGGCGTGAACCCGGGAGGTGGAGCTTGCAGTGAGCCGAGATCACGCCACTGCACTCCAGCCTGGGTGACAAAGAGAGACTCTGTCTCAAAAAAAAAAAAAAATTATAATAAATTTAACGTGGCTATAATACTACTAAAAACGCCCCTGTAATACAAAACTTAATGCCCATAGATCAAAATTTACCATAGAATATTTCAAAAGATGTTTTATAGGCCATATTGTTTGAATGTATCTATTTTGAGACTTTTCAACACTATTTCCTATAATCAAATTTAATATTGCATTAAATATGACTGCCTTAAGCTTTGATAAATCAAAGTCATATGCAACCTGTTTAACAGACTGTGAACAAATTGGACAAATCATACCATTCTCCCCAAATTATAGATTTTAATCAAAATTGGTTCAAATACTTTAAATGCAATGAAAATATCATCTTTCCCTCTTAATAAATGGTTAACACCAGAATAAAAAATCCTTCCTTTTTCTTCAAATACTTACCACACTGCTTATGAATCTTGTCAGTGTTTATTGTGTTGGCAAAGCCACTTAAAGAGAAAAGAGAGAAGCAAAACATACATTAACATATTAGCAGATAAAAAGTATGTAACAGCCAAGGCAAGCGTGAAAATGAAGGTGAGAAGGATTAAAATATGTCCTGGTTCTCACAGCCATTTCTTTCCCCATGGAAAAAAATTGCACTATGAAATACCTGACATCGTGCACATTGCTTTGAAATTGTATCTTGTGGGTGTCTCCATAGTCAAGGTAATAAAATGTGATGGATTTCTAGTCTCTATTGCTCCAGGTAAGATAAACTTAGGAAACAATCAGGATGTAATTGAGATCAATACGAGGTGCTGAAAAACTTTATGGTGGTTCTCACTGACAGATGGGCAATAAGGACAAGCCCACAAGTAACCTGCTTCTATACCAAAACTTATCTGTTTTTTTTCTTTCTTTCTTTCTTTTCTCACCTCTTCGTATTAGAAGGAACAGTGAAGGGAGGAACTGGTTTTCTCTTAGTTAACAAGAGTCATTGTGGTGTGTCAAGCAAACCTTGGTAACCAGAATGTCTATTAGATATAAAGCACTACTTGTATGTGATTTAGTGTGGAATTATAGTTGAAATTGTGTGTTCAGCTGAGTATCTTTGAAGTAAGTGTTGAACAGCCTTATGGGCACACTATTGAAAAATGAAAGTCAATCAAAAAAGAAAATCATCTTCCTATAGAGTGTAATGAATAATAACATCTAATATTTACTGAAAATTTGCAATAAGGCAGACACTTATATCACTTAGTCTTCACAGCAACCTCTCAAAATCAGCCCTAATTCTACTTATTTTATTTTATTAGCCATTGTTTTTGAAGTAAGTCAGCACAGAGAAGTTAAAGAATTTCCCAGGCTGGGTGCGGTGGCTCATGCCTGTAATCCCAGCATTTTGGGAGGCCGAGGCGGGAGGATCACTTGAGGTCAGGAGTTCCAGACCAGCCTGGTTAACATGGTGAAACCCCGTCTCTACTAAAAATCAAAAATTAGCGGGGCATGGTGGCGGGCACCTGTAATCCCAGCCACTCAGGAGGCTGAGGTAGGAGAATCACTTGAATCTGGCAGGCGGAGGTTGCAATGAGCTGAGATCATGCCACTGCACTCCAGCCTGGGCGACAGAGCAAGACTCTGGCTCCAAAAAACAAAAGAATTTCCCTCAACTTTCACAGCCAGTATAGAGATATTAGAAGTGAGACACAGGCAAGTAGACTGCAGGGTTGAGCGTTTAATGATAATACTATGCCATTAAGACAGTATAAAGGCTAGAAGAACTCCTAGATGCTCCTCCAAAAGCTATCATTTTGACTCCATGAACACCAGAAAGTGTTTTAAGGGTGATTCAATGTATTTGCAAGTATAAACATAGGTGTCTGTATTAATCACGTTAGGAAGTGTAGCCTGCCTTCTTGTTCATAAGGTTGGTACATATTGCTCAAGCTATCTGGTTATTAGCTTCACAAATGCACGGAATTCAGTTCGTCCTCATGAAATAATTTGCTGAGTTCAAAGATCAGAAATGTAATGGCAGTGCCTTCAAAGAACATAGTGCCGTATATTCTGTTCTATCCTCTACTTCCCCTCCTTTCCCAAGTTTCTCTTTGATCAAGCTAAACATCAGAATCCGGCTTTTAAAAAGACTCCAAGTGCCTTTCATTTTTCTCTCAGTAGCCTGAGGAGTAACAACTTCTGCATCTTACATGAAAAAAATTATTTCTCCCTAAAAATAACTTCAGCTTCAGATGCCCCCTGCAAAGAGGTTCAAATAATTTCTCTTGAACTCAGAGAAGACAAAAGAAGGTAATTGCATGGGTGAGCCATTACCTGCAGCAGGGGAGGCAGACACAGGAGTCATTATGGGTCTCGGGAAAGCAGCACAGAACATTTCCTGCTTATGGCTTTGTGGGGGAAGAGGTCAGGGCACAGGCAGTCTCCTTTGGGCCATTCACATCCTTGTTTGGATTATGAACACTCACCACATCACCTGTATGCCTGGATGTGCTCTGGTGGTTTCGTTTTCCTGTGGTTCTCTCCTTCCTCCCATTAATGCTGTAAGTGTTAAGAGTAGCAAGAGCCTAAACAATTAATTTCTGTGTTCCTTAGCTAAAGATGAACTTGTTCAAGTGAAAATGAGTATGAAATTATAAATAATGGCTTAAATTAATAGAGCAAGACCTAAAAACTTAAAAATCAAGAAAAACTGAGTCTATGGTATAATCTACAACTCTAGGAGATTAGAATATGCCATCCTAAAATATGTCTCTTTCGAGACATAGACAAAGAAAAAGCTCTGAAAAGAAAAAGTCAAACTTTTACAAGGGAAATTTACATCTATTAAAAAATATCTATTCATAAGAGTGTCTACCTTTCTGTACCAGAAAGAGAAGGATGACTCCCATTCACTAAAAACTCAATCAAGAGAGAATAGGTGCTGTCTGAAATCTGCATGACAAACTTGACCCTTGTTTGCTTTTCCTGGTCACTTCCCCTTTTCCAGCCCCACATCCTTCTTTCCTATTTCAACAAATGTATCAAAGAATCATATTTAAGCCTGAGTTCAAAGCCACCTCTTTGAGATGTACTCATTTCTCCGGGTATCTCTCATATATAATGACGTATACATGCTACTAACATTCTTTGTTTTTCTCTCATTAATCTTTTGTCTCATATTTTGCAACAAGAGGTCCCAGCTAAGACTCACTAAGCAAGAGTAGAGAGAAAAACATTTTTCCTTCCTACACATCCAAATGCATTAGTACCTTATATATGGTAAAGCACTCACTATAAATCAAATTGTAAAATGAGTCAGTAAATTCATTTGGACTAATATTCTTTTTTGCTCCAAAAAGCCTAGAATATTCACAGGAATTTCATTTCTTTAAAAAAAAATGTATGTTATATAGTTATCTATTTTTCTCCCAAGAGCAATGTCAAGTCCAGGCCATTTTTCTTTTTTAATTCAAGTATTCAGTAATTGGAAAAAAAAAAAAACAAAACAAAAAAAACAGTGTGCTTCACACTGGCTTTAGCACATAAGTTACTCTTGATAATCATACATTTCCTTTCTCTCTCCAGGGGAGGCTCTCTTGAAGAATGAATCACATTCCTGAACTTCCCTGTTTATTTTCTATATACCACTACTCTATGCTTGCCTCATCTCCTTGGTTCTTATTTCATTCCTTTGGATGAGGTTGTAGTGGGTTTTTGTACTTACCATATACTTTCTTGCAAAAGCAATGATATAAACAGCAGTTGTATTCTCAAGCAAGCCCACAAAAACCTATAATAAACCTGAAATACTACATATTTGCAATAGCAATTCTTCTGCTATTGTTCATTGCAAGTCATTTAGCAAGTCATTTAACCTCTGTGGGCCTCAATTTCCTCTTCTATAAAATTAGGGGGCTGAACTACATGATATCCATGGCCCTTTCAGCCCTAACCATCTGTGATGACATTTCAACTCTATTATAATTTAGATGGTGGAATAAACTGAGAGCCCAAGCATCATCTCTAACATTATTTCAAGTTTCATTATTTGAAACTGTGATTCGCTTCATTTTGATAAATGAGGCATGAGCCAAATTAAAAATTTGGCACCTAACAGTCTGGTTTTTTCTTTGTTTGTTTGTTTTTAGTTGCCTCTGTCTATATAAAGCTTAGGTGAGTGAAGTATAGGTAGATCAAAAGGCTACTAATACTAAGTACCTTGGGCAGATTCAAATTTAAGTCCATAGTACGAAAAGCACAATGCTCATGTAAGCACAGACTTTGAGGCAAACCTGAGTTCAAGGTTCTGTGTCACCACTTATAAGCTCCGTGACCTTGGGCAAGTTTTTAATCTCATGCCTTGTCTATAAAAGGAGGATAATGACAGCACTTACTGAAGAGGGTTTTCATTAGAATTAAACAGGGAAGTAAATTTAAAGTAACTGATGAACACTCAGTAAACTATAGCTATCATTATTATTTAAGATAATACTTAAGAATTTACCTTCTGGTTAAGTTAAAACACACAGATACTCGCACACACACACACTAAGTCCACCATATTTTAACCTATTGACTTTTCCTTCAAACTTACGCACTACAACATGTTTAATACAAATGACTTATTTTGACATTTGTCTTAGATTCAAATTTTCTTAAGAGTGTTGCAGGTAGGTAGACAGGCACGAGCACACAGGAGAGAGCTCTCCCTGCACCCACTATGAGCGTCAGGTGATATTTCGGCAATTAGCATTGCCGCTCTAAAAATAATAATTGGGCAGTCAGGGAGAGACAAATCTCCTGATGGTCCACACCTGTTAACATTCGTGTTAATTGAACGCAGACCCCAGGGAGGAGCAGCTTCTTGGGCATGCACGTTAAGAGGCAAAATGGGGAAGTATGAGGTTCTGGGGGCACACAGAAAAAGGAAAAAAGCCTCAGATGGGCAGGCATGTAACACTCCCTAAACACACTGCGCTGCCCATTTCCAAAGGGTAAGGAAAGCACTGCACAGCAGAAAGCGCATCCTAGGGGAAGAATCATGGGAAAAGAGGCGAGCCTATGAAGTCCCAGGATCAAGATTGAATAAAAGGGCTTTTGGCCGTCTTTCCTTTTTCTCTCTTTGACCTTCAGGCTCCCACTTGGATCTCTCCCAAGCAAATTTTCCTTTCTTTCCTATTCTAAAATCTTTTAAAATAAACCTCCTTTCCTGCTTTGGAACTTGCCTAGGTCTCGTTTCCTGCTTCATGCCCCTCCGTCGAATTCTTTCTTTTGGGGAGGCAAGGGCTGAAGGTGCTGTGGACTCATATGGATATGCTGCCAGTAACCTGGAGTAACTGAAATACATTCCACCACTAACAAGAGTAAAAGAATAAACAAAAATTACTTATCACTATTAGATTGCATGCGCATTTATTTTCATTCAGTACACTTGATGTGTACAAACCTATTTTTCTGTTTGAATTTAGGGTTGAAATAAATATTTCAGTGAAATAAATAGCTACCTTGCCAAAAAAAAATTAAGGAATAAAATCTTTTTTTTTTTTTTTTTTTTTTTTTTTTGGAGATGGAGTCTCACTCCATTGCCCTGGCTGGAGTACAGGGGCATGATCTTGGCTCACTGCAACTTCTGCCTCCTGGGTTCAAGTGATTCTCCTGCCTCAGCCTCCCAAGTAACTGGGGCTTTAGGCATGCACCGCCATGCCTGGCTAATTTTTGTATTTTTAGTAGAGATGGGTTTTCACCATGTTGGCCAGGCTAGCCTTGAACTCCTGACCTCAGGTGATCCACCTGCCTCGGTCTCCCAAAGTGCTGGAATTACAGGCATAAGCCACTGCACCTGGCCTAGGAGTAAAATCTCAACCATTTTCAATACATTTTCTAAAAATAAATAAATAAGTAAGTGCCCAAACATGTTGCTAACAGGTTAATATTTTAAAATAAAAGTAATTTTCCTTAAGTCTATTGCCTCATTCTCTTTCTTTCAAACCGAGTTCCAGGCTAGGAGTATAAACTCGGAGGTTAGGGTAGTGTAGGTGCTGGAGAGAGAACAAAGACACTGCCTCATGTACTCTTAATTGCTTCTGATCTGCCCAGGGAAAGTCAGCACATGATGTCATCTTCCAGGAGTGCTAATCAATCCTGAAAATGTTATTGATTTCTGGTGTATATGGAGTGCTAGTAAAATTGCTACAAAAATTTTAGAGTAATTCATGGAATATGCCTTTTATGGGACTAGAATCAAATTTTAAATGATCAAATATGAAGCATTGGAAAATAAAGACAGAAAATCTGAATTTCTGACTGAGAATAGTAGGGCAACTTCAAAAGGGAGAATCATAGAATAGTGATGTGAAATTGGACTTTGAATGAATGAGTCAGTGAAAGAAGAAAGTTAAGATCACAAAGCATCACATATCAGTCAGGTTCTGTAAAACAGGTCACTTATGCCATCACATTTAATTCTCAGCACAACCAGATTTCTAGATATCAAGTGATGAAATCATCCCTCGAAGATGTCAAATAATGAAGGTAGAATTAAAATACACTTAAGCTCCATGTGGTTGCATGCACCTGTAGTCCCACCTACTCAGGAGGCTGAGCCAGGAGGATCAATTGAGTCTAGGAGTTGAGTCCAGTCTAGAAAACATAGTGAGATCCCAGCTCTTAAAATAATAATAATAAAGCCTATAATATCTCCCATTTGTGCTTCAAAGTGAGAAGCTAGGAAATGCAAAAAGTACTTATCACTATAAAAATGCTTTTATAGTTTAAAAAATTGTAAAAGATGACTGATTCCCAGGTTCAGGACTTCTAGATAAGTTAATGGTAAATACTGAGTATCAAGTATGTAATTTGACTCATGCTTATGTTCTTGGGAAACAAAATAAGAAAATTTTCATTCTTTTTAGACTTTGTAGAGCTTTAATTCTAAGTTTCATAATAAAATGACAACAAAACATTGCTATAACTATGAAGAGTCTATGTGCAAATTTCTATAGAATCATAGTGGAGAAAAATTTGAATTCTACCTGGCAGATCAGGAAATGATTTAGTAAGAAGGTGATATTTGACATAAATTGGAGAATGATTGACAACTTCAACAAATGTAGAAAGAAGATGAACATCACAACAGAAAAGAAAAATATGAGGCAAGTTATGCATTCATGGAAGGGCAAGATATTTTCTGGGAAAAGGCAAAGTTTGGTGTAGAAAGAGTAAGGTAGGTGGGGAATCCAGAGAAGGTCAAGAGAGAAAATGAGATCAAGAAGTTAGAGCTAAAGGTAAGCAGCAGAATGAGATCACATTTGTGAAATGTGGAAAATGGGCCAGAGGAATGAGTTTGGTGGTTCCTAAAACGATTTTCTAAATTATAATAAAACCCTTAGTTAATTAAATTCTCGCCTGGGTGAGGTGGCTCACACCCATAGGCCCAGCACTTTGGGAGGCCAGGGCAGATGGATCGCTTGAGCCTGGGAGTTCAAGACCAGCCTGGGCAACATGGCAAAACCCCATCTCCACTAAAAATACAAAAATTAGTCAGGCGTGGTGGTGCGTGCCTGTGGTCCCAGCGACTCAGGAGGCTGAGGTGGGAGGATGGCTTGAGCCTCAGAGGCAGAGTTTGCAGTAAGCCAAGGTCGTGCTACTGCACTTCAGCCTGGGAGACAGAGCCAGACCTTGCCTCAAAAAAGAAAATAATCATGGAAACTGAGAGACAAAGAGACATTTCAGAATTAAAATTATTTGGTGGAAAATAAAATAGTGTATCTATGAAGAAAAAAAGAACAAGATGACTCAAAGGTTTCTGATCACTGGGAAAAGTGGTTTTAGCCATTTTAGGCCATAGGAGAAAAAATAAGCATGAATTGAATTTAAGACACTTAGCTGGAGATGATTGTAGAAAGTCTGAAATGAGGTGTGGATCAAATGAGGTGAGGATTTTCAATCTGTAAAATTCAGTACAGATGTGAATTTTTCAAACTATAAAAGTCAATACTATTGAATTTTAAAAGAGTAATCAAACCAAGGTTATAATTGAGGACAGCACTCAAGTGTTGTCTTTCACATCCTCTTACTCAGTATGGAAGAATTAGATATGTCTGTTGTTAACATAACAGAAATGTATATTCATGTAGGAAACTAGAATGGCTTTTATTCTTAGAAAATAAAGTCCAAAAGCTGGCGAGGTGGTATAGGCAAAAGCAGAAGCAGAAGACTTAGTTTGAGAAATGAGGGGTATTTATTTTTGTAAGACGACATAAAGAAATTACAGATAGATGATAGATTAGATAGGTAGGTAGATACATACATACATACATACATACATAGAGGAAAGGAAAAAAGATTACAACTTATTCTTCTGAATTTCAAGATAAAGTGAAGTTTAAGTCAATCGCCGAGTGTGTGATTAGGAATGCAACTGAGGTTATAAAATTAAAGACATAAAAAGGTACAAAAGTATTAAATAACAACCTAAAATAAATGTGTAGCATAGCAGAGTGGAAAAAAATAAACTTTGAAATTCAAACTTCTTGTGCTATAAATCTCAACTTTGCCTTTTAAGTAGCCATATGACTTTGGGAATGTGATTTAACCTTTCTGAATTGAATTTCAACATCTGTAAGATGGACATAATAGTATAATAATATCCATCTTACAAGGAGTAATTATGACAATGAACTAGACAATATGCATCTCAAAATGCCTGGGAAATGTTAATAATTAATAGACATTGTTATCACCATTATTGCAATGCCCTCACTATACAACATTCATATGGTCCAAATTAGTACTCTTGCAATACCTGTCTCCTACTCTGTTATGGCCTAGTGCTTTCCTAGACTCTGAAGGACAAGAACTCATGGAGAAGAAATCCTTTCTGCCATTTTGCTGTTATTACAGTTGCTGAGTTGCAATGAAGCTCTATTTAATTTAGAAAGTGTGACTATCACTCTAGAAATTTATTCTAGCCTCAGAAGAGGAGCACAGAAAGCAAGGTTCTGTAATACGGCACTGGGGCTGGAGACTCTGTCAAGCACGTAAGGTGAAGCTGGAAAGAGGATCCAGGATGTTACAAAATAACCACAGAAATGGCTTAATCCTTGCTTTTTTACTCTAACCAACGGATCACATTGGCAAAACAAGAGAGGAAACCACTGTACAGCCTGGGGCTCCCTAATGAAGCTTAGGCTTTCTTTTAAACACACGATAGCCAAATCTAATATTTTATGAATGTCTGATGATCTAAATTAAATTGAACACTTTCAATGTGCTCAGCATTGTCCTAGGTACCAGATAAAATACAAAACAGAGGGTCTCTGCCTTAAAGTAGCCTGAAATGAAATGTAGCTCATTCTAAATAAAGAGAAAAAGGTTAAAACTCGAAGCATAAAATATTAACACAGAATATACTAGTAGTAATAGTAGCAATAATAACAATGAGTGATATTTGTTAGCAACTTCTGTGTTCAAGCACTGCTAGACACTTTATATATGTGAAAATACTTAATGTTCACAACTACAAACAAGTTAGAAATCATCTTCTGGATTTTAATGGTGAATAATATGTATTAAAAACAGTATGCTTGGATCTTAGCTACACAGTATTCTTATCAAAACAACTGGCCATGAAAGAGTTTATAATCAAATCCAATGAAAAAAAAGAAATATTACCCTGAATAAACACATACAATTGTTTTCCAATGCAGTTCAAAACTATATAAGGATAGAATAATACTAGTTTTCATAAAGCCTGGTACAAGGAATTTACTTTTTTATGTGCCCATAAAAATGTGTTTGTACCACCAGTAATTTAAAATAACTATGCAACATGCAACAGCTATTATAGTGATACATAATATCAGTCTACCAATAATTAAATAACACTTCAGTTATTTTAGCACTTCTGTTGTGTATTTCTAAAATGAATTGCCTTATATCATAAAAGCCTCAATTTTCTTCATTATTTGAAACATTTTCGGAGATGAGGATTTTCAACAAGCATGTTATAGTCAAAGTGCAGTGTATATTTCTCTAAATCTCTTTTTTATGTCCTGGGTATTAGGCAAACAATGGTAATATATAAAAGCAAGACTGTCTTCCCACAGTGCAATCAATTCAAGATCATGTTCCAGCATGACTAGGAAAGGCCTTTGTTCATCATGCTCAGTTGAAGAGGGAGTGAGTATGGGTAATGTTTTTTACAGGGATCAAGTTTGTATATGGAAATGAATACAGTGTCAAGTCTGCCCACAGCATTATCATTCAAATTAAAGTTAATGCTTTAATGATCACCTTATAAATATTAATATATTCATTAGTTCACTTTGGCAATGGTTACTTTTCATACCTGTGTCATATCTTACCCCAATTAAAAAAAACAAAGTGTCAGTAGAGGAGTCTATGTTTGACAGTCTACTGCTCACTGAGAGGTCTTTCTTAACTAATTTTCCCAAAGTTTAGAGAATTTTTTTGGAATAAATAAATATAAAGGAAGCTGTTCAGCTACTAAATACAGGCTTCTCAAACCAATACAGCAGAGTGTGGTCATTTGGTCTTTTTTTTTTTTTTTTTTTTTCTGAGACGGAGTTTTGCTCTGTCGCCCAGGCTGGAGTGCAGTGGCGCGATCTCGGCTCACTGTAAGCTCCGCCTGCCGGGTTCAAGCCATTCTCCTGCCTCAGCCTCCCAAGTAGCAGGGACTACGGGCGCCCGCCACCACGCCCTGCTAATTTTTTGTATTTTTAGTAGAGACGGGTTTCACCATGTTGGCCAGGATGGTCTCAATCTCTTGACCTCGTGATCCACTCGCCTCGGCCTCCCAAAGTGCTGGGATTACAGGCGTGAGCCACCACGCCCGGCCTCATTTGGTCTTTTGAATGTAGGTCCTGAGCAATTGGAAAAATGTAAAATTGTGTGATTTAGGTAATTTCTGTTGTTATAAAAGTTCAAGTAATATACTAAAAGATGACCTACAGGCAGAGTAAATGAAAAGTAAATAGAGGTAATAGGAAGGTAGGAGAGTGGAATGAAGGGAAAACAGAACAAGGAAATAGAATGAAGGAGTCAACAGAGACTAGATAGGCAATTAACTTCCTCAATTGTGTTCTGTGAGTAAATGGTGAAACTGTGCTCCCGTATCCTATCTGGTGTTACCTCCCTTAGATTAGGCCTCTAATGTTTTTCTTTGTAGATCCCAAGATAAGTGATCTCAATACAGAAGTTTGTATTTCTTCCTGCTTTTTCCTCCTGGCCCACAGTATAAGTGCTGCAACAGGAAGCACCTTTGGTCAAGATAGGAACAGTGATAGGTTCTGGAGTAAGTTTTTTGAATAAAACACAGGATCAGCTGAGGATGAATGTACGGTGTGAGAAAAAGACAGGGATGAAGGATTGATTTTATTTTTGAGAAACTAAGTGAATAGAATGGGAAAGGAAATGTTGGGAAATAAGAGAAATCATGATGTCTGTTTTGGAGACGTCAAGCAGACAGACCTGGCAATAAAGATCAGTGATGTATCTACATACAGATTTTTTAAAAAATAACAACAGATACACAGTTTAATCCATTACAAATATTCCAGATACTATGTAAAAACTAATATAGATTACTAAAATATAAATAATCCTTCAATCAAGAGCAAGAAATATTTAACTAAGGTGAATATGGTACTAATAATATAAACCATTTGTTATTTATAACTATTAAGTACTTTACATTTATTATTGTATCTTTGAATTATCACTTGAAACACATGAGATAAGTAATATTATTGCCATTTTATAAATGAAGAAGTTAAGGCTAATTGAGATGAACTTTTTTCATCTTCAAAATTTATAACAGGTGTCAGAGCCAGAACTTAAAAGTCTTTCAGATTTCTAAGTTTGATTAAGTATTATAATATGCTATACTAAATGCTCTGTATGAATAATTATATGCCTATAAAAATAATATAAGTCCATGTTTATGGAAAAAGAAAGACAAACAGATATAAAATAATTATGGAGTACAGAAAGGAGAGGTGCAAAAAGTATGACTTTTTAAATAATGGTTCTCATTAGATTTTCTATATAATATTGAGGAAACTGAGGTTTAGTTTTCTTTAATGAAATAACCAAAGTAATCTTCAAACCTTTTTTCTTCCTATATGTAAGAGAAATTTTATCTAATGTTTGAAAAAATTAAAGAAGGAGGTAAGACTTTATCTGGATACCCAAAAATGGATAAAATTTACATAGAGAGGAACACTTTTTACAATAAAATTAATATACCTACTGATAAAGAAGGACTTACTTATTTCTGCCATTATGGTGTTTTCTATATGTCTTAGATCTTTGCTCCTCATTTCCTGACTTCTTTTGTATTACGTAAATATTTTCTACATAATACATACATGTACTAGTTGTATTCACTTCTCATATATTAATTAATTATTTCCTTAGTGGCTACCCTGGGGATTATAATCAATCACATACATTTGTAAAAACTGAATTTGAATTGAAACTAATTTAGCTTCAATAACATAAGAAAAGCTCTGTCCCTATGCAGCTACACTTTCACATTTTATGTTGCTGTTATTGTCACAAATTGCATCTTTAAAGATTGCAAGTTCATTTACATAAATTTACAATTATTGTTTTATGCATTTTTCTTTTATATCACTTTCTAAACACAAAGAAGAGTTAAAAGTCAAAAATTTAGTAATGCTGGCTTTTTTACTGGCCTATGTTTTTCTTTGTAGAGCTTTGATTTACTGTCTTGTAGTTTGAGAACTACAAGCTTGAAGAACTTCTTTGAACATTTCTGATAAGACAAGTCTTCTTGCAACAAACCCCTTCAACTTTGTTTATCTAGGAATGTCTTAATTTCTCCTTCAGTTTTTAAGTATGGTTTTTCCTGATACAAGTCTTAGCAGTGTTATTCTTTCAGCCCTTTAAATATGACACTACCCCCCAGTGTACCACCTTCTGGCCCCCATATTTCCTGTTACAAAATTAGCTGTTAGTCTTGTGAAGGATCCATTGTATATGATGATTCCCTTCTTTCTTGTTGCTTTTTCAGATTCTCTCCTTTTCTTTTTCTTTTGAAAGTTTGAGTATAATGAGTACTGGTTTGGATCTCTTTGGGTTTATCCTACAAGCATTTGGTGAACTTCTTAGATGTGTAGACACATGTCTTTCTTCAAATTAGGGAAGTTTGGGGACATTCTTCCTTCAAGTCTTCCTGATCTTTTCTCTGTCTTCTCCTTATGGGACTCTGTTAGTGTGTATGTTGGTGTACCTGTTGGTATCCTTGGGTCCCTTAAGGTCTTTTCATTATTTGCATTAATTTTTTCTTTCTGCTCAGCTGACTGGATTGTCCCTTCTTTGAGTCTCTTAATTCTTTCTTTTGCCTGCTCTACACCATTGCTGAAGCCCTGTAGTGTATTTGTTTTCTTTTTAGGTGTGGCACTTTTTAGCTCCAGAATTTCTATTTGGTTCCTTTATACAACTTTACCTGTGTATTGATAGTCCCTATTTGTTTGTATACCATTCTTCTTATTTCCTTTAGTTCCTTGTCCATGGTTCTCATCATTCTTTGAGCATTTTAAGATAATGGATTTAGTCTTTGTCTAGTCAGTCCAATGTCTGGGCTTCTTCAGAGACAACTTCTGTCATTTTATTTCCTGTTAACAGGCCATATTTTCCTGTTTCTTTGAATATCTTATGTTTTTATTGAAGACTGGTCATTTTTAATATTATATCTGGAAAGCAGATCCTTCTTCCTCCCCATGGTTTGCTGCTGCTGTTTGTTGAGAGCTGCAGTGGCACTTCATAAAGTGACTTTCCCAAATTATTTTTGCAAATACTGTATTTCTTATCATGTGTGGTCACTAAAATCTGTCTTCTGTCATATCAGCAGCCAGCCATTGACTTGACAGAGACTTTCTTAAATATCTGGTGCCAAAAAGAAGAGGAACAGTGAACTACCCTATTCTCTGAAAGTTGCCATTGAACTGGGACATGCCTTCAGTACTTACCTAGGTTGCCTGAAAGCTCCCATAGCCTTCATCTGCTTGTGTGTGGTCCAAAGAGTAGCTACACATGTTAATCTAAGGCTTCTCGGGCCTTTTCTGTGCATGCATTAGACCTTAAGCATACATACTGCACTTGGTAGCCCTTCAAAGCTATTACTGCCCCAAGAATACTCCTCAGCAGCCTTTCTTTTTTTCCCTTTTCTTGTTGTTCTGCAATTCCTTGCCCACAGATAGTATGTTTTTAACTGCTGCTGACATATGCCCCCTAGAAAGCTGCTCAGGCTTGTGGGAGTGAAGGTTGGGCTGAAAGAAGGAAAGCCTCTGTGCTGGCCCCTCAGGGAAGCAAGAAACAGATCAAAATTCACATCTTTTTTTTTTACAAAAAGGTTTGTATTGCATTACCCTAGCACCAGAAAGCTGCGTCACAAATACGGACTGATAACCCTGTAGTCAATGACAAACTGGAGGAAAATGGGCAATGGTAGGCAGGTGAGTGACAGTGCCACAACATTCTTTTATTATAGTTTTTGTTTGTTTGTTTTTGTTTTTTGGGGATGGAGTCATGCTCTGTCACCCAGGCTGGAGTGCAATGGTGAGATGTTGGCTCACTGCAGCCTCTGCCTCCCATGTTCAAGCTATTCTTCTGCCTCAGCCTCCTTAGTAGCTGGGACTACAGGCACCCACCACCACACCTGACTAATTTTTGTATTTTTAGTAGAGATGGCCTTGGCCTCCCAAAGTGCTAGGATTACAGGCATGAGCCACCGCGCCTGGCCTATTATAGTTTTGCAGCCTCTTTATTAAGTGCTCTCCTGGTTACTATAAGTATTTGATTAGAATACAGAGTTTAAAAAAAAAACTCGATTCTGTCATTTATGCTACCTTACTGATTGCTTCAGTGGAAGGGCCAATTCTTAGAGTATTGTATGTCACCATTTTCCATGAAATCCCAAAAACATTGACTTTAGTGAGAGACTTTAAAGTAGTATTTAGAGAAATCATTTCATAAGCCAACCACTACCCTTTCAATACAAACTATTTAACACAAACATATGTGACAACCCCTAAAAGTTTTCCCAAATTGCAGCATCAAAGCATATTATGTTGAATAGAATAAGGAAGAAGGTAGTGTATATAGAAGTGAGATATGAGATATTGAATCTCATGTTTCTAAACATTCTTCCTAAAATAAAACAGAATAATTAGATGAAGGAGTAATCAAAGCCATAACTGGAAACCACCTGAATTTAAAAATGGACTAATTCAGCGTAAGATAAAATTGTATTTGAGACAAAATTAATAAAACAAAATCCCTCTCAAGACTTGGTCTTGACAACTTTTTAAATTAAAAGTGTAACAACAAAACCCTACAAGCATTAAGTATAAAAATGAAACAAAAAGCAAGCTTGTTTTGGAGGACATAGATCTAACTGGTCTCATATTTGATGCCTCTTCAACAATAAATTTCAGAAATAAATTAACTTTACAAAATCTTAAGGAAATTTAAAAACATACAATCAGATACATTGGATTTTACACATGATATGGTTTATTTACTTATTTAGTCAGTAAATTTTACTGTAGCTTCTTTGATCCTGTTATTGGAAGTAGTCACAGAGATACAGTCTTAAATGGCAATTATAGCTGAGTGGGAAAGAGAAAAATCAAGTTAAAAAATAAAATAAATGCAAAATAATGTAACCGCCGTGGAAGACAATATGGTGAAACACCATTTGCATGTCAATGTTCAAAGAAGCACTATTCGTAATAAGCAAAGGTAGAAATAGCCCAGATGTCCATTGATGGACGAATGAATAAACAAAATGTGGCCTATATATCCACAATGGAATAGTACTCAGCCTTAAAAAGAAAAGAAATTTTGGCACATGCTACACTATGGATGAAACTTGAAGACATTACATAAAGTGAAATAAGCCAGTTACAAAAGAACAAATACTGTATGGTCCAACTTCTAGCAGGTGGCTAGTATAATCAAACTCATAAAATCAGAAAGTAGAATGGTGGTTGCCAGGGAGAAGAAATGATGAGTTGTTTAATAGATTTAGAGTTTCGGTTTGAGAAGATGAAAACATTCTGGGCATGAATGATGATGATGGCTGGACAACAATGTGAATCTACTTAATGCCACTGTACCGTACAGTAATAAGAATATTGACATGAGACGTTTCTGCAAAAAATCTCAATGCCCAACCCCCTGTTGGAATGGGAAAAGCAGAAGCTCTGAAATATAACTTTAAATGGAGAGCAAAAATTAAATGTAGCAAAATTTATAGAAATGCTGAAAACATAATAAAAAATCTATTAGTAATACATTTGGTTAATAAGGTAAAAAACAATATTTTACTTTAATGGAAGCATCTGAGCTTGTCAACTGTTTTTGTAACCAAAGTACGGATGATTTCCTACTCTAGGGTGGCTCATTTAAAATTATATGTAATAAAAGTTCGCAAGCATTTTGATGGCTTTCAGCAGTACTATTCATTTATTATCTGCTTGTTGAACACTAACTATGGGACCAGCATAAACAAGAGAGATTTTACCCTTCATGTGATGGAGCATATGTTGTAAAGCAGTGATTTTCCCATTGTAGTCTCTCAACAGCAGCATCAGCATCACCAGTGTATTAGTCCATTCTTACACTGCTAATAAAGACGTACCTGAGACTGGGTAATTTATAAAGGAAAGAGCTTTAATTGACTCACAGTTTGGCTTGGCTGGGGAGGCCTCAGGAGACTCATAATCATGGCAAGAAGGGAAGCAAACAAGTCCTTCTTCACATGGTATCAGGAAGGAGAAGAATGAGAGCCAGAGAAGGGAGAAGCCACTTATTTAACCATCAGATCTTGTGAGAACTTACTCTCATGAGAACAGCATGGGGAAATCTGCCCCCATGATTCAACTACCTCCCACCAGGTCCCTCCCATGACACATTAGCATTATAGGAACTATAATTCAAGATGAGATTTGGGTGGGGACACAGCCAAACCATTTCAATGAGTAACCTAATTAAAATTGAAATTCTCTTTTTTCTTTTTAATTATACTTTACGTTCTAGGGTACATGTGCACAACGTGCAGGTTTGTTACATATGTATATATGTGACATGTTGGTGTGCTGCACCCATTAATTCGTTATTTACATTAGGTATATCTCCTAATGCTATCCCTCCCCCGTCCCCCCACCCCACAACAGGCCCTGGTGTGTGGTGTACCTCACTCTCTGTCCAAGTGTTCTCATTGTTCAATTCCCACCTATGAGTGAGAACATGCGGTGTTTGGTTTTCCGTCCTTGCGATAGTTTGCTCAGAATGATGGTTTCCAGCTTCATCCATGTCCCTACAAAGGACATGAACTCATCCTTTTTTATGGCTGCATAGTATTCCATGGTGCCACATTTTCTTAATCCAGTTTATCATTGTTGGACATTTGGGTTAGTTCCAAGTCTTTGCTATTGTGAATAGTGCAGCAATAAACATACGTGTGCATGTGTCTTTATAGCAGCATGATTTATAATCCTTTGGGTATACACCCAATAATGGGATGACTGGGTCAAATAGTATTTCTAGTTCTAGATCCCTGAGCAATCGCCACACTGTCTTCCACAATGGTTGAAATAGTTTACACTCCCACCAACAGTGCAAAAGTGTTCCTATTTCTCCACATCCTCTCCAGCACCTGTTGTTTCCTGACTTTTTAATGATGGCCATTCTAGCTGGTGTGAGATGGTATCTCATTGTGGTTTTGATTTGCATTTCTCTGATGGCCAGTGATGATGAGCATTTTTCCATGTGTCTCTTGGCTGCATAAATGTCTTCTTTTGAGAAGTGCCTATTCATATCCTTTGCCCACTTTTTGATGGAGTTGTTTGATTTTTTCTTGTAAATTTGTTTAAGTTCTTTGTAGTTTCTGGATATTAGCCCTTTGTCAGATGGGTAGATTGCAAAAATTTTCTCCCATTCTCTAGGTTGCCTGTTCACTCTGATGGTAGTTTCTCTTTCTGTGCAGAAGTTCTTCAGTTTAATTACATCCCATTTGTCAATTTTGGCTTTTGTTGCTATTGCTTTTGGTGTTTTAGACATGAAGTCCTTGCCCATGCCTATGTCCTGAATGGTATTGCCTAGGTTTTCTTCTAGGGTTTTTATGGTTTTAGGTCTGACATTTAAGTCTTTAATCCATCTTGAATTAATTTTTGTATAAGGTGTAAGGAACAGATCCAGTTTCAGCTTTCTACATATAGCTAGCCAGTTTTCCCAGAACCATTTATTAAATAGGGAATCCTTTCCCCGTTTCTTGTTTTTGTCAGGTTTGTCAAAGATCAGATGGGTGTAGATGTATGGTATTATTTCTGAGGGCTCTGTTCTGTTCCATTGGTCTATATCTCTGTTTTGGTATAAGTACCACGCTGTTTTGGTTACCGTAGCCTTGTAGTGTAGTTTGAAGTCAGGTAGCATGATGCCTCTAGCTTTGTTCTTTTGGCTTAGGATTGTCTTAGCAATGCAGGCTCTTTTTTGGTTCCATATGAACTTTAAAGTAGATTTTTCCAATTCTGTGAAGAAAGTCATTGGTAGCTTGATGGGGATGGCATTGAATCTATAAATTACTTTGGGCAGTATGGCCATTTTCACAATGTTGTTTCTTCCTATCCATGAGCATGGAATGTTCTTCCATTTGTTTGTGTCCTCTTTTATTTCGTTGGCAGTGGTTTGTAGTTCTCCTTGAAGAGGTCCTTCACATCCCTTGTAAGTTGGATTCCTAGGTATTTTATCCTCTTTGAAGCAATTGTGAATGGAAGTTCTCCCATGATTTGGCTCTCTGTTTGTCTGTTATTGGTGTATAGGAATGCTTGTGATTTTTGCACATTGATTTTGTATCCTGAGACTTTGCTGAAGTTGCTTATCAGCTTAAGGAGATTTTGGGCAGAGATGATGGGGTTTTCTAAATATACAATCATGTCATCTGCAAACAGGGACAATTTGACTTCCTCTTTTCCTATGTGAATACCATTTATTTCTTTCTCCTGCCTGATTGCCCTGGCCAGAACTTCCAATGTTATGTTGAATAGGGGTGGTGACAGAGGTCATCCCTGTCTTGTGCCAGTTTTCAAAGGGAATGCTGCCAGTTTTGCCCATTCAGTATGATATTGGCTGTGGGTTTGTCATAAATAGCCTTCATTATTTTGAGATACATCCCATCAATACCTAGTTTATTGAGAGTTTTTAGCGTGAAGGGCTGTTGAATTTTGTTGAAGGCCTTTTCTGCATCTATTGAGATAATCATGTCTTTGGTTCTGTTTATGTGATGGATTACATTTACTGATTTGTGTATGTTGAAACAGCCTTGTATCCCACGGATGAAGCCCACTTGATCATGGTGGATAAGCTTTTTGATGTGCAGCTGGATTCGGTTTGCCAGTATTTTATTGAGGATGTTTGCATTGATGTTCATCAGGGTTATTGGTCTAAAATTCTCTTTTTTTGTTGTGTCTCTGCCAGGCTTTGGTATCAGGACGATGCTGGCCTCATAAAATGAGTTAGGGATGATTCCCTCTTTTTCTATTGATTGGAATAGTTTCAGAAGGAATGGTACCAGCTCCTCTTTGTACCTCTGGTAGAATTTGACTATGAATCCGTCTGGTCCTGGACTTTTTTTGGTAGGCTCTTAATTATTGCCTAAATTTCAGTGCCTGTTATTGGTCTATTCAGGGATTCAACTTCTTTCTGGTTTAGTCTTGGGAGGGTGTATGCGTCGAGGTATTTATCCATTTCTTCTAGATTTTCTAGTTTATTTGCGTAGAGGTGTTTATAATATTCTCTGATGGTAGTTTGTATTTCTGTGGGATCGGTGGTGATATCCCCTTTATCATTTTTTATTGCGTCTATTTGATTCTTCTCTCTTTTCTTCTTTATTAGTCTTGCTAGCAGTCTATCAATTTTGTTGATCTTTTCAAAAAAACAGCTCCTGGATTTATTGATTTTTTGAAGAGTTTTGAAGAGTCTCTATCTCCTTCAGTTCTGCTCTGATCTTATTTATTTCTTGCCTTCTGCTAGCTTTTGAATGTGTTTGCTCTTGCTTCTCTAGTTCTTCTAATTGTGATGTTAGAGTGTCAATTTCAGATCTTTCCTGCTTTCTCTTCTGGGCATTTAGTGCTCTAAATTTCCCTCTACACCCTGCTTTAAATGTGTGCCAGAGATTCTGGTATGTTGAGTCTTTGTTCTCATTGCTTTGAAAGAACATCTTTATTTCTGCCTTCATTTCATTATGTACCCAGTAGTCACTCAGGAGCAGGTTGTTCAGTTTCCATGTAGTAGAGCAGTTTTGAGTGAGTTTCTTAATCCTGAGTTCTAGTATGATTGCACTGTGGTCTGAGAGACAGTTTGTTATAATTTCTGTTTGTTACATTTGCTGAGGAGAGCTTTACTTCCAGCTATGTGGTCAATTTTGGAATAAGTGTGATGTGGTGCTGAGAAGTATATATATTCTGTTGATTTGGGGTGGAGAGTTTTGTAGATGTCTATTAGGTCCACTTGGTGCAGAACTGAGTTCAATTCCTGGATATCCTTGTTAACTCTGTCTCATGGATCTGTGTAATGTTGACAGTGGGGTGTTAAAGTCTCCCATTATTATTGTGTGGGAGTCTAAGTCTCTTTGTAGGCCTCTAAGGACTTGCTTTATGAATCTGGGTGCTCCTGTATCGGGTGCATATATATTTAGGATAGTTAGCTCTTCTTGTTGAATTGATCCCTTTATCATTATGTAGTGGCCTTCTTTGTCTCTTTTGATATTTGTTGGTTTAAAGTCTGTTTCATCAGAGACTAGGATTGCAACCCCTGCTTTTTTTTGTTTTCCATTTGCTCGGTAGGTCTTCCTCCATCCCTTTATTTTGAACCTATGTGTGTCTCTGCACGGGAGATGGGTCTCCTGAATACAGCACACTAATGGGTCTTGACTCTTTAACCAATTTGCCACTCTGTGTCTTTTAATAGGAGCATTTAGCCCATTTACATTTAAGGTTAATATTGTTACGTGTGAATTTGATCCTGTCATTATGATGTTAGCTGGTTATTTTGCTCATTAGTTGATGCAGTTTCTTCTTAGCATCAATGGTCTTTACAATTTGGCATGTTTTTGCAGTGGCTGGTATCAGTCATTCCTTTCCATGTTTAGTGCTTCCTTCAGGAGCTCTTTTGAGACAGGCCTGGTGGTGACACAACCTCTCAGCATTTGCTTGTCTGTAAAGGATTTTATGTCTCCTTCACTTATGAAGCTTAGTTTGGCTTGATATGAAATTCTGGGTTGAAAATTCTTTTCTTTAAGAATGTTGAATATTGGCCCCCACTCTCTTCTGACTTGTAGAGTTTCTGCCAAGAGATCTGCTGTTAGTCTGATGGGCTTCCCTTTGTGGGTAACCCAACCTTTCTCTCTGGCGACCCTTAACATTTTTTCCTTCATTTCAACTTTGGTGAATCTGACAATTATGTGTCTTGGAGTTGCTCTTCTCGAGGAGTATCTTTGTGGTGTTCTCTGTATTTCCTAAATTTGAATGTTGGCCTGCCTTGCTAGGTTGGGGAAGTTCTCCTGGATAATACCCTGCAGAGTGTTTTCCAACTTGATTCCATTCTCCCCATCACTTTCAGGTACACCAGTCAGACGTAGATTTGGTCTTTTCACATAGTCCCATATTTCTTGAAGGCTTTATTTCTTTTTACTCTTTTTTCTCTAAACTTCTCTTCTCGCTGCATTTCATTCACTTGATCTTCAATCACTGATTCCCTTTCTTCCAGTTGATCGAATCGGCTAACTGAAGCTTCTGCATGCGTCACATAGTTCTCGTGGCATGGTTTTCAGCTCCATCAGGTAATTTAATGTCTTCTCTATGCTGTTGATTCTAGTTAGCCATTCATCCAATCTTTTTTTAAGGTTTTTAGCTTCTTTGCGATGGGTTTAAACATCCTCCTTTAGCTCGGAGAAGTTTGTTATTGCCAATCTTCTGAAGCCTTCTTCTCTCAACTCGTCAAAGTCATTCTCCGTCCAGCTTTATTCCGTTGCTGGCAAGAAGCTGCGTTCCTTTGGAGGAGAAGAGATGCTCTGATTTTTAGAATTTTCAGCTTTTCTGCTCTGGTTTCTCCCCATCTTTGTGGTTTTATCTACCTTTGGTCTTTGATGATGGTGACGTACAGATGGGGTTTTGGTGTGGATGTCTTTTCTGTTTCTTAGTTTTCCTTCTAATAGTCAGGACCCTCACCTGCAGGTCTGTTGGAGTTTGCTGGAGGTCCACTCCAGGCCCTGTTTGCCTGGGTATCACCTGCAGAGGCTGCAGAACCGCAAATATTGCAGAATGGCAAATGTTGCTTCCTGGTCGTTCCTCTGGAAGCTTCGTCTCAGAGGGGTACCTGGCCGTATGATGTGTCAGTTGGCCCCTACTGGGAGGTGCCTCCCAGTCAGTCTACTCGGCGGTCAGGGACCCACTTGAGGAGGCAGTCTGTCCGTTCTCAGATCTCAAACTCCATGCTGGGAGAACCAGTACTCTCTTCAAAGCTGTCAGACAGGGATGTTTAAGTCTGCAAAAGTTTCTGCTGCCTTTTGTTCAGCTATGCCCTGCCCCCAGAGGTGGAGTCTACAGAGGCAGGCAGGCCTCCTTGAGCTGCGGTGGACTCCACCCAGTTCGAGCTTCCCAGCCACTTTGTTTACCTACTCAAGCCTCAGCAATGGTGGGTGCCCCTCCCCCAGCCCCACTGCCACCTTGCAGTTCGATCTCAGACTGCTGTGCTAGCAGTGAGCAAGGCTCTGTGGGCATGGGACCCTCCGAGCCAGGTGCGGGATATAACCTCCTGGTGTGCCCTTTGCTAAGACTCTTGGAAAAGTGCAGTATCAGGGTTGGAGTGACCCAATTTTCCAGGTGCCGTCTGTCACAGCTTCCCTTGGCTAGGAAAGGGAATTCCCTGACCCCTTGCGCTTCCCAGGTGAGGCGATGCCTCGCCCTGCTTCGGCTCATAGTCTGTGGGCTGCACCCACTCTCCTGCACCCACTGTCTGACAAGACCCAGTGAGATGAACCTGTTACCTCAGTTGGAAATGCAGAAATCACCCATCTTCTGCGTTACTCACCCTGGGAGCTGTAGTCTGGAGCTGTTCCTATTTGGCTATCTTGGAACCTCCCCCCAAAATTGAAATTCTCTATGCCACCCCAGACCTATTGAATCAGAAATTGTGGAGGTAGAACCCAAAGATTAGTGGTGCTTAAATAAGGCTTTCAGATGATTCTGATGCACATACAGTTTGAGAGCCACTGGGGTGGAATACCAGTAAACACTGAGTTTCACTTTTTTGTATTTACCTATAAAGATGTTTTGTACATGTGAAATCTGTTGCAATGAATACCTAACAATAATTATGTGGAAGCTTTAGGTCAGATGACAAGTATCCAAGAGCCATTCAAAACCTCAAATATTCTTGTCTTTTTAAATTATATGTAGTATTTTCTATTTCCATTTCTGCTGTTGTATATTTCCTAGATCCTAAAATATTAGTTTTCTTTGAGGACACTCAATCCAGTTATGCCAAACACAATCATTTATTAAATATTTATTATTTAGTTCCCTGTGAAACAGCCCTGAAAGTTTAGATAGAGGCCAGGAAGGTGTATCCATTTTAGGTTGAGATCCCAGATTCAGGATCCTTTCTTCAGCAATGGAGATGTACTTCAAACATCTATCAATTCACTAACAAATGTTTCAGATTGTCAGTGTCACTCATCCTTCTAGCACCTGGAACAAACAGTGCCAAAGCATCTGATAATAAAAAATGTAGGACTGGAAGAATCATAAAAGGTTTTTTTTTTTCCTTTCTAATTTTAATTAAATTTCTTTCTTTCCAGTAGTCTGACTTATATCAGACACTGAAATTACAAGATCTGGATTTACAGAATGAATAGTCCCTTATGTTCCATGATAAAAAAAAAAAGTACATAAAGTTATATATTCCTGGGCAGTGTGGCTACTCTGAATGACTGGAGCCCAAGCCTTTTGCTGCAATATTATGTTTACAAATGTGGGTGAATGTGCATAAGTAAATGGTTCTGAGGAAAGATCCTATCTGGGTATCTTTGACTTTCTTGTAATCACTTTCACAGCCTTCATGATATGGCGTATACCTAATAATCCAGGCATATAGGGAATGTGTAGAGATGCATGCATAACTAATGGATAAGTGAAGTTCTGAAAATAAATTGTTAAAGCTCATGGTAGGAAATGCAGCCTTGTGGCATGATGATATTTGTGCTGCTTCTCTGATAATTGTGTACAATTCAGAAGAGCACAGTGATTTTGTAATTAACGCTTGATACACATTACCTTTAATTACTTCAGGCATCCTCACTTGAAGGCATCTGTGTGTGTGTGAGTATGCGCATATGTGCTTCTGTGCAGAATGATTTTCAGTCTGTAAAGAGAGTTTTCTTCCTACTGATAAAGTATTTAGCCGATCCAGTTCAAATTCCCAGCTTGAAGTGAGGGTAGCCAGAGTTAGAGAGAAAAGCAAGATACAAGAGAGACAAATTAAACCAAAAGGTATCTCTGGATACTCTTTAAAGAAAAATAGTTTTATCAATAATGGGCAGCAGAACTTACATCATATTGAACTCGTGCTAGAGAAGCATTCTCTTCACAAGAACACATAGAGGAGAACAGCAGACACAGGGGCTACTGGAGAGTGGAGGGTGGGAGGAAGGAGAGGATCAGGAAAAATAAGTAATGGGTACTAGGCTTAACACCTGGGTGACAAAACAATCTATACAACATAACCCCATGACACAACTTTACATATACAACAACCCTACATATGTACCCCTAAACTTAAAAAAAAAAGGAAAAGCATTCTCTTTATTGCTAGACAAATGCTCTGATAAAAGGAATGAAGGTGTTCATACCCAGTAAGTGATCACTCACCTTTACTCCCAGCTCAAAATTTGTTTTCTCCTTGAGCATTTAAGTGGCAGTGTAGATGGTTGGAAATGATTGACTTTCATGGTTTATTTAGTTTATTAATATAGTAATCTATAGCCATCTGGGCTAGATCTAAAGAAAATTATATAGGGGCAATGTTCAATTCCAATGCCTATTAATTCTCCTTCAAATACCCAGCCACATCTTGCCACTGTTTGGCTCTCTAGTTCTTCTCACTCAGCCTTACCTGGGCCTGGAGGATGCACGTGTGCTCGCTCTGATCGAGAGGGCAATCTGGATCCCCGGAAGCCAAGTGCAAATGACCGAAGAGTTATATGCTCTTCCCATGGGGCATATTTTTCATAGCTTTTTTTTTTTTTTTAACTGTTTTTTTCTTTTTTCTCTCTTTTTTAAAATTAAATCAGTTGACAACAACTGATAATTATTGATAAATCACATAAAAATCTGGATTTTTGGCTCAACTGAAAAGTTTAAATGGCTAGCCATGACAGGTTTTCTTTCCCGCAAGGGACCACTCTGTTGGAGAAGCTGCCCCTTTAGAAGGAGGAGGAGGGCTGTGCACTCCAGGGGGTCCTCAATACTAGCTACTACCACCTTCCTACTGAGGCTGAGGCCAGCATCCATTTATTATCAAGCTTCTGCTGTTGCTTTTTATAGACCTGATTCAGTTTATACACTTATATGGCCTGCTGGCCACTGCAGGCATTTGAGTTTTTTTTAACATCTGCTATAGGTATGTTTTTACTTTTCTTGCCAAGTCACTGGCCATATAATCTTTAGATAAAGCCAGTGAGTGTCCAGCATCTTATTCCAGCCACGTCACCTCATAAACCAAATATCTATGACAAAGGTTACAGGTTTCTGGCTTTATCCTTTTTAAATATGCAAATAATATCATTCACACCACCTTCTATGCTTATAGCAATAAATTCAGTCCTAACTGTAAAGTTTCTGGGAGTTCGCAAAGGCCATTTGGGTGCAAGGCTTACTGAGTGAATACTCTCATTTTTCTCTATCAAATTTGCTCAGAAGCTTCACCCCTTCTGATCACCTGGGGCTTGCTTGTCATGAACTTTTTTAGTTACTCCAGCTCCATCTGATACCTGCTTTCTCAATAAATGATCTCAGTCCTTCCTTTATTGCTCTAGGTAGTTGACAGCATGAGGCTAACACTTTGTTATGGTGGTAGACATTTGCTGATTACCTTGGTGATAAATCAGGGAAATTAGAAGGTATAACTTACAACTGGACATCAGGCAGGCTAAGCCAAGTGAATCCTTACTCTTTGGCTCCTTAAGTGTTAACTTGTCAAGTTATATGTACAAATTGTTTGCTATATACGAAGTGTTTGTCAAAGAAAGAGTAAGATATTTATATCAGAGAATCCTAAGGATGGTGTAAAATTGTGAATATATTGTATAAGACCCAGAACTCATATAGAATCCCAGTTGGCATCAGTAATATGGTACTATTATTTTTAAACAAATATGAGGCTTGGCTGCAACAACAGAAGTACTGCTTTGAAAGAAAGTATTGGTCATTGGTCAGACAACTGATAAAGCACTGAGTTCAGTTTGGGTCTCTATAATGGTCAAGCTGAAAAATAATATGTGTACAATCATTTTAAATAATATATAATATATACAAAATCATTATATATGTTATATATAATTATATAATTTAGCTCAACTACATATTATGTTTTTGACTAAATCATGTATATACATACATATGTATGTGTGTGTGTTTTGTGTGTGTATCTATCCAGCTATTTATCTATGATGTAGTTAAATAAACCACAGAGGATAAACCCCATAAGGAACAACTATGTGTTCTTGATTTCCTGGTGTTGCCTACAAATGGCACTAAACTCTGGACAGTGATTCCCGGTGACCAACCCCAGCCCAGGAGTGCATGTGGCTCTCATAGCTCTTTTCAGAGCAACCATTCTCCGCTGTCCAAACAGAGGACCCACTGGGCATTCTACAGCCTCCACCAGCAGGGGAGGGAAGAAATAACTCATGAGTTCCTGAAGCACAGTCTTAAAGCAGTATTGCTGCTGGCTTTTTAGAAATGACCACCTGGGAGTGCAGCGGATCTTCACAGCAGTTCTTTTTTTGAAATGACTTCATATTAACTTTGAATTTGAGGCTAAAATCTTAAACAGCAGCAGCCCCTCTGGATGCAACTATAGCTATAAATATTCTGTTTTCCAGATTGAAGAGTTTTATTTTTGTATGTCCGGATACCAATGCAAGAAGACCAGAGTGACCATCAATTCTAGAGCACGTCTATATATATTAAATTCAGTTGGACTATACTCCCACCTAGCATTTGTTCCTAACTTTGAAAACAACATACCAGCCAGGCACAGTGGTTCAGGCCTGTAATCCCAGCATTCTGAGAGGCCGAGGCAGGTAGATCACTTGAGGTCAGGAGTTCACCAGCCTAGCCAACATAGTGAAACCCCCATCTCTACTAAAAATACAAAAATTAGCCAGGTGTGGGGACGGGTGCCTGTAATCCCAGCTACTTGGGAGGCTGAGGCAGGAGAATCACTTGAACCTGGGAGGCGGAAGTGCAGTGAGCTGAGGAGCTGAGATTGTGCCACTATGCTCCAGCCTGGGTAACAGAGTGAGATGCCATCTCAAAAAACAAACAAAAAACACCTAAATGCCACACACACACACACACACACACACACACACACACATACCAAATCTATGTCCTAATTCTTGGCTCTTAGAAGAAAAATAAGTGTTCCTCTCACCAATATTTCTCAACAATTATAGTGAAATCACATTCATCTGTGAAGAATTCAGAAAATGTTTTAAAATTGTTCAATTACCAATGTTTTGAATGATATAATTTTTAAAAAATGTTAGTCCTGCTAATTTTTATTTTAAGGATCTTCTGAGACACAGAGGGGGTATATATAATCAATGTGCACCCACAAGCCTGCTATCAACATGTAATATATGGTATTTATGAAAATAATCTTTTATATGTGTTGGAGATAAGTGGTTCACCACATTTGCCCCAAGATCTCTTGTCTGTTCTATCCATGTACAAGGCCACCATTGGAAACAGTTAACCATGGTGAAAGACCCTGTGGCAATATCCCCAAGCAGTCTTGCAACATCACCAACAGCTCTAAGGAAAGATTCACACAATTAGAGGTAGGCAAGGACGACACCTGCAATGCGAGATGTTAGTCTCTCTGATATTAGAGACCTGATATGGGTTGGATCTGTGTCCCCACCCCAATCTCATGTTGAAATGTAATCCCCAATGCTGGAAGTGGGGCCTGGTGGGAGATGATTGGATCATGGGCGAGGCTTCTAATGGTTTAGTACCATCTCCCTAGTGCTGTTCTAGTGATAGAGTTCTTACAAGATCTGTTTGTTTAAAAGTATGCAGCATCTGCCTCCTCTTTCTTGGTCCTGCCCCTGTCATGCAAGGTACCTTCTCCCACTTTGCCTTCTGCCATGAGTGAAAGTTACCTGAGGCCCCTCCAGAAGCAGATGCTGCCATGCTCCCTGTACACCCTAAGGAACCGTAAGCCAATTAAACCTCTTTTCATTATAAATTACCCAGTCTCAGGTATTTCTTTGTAGCAATGAGAGAACAGACTAATACAAGACCTTTTACATATTTTGTCGCCTTAATGCCACATCATGAGTGTTTGTCTTCTCCATCTAAGAAACTCTCTTAGAGGTGTAAAGACATTGCCCCTAATTTTAGTGGATTTAGAAGGTTTTCACTACAGGCCCTTACACCACCAGACAGCTACACAAAGAGTGCCTGTATTCCCCATATAATGTATGTGCCAGACGAGATAGGTCAATGTGTGTTGCAAGAAGAGATTCTTCACAGCAGCCTCAGAGGAACTTTCAAGAAAGCCTTTAAAGAACATTGCCCTTGGTCTGATGACCTCAAAGTTGTAGTTAAATAAGTCCTCAGTGACTGGTGCAAAGGCAAAAGCCAGATGCAGTTCTGAGACAAGGAAAAGGCCTAGTAGGAGATGCAACTGTTTAGGCCCAGTTTATTGAGAATTGAAAGTTATTTGGGTACCAACCACATGCCCCACTTTGGAAAGGAGAAGTCTAAAAGGAGTTTCAAGAGCGATGGGAGTCATTACAGCCTTCCTGCAGCAGGTCCAATTTGGAGTGCCTTTCCTTTTCCAAGATCATCTTCCTAAAGAGTGTGGGACTCCATGGTTGCAAAGGCCAACCAGCACAAATGGGTCCCGGGCATGGGAACCAGGCTAAGGTAGCCCAGGAATTCCTGTCATGAGGAATTATTATATCTGGAAAGATTAGCCTATGTATATGTAGCCTATGCATATAGGGAGTTTCAAGAGAGATGGGAGTCATTATAGCCTTCCTGCAGCAGGTCCAACTTGGACTGCCTTTCCTTTTCCAAGATCATCTTCCTAAAAAGTGTGGGACTCCATGTTTGCAAAGGCCAAAAAGCACGATTGGGTCCCAGGCATGGGAACTAGGCTAAGACAGCCCAGGAATCACATCTGCAAGAGAATTTCTCGGGACCCTAACCCAGATTGGGGTTCCCTTTTTCACAAGGGAGGACATTTTCTGATTTAGAGTTCTGTATAGCAGAGCTCTCCCTCCAGACTTCAGTAGAAAAGAGAGATGAAGCTGTTAACTTCTTCATTTTACCTTACCAGGCATGTCCCCACCAAGTTCCCATCACCAAATTTGCTACATTAGTGTTCTATGCACTTGAGCTTCCACAGCTTCAACTACACACAGAACATCTTCAAGTACTTATGTCCTTGAAGACTCATTAACCTCAGATTCTGTAAGGTGAAAAAAGCAGCAGCGGCCTTTACATCATTGCAGATAAATCAAACAAACTGATGTAAATCAGCAGAGCTAGGAAGCAAATATCCAGCTTTTTGGAATTAAAATTGAGAATCTTCCTTGACATATGAGGTTTGATATCTTTCAGCAAAGATGACAGTCCTGAAACTGCCTTTCCAGTGCCAAGTGGAATATAAAAAACAATTCAGGGTATCATTTACATATCACACAGGCACCTCAAGCTGGCAAGCTCCTTGCTTAGTAAAGAAAATACAAATAAAGTGAGGCTTTGGGGATTTGCCCTGGGAATTTAAGTTAGTAGGGTAGGTGCTAGTTGGTGAATTAAGCAGCGTTGGGCATTGAAGGGTTAAGGGAAGAGCAAAGTTTAGAAAAGAATTGTTTTCCTTCTCACTGTTCTCCATTTATCACCTCTCACCATGAGACAAAGCTCTGAGCAACCAGAAGCAATGATTGTGCAAATTATTTTCTTTCAAACATTGAAGTAGTGTTGAGTTGAGGGGAGGAGGTGGTAAGAATGGAAACAAGATCAAAATACACAGATGTGTTTTTGTGATGCAAGGAAAACCAGCTCTTATAACAATTACCTAAAACTTAGTAAGACTTTCCCTATAATAAGGGGCTTTTAACTCTTTTAAATCTCATATATTTCTGGAATTGCTTCTTACTTGATTTATTTTTCTTTCTTACACCCTATTATTTAAGATATTCGCTTGCTTTTTCCTAGTCTACAAAGGCATTCCCTATACTTAACATAGTGACTGACACATAGTAGATACTCAATAAACATTTACTAAATAACATACCAATTAATTAAGTCCACACGCAATAATTTGGATTTCAAAGTGAGCTTTATTATTTGTTAACCAGGAGAAGGAGCAATGAAATTCCAGAAAGAGCTTTCTCATTAGACTCATAAAAGCTTAATTCAAATCCTGGTTTTGTCAATCAATAACTACATGATCTTCACCAAACCATGTCATTTAGGCTTCAAGTTCTTCACTTGTACAAGAAAAAAAGCAAAAGAGAGAGGGAGAGAATTAGTGGGGGAAAGAGGAAGGAAGACAAGAAGGAAGGAAATCTCATAATAATAATGAATATCAATGAGTGCTTAGTATAGATACTGTTTTGAAATATTTACATGCATAAGCTGATTTAATACTCTAAACAGTTATCATTCCCATGAGAAAACTGAGACACAGAAGTTAAGTAATTTTCCTAAGTTCACACAGATGGTAAGTAGTGGAGATGAAATGGAAATCCAGGCAATGTGACTCAAGATACTATTTATCACTCCCCCAAAAAACACACGTGTGCACACACATACACAAACACACACACAAACTGCTTCCTCTCATAAGACTAACACACTACCTCTTAAAGTTGAGGTGGGGATTGAGTGAAATAAGACATCTTACGAAAAGTCCCATCAGTGGTGTTTCATGAAAGTTCTTTTCATGTTCTTTTTATGAAATTGCACAATAAGCTTTTCTGTCCACGTGTGTCTAAGACTAACCTTGTTATTTGCACATCCATGTCCATAGCAGGGTTATCACAGTTGCCAAAAGGAAGAAGCAGTCTACGTGTCCATCGACAGACAAATGAATAGACCAAATGTGGTATATACATACAACGGAGTACTATTCAGCCTGAAGACGGAAAGAAATTCTGACACATGCAGCAACATGGATGAACCCTGAGGACATGACACCAAGGGAAACTAGTCAAAAAGGCAAATACTGTATGATTCCATGCATACGAAGTACTTAGAGTAGACAAATTCATAAAGACAAAAAATAGAGTGGTGCTTGCTAGGGCCTGGTCGGGGGTAGGAAATTGGGAGTTACTGTTTAATGCTTATAGAATATTCATTTTTCAAGATGGAAAAGAGTTCCGGAAATTGGTTACACAACTACGCAAATGTACTTAACAATATTGAGCTGTACACTTAAAAAATTTAAAGATGGTAAATTTTATGTTATGTTATGTAATACCACTACTAACAATCAAATAAAATTTTAATAAGGAAACTTTCACACCAAAGTGTCTTTTTGAACTAGCACATAATATCATAATAGGTGCTCAATAAATATGCCCAGTACTCCCTTTCAAATGTGAGTAGACTCACCTTAAAGTTAGTCCACAGCTAACTGTCCACCAACTTTCATCTATGGACAAATAATAGATTGCCTAAGAGTCCCAATGGACTTAGCTGGCTTTTATTGAACGAGGTCTACTCAGAATTCCACAGAGGGCCCTGGTGGCTGCTTCAAAACCAGTCTTCATTTTGCAATCACCATAAAGCGAACTGACCCTAAATGTGAGAAAACTCAACTGCCTGTTCTCCTTGCACTTTCTCAATCTAAATTACAGATTCCTGAACTTCCATAACCTTCTGAAATTTGAAAATCTCATCAAATTGCTAAAATAGCAGATTCTCTTTCAGCAAAGAGAAAAAAATAAAGGGCTACTAGGAGATAGGAAATAGCGTATAGAGACAACACTTACCAACGATTATATTTCAAAAGCTGAGATTTCTCAAGCACCATGACTAATTTAGATATTCTAATTAAATGTAACTGGGACAAAACAAAGGCTCACCCAAGCAAATTAGGCAAAGTTAGTTTTCAGCAACTTTTACCACCCCTCTCTAAGGAACGAAGGGCCTCCTTCTGATGGATACCTTCATCTTGGTTACTCTGTGGAGTAATCCCCCAGCTCCACTGAGCTCTCCCCAACTCTGGTTAAATCTGTTCTCCATTAAGACTCTGAGAGGATGTTACATTCAATCACACGCTGACACCAATCACTAAGAGACTTAACTGTTACCCCAGGTAGTGAGGATCTCAGCTTTAAAATCAAATAATATTGGGCTTGAAAGGAATCTCAAAATGTCATCTTACTAATCTATCCACCTGATTAAAAGAATTTTCTCTGTAGTTCCACTTCCCACAATCATAATAATGCCCCTACCTAAACCCTTCCAGCTATTGGCTACCCACTGTATTATAAAAACCATTTCCATGTATGATGGCTTTGCTTATTGAAAAGTTAGCCCCAAGGTTTAGCCATATTTATTCAATGTCTTTGTTTCTGTCATTTTAGTTCATCAGTTTCTGAGCTCTTCACATTCTTGTCAGTCTCCTACCAATACAGTAATTACAAATGAAAAATAAAATCCTAGGCCCCACAGCTGACTGACCAGATCTACTCCCAGCCAAGGGGACCCCCGAAAAACCTAAACAACTTAATTCTCAGCCATGACAGACAGGCAGGTCAGACACGCCTCACTATACTCTGTCTTTTGGAGTTTGAGCATAACTGACCAGCATTAATATTAAAACAGAGATTTTAAGACTCACAAAATAGACTCTTTGTGGCAGTCTTGATACTCCTACTAATAAATGTAAACACTGATGTTGAACACGCCTTAATGATCTGGGATACTTCTGGAAACTAAACTTATGTTCTAGTTTATGTCCATAAAATGATAGGTTATAAAAAAAAAAAGACTGATCAAAAAAATGCCTGAGGATTTTAGGGGCTCGATATGAGATACAAAATTGTAATCAAGACCCAAGACTATGCAAGGCAAGGGTTGAGCCAAACACTACAAACCATAAAAGCTTGTTAAACAAGGTTTTTAATATTACATGGTTTACTTTCCAACCTTACTCTGGCACAGCATCACATGACAGATAGCAGATCCTGAAGGAAAATCGGAATATTTTACCCCAAATTGTATTTCTTCAACACATTCTGAAAAGGCCCTGCAAAGTCATTTTTATGGCGGAAATTTGCATCTGAAAACTCTCTCCATTAATGTAGAAGGCCAAGCCTTCCCTTTCTAGGCCTTTCCCAGACCTAGGAGAAATGAACTGAGAATCTGACATCTTTTCTTTTTTTTTTTTCTGACGCAGAGCCTTGCTCTGTCGCCAGGCTGGTGTGCGGTGGCGGGATCTCGTCTCACTGCAAGCTCCGCCTCTCGGGTTCAAGCGATTCTCCTGCCCCAGTCTCTCCAGCAGCTGGGATTACAGGTGCGTGCCCAGCTAATTTTTGCATTTTTAGTAGAGACTGAGGGGTTTCACGATGTTGGCCAGGATGGTCTCCATCTCTTGACCTCGTGATCCGCCCGCCTCGGCCTCCCAAAGTGCTAGGATTACAGGCGTGAGCCACCGCGCCCGGCTGAGAATCTGGCATCTTTAAAGAGGTATTTTACCATCTATTCTGTCTGAGGGCTGCCACCTCTGAGGCTTCATCTGCATAGCGAGTCTTTTTCTCCATAACCCCCTTATCTTGATCCTTGCTACTGACTTTTAAGTCTTTAGTCAAAGCTTAACGCTTCCAAACTACTGCCAGTCAGAAAATCTTTGAATCCACCTATGATCTATAAGCTTCCTCTTCAAGATATACCGCCTCTTTAGACTGGACCAATGTATACCTTCTACGGATTGATTTGTAATTTTACCCACCGTTTTTGTCTTGCTAAAATGTATAAAACCAAACTCTAACCAGAACTCCTTAGGGACACTCCCTCAGGACTGTTCCAGACTATCTTTGCTGGGCCGTGGTCACTCATATTGGCTCAGAATAAACCTCTTTAAAATGTTTTACAGAATTTGTTTTTTTTTCCATTAACATAATTATTATTATGCATATACCAGGAACTAAGGTAGGGGCTTTAAATTAATTATTATAGCAGTCCTCACCACAGCTCTATAATACTTTCTAATGATAAAAAGTAGTCCGTCACTAAAAAGATGGTTATTTCTAATGACAAAGGAAAACAGGCATACAGAGTTAACCAAATTGTCCAAAGTCATGTGTTCTTTAATTGACAGAATCATAATCTACTCTAAATCCTACCTTTTACATTAAGATAAATTACTTCTTACTCATTCTGATAGGAAAATGCTATCATGTATTTCTATTTTCTGTATTTCTTATTTGATACACTTAACATGTATATTATGAAATATATTTATATGTATATAATTTATTTCAACATATATAAATTTATATACATATATAAATTTATCCGTTTATATTTATACATATTTATATGTATCTTTTATAATATACAAAACAATATTTATATTTATAAAATATACATACACAAATATATTAAAATATACTTGTGTACATTTATATTATATATAAACAAATGCATAAGAATGTCATAAAATATATTTGATATTATATTATTTAATATTTAATAAAGCTCATTTTGAAAATGGCTTTTACCTATATCTCAACTCTGCTATCAGGAATCAAGTAAGTTTGCAGTCCATAAATGGGATGGGCACAGAATAATCTTGCAGGCCTAGAATAGAATTAGCAGCAGGAATCAAAGAGCAAAATGCCAATAGAGAGTTGAAACAGAAAAACAAACGTCATAACCTAAATTTCTTGTGACTGAGTTCTTTCTCAGCCATGTGAAATGAATATGCAATTCCATTCTTAATACCCCTACTAATAAATGTAAGCATTGATGTTGAACACGCCTTAATGATCTGGGATACTTCTGGAAACTAAACTTATGTTCTAGTTTATGTCCATAAAATTATAGTAAAAAAAAAAAAAAGACTCTAATCAAAAAATGCCTGAGGACTTTAGGGGCTTGATATGAGTAGTTGGTGACCCAGAAACCTCCAAGGTGACACCTAATTACAGATACATATTAATACCGGTAGCATTACACAGTGGCTTTTACTAATAAACTCTAACAAATCAGAGAACGGGTTATTTGTAGGGGTGTAGAGCAGAAATAGATCTGGGGTTTTTTCTGACAGAGATTTAAGAGAATCTAATTATGAATCAGAAAAATCTGGGCTTAATTCTATTTCTGCAATTCACTTCATAACTGGGAAAACCACTTATCCTTATCTATAAAATAAAGATGGGTTTGTATTCCTACTCCAAAATTTATTGTGAAAATGACATCTTTTTAAATAATATGTTGAAGAGCCTTATAAATTGACAAAGAAAATGGGAATTCACGTATTTAATCAACAAATATTAATGAAACATCAGATATTCTGTGGGAGGCACAAAACACAGCAGACCTAGCTGCTTTGAACTAGGTAAGAGCTGCGCCACCTAAAACAGCTCTTCCAATAGAGCTTTCCATGGCAGGCCACCTAAGTCAGGGAAGGTCACTCAAAGTGAAACCACAGGAACAGAAAGACTAGTCCAAAGACTGTTGCAAAGATCAGACAGCAGCTTCAGGGAGCTCAAACAATAGCAAGGGAAACAGATTGAAGCATTATTATGGAGGCAATAGGTATAAAGCTTAGTAACTATCATTTGTGGTGAAGTAGAGAAGGGGAAATAACTGAACTGATCCCAGCTTGCACGATTCTTCAATGGGACTATTTCAGTCAAAATAGAGAATAAAAAAATTAGGTTTGGAGAAGTGTAGGGTGTGAATAGATGTGTGTTTTTGAGCAGCGAGCAGCCTAAGCTATTCAACTGTTAGCCCTAACAGTGAATTACATCTGAGGCTCAGAGAAGAATTCTGGGTGGAGATGTGAGAGTCAACAGTTTACAAGTGATAATTGAAACCGCAGGATGAGTGCATAAAGTTAAAAAAAAAAGGTGAGAAGAGATAAGGTGAAATAAGAAAAGGGTCAAAAACAAAACCTTTAGAAAGAACACTTAAAAAGTTAGGCAGAGACTTATAAGAGTCAGCAAAACAAAGGAAGGCGACCTGAGGTCAAAGGAGAACAGTGTAGTCTCACAGACGTCAGGAAAGAAAAACAGTGTTCAGGAAGAGAATGCTCAATCGTGTCAAAAGCTAGAGAGTGTTATATCATAGCCATCAAGAGTTTCATAGTGAAATGAAACAGCCTTTGAATTCCAGCTTTGCCCGGTATGGAGAACAACTTATGCAACCTCTCCAAGCTTCAGTTCCATCTTCTTTTAATTGAGGAAAGGATGCCGTCTCTCTTCCAAGGGCTGAAATGCTTAGTCTTGTCCTGATTATATAAAAAGCACCCAGCAAATATTACCTGCTATTACTAGTTTTAACTATTTTTAATAAAAAGAGGGATGAAAAGTAACTACTGCATTTTTGTAAGTGGGACATGACCTGTCCACCTTTAAAGAGTACATTCAGAGTGGTAAAAGTAGGAAGCTGACTGCATTGGGTTGAAAAGCATTTGACTGAACCAGATAAGATTGCCATTCTATACATCAAAATCAGTCCATTATCAGCAATGTCATATGATTCAACCTAGTCCACAGTTGAATAGTTGGGGAGATATTAACTGTTCGTTATTTTTTAATATAGTCTTGATATAAGGTGACAACTAGTGAGAGATTTGGGGGCTGGGAGAGTTGGTTTTTATTTTGTTTTAAAGAGAAACACGTACGCATATTCATAAAAGAATGAGCAGGTGCAAAGGAGGAGAATAAAATTAGATAAGAGGAAATTTTTTTAAGTCATTCAAGAAAGCATAGAGTAGCCACCATAAGCACAAGCTCTCTGTCTAGCTATTGACATTGAAAAATTTACTTAACCCCTCTATTACTCATTTTTCTCATCAATAAAAATAATAGCAACCATCTCATAAGATTATTGTGAGGTCTCAGAATAATACCCAGCATGTATGATGAGCTCTCTACTTAATAATACATTATCATTATTACTACTGCCATTGTCAATGTTACCAAGGCCCCATAATCCAACAAGTCGACAGAGGAGACTTTCCAAGTGGGTGAAAACATCAGTTACCTCCATGTTCTATTCAGGGACCACATCCCTGAATAGAACCAAGTATAAAATCCTGCCCTAGACACATGTATACATATGTAACTAACCTGCACATTGTGCACATGTACCCTAAAACTTAAATTAAAAAAAAAAAAAAAAATCCTGCCCTAGAGAGTCTCTTAAATTTCACCACCAGAGGGCCCCATCTTTGAACTCTAAAGGCTTTCCTTCAGCTGACAGAAGGCCTCAATTAGTTTGAAAGTTAAGAGAAGGGGTATGCTAGTTCCATAAAGATGCCATGACAAATAACACAAACAATGGCTGCAAACAGCAGAAATGTACCCTCTCTGAGTTCTGGAAGCCAGAAGTTCTAAATCAAGGTGCAGGCAGAGCCCTATTTCTGCCAGAGCCTTTGAGGGAAAATCCTTCTTTGCCTCTTCCAGCTTCTGGTAGCTCCAGATGTTCCTTCACTTGTGCTCACGTAACCTCAATATCTGTCTCTATTTTCACATGGTCTCTCTGTATCTATGTCTCCTCTTCTTTTCCTTATGAGGACACTTGTTACTGGATTTAGAGCCCACTCAGAGCTCATCTCAAGACCCTTAAAGTAGTTACATCTGCAACGATACGTTTTGCAAATCTTTCATGTTCACAGGTTCTGGAATTATGGACACTACTTTTCATGGGTCATCATTCAAACTACAGAGGATATTTCCTACATCTTTTTCACCTTCTCCACACGAGGGGCACAGGTTTTACTTATCCCTAGAGGTCATGAACTAACCAAATTTATCTCTGATTCTCAGCATTTTCACAATATTAAACCCATTTAGTTTAGTATTAAACTAAACTAGGCATAATTTAAATGGTAAATAAGGACATTTAAATGTACAATAAATTGTTCTACTTTGTCTAGAATAAGCCTTGCTATGTGTAGCATTTCATAGTAATTGAATCTTTTACTTTTATTCAATTATACTACAGACACCACCACAGTTTTGGGGGAACAGAGGAAAAGTGATATGAAAATTTTTACAATTTGGAGACGTCTTCTTCGAAAAAATAAAATTTGGTAGTATTTAATATGCATGTATTGCCTAAAATATATTTTGTTTTGTTTACTCTACATAATACTATGTTCAATGAAAATATGAAACTGCAAATGCTTTAATATGTGTTTTAACATTGACATTGCAAAAGATTTGTATTATATTACTATTATGACACACAATAATCACAAGGATTATGTGACATTATGGCTTTCCAAAAATAGGTTTCTATTACTTTCATAGACCAATCAAAGCAAGAACAGACCTAGCAATATATTTGTTGTAATGCTTCCTCAAAAATAGGAAACTTGAGCTATGTCCCAAATATTCCCATAGTTAAGCCAACTTGAAGCGGTTACCCTCCCAGAAACATCAGTGTCTGCAGGGTGAGTAGCACATTAGACTTAAAGATATGAGATCTATTACGTATCTATTATAACATTGCATCTGCGCAGCTGCATATTATAAGTTTTTTGTTTGTTTTTCCTTTCTTTCCTGAGACAGAGTCACATTTTGTCACCCAGGCTGGAGTGCAGTGGCACGATCCCAGCTCACTGCAACCTCCGATTCCTAGGTTCAAGTGATTCTCCTGCCTCAGCCTCCTGAGTAGCTGGAACTACAGGCGCCTGCCACCACACCCGGCTAATTTTTATATTTTTAGTAAAGACGGAGTTTCACCATGGTGGCCAGGCTGGTATCTAACTCCTGGCCTCAAGTGATCTGCCCGCCTTGGCTTCCCATAGTGCTGGGATTATAGGCATGAGCCACTGTGTTCAGCATATTATGAACTGGTCTTCATTTTCAAAGATGATATCTTTGAGTGGGCTGGAAGAAACTGTCTGTAATTTCACTTCTGGCTTTCACATGCTACGTCCTCCAACCTACTACCAGCAGAAATGTCCTTGAGTTGTTTTTCCTATCAAGAAATTGTGCTGACCCAGACTGCTTCTGTCTCCAGATTTGTCCTGTGACACATGACAAACATTTACAAGGTAGAGATCATGACCAGGGGTGCAATGTGTGGCTTTCGAGTGGAATGAAGCTAATTGCCCTACACAAAAATAGATCAATGATCTTGTTAGCACAGCACTCTAAGCAAATGTTTTTATGCAACAGGTTCAAATTCTGTGTGCAAACACAGAGAGGTGCACACAAAGAGAGGTGCACACTGTAAAATGCAAGACTGGTGACATCCAAATCAATCTAAAACAAATCCAGTCCACTTTTCATGTGCTAGAACCACTAATTCTTTTAATCAAGGTAAAGTATCTTAATTAGCACAAATAAGCATTTCTATGGTAACAGATGCATATCAAACTCAATATTTGTATTTGTGACATTTCTTTACTTGGATGAAAACAGTAGTCCAGAGAGTTTATGTATGCGTATGAATGTGTGTGTGTGTGTGTGTGTGTGTGTGTGTGTGTGTGTTTAATTGAATGTGAATATTCAGCAGGTTTATTATTATCCATATAAATAATACCATTAAACAAGAAAGTCGTGTGAGAAATAATATTCTCTTAAAGGTGGATTTTTGACCTTCTAGTTCAGTAGCAAACAAATAAATGAGAGATAACCACATGTTCACTAATTTTATAATGCCCACCTTAGAGATGCAGCATGTTCTTCGATAAAGTTCAAAAATAACATTCCAATTTTCAAAAAGGCTGGCAAACATATTGCCTACTAAATCTCAATGGTCCAGCGGCTTCTCTGGCTCAGTAATCCAAACAACATGTCATTCCTAGAGGGCCAGAAATATTGCTATTTGAACACAAAACAATCTGGAAAAAGATGGCTTTCTGCTATGATATATAATAAACCACTGGAACTTTTGTTGACAATCTAAGGTATAAAGGAACTTTCACAATCCAGAATTAAATCTTACAGCACCTACAGATTCTTGTGAACCTGGGTTCTTTTTTTTAAAATTTGAGTCATAGACAGTTGTATGGACATAGTTACACAATCTTGAAGACATCTATTGTATTTATTTGTATGTATTTTATTTTATTGTATTGTATTTATATCTCCATGAATAAGTCAGACTTGCTCTATCCAAACTGATTTTCACAGTGCATTATGAGTTTTCCTTCATATTTAGGATATTATACATTCTAGTTGCACAGAATTCTATGTTACTTAATACATTTGCAGGCTTTTGAAACTATCTTTTGTTTCACATCATTTCTGTTTTGACTTGAATTAATTCGTAACCTTGAGGCTGTATTTCTGCTAGCTCATTTGGAAAAAAAAAAAAGCTGTCATCTAAGGGAGGTGAATTAAAGTAGGTTAAAGAGAGAGAGAACTTTTGTTAACTGAAGGCCCCAAGACAAGAAGCATGATCTGTTCTGTTAAATAATCTCTTTTCATAATAATTTTACCCTATTATTTCAATACTGACCCATCAGCCTTGTATGGGGCAAAGGAGGGTATTATTTTGCATGACCAATTAAGGGACTATCTAAAAATACATTTAGCACTGTCAAACTTTTTTTCTTTGCTTTCACTGAAATGTTGCATGACCTGACCTGCTGTCAGGGTAGAAAGCAAAATGCTGGCTTTACAGTTGCACTAAGTTTAGGGATGCAGCATTGGCTGATATGTAATATGGTGCCACCCAGACAGGACCACGCTATTTCACAGCATTCTGAGTCAATTGAGCCTCATGACAGCCACACTGTCACCTGGCCCAACTGAGAAAATTTTCTTTCTTCTATCCTACCTTCATGACATCCTAAATCTAGAAATAACAGGTCGCTTCATTTGTACTATATTATGAAATCTGTAGTATATTACTGAGAGTTCAGGGTGTGTGTGTGTGTGTGTGTGTGTGTGTGTGTGTAGACATGGTCATACACGTGTACTAAATATCAAAACTATTCAATTACTCAGAATTTTCATTTGTAGTTTGATTGTTATAGTTAAAATGCAACCATATGTGAAGTTTCAAGAGATGGTAATACCAATTACCTCAGGTTTGATTGTTTCAATAAGGTATAGCAAACACTTTGTCACACCTTACAATTTGATAAGCACCTTCCTATGCACTATCTCACATCCTCACACCAATGCAGTGAGCCAAAAATCCTACTTTCTTTAATGGCACAAGCTCAGAAACAGATATGAGCTGAAGCCCAGGCACAGAGGACTAGTCTAGTCTACACCACAGTTAACTTCCACAGGGCAGAAAAGTGTGTGCAGAAATGAGAAGTGGATAGGATTTATCTTTGTTTCTTTTTTTTTCATTTTCTGCCCACGATTTCTTCACAGTGCACTACTCAGTGATCTCTTGCTGCTTTGTAGGGTTCTCTCAGAGAAAAAAACGTAGGCATGAGGAACACAAACAAATGAGATTTTTAACACCCATTCACAGAAAATAACTTTAATAAGAAATATTTGGTAATTTTGCCATCTACGTGGGAGCCCCATAGAAACAGTATGTTGTTGATATGTTTAGAATTCTCCATAGGAAATGAGCCAGCATGAAAGTACGCGACAGGATATATGTTCAAGCAACATCTGTTCATTCCAAAGATGGAATTTCAGCTAAGGTTTCACTTACTCATCCATTTACATCATGTTTTACTGCTCTCATTGGCTGAGAGCTCTTCCTTGTTAGACTGAATTCCACTTAATTTGTTACCTCCATTTGTACCTGAGAATAAGAGATAATGTGCTCAAATTTCACAAGTATCTGTCAATTATATTGTACTCTTACTTTTTCCATCCAGGTTCTAAGATCCTGCCAATAAATTTTACAAAATTGACAGTTCTCATTCTGGCAGAGCATCTTATTGAGGCTAATAAACAATTATATATCACAATAATACTAAAGAACAGAAGCTTAATTAGTACGCGTGCTATTGACTATGCCCCATTTATTAAGTTGAAACTTGACATGGAATCATATTTATACAGTCAGAAAATCACTTGCATACTTTCCTATGGAGGCACGAGATGAATTTCAATAGTATTTATAAAATCTTTTGTGGGCCTCTCTGGAAGAGCTGTTTTGAGGATTAATTGTTGACTCTAATGTGCTTATGATAACACATAAATGCTAACAAGTGACTCAAACAGGCAGCATAGCCATAAAAATAATGACGAGTTGACATCCTTTAGCTCCACAGTTTAAGGACAGGAGAGTGTGTAACTTCAAAATCAATGAAATAAGAGATATAGATACTTGAAAATTAGAAGCTTTGTTGTTAGTGAAGAGATAACTGGGAAAGTAGTAGCTTTACATATGGCTAGGCAAGTGGCAGTAAAATGTATAGAAACAAAATGTCAGAACAAGGAGAGACCTAGAGGATTCCTATATAAATAACATTACTTTATGGAGAGGCCAAGTGTCTTAGGCAGAACCCACAGCAACTAAAAAACAGTCAATTCTTTTGACTTTTAGTTTAGTTCTCCTTCCAATAAAACACTGTATCACATCTGCCCCTAGACAAAGTATAAAAGGCACATTTTTCTTTGCTATTCTTTCTTGCTTAATTTCACCCTCAGCCCAAAACTCCCAGGCACCACATGTGCTCAAATGCTGACTTAGGGGCCTTTTGTTCATTTCCTCTTTCATCTCAGCTCTTCTCATTCTCAGATCCTCTTGTTCCCAGATCTCACTTTATACTGTACATGCATGTTTCCACCCCATCAAACTTTTTTCTGCCACCTTTAGTTGCCTTTTAGGTATTAACTAATTCATTATTCATCATTAATGGAAAAATCTGCATACTGAAGACATTTTTACTGGATGTTTGCATTTTAATCGATTTACTAACTCCAATAAATTGATTTCTTTGATGACAATGTAGTCCTTGAGATAGGTCAATAACATAGATGTCTTTGGCAAAAGAGTCACTTGGTGAGTCACCAAAAACGAATCTTGCAGCTGAAGGCTACTTGACTACTTCCTATATCCCTCCTAAAGGTGAACAAGATGAGATGAATAAAAAGGTCAGTTTTTCAGAAGGATGAACTGGAAATAGAGTGCCCCTATCAAATACAACACTTCATTCATGTAGAACATTTCAGAAGCATTGCAAACAGAACAAAATTAGACAATTTTGCTCTGCTTGGAATTTTCTATTTTGTTTAAATTTTCAAACTTATTGTCATAAATGTTTTACAGTGTTTTCTTACTATCTTCTTACTCTTTGTATATCTGTGGTTATGTGTCCCCATTTTCATTTCTAATATTTTCCTTTCAAGTTTTCCATTTTTTTAGTTTTAATAAAGTTTTATCAATGCTTATATTAATATTGGTTCAAATACCAAACTTTAACATAATAAGCTTTTTGAATTTTATTAATTTATTTTCTACCTTAATATTTAATGTCTTTTTATTTCCTTTGGATGTATTCCTTTATTTAGCCTTTGCCTCTGAAGGTAGATATTTATCTGCTTTATCTGACCTATTTAGTTTTCTAATATCAGTATCCTTAGCTTTTTTTCCCTCTAGGTTCTTCTTTAGCTTCATGCCACAATTTTGATATAATTTTTTATTATAAAGATATAAGCATTTTTTTATTTCCTGTTATTGCTTTTCCTTTGACCCTTAAGTTAAATATAATATTAAAATAGCAACTAAGCATGGCCAGTAGGGAAATTATATTACAGTAAATAGCATAACTCAATATATTACCCATTCTTTTCATCAGCATCATTGATGTTTTAAAATTGTTTGTTTATCCATCCCTTCATTCATTCATATTTCCCCTACGGAACTATTTTATAATGAGGTCAAGATGTCATTGGTTACCATTTGGAAGAACAACATAAACTGAAAGAAGTTGAAAAACTTTGAATCTTAAACAAACTGTTTAGGCCAAAGAAGAAATAAGGACAAATATGTAATGGCAGAGTCTCATGTTGGCACCATTTTGCATCAGACTTCTTGGATTACTGATATTTACTTCATCTCTTTGACATTGCAACAGTCTGGTAGTGTTCATGAGAAATTTAAAAGACCTTTTCTAGGTCAGTAGATTTATAGAACCAATGTGGAAACTCCTGTTAAATGCCAGACTTTTGGAAACTTAATCAATCTTTGCTGCAAATAGGTCCAAGTCCCTGAGTGCTAGCTCTAGGAATGTAGAAAAATATCCAAATCGTGCTTTAACTATAAAATTTTTTTGCTTGAAGGAAATTGAAACTTGAAACTACCCTTTGATATTGCCTGCCATGGAATTTAAATGTAAAATTAAAGCATGAGCAAATTGAGAGACACACAGAAAGAGAGAGAGAAAGAAATAGAGAGAGAGAGAGAGAGATCAACTTCCATTTGCTCTATTTTGTCCTTAGATTGAATCTCACTTATGCATTCACTGCTTCATTCAACAAGCAAAGAGTAAGTGCCCATTATCACAAGGTACTGTCTCAGGTATAGCAATGAGACAAGCAGGGAACCTGATCTCACAGAGCTTACCTTCTAGTGAGGGGGTGAGAAACAGTAAACAAATATAAAATGTAGTTGTAATTGTTATTTAAAAAAAAAATGTAGGGCAAGATAATTCAGTGTCTGGGAGCCTACTCTGGAATGGTGATCACAAAACCTCTCAAAGGTGAAAACATTTAAACTGAAGTGTGACTATTAAAAAGAATCAAACTAAGTAAACACTCTATGAAAAAATCATTTCAGAGGGGGAAACAGCATGGGCAAATTCCACAAGGGAGGAATGAGACTGATGTGTTAAGGACATTAAGAAGGCAAGCATACTTGGAATATAGTAAAAAGGAAGAATCATACAAGATAAAGTCTGAGAGAGAGTGTAGGCCAGGATCCCTTAGGGCCTCGTGGGCCATGGTGAAGAGTCTGAACTAAATCCAAGATGATGGGAAGCTGCAGAAAGATTTCAAGCAGGGGACTGCCATTTAATCACATCCTCCTCATTATTCCTGCAGGCCCAAGGGCTTTGAAGATGTTTGGTCTGTAAATTGCCAAAACACTATCAACCTATCTTTAGTTTGGTACTACATAAAGTTTGGCTCCCAAGGTATAATTTGTAAACTAAATGATATTATTCTTATACTGTGACCTGGGGAAAAGAAAATATTCAGTGTATCAATTTCAAGTGCCTGGATATAAGAAGAAAATCTAATGTACTCTAGCTAGAAAGATTACAGTGCATCTTGTAAATATTTCTCCAGTGTATAATTCCCTACTTGGATGAGTTTTTACCTTGAATCAAACTTTAGTCTATTCTAGCCAAAGGAAAATAGAATACAAATTATGAATTCTTTCAAAAATAAAGGAAAAATGATATTCTACAATAAATGCAGAAGCCTGTGCTCTATTATCGTTCTTGCATCCAGAGATCATTGTAGAATGACAGCTTTGCTAACAGGGCATTTCTGGGTAAGGCCATGGTCTGCTGAAATAGAGCTATTAGGAAAACAAATGATTCTCTTTAGCATCTTTGCACTAGCATATGTTTTATGCAGCTATATCATGCTGTAGCCTCCCATTGATATACAGTGATTCTTCTGAAGTGTTTTAAAGACAAAGCAGTGGCAGAAGTTATCATTCACTTGCAATATTAAAAACCAACTAGAGTCATAAAATATCATAGAAAATATCACCCACCCTGAATTCTCATTTACCAAGGGTCAATAACTGATATTTTGATGCATTTCCCCTTATTCATTAGATTCCTTTACCTGATTAAATGTATTCTGTCACTGTATTAAAATGCTTACCTTTCCACATGTCTATGAATTCTAATGTTTTAGATTATTCTTACTTAAAAAAGCAAATTAAGGCACCTGCATGCTCTTTAATAAAGGCAAAAATCATCTCTTAAACTCTATTAAGATTTACTCTAAAATGATTACATGAACATGCTATTTTTAAATAACAGAAAGAATTTAAATACTTTCACAATTGGGGAACTTTGGAGAAAGCAAGAGAGGGATGTTAGTTATGATAAAGGTCAGGGTTTATGAAATGGAACAGAAAGGAAAACCTAAATTAAAGCACACTAATTAGCTGTGAACAGCATACATTCTCTCTATTCACACCTCTAACCAAGGCAATGTTCCAGGCAGGCATAGGGATGGGGCAAGATGCTTATAGTGTTTAAGCCAAGTATGGTTTGCCTACACCTGAGAAGCTTCTCATGGGATATTAGCAACATTACTTGGGCGTGGCAGCTGTTTATATTTGAAAACACCTATAAAAAGAAGAACAGACAAAAGACAGACTTTCTGATTCAGAACTTTTCAAGATGGAGTCCAGGCATCTATCTTTAAGAACACACTAAAGCCATCTTTTTCTAGTCATATCTGAACTTATCCCTCCTTTTTCGAAACATGCTTGTCAAGCAGATTTTTGTTCTTTCTTCTACTCCAGATATTTTATTGTCATAAATGCTTTGCACTATGCCTAGAACACTCAGTTTTGGATTTCTTAAAATCCAAAATCTTTTTGGATTTTCTAAAAATGTTCTCCAAACAAATCTTTCTTTCAATCACAATATTTCAATGATAATTCCCTTAGAACAGGAAGGAAATTTAGAAATAAGAAATATAATTGGAAATAAAAGCATATAGATTCTCATCTGTGAAATCTATTTTGTTGTTTTGTCTTACTTGCTGTTATTTTGTTTAATCTTACTTAGAGTTTGCATCCAGAAGACTAAAACGTTATTTCCTAATCTAATGTTACCTCTTAGGTTGGTGCCAAAGTAATTATGGTTTTTACTATTACTTTCAATGACAAAAACCACAATTACTTTGGCACCAACCTAATAAACGTCAACATTTTGCTTTCTAAGGGATCCCAAAACAATGCTGGACACTATGTTCAGGCTCCAAGTTGCAGTGATCTTTTATAGATGATCTTGAAACGGCACTCCAGTTAACCCGCTGATGAGCAGGGTGGTACCAAGCTCCCTTGGCCCTCAACCTTCTGCGTGCTAAGGACTCAGACAGCTTCTAGTTGGGTTCACTCAAACACAGCAGCAGGATCAACTCTACCAAACCATTTCCACTCGTCAGCCAAAAATACATACAATCTTGCACACTTAATTTTAGAATGTAATTCATGGGGCTCTTTCCCAAATCCCTCAGCACAGCATCTGTTCAGAGTTGGCCCATATGACATAGTCTGACAGTTTTTGTTCCTTTCCCAAGAGAATCTCTTAAGGATATCAACTTCTCAGTCGTCTTTGAACAGTAAGTGCTGTCTCTGATGTCAAGCTTTGGAATTGCTGCATCTAAATATTGTTACCCAACTCTTGATTATGGCTTATATTTTGTAAGACATTCATTCACAAATGTTTATTGAGGGCCTACCATTTGCCTGACACCATGCTTATAACTAGGAAAAAAAAAATGTAAAACAAGCATGATCTCTGTCCCAAGAAACTCCAGATGGGAGGGTTGGGGGGAACCAGAGTCAAAAAAGTTTAGGGTGGGAAAGGGAAGGGAGGTCTACTTCTTATCATGGCTTCACACCAGATGTTCTTCCTGTTCATATAGTTCTACCACTCTTCTAAAGGGATACAACAATCCAGGCACAGAAAGGAGATTATAGCCTGTAAGCCCTAATTTCCACATCAGCGTGCTTTCTGCTACATAACTGAAACTAAAATTCATTTGACTAGCATTTAAATAAAAGTTTTCCTACTTTTGTTCTTATTGCAGTTATCTTTCAAGGCCCAGAGACATAACATGTGCAAATTTTAAAAAACGACTGTAGGATAGGATAGGAGACTGTAGGATAGGAGACACTTTTTGTTTATGAGTCAGAAAGCTTAGTTACACAGAAGAAAACTACAGAGCACCTGTCCTCTGAGGAGAGTCCCATATTTCACAGATAGTGTTCAATTATTCCTTACAATATTCCTATGATGCATCATGATGAGATTACTAGTATTATGCACAGCACTTTTCCTCCTTGGACCTTGAAGGTGCCTTTTACAGAATCAGACATAAAAGAAGGTAATTCTCATAGTGCTCCAGGGAGATGGAAAAATATATTAAAAACCATGGAAAGACCAAATCACTATTGGTGGCTAGGGAAATAAGAGTCACTGAGAGTTAAGGGACTACACAACAGCTCTGGAAAAAAAAATTTGTCCCTACTTTTTAAAGCAACAGACCCTCTTACAACATGTTTATGTATGGCTGTGTTCAGGGAGCATAACTGGAACTGGAAGAGCAGAAGCAGTAAAGAGAAAAGAAAAACCTATATTGATTCAAAGTCTTCAGGAGTCAGGACAAGTGGAGAAGGTGGGACAATGCTCTGTTGCTCTCACTTTTGTTCATTTATAAGTTCATGCATTTCACACATGTGTTTTGTGTACTGTGCTAGAAAAAGAGGATGACAGAAATGAGTGCAACAGTTTCAGGTCTTCCTGTCTGCAAGTCCATATCCTTCATAGCAAGGGAAACAAAGAGAAAGTATATGAAATCTACAAAGGCAGTGATGTTCACATCTATGTCCACCATGCCAGGCACATTGTGGGCCACTCAGTATTTATTGAATACATGGATGACTTCACAAACGGGTTTCAAAGCATAGAGAGGTGAAGCTAGGTTACTGTATGCCCTTGAACTTTTCTATTTCTACCATGAGTTCAAACAGGTTTCTGTCTATGGTGGTTTCCTGTAACCTGATTGAAACATACACACATACACACATACATGTGCACACACACACACACACGCACCATTTTATGAGTGGGGGAAACTGATGTTAACAGACTTCCCTAGATTCACGCAAGAAGCAGAGGGGACTTCACAACATGTCATTGTCACTCCCAGTTTAGAGATTTCTATATTAAATAAGATGACTGCAAATTAAATGTTCTACTGTCCTAATTAAGCATACACTGCCCCTCTCCAAATCTTCAACAGCGTGATGTTCCTTAGTTATCAGAGACCACATGATACCACAGCCTGCGGCTGTTGATCAGCGTAGCCCCACTCTTCCCTGAGGACCTTTGGGTCTCCTATTCCTGCAGTGACAGAATGGACCATCACATCCATCTTCTACTGAACCAACCTAATTAGTGTCTGATGAATCTCAGTGATAGCTTATGCATTTAGACACCAAGAATTTTCATTGATCTCCAATTCTTCAATCTCTTTAATATGTATTGGCAAGAAGCTATTTTCCTCTCATTCTGTTTTCTTTCAGATATTTTAATAATATATACATTCTTGCAGTTACCATTGGGATTTACATAGTAAATGTAAGGTGTTTTTTTGTTTACTTATGTGAAGATGAATATTAACTTTTTTATTTCTGAAGAAACATCATGTGACCATTCTATCTGAATTCCAGGAAAAATACTATCAGTAGATATTACCATTCCTAAATATAAGGGAAAATATCCCTAGTCTCAAGAACAGAAACAAGTGTCCAAGGATTTGTCAAAAAAACTTGTTCAAAAAGGACTTCATGGCTTAAGAACGTCTCCAGAATTTATGGTTTGCATTACTGGGCCCATTCATTCTTTTAATTTTTAAGTGAAAATAAAAAGCAGAGGGAAAACAAATAGCAAACAGCCATGAAACCAGTCAAAACTGATGTATTACCAGGATCAACTTAAAGGCTAAGGCAGCAAATATACATGTTGGACTTCATTTTGTGAAAATTATAATGATAAATTTTGTGGAGAGAACTTGGGGAGGCATTTTTATAATGATCTGTATACACAGGATAAATAATATGACTCAAGCTACAAGAATAAATGTTTATTATTTCTTTTAAAAAAATCTATTTGGGGAAAGACATAAGCTGCTATTTAACCTTGTAGTAATAACTCAAAATAAGAAAAAAATGCATATATATCAGAAATAAGAAATTAGAAATGGACAATGACATCCTTCAATTCCATATGTCAATAAAGAAGATACAGAATGCTGGGTATGATGGGATAATTGAAATATAAAGTGACTATGGCAGGGGAATTTTAAAATAAACTGTCCAACCAAAATCCCAGCATATTTGACAAAAGAAGAAGCACCCACTTGTAGCTTAGTTATCTCTACTTCACAAGAGTGTATATATGAAGCATATATGTGCTCTGTGTTAGTCTGTTTTCATGCTGCTGATAAATAAATACCTGAGACTGGGAAGAAAAAGAGGTTTAGTTGGACTTACAGTTCCACATGACTGAGGAGGCCTCAGAATCATGGCAGGAGGCAAAAGGCATTTCTTACATGACAGTGGCAAGAGCAAATGAGAAAGAAGCAAAAGTGGAAACCCCTGATAAAACCAACAGATTTTTTGAGACTTGTTAACTATCTCGAGAGTAACATGTGAAAGACTGGTCCCCATGATTCAATTACCTCCCCCTGGGTCAACATGTGGGCATTCTGGGAGATACAAGTCAAGTTGAGATTTGGGTGGGGACACAGCCAAACCATAACATGCTCAAAAGTATTTTTTAACCACAGAGATGATATTTTTCAGCAGGGGGTAAAATTAAAAAGGGACCATTTTTAGGCATCAATTCTGAAGAGAGTGCTGATATGAAAAAAAAATACACACATAAGACATACCTGGTTAATGACAAATTGATGTTTTCAAATATTATTTTTGAAAAAAGCTTTTTGAAGAGCTAACAATAAAAATAAAAAGCTATAGCCAAATTGAAATAAATAAAAAGGTATATAGGTATATTCTATAGAAAAAAGGAAGTAGAAATTTAAGGCAGGAAAAGGGGCACAGAGAAGAAAAGAAGGGGTCAAGGGAGGAAGAGAATAAAACAGTGGAAACTAACAATAAATTCTCCTCCATAAGTAAAAGGCAAAGTAGTAGGACAAGGTAAAACAACTGTCTAGAAAACAAACTGGTAGAAATATTTCAGCCAAATTTAAAAGAAATGAAATTAATCTGATCAGTAAACCATTTTCACAGTTTGGGCAAAAGAAGTTTTCAGGTGAAGGGTGAATATAAAAGCCACCCTAAAGAGATCAGGACCTGAGCCTGCAGAAGTTCAACTCTTTGCCAGGGAGATTCTATAACAAAGAATGAATGTGGTAACAAAAGCTATACAGGACTGCCCATCATTTTCTGAAATCCAACTAAATCCTCTCTCCCAACTTAGAAAAGAAAATTAGGACTCAAAAGTCACATATTTCATATTATCAGGTATATTGAGGTGTCACTGGCATACATACAATAAAATCCACATATATTTACGCCCATAGAACCATCATAGCAATAAGATCCATCATCACCCCACAAATGTCTTCTTGGACCATTGTGAGTCCTCCCTCCCTGCACACTGCCTTGCATCCCTTTACCCGTATTTGCTAACCATTGATTAGTCTGTATATTCTACTAGAATTTTATAGATGAAATTATACAATCTGCACTCTTTTTGATCTCGCTTTATTTTCTTGAATTGATATAATGTGTTTATCCACCAATCTGTCGATGGACACTTGGTTTATTTCCAGTGGTTATTTCAAATAAACCTGCTGTAAGTATGCATGGACAGTCTTTGTGTGTACCTAGCACGTTCATTTCTCTAAGCTAAAGGCCATAGAGTAAAATGCCCAAATCACATAACCAGTGTCTCCTGATATTGGTAGTTTGTGTCTTTTATCTTTTTTTTCTGATCACCCTAGCTAGAGGTTTATTAATTTTATTGACTTTCTCACAGAACTGGCTTTGGTTTCACCATTTTTTCTCTATTTTCTACTTTTGTTGTTGTTGTTTATTGTTTCCTTTCTTTTGCTTACTTTGGGTGTCATTTGCTCTTCCATATTTAATATTGTAGGGTAGAATCTGAATTGACTGGCATATCTTTGTCCTAGTATAAGTGTTTAGTACTGGACATTTTTCTCTAAATAATGTTTTAGTTGCAATTGAAGCTTCAGAAGCATGTGGTCATACATTTTTCTTTAGTTGCATTCAATGAGTTTTAAAATATTAAATATCCATTTTCCTTTATTTCACAATACTTTTTAATTTATCTTGGAGTTCTTAATTGACTCATAAGTTATGGATAAGTATCCTATTTAGTTCTCAAATGTATGGATATAATCCAAATATTTTTCTATATTTGATCTTGAAGTTAATAACATTGTGATAAGACAATATATCTTATAGGAACTGAATTTTTAAAAATTACTTGAGACTGTGTTCAAGAATGTGGCCTACATTGGTAAATTATCAGTGCACATTTGAAAAAAAAAATGTGTTTTATTGTGGTTGGTGGAGTAGTATATAAATATTGATTTGGTAAGTTGGTAAATAGTATTGTTCAAGCCCTTTATATAATTGCTGAAGTCTTTTTTCCTGGAACTTTTTGAAAGAGAGCAGCTTAATCTACTCTTATTGTTGATATGTCTATTTGTCCTGAAAATTGTCAGTTTTTGCTTCACAATTTTTGACATTCTTACTAAATACATACATTTTATGATTTTTATCGTATTTTGAGGAACTGACCTGCTTATCAATAACTAATGATTCCCTTTTTCCTTTGAGATATCCTTCACCCCGAAATCTACTTTATCTACTACTAAAATAGCCACTCCAACTTTCTTCTCTTTAGTGTATATTTTGTGTGTAGTCTCTCATTTTTCATCGTTTTACTTTTAAACTTTTCTGTCTTTATATTTAAAGCGGGTTTCTTCAAAACAGTATATAGTTGGGTCTTACTTTTTAATGTAATCTGACCAATTCTGCAACTCAGTTGGGATATTTAGATCATTTACATTTGGTGTAATTATTGATCCATTTGAACTTATATGTACTATCTCTAATATCTTATTTGTTTTTAATTTGTTCCATAGTTCCTTTTTCCCTTTTACTTTTTGTCCTTCTTTGGTTCAATCATATATTTCTTTATAATTTTATCTTTTTTGTTCATTTAGCATAATTCTTTGTTGTATTATTTTAGTCATTACCTTTGGGCTTATAGTATACATCTTAATTGATCCCAGCTAACCTCCAAATTATATTATACTATTTTATTTATAGTATAAGAAATTTATAGTAGTATAGTTCCTTTTCTCATCTTTTGGCTTGTGTACTATTGTGGTTATACATTTTTCTTTTATATATGGCATAAACCACAAAATGTATTGTTATGATTTTTACTTTAAACAGACCATTGTCTTTTATTGAGTTTAAATAATTTTAAGTTTTAATATTTATCAGTATAGTTATAGATAATATAGACCTAGATCTATAAAAAAATCTTTATTCTTTTCTATAGATCTAGATTTGCATGCTGTATCATTTTATTTTTGTTGGAAGAAATTTCTTTAAAAACTCATATAGTGTGATGTTAAAGAAAATATTTTCCAGTGACACTTGTGAAAGCATAGTAAGAAAGACTTTACTTGGGACCACTGTGATGGGTATAGAGACCACTGCAACAAGGTCTTGCAAGAAGAGAGAGACTGTGATCATCTCCAAATACAACATGGGAAAGCAGCAATTTACAGTCAAGGAGCAGGGTGAGGACCAATGGCTAGCAAATTACTGAGAGGAAACATCAGGCGTAAGGAGAATTCTGGCTAACAGGATTGACCTAACAGGATTCTTGCTAAAGACAGGCTAGGGTTATTTTATACATTCCTCGGGAGATGGTGGAGGATCAGAAACTTGATCAGATATTGACTGTGATCAGATATCAAAGGTGGGAGTTCTTGTCAAACTTAATTAGACAGGTTCTTTGCTAAAACTGTATTTTACAAGGAAGTTCACAGATGTGCCTAGGAGAAGATTCAGAAGTCTGTCTAAAGTTTGGCCAAGCAGACAATCTTTACCAGTGAAAACTTCTTTCAGATTTTGGATATCTGAAAAAAAAAGTTTTTATTTCACTTCGTGTTTCAAAGATATTTTCACAAAGATTTATTATAGAGTTTCAATAATAAATTCTAGATTAAAAGAGGAGTTTTTTTTTTCCTTTCATTACTTTAAGGATGTTGCTACACTCTCTTCTCACTTGTATTGTTCCCAATGAGAAATTTGCTTGTCATTCTTATTTTTGCTGCTTGGTATTTCACGTGCTCTCTCTGCCCTGCAGCTGCTCTAAAGATTTTCTCTCTTTCACTGTTTTAAGCAATTTCATTATAACGGATACTGATCTGTGGGTTTAGTTTTAATTATATATTGAAAATTTTCAGACATTGTTTATTTAGTTTTTTTTTTCTTTCCCTCCCACTTTGGAGAGTCCAATTACACATATATTGGCTTCTTCAGTTGTTTCTTTGTTCATTGATGCTTTGGTAGTTATTTTTAGTCTTCTTTTTTTTTTTTTTTTGCTATGTTTTCATTTTGAAAAGCATCTGCTGCTATTTCTTAAATTTCATTTATTTTTCTTCTGATGTTGATCCACTGTTAATGCTATCAATGTATTTTTTTGTCCTTGACATTACAGCTTTCATCTCTGAAAACTGCATTTAGATCTTCTTAAAATTCCACATTTGTAGTTAACATGTTCAATCTTTCCTCTAGCTTCCAGAACATATGGAATACATTCATAATCACTGTTTAAATGTTGTTGTCTACTAATTTTATCATGGGTCATTTCTGGGCCCATTGTGATTGATGGATTTTTCTCTTCATTATGAATAGTGTTTTTCTGCATCTTTGCATGTCCAACAATTTGTGCTTGTTTACCAGACTTCGTGAATTTTATCTTGTTGGGGAGGTTCTGCATATTTTTGTATTACTAAAAATCTTGTGCTTTCTTTTGAGACATGATTAAGTTACTTAAAAACATGTTGACCCTTTCAGGTCTCGCTCTTAAGTTTTGCTAGATGGGGTCTAAGCGGAATTTGGTCTGGGGTTAAATTACCCTTTACAAAGGCATGACACTCCTGAGTACCTTACCCAATGTCCCATGAATTATGAGGTTTCAGGTCTGGCTGCTGAGAACGGATCTAACCTGGGTGCCCCTCCCTATGGCACAGCCTAGAAACTCCCCAGGCAGTGAGCTGGGGCAGTACAGAAATTGCCTTTCTTGCCTCTCTCACCTGTTCTCTCAGGGATAATGGTGCCTTTTTGCCTGATGTCCAGTTTCTTGAAAGCCTTCATTTCACACATTTTGTCCTGCTTGTTAGTTGTTTCAGATAATAGAGTAAATCTGTTTTTTTCTTATTCCACCTTGACCATAATGGAAGAGTCACACAAATTTGGTTTTATCTCATTGATTTTATTCAAAAAAAAATATATGTAATCCTTGGTATTTTTGCTGTTATTTATAACATGTCATTCATAATAAACTGTGCCCCATGACTGGTGTGTGTCACTGTGTACCTAGGAGACATAAAGCATGTATTGAATTAAACACATCCTCCTAGAAGAAAACACCTAGGGAGGCAAAGGTTGTCTCAACGTAAGTACATTTCCGCATGGGCATTAGCACTCTAAGACTGAAAACACAGTTCTGGAAGACTAGGATTGAATTTTTTTTTTTTGCAGGACTAGGTATCTTAAAAGGAAGAAGCAGGTACCTTATTACCTAGGGAGGGGTTCATGTACATTACCGTGGATACATCTGGCATTTGCCAACATATGTCACATTCTACAGACTTTGATTCCTGTGGTCAAGTTCACAAGGTATTATTGGTAAACTCATGGGGTTGAAGAGGACATAGACTAGAGACTGTGGAGAGAAGATGTTTAAATCAGCATTTCTAGAATTTATCCCACAAATCAAATATTCAGGTAAAGTGAAGAACCACTAACACCTAGGGGGTCCTGGAATACTCTCAGCTTATCTTCAGCAGTAGAACCTGTCTCAGAGAAAAAAAGTGTTCTGGATGTCCTTCTTACTGGTTTGAGGACCAGGGGTTACTTAGTACAGAGCATTCCAAAAAAGCAAGAGGGCAGTGATGAGGATGAGGCTCAGAAGTTGCACATGTGTCATCTGCAAGCCTGCCAATTTCAGGACAGCAGTCTCCAAATCAAGGCAGGAAACAGTGAACAGAGCCTTTCATATGCATGCATGACTCAATGAAGACTGCTCAGCTCCATTTACAAAAAAGAACTTAACAGAGGAGTTCTTGACGATCAGATGGACATAGGCCTAAAACCTGTAGAGTCCATACCCCTCAGATTGGTCTAAAATTATATTATCCCTGTTAATATAAGATACTTATGAGTTATTTTGTGAAGTTATTAAAATGAAATGAGACAAAATTGAGGGATTTGGTCTTGAAAAATGAGGACAGCGAAAAGTCTGCCACATAAACTAAAGACTTTTGAAGGAAACAAAACAATATTTCAGAAGGGCTTAGTTGCTGAAGAAAGGCCTTTGTGAGACTCACTTTGGTCTCAAGAGGGAAGTAAATTCATGTAGTCTGTTTCTCACATTGATAGCGGAGGGTGGATGCAAGACAATTTCCACTGTGCAAGCCCAAGTTGGGTCTGCTCCTCTTCTCATTTCCTTTGTTAGTAAAAAAATTTTAATCATTTCAGTCCTTCACTGAGCCCCATTCCTTTACTTCCTTGTGGCATAATCGGTCAGCCCTGAAATGAAAATGGGTTAGAGAATTCTTCTTGCCATCTATTATTTAATCTCCCCTTTCTGTCCTTAGGGAAGACCTACAACCACAAGACATCCCAGCTTTCTAGATGAAATGTATGTGGATGTGACAGAACTTCAGGCAGGCTGCTGAAAAAAGATTAACTCAGCTGCCAGGAGTACTTTTTGCCTCTCTACTGCTTTGTACCTGTTTCCTGGAATGGCTGATGAGATGACTGAACTTCAAGCAGCCCTCTTGGAATATGTGGCAACACTGTGGACATGCTGAGGATGGCAGAGCAGAAACTAAAATGAGTAGCTCTGAAAACTCCATAAGGTTCCCATACCAACCCTAGATTTCTTATTCTCAGATTTCATATAAGAAATAAGCCCTTCAGTGTTTATTTTTGTTTATTTGTTATTTTTTTCTTTTTGGACAACTGAAGCTATTCATGAATAATCCAAAGTCCAGTCTAAGAAAATGCCAAGGATCAACCAGGTGTGGTGGCTCATGCCTGTAATTCCAGCACTTTGGGAGGCCAAGGTGAGCAGATCATTTGAGGTCATGAGTTCGAAACCAGCCTGGCCAGCGTAGTGAAACCCCATCTCTACTAAAGACACAAAAATGTGCTGGGCATGGTGGTGCTTGCCTGTGATCTCAGCTACCTTGGGAGGCTGAGGAAGGAGAATTGCTTGAACCCAGAAGGTGCAGGTTGCAGTGAGCCAAGACCTCCAGCCTGGGCCAATAGAGTGAGACTCTGTCTCAAAAGGAAAAAAAAAAGGAAAGGAAAGGAAAGGAAAGGAAAGGAAAGGAAAGGAAAGGAAAGGAAAGGAAAGGAAAGGAAAGGAAAGGAAAGGAAAGGAAAGGAAAGGAAAGGAAAGGAAAGGAAAGGAAAGGAAAGGAAAAAGGAAAGGAAAGGAAAGGAAAGGAAAGGAAAGGAAGAAAATGTCAAGGATCAAATGCTGGAAAAGTGCACACAAGATACCAGAAACCAATCGGTGACATCAAAGCGGAGCCAGGGTGTCGCTAGGGCTCCAGAGTTTGGTGAAGAGATGCCAAAATTTAGACAGGTCGGGATCTGAACCTCTGTCCATGGAATAGTCTAGAATCAAAGTGCAAAGGAAAGGGTAAGGAAAAGGAAACAAAAAAAAAATATTTTTGTGACTGGACATTAAAGAGAAATGTTCATGAACATTAGTCATGGCCCTGTACTCCATTTACATACTTGCATTTCTGCATTTTTGGCACAATTTAGTGTGCTTTGAAAATCTTTACTTTCTAAATTTAATATCTGAAATTCTGCAATTTTTCCTTTTTTTTTTTCTTTTTTTTTTGAGACGGAGTCTCACTCTGTCACCCAGGCTGGAGTGCGCTGGTGCAATCTCTGCTCTGTTCACTGCAGCCTCCCGGGTTCAAGTGATTCTCCTGCCTCAGCCTCCCAAGTAGCTGGGACTACAGGCACATGTCACCACACCCGGCTAATTTTTTGTATTCTTTTTAGTAGAGACAGGGTTTCACCACATTGGCCAGGCTGGTCTCGAACTCCTGACCTCAATTGATCCATCCACCTCATCCTCCCAAAGTGCTGGGATTACAGGTGTGAGCCACCATGCCCGGCCCTGAAACTCTGCATTTTAAATAAAGAATGAAATATATATTCCTTAAAGCTGGAAGCTTCACAGTGAATAACAAATGAACGAGGGAAATGGAAAGTTATTTAAATAAAGTAAATCCATGATTATACTCCTAGACTGTAAATAAAAGTGTGTGTGTGCACACCCACATGTGTGTTCACATGGGCGTACATTTCACAAAGTGAGGTCAAAGGCATTAAGGAAGGGTAAAAGTGGTCAGAAAATAGAAATGGAAAATCAGCAACACTCCTATAAATACAGCAGAGCCGTGAGTACTAAGAAGGTATCGCCTTAACTTATTTGAAGCAAAGGAGGAGAATTTTGATGTAGGAGGGAATAAAAAGAACCGTCAGGGAGAATGGTAAGCAGAAAGCAAAACCTTGAAGACAGTCATGATGGGAATAATGCCCTCATTTATTGTGCTGTTATTTAGACGATTTCTTTCAAAGTATAGCACACTCTTATTTCAAGGTCACCTTTTCTCTCCGGTAGCAGGTGAGCAGCCGCTGGAGAAAGCAGCAGTGACTCTTCCTCTGCCCTCCCCGTGGGCCTGGCTAGAGGAGAGAGCACAGCACAAAGGGCACGAGATGCTGCTTTGACCTCAGAGGGCAGGTGTTGTACCCTCCAGAGCTCAAATCTTTCATAAAGACACACCTCATGATTTATGCTTTGCTCTTTTCTCGTGTCACTTAGAAAATGGATTCAAAGTAAATAAGTGGCAAGGACATGTTATTTAAAAAAATAAAAGAAGGTACACATCTTTGTGTTTCTTTAGCGAGAGTTCTTCAGCACCATCCCTCTAATTCAATCCCACTTAGTATTTAACAGCTGAAGAAAAGACATGGAGGCAAAACTAACTGGGTTGAGAAAGGAAGCAAATGAAATATACTGACTACAGTGACCACGGTCCGATTTGAATATTTTCTGAAGCTAATGGAACATCTTTCACCTGAAAAACTGGCTACTAAATATGCTGGAGAAAGAGAAGGAAAATGAGAACATACGAGTGAGAATGAGAGAATGTAATGGAGCAAAAGGAACACACAGCCACCCCATCAGGAACGCACCCAGGAAATTCAATTCTTTTGAATGAAAAGAAAAAGGAAAAGACAGTCCAGGCATTCGATGTACTTTGGCATATTCTTGACATAGTCGTACTTTTAGACAATCAAGAGGATGAGGAGGAATAAAGAAACCACAGAAATATTATAATTTAGAATGTAAGCTCCAAATTATTGTTAAAGAGTGAAAGTAGAAATAAATTTATAGACTCATATTCTGAAAAATGGAACATTTGCCTGATATGAAATGGCAGTAGCTCATGGTAAATAACTGTCTAAATTATAATCAGAGTATACAGAAACTTTAAGAGTACAGTAAAGGAACATGAACTCCTGATGCTATAAACTTTCCTGGGCCTATGGAAGTTGAGAAAAAGGGAAAAAAATCAATGTTAATCCATAGTTAGAGCTTCTGTAGTAGATAAAAATTATTGCTCTGGGTCATAAAAGCTAGGTTTTGGATAACAGATGAGATTAGCTATGGAAATGCAAGAAACCATTATATTTTTTCCTTATGATTAATTCTGCTTTTTATTGAAATGGTGGAAGACAGGATTCAGGAAACCAAAAACCATATAATTACAGTAAATTATTAACCATATGCTTTTCTCCTAAATTAATTAAAACCTCCATGTTTATCTTCTAAGAACCACTTTTTACTCCTAACATATATAAATTCTTTTTTTTAACCATCTACAGGAATAAAAGAGTTTAGTTTAGAATTATATTTAAAGAATGTTCACCTTAATAAAATATATTGCTTTGTAGACTAAATGGTAAATTGGAGAAAAATTTGCCTAACATAAAAATACCATAAAATCACTTCTGCTAATGCTCTTTTTCTATATTTCTTAATAAAAACAGGGGCAGTATTCTATGGTCTTTCTGTACCAAGCTCTTCCTTTGGAGTTCTGATGAAGCATTAAGTTATTTTAACTTATTCTGAAGGATTTCTTTTATGTGAATTACCACTCTCTACCTCCCCAAGATTACACGTACATAGTAAATGACAACCAGGTGCTGAGGAGGAAAAAAGAAAAAAAACAAAACTTCATGCTTGCAAATGCTCCTACATTAAAGTATTATTAACAGCAATCTATGGGATATAACCAGTGCAAGGAAAAATGGTGCTATATCATGTTTCTGTTTTTTTCTAATGAAAATGAGAATTTTATGAGTTCTGTGCTCCTCTACATATGATGTAGAGGTCTGTGTGATATCAGCAAGATCAGTATTGTTCTCTGCTGGAATAGAGAATTTCATAGCTGGATAAGAAACTAGAATCTGGGGCATGAGGGAAAGAGGCACTTGGAACGCCTGGAGGGTGCCATGTAGAGAGAAAATGTCGGTATAGGAAATAATCCCATGTTGCAAATTTTCTGTGCAGAACTGATTTTACAAGACTTGACATCTGCACCCATGTCACCATCTCCCCCATTCCATTTCCCATGAGGCCTGGCTGTGCCTGAACTGGTCATCCTTCTAAGGATGAAGAACAACTTCCAACATACTTCCAGGGTGAGGTATCTCCCTCCTCTCACCTGGAACCAGAAAGCAGTCACATACATTCACACCACCATTGCTCTTTTCTCTGAACTTGCAGACAATAGAAGATGGAATTATATTTGTGTTTGTTACTAGAGGGTTTTGCTTGGAGAGCAGAGTTTTCAAGATGGAGTACTAAGTAACTGGAGTGTTTGGAGAGTCTGACCTCTGAGCACGTTTTTATTGTTTCCCAGTCTTTGCTCTTACCCATTGTTTTTCTCTCCTTCATTTGACTGCATACCACACCCACTCTTTATGAAGGTAAGAGGTAAGTTAGACAGCAGGCTCTTGTTTTACACTCTTGCATAGGACATCTGTAAATTCGAATGGCACCCTGTTTAGCCTAGCTGAGTATTTCCTGACTTTCAGTGCCATAACCTTTGAGACAAAACTATCACGAGTAAGCAAAAGTAATTCCACCACGTCCTGTCTTCCTTTCACAGTTACCAGCTTCTCATTATCAAAAACCTATTCCCATCAACTAAAACCACCGTTTTTTAAACCATGTAATTAGATTTCCATAAATTTTAATATGCATAATTGTTCCTTTGTGTGCCTAAATCATTGTATCTGCAAACATATCATGTCAGATACAAACAACGACTATCTGTGACCTGAATGACCTTATGGTCCAGCAAGAGAAAGATGACATGTGCATAAACAATTCTAATACAGTGTCATAGAAATACCACAGAAATGATTTGTCTGCAAAATGTGATTATCACAGAGGGGAAGCTAAGTTATGTCAGTGTGAAGTCTGAAGGAGTGAGCAAAAAAAGTGGGGGCAAAAAGAAGAAAATGTTATTTGAGCTACATCAATGGTTCTGAATCCTGGTTGATTAGCTGTCAGAGGATATTAATGTTCAGACCCCAACCCAGAGACTCTGATTGAATTGGGTTTAATATGCACAAAATCACTAATGGATAAGAGGTATGAATTATGGCTATTCTCCTTTTTTATTTTCAAATAACATGCAACAGTTCCTTTTCTCAAGATACAGAATGGCATTTCAGTATTTTTGGCTACTCCAAAGTAAAAGAATCTGTTCTATTCCTTGAACTCCTAGCTAAAACTAACCATACTACCATGTCCTATGTTTAAGAAGACATTAAATCATTTTATTTAACCAAATCATATGAATTTAATGTACATTTACTATCAAACTAAATTTGAATATTTGGGTATTTTTGTTTGGTTGCAAGAAGATACTATTAGAATGTACAATCTACTGCTTTTCAATAATAGATGTCAATGCCACTGCAATATAAACTAATTCACCACTTTACCATGAAGCACCGGCATATATTCTTACAAATAAACAATAATACATGATAGAAGAAATACTTAAAGGCTCCTAAATTCAAGGAATTTGAAGTATGATGTGTTTTAAAAAGGATTAGTGTTGTGCGAATAAAAGACATGGCTCTGACCACTTAAGTTGTTGATGAGTAGTTTTCTTACATTTTCTGTTATTCCTTCAGATATAGTTCTGCAGATATTTACTATCATATTGAGAAGCATGTTAATCTTCTGACCTGTTCATTCTTTGTTGGAGAATAACAAGGGGGTCAAAATTGTCTTCATATTTCCTCAAAAAGAAACATCTGTCCATGAGGATCGTGACACATCAAACCACATCATTTTCAGACCCGGGTCATATTTGAAGGGGTGTGTGGGCACAGTAGAGCATCAACAAAAATAGGCTGAAGTCCCCCTAAATCCCAGTCACTGTAACTCTCAGTGACAGATTCATGCTGCTCCTAATCAATTTCACACCAGGGAGACACACACAGTAGAAACATGCAGATTGGGAGCTGCAGAGAAGTTGCTTGGAAAATGTCTGAAAACCAGAGCTTTCCAGCATCACCTTTCTGTGCCAAAAATGCAAAAACATATGCTTACCCTCTCCCCTTTAAGTAGAGAAATTAGCTCATGTTAGTCTTACGTCTTCTCATAGATCTAGGTCACTAGGTAATGATATAGTGATGTAGAGTTTGGCATTTCTAAGGATAGCTAGAGAAGAAACATCAGTCAATGATTCACACTTCTAAGACAAATTAGAAATAGTTTTCTTCCTAGTTTATTTTATTCTTTTTAAAAAATATAGTTTTCAGAATTAAAAATCAGCTTTCTAAATAATTGTCGTTATTGGCCTAAGCTTATTTTTCTAATATTCAGCTTCTAGTAAAGAGATGCAGGGAAGAGGTAAAATCTGATACCTTACAGCCAGTTAGAAAACTGAATGTGCAGAATCAGAGGATTTATTTGGTATAAATTTTATATAACATGGAAAAGTGAATTTCTTTGTTAGCTTCCTTTACATACGCATTCACTAAGAATCTTCCAAATCTTTTAGTCATAATTAAAATATAGTATTTGGTATGAGTTTACTATTTTAGATAATTGCTAAAATGGGAACTCTAGAGACATGAGACAATATTTTTCAGGTGATTTTTTAGTGGTATTGCTGAGAGTATTGTATCAGATTCGTTTCCATGCATACCATCTGTTTGAAGATTCATTTTGCAGGGTAAGGGAAAGGGAAATGATTGTCTAGCAGGTGAATCTGAAATGAATACCAAATGCAGCCTGTACAGCACAAGGAAAAAGACTGAAATAGCGAACATGATCCAATATTTATATCTGGATGTAAAACAGGAAATGTGTTCTCCAGTATAAATTATGATCAAAATCATCTGGCAAATTGTCTCACTTTAAAAAATAACGAAATTAAAGCAAATTTCAATTGTTGGCTTCTTCTGGTTTGATTTTATTGGACTACTATCTCCATCAAATAACAACAAAAGTTTAATTATCCAATCTAGAAAAACATAACAAATGTGCACAGAGTGCTGAAAGTAGTAGGGTTAAGAAGTAACTCCATATATTTGTGTAGGAAATTCCAGAGAGTTACTTCATTAACTGACAAAGGAGCAACAAATTTCTCTCCACCCTATGTCAAACTCTACACATGAGACATACCTTTGACCAAACACATATTACAACTAAGTGGTAAGTTTTGGTATAAGGTAGTAGGAGACAGTAGAAACACAACTGCCTTTCTTTTTTTCCATGCAACTTTACCTGAAGTTACAGTCTACATTTATGCCATAAAGATTACATCAACTGTTTGTAAAAGCAATCCAAAAAAAATTGGAAATATACCCTCTTTCCTAGTATCCCCAGAAACTAATCTTCCTTTTATTAGCATATAAAGTCATGTTTTTCTAATGCCTCCCTCTGCTTCTTTTTTTAGAATCCATCAGGTGCTCCAACTATGCAAATTCCTAATTTTTTTCAATATATTTTAAGACTTGTCAGTGGATTTTTACTCTTCATTCCATTGCCTTACTTTACCCATTTGGTGAGTGGAGTGATCTCCAGGCCCATATCTCACAGCTACTATAAATGAGTTCCTACTGCTGAAGGTGGGAACATGTTGGAAACTTAGAAAATGTTTTTTCTTGACATCAAAATATTCCATATATTTCATGGGAGTGTCTTAGGTTGGATATTCCTAGGTAGTCTTTCTATAATATTAGTAACCACTGGTCTTAATAATCCTTGAAGTTTGACTTAAAATTACTGTCAGTTACTTTGTTTTATATCAGCTAAAATAAAGAGAATCAGTGAAATCAAAATTTATCTTGGCATACATATTACTCAAGCAATTAAGCAAAAATGAAGGTATATCCTAAATTCTATAAAAACAAAACTTTGAGACAATTAATTCAAAAACCAGTATCACCCTATCACTAATTTCTTGTACTTACCACAAAACCAGTTGCATTTCATCCTAACAATTTCACAAGTAAATAAGGATTGTCCATTATATGCCAAAATCTGTCCCAGACTCATTTGAGGACTACTACTCATTTACAATCTATTCACAGAAATATTAATTTCAAAATTAAAGGAATTATTTTTATTCGGTGAATGGGAGTTATTGAAGAGCTATGTCAGAAGACAAAATTTTAAAACGAAGTCATAATTCTGGCTTAGTTTTTTTTTTTACTTGAAAGAGTGGTGAGTGAGAAGAGGGATTAGACTGGTAGACTAAGTGTCTGAGAATGGTTCAACTGAACAAGTTGAAGCAGCTCGTTGTCTGGGGTAAATACCCGGGTTTCGTTGTCTCTCACCAGGAAAATTTAGGACAAGGACACACAGGAGGAGTTTAGGAGTGGAGGTTTAATAGGCAAAGAAAAGAGAAAGAAATAGAAAGGAAAACAACTTTCTCTCTAGTGAGAGAGATGGGACTTCCCAGAGGAAAACACTGGCTGGTGACTAACGCGCCGGATTTTATAGTCCAGCTTGAGGAGGCGGTGTCTGATTTATGTTGGGCTCACAGATTGGTTCCATCAGGTGTGACATTTACATAGTGCACAGGGAAGGCTGGTCAACCCACCCTAATCTTATTATGCAAATGAACTTTCCCTTAGCCAGGCCATCTTGTCTGCGCCTTACCGTACACATGGTGACAAAGAGAAGGGAAGATGGAGCCTCCATCTTGAACATGATTGGTACTACTGCCAGCATCTATGTCTGCAGCTCAATTTTACAGGCTGCCTTTGTTAGACAGAAAAATAATTTGGGGCTGCTTTTCATTAAAAAGAAAACCTTACCAAGGACTTCCATACCCTCACTATCTGCCTAAGTAATTTCTTCTTAACTCCTGTATCAAAGTCACTTCTTTAAGCCAACAGTGGATTCCATAAACACCAGGTGGGAGCTAGGGTAGCTGCATAACTGCACAGAGCACCCTTTGCGTAGAGCACCCTTTAAAGACCTTTACTGTATTTATTTCATTTTATAATTTCAGTGGAGGGTGAGGGCATCTTCTGCTATTTGCTGGAGGTTCACAATATATGATCTCAACATTATTTAAATAACTTTCATCCCAAATTGTATTACAGGCAGTTTGAGTAAGAAAACACTTTGTGGCTCTAAAGTGTTAAAACACACAATAAACTCTTGATTTGGGAATGGTAGTTTAGGGACATTGATCTTAAGTACTGTTAATGGAAGTGTTATCTAAATCTCATTCATGTAATGAAAATTTCTCCAGCTGTTAAACCACTGAATCTTTTGTCACTTTGATATAGAGGTTAGACAACAGAATGGATTGCCTTGTCCATCAAAATGTGCTAGAAGAGAATATCCTAGTTGCATTTGAGAGAGGAATGACACTGAAATATGGGGTAAAGGTCACAAGGAATTTGTTGAATGCAGGAAAACACTAATCACTCGTGGCGGAGAGAGAATAAAGGGGATTTGATACTACAGGTGCTGTTAGAAGTTTAATGGAAAAGTGATGCAATGCTGAGCCCTAAAATTCTCCCTTTGGTAAATTTGGTGAACAAGAGATGGTAACTGTGAATTTTGAGGGGTTCCCTTTATTCAACATTCAGTTAAAAATACCTGACGGTTGCCTAGATTAAAAAGCTGATCTGTTTGATTTCTGGGATGAGGGCCTGTGAGCTTTATTGTTTGTCGTATGTTGTTGTTTTGAATTTCAACTTTGCCATTTAACTGTTGTTAGAGTTCTGGTCCTACGACAGCAAAATAATTGACAAAACAGATTTAAAGGATGGTCTTTTTTATACACATTTTATGTCAGTGTTTCAGGGAATTGAAGGCAGAATTGGGGAAGATTTATTTGTTTATTCCTAATTTTTACAGAAATAAAAAAATGTCCATTTTCTCACCCTACAGGAGACTAAAATCATATATGGATATTATTAGCAGAATTTTTAAAGAGCTACAGACATTAAAACATTGGAAAGAATTCAGGAGTTCTACTTCAACTACTTCTGTTTTTTTGTGGTTTGGTTTTATTTTGGCACAGAAACTGTAGTTCTGAAAAGATAAAGGGACTTACCCAAAGGTATACCAATATAAAGTAATCAGATGGAAACTGAAACACGGTATCTTCTCTGAAGAAGATGAAGAATCACCCTTTAACTATACTTTTCATCCTCCTTTAAATATGTAATTGCTGTGATCTACTTCACAGTCTCATTGTATAAATATGGATACACTTCTTTAATTTATCCAATTTATAGTTTGAATACCAACTTCCCTTAGTAGCAAAAGTTATATTTCCTTCCCTGATGACCTCTTCACACACACACTTTAATTGCCCAGAAAATCTCAGGGGTTTGCTCAGTCCAAAAGGATCCATCCCTCTTTCCAATTCTAGGAACAGAAAGAGAAGTGTTGGCTGAGTTACCTTTTACTGTTTTTGCTATTCTCAGACAAACCACACTGATGTTAAAGCCTTGTCCTCTCCCCTGGATACTCATTCACTGCAGGGCACTGGTCCAGGTCCTTGTACATGCAGTCATGGGCCACTACCATTGTTCTCCAAGGTCTTAAGTTCATTCATAAAATACAGAGCTATTGCTTCCAAAGTTGGAATATGTATGGTTGACACTTGAACAATATAGGTTTGAACTGTATGGATCCACTTATATGCAGATTTTCATCTGCCTCTGCTACGCCTAAGACAGAAAGACCAAGACCTCCTCTTCCTCCTCCTTCTCAGTCTATTCAACATGACCACCATGAAGATGAAGACCATTACAATGATCCACTTCTATGTATTGAGTAGTAAACATATTTTCTCTTATGACTTTCATAAAAACATTGTTTTCTTGTTTACTTTATTGTAAGAATACATGTAACTATAAAATATGTGTTAATCCCCTATTTTTATTCTTGGTAAAGCTTCTGGCCAACAGTAGGCTATTAGTTGTTAAGTTTGGGGGTAGTCAAAAGTTATGTACAGATATTTGACTGTTCAGGGGTCAGTGCCTCTAACCCTGCATTGTTCAAGGGTCAACTGTACTTTCATTTATTATGCTGTAATTCAATGACACCGATAGTGTCACTGCACTTTGTCACACAATGCCTGGCAGAATTTGCACTATTACAATAGGTTTAGCATAGAAAAGGAAAAGTAAATATGATTATTTAGTATGAATGCTAAATATGATTATTATAATATAAAAATTATATTATTATATTTCTAAATATTTCAATATTAGGAAAAGTTGATGCTAAAATGCATTTATTTTAAACATGAGACATAAATTAAAATCAGGAAAACAATAGTATAAAGAATAGTTGACAGTTGATTGTGTTTAAAAAACTTTATGTGCCAATAAGTGTAACCAGAAACAGTTCTCCTTTACCAAAAACAAAACCCCAGCCTATCTGTAATAACCTTGGTCCCTCAGCCCAGAGTCTCCCTTATTTCTTTGTGTTTTCCTCTGGGGTCCTGGCCATCCTTTCCATAACAAAACCCTAATTATTACAAGAATAATAATCTGGGGTCTGCTCAACAATGTCCACTAGGTCAGGATTTACAATTCACAAATTTCAAGTGATACTATTTGATATTTTTGTGGCAAACATGGAAATGCAAAGACAGATCCCCTTTTGAGGAAGGACTTGCTTGCCCACTACAGGAGTGCAGTCAGAAGGCAGCCAGCAGCTTTGGCACCTTCAGAATCTTCCTTAGCGGCAGACAGCCACCTTGCCCAAAGTCACACTTTCCCGTCGCAGTCCGTATTTGGTAACTGAATGAAACAAAAGGTCAGGACATTTCTGATAACACAAATGTGAAATTTCAGGTTGGCATAGAAGTTCACATTCTTCCTCTTCCCATTCTTTTTCTTCCCTTTCCTGTTAGAAGTATTCATCCCTAGTAAATATCTTGGAACCTAACTCTACGTTCACGTGTGATTTTATAGACTCTAACTCGTGCTGGTTTTGCATTCTTCTGTTTCAAAAAAGAACATCTTACGCAAATCGGTCCATCTCTTCTCTAGAACTGTACATGGAAATAATTATTGTCTGAGAACTTCCTTATTACTTCACAAAGGTTGCATTTTAGTCTTCTCTCTGGAAACCTACAAGCCATACTTAATGTAGTGACCTTAGTTAATAATACTGTATTTCTTAGTTAAAATTTGCTAACAGAGCAAATCTTAAGTGTTCACAACACACACGCACACAAGGTAGTGGCTGTGTGCTAAAGGAAGTTTTAATTAATTTGATTGTGGTAATCATTACACAATGTATGTGTATAGCAAATCAACACCTTGTACATCTTGAATATAAGCAGTTTTAATCTGTCAATTTTACTTCAATAAAGCTGGGAGGGAAAAGAGCCTGTATATAAGGAAAATAAAAACACTGCAAAAAATAATATTATGGGTAATGGAGAATTATTCATATTCTTTAAACACAAATACACTGTATGTCTCAGAGTAAAGGTTACTAGATATTTCCTTTTCAGATTCTTCTTTTGTCCTATCTAGATTTTTTTTTTTCTCAAATGTCCTAAAATACTCTCTTGAACTATGGAAGAACTCTGAAAAATGTTGTTAATCTAGTGTACTTCAGAGAAAGACTTCCTTAAAGACAAGTTGTTTGGCTTGAATTAGAGTGTCACGGTGGCCAGATGGAAAGCTCAATTTACATTTAATTTTGTGTTCACTGATTTATCAACTATTCCATTGACAAAGAGACGTGTGACTTCACTGAGTGAGAAAATGCTATTTTCTGCTCATAGTTGCATTAAAAAAAATCAAACCACAGCATGTTCAAAGTTAGTGTTTGACAAATCTTTTTAATCATGGCTGCCTATCTTCTGAGCATCTCCAACCCCCAGTTCTGGCAGTTCACAGAAGTTGAATTGTTTGTAATTCGTTATATGGCGATCTGCATAAGGAGAAAACAAAAAAAGAAAATCCATTTTCCGGGTTTGCCCTGGTCTGTGCAAAGAGACACTTCTGTGAAGCGCACTTAAATTTACGCAATAGCTTTTCAAATTTTGCATTAATTTTCTTCCTTTCTTATATTTTCCTAAATTGAGAAAGTAGGGACAAATCAAAACTGATACCAGGGAAAAAGAGGAAAAATAACCCAACTAAAAAACAAAAAGTAAAGCAAATAATTCTTTAAAAACAAAATGTTCAATCTGCTAAAGCTTCAATCTTTACATAGCGTTGGAGAGTAAAGGGTTTGGGGAAAGAAACAAAAATTTATTCAAAATGTGCTACGTGTAGGTGTCTGCATTTCACAAGTAAGAAAATTAATCCATTTAAAGCTTAAATATCTTGCCTGTAATTTTACAGGTATTAAATAACAGATTAAGAATTAAACTTCAGGCCGGGTGCAGTGGCTCACACCTGTAATCCCAGGGCTTTGGGAGGCCAACGTGGGTGGATCACTTGAGGTCAGGAGTTCAAGACCAGCCTGGCCCCCATGGTGAAACCCTGTCTCTACTAAAAATAAAATAAATTAGCCCAACATGGTGGTGTGTGCCTGTAATCCCAGCTACTTGGGAGGCTGAAGCAGAGAAATCTCTTGAACCCGAGAGGCAGAGGTTGCTGTGAGCCAAAATTGCACCACAGTACTCCAGCCTGGGTGATCGAGTGAGACTCCATCTCAAAATAATAATAACAAATAATGATCATAATAAAGAATTAAACTTCAGTCTCTCTGGCTTCAAAATCATACACTTTCCACTGTACCACCTTGCCCAGTGAAGAAGTTCTTTCCTTAGCTAGCAAAAATGGGTGTGGATCATCAGGGGCATCCAGGTGATTATAACTTACTTCGTTATGTCATTTCCTAAATTTATTTTTCACATTCCAATTCAGTTACACATACAATAAATATCTGAGCTGTTATTTTTATTTTGTTTATATAAGAAGGTAACATTTTGATTGTAAAAGCCCAAGTTTTAGAAAATTGAATTCTAAGAATATGGAGGCAGCAGTAAAAATGCAGACTCTGGCTCCTCCTAAAACCCTATATATAAAATGAAAGAGGGACTGGTACCAAAGTCACACCCAGGACCAACATTTTCATTGAAACTAAAAGCAAAGATATCCACCGAAACCCCAAAATGCAAGTGGGTAGGGATAAACCATCAAAGCCCTGCATGTTAGCAGGATCTCAGTGAAGGAAAACAGAGAAGTAGCAGGATCCCAGATAGACCATGGAAAAAGAGAATCCTTGAATGACCGATAAATATCATTGGGAAGCAAAAGCAGGCCAATCTGAGAACAGCAGCAAAAAAAAAAAAAAAAAAAAAAAAAGTGGGGGGAGAGAGATTTCCTTTCCCAAAGACAGGTAAATGAAAGAGTCCTAGAGTAAAGTCTTAAGGGGCAGAGACCAAGTATATTCTTGAAAACATGCTGGCAGGGTTTCCCAGGACAGGACAGGAATCCACAGTGAAGAGAAACTGTAGGAAGTGAATTCAGATTGAAACAGAATAAGGAAAACAGAAGTTAATAAAAACAAATGTCAGAAGTAAAGTTTGACAGGGTCTAGAAACATGAGAAGAAAAAATTGCATATTTTTAAACACTATCTTAAAAACAAAAAGATCAGTGAAATTATAAAACTTATTCGAACTTTGACGTCAGCATCCCACTAAAAAAAGTTAAGAAAAACTAAGTTCACATTAAAAAGTTAAATAAAAACATTTAGATAAAACTCCGAAAGAAGTTGCTTAGAAAAAGATAACTAAGAGCAGAATATTCTCCTTATAAACAATAAAAACAAACCAAGAAAAGTTACTCAAAAGCTAATCAAAACTGTAATGCATAATTAAAAATTAGATTAAAATAGTTAATAAAATGACACATGACATGGAAGAACGATATACATCAGAATTAGAAATAATACATATTAGAAAGGCTAAAATTAGAAACACGAAATATATTTTAGAAGTGAGGACTAGGAGGAACACAAAAATTAAAATAAATATATCAGAAAATGTGCTAAGAGGAGAAGATAAAGACAAAGGAAATTTTTTAAAAAAAGAGTCTAGATAGAGTGGCAAATATTGAAGACTGGTAAAGAAGATCCAACCTACAGATAATAAAAGTCTCTGGGAAAAAAATAGAAAAGCTGTCTGAAATTAAAGATAAAATTTAAAAATTCTTTTGGAATCCAGACAAAAAGAGCAGTGATTTATAAGTGACAAATAATTATATCTTCATCAGCCTTTTCTTTTTTACAACAATATGTTATTCCAGAGAAAAGTGAGGTAAAATAATTCAGATACTCAAGAAAGGAAAACATGAACCACTTATTTTATATCCATAAGACATTGCCCTTTATTTCAAGTGGCACATACAACTTGTAGTAATTCAAAAGTATTTTTCCTCATGAGCAGTTTCTAAGAAATCTACTAGAAAACAAGTTTTAGGCAACCACACTTGTAAAGAAAACACCAACACAAGGACTGGTGGTCTACATAATTACTTATATAATCAATACAGAATGAGGTTAAAACTGAAGGATTATAGATTACAGTGAAACTATGATATTATGATGTAGATATAGTATAACCATTAAATATGGTTGGGGGATAATGAAATAGCATATAAAATATATAAATCTATTTTGAGTAGTCATTATCAGTGATAATGTAATAATAGTATTGTTCTGAAACTTGTATGTATATAATGTGAGTAAATAAGCAGTCATAGCACATTATAATTTTGTCCTCTTATGACCTGAAAAATTAAGATTTTCAGTGTGAAAAATAAGGAATAGAGATGTAAAACAGAAGAAATTAAGCGCCAGCCCTGTGCATTTGAATTAGATGTATCATTATTGAATCACAGGTTATTTTAACTATGTCCAATTTCTGTACACTAAAAACACTTAGAAACAATAATCTATCCAGCAGTAATTCACATCTCTAGACCCACGCTGCAGTCTTGAAATACCATGTCCCACTAAAAGAAATAGAACTTCTTTGAGAAATTGCAGATTCCAGATATTGAGAAACACACAGGAAGAGTGTGTAACATCTCGTCAAACCAGATACAACAAGATTGCAGAATAGGCAATTTGAGCTTCAATGGGAACAAGAATTACAATTGATTGAAACATTAAATATATTTTAAAACTAGATAAATGAAAGAAAAAGTCAAGCATTCATTGTTCCTTTTCTATATAAACTATAATACTGAATAACCACATACAAAGCAGGTGTCTCCTTTTAAAATTATTTTGGGGAATAAGTGAAAAAGAATGATAAAATATCACTGTGTGTAACCTCCAGTGAATTAATAACATAGGCATTGAGCATCAATAGATGTGGAAATAAAAGTAATACCCAGATACTACAAGCATCCTGATGAAAAAATACACTCTCCTAACGCCTTGCCCAAGGGATCCAATCCGAGTCTGATCAAGCCTCTGGATTCAGTGGCCAACTGACAGAAAAGAAAGGTCAGAGCAGCAGTCTGAAAGCACCATAAGTATGCAAAAAGAAAATCCAGACTGATGGAAACACGACAGATTAACAGCCTAGGTGCATCAGCAGGTAAATGCTAAAGAAAGGAAAAGGGATTCTGTATATTAGATGAGACCTTAAAGACATGGAGCTTAAAAATTAAAAGAAAAAAACTGGACAATTCTTTAGGGATGTTCTTTTGGCTAATTAGGTCATACAGAAATCTACTCAGGAGGCTGAGGCACGAGAACCACTTGAACCAGGGAGGCAGAGTTTGCAGTGAGCCGAGATTGAATGGTACCACTGTACTCCAGCCTGGGTAACAGAGACAGACTCTATCTCAGAATAAAAAGAAAAAAAAGGCAGAAAGGAAGGGAGGGAGGGACGGAGGGAGGGAGGGACGGAGGGAGGGAGGGACGGAGGGAGGTAGGGACGGAGGGAGGAAGGGAAATCCAAAGAGTGATTACTATCAATGTCAGGATAGTGCTTACTTTTGAAGATGGAGGTCTTCTAGAGCATAGGGCAAACTTCTATTTCTTAACCTGAGTGGTGGGTGCAAAAGTATTCACCTTATAAAATTTTAAGCAGCGATGAATTCTTTATGTATCATTTTCTCTGTGTTTTATCTTGTAATAATAAGGTTTATACAACACACAAAGAATAGATGTTTTAGAGTCAAATGAATCTGAATTCAAATCCCAACCTACCACTTATTATCTGTGAGACTGGCAAGTTTCCATCTGAGTATTAGTTTTCTCCTTGAAGAAATGTCAATAAAAATATCAGCACTCACTCCCTCACATTGTACAAGGATGAAAGGCAGTGATCTCCAAAGTCCAGCCCCGACTGGCCATTCTGCTGACATGACATTCTTCCCCTCCTCTTCCCATGCAGTTCTTAGTTTGCTTTGATATTGTATTGTTTCTATCACTTATTAGTGATAGTTGTGTATAATCAGATACTAATTTCAGATATTTAAATAAATTGCATGTTTCTGAAGACCTATTCTAAATAACCTGAATGATTCCATCGAAACCACAGCTGAATCCTGATAGCAGCAAATAGTGTCCTTGCCCGAGGGGCTGACTTCTACCCACACCTCAAATCCCAGAGCACTTCATTACAGAACAGTGCCTCTTAGTTCTGGTTAAAAATAACAATGATGATTAATATTTTGTGGAGAAATAGGTAATAATTAAGTTTTTAATGATGGCACGTCATTTATCATAAAAAGCATATTCCTTTCATTGAGTAGGTACTCAATATATTTGTTTAAATGATTGATTATGTAGCGTTGACTTTAATAGCCTGTTTTAGCAGTGATGGAAACAATTTGATACACAGACTGATGTCAACATAAATGTCAAAATTGATGGAAGTCTTCTGGAATAGGTATTAGGTTGGTGCAAATGTAATTGCAGTTTTTGCCATTACTTTTAATACTTGAATACTTTAAAGTGGGAATATAAGAGGAGAGGGCATGACTCTGTGGAGGGGGACTCAGTCCGCGTTCAGGAGACCTGAATCATAGCATTCATCTTACTTCTAATAACAGCTGTTGTATGCTGAGTGTTTGCTACATACTGGGCTAAGCACCTCGCAACCATTAATTTATTTAATTATTGCCATGATTCTGTGAGCTGGGGGTGTCTCCATCTGTAACATGGAGAAACTTCTCACCAAAATGACTACTAGTGAAATAAAGGCCACACATCTAGTACAAGAAGGAGCTGTGAATTGAAACCCACTTCGGCTTGACTCTAAAACTCATACACTTAACTAAGTGATCTTTAAACCTCTTCCAGGGCTAACAGTCTAAAATTTATGAAATTTCTTCTCCAAATGAATTTCTAGTGATCTATTAACCTGGTGGTCCCCAACATGTCTTCATTGTTTAATTTATATCCTCCACTTGTGTCAGTATCTGAAAACCTCACTCATTCTAGGACCTGGGACAAGGTCTTCACTCACAATGACTGCGCCACCATAGATGGAAAATGACAATTTGAAGATCAAATTTGCTTTATAGCTAGAAACATTTCTCAAGCCCTTTTTCTGTTTCTAGGAATCAGGCTCCTAATATTGAACTTGACTATAATTGTTTATATTGTTTACTTAAAGGATCGAAACTCAAACTGTGTTGCAGAAAGACAGAACAACAATTATATTTTAAATTAGTCACAGGCTTATCAGCTACTGTAACTTCTTGTAATGGAAAATAACCCAGAGGACACTGTCATGTAATATTAGGATAACAGGCTTTGAGCGAATGACATGTTTACATTGCATGACAGAATGGTTTAAATTTCTTCATTATTTTCTGCATATCATTTTTGAATTTACCTGGAATTATTCAATCCAGTTTACCAGAAAGTCTCATGTCCCTGCCTCCTTCTTTCTAATGAAACCCTTATTTTCTGAGGTCAGGTCCTCATTACCACTTGCATGAACTTTTGCAGTCTCCCAGCTGATGGCCCTATTTCCAACCTATTTTCTCCCTGTTCCATCCAACTCATTACTGCCAGATTTATCTTCCTGAGGATCTGCTCTAATTATGTCATCTAGCCAATGTAAAAATGTAGAATATATTTTCTGCTTATGAAACAAAACATCAAAATTGTTAATAGGGACTTTATATTAACCTCATCTGGCTTTAAACTCTCTTTTTAGCCTTGTTTGCTACTTACTGATCATCCTCACACAACACAGCCCAAGTTGACCAAATCTCTTGTGAAACCTAACTCAGAGTTGCTGCCACCCTCCCTGGATGGCTATTTCTCCACATCTCCAAGAGCCCAAACTCTAAGCATCTCTCAAAACCTTTTTCAGTGGGTCCAACTTAGCTGCATGTAAGAAACCCCTGAAGATCTTCAAAAAAGTGTTGATTCCTTTGGGAGGCTGAGGTGGGCTGATGGCTTGAACCCAAGAGTTTGAGACCAGCCTGGGCAAGATGGTGAAACTCTCTTTCCACAAGAAATACAAAATTAGCTGGGGATAGGGGCACACGCCCATAGTCTCAGCTACTCAGGAAGCTAATGTGGGAGAATCAATTGAGCCTGGGAGGTTGAGGCTGCAGTGAGCCGTAATCGAGCCACTGCACTCCAGCCTGAGAAACAGGAGACCCTGTCTCAAAATACGTAAGTAAATGAATAAGTAAAAATAAATAAATAAAATGAAATTAAAATAACATACCTTTAATTTTGGACCCTAAAAAAGAGAATATGGCTTTTTCAAGTGTGCCAGCAAAAGAGTCGCAGGATAATAGTAATAATATTCAACCTGTTAGGTCCAGAACATTGTATAAAATGATTCTTCTGAATATAATTTTAAGAAAAACAACTATTTTCTCAACTCCTGTGGTTCATTTTTCATAGTTTTCCCCAAACTTCATAGAAAATATATAAGAACTTTATGAAAGAAAAATACCCACTTCCAAAGCATTAGGTAGGTCTGGTTGCTTACAAAGGAAGTTGTTGGGAATAATACAGAAGCAGCTAATACGTCCTTGGAACTGTTTGATCATTTTTAGAAACAGAAGGTAAAATAACACTGCTGTGAAGCCAAGCTCACTGCCTCTTGAGCGTGACATGGCTTTAATAATATATTACAAAGCCATGGTGTCAGCCTCGGAAGAGCAATGGGAGGCATTTTATTAAGTGAGAAAAGAAGATTTATAGATAAATCACTAAAAAAGAGTTCTAGTGAATCATGTGTTTGCTAACAAAAGGTGTGGAGAACAATATTTTTTTCTCCGCTTTGTCAACATCAAATGCCCATTTATCTCTGTTACACTACTCATACATAGTCACAATCACTCTATAAATTCATCACCGTGGATTGTAAAGCTTAAGACAAGGTCAGAAAGCTTATGAAAAGAGTCAGTAATCTATCCAACGGAGGGTTGAGAAATGTTAATGGGGCTAAGCCAGTGCACAGGGGACCCAGTTTCCATTACAAAAGTGACTAGCCATCAGTCATCATCACAGTGGGCCATCCTGAAACATTCCATGAGCTTAAAATGGTTAGAAAAAAACACTGCACGGATCATATCTGCCAGGCCAGAAAATAGCCGCTTCTGAAATGTTGTGCTAAAACTTTGGCTAGAGTGAGTTCCTGTGAGAATCCTAAGACCCCAAGAGGACGCAGACACCAGAGTGGCTTTATGTCAGCTGCCTGGCTGCTGCGTGTACCATGACAGTTAAGAGTGAGCAATATTTTCCTGGCAGGGGAGATACCATGGTTTTCCCAGGACGAGGATTAGCCCTCTGACTGTGCTGACCCCCGCCATTTTCCCAAATATAGGAAGCTCCACTGCAAATTTGTGGTGGTGGGAGAAAAGAAAGAAAGAAAGGATGGGGGGTAGGCCACGCATCATGGGGAGGTGGCTTAGGGGTTGCCAGTGGCCAAGGGCCCCCAGGAGCAGCTGCACAGTTGGACATGAGCCCTAGTGGTCCCTGGCCCCAGGCCCTGGCAGGTCATGAGACCTTGTGGGCCTAAAACCCCATGTGGAGCCCTTCTCTTATCTGTCTGCACTCTTCCAGGGCCAGCCCATCTTGGTCCTTGGGTGAACCCACTTCTGTCCATTCTCTCCCCCAGGGCGAACCCATCTCTGTTCATACCTCTCCCACCCAGCCATTGCAATCAAGTTCTCTGAAAAGCAGCAGGTATCTCATCACCTGTGTGAGAGCACATAGAGTTCTAGAAGGCACCAAATCTACCTGGCCTCAGAAGCACACCCCTTTTGTAATCATGGTACCCCCATACTTTACAGTGAGCCAGGCCTAGGAAGGGACCTGTGGGCTCCAGGATGAGAGTTTCCATGGCTCCTTCCACATCCTTAGTGGTGAGATGGAAGCAGCTAATGGAGCCACAGAAGAAAGTGTCAAGAGGGCTGCCTCTCTCGTGGCAGGAAATTGTGACACACGTTCATATTAAAAAAATAAATAAATAAAAGAAAGAGCAGGAGAAGTGTAAGGATGAGTAGCACCTGTCTCTGTTGCGTATATTTGGTATTATAATCTTGAGCCATAGTGCTATGATCTGTGTCTTCAATGTGTTGTCAAAAAGCGTAGTACAGATCTTCCTTATTAGACCCTTTTGCAACCTCAGGCAAACTACTGTAATGGAAGTCAGGAGATTTGGGTTCTGTTTTAGCTTTAATTTCCAAATAAAATAATGTCAAAACCCATTCTACATTTATTTTCAGAAACATTCTTTTCTGTGATTTTTCTTTGGATTTGGGTGTTTGGGAGTAGTGGATAATCACAGAAATAATCTGATCATCCCCAGTCAATCTTCAACTCCTGCTCCAGGTTTTTCCTCGGTAATTTCTCAGTCTATCACACAAACTCCTCCTACTCTCTCTTGTCCTACTCTGCTTCAAACTATGATCATGTCCCTTCTGTCTTTATTCTTGGCAGAGTTAAGACAGGGCTTGCTCTAGTTTGTAATGGTTAAAAGAGCCTTACTAAAGACTGAGACTGAGAAGGTGGTGGGGAGGAAGGAAGAAGTCACAAAAGAGAATTCAATTCGATATCAGGATAGAACATCAACCATCGCTGTCTCCAAACTCATCATTCATCCATACTTCAAAGTCCCTTTGTCCCCTTCCTCTGTGCTCTGTAGCCTGTCTCCTTTTTACCATATGCAATCACTCTCAGCAAAGCTAATTTCTTCATCTCCACTATCCCCATCTACTTCAAGGGCACCGAATACCAGTTCCCAAGCCTCACGCAATTAAAAAACAAATTAACACCAAAATATTTTTCATACCCAAACAAGACAGTACCTTTACATTAATTTATAGAATAATTTTAGTACTGCCTTGTCCAGAACCTCATTTTTCTTTTTCTTACTTTTATCTAAGGCCCATTTTGTAACTTACCCCAAATCAAAATCTACTCAGAAAGGTGAATTCACATTTTCAAGTATCAGAAGAAAAAGAAACAGCAGTTTTTGGAACAGATTTCATTTACTTGCTTCATAGAGAAGTTCAAGAATTAGGCAGGAGTCTGACAAGGTCACTGTGCTGCTCTCATGATCAGCAGTTCTCCAAGTGGAAGGAGGATGATTTAAAAATAATGTAGAAAAATAATGCTCTCTTTTCCATAGCAAATCTTTCCAGGGTGGCTTATTTTTCTCTCCCATTATTTAAGTATGCTCCAGCTTTGAAAATAAGTCTTGTAGAAGACATTTATTTCTTCATTCATTCAGTATATTTATTGTACATCTATTATATGTCAAGCACTCTGCTTAGCAGGGGAAGATAGTAAAGTCATAGAGAAAGACAGGAGCAATATCATTAAGGGCTTTGTAGGACATGTTATCGCTTTTTATCTTTATCCCGAAAGACATATAAATTCATTGAACGATTGTCATCGGAGAGTAGAGAGAACACAGGCCTCTGAATTGTGCACTTTTTTATGGCATGAGAATTGTATCTTAATAAAGCCATTATTAAAATAATTTATAGGCAATATTTTAAAAACTACATGTGTATTAAATGAATTTCTAATCTACTATATTAAAGAAATAAAAGGGCTAGGCGCATTGGCGCACACCTGTAATCACAGCACTTTGGGAGGCCAAGGCAGGTGGATCACGTGAGGTCAGGAGATCCAGAACAGCCTGAGCAATATGGTGAAACCCTGTTTCTACTAAAAGTACAAAAATTAGCCTGGCTTGGTGGCACCTGCCTGCAGTCTCAGCTACTAGGGAGGCTGAGACAGGAGAATTGCTTGAACCTACGAGGCAGCGGTTGCAGTGAGCTGAGGTCACACCACTGCACTCCAGCCTGGGTGACAGAGCGAGACTCTGTCTCAAAAAAAAAAAAAAAAAAAGAGAAAGAAAAGAAAGGAACAGAAAAAAAAGAGAAAATGCTCTCACTATCTCTGCAAGCATCTCCATTGACATCATATTTCTTGTATTTTATTCTGTAAGACCAAACATGATACAGTGTGGTTGATGCAGACCGAAAGCAAAAGAGAAAATTAAAACACTCTGCTTAATAAATGTAAAGGATAGGTAAGAGGATAATATCAAAATCAACAAATTTGTGAACATCACGCTACTGGAAATTTGGCAAGAATCCATTAGTTATTTCAGAAGAAAAATTGTTAATGTGTGGAAGAGTATAACTGGGCCTGATTCCTCTTGAAAATGTATCATAATCCACACTTGTTCAGCAGGTGAGGCACCATCTGTACAGTGCTCATGGATCATTAACTGTCACGCTGTAATAAATTACACAATTAAACAGTTTTGCTCAATGTAATTTTGTTAAAAATGAATACCATTGATGACGCCTAAAAGTGCCACAGGATTGGTTTTGGCAACTGTCATAAAACTGCCTGCAATCCCCACACTATGGACATGTGGGTGTGAGGAAAATAAGAACAAAGGCCCAGCCATCCCTGTTAACATAAGAAGATGATCAGGAGGTTCCAGAGGTCCCTGTGGACACAAGCATGCAAACTCAGAGCTTCTTTATTTTCTTGTATCAGTGCAACCTAGCACACCGGACTGGATTCCAATATTGGCAAGTCAAAAGCAACAGCACCAAGAACTCCACATTGCCCACTCATTCAATCTCACTTTGTCATTATTGAACTTAAATGTGGTCAAGTGTGAATTTCAGCTCCATTGTACCACCATTCTTGCTTTACCTGCAATCTCTTCTTGCCCACAGTGCTAATTTCCATACTGGTGAATTAGAGGAGTACTTACTGAGTATTATGACATTGTGACAGAGTGGGGTTTCTGGTCTCAGCGCCATTCTTATGTCCTCACAGCCTTCATGGAGGTGTCACTTTTCCCACCTAATCTGGAGTATCAGCCTCTGCCTCTACTGTGGATGTTCCAAGTTGTCTATCTTGTGGTCTACCGTCTAAGCACAAGCAATTTGTTGTTGCTCTGTCGTCCTTCTACCCTCCCCACCTCCACCTCCATACGCACTGACTTGTTGGCTCTCCCTGGTAGTACCAGTCCTCTGAGAACCATCTATGCACTACCACTTGTTCCACACAGGTGCTCTCCTGTCTACAACCTCTGCCACAGGGCTCCCTTGTTCCTTCTCCCTCACAACAATGACACCCTAAAACAACATGCCATCACCCACTTTCTCATCCATACTCTTTGTTTCTGTTGTTGTGCGTGGATCTGGAATGGCATGGGAAGGCAAAGAATCCAGAGAGCACAGGACAATTTTGTACATCTTCCCCTTTTTGCAGAAACCAAGAAACTCATGATGGGGAGTGGGCTGTTTGAAGCCCTCTCTGCCTACATATGGCCCAGGCCATTTCTGTTCTACTACAGCTGTCACAGACTGCATGGAAAAGAGTTTTCAGAAAGTTATCTCCTCCTAGAGAATCCCATTCAAATCACCTAATTGACTTTTTTTTAGATTTATTCTGCCCTGTCTGATAGAGTACAGCATGCAGGAGCTCGCCATGCTGCCAGATGATGGGAAAAGAATAACAGATAAAAGGAATTAAAATATATCTGAGTTTAACGTAAAATCATGATATATAACATGCTGCTGTTATTACTGTCATCATTGTTGTTATTACTCATTATTCTAGCCACTTCCTTCCCAGCATGGTAGTTGTCAGGATGTTTCAGAGACTCACTAACAATGCCATCATTTCCTAGTATCACAAGAGGAGGAAGGACTGGGGTTCACTTTCTACCCTTTGCTCTGCGAGAACTCACGTAGAAAGAACCATAACATTAAGTCCCACACAAACAGGAAAAAAAAAAAAAAAAAAAAAAAAACTCCATTTAGGGGCAGGCCAAAATAGTAACAGTTGACTTGACTTAACCTAAAAGTCACATTTTGAACCTAGATATAATAGAAAAAATATCTACATATGAAAAGAGAGCTATAGTGGAGCCTATAAATTTGCTCACGAGATCAACAGAAATTCACCCCAGATGAGGATTTTTAAAATTTTTTATTGGCACATTACAATTTTACATATTTATAAAGTACAATTTAATATATTAATACATATATATGTTGTATAATGATCAAATCAGGGTACTTAGCATATTCATCACTTCATGCATGTATCATTTCTTGATGGTGAGAACATTCAAAGGCCTCCCCTTGGGCTATTCTGTAATGTACAATGCCTTACTGTTAACCACACTCACCCTACTTTACAATGGAGCCCCACAACTTATTCTTCCTCTCTAATTGTAACTTTGGACCCATTGACCAACCTCTCCCCATCATCCTCTTCCTTCCCTACTCACTACTCGCTGCTTCTGTGGTCTCTTGTTTTCGTTTTTTGTTTGCTTGTTTAATTCCACATGTGAGTGAAATCATGTAGTATTTGGGTATTTGTCTTCTGTGTCTAGCTTTTCAAATTTAACATCATAAAGGGGATTTTAAGTTACAACATAATATATCTTGCCTCATAATTTGCTGAGGGTTACAGAGGATAGTGAAATATAGGATTTCTTATTTTTCCAGCAATCTCAGCCTTTAACCCAGCAACTAGGATATATGGGGTAATTATTAAATGTCTGTTGTTTTGGCTTTAGTTGAAATGAATTAAAATTTACTTGACAGAAACTAGCAGATTACAAGTAAACACAAAAAGAGATAAAAGTCCAATGACATTTTTCAAAACATTTTTTTAGAGATGGGGTCTCGCCCTGTTACCCAGGCTGGAGTGCAGTGGCATGATCATAGCTCACTGCAACCTCAAACCCCTAGATGTAAGCAATCCTCCAGCCTCAGCCTCTGGAGTAGCTAGAACTACAGGTGCATGCCACTGTAACTGGCTAAGTTTTAAAAACATTTTGTACAGATGAGATATCACTTTTTTACCCGGACTGGTCTGAAGCTCCTGGCCTCAAGCAATACTCCTGCCTTGGCCTCTCAAAGGGCTGGGATTACAGGCATGAGCCACTGCCTAATCCAGAGACTTTTAATCTGGGGGGAAACAGAACTTCATAGATGACAACGACTATATTTGAGGACTGCACAATAATTTATATCAATAACAATAATACTGAGTCACAAAGGAAAGGCAAAATTATGATCAAACTCTAAAAAGGCAACATATCATATGATATATTTTTGAAAAGTTGTTTTGTTGTTTTTTAAATATAGAGTTGCTGAAAATAAAATCATTCAGTTTTCATAAGACATGCTTTGGCTTTCTGGAAACTTCATTGACGTGCAACAGTTCTTTCTCTGATTTTCTAGGTATGGAATCATGTCATCTTTGTAGATGACATGATACCTATTTTATTTATTTCCATGGTTCCTATTCTAGATTACATCATTCCTCTCTTCCTATTTGTGTTTGTGTGAATATATATATATATACTACTATATATATACATAATACTATATATAAAATACTATATACACACACACACACACACACACACACACACACACACACACATATACATAGAGAGAGAGAGACAGACAGACAGAGACAGACAGACACAGGGCTTCACCATGTTACCCAGTCTTGAACTCCTGAGCTCAAGCCATCTGCCTGCCTTGGACTCCCAAAGTGCTAGGATTACAGGCATGAGCCACTGCGCCCAGCCCCTCTCTTCCTATTTGGATACCTTTTAATTCTTTCACTTGCCTGATTGTTTCGGCTGAGATTTCCAGTACTATGTTGGATAGTAATTGTGATAGTGGGAATCCTTGTCTTGTTCTGGGTCTCAAGGTGAATTCTTCTAGTTTTTGCTCATTTAGTATGTTGTCTGTGAGTTTGTCATAGATGGCTCTTATTTTTTTGAGTTATGCTCTTTTGCTGCCTAATTTGTTGAGAATTTTAAGATGAAGGGATGTTGAATTTTCTCAAAAGCTTTTTCTGCATCTATTGAGATGGGTGTGTAGTTTTTGGTTTTAGTTCTGTTTATATGATAAATCCCATTTATTGATTTGTGAATGTTGAACTAAATTTGCATCCCAGCAATAAAGCTTACATGACCATGGTGGATTAGTTTTTTGATGTGATGCTGGATTCAAATTACTAGTACTTTGTTTAGAATTTTTGCAACTATGTTCATCAGGGACATTGGTCTGAAGTTTTCTTTTTTTCTTGTGTCCTTACCAAGTTTTGGTATCAGAATGATGCTGGTCTAATAGAATGAATTTGAGAGTAGTCCCTCATCAATTTTTGGAACAATTTCAGTAGGATTGGTACTAGCTCTTCTATGTCTGGTAGAATTCAGCTGTGAATCAGTATGATCCAGGGCTTTTTTTAGTTGGTAGGTGTTTTGTTTGTTTTGTTCATTTTGTTTTGTTTTTTACTAATTCAATTTTGGAACTAATTATTGGTCTTTTCAGGATTTAAATTTCTTCCTGGGTCAATCTTGGAAAGTTTTATGTTTCCTGGATTTTGTCCAGTCTCCTAATTATTCAATTTTGCATGCATAGAGGTATGCATAATAGTCTCTGATATGGTTTGGCTGTGGCCCCACCCAAATCTCATCTTGAATTGTAGTTCCCATAATCCCCACATCATGGGAGTGACCGAGTGGGAAGTAATTGAATCATGGGGGTAGTTATCCCCATGCTGTTCTTGTGATAGTGAGATCTCATGAGATCTGATGGTTTAATAAGGGGCTTTTTCCCTCTTTGCTCAGCACTTCTCCTTCCTGCCACCATGTGAAGAAGGATCTGTTTGCTTCCCCTTCCACCATGATTGTAAGTTTCCTGACGCTTCCCAAGCCCTGTGGAACTGTGAGCCAATTAAATCTCTTTTCTTTAAAAATTACACAGTCTTGGACAGCTCTTCGTAGCAGCGTGGGAATGGACTAATGCAGTAAATTGATACTGAGGTAGTGGGGCACTGCTGTAAAGATACCTAAAAATGTGAAAGCAACTTTGGAAATGGGTAACAGGCAGAAGTTGCAACAGTTTGGAGGGCTCAGAAGAAGATAAGAAGATGTGGGAAAGTTTGGAACTTCCTAGAGACTTGTTGAATGGCTTTGACCAAAATGCTGATAGTGATATGGACAATAAAGTCCAGGATGAGGTGGTCTCAGATGGAGACGAGGAACTTGTTGAGAACTGGAGTAAAGGTCACTCTTGCTATGCAGAGAGACTGGTGGCATTTTTCCCTGCCTCAGAGATCTGTGGAACTTTGAACTTGAGAGAGATGATTGGGGGTATCTGGCAGAAGAAATATCTAACTGGCAAAGCATTCAAGAAGAAGCAGATCATAAAAGTTTGGAAAATTTGCAGCCTCATGATCCAATAGAAAAGGAAAAAAAAACATTTTCTGGGGATAAATTCAAGCTGCTGCTGCAGGAATTTGCATAAGTAATGAGGAGCCAAATGTTAATCACCAAGACAATGGGGAAAATGTCTCCAGGGCATGTCAGAGATTTTTGGGACAGCCCCTTTCATCACAGGCCTGGAGGCCTAGGAGAGAAAAATGGTTTCCTGGGCTGGGATCTGGGGCCCCCTGCTCTATGCAGCCTCAGGACAGGGTGCCTTGCAACCCAGCTGCTTCGGCTCCAGTCGTGGCTAAAAGGGGCCAAGGTACGGCTCAGGCCATTGCTCCAGAAGTTGCAAGCCCAAAGTCTTGGCAGCTTCCACATGGTGTTGATCCTGTGGCAGCACAGAAGTCAAGAATTGAGGTTTGGGGACCTCCATCTAGATTTCAGAGGATGTATGGAAAACACCTGGATGTCCAGGCAGAAGTTTGATTCATGGGTAGAGCCCTCATGGAGAACCTCTGCTAGAGCAGCATGGAAGGGAAATGTGGGGTCAGAGCCCCCACACAGAGTCCCCACTGGGGCAATGCCTAGTAGAGTGGTGAGAAGAGGGCCACTGTCTTGCAGGCTCCAGAATGGTACAGCTTACACTGTGCACAGGCATATCTTACACTGTGCACCTGGAAAGCCAGAGACACTCAACACCAGCCTGTGAAAGCTGTCGGGAGGGGAGCTGTACCCTGCAAAGCCACAGGGGTGGAGCTGCCCAAGGCCATGGGTGCCCACCTCTTGCATCAGTGTGACCTGGATGTGAGACATGGAATCAAAGGAGATCATTTTGGAACTTTAAGATTTAATGACTTTCCTATTGGATTTCAGACTTGCTTGGAACCAGTGTCCCCTTTGTTTTGGCCAATTTCTCCCACTTAGAATGGGTGTATTTACCCAATGCCTTTACCCCCATTGTATCTAAAAAGTAACTTGCTTTTGATTTTACAGGCTCATAGGAAGAAAGGACTTACCTTATCTCAGTTGGGACTTTGGACTTGAACTTTTGAGTTAATGCTGGAATGAGCTAAGACTTTGGAGGACTGTTGGAAAGGTATAATTGGTTTTGAAATGTGAGGACCTGAGATTTGGGAGGTGCCATGGAGGAATGATACAGTTTGGCTATGTCCCCACCCAAATCTCATCTTGAATTGTAGTTTCCATAATCCCCATGCATCATGGGAAAGACTGGTGGGAGATAATTGAATCATGGTGCTTGGTTACCCTCATGTTGTTCTCATGATAGTGAGTTCTCACAAGATCTGATGGTTTTATATGAGGCTTTTTCCGCTTTGTTCAGCACTTTTCCTTCCCGTCACCATGTGAAGAAAGATGTGTTTGCTTACCCTTCCTCCATGATTTTTAAATTTCTTAAGCCTCCCCAGCCCTGCACAACTGTGAGTCAATTAAATATCTTTTTTTATAAACGACCCAGCCTCAGGCAGTTCTTTACAGCTGATTGAGAATGGACTAATACAATGTCTGAGGGCTTTTTTGTATTTCTTTGGAGTTGGTGGATATGTTACCTTTGATATTTCAAATTGTGTTTACCTGGATCTTCTTTTTTTCTATATTAATCTAGCTAGTGGTCTGTCAATCTTATTTATTTTTTCAAATAACCAACTATTGGTTTCACTGATCTTTTATATGGATTTTTGGTCTCCATTTGTTTCAGCTCAGCTCTGATTTTGGTTATTTCTTTTCTTCTGCTATCTTTGGGGTTGGTTTTCTCCTGTTTTTTTCCTAGTTCCTCTAAGTGTGATGTTAGGTTGTTAATTTGAAGTCATTCTAACTTCTTGGTGTAGGAATTTGGCACTATAAATTTTTCCCTTAACACTGCTTTAGTTGTGTTCCAAAGATTCTGGCATGCTGTTTCTTTGTTTTCATTAGTTTCACATAATTCTTTTAAATTTCTGCCTTAATTTCATTGTTTACCCAAGAGTCATTCAGGAGCATGTTAATTTCCATGTAATTGCATTGTTTTCATAGATCTTCTCAGGTTGATTTCTATTTTTATAGTCCTGTATTCTGAGGGTGTGGTTGGTATAATTTCAGGTTTTTTGAAATTTGTTGAGAATTGCTTTTTGCCAAGTAAGTGGTCAGTTTTAGATGTGCTATGTGCATATGAAAGGATTGTGTATTTTGTTGTTTAGAGTATTCTGTAGATGTCTGTTAGGTTCATTTTGTCAAGCGTCCAAGTTTACGTCTCAAATATCTTTGTTAGTTTTCTGCCTCAATAATCTATCTAACACTGCCAGTGGGGTGTTGATGTCTTCCACTATTATTGTGTGCCCAAAGGCTCCTAGAACTGATAAACAACTTCAGTAAAGTTCCACAATGCATAATAAATGTACAAAAATCAGCAGCATTTCTATACACCAATGACATCCAAGCTGAGAAACAGATGAAGAGTGCAATCCTATTTACAACAGCCACAAAAAGAATAAATCACCTAGGAATACAGCTAATCAGGGAGATGAAAGAGCTCCACAATGAGAATTATGAAACACTGCTGAAAAACATCAGAGGAAACACAAATGGTAAAATATTCCATGCTCATGGATTAGAAGAATCAATATTGTTATAATTGCTATACTATCCAAAGCAATTTAAATATTCAATGCTATTCCTATCAAACTACCAATAATATTCTTCACAGAACTAGAAAAGACTATTTTCAAATTCATATTTAAAAAAGAGCCTAAATAGCCAAGATAATCCTAAGCAAAAAGAATAAAGCTAGAGAGATTACATTACTTGACTTCAAACTATACTACAAGGCTACAGTAACCAAAACAGCGTAGTACTGCTACAAAAACTGAGATTTACACCAACTGAATAGGTTAGAAAGCCCAGGAATAAAGCTGCATACCTATAGCCATCTGATTTTTGACAAAGCTGACAATAACAAACAATGGAGAAGGGACACTCTATTAAATAAATGGTGCTGGGATAACTGGCTAGCCTTATGCAGAAGGTTAAAACAGGAACCCTTCTTTATATAATATACAAAAATCAACTCAATATGGATTAAATACTTAATGTAGGACATAAAACTACAAAAATCCTAGAAGAAACCTAGGAAATACCCTTCTCAACACAGGCCTTGGCAATGATTTCATGACAAAGTCCTCAAAAGCAATTGCATCAAAAACAGACACATGGGACCTAATTAAAGAGCTTCTGCATAGCGAAAGAAACTATCAACAGAGTAAACAGACAATCTACACAGTGGGGGAATATTTGCCAACTATGTGTCTGACAAAGGTCTAATATCCCGAATCTATCATTAATCTAAGCAAATCAACAAGCAAAAAACAACCCCATTAAAAAATGGGCAAAGGACATTAACAGACACTTCTCAGAAGAAAAAAAATACACGCAGCCAACAAGCACATAAAAAAAAATCCAGTATCACTACTCATTAGAGAAATGCAAGTCAAAACCACAATGAGATACCATCTCACACCAATCAAAATGGCTATTATAAAAAGTCCAAAAATAAGTGATGTTGGTGAGGTTGCAGAGAAAAGGGAATGCCTATACACTGCGAGTGAGAAGATAGATTAATGTAGACATTGTGGAAAGAAGTTTGGAAATTTCTAAAAGAACCTTATACAGAATCACCATTTGATCCAGCAATCCCATCACTGGGTATATATCCAAAGGGATATAAATAATTCTACCAAAGAAACACACATGCCCTTGGTTGTTCATTGTAACACTATACACAGTAGCAAAAACATGGACACCTTAGATGTCCTTAGATGTCCATTAGCAGTGAATTGGATGAAGAAAGTGCTGTACATATATACCACAGAATACTACATAGCCATTAAAAAGAATGAAATCTTACCTTTTGCAACAACCTGGTTACAGCTGGAGGCCATTATCCCAAAGTTAATTAATGCAGAAACAGAAAACCAAATACCACATGTACTCAATTATAAGTGGGAGCTAAACATTGAGTATACGTGAACACAAAGACAGACACAATAACTGAGGCTTACTTGAGGGGGAGGGGTGGGAGGAGGATGAGAGTCAAAAAGCTACCAATTGAGTACTATGCTCACTCCCTTGGTGGTCAAATAGTTTGTACTTAAAACCCCAGCAACACAAAATCTATACATGTAACTAACCTGCACATGTAGACCCTGAACCTACAATAAAATTTGAAATTTTTAAAAAAGTTCTTTCTCTGAATATTCTAGATATAATTAATACTATTCTGGTTAATTATCTGGAAAATAATGCTAAATGAAGTGAGACATATTTTTTTAAAAAACTTCCATTTATAAGAACTCTAATTACAATAGTTTCCATGGTATAAGAGTCCGAATGGGTGTGAACCCCCAAAATTCCTATGTTGAAATCCTATCTCCCAATGTGATGATATTATGAAATGATATCTTTGGGAAGTAATTAGGTCATGCATGAAGCACCCACATGAATGAAATTAGGACCCTTATAATAGGGACTCCAAAGAACTCTCTTGCCCTCTTTCTGCCATGGGAAGACACAATGAGAAGTTGGCAGTCTGCAGCCTGCGAGAGCACCCCGCTAGAAACCAAACAATGTTGTCATCTTGATCTTGGATTTCTAGCCTGCAGAACTGTGAGAAATAAATTTCTTTTGTTTATAAGCCATCCAGTCTATGCTACTTCATTTTAGCAGTCTGAACTGACTAAGACTCGGGGCATTTACAAATCAACTACTTTCAACAAGCAACGTGTCATCATTTGTTCCTAATGAAGTGCAATTCTGGAACAGGGAACAACATATATTCCTCCCACATGACCACATTTTGTAAATAATCCTGGACCTCTCTGATTCAAAGAAGGGAAGACATTGTAGGATTAAGTTGTGCTTTTAACAGACTGGAATATATGGATGGTCAGTTCCAATATGAAATACAAAGGATATATCACACACAAACTATCCAAAAATGTTTTAAAATTTGGGTATATTGATCAGTAGAATTAGAAACCAACAAGAATTTAACTGTGACCAACTGGAACATACAACAAATGATGGAAAAAGAAAATAGGAGTTTTTCACAAAGTCATTTGGGAATTTAGCTTTATTTGCATACTAATTATTTTAATAAATGTTCACTTTTCACTATTCTGTAACAGGAATTGGGTGGAGAGTACATATAAAATAGTTAATGACAGACATGGCTGTTGACTACTCAAAAATATAGAAAGTCCAGCTGCTCCAAGGACTCTACTTCTACAAGTGACTTCAAGCCCAAAGTACAAGGGATTCCCCAAGAGAGGTTTTGGATTTTTCTCAACCAGTCTGTAGTGACTTGAATTGTGATCCAAATCAAAGGAAATGAAGGATCCTGCAAACCAATCCATGGGCCAACCCTCTAATCATCCCATTAGGCCTCCTGAATTTGTCATTATTTCTTCTTACACAGCTCTGTCCCTTCTTTTCTACCTGGCCAAAGCAACTACTTCTTCAAAGAGTAAATAAATTGCCACTTTTTCTCTGAAGCCCTTCTTGAAATTCTATTAACTAGAATTAATCATATCATGCCTCTTATAGTGTTCCGTATGTGCTTTTAGTAAATCACTTAAGAGGTTGCAGTTATGGGTTATTATTTTGCACTCTATATGCATTCATAGAAGTTAGAGATACTGTCTTAACCATTCTCACATAATCAACTTCCAGAACTATTCCTGTTTATAAAAGGCTTTCAACAATAGTGACTCCATTTATGAGAATGCACAATGAACCAGAGGAGCATAAGGATTTACTTACCTAAGGCAGTTCAAACTTCTTTCCCAAGGGTGCACTTTAAAAGAGTGGATCAGCACCAAGGTCTCACCAAAGGAATGAGCAGAGCTGCAACAGTAAACGTCCTTTGACAGGCACTGAAGGGCTAAAGCAAGGCTGTTTCAGCCATGGTGTGCTCATAAAAGTAAGAACCACAGAAAACCTCAATGTATTATGGATGTGATTCTGAATACAGGGAGGATATTCTAGGTACTATCTGAGCTGAGTAAGAGAGAAGTCCTCAGCCTTTAGAATTGAGAAATGGCCAAAGACACTAAACAGGAAAGGAAACCCGGTTGAGATGAGGCTCTTTGGCCTAAGTTCCATTATGCCATATTTCAGTAAGTAGTATAGAGAAACAAATGCCACAATTGTAATCAATTTTTTAAAAACTTTCATGTTCTTAATTTGCCATTTATTTTGTAATTTTCTTCTCAAAGATTCATTTTCTGACTTAAAAATGTTAAGTTTCAGATGATTTTTGAATGATTACATTATGTAATATACATAAATGTTCTTGGCTCATGCACACAGTAGGAATGCAATAAATTTTGGTTGGATCTGAATAAATTGGCAAGCACAATTTTCTTAATGCCACTGTCTGGATACTTGTTGATGGGTGAGCCAGAAACCTAGATAAGAATTCAATATGGCTTCAGAAACTGAAACAAGCTCTTTTCATTCATAGACTGAGGCGATGAAGTCTTCCAAAATCAGGTAACAATACATAGAATGAAAAGACAGAGCTAGAAGCAATCTTGTGTCCCAAGATTACCTGTGTCCCAATTAACTCACACTAACCGATGTTTTATTTTAAATATGACGTAACTAAAACATTTCCTGAGAGCTTTGCATTTCTCTGCAATGAACTGTGCTCACCACTTTACAACAATGAGACCACCCAGCCATGTACCTTTTCTTTCTCTAATGCTGTTGGAAATATTCCTAAAACACATTATTCCCCCTTTATGCCTTAGCAGATGCTGTCCAGCAAACATAATTGAATCTTTCTATGATGAGTGAACATCTTGCTGTGCCTTGTAGGAATCATTTGGAATCTTCAGGATTGAGGTACACTGTTATAGTTGTACATATATAGAATAAAGAAGATTGGTCTCTATTTGACCCCAGGACATACCTTGAAAAGTTATTCTTTTGTAAAAAAATCCTTTTTTACAGCTAATTGTATTGGAATTTTCTCTACTAAAATTAAGCACAGAAGAAACACAATCTCAGTTAATTGAGGCTTTATTGGATTCCCAATGATAGGGTTAAAATGTACCTTATTTTGGGATAGCAGCTTTGGAATCAGAATGTGGAAAATGGTCTTGCAAATATACCCCTGGATTCTTTATCACAGGGAGAGATTTTATATAATATCTTCTATTAACTGTTAAAGAATTGGAAATAAAGAATTACTGGAGAGTTTTGATAAGCCTCTTTCTCAAATGTATTGACAATTGTCTGTATCTTTTATAAGGTGCAGGCATTTTTTTTCTTATTCTCTTGAAAATATTTGATTCAGAATATGAAACTGCCAAGTCATGCTTCATTTATCTCAGTCTATTGTCTACTAAGTGTGACTGGATAATTGGAAATCCCTTGATCTTTAATGATTACTCTAATGCCTCCATGTGCTTCGCACAGCCCCTCTGAGTTACACAGCAGTCTACAAAGCATTAAAGAGAAGCACCAGGACTATTTTTAATAGAAATGTCTTGCTACAGTGGTTTTGTAACGTGAACACATTTTTACTTTGAAAACTAGGCATTTCAAAATGATTGCGTTCGCCTCAAAATAAATCCGGCATGTACAACGTCTATATAGTGGCAAGTGACCAGGGATAGGGGCTACAATTAGTAAATAAAGTCTAGAGTCTCTGCCACAGTGCTAGGTGACCACATTTCTTTACGTGTTTACTTACTTATTTTTCCTATTTATTGACTTCACAAAAAAAAGTATAGATAGGCAGGTTTAAAAATCACATTAATTTTAGGTGTTCTACCCTACATCACTCCCCTCATGAATGATTTAGTTTTCTGATGGATACACACTTGACGAAATTATTCACTTAATTAAATGATGTTCTCTAAGTCTGAAAATTTTAATATGGAAGTGTCTAACTTGCTTGAACACAGCTTACCTAAACAAAAATAATGTTCTTATCTTAGCCATCATTCCAGCTGTACATTTTATAATACGTGTTATTTCTATGTCTTTTACTGACATTAAAATGGATACTTCTACAGAGAGATAAATATCATATATTCTCACTCATATGTCGGAGCTAGAAAATAATTGAACACATAGAAATGGAGAGTAGAACTGTGGTTGTGAGAAGCTGGAAAGACAGGAGGGAAGGATAAGGAGAGATTGGTTAACAATAAGTTACAGCCAAATGGGAGGAATGAGTTATAGTGTTCTGTAGCATTTTAGTTATATAAATATAATTTAGTTATGTAAATATAGTTAACAACAATGTATATTTTCAAAAAGCTAGAAGAGAGAATTTTGAACGTTCATAACACAAAGAAATGATAAATGTTCAAAGTGGTAGACATGTTAATTACAATCATTACACATTATAATCATGATACATTGTATACAATCATTACGCATTGTATACATGATTGAAATATCACTTTGTGTCCCATATAGATGTACAATTATGGTCAACTAAAAATAAAATGAAAAAATTTCATTTTCCAAATTTTTAAAAGCACATTTGTTGTACAAAAAGAAAATATACCTTTATACTTAGAATTGTACTGGACATGATTGCACCCTCTACCTCCACTTCACTCAAGCCTCATAAGAGGAATGCTTTTAACTCCCATTCCTGGCATAAGGGATATTCTAATGGAATCTTGATTTCCCCCAAGGTAGATCTGGCCTAAATTTCTTCCCCAGTAGGCTCAGAACGAACTTACACAGGAGGCAGATAATGTCCGCACTGATACACCTTCCTTCACAAGCGTTAGACAGTGGGATAACGTCCCAGTTAGAGAGGTGGAAATCTGTTCCACTTTTCAACCACTTCTTTATGACTCGATGCATTACCATACCCTAGTGAGCTGAAAAGATCTGTTATATCATACAGTGGCCCCAAATCCCCTTTCTACCCTGCTCGCTCTCAAGAGGAATGTTATGGTGGGTGACTTCTCACATTTCCAGAGCAATCAAAAGTAATTAGTAGCTCTTTTGTGCTATTGAAATTCCTGATGTTTCTACTATTCCCCACCTCATAAAATAGGCACAGTAGGGAAAAGTGGCATTCTTTAGGGTTTTTAGGCCACAAACTATTTTAAGTGTACAGGATAGTCAACATTTATATGAGAAAACTTCTTGCCTCAGTTTGTAGTAGGTTACCCACAAAGGGAGCAGGCTTACCTTTCAGAATCAATGTTAAGGTTATCAGAACAGGAAAGGACACTGTTCTCTTGGTCAGGTTTTACTCACTATTCTAGATCCTGAATTGGGAAAGGGCCCTGTGAGCTTTTTCTAAGGAATCCTAATTCACAGGGAAATGAAAAGGAAATTAATTTCTAGTCTAAAAGTTACAGTGCAAACTTGGCCTTCAGGGTAGCCTAGGGCTGTGGTTCTCAAAGTAAGGCCATCAACCAGGAGCACACAGGGCATGACTTGGATCTATTGTCTACTCTATTCAGGCTGCTATAACAAAAATATCATAGGTTGGATGGCTTGTAAACAAAAAGTTTATTTCTCATACTTCTGGAAGCTGTGAAGTCCAGTATCAAGGAGCCAGTAGATTCACTGGGTCGTTCATAGACAGCTTCTCCATGTGTCTTCACATGAGGGAAAGGGAAAGTGACCTTTCTCAGGTCTGTTTTCTAAGGGCACTAATCTCCTTCTGTCAGACACGGTGGCTCAGGCCTGTAATCCCAGCACTCTGGGAGGCTGAGGCGGGAGGATCACCTGAGGTGAGGAGTTTGAGACCAGCCTGGCCAATATGGTGAAACGTCGTCTCTACTAAAAATACAAAAAAAAAAAAAAAAAATTATCTGGGCACAGTGGGGGGTGCCTGTAATCCCAGCTACTCAGGAGGCTGAGACAGCAGGAAAATCGCTTGAACCTGGGAGACGGAGGTTGCAGTGAGTCGAGATAGTGCCACTGCACTCCAGCCTGGGTGACAGAGCCAGACTCCATCTCAATGAAAAAAAAAAATCCATAAACAAATAAACAAAAAACAAATAAGGGCACTAATCTCCTTCATGAAGCCTCTGCCCTCATGATCTAATCACCTCCCAAAGGCTGCACTGCCTAATATCTTCACCCTGGGAGCTAGAATTTTAACACACAGAGGACACAAACCTTTTAGATTTGAGAGGACACGAACCTTTTAGATTGTAGCACCTATAGAATTTAAAATTCTGCAGGTGGGGTCTGCCAATCTGTCCTTAGCAAAACCTCCAGGTGATTCTGAAGAGTCTTTGAATGTACAGAATCAGTCTTTGTGAAAAAGTTTTGTAACTTTGTAGCAAAGTTGTATATTTGGCTCCAGGTAGAGTTATCTGGGACCCTTAGCTTCCTTAAGTGCACCTGAGGGAGGAGTTAGACAGGCATCCTCTCACAGGTAAATTGCTTACAAGCTATTGCCTTAAAAGGGATGAGGTGGGCAGGGGAAATTAAGTTCATTATTTGCAAGTAGGAGTAACTTAAATTTTAGAGATGTATTCTTTTCTATAAAGTAAATAAATATACCACGCGCTTAGAATGAAATTAAATACATTGTTTGACATTCCTGTTAACTGTAAGTATACAGTATTTCTCCCAGTAGAGAAAGTTAGAAAAATAATGAGGAAAGTGAGAAAATAAGTATTTCTCTTTGAAATGCCCTTAAGACGATTTTCACCCTTTAGAGTGATTCAGAAATGCCTTCAGTGTAGGAGCAGTTTAATCTAGCTTAGGAGTCTGTTCACTGAGAATGCACTGGCTTTAGTCAAAACTCATAGAGCAACATTTCTAAGAAATTATTGTATCTTAGAACCTGTTATTAGTTGAATTCCTTTCATCTGGTGAAAAGCACTCTCTATAGCTATCATTTTAAAATGTCAGATAATAACCACACATCTAAATACTGTGAAACTTTGTGGAAAGAACCAATTACTATTAAATCAACAAACTGACTTAAAATTAAAATTTAAATTTTAGGGATTAGAACTTAAGTGGAAAGTTTGGAATCTTTGTTTACTGGAAGAAAAAATACACACAGCCTGAGTGTTCAAATTATTCATGCATCGTTAAAGAGATATTAATTAAAGCTGCTTTTGTCCTGAAAGCACAGTAATAAAAAAAAAATAATTTCCCTGACCTCATGGAAGCTAATTCTAATAAAGGAGACAGAGAAAACAAGTAAATACATAATATGGTGTCAGAAATATGAAATAGGGGCTGGGCACGTTGGCTCATGCCTGTAATCCCAGCACTTTGGGAGACCGAGGCAGGCAGATCACCTGAGGTCGGGAGTTTGAGACCAGCCTGACCAACATGGAGAAACCTCCTCTCTACTAAAAATACAAAATTAGCCAGGCGTGGTGGCACATGCTTGTAATCCCAGCTACTAGGGAGGGTGAGGCAGAAGAATCGCTTGAACCTGGTAGGCGGAAGTTGCAGTGAGCTGAGATCATGCCATTGCACTCCAGCCTGGGCAATAAGAGCAAAACTCTGTCTCAAAAAAAAAAAAAAAAAAAAGAAATATGAAATAGGGTAAAGTGTTCAAGAGGGAAGAAGGCTGGTCACTCTGTTAAGGAGGTCAGTGAGTATCTCTCTGACAAGATGGCAAAGGGGAGTGAGCCAGCTAAAGATCTAGAGAAGGAACATTCTAGCAAGTGCCAAGACCCTGGCATGCAAGTGAAATTGGCCTATTTCTGGAAGATCATAAGGCTGAATCAAATTGAGAAATGAGGATTGATGGGAAATGAGATTGAGAACCAAATGAGGTCTTACAAGTCATGATAAATAAACCAGGTTTATTCTGTTGGTGAAGGAAAGCCATGGAGAGTTTTATCGTGTTTTGTTGTTATGTTTTGCTTTGTGTTTTATAGGGAAGTGGTATGCTATGACTCACAGTTTTTATCAATCACTTTTGTCGCTTTAGGGAGAGTTGACCGCAAAGTGACAAGAGTGAATCAATGATTCCAGCTAGGGGGCCACTTTCATGGAGAGACATGGTAGCCCATCTAGGATAGCGGCTGGGCTGGTGGTGATAAATGGTCAGCTTCAGCATAGATGTTGATAAAAGATTAACACAGTTTGCCAATGGATTAGATGTGGAGTATGAGGGAAATGAAGGAGGAAAAAAATGACTCTTACCTTTTTACTTCAGGGAATATTGGGAAAGTTGAAAGAAGGAGTATGCTTGAGGACTATGTAGGAATCCAAAGCTTGACTGGATGTTGAGTTCAATATTCTATTATTTATTCTAGTACAGATGTTGAGTAGATAGTTACATAGAGGAGTTTGGAACTCACAGAACAAATCAGGGCCAGAGATACCTATTCAAAAGTCAGCAGTGGGTAGAATGCTATTTAAATAGATTGGACAAAAAAAATTGGCTAGGAGGAAAAATAAATAATACATAAATAGATAGGGCTAGATAAGCACTCAAAGACAAGATGCCAGCAAATAATACTAAAAAGAGTAGTCAGTGAGAAAGGAATCCACAAGCAGTTAGTGTTGCAATAAAACATCTTGCTTTAGGCTGAAAGACCACCTTATAGATAAGCACAAACACACGAAGTGGCCCAGGATCTCAGGACTCAATCATCGGTTAAACTATTTTTTTGTTGTTCTTTTAACCTGGTAACAGTGAAGAAAATCAGCCTCCATAGTAGACAGAAGTACATGTCACATAGATAGACTGCGAAAGAAAATATTAGTCTCCACAAAATGATGACGTATTACATTTTAATCCTCTTAGCCAAATACCACGATTGCATTAAAAGGGAGTGATATGGTTTGGCCGTGTCCCCACCCAAATCCCCCTCTTGGATTATAATAATCCCCACGTGTCAAGGGTGGGGCCAGGTGGAGATAATTGAATCATGAAGGTGATTTCACCCATACTGTTTTCATGGTAGTGAATAAGTCTCACCAGAGCTGATGGTTTTATAAATGAGTTCCCCTGCACAAGCTTTTTTTTGACTGCCGCCATGTAAGACATGACTTTGCTCCTCATTCACCTTCCGCCATGATTGTAAGACCTCCCCAGCCATGTGGAACTGAGTCAATTAAACTTCTTTCCTTTATAAATTATCCAGTCTCAGGTATGTCTTTATTAGCAGCATGAGGACAGACTAATACAGGGGGTTATCATCAGTCTAAAAATTGTTTAAAAATTGTTCTTATCAACAATTCAATGTTAACACCACAGATGATTCCATAATGTTTTAGCATTTTGCCATGATCAGCTTATCTCACGATTTAATGTATATAAGAAAATCTAATACTTCATTTCTCTGTTAGGGGACCTTAAGCTGTAGCTCTAGCAAGGCCAATCAGGGAAATGAAAGGTGGTAATTGCCCATCTTCCATTTATGTTCACCCGACTTCATTCTCTTTTGCATGAAATTTTGTTAAACAGTAATTCTTACTCTAAAACTTGAGTCTGTGATACAACCTCTGAAAAAAAATCACTTTTCACATATTTCTAGGCATGAATACATCTAAGTCTACATCAATTTCTACCAATATGTAGACAGACAGTCATATTCCTCCACATAGAAAAACTGGCCTCACTGAACCCTTAGTGTCATCTTTGTGTTCCTTTTCTCCAAGTACCTGGTAAGGTACTAGGTAGCAGAAATCAGAGTATGCCGCAGTTTCCTTACTTGAGTGGAAAGACCTAAATTAAGCCTCTACATAGCACTAGAAGGAATGGAGCCCATCCAGTGACCTATTGGGTATTAGGAACTGAGTAAAGTGGCTATTAATATTATTGCAGAACACAGTGATTGTGGAGAGGGTACTGCTCTTAGACCCAGACAACAGGTGTCCCTACACAAGCCCCAGGTCCTTCAAAGGGCCCTACTCTGGTTCCCCTCCTGTTGCGCCTATCTCTCTCTGTGGGCAAAGAGTCCACAGAACCCATCCCACTTATAACCATGCTGCAAACTCTGTGGGCCCTACAATTCTCTTCTCAAGCTGCCCCAGCTTAGCCCTAAGGCTGGTATAGACAAGTCTTCCCTCTTAGAATGGGCTGTGTTGTCTATGAATGTGTCATATTTTTGTTTAATCAAAAATGTTGACAAATAGTAGCCATTTGGATGGGTATTGGGCATGCAGGCTAGGGTGTCCACACATAAGAGCCTGAGGCACATCAATGGTTCAGAAAGGAGCTGAGGGCAGGAGGAGATGGTGGCAGCACCATCCATCTGGGGGGAGCAGAGGCCAGAGGCTGACCCTCCTTCACTACTGTGTTTCAGCAAAGAACTTCAAATACTTGAGGGATTTTCTATTTGAATCTTCCTTCAACGTATGATGATAGTTTGCTTGTCAATGTAGAGTGAAAAATATTTTATTGAACATTTTGTTAGCTTAATTTATAGTTTCTGAATATTTATGCATACAGTATTTGAATTTCCATTTGTATTAGCTTGGTGCAAAAGTAATTGAGGCTTTTACCATTATTTTGCACCAACCTAATACTTTTACCCTCGCCCCTGCTTCCCTCCTCAGTGTTAGAAGCAAACCTAAGAATTTCTACTTCCTGTTTCTGGTTCTATGGATAAGGTTCACCAATTTTGTGTTATTTATTTTTCTGAACTGATAATTAGGTGATAAGCAAGAGAGTGGCAACGTTAAAGGAAATATAAAAGCTTTGGATGATCTAAAATTTTCTTTTTCCATATACAATATGCACATATACCATTTGCTATACTTTTATGTTAATTAGACATTTTACTATAACGTGATAATAAGACAATTTACCAGTAGCTTGAGTGGTTCTGGCTGAAAAGAACATATATATTTTATGTTATTTTTCTGAGATAACCTGTGAGTGAGCTAAAGTTAAGATATGTTTCTACTGGGTCTTAGTTTCTTGAAAGGTTGCATTATACACATTAATCCTGATACTGACAGCACATCAAAAGAGCATAGATATTAAAAATATATACTCCTATATATTGAAAACTTTAAAAAGTCCCTCTCTTTGGGTGCACCAATGCACTGTGCTGTAAACCAGACAGAGCCCTGCAAACATTGGTCTTTTGCCATCAGAAATAAGAGAAGAGCTCTGTACTTCCACTCTTGTAACAAAGATAATATTCATCATGTCTGCTTTCCCCTTTGGAATTAAGCCACCCTGTTTGGAAATATATTATGAAGCTTTTCCTTACTCAGGGATGGCCAGTAATTGGGTCAGGAATGGCCATCAGATCCAAAGATGATGTTCCATGGCTAATAGGCGGGAATAGTATCCTCTAGGATGAAAATCACCTAGGGCAATCAGATACCTTCTCACTCTGTGTTTCATATTAAAATTATGAAAAGAATTTGGCAAAATGGAGTTTAAGAGACAGGGAGAGGACAGACACCAAAAAAAGAGGCCCATTCTATTCACTGCTATTCCTAGGAACCAGCAGAGCCTCAGAAAACATATAGAGGCCTTGAGACCAGTTCTGGCCAATCAGCACTTTCATGGAGTAAATCCTTCATGGGACAAAGCACCATGGGAAGTTCACTCACATACCCTCCCCTGGGCCAGGAAGTGTCTCTCAGACATGGAAGCGGGGTGAAAAGTCCTAGATCATTCCACTCAAGCACACAGGAGGGGATTCTTAACCCCATATCATCTTAGGCTAAAGGTGGACCATTCCAGATAGAGGAAAGAATTCTTCATATGATTCAGTTGGTTTCAAAACTGAATGGAAACAAACCACAAACTTGTATTCTTCTGTAAATACATTGCCAAATATGTACTACTTAAGAGCATGGGGAAGCCAAGCTCCATCCCCTGGTGTATGAACACAACAGCAAATGAATCCATTCCCAGAACTATGATGGTATCCCTTACCCCTTAGAATATAGGTTAAATTCCTCTCTTCTGTGTTCTCATAGCTCCTAACACTCTCTGCAATTTAACATGCATCATATCAGAATTGGTTGTTCCATCTGTATTCTCTTCCACACCAATGTAAGCTTCAAGCAGTCAGGTGCCTTGTTCTGTCTTGTCAATATTCATATTCCCTGTACCAGGGCAATACCTAGAAGATATTAGGTGCTCAATAAATGTGAGTTGAAGTATATTAAAATAAATTGAATTAACTGTGAGGTTTATTGTTGTTGTTATTTTGATTAAAAAAAAAGGATCCCCACTTTTTTTTTTTACTTTTGTTCTCTCTCAAAATAGAAAATTGGAAGCACTGGATTTGAATGCAGTGGCATGTTTAAGGTAGGTACTCTAAATATGAAGTGTGGCTGGAATAAAAATTGTTTTGTGCTGCTGATTGCAAATTGCTCCTTAGCTTTTATAGTTATATTTCTTCATTTCCTCTATCTTTTTTATTTACCTGCACATATTTTAAAGGCACTTGCATTTCTCAAAAGATGGGCTCAGGTATTTATGCAGTAGACATGTTAAAATTATATTTAGAGACATTTTTTCAACATGGCAGTAGAGTAAGTGCCAGTGTATAAAGAGTAGAAGTGAGAGCCCAAGCAAAAGATACTATCCAATGGCCATCCAATTTAGCGACCACAGAGTAGGGAAGAGGGGTTTGGTGTTAGGAGAAGATACCTTAACCTTTCTCAGAAGGGGAATAACCTCCTGGGTTCACACCTTTGTTTAAATTTCGGAACAAATGCAGAGTAGCCTTCCCTCATAGTTTTCCAACAAATTATATATAGAGAAAAGCAATCTGGTTACAATATGACATTCCTTCTAAGAGTCAATGTGCTTTAGAAAATGTAAAATAACAGAGGTGAGTGTTTTTCGTGACTACCTCTAGATACTTAGGTCATAAGTTGTTGGCGATATTTAACATGCATCCCACACAATGCACATGTGTCAAGAGCAGGAAGCCAGAGTGCTGAGTCCCACAATTTCTGATATGAGCTGGTACAAGGACAGAAAGCACACAGAATGGCAAATGCAAGACGTGCATTTAACCTGCTTGTGGGATTTGGGTTCATCCACAAGGCACAGGGATTTCAATAAGCTCTAGTAGGTGATGGTACATTAATATATTTTTCAACTGAATAAGAATTCACAATAGGAGATTTCACAGTATTACCATTTAAAAGTAATAGATTTACCCATGCCTCTCTAAAAATAGCCTGCAGATAGTTCACACTATTAGCCTTTCTTAAGGGTTATGTCTTGCAGACATGCATTTTAGGTACGTCAAATCTACCTTCCCATATGTGGCATTCCTTTTATGTGATGGAGATCCTAAGGATGTAGAAATCTGTCAGTCAGAAACTGGAGAGTTATTGATACAAAGATCTGATCATACTCTATATGACTACTTGATTAAGTTCTTGTTTAAGGTGAGTGATTGTAAAAGGCAAGAATAGAAAGATAGAGTCCATGTTGGGGTGAGTGGTAGCAATAAACGTTGAGATGCTTGTTTCCATCTGAACACCCCTTCGCCAATTTCTGCTCCAGAGGTACATCAGAGCAAGAACTGCATTAAAAAGTGAGTCCTACAAGAAAGCTGCCAAATTATGTTCCTGAGAAGTGAGAGTTACAGCTACAGTCACCAGTCAACCAGACAGTGCATGAACTCTTTGTATCCTTTATGGACTAAATTGTATCACCCAAAATTTATAGACTGAAGCCATGTGATAGTTAATACTGAGTGTCAACGTGATTGGATCAAAGAATACAAAGTGTTGATCCTAGGTGTGTCTGTGAGGATGTTGGCAAAGGAGATTAACATTTGAGTCAGGGCTGAGAAAGGCAGCCCACCCTTAATCTGGGTGGGCACAACCTAATCAGCTTCCAGCAAATATAAAGCAGGCAGGAAAATGTAAAAAAGCGAGACTGGCCTAGCCTCCCAGCCTACATCTTTCTCCAATGCTGGATGCTTCCTGCCCCTTGAACACCAGACTCCAAGTTCTTGAGTTTTGGGACTCTGGCTGGCTCTCCTTGCTCCTCAGCTTACAGACTGCCTGTTGTGGGACTTTGTGATCATGTAAGTTAATACTTAATAAACTCACCTATATATGTGTGTGTGTGTGTGTGTGTATGTGTGTGTGTGATAAGTTTTTTCCCTCTAGAGAACCCTAATACAGCCATCACCTCCAATACCTAAAGGCAGGGCTTTTAAAGAGATAATTAAAGATAAATAAAGTCATAAATATGGGGCCCTATTCCAATAGGATTGGTGCACTTAGAAGAAGGTATCAGAGTACACACTCACAGAGAAAAGGGAATGTGAGGACACAGAGAGAAGACAGCCATATGCAAGCCAAGGAGAGAATCCTCACGAGAAACCAAACTACCAACAGCTTGATTTGGACTCCAGGCTCCAGAACTGTGAACAATAAAGATGTGAACTTAGGAGGTTATTCCACTTCTGAGGAATAAATTTCTATTGTTTAAGCCACCCAGCCTGTGGTATTTTGTTATGGCAGATCCAGCAGACTAATGCATACTCCTGTCTATGCCAAAATGGTGCTTTGGTTGCTCCAGAAACTACCTAAATTCCTGGCTCTTCTTTTCACTGCCACTTGGCCCGTTTTCTTCCCTTCTAATTGCCTGCTAACTCTTCCCACTGTCTCTCCTCCACCTAAGCAGCCCTCACTCCATGCCTACCTTCCCAACTCAGTGCTTATCTTGTCTACTAAGTTTGGTCTGTAGATGAAGATCAGCAAGGCTTTGAGAGGAACTCAGAGACCCAATGGTTATTTCCTAGTGCCCCAGCCTTCCTCAACTGGGGATGACTTTCACATTCAGTGACCACAAATCCTGGTGAAATGGATGTGTCCTCACCATATCTGTCCATGTAGGTCAGATCGTCTTCAAACAATAATAGCTAATATTTATTAAGTTATTTCTTTGTGTACCAAATTATTTTCAGAGCTTTACATGTATTATCTCAGTAAATCCTTATAATCACTCCACAAGGTAAGTGTTCGATACATGTGAAAAATAAGGCACAAAGAAGATAAGTAACTTGCCCGAGGTCACACAAGTAGGAAACTATCTGACCTTCCAGCATATTGTTTCCAGAATCTGAACCCAGTCTGGAAAGGTCTCAATCGAGTCAAAATCTAGATTGTAACCACCACTCTTTACTTAGTGTAGAAAGATGTCTGTGATGAACAGAAATGGAAATAAATTTTGGAGTTAAAAGGCTTAACTTAGAATAGCATTAGTCTTTATTCTTTGTCAAACCTTTGGGAAAACACTTAACTTTAGTTACGTCATTTTTTATCATGGAAATTGCTATCTGAGAAGGCATGCATGAGTAGTAAGTGAAATAACATGTGGGAAATACTTTGTAAAGACTAAAACACAAATCTGATTGGATTATTAGAAAGTATTGTGCTAAAGTTAAAGCAATATGCAATCTGGAATTCTAAGACCAGGTTTTGAGTTTGCTCTTTTTTCTAAATTTCATCGTTCATAAAATTTTCACTAATGTTCTTGTTATCTAATGCCATGTACCAAACTATATAGTATGACTTAGTGTCTTAACCATTTTAATTTACTAGTGATTTTAGGGGTTGGGATTTAGGAAAATTTCAGCTAGGAAATTGGTCTGGGATCCATGTGGTGTCATCTAGAGCATCTGGGGCTGAAGGATAGACTTCCAAAACAGGTTCTTCGTGATGGTTAATATTGAGTGTCAACTTGATTGGATTGAAGGATGCAAAGTATTGTTCCTGGGTGTGTCTGTGAGGGTGTTGCCAAAGGATATTAACACTTGGGTCAGTGGACTGAGAGAGGCAGACCCACCCTCAATCTGGGTGGAAACCATCTAATCAGCTGCCAGTGCAGGTAGAATAGAGCAGGCAGAAGAACATGGAAAGACTAGACTTGCTGAGTCTTCTGGCCTTCATCTTTCTCCTTTGCTGGATGCTTCCTGCCCTCAAACATCAGACTCCAAGTTCTTCAGCTTTTGGACTCTTGTACTTACACCACCGATTTGCCAGTTAGTCTCAGGCCTTCAGCCACAGACTGAATGCTGCCCTGTTGGCTTCCCTACTTTTGAGGTTTTGGGACTCGGACTGACTTCCTTGATCCTCAGCTTGCAAACAACCTATTGTGGGACTTCACCTTGTGATCTTGTGAGTCAATATTCCTTAATAAACTCCCTTTTATATATACATCTATCCTATTTGTCCTGTCCCTCTAAAGAACCCTAATACATTCTTTACTCATACTCTAATGTGTCAGTATCCCTTTGCCTGGCTCTCCATCTAATGCTTCCTTTTCTAGAGCTTCTTCATGCAGCTTAAACATCTCACAGTGAAGTAGTCTCTGGATACTACTTTGGATACTACTCTGGATAGTTTTACTATGGGTACAACCGCAAGCTTCCAAGAGGCAGGAGGCAGAAGCTCCCAGGCCAGGTAAGAGTTACTCCAGAATTGTCATAGTATCAATTCACTGTACATGGTGAAAGCTGTCATAAGGCCTGCCCAGATCCAGGGAATGGAGAAGCAAACTCAACCATGTGCTGGGGGCATGGCAAGGTCACACTAGAGAAGAGTATGTGAGACAGGAGTTCTTGTTGAGGACATCTTTGGAAAATAGTCTGCCATGACTATGATAAAGAGTTTAATTGAAAGAAACAACTTAAATTGCATTATTCTACACAGATCACTCCTTTGAAGCATGTGATTATTGACTTGTTTACTATATAAATGGACTACTTTAGTTTAAAATTATGAATATTGATATGGTTTGGCTGTGTCCCTACCCAAAATCTCATCTTGAATTGTAATAATTCCTATGTGTCAAGGGCGGGACCAGATGGAGGTAATTTAATCACAGGGGCAGTTACCCTCATGCTGCTCAAGCTGTTCCCAGGATAGTGAGTTGTCACAAGATTTGATGGTTTTATAAGTGGCTTCCCCCTCCAGTGCGCTCTCATTCCTCTTCTTTCTGCTGCCATGTGAAGAGGGATGTATTTGCTTCCCCTTCTGCCATGATTGTTTCCTGAGGCCTCCCTATCCCTGTGGAACTGTGAGTCAATTAAACCTCTTTCCTATATAAATTACCCAATTTTGAATGTGCCTTTATTAGCAGCATGAGAATGGACTAATGCAAATATAAAATAAAAAGCAATGTATTTAATATTCACTCATGCATTTTTCATCAAATATTTATTATATTCTTACTATGTGACCATCACTGAACCAGCACCTTGGGATAGAAATAAGACTGAATTTCTGCCTGAAGCAGCTCACAGTCCAGTGGTATCATTGACCTACTCAAATGATGGATAACGCATATGTATAAATAGATTTATGTAAAACTTCCCTGGTAGTTACTAAGAAATAAATAATAACAGAGTTCAAGAGTGAAAATAGGCCCTTCTCCCCCACAAAGTCTAATTTCTACCCATACTTTTCTTTCTTTTTAGGTTATTCTTGGAAATTAAAATCAGTGTGGTATAGTTAAATTTAACTGCTTTCTAATTATTTTATGTATTTTGGCTCTATCTAATAAATACAAATGCCTGGAAGTCAAACACTGAGGTCCTGAATAACCCTAGAATAATGACGGGCACACAAGTTATAATGAACAAATTCGATTCCTCAAAATCTGAACTGTTATTTAATACTCAGACATGTAGGCACCTGGTGACTCAAACCTTGGTGAAAAATCTGGTATCTATAAAATCTTTATTTTTTTTTTTACTTCAACAAACTATAGTAAAGGTCACAGCAGTGACAGGCTAGCACAGGAAATTTTTACCAAATCACACACAAAAAAGAAAAAGTTTCAAGGATATTTCTAGCACTAAAAATACCCTCAAGGGAAACAGAACCCTATTTGAGCAAATACTCAAAGACAAAACAAAATACACATAAAATGCTTTTAAATAATTACATATACAACTTAAAAGTATTCTAAAAGCAACTGAATAGCAACTTTTCCAGAAGAAAAATCATATTTTCAGGCAAATCCTATTTGTAGCTACTGGTGGTTAATATTCTGATCATGATTACAGTGAACAGTTGACAGAAACGAGGGTAAGTGCGCAAAGGTTGTGAGTTACAGCCATTCGTCATTTTCACATATACAAGCACTTCTCATGTCAGCAAGATAATGGGTTTAATTGCATATTAGTATGTTTATCGTAAATGTATTCCCTTCTCTTTTGCAAACTCACAAAACAATGCACTTCTTGTCCAGATGGTAAGATTACTATTATAGCATGGTTGTGAGTGGCAGTTTTCTCAATGGCTTTGGTTTTTAATTTTCTCTGGAACAACTTTATGTAAATTTACATTAAAATTATTTTATAAAATGTCATACTTGCACTTCTACCCAATAGAACTATGGACATCAACTTATTTCAAGCATGCCTGATAGTTTTATCACATGTCTACTGGTGTACATACCTTTTTCCTCCAGAACAGAGTGCTGGGAGGCTGAGATGTCCCATCCAAATCATCCCTAAGATTTATACTTTTTTTTCTTTCTTTTGCAATAGAACATTAAAAAACACTGTTGAAAATCATTTTCTTATTAAAAAGCATCAGAGTTTTGTGTTTAAAACTTATCTGCCTAACATTCAAGATTGCTTCCAACTTTGTCTTGTAGTTAATTTCACTAGTGATGACTGGTCCTAATGTCAAATCAGAATAAAAGGGGCCTCCTCAAATTATCTGTGTATAGTTATGGAGAGAATACCTCATATTTGTTATGGAGAGATTTCTGTTTCTGCTGATAACAAAAGGTGCCCTTCCTATTTGAAATTTAATCAATAATCATGCTCAGGGAATGAACCAGGATCTCTCTTCATTCCCAGCCAGCTTCTTCTCTGCTGGCATCCAACATCTTCCCAGGCAGATCCCTTAAACAATGCTGACTTTACAGCAATTCTAAATTCAACTCCCAACCCAAAATAGGACAAAGTGAAGAACTGTTTAGAATTGGTGCAATTTAAAATGGTTTATTTATCTCAAATATTGTGGTAATTAAATGTGACTATGTTTTGAGAAACAACAGAGCTTAGGGAACTTTGTGCAGGGATAGAATGACAGTGGAAATGTGAATGTAGATTTGTGAGTTGTACCTTGCCTATCTATGCATAAATTTACCAGCATGTATATACATCTGTAAACAAATTGATACCCACTTACTGAATCTGTATGTTAGATTTAATCTAGCCTTTATGTCCACACCAGTGACTACCTCAGAATGTCTTTACAGCAGGGTTCCATGTGGTTGGAACAATGAGTTTGGAGACTTGACTTAGAGCTATATTTGCTTACCAAGCACAGTGTGTATTTATTCTGCATGTTTCTTTGGAGTAGCTACTGGGGATCCAACATAGACAGTGGTGGCAAGCACCTCTGGGCAGTTTTCATAATCCCTTGGTGATGCACCACTGATTAAGGTAAAGCAAACACCCTTTCAGCAGCTGGACTTGGGGAATTAGCTGCCCTCTCTTTCTTTCTCCTCCCCAAGCTTTTCTGGACTATTGATCAAATGCTTGTTCCTGTTACTCCTCTAACACAAATATTGGCAGCATTAACAAGGCAGAGAGGGTCATGTTCCCACACTCCCCCCATAGGCTTCTGTATTTCCTTCTTAGCCTCATTTTCAGCACTTTGGCTTCAAGAAACCAGCTCTTTGGAAGCACTCACGTCACCCCAACAAAATTCCATAGGGCACCCACAGAGACTCCATTCCAAACCACCAGAGAAACTGAATGGGTGGGTCTGAGCAGGCCAGTAGATGAATGAGGCTTTAGTCTTACATAAAACAAGCCCACTTGTGGGTTGTTTTGTCTTTCTGGGCAGACAGTACTAATATCCTCACCTTCCAGTGCATGGCCCCAAGCGCTCACCTTCTGGTGTTCTGTGCCAAGATCAGTTGCACAGTTCCAAGGGTTGCTCAAGCTACTGGGGTCGGGAACAGGGAATTAGAAAACTGAGACTGGGTGTGCACTTGCCTCAGAAAATAGAGTCAATAATATAGCTGTTAGATTCTGTTCTTTCTTCATGGGCAAAATATAGAATATCTATTAAGTAACAATAGGCGGTGCCTTAAAAAACATAGGGATTGAGGGCTGGGCGTGGTAGCTCACGCCTGTAATCCAAGCACTTTTGGAGGCCAAGGAGGGCTGATCACAAGATCAAGAGATCAAGACCATCCTGGCCAACATGGTGAAACCCCATCTCTACTAAAAATACAAAAATCAGCTGGGCATGGTGGCACACACCTGTAGTCCCAGCTACTCAGGAGGCTGAGGCAGGAGAATCGCTTGAATCCGAAGGCAGAGGTTGCAGTGAGCCAAGATCATGCCACTGCACTCCAGCCTGGGTGACAGAGCAAGACTTTGTCTCAGGAAAAAAAAAAAAAAAAAGATAGGGAATGGGACAGAGCATTTCCTGTGACCCTCTGATAACAATGAAGGGGCTGACTAGGAGTTTAGGAAGGACCACAGAAAATATGCAGTTGATGGCAGGTCACCTCCTAACTTCCTCACTCTTGTCGTTCCTGCCCTGTTCTCCTCTTCTGGGACTTTTTGTTACCACTTCCTCTTCATTCTTATTTTTTTCTCAACAGCCACTGTCCAGTTGTGACAGCAACCCTTTTGGAGACCTAACCCTGCTAGATATGAGCACTCTGGTCAACACTGCATGAGAGCAAGGTCCTGATTCCATTTCGATGGCTAAAGCTGTTTTTCTGTCTGGCTGAGATGAACCACTGACAAGTGGAAAGCACCGTGCAAATAATACTGACTTGGGGTTTAAGAGATTCCAGTTAAAAATCCTAGCTGCCACTTGCACACTGTTATCACTTTAACAATGCGCTTGAATTTTTTTGAAGGTTTTATGCATTTGCAAAATAAGGGCAATAATCCCAGTTTTAACTTGTTCTAAGAAGTATAATACTGCATATAACACTCCATGTATTATAAGGGCTCAGTCAATGACAGCTGCTATCATTATTTTAATATGATTCTAATCGCTCTCACATTACCTTCTGTTCTTTCTATTCTTCAACCCGTCACTACTATTGTCTGAAGGAAATGAAAAAAAAAAGTCAGCAACAAAATTCTCTTATTTATGCTTTAGAATAGCAAAATACACTATTCAAGAAGACTGATCAGAAAGATTTTCACTTTTGCCAGGAAAGACAAAGATTAAATTATTGGGGAATGAGATCTTTTCACTAACTTCCATAGTGAAAAAGAACTTCTCTGACCCCACCCCAGCCCCGACCCCTGAAAGCTGTTTTCTTCTCTCTTCTTTCAGGGAAAGAGACCACACTCCTTAATTTCCACAACATGCCAGGTGCTTTACTAGGGGCCATTCACACGATCTTCTCTCGTTCTCACAAAGATTCTCTGTCCCCCCTCAATCTTCCCCTTCCAGGTTTCCTTTCTAGGTAGAGCATGTTCTCAAATATATTTGCAACCCCTTTATGGAACCAAGTGCTATCGATACGTTTTTTTCCTTTCCCGTGAGTAAGCTTCAAATGTAAAAAGGAAAAGCTAAATGTGAAATGATTTGCAAATTTCCATCTTCATCACTATAAAACCATTTCCTTTCCCATTCACCTCCACCTTCAGGAAAATACATGATGTTCTGCTCTATTTTATTTAAAGTTAAATGACTGAAAAAAGAAATGTTAGAAAATATAGAGTTCTCTTTTGCTCTGGCACTATTTGTCTTGTCACTGTTTTATTTTTCATGTTGTTCATCAACAGAAATAAGAACCTCAAACATTAATAAAAATCCAAGCCCTGAATCTTTAATAGATACTCTAGCATTGCCCTAATTTTGAATAAGAGTCATGAAGGAAACATTAGACTCATAGACTCCTGTGTATGTGGACTTAGTGCTTAGATAACCAAAAAGAGAGTTTTATATTCAAGACTCAATTTTTGGAATGAAATGTCTGTCTCTAAAAGTCTTACTATGATGGTGTCTGGCCTAACTCCATCCTGTTTATTTTTAGCCTTCACAAGGACACTTGTTTGTATCAGAAGGTAATTAAACAATAATAAAAGGATAAAAATTATAAACACACCATTCTTTCCAGGAGTATCTGTTGCCCTGGAGAAGTGACATCAAGCCAGCCTCAATGCCCTCCAGGGGCTGATTCAGGAGGCTGAGGCATGCCCAACACAGAGGGACAAAGGAAAGTCTACTGGGCTTGAGTCTGAGCTTTTTTTTTTTTTTTTTTGGGGGGGGGGTGGTGATTTTCTTACAGATGGGATAATTCTGAATTTCTTGACATGTTTCATCACTTAAGATAGACTCAAAAGATATTCCTTTCTGTAGAAATTAAAGCCCCTGAGAGAGTAAAGGCAAATAAAATGTATACATTATTATTTATGCAGTTTTCACCAATGCAGGAAAGATTTTTTTCCTTATAATGAAATCAAATTCCTAAGAGGGACGGCATTTGCCATTGTTAAATGTGGAGGTGTCTCCTTTCTAAACATTCTTATTTGAGAAGTCCTTGGTGGGCTGTCTGCCTACTCCTAACCATTAAATTTGCTAATAGGGGAGAGATGGGATGATTCAGAAACTAGGAGATATGGCATGGTTTAAATCCACCCTAAGTTATTATAGAATGAAAAGTTTAATCATCTGACAACTGTTAAAAAGTCTAAAAAGAGCTAGTGGCTGCTTTCCAAGTAAAATATTAGTGAAAATATATCCAGAGAAATGTTGGTCTAATGGAATTTCTTAATATTGATACCAAATAGTTCCAGGCCAAGAATGAAAGTCCCTGATGATGGAATAATGGGCGCCTGTACATCTGATCCCAATGAGTGGTGCTGATCTCACAGCTAGCCCATGTCCGTCTTCTAACCACTTCAGATAAGAAAGAACAGATGGGTGCTGGTGCTGGTGTGGTGACAGAATTCTCAGCTGGCCCCATATGGTACTGGGATGAACTTCCCATTGGAGAATGAGAATCAGTGGATTCTCAGATGATTTCTAAATCCATGCTTGATTCTAAAGGCTTGGCCAGATGTCTCTAAAAACCTGGCTTCAGATGACCATGAACCCTGCAGTTCTCTTTGGTAGGTTTCCCATAGCTTTCTTGGGTTCTGAGCTGATGAAGAGCAGTGCACCTGCCACTGCAGCCTCCTCTATCCCTGGGGGAAAATGCCCAGTAGAGTATGTTGAAAGAGGTTTCCTCTTTGCAGATTGTTAGAATCTATGGTCTATGGAAAGTGATTTTCTGTTGTTTAAAAAGAATTCTCAAATTCTAGAAGATAGAGATGTTATATTGTACAGTTTTGAACATTCTTAATTCCTGCCAGCTTTTAGTAGAATGTTCTGAAAAAGCAGATGTTGGACATGAATCCACGCTATGCATACCTATTTAACCCAATATCCAAGTTTTGGCAAACTCCAGGGAAATTTACCAAAACCAACCTGAAGTGAAATTAAGTAATAATAATATGGAGAAGACAGATTGCTATTCTAGATAATTTGAGAAAACAAATGAACTCTCTCAAGAAAAATTACCGGTCTTCTGAAAATGTAAGAGAGCTATTGTTTACAGTGCAGACATGACTTGTACTTTCAGAACAATCACAGTATGGGATTTCATCACCTAAACATAAGTGAGGGGCCCCTTAAAGGGTTCATCATCAATGCCAAAATTATGAGCCAAACTTCATACTTCCCTCCAAATTGTACAATTTTTACCCCGGCATTATTTGAGAGGAGTATTAATGTTTCTGTTCTCTATATTGTCTGATTAGCTCCCAAAGTGGCTCCAACCAAACCATCAGTTTTAATCAAAGACTTTTGCTTTAAAACAAATAAGAGCTCCATCATTTTCACATCTGACACCAAGACAAGAGGAGACAAGAAGGGGTGGTGTGGCTGCACAGCAAATCATATGTCTTAAATGTTTTCTGTCCATGTAACAAGGAAAACAGAGCGTAAAATAGTCATGAGTCACTGATGATATAAAACCCGGAAACACCCATTTCCTAGGAAAAAAGAAGCAATGAATTGCACATTATCTTGAATGTCTTTTTTGTTCATCCGCATAGGAAAATGCTTTTGAATGTGCCATTGTCAGTGATTGGCAGAGAATAATTATATTGTTCCTGTATAGTTTTGAAAGATTAAAAGGTAGATTAAAAAATAATTTAAAGGTAATAGTGTACATAGCTATTTCTCTTCAATTTGTGTAAATAGTCAGTCACCAAAATGGAAAAAAGAAAAAAGCTCTCTTTGATAATACACACTGTTAGGCAGAGTGTCTGTCATTTCAGCATAATCAGATGAACTTTTGTTTGCAAATTATAAATTATTCAGAAAGCTTCTTATTACAGTTATGTGGTTGTTTACTGTGGGAGGGAGGGGGAGCTCACTTCATTTTCCTGATGTACTCTCTAAAAATGGAGACAAAAATAAAGCATTTGGCACATTTAGTGGGAGTGGCTGTTTCAAGCTAAATACAAAAGGAAGACAAATGCAATAATTGGGCTGCATTTATGAAACCAAAATATAATTGCACTCAGGGATTTTGCGGCTATTTCTTCACGTGTGACTGGCTGTATAACAGACTCTTATATAGTATGCCCATAGACTCCGCACTTGGAGGCAGGGTCATTGTTCTTACTGAAGGTCACAATTCAGATCTGACAAGAACAAGTCCAGTGTCCAAAAGCAAACTGCCACTTCGAGAAGCAATCAAGCAGCTTCCACAGGGCTGATTGCCTCCAACTCCACCTCCGGGCATTTAACAAAGTGGCAGCCAGGTCTTGATTAATCAGCAGAGGCACTAATGAACCAGCCTTGCCGGAGGTTTCCTGCTCTCTCTGATTCCTAACTGCCTCTTTAGTGAATGACTTGGGGCCTCAAGTGAGCCTTACACAGACAGCCCCATTTCTGCCTGGGCACAGACTTTTGATGACAGAGGAGAAAGTCCCGCTAACTGGTGCATTCATGTTGCTTGTTGTTGTTCAAAATACACCTCATATAAATATTTAATATGGGCAAGTGAAATGCAAGGAGATTGGCTAAGGATGTGTGCTGAGAACTTGACTCCTGAGTTTCATCGTAGAGTACTTCTGAGGGTCAGAAACACTCTACGTGCAGCTCCTAACACAGTCGAGGCACACAGCAGGCTCCCAGGACACACTACCGGGTGTTGCTTCCATTCGTAGTTAACTAGCTTTAGGAACCTGGCAAGGGAAAAGGGAAAATACGTCTGCGACTGGGCTCCCCAGAAGCACAGTCTGAGTTGAGCATTCAAGTGCAAGTCGTTTACGCCAGGAGGTAATTCCACAGAGCTCTGAGGAAGGAGCAGGGAAGGGAGACGGGGGAAAGAAGAACAACAACAAAGTTTGTAATATCAGCTAAATAGCCACTGTGGGCAACGGAAGCTCAATCCCACTGGAGAGCTCAAAGAACCGGTAAGGACAAGCATCTGGAAGTTACCCCAGGGCAGGATTACAGAGTGTTCATCTCCCAGCTCCTGTCAAGTCACTGGTTGAGAGCTGCCAGGGTGAAGGTAGTGGATCTACATCCTCGCTTGTTGACCTGCCATGTGCATGGGGCATGCAGGCATGAGAGCAAGGTCCCAGGCCAAGAGTCGCGAGTGCTGCGAGTTGGGTGGTTCCTGGAAATACGGCCAGGCACTCAAAGCATCTGCTTCAACCCCAAAACCAACGCAAGCTTGGGGTTCAAAAAACATATATCATCTCAATTTTCCTCTACCCTTTGGATTAATCTATTGGTTTGTAACCCCCCAAACACTCTCTGAGCGGTTGCTGAATCTGCAGCTCAAAAGTCTGAGTAGCAGGAACATGTTGCTTGAGATTTTTAAAATTTTCCATACATAAGCTGTAAAGCAGAATCATAACCCTTCAGTATGTGAGGTGTTACATGCCACTTGCTGAAAGTGCATGTTCCATGTCTCTAATGATGTTGGTGCTATAGACAGATTTTCTGGTACCAAAACCCTGGTCAAGTCTACACAAACAAATAGGTTATGAGAGCTGGGCCAGGACCTCTTAGTTTCTGCTTAGACCCAAGAGGGTCTGAACACATAGACAAATGTTCATGGTGGAGAGTCCTGAACCACTGACAGCCCTCCATGTTTGGCGGAACACATGCAACTCTCAACATGACTTCACTATGCAAATGAACACTTCAGATTTCAGTGAAAAAGAGCTTTCACAAATTCTCTGCCAGCATCCTGTTGCTCACCAATTATGTTCTTTTTTATTCAAGTAAATTATTTCTACTTAATTCTGTCAATGTTTCATAGGAAACTACAACTTACTGATTATAAACTAGTCATCCATATTATTTTCTACCGCATAAAACTTTACAATCTTGATCCTACATATTTAGTGTATCAACACTATGCATTGACATAAATAATGAAATGCACAGTGAATATCCAATCTACGAATGTTAGTCATCAGAACCAAAAGAAATTACAATAATCAGCAGCGCCCCTTGCTTCTCATTAATTATTGCCTTTGGAGTTTGAATTGGACTCAGTGCCTCTCACTTCCTGTTCTTAATTGTTGTTTAGAGATGCTGTGGGCGATTAAACAGCTCTTGCTTTTCATTCTAGAGGGGGCTAGATGTGGTGGCAGTTAAAATGTTAGGATCCCTTAAACAAATAGCTTCCTGTTTTGTGTCCCATCAGGATGCAAGTGCAAGTCTGAATCTATAAAGATCTTGGTGGTCGGTATCCTAGCTGCCTAATTGACTCTCTCTCTCCATATGCCGCAAGCAAATAATTAGAACAAACAAAATATGTAACGTTTCTACCTCCAAACCACCTGCTTCCTGAGCTTCCCCAAGTCTTTCTTGAGCAGTTGCATAAAAGAAACACTGAGAAATTGAGTGACTTCCAGGATGAAACATGTCAAAAAATTTCCTTCCACAAAGCTTAAAAGGAGAAATAAGGCTATTATCCAAACAATTCAGGCACCCCTTACCCCTGCCTAAAGTGTCCGTGTAAATTATTTGCCGAATGTGATCATTTTAAATTTCCCTTGCAGTTGTTTAGATAAAAGGTGGATTTATCCAAAACATTTATACCTTAAAGATTCTTCATTTCACATTCCAAATAGTTGAGGAGTAAAAATATAGTCATATATTTTGCAACTCCCCTAATCTTGATAGTCTGAAATCTCATCTGCCTCACTCACAAAAACTTCAGTCTTTTGCAACATTTTCTCTTCCCAAATGTCGCTGCAGATTCCCAGGGAGGGGACACAGCAAGGGTGGGGTCCAGAGAAGTAAGTGAATGTTCTGAAGACATAGATGCTACATGTGATGGCAAAGAACGTAGGCCACTTACCTCTAAGAGAACCATTCCATGTGTAGACCGCCTAGATCTGTCCACTTTCCTGCAGATGGCAGTAGTATCATGATGGAGGGCATTCTCTCACCAAGAAGCCCTTTGGGCTAATAGTGGGTTGCTTATGCTGTGGGCTCTGGGTATATTGAAATGCCTGTTTGCCCAGTGTTTTAGCTGGATTCTAGGTCCCAGTTCTGGCCATAGTACGCTGAAGTGAGTTAAATAGTGTCTCCTCAAAATTCATGTCAACTCAGAAACTCAAATGTGACCTTATTTGGAAATAGGATCTTTGCACATGTAATTAATTAGGGATCAAGATGAGACACTGAATTAGGGTAAACCCTGAAACCAATAGCGCGTGTCCTTACATGAAACAGAAGGGACACACAGAGGGAAGAAGAGCATGTGAAGATGGAGGAAGAGATTCGAGTGAGACATCTACAAGCCAAGGAGTGCCAATGATTGCCAGGAGCACCACCACTAAAGGGGCAAGGAGGGATTTTTTTCTAGAGCTTTCAGAGGGAGCATAGTCTTGCCACATGTTGATTTTGAAATTCCAAAACTGTGACAGAAATGCATTTCTGTAGTTTTAAGACGTGTATTTATGGTGATTTCTCGCAACAGTTGCAGGAAACTAATATAGACTCTATCAAGACCAACACATAGAGCTGCCCAGTGAAGACCAATACATCTCTGGATCAACACATCATGTTGCATAAACATAAACCTATCACCATAGGGTGAGAGTGAGTCAGCATGTGCACTAGCAAAAGTAGTACAAGCACATTAGGGTCCATCAAGAATAAAAACCCTGAGTTTTTAATAGTTTGAAGACAGTTGTCTCAATTATAGGCTACATGCTGTACATCTACCTTTCCAACAAGAAAAAGTCAGCCCTCTGGCCAGGACCTGAACCTCACCTACACCAAAGCCCTCCTATGGGATCCAATCTCCAGTGAAAACCCAGGCAGTCTGCAGCAAGAGAAAGGATACATATCACATCTACTAAGCAAACATTCACTGGAGGTTAAGGTAGGGTCTTCTAGCCCCACCCCAAAGTATGTGCCTGTGATCATTGTATGCAGAAGAAGACTTGGTTGAGATAGATTGATAATATTTTATTGGATAAAGTTTTGCTCTGCTGAGTGATTCTCTGATAAATAAACTGAATTGTAGCAGTTAACCTCTTACAGTTTCCATGTTGGGGAGTGAGTGTAGTGTGGTTCTAGTTTTGACACAGTGCATCCCTATATCCCCTAATCTAATATTATCTTACATCTCACCTTCCAGTGTTGTGTTTATAGAAGCCCCAATTAGAGGATGGGTGTCTTATGCTTAATAATAACCCACTCTGTGCTCTGGTGCTGGGCCTCTGAAATCGGAATCATCATTCCCTTCCTCTGCTTGTCTTCAGGTTTCTGGCACTTTAATGCCACTGTTAAGCTCTGTCTTCTGGTCCTTCTCACAAATCCCTAGCCATGTTTTTTTGTTTGTTTGTTTTCTTTCACATCCTCAGGAGATGCAATAATAAAATAAAAAGAATTTGCTATAAACTATATTGTCATTTACTATTTTTATCAGTCATGTTGGAAAAGAGTACAATAAATTCAAAATAGACGACTGCTAAATTTTAAAATTCATTTGCAGTGGGAGTTAAATATCCATATTTATTATGGATTATTAGTAGAAAATGATTACTTGGTGAATGTGTTTTCACATTCTTATTTTAGGGGTACTTATTTAGGTACTATTGCTTTGACCCCCTCATATGGTCTATCGAATGACCTTTCTGATTCCAAATTCCATGCCTCTGTTGCCTTTTCATTAGAAGAAATTAGCAGGCCTTTCACATTTTTTGAAGGAAGCATCAGCTAGGGTCCATAGAAAAAGTAATGGCTTAGAAATCTTGATGAATGCCAGTTCTCGCAGGGGACATCAACTCTAAGTGTGCCTGTGTATGCATAGAGAAAATGGCAGATTTGCATAAACATCCTGAAACATTTTGATGGAGTTCCAGGATCTGCTGCCTATCTGAATTTGTTGTAGGCTTTATTTGTGCTCCTTCAACAATGAAGTTAACCCTTATATTAGCTGCATGGGGAGAAAAGTTTCTATGTTACAAATGGCCCAATTATATTCATTCAAAAATGACTTATCTAGCCCCTAGTTTGAGTAACACATGACACAAAGAATGCTTGGTGGATGCCAAAACTATGCCCTGCTCTCAAAGACCTTTTGTAATAACAAGCAGAAAGACACATACACAATAAATCAGAATAGAATAATAAAATGGGTCATAAAGTAACCTCAGACAGGTAGCACCCCAATATGCATGTATGTTTGGGTATAACAAAGACTAGAGAGGAAGTCTACTGGGAATCTAGCTGCATGTGTGACTGAAAATCATTAAGCAAAATAACTGAAATCTCAGGGGAAAAAAGGGTTGCAACATACCGGATTGATCTGAAAACAAAGCCTGAGGATCAAATTATTTTGAGCACAGATCAAGGATGATCATTCAGATGATCATACAACCCATTTCTTATGAGTGTGTGACCAATCGTAGGACCAGAGGAACTGTTACAAAAACTGAAAGAGCTAGAGTACCAAATTCTTGATGAGGTACCCGAATTTTCAAGAATCAGAGGTGAGAAGTTTAGGTAGTATTGCTTTCAGAGAGAGTGTACAACAAAGGTGGACAGGCTTTGCCAATGAAGGATATTGAAAAATTTTATTACAGTAGCAAAAAAAAAAAAAAAAAAAAAAAAGGGAGAGGATACCTAGAGCAGCATTGACAGGGGATTTGGTATATTGCTTTGGAATATCCATAGGTCCTTTGCACCATCTTCAGAAATCTCAATACAAGAGATCTGAAGAGCTAATGTGAGAAAGAAAATGGTAGATTCTACACGGATGGTAGACACTGTTTAAATGAACAGATATTAGACAGCCTTATAGGTTTTCCAGAAATACAGGGGAGAAGTTTTCAAAGGGCTTGCAGATGCTGAAATTGCAATAGGAAGAGAACCATATGAACAGTCTTGTGGCTGTCTTACTGAAAGGTAAAGGTAGGATTTTTTTCCCCAAGGCAATAGTGGCCCAGGAAACACATATTATGCCAAGGAGAATGAAATAAGTGTAGGAATAGAGTGGGAAAAGACTTGTGTCATGCTGAGGAGTGAGTGATTCTTTTCAGCTAGAGTCAACAGAAAAGGTTTCTTTAGAAAGGGAAATGTTGAGCCATATATGTTGGTGGGGCCAGGGGGAGAGGGATAAATTCTGGCCTCAGGAAACAATATAAGCAAGAGCTTGGTAGCTGGTGTTGAGAGAACAGCATGCAGGCTAATATAGGTAGAAGAAAAGCTGGAAATCGTGGGTGGGAAAATCAAGAGTTGAGTTAGGAAAGAATGGATGGACTGAATCACAGAAGGTCTCAAATATTATGCTAAAATGTTTTGAGGTTTATATGCAGATGCTACATAGCCATTTGTGTGTGTGTGTGTGTGTGTGTGTGTGTGTGTGTGTAATTTTGAAAATGGAAAAGGATGACATCTGACTTGAACTTTAGGAGGAAGAGAAAAGGAGAACTGTGGCTGGTCCCCAAAGTAGTTAGTCACACCTTAATTACCAAAACCTGTGACTATGTTCCCGTACATGGCAAAAAGTAAAATACACACACACATATATATGTATATGAAGATTTTGTATATGCGATTAAATTAAGGATCTTGAGGTGTAGGTTGAGTTATATGAGCGAACCAGTGTAATCACAAGGGTACTTATAGGGAAAAAAGAGACACAAAGAGGCTGAGCAGGAGATGCTTTGATGAAAGCAGAACTTGAGCAATGTCATTGCAGAAAGAGCCCGCAAGCCCAGGGAAAATCAGGCTGGAAAAATCAAGGAACAGACAGCCCTCTACAGCCTCCGGAAGGAACAGAGCTTACCGATGAGACAGCCAGGTGGGAGGGGGTCCCCAGAAAAACTCCAAGCAGCCTGCCCACTGGGGTAGAGCCCTGGGAAGTTCGTGCCCTTTGCAGAGGGGAGCCTGGCCCCTTCTCTTCCTGTGTGGAATCTGGGATTCAAGCTGCGGGTGGGAAGCGCTCGAGCACGGGACTCTAGCCTTGCAGAGGATCCCTGTTTCCCCCCCTTTTTTTCCCTTTTCACCCAATAAAACCCGACTTTACTCACCCTTTAAACCATCTACGAGCCGAAATTTTCGTGTCTGTGGGACAGACAAGCACCCCGTCTTTAGCTGAGCTAAGGAAAAGTTCTGCAACACCAACATCTTGATTTTATCTCCTATGAAATCCACATTGGTCTTCTGACCTCCAGAAAGGTAAGGTTTTCATTTCTGTTGTTTTAAAGCACTAAGTTTGTGATAATTTGTTACAGCAACAGAAGGAAACTATGGCAGTACTCAACAAGTGTGTGTCAAGTCTGTGTGAGGTGCTTCATATGAGTCCTTTCTTATTTAGTCTTCAGAAATGTAAGCTATGAAAGTAGTAGAGTAGGAATTTGAGGGTGAAAATTATTAAGCAAGTACTACTAAATAGTGGAGCCTCACTTGATCTGTGTATCCCCAGAACGATGTTTATATGCTATATTATGATGTCTTAGCAGCATAAAAAGTTGAGATAATGGATGAAATATGGGAAAGAGGTAAAATAAGCATGAGCTAGATTCACCATCTATAGCACACTACATTGAGACACATGGCTTCCCCAACAGATGACATAATAGCCAGAAAAAGCATTTCCAATAAGACGTTTTGGGAGTCAGTATAGAGAGCCTTGTGAAAAAGCCTGGGGCTATGTAGAACTAAAGACCTCAGTTTTAATTCCTCTGTCATTTACGATCTGACCTTTGGAAAGTCTATCCTATCAATTTTCTCATCAGCAAAATGGTACAGACAATACCCAGACCAGGTAATCATTGCATAGATTATGTCAGCTATTGTTGTAAAACCATTAGCCCAGTCCTTTGCATTTAGTAAGTACCATACTAAATGGTGATTTATTAGTAGTAGTATTAGTATACTACTATTTGTTCACAGAACCTTATGATAGTCATAAGTGAATATATTATTCTCATCAGCAAAATTGTATAGATAACACCTAAATAACTATTGTAGAGATTATGTCAGGTGTTGTTGTAAAACCGTAAGTCCAGTATTTTGCATTTAGTAAATACCCTACTAAATGATTATTAGTATTAGTATTAGTATAGTATTATTTGTTTACAGAACCTTATGGTAGTCATAGGTAAGTGAAAATATTATAAAATAAAACAATACAGAGAAAAGACCTTAAGGAATCAATTGCAAAAGGGGAAACAAAAAATAATTTAATGACACTCATAATGAATTGAAAATAAATACACCTAGTCCTTGTTCTTTTAACTAGTGTAAATGTTGGCCCACTATAAGATATTTTTAATATGTTAAATATTGAAAGAGCCAACATTAAAATCAAAATATTGAACCATAAGCATTGATTTTTGATATTCATAATTTATGGTATTAAATAGAATATTAAACTGATCAAAATGATTAAATATTTTAGTCACTTAAAAAATATCTTGCTACCTTATTTTACTTTTTTTAACTTAAATTGATTTTAACTATTGTGTTTTGTACTTTTTTAAGACTGAAAATTGTGAAACATCTAAACTTTCAACAAAATCTATTATTTGGAGAAAACTCAATATCCAAAAATGTGTGGATCACTCACACAAAAAATGAAATGCTACAAAACAATATTGTTGAAACCAGTATATTCTCATTCTGTCTATTCCTTTCTTCTGCCACTACATCAGCTTGTCTGTCTCTTAAAGATTACACAAACAGAGAAAAGAGTGGGTTGAATTTGGGGCATTCTTTACGTTCTACTTTTACATGTCTGTGTTAACTTTTTTGGTAGATATTATGCATCTGATTAAAAACCAAAACTTAAAGAAGCCATTAAATATTTTTAAACAAAAATGTTAATGATTGTTCAATAGCTCATTATATGTATTTTTCATAATTTACTTAAATATTCCTCCATTGAAAGCATTTAGACTGTGCCTTGTTCTACAAGCCAACCCTATTTATCTTGATCAATTCTTTAATTTGGAGTCCTTCTGTATCACCTTCACTATTATGATTTTAGCTCCCCCCATCATAAATTGCTAGGCCAAGTTCAGCTTAAGCCAGGAACACTCAGATTGTCTGCTAGTAAAGAAATTAATAGCTAATGAATAAGAATTCTTAGTACAGACCCTGAGGGCACTATTAAGAGACAGGGCTTAAATAAGAACTTTGTAAGTATTTGTTACACAAATATCAAGTTGGACTGATATACATAAACAGAAAAGAGCATTAATTTGTGGCTCATTTGTACTTCCCACAAAAAACAACCACTTATCAGCTAAAGCATAGGAGTCTTTGACTTGCCAACTACTTTCTCCGTGTGAACACATTAAATGGAACAGGTCCTTGAAAATAGCTACAAAAATGAGTTTAACATAAAATTGAAAATATTCATTTAGTATTTATTTACACTAAGCACTGAGCTTAAGGCTGAGGAGATAAGGGAACAAATAAACAAGACATAGTCTCCAGTTTAAAGAGGCTTCTTGTCAAGCAAGAGAGACAGCTGAATAATGTGTTATTAGGTTGGTGCAAAATACATCACTGGATACTTAATACTTTTCAGGCATTGCTCTGCCTGCTAAGGAGATACAAATATGGTTAATTTAACATAGGGACCTGTCCTCAATGAAGATAAAAAACATGCAGATGCATAGCAACAAATTAATGTAGTACCCCAGATATGATGTAATAAGACTTTGCACATCTGCAATATTCTTTTCAAGGAAAACAAACAAAGACAAAAGACAAGCACAAAGCACGGGCCAGTTTACAAAATACCTGACAATTCTTCCTCACAACCATCGAGGTCATGAAAAACAAGGAAAGTCTTGAGAAACTATCATAGACTGGAGGAGATTAAGGAACATAATAACGAAATAAAATGTGAAATTCTGGCACAGGAAAAAAATACATTATTGGGTAAAACTGGTGAAATCAGGAATAAAACCTGGAGTTTAGTTAATAGTAAAGAATTAATGTTAGTTTCTTAGTTTTGATAAATGTACCACATTCATGCAAGATAATAATAGTAGGGGGAACTGAAACTGGGTGATAGGTATGTGGGAACTCTGTACTGTCTTTGCAACTTTACTGTAAATCAAAAAGTATTCCAAAATAAAAAATCTATTGAAAAACAGACACGGAAGTCTTTTGGTTGCTGGTCTAGCATGTGAGGGGCTTGGAAGTCACCATTTTGTCCTAACAAGTAAAAAGCTGAACAAACATTACAAAATCAATAATTCTTAGATCTGTCAGAGAACTGAAGTCACAGTGCAAATCACTGCCCTCAAATTTGGAAGACAGACACGTGAATATCGAAAATTATAACTTACTGAAACAGACACTCACAGGCAGAAGTCTCCTTGGGAGCCAGTACTGGTGTGGGAAATCTTGGGCTGTAATTGATGAACTGCTACAGGTTCATTATAGACAAGACTGAGAGTTAAAAACTCCAGGACAGTGCTGTGTTAACCTGGGTTCTCCAGAGAAACAGAACTGACAGGATGTACATATATAAATACATTTAATATAAGAACGGACACGCATGATTATGGAGACTGAGAAGTCCCAAGATCTGCAGTCTGCAAACCGGAGACTCAGGAGAGCAAATGGTGTAGTTCTAGTCTGAGTCTGAAAGCTTGAGAACCAGGAAAGCCAATGGGGTAAGTTCCAGTTTGAGCCCACAGGTATGAGGGCCAAGAAGAGCCAAGCTTTCAGTTCAGGACTAAAGGCAGAAGAAGACTGATGTTCCAGCTCAAGAAGTCAGGAAGGAGAAGTTCCCTCTTAATCAGTGTTTTTGTTCTATTCAGGTCTTCAGCTGATTAGGTGAGGGCCACTCACAGGAGGGAGTCGGGGAGGCAATTTGCTCTGCATAGTCTGCTGATTCAAATGTTAATTTTATCCAGAAACACTCTCACAGACACACCCCAAACAATATGCAACCAAACACACCCCAAACAATATGCAACCAAATATGTGGGCACCCAATGGCCCAGTCAATCTGGCACATAAAATTAGCCATCACAGGGGCCCTCACACTTCCATGAGTTTTACTTCCTGGAGCACTACCAGGTCCTCACAGTGAATATCAGAGAGAAATTCCTTCGTAGTTCTGACAGGAGAAGAGAAAAAGTATACATTCAGAAACACACTAAAGCATTCTATTATTTTTAACAAGGCCTACCAAAAAAAAGAAAGAAATTATTTTATGAAAGTCCAGCCCATTGGGGTTTTATCAGAGCCTAACTGACCTAGGGGAAGGGACATAACCAATACTAGCCATCTCCAGCTATCCTGTCATAGCAAAAGCACAGGGGCACAGGCTTACTACAAGACTGACACCTAGTCATTGGACTACAGAATATTCCCCTTCCCCCTTCACCTTACTACCATATCACCAAAGACCTACTTACAGGAGTACATCATTTCCAACTTTCAAGAAAACATCACAAGAGATACTAAAAGCACAACACCTAGTTTGAAGGGATAGAGCAAGCATCAAGAACCAGACTCAAATATGTCAGGGATATTGAAATTATCAGACTGGAAATTTAAAACAACTGCCAGAGGCATTCGAAACAGAGAGACTCCATCTTGAATGGGGCTGGGTAAAATAAGGCTGAGACTTATGGGCTGCATTCCCAATGGGTTAGGCATTTTTAGTCACACGATGAGACAGGAGGTCGGCACGAGATACAGGTCACAAAGACCTTGATGCTAAAACAGGTCGCGGTAAAGAAGCCGACCAAAACCCACCAAAATCAAGATGGTGATAAAAGTGACCTCTGGTCATCCTCACTGCTTATTATTTGCCAGTCATAATGCATTAGCATGCTAAAAGACTGTCCTGCCAGTTTCATGACAGTTTACAAATGCCATGGCAACATCAGGAAGTTACTCTATATGGTCTAAATGGGGGTGAAACCCTCAGTTCCACAAATTGCCTACCCCTTTCCTGGAAAACTCATGAATAATCTACCCCTCATTTAGCATATAATCAAGAAATAACTATAATTACTCTAACAGCCCACATTGCTGTTCTGCCTATGGAATAGCCATTATTTTATTCCTTTATTTTCTTATTAAACTTGCTTTCACTTTATGGACTCAGCCTGAATTCTTTCTTGTGTGAGGTCCAAGAGACCCCTCTTGGGTTCTGGATCAGGACCCTTTTCCGGTAACACAATTATGATTAATATGCTAAGGGCTTAAATGAAAAAAGTAGACAATGTGTAAAAACATATGGGTAATGTAAGAAGAAAGATTAAGTTCTAAGAAAGAATCAAAAAGAAAATGAGTAATTAAAAAAAAGACATTGTAACATAGGTGAAGAATGCCTTTGATGAGCTTATTAGTAAATTGGACACAGCTGATAAAAGAATCTCTGAGCTTGAGAGTATGTCTACATGTAAAGAATATGTCTATATATACAGCATTTCTGAGCTTGAGAATATATCTATGTGTAGATATATAGATATATCAGTAGAAACTTCCAAAACTGAAAAGCAAAGATAAAAGAAAAGCTGAAAAAAATGGAACCCCAAAATAAGTGTTGGACAAAAAAAGGCATAACATAGGTATAATGTGTATAAAAACAAGGAAGGAAGGAAGGAGAAGGAGAGAGAGAAAGAAAGAAAGGAAAAGAGAAATGAGAGGAAAAAAAAAGAAAGAAGGAAAGAGAGAATATTTGAAACAATAATGACTGAGAATTTCCTCAAATTAATGCCAGACACCAAACCACAGATCCAAGAAGTCTGGAGAACACCAAGCAGGATGAATGTGTATACATAGGCATATTATATACAAATTATAGAAAAGTCAAAAATTAAAAGAAAAAATATCTTACCTATAGAGGAATAAAGGTAAGAATTACATCTGACTTCTTAGAAATCATGCAAGTGAAAATAAAGTGGAGTGAAATATTTAAAGTACTGAGAGAAAAAAAAATACCAATCTAGAATTTTATGTCCTGTGAAAATATCTTTTAAAAATAAAGAAGATATAAAGACTTTCTCAGTCAAACAAAAACTAAGGGAATTTGTTGCCAGTAGACATACCAGCAAAAAGTGTTAAAAGAAGTTTTTCAGAGAGAAGGAAAATTATATATGTCATAAATAGGCATTTATGTTTAAAAAAAAGTAATAGAAAAAGAATAAAGGAAAGAAACCCCTTTCTTAAAATTTTAAATTGATATAACAAATAATAGTTTGTTCAATATAATAAAAGTAACAATGTATTCAGTGATTATAGCATATGTATAAATTGAAATAAATTATAGCAATGATACAAAGAGTGGGAGGGAGGAATTAAAATATTTGGTTATTATAAGGTATTTGTACTATTATACTATTATAAGGTACCTGTGAAGTGGTATAGTGTTATTTGAAAGTGGACTTTAATTAGTTGTGAACGTATATTGCAAACTCCAGGGCAGCTATTAAGAAGGCCAAAAAGGGCCGGGCATGGTGGCTCACGCCTGTAATCCCAGCACTTTGGGAGGCCGAGGTGGGCAGATCACAAGGTCAGGAGTTTGAGACCAGCCTGGCCAATATGATGAAACCCCATCTCTACTAAAAATACAAAAATTAGCTGGGCTTGGGGGCAGGCGCCTATAGTGCCAGCTACTTTGGAGGCTGAGGCAGGAGAATCACTTGAACCTGAGGGGCGGGAGTTGCAGTGAGCTAAGACCGTGCTACTCCATAAAAAAAAAAAAAAAAAAAAGCCAAAAAGACATGATTAATAATATGCTAAGAAAGAAAAGAAAATGGAGTCATTTAAAATGCTCACTTAAAACAAAAAATGGCAAAAAAAAAAAGAGTGGAAAACGAACAAAGGAACAAAGGACAAAGGGAATAAATAGAAAACAGTAAGAAATACAATGGATAATAATCCAATATCAATAACCTCTTTAAATGTTAAAAGTCTAAAAACACTAACTAAAAGACATTGATTGTCAGAGTGGGTCAAGGAACAAGACCCAACTATATGTTGTCTATAAATATAAAGACATGTATAAATTAAAGGTGATGGATGGAGAAAAATAACACTATGCTAACACTAATCAAAAGAAAGCAGATTGGGCATAGTGGCACATGTAGTTCCAGCTACTCAGGAGGCTGAGGAGGGTGGCTTAAGCCTGGGAGTTCAAGGCTAACTTGGCAGCATAGCAACTCTGTCACCAAAGTATGACAGAAAGAGAGAGAGAAAGGAAAGAAAAAAAAAGAGGAAAGAAAGAAAAAGAGAGGAAAGAAAGAAAGAAAGAAAGAAAGGAAGGAAGGAGGGATGGAGGGAGGGAGGGAGGCAGGCAGGCAGGGAGGAAGGAAGGAAGAAAAGAAAAGAGAGAGAAAGAGAAAGAAAGGAAGGAAGGAAAAGAAAAAGAAAGAAAGTAAAGAGAAAGAAGGAAAGAAAAAGAGAGAAAGAAAGAAAGAAAAAAGAAAAAGAAAGAAAGGGTGAGGGAGGGAGAGAGGGAGGGAAAGAGAAAGAAAGAGAAAGAAAGAAAAGAAAAAAGAGAGAACGAAAGAAAAAGAGAGAGAAAGGAAAAAAGAGAAAGAAAGAAAAAGAAAAGGAAAGGAAGAAAGAAGGAAAGAGTGAGAGAGAGGGAGGAGAAAGGGAGGGAGGAGAAAGAGAGAGGAAGGAGAAAGAGGGAGGAGAAGGAGAGATAGGGAGGAGAAAGAAAAGATAGGGAGGGAAGGAGAGAGACAGGAAGGGAGGGAGGAAGGGAGGGAGGGGAGAAAGAAAAGGAAGATAGAGAAAGAGAAAAAGAGAGAGGAGAGGGGAACAAAAGAAGACTAGGTATATTAATGTCAGACAGAATAGACTGCAGGGGAAGGAAAATTATCAGGGATAAACAGCAGCATCACATAATGATAAATGAGTCAATTCTCCAAGAAGGCATAACAATCTTCAACATATATGTACCTAATAATGAAATGCCAAAATACATAAGGTAAAAAGTGACAGAACTTCATGGAGAAATGGATAAATTCACATTGTAGAAGGTTTAACACGCCCCTATGAAAAATGGAGAGATCCAACGGATAGAAAATCAGTATGGACGTGGCTCAACAGAACACTACCATCAATCCACTGTATATAACTGACATTTGTAGACTACCCAATAACAGCAGAATACACATTCTTCTCAAAAACCCATGGAATATACACCAAAAGAGACCATATTTTTGGCCATGAAACACATCTTAAACATGTAAAAGACTGGAAATTTTACAATCTTTGATCACAGAGCACAATGGAATTAAACTATTAGTCAATAACAGAAAAATAGGTGAAAAATATATAAAGTACTTGAAGATTAAACTATACAATTCTCAATAACACATGGACTCAGAGGAAATCTCAAAAGAAATAGAAACTACATTTTGAACTAACTGAAAATGAAAATGTAGCTTGTCAAAATTTGTGGAAGGTAGTGAAAGCTGCGCTTAAAAAAATGTGTAGCATTTAATGCATGTATTACATCACTGATCATTAGAAAAATGCACATCAAAACCCGTGATATACCATCTCATGCCAGTCAGTATGGCAATTACTAAAAAGTCAAGAAACAACAGATCCTGGTGAGGCTGTGGAGAAATATGAAGGTTTTTATACTGTTGGTGGAAATGTAAATTAGTTCAACCATGGTGGAAGACAGTGTGGCGACATCTCAAAGGTCTAGAATCAGAAATATCATTTGACCCAGCATTCCCATTACTCTTCATAGAGGAGTGTTACCTAAAGGAATATAAATCATTCTATTATAAACATAGATGCACATATATGTTCATTGCAGCACTATTCACAATAGCAAAGACATGAAATCAACCCAAATGCCATCAGTGACAGACTGCATAAAGAAAATGTGGTACATATTCACCAAGGAATACTATGCAGCCATAAAAAACAATGAGATCATGTTCTTTCCAGGGATATGGTTGAAGCTGGAAGCCATTATCCTCAGCAAAGTAACACAGGAACAGAAAATCAAACACTGCATGTTCTCACTTGTAAGCAGGAGCTGAACAATGAGAACACATGGACACAGGGAGGGGAACAACACATACTGGGGCCTGTTGTCAGGGGAGGGGGAGGGAGAACATCCAGATAAATAGCTAATGCATGCGGGACTTACAATCTAGGTGATAGGTGCAGCAAAACACCATGGCACAAGTCCTGCACATGTATCCAGGAACTTAAAATGAAATAAAAAATAGAAAAGAACAGAGATCTAAAGTCAATCATGTAAGCATCCACTTCAGGAAACTAGAAAAAGAAGAGAAATTAAATCCAAAGTAAGCAGAATAAAAAAAAATCATAAAATTAGAGCAGAAATCAATGAAACTGAAAACAGAAAAGTAATGAAAAATTGAACAAAATCGAAAGCTAGTTCTTTGAAAAGATCAGTGAAATATATAAGCCCCTATCATGTAAGAAAACAAAGAGAGAAACACAAATTAGTATCAGAAATGGAAGACGGGAAATCACTACAGATCCCATAGATAGTAAAAGGCTAATAAAATAATACTATAAACAACTCTAAGTACATAAATTGGATAACTGGGTAAAATAAGTCAATTATTTAAAGACACAAACTTCCAGAACTCACACAAGAAGATAGACAATTTCACTAAGACTACATCTATTAGAGTTAGTGAATGAATAATGAATAATGTTCCAAAGCAGAAAGTAGCAAACTCAGATGGGCTTACTGGTAAATTCCACCAAACGTTTAAAGAAAAAAATTATACCAATTCACTACAATATCTTTCAGAAGACAGAAGCAGAGGAAATACTCCCTAAGTCATTTTATGAAGCCAGCATTATCCTAATATGAAAACCAGATAAAGACACAAAAGAAAGAAAAACTACAGACCAATCTTTCTCATAAACATGCCAAAATACTCAAAATATTAGCAAATCAAATTCCACAATGTATAAAAAGGATTATTATGCAACATGAGTAAAAGACATTTATTCTAGGTTTGCAAGGCTAGTTCAACATTCAAAAATCAATTAATGTAATCTATCACATCAACAATAAATAAAATTTACATGATCATATCAATAGGTATAGAAAAAGCACTTGACAAAATATAACACACATTATGACAAAAACTCTGTCAAACTATGAATAAAGGAAAATTTCCCTTACTCTCTAGAGAACTTTTACCAAATAACCTGGAGTTAGCATTATACTTAATGGTGAGAAACGAAAAGCTTTCCCTCCAAGATCATGAACAAGGCAAGGACATCCCGTCTCATAAGTGCTTTTCAACATTATATTGGAAGTCCTAGCTAATGCAATAAGATAAGAAAATGAAATAAATATATACAGATTTGGAAGGAGGAACTAAAACTCTGTTGTTCATAGACAACATGATTGTCTATGTAGAAAGTCTAAAAGAATCATCATCAACAACAAGAGAACACTCCTGGAAAAAAACATTATAAGGTTTTCGGATATAACACTAATAGGTTAATATGCAAAATTCAATTGCTTTCCTATATATCACCAAAGAACATTTGAAATTAGAAACAAAATGCCATTTATATTAGCACCCAAATAAACATTTAGGTATAAATCTAACAAAATATATACAAAATCTATACGCGAAAAGCTACAAAGTCTAATGAAATAAATTTAAAAAGGACTAAATAAATGGGTGACACTTCTGTCAGACTTAGAATATTTCGTGTTCATGGACAGGACTCAATATTATCAAGATGTCATCTTTTCCCAAATTTATCTATAACTACAGATTTAATGTAATCCCATCATTTTTGTTATAATGCCAAACTGATTCTAAAGTTTACATGTGGTTGAAAAAGATAAGCCAACACAACTTTAACAGAAAAGAAGAAAGTTGAGGATTCTTACCACTTGACTTTATTTTAAGACTTACCTTAAACTATAGTAATCAAGACAGTGTGCTATTGGCAAAAGAATAGACAAATAGATCAATGAAACAGAACAGAGAGCCAAGAAATAGACAAAGATTATATAAATATATTCTACTCATCATGGACAAAGAGGCAAAAGCAATACAATGAAGCAAAAATAATATTTTCAACAAAATGTTTTGGAAGAACTGGATATCTACATGCAAATAATAATAATCATCTAGACATGGACCTTACAACCTTTCCCAAAATTAAGTAAAAATGGATCATAGATCTAAATATAAAACTCATAACTGTAAAACCTCTAGAAGATAACATAGGAGAAAACCTAGATGTCCTTGGATATTGTGATAGCTTTTTAGATACAACATCAAAGGCATAATTCATTACAAAATTAATTGATAAACTGGAGTTCATTAAAATGCAAAACTTTTGTACCCCTAAGGGCAATGTCAAAAGAAAAAAAGACAAGTCACAGACTAGAAGAAAATATTTGCGAAAACAAATTCTAATAAAGAAATTGTAACCAAAATATGCAAAGAACACTTAAAATTCAACTATAAGAAAACAAACAACACAATTTAAAAGATGAGCCAAAGACCTAGCAGGAAACTCACCAAAGATGATATACAAATTGTAAACATGCATATGAAAAGATGTTCCATATCATTTGTCATTAGAGAAATGCAAATCAAAACAATAATGAGATACAACTACACAGCTATTAGAATGGCCAAAATCCTCAACACTGACAACACTAAATGCTGGTAGGATGTGCAACAACAGAAAGTCATTTATTGTGGAAATGCAAAATGCTATAGCTACTTTGGAAGACAGTCTGGTAGTTTCTTACAAAACTTATATACTCTTACCATATCATACAGCAATCACACTCCTTGGTATTTACTTAAAGGGGTTGAAAATGTGTCCAAAGAAAAACCTGCACACAAATCTTCATAGCAGCTTTAGCTGCCAAAATTTGAAAGCAACCAAGAGTTCTTCTGTAGATAAAAGAATCCAGAGAATGAAAAACCATTCCGCCCTAAAAAGAAATGAGCTATCAGGACATCAAAAGACATAGAACATTAAACACATATTACTAAGTGAAAGAAGTCCATCTGAAAAGGCCACATACTGTATAATTCCAACTATATGACATCCTTGAAAAGGTAAAACCATAAAGTCACTGAAAAGCTCAGTGATGCTTATGGGGTGAGGGAACAGCAGAGCACAGAGGATTTCTAGGGCAGTGAAACTGTTTACGATACTGTAATGGTAGATATATGTCATTATACATTTGCCCAAACCCGTAGAATATATAACATTAAGACTAGAACCTAATGTCTACTATGGACTTTGGGTAATAATGATGTCACTGTAGGTTCATCCATTGTAACAAATATACCACTCTGGTTCAAAATTGTGAAGTGGAGGAAGGCTGTGCTTGTGTGAGACAAGGGGCTATATGGAAAATCTCTTTGCCTTTTGCCCAATTTTTCTGTAAATTTCTTTGAAAAATAAGACTATTTAACAAGGGGGAAATATGGTAAGCAATATTATAAGAGTGTTTACAATGATAAGGTAATGTTTACCTTCAATTCTAGAAAGTTATGTACAAACTGCCAAGGAAACGTCTTGGTGTGACTAATTCTCCTTCACCAAGAAGATACTTTCTGAGGCTGAGGCAAGTCTCCATAGCTGAGTGGAATCTGCCACCCATTGAGGAGGATAGAAGACATTAAAAGGCCCCAAAACTGATTATTGAAATACCATTCCATGTTTAAGAGATCTGAAAAAAAAATCACAGTGGCTGTGCCGGATTGTTAAGAGTTTCCAGGGAAAACTGACCCATTAGGCCCGGAATCACAGTGCCAAGGGCCCACGATACTTTTAGGGACCCACAAAATGCCTGATTTTTCTTTAACATTTGAAGAAAAGAAAGCGCTCTTAGGTCTATCAAAAAATTTTAATATATAATAACAATTTTATTTATAACAATGTAGTAGGATATTTTTAAACTATTTCTCTAGTCTTCATTTCATTTATTCTATTTCTAATCCATCACTGCCTAAAAACAGTGAGGTAGTGAAGGATTTAAAGTGATATAAATATGTGAGCAATTTTCCTGATTTAAACTAACTTGTATCTAATTTATTAATCAGTAAACACCAACATGCTAACTGTGCCTAAGAGTTAAGATAAAAATCTAAATCAGTTGACATAAATATTTCACTTTGCTTAACATGCAGAAAGCTGATAAAAGCCCAAGTTTATGTAACTTTCTTCTCTAATGAAAGCAAAGATTATACGTTTTTCTGTCGATCACACATGCCCTTAAGTTGTGGTTTGAAAATATTTACAGATTCAAAATCTAAGTGTGAAGTAAAGAATTTGCCATGTTGTTACAGGTTTCTGGGCTACCTTATGTATCTCAGTGTTCATTGTTTCTAAATAACTTTCCATACTTCCGTCAGACATAGAATCTATAGTAGAATCTCTGCTTATCCTTATCTTTCAATAGCAAAACCAACATACTACCTCAGAAACTTTCTCTCTCTCCTCTGAGCATAAGGGCTGCAGAGCTTCGCTGCTTTTGGCTAAGATATTGTCTCTAAAGAAAATGAAAATACTACTCTAAGGGGAAAATACTTAGCCTCAAATTTTGTACTCCTTACAGTGAGGAAAGAATGTAGAGAGATTGAAGGCATTGGCTGGGGTGGTGGCTCATGCCTGTTAATACCAGCAGGCAGGCAGATCACCTGAGGTCAGGAGTTTGAGAGCAGCCTGCCCAACATGGTGAAACACCATCTCTATTAAAAATACAAAAATTAGTCGAGTTTGGTGGCACACGTTTGTAATCCCTGTTACTTAGAAGGCTGAGGCAGGAGGATTGCTTGAACCCAGGAGGCAGAGGTTGCATTGAGCTGAGATTGCACCACTGCATTCCAGCCTGGGTGACAGAGTGAGACTCCATCTCAAACAAATAAAGGAGAGAGAGAGATTGAAAGCATCAGATAATGGACATATTTAATGTAAAAAAAACTGAAAAATATAAAAGCAGAGTAACAGGCTTTAATCTTGTTCAAAGTTTCTTTCATTGACCCTATGACAATGTTAAACAATGTCTTAATCCATTCAGACTGCTGGAAAAAAAATACGATACATGGAGTAGCTTATAAACAAAGAAATGTATTTCTTTTATTTCTGGAGAGCGGGAAATTCAAGATCAAACTGCTGGCAGATTTGGTGGCTGGCGAGGACATGTTTCCTGGTTCATAGATAAAGCCTTCTTACTGTATCCTCCTCACACAGTGAGAGTGACAAACATGCTCCCTCAGGCTTATTTTAAAAGAGCCTCAGGCTTCTTTTGTTAGCCCTCATGACCTTCTCACTTCCCGAAGGCACCATTTCTTAATACTATCAAACTGGGGATTAGGTTTCAACAGGCAAATTTTGGGTGGACTTAAAAATTCACACCATAGCATTTATAAACATGTATATACATACATACATACATGTATGCCATGAACATACGTATATAAATATGCATATATTACATGCATTTTATCATGCATTATGTATATATACAACAAAACCAAGTCTAATCACACAAACGATTACTGTCTGGAATGCGACTGCGCTTCCAATGCTCTGCCACATTATTAAGTAGAAGGCAGTAAGTAACACAAAAGAAAAGATCTTGGAGCCAGCAGAGGTTTGCGTTCCGCCCAGACCCCTCCTGATTCTCCACTTTGCATGGTGGTTGTTCTTTTTACTGTTCTTTTTACCACTCATGAACACTCCTATCTAAAGCAAGTACAGATTGTGTCCAAGACTTGCATTAACCTCAACATCTCCCAATTTTTTGTGTCCTTTCCTATCTTGATAACAATTCAAAATCTCATTTGTCTCTGAAAAATCTGTTGGGCAAATCATGCCTGTATCTCAGAGTCTCATTTTTAAAACTGGACCATCAGCATTAAACCTTCCATTGCAGTGGAGGAGAGGGAGAGGAGATTTGATTTCTGGGGAAAGCCTCATGTAGACTAGCAGAAAAGAGACACTATTGAGGCTTTACACTTTCCCACATCAGAGACGTCCTTCATGTTCCCTAAACAACTGTGTGCATTATTAAGCATTGATCCTATGCAATGATCACTGCACTTTATCTATCTTCATTCATAGGATTTGAAGTCATTTATGCAAGCCTTAATATCTTTAATGAATAAGTAATGAATTCACATTTATCTAGGGTTGAAATTGAGTTTCTGCAATCTTTTACCATTTGACAATCATTTATTCTCTGGTGGCCCACTTTTAAAATTTTCTTGGCCCACTCAGCCTCCAGATAGAAAAAAGAAGTCTGAAAAAAGGATGACTTTTCTGCTCTCCTGACAGCGTAAGTGTATGAGAACATTAGAGGAGCAAGCAAAATGACATCATTCCCATTTTCTTATCTAGAACGTCTCAAATGTGGCTGATCATTTGAATCATTCTATTGCTATTGCTATTAGGGCTGACCCCCAGAATCCCCAAAACAGATACCACCAAAGCTAACGAATTATAACCTCTAGGGGATGAGCCCGGACTTCCTGCATTTTGTTTTGTTTTGATTTTTAACAAGTATTTCCGGTGATTATTTAATCAGGCAAAACTGGGAAACTGATCTAGTCCAAAGTAGGGAAGACTATTTAAACTTCTCTCATGTCATAGACCATTTTGAATGTATTGTATACATGTTTTTAACTAATCCAGAGCTAACAAATTCAGTTCTAATTGCATTTCTAACTTTTTAGGGAGTTAGCTATATCTAGGACTATTGATGAAATTCAAGTACCTGAACCCCATGAGCAAACACGTGGGGAAAAAGTGAGCTCTTCTCTTGATGCCCAAGTTTAGACAGTGCCAGAAAGCAGTGATGGACTCCATATATCATGTTCTGTAAAGAGCTCCTTCAGAGAACAAGAGATCACCCTGCACCAAAATTGGACAGAAGACTCATAAGGAATGTGGCATTTGTTGTGCTCCTAGACTCATTGCTTAATCTATAGCACTTTGGGGAAATTAAATAATTTTCGTGAAAGGCAAATATTTAAAAATAGCCCGCCTTTGAAAAAGCTGGAGCTGCCTTTGTGAGACACTGAACTGTGCTGATTTAATGTAGCCAGAAGCTTTATGAGGACAGAAGCAATCCTGGATGGACACCGGGATCACCATATGTTTTTTACTAGGAATTTCTTGGAGCTGTCACCATTATCAGCACAGGATATTCCAAGAAACTACTACCAATAGAAGTGAGATAAACTGCTGAGAGGAGCCCCCTGGGATGCTGGGCAACTGCCAACTGCCAAGAGGTGGTATCTAGAAGCTTCCAATGTGTTGCACCTCTGAGCCGTTGGTGGTAACCTCTGTAGAATGGAGCAGCCATTGGAAGGTGTACAAAAAAATCAGACCATAAGGGTATTCACTTCGTCATATTATCTAGTCTCACCCATATCATCCCAAGTAATTCTTTTTTTGTCTTGTTTTTTGAGACGAAGTCTCTCTCTGTCATCCAGGCTGGAGTGCAGTGGCACAGACTCAGCTCACTGCAGCCTCTGTCTCCCAGGTTAAAGAGAATCTTCTGCCTCAGCCTCCCGAGCAGCTGGGACTACAGGCACGCACCACCACACCAAGCTAATTTTTGTATTTTTAGTAGGGACAGGGTTTCACCATGTTGGCCAGGCTGGTCTGGAACTCCTGACCTCAGGTAATCCGCCTGCCTCATTCTCCCAAAGTGCATTATAGATGTGAGCCACCACGCCCAGCCCCAAGTAGTTCTTGATATCCTGGAGAAAATTAGATTCAAGATAAACCTTACATACTACATACATTCAACCATACATCCATTTTCATTCATCGAATATGTATAGATCCCTTAGTAGATATTGCTAGATCATTTTCTGGGTGCTGGAAAGAGTGGCATGAAGTAAGTGGATGGCTGCCTTTATTTATTTATTTTTTTAACCAAAGTTGGGCTTCTTCCAGACAAGTGTAGCAGGGTGGAGGGTGATTGTAAGTATGGACTATGTACCCTGAGTGGACAAGGAAAAAAGGTATGAACCTTGGGTGTAAAACATGACTAGAAAAAAAAAAAAAAACAAAAACAGTTTTAGGAGCAATAACTCGAAGGCCTTGTGGAACTAGATAGAGATGAATGGGGGAAGGTGGTGGTCAGTGAGTGAGATCCTTGAAATCAAGGTCTGGAAGTTATGAATTATTGTGATGACCACGGATATGACCACAGGTGAGGGAGGTGGAATGTAGAATGAAGAATTTACAGAAACTAAGGAAGTCAAGGAATAAAAACACCAAGTCCTGGATATATTGTTCATGTGGGTACTACATAGGCTTTAATTAAGCAACTTGAGTAGGTCTGAAGTTACTGGAACTCTTGTTTACAGTCTTGAACTGGGTCTCAAATACCTGAATTCCTAATAATGGATATGGAAACAAGCACACATGTAGAAACCATAAGCAACAATCTAGAAAGTGTTATAAGGTTAGTAAATATACCTGTTAGAAATGTACAAATCCCTGCCTATTTCAATGTCTTTCACCTATCTAAAGAAGCACCTGCAATTCTGACCATTGAGTTTCTTCTTCAGATAAAGACATTGTCTCCCACAGGCTTGCTTTTTAGATTGGTGCAAAAGTAACTGTGGTTTTCCTATTACCTTTAGTAGTAAAACCCCAATTACTTTTGCACCAACCTATGCAAAGTAAATATATCTAGCATAAGAAGCAAATGGTAGGATAACAACATTTACAGAACAGCAACCCATGGCAGTTTAAGTGATTAACTGCTTGTCACCACCTAGTCTGGAGCAAAACTCTAGAAAATGAGGCAACTGGAAAACAATGAGGAGAAGGCAAGGAAGGCTATCTAAGAATGACAGCTTAGCCAGGGAGTCCTCATTTCCCTAATACAGAATAGCAGAAAGCTCTGGGAAACAGCAAAGTGTAATTGGGAGTACATGGCTCAGGTGTAAAATGGAGATAATATTTCTTTTGGGGTATGAAGTTTAAATAAAATAGCACATGTTAAATATCTGGTGCTCATTAGATGGTCCATATATATCAGCCTTCTTCCTCACCTGCTCTTCTTAAATAGAATATATATTTGTATTTCAAGATGATTTTACCTACAGCAATACACACACAAATATTACTCTGAAATCTACAGACAAAAGAAATCATATCTTCCTATTTCTGTGCACCTTTTCTCGAACCATTTATTTGACTGGGTATTTAGAGTTAAATTAATCAGTCTTTTGGCTTCCTTATGAAAGCTATCCTGTCTTCAAATAAGATGTTTTTCAACAGCATATTGAATGAAAGAAGCCTTACCTGAATGAGAAAATAGTGCAGGATTCCGTTTATACTAAGTTCTAAAACAGGCTAAACTTATTTTGGATGAAAAAATATCAGAATAGAGGCTACTTTTGGAATAGGAGTGGAGGATGTGTGGAAAAGAGCACAAGAGAACTATCCAGATGATGGTAATGTGACAGCAATGTTCTATAGCTTGACGGGTTAGCGTTGCAAAACTCAGTCAATACACATTTCAGATTTGTCCATTTCATATATAAATCAAAAGAAAAACTATAAGCAAATATTGACCTGTAATTAGTCATATACATACTAAAGTATTTGGGAGAAAACTGATGTAGGTATATTACTTTTTTGTGCTTTCAAAAAACAAGATAAACTGATGAATGTGTAGAAGGATGTATAAGTATGTAATAAAACACTTAAAAATCCATTGTTAAAATCTAGGTGGTGGCTATACAGGTTTCTACTGGAAAATTCTTTCAATTTTAAATGTTTAACTGAAACATTTTCATAATAAAATACTAGAAAAAATGAGATATTTTCTCCCTCATCTTTTCCCGGTTCACATTCCAATTCTTGATGAAAATATTGACATTCTTTATAGTTCTTACCAATGAACATTTAAAAAATGGCTACATCCAAGGGTGAAACAAATGCGTTTTCATCAATAGAGAAACATATGTTCAGCCCTTAGGTAGTGCCTGTGGAAAACATTTAATATTGCGGGGCTTCTTGTCATTTCTCAATAGTTGTCAGATTGTCAACTCCACATCCCAGGTGCTCAGCAAACTGTAATTTCCAGAGCTCTCTGGCAGAGGGCATATAGATCTATCCAGCTGACCTCACGTAAATATTGTAGAAATCTGTCTTCCATGAAAAGGGAGAAAAAACTAAAAGGATCTGAAATTGCCAATATTTTAGTTGCTCAGGTGTTCAGGTTTCATGGCTCCCTCAAATGCAATACATTTTTACAAATATAGAAACTCTTTCTCCCTGACCTAGCTTATGGACTAAGGAGCCTTGGGTTTCAAATATTCAAAATATTTCAGATGATAATCTCAGTTCCCAAAAGATATTTTTAATAGAGCCACTCTAACTTTTAAAGATCAAAGAGGAAGGAAATGACATGTGACACCATTATGGAATTTATCATTCCTTCCTCCTTGAAACAATATTCACGCTACCTTTCTTATTTCTCATCCTTATTCCTCCTTGTCTCTTATTTTTGGGGTGCTCCTAGTCTCAGTTTAGGGGCCTCTTCCTTTTCCTATTTGCATTCACACTTAAGCTGATCATAGTTACGTACTTTCGTAACATTTTAAATATCATCTATGTGCTCATGATCAATATATATCATTTAATCCCAAACCTCTTCTCTGATTTCCAGTCATGTATGCTCAACTGTCTACTCAGTATGTCCAATTGCATGTCTATTAGGCACTGCCAACTTAATATGTTGAAAACTAAGCTCTTGAGCTTCCCCCAAGATCTGATTCTCCTAAAGTTTCCTCCTTATTTACATAACAGCAATTCCAACCTTGCATGTGCTCTGACAACAGCTTTTGGAGTCATCTTTAGCTCCTTTCACTCTTGCACAGACCACATCTAATCTGTCAACCCATCCTCACAACTTCGCCCTCTAAATATACATAGTGTCCAACCTTTTCTCACACCCTCCATTGCTCCTTGGTCTGGGCCACCATGATCATGATTTTCCAGGTGAACCACTACAGGCTCCTAGACTAATCTCCCTGCTTCTGCCCTTACCCCCCTTCCATCTATTTATTCACAATCTAACAACCAGAATGCCTTTGTTAAATATGAATGGAAATAGCTCACTCCTCTGCTCAAAATAATCTAATAGGTTCCCTTTTCATGCAAAATAAAATCCAAAATCATCAAAAGCATCTACAAGTTTCCACACAATTTGGTCCCCCATCTCCACCTAATCTCCTATGACCCTTCCCCTCTCACTCAGCTCCAGCTATACAGGACTTGCTACTGAGATTCCTCATCTGTGCCTTCACTGCGCACAAGCTATTTCTTCTTGGAACACCCCTCATTCACAAAGCTTGTTCTCTCACGTTCATCAGACCTCTGCTCAAATGTCAGTGTAGCAGTTAGCTCTTCCCTGACTATACTGCTTAAAACTATGTGCAGCTACCCCTTCCCACAACACTCCCTACCTTCTCTCTTTGCTTTATTTTTCTCTGTAACACTCATCACCATCTAACATATTAGGTATGTATGTTTTGCCTTCATAGCCATATTAAAGTACATGGTCAATGAGGTCAGGGATTTTTGTCTGTTTTATTAATTTCTGATCCCTAGACCTTAGAAAAGGACACAACATATATTTTTAAATACATGAATGAATTGAGAACTTAACTTCACAAATATATCATTTAAATTAATCAAGAATAATTAAGAAATTAAGAATAACATAGAAGGCCACAATATCTCTATTTCAGCCTGCTCAGATCTATTACAACAACCTCATTGGGTCCCACCCTACCCTGAATGAGTCAGGAAAAAGGATACTCACATTAATTCTTTAATGTATATCTTTCTTTATCTTCTTTTTATATCATTGACAGCAGCTTATCTTATTTATCTACCCAAGGAAAGATCTAGCTTCTATTTCCCTTGATTCTAATCTCAAGTGGTCATATGCGTCTCTGAATTCTCCAGGTAATGTATTTGATTTTGTCACTGTCTTAAACTGACTTAACCCAATTTGATGGTCAGAACCTTCGGTAAATATTATTAGCCTTCAGTGGCTGTACTTCACAGCAATATGCCTCACTCTCATATCACTGCTGTAAGATGGTGTTTGACAATGAAAGCAAGTCTTGTGCAAAATAATCACACTAAATTAGTAACAGCACTAATCTAAAACCCTTTATTAGCAAATAGCCACAGTGCTGCAGCCTATTTGCAGTTCAGAAAAGGTCTTCTTCATTGTTCTCTGATGTAACTAACACCTTCTATGAAGGCTGGTTCAAAACGGGCACCACCAAGTTCTTTAGGCAAGCTGAGCAAGCCGTTTAGTTAAGTGGGAAAGGAAATAGGGTCATTCCAGAAGCGGAAACGTACAGCACCACACACCACACCAAATGTACATCATGCCACCTGTCTTTAATGTTTAAAGAAAGTTGGCATGATCTTTTAGGAGCTAAACAACAAATCAACTGCTCTCAGATGAATACTGTGCAAAACAAGTTCTTGACCTCAAGGACTGAACTAACAGAATAGAGTAAGGACTGTTGAACTTGGTGGGTTTTGCACAGTATTCATTCGTGGGCGGTAGATCTGTTGTTTAACTCCTAAAAGATCATGCCACCTGTCTTTAAACATAATTCTATAAATCAACAAAATAGGCTACATTTTTAATACAGATTATGGTTAATTTTTCCATATATTTACACATCATATTACTTACCTAGAATATTTTAAATGAGTCAGCACAACACAACACTCAGAACAGATGTATTTCAGGATTTGATCAAGCTTGATAAAATGTCACAATTTAAATTATTTCTTCTAAATTTTTAACTCTCACAACTTGATTTATACCAAAGGCACCCAAAAGTGTACTTGTCACCATAAAGTGAATTTTGATAAAGGATGAAGATTAAGGTAAAAGCATGGACATAGAGACATTTTAGAATCGAAGAAAATCTAAAGACAATCCTCTTCAGACCATTTTAATTATAGCTGAGGAAATAGACCAAAGATGTTAAGAAATTTGTCTTCACTCACAAAATGACTCAAAGAAGAATAAGGTCCACAATCCAGTGCAGTGATTCTAAGTCTCCAATTAACTTTCTCTAAAATCCTATTAGAACTTGATGTGTTTTCAGAGGTACTGGGAAAACCCCTCAGTCAGTCACTCCAAAAATAAATCTATTCATTCTGCTTCTCATTAAGTTATTTTTGAACAGTCACACATCCATTCCACCTTTGAAGACTTGCAAAATGCCTGCCTCTGTGTTATACAGTTGATCAAGCATATTAAAATAAAGAAGGATCCCACTCATTACTAAAGAAGAGACAATAAGTACTCCCTGGAAAGTGAATGTTCCATATCACTTACTCAGTGCTAAGATTTTCTTTCCTTTATTTTCCACACTTATGGACACTTAGGGGCCAAGAAATGGAGGAAAACCAACCATTCCATTAGTATGCAAACGCCAGCCTAACCACGGTGTAAATTTACCTTCAGATACTTGGATGTGCAGGGACTGCAAATAAGCTGCAGACTAAATTTGGCCTCAGAAATTTCTTTGCCAGACCAGCACAGTATCAAAAAATGTAAAAAGTGAAAGCACCCATTTTCTATTGACTTGTACTGGTTATTTCAGTTATTTGTCTTATCAACAGGCTGTTGCAGGCATTTGAGTATGTGGCTTCTGTGTGCCACACAGTAATGATAAATATGTACCTAGAATGATGGATTAGAATCTAAACCCCTCCAAGGGCTATTGTTGTTACCTTGAGCAAGTTCTTAATCTCTCGCTGGCCTGGTTTCCTCACTGATAATATGGGGAGGATGACAATAGTACCTAACTCACTGTATTGCTGAGGATACATGAGATAAAGCACTTAGAGTGTTCTTGGCTACGCTAATATCTCTTGGGCTTTTACTTTGTGCCCAGCATGGTATGAAGCAATTTATATGCGTTGTCTCATTTATGAGGTATATATTATTATCTCCATTATGCACATAAGGAAACTGAGTCTTAAAATTCATATTACAGTAGTTTCCCCCTTATCTGAGGGGAATATGCACCAAGATCCCCAGTGGATGCATGAAACAACAGATACGACTAAACCCTATGTATGTCTTTTCCTATACATACATATCTATGTTAAAGTTTAATTTATAAATTAGGCACAGCAAGAGGTTATTAACAATAAATAATATAATGGAACAATTATAACAATGTACTACAATAAAAGTTACACGAATGTGTTCTGTTTCTCTCTTACTCTCTATGCCTTTCTCTCTTAAAATATCTTATTGTACTACCCCCATCCTTCTTCTTAGGATGATATGAGGTGATGTATTGCCTAGGTGATGAGAGGAAGTGAAGTGAATGACAGGCATTGTGACATAGCATTAGGCTACTATTGACCTTCTGTATTCCTGAATCAGTGTAACCATCCTTTGCTTGCAGTAAATGGCTTGGCGTCACTTGTTTCAGGGGATCCTTTGCTAAAGTTTCCATAAAGGCTCGATGCTTTCTGGTGCAACACATTGCCATCAATTGAGATTTTTGTCTGTTCATGTCTTCTACCCACAAATAGAATCCCTTTTTCATCTTAACTACTTATTGCTTACTTTGGCCACAAGTTTTGCAGTTTGAGGTGTGACAGCAAAACTAGCACAAATTTCTTTTCGTTCTTCACAATATTATCGATAGACGATTTGTTCTTATTATAGATCTTAGCAACTTCAGCATATAACTTTTTTTCTCTATTGAGAACTCACATTTGTACTTAGAGGAACACTTTACTGCTTCTCCTTGGCATATCCGATTTGCCAGCATCACCACTCTTGCACTTTGGAACCATTATGAAGTAAAATAAGAGTTACTTTAACACAAGCACTGTGATGCTCTACAAGTCAATCTGATAACCCAGAGGACTACCAAGTGACTGACAGAAGGGGTGCATCTATGGTGTGGATATACTGGATGAAGGAGTGATTTGCGTCCTGGGTAAGACAGAGCAAGATAGTATGAGATTTCATCATAATACTCAGAATGGAATGTAATTTAAAAGTTAGAAAATGTTTCTTTATAGAATTTTCTAGTTAATATTTTAGGACCATGCTGATTGCAAGTAACTGAAACCATGGAAAGCTAAACCTCAGATAAAAGGATGACTACACTATTTTACCAAAGATTCTATAATTAATAAATAGTGGAATAAGGATTTGAGTGAAAGCAATCTGACATCACAGCCCAATTCTTAGCACTGTGTGCTGAACACTCAGTTAATTTCACTTAGCAACACACTTCCATGCCACTATGTCCCTTCTATATTTACCAAACATTTGGATTTGATTTTGTAATATGTCTCTCTGATATGCAATAGCTGCATTCTTATATGAGTCAAATGGCAAATCTATTATTTTTCTCTCACCCTTTGCTCCATTTACAACAGCTGATGACCAATAACCATTCATTTCACTCTCAAAAGTCATCTTTTTTTTTTTTTTTCTGCACGATTTCTCTCTTCAAGAACTACTTGCGGCTGGGCACGGTGGCTCACACCTGTAATTCCAGCACTTTGGGAGGCCAAAGCATGAGGAACACCTGAGGTCAGGAGTTCCAGACCAGCCTGGCCAACACGGTGAAAACTCGTCTCTACCAAAAATATAAAAATTAGCTGGGCATGGTGGCATGTGCCTGTAATCCCAGCTACTCGAAAGGCTGAGGCAGGAGAATTGCTTCAACCTGGGAGGCGAAGGCTGCAGTGAACTGAGATAGTGCCACTGCACTCCAGCCTGGGCAACAGAGCAAGACTCTGTCTCAAAAAAAAAAAAAAAAAAAGCTACTTGGATAATGGGAAAATATGTGCATTTTGTTGCATTCAGGTGTAAGGAACACATGAAGGCACACTATTTTCATTAATTTTCATTATGGTCTTCAGATTTATAAAGGTTTGGTCCACAGAACATATCAACTAGCTCTTTTGCAAGTCACCTAAATAAAGATACAAGGAACTAATCATACTGGATCATACAGAATTTGAGCCCAATAGCAGAACAAAAATCTTGCTAAGAAAAAATTTTATTAGGCAAAAGTCTGAAATGTTATTCAATAGCAGCAACACTGAGGGTGTGCAGGAAATTTTGAAATAAGATGAATATTACAACCTGAACAAGCTCTAAAATTTATCAATTCGTACTTCAGAATGCTTTATGAAGTTTTTTCTAGCTCATAGATTCTATTATCTAATTATTAAAGGAATTTAAAGTTATCTTTGTCATCTTCAAATTTTTAAAAGAATCTTATATTAAATAAATTAAATGTTTACCAAGGCTTATAGCTGTGTAATAACTATCTATTTGAAAGGACAAAAATTTTATATTTTATTCATAAACTTGATCATTTATAAATCTGAGCTTCTCACATTGTAGTTCTTTCTAAGACTGGAGAAGAGTGGTTTCCATCTAATTTATAATTGTGGAACCTGCCTCATAATGTATCTTTTGCTTTCCAATGGCAACTTCAGAGTTTTCTTGGTAGAATCCATCTGTAAGGCTTATTTCATCATCTTCTCTGCTTGTAGATTATGGACTGGCATGTCATAAACCCAACTTGAAGTAGAAATTCTTACTGTATTGTAAAATAGCTTTTCATGTGATTTTTGTTTTTTCCAGCACCTGGGTTCCTAGGCATTTTCTGGGAACCAAAAAGATGGCATAGAGATCTCTCTTCCACATATAAAATACTTTGGACTTGGTTACTCACAGACATGAAAGATAACCCAAAGACAAAACAAAGGAAGGTGTACAGCAGATGTTCCATGCTTTCTAAGTTAGGAAATGTCTAATCCTTCAGACTAGGAAAATGAGAGCAAAACGATAGAATCACAGAGCAAAACAGCAAAGACACCTCAAGGGATTATCTGGGGGGTTGCCTTTCAGGTAACCAAAACAGTTCCCTTGAAACCTTAACCGTCCTGCTTAAGGTTATACGGGCAGTACAGCCAAGGAAAATTTGACCCTGCATCCCAGGCTATTAACACAGAATTCTTTTCACTCTCTACACTGTGCCCAGTTGACAGATTTAACATAGCTTTAGCACATGGGCTTTTCAAAGTGATATAACTTAATCTCTTGTAGTAGTACCTATGTGAGTAACATCATCATATCCTTGACTCAGGCACTTTTTCTGTCTTTAATTGGCAATAAGTTCCAACTGTTTATGGACGCTTATAAGAAAAGTCATCCAATTGCTGCTTCACAAAATAGCATATACTTAAAGTATATTTTGTTAATAAAACATTTGTGAAGTTGCCAACATTTTAAAAATAATTTTAGAGCATTTGGGAGACAAAACACCACGATTCATGTGGAAAGGCTTGCAAAGCCCATGAAGTTCCTTAAATAGCTATGAGACCTCCTACTGTTTATGTTTTATTTGTGATCTTGTAAGACAGATTTGTTGCTTCACTTCAGCCTTGTTGTTATTTGTGTTCACAACAATGTACAGGCTATATAAACTTAAATCTACCTCCCCAGCAAAATATGTATTGGAGGTACGTACTTATAAAATTTTTCAATGTATAATTTTCGTCAAGGGTTTTTATTATTGTTATTATCATTGTTTGGGGGGACTTTGTAACTAGTAACAGATTACACATAAAATCCCAAAGAAACCAAGAATTTAAAAAATGAGAGAGATTTTTATATTTTCTAAAATGAAGTCTTTTACTGTTAGACAAAGTACCTTGGGCCAGGTTTGTACATTTTTTGCTTTGTTCTTTTATGTGTATTATTTATTTTTTAGATGTAACCTAAGTTGCTTCTTTATTTTTAAAATCTGTAGGCTATAAAAGATTTCCATTTAGGTTTACTTTTTTGTTGAGCATGTAAAATTTATGCCATCTACTTTAATTTTCTATATAGAAGCATATTCATGAAAGAATTTCCTGTATATTATTTGTTGCTTTAAATATTTCTCCTATTTATCTTAGCTTTTGATATATTGTTAATATTTGACTCAAAATATTTGGTATTCTGCTTTGACCTTGCTCTTTATGAGTTCAAATATGTGATTATTCTATTTTTATAAGTATGTTTTACACTCTCCAGAATAAAATGCAATTATAATGATAAAAGTATTGAACTTTCACTTCAATTTGATAGCCAAAATCTCTCTTGTGACATCTGAACACATTTGAACAAATAAAGGTTAAAAATACCGGCCTATACCCAACAGTAACCTCCCATACTTTATAGGAAAATGAAGCATTCGAGCCTTGGAGTCAAGAAACCTGTGCTCCAGTCATTGTCGGGGTTTTATATTATTATAACATTTTTTCTGAAAATCTCAAAACCACTTGTGATTTCCATTTTTTAATCTATTAGATGTTGATGATAATACCTCTGCTATCCCCTTACCGAATTTGTATATGTAATTATTAAGTACCTCTTATATTCCTAATATTTACCTGATGCTGCCTTTTTTTTTTTTTTTTTTTGAGATGGAGTCTCGCTTTGTCGCCCAGGCTGGAGTGCAGTGGCGCGATCTCGGCTCACTGCAAGCTCCGCCTGCCTGGTTCACACCATTCTCCTGCCTCAGCCTCCCGAGTAGCTGGGACTACAGGCGCCCGCCACCATGCCCGGCTAATTTTTTGTATTTTTACTAGAGAAGGGGTTTCACCGTGTTAGCCAGGATTGTCTCTATCTCCTGACCTCGTGATCCGCCCACCTTTTAGTCTTCATCTGAATGTATATTAATCACAAGCAGGTTTTCTTATCTCTAGATCATAGAGGAAGAAACAAAGGTTCAGAGAAGTTAGTCTTATTTTTAAGTGGCAGAATTGGAGTTTACCTCAACTGCCTAATGACATGCCCTTATCTAGTGTATAAGTTGGAGGAAGAGAAAACACAAGTGGTTTTCAGTTTTATTTCATTTTTTTAAATTTAATCTATATGTTATCAAAAAATAAAGTCTCCTGAATATTGATAAGAATTTTCCAAAAGTATTCCTCATACATTGAAATACATTGGCCCATATTTTAACATCAGTATGCATTTCTTATACAGTTTGATGCTCCTGCATTTCAAAGCACAAGATTATGATCTTTTGATTTTAAAAGATGAAATTCTGCCATGCATTCTGTTGATTATTTCCTTTGCCATGCAGAAACTTTCTAGTATGATGTAGTCCTGCTTATTTTGGTTGTGTTGTCTGTGCTTTTGGTGTCATATCTATGACATTATTGCCAAGACCAATGTCACAGAGTGTTTCTCTGGCTTTTCTTGTAGAGGTTTTACATTTAAGTCTTCAATCCATTTTGAGTTAGTTTTTGTGTATGGTGTAAGATAAGAATCAAATTTCATTCTTCTGCGTGTGGATATCCAGTTTTCCTAACACCATTTGTTGAAGAGACTATTCTTTCTCCATTGTGTATTCTTGGCATCCTTGTTGAAGATCAGTTCACCATATAAATGTGGGTTTATTTCTGCACTCTTTATCCTGTTCCATTGGTCCATATGTCCATCTCTATGCTAGTATCACAATGTTTTGATTACTATAGATTTCTATTATAGTTTGAAATCAGGCAGTGTAATTCCTTCAGATTTGTCCTTGCTTCTCAAGCTTGATTTAGCTATTTGCAAAATAATCAAGAGATTGAAAAAGCAACCTACAGAATGGGAGAAAATATTTGAAAACTATGTATCTGATAAGGGGTTAATCTTTGAAATATATAAGAAATTCCCATAATGTCAATAATAAAGTTAATAACTCAATTAAAAAATGGGCTAAAGACATATATAGACATTTTTCTAAAGACATGCTAATGGCCAGGAGACAAATGAAAAACACCGTTAGTCATCATGGAAATGCAAATTGAAAACACAATGAGATATTACTTCACACATGTCAGAATGGCTGTTATCAAAAAAAGAGAAAAAAAGTGTTGACAAGAATGTACAAAAATTAGAATCCTTGGACACCGTTGGTGGGAATACAAAATAGTGCAGCCCCTGTGGAAAATAATATGGATGTTCCTCAAAAAAATTAAAAATAGAGCTACCATATGATCCGGCAATCTTACTTATTTGCATCTATCTAAAAGTATTAAAACCAAGATCTTAATTGATCTTGCAGCAGTATTTATTGCAGCAGTATTTATTGCAGCAGTATTTACCATAGCGAAGATGTATAAAAAACCATACATGGATAAATTGATAAAGAAAATGTTGTATATAAACATAAGGAAATACTATTTAGTCTTACAAAAAGAGTTCTGAAATAATAACAGCATGATGAACCTTGAGGACATGCTGAGTGAAATAAGCTTGCCACAGAAGGACAAACTGCATGATTCCACTTACGGGAATTATCATATATAGTCAAATTCATAGAATCAAAGTGTGGAATGGTAGTTGCCAAGGGCTAGAGGGGGAAATGAGGACTTATTAATTAATGGGCACAAAGTTTTAGTTAAGCAAGATAAATAAGCTCTAGAGATCTGCTGTAGATCATTGTACCTATTGTTAACAATAGTGTATCATGAACTTAACTTCTTGGAGAGTAGATCTTATGTTAAATGTTCTTACCACAATGAAATAAAATTTTAAAAGAAAGAGAAAATACAATGTAATCTCTCTCTACCCCAAAAGAAAATAATTCTACGCAACAATCAAATGGGCAGAGCAAAACACAGGTCTTCCCAAAGAAGAACTTCTCCTCAATATCTATTCATTATTTACTAAACATCTACTTAATACCTATGATTTGCAATGCATTCTGGAGCCACATAAAATATGGTCATAAAATATAAAATTTGGAAATTGAAATGTTCTTTAGGGATCATTTAGCACAACTGTTTCATTCAACAAATGAAAAACTTATTTTATTTTTGAGATGGAGTTTCGCTCTTGTTGCCCAGGCTGGAGTGCAGTGGTGCATCTCGGCTCAAAGCAATCTCTGCCTCCCGGGTTCAAGTGATTCTCCTGTCTCAGCCTCCTGAGTAGCTGGGATTACAGGCACCCGCCACTATGCCCAACTAACTTTTTGGTATTTTTCGTAGAGACGGGATTTCACCATGTTGGCCAGGCTGGTCTCGAACTTCTGACCTCAAGTGATTCACCCGCCTCGGCCTCCCAAAGTGCTGGGATTGCAGGCATGAGCCACCACGCCTGGCCAAAAAACTTATTTGAAAAAACAGGCATTCAAAATTACCTATGCTCTAAGTCTCTTACATCTAGATCAATAGTGCTGCCACAGCAGTTTTCAAAACATTTGTTGCTTAATACTTCTTTATAACATATAATGCCAGCAGGCCATCACACCACACATTCAATTTAGAGGTAAAAAATCCTATCCCAGCCAGATGATTTTTCATGCATGAATGTAACAGAGAGGTATTTTCAGACACTCAAGAATAGAATGAACATTTTTATTCTTTTTTTTTTTTTTTTTTTTTTGAGACAGAGTCTTCCTCTGTCGCCCAGGCTGAAGTGCAGTGGCGCGATCTCGGCTCACTGCAAGCTCCACCTCCCAGGTTCACGCCATTCTTCTGCCTCAGCCTCCCGAGTAGCTGGGACTACAGGTGCCTGCCACCATGCCCGGCTAATTTTTTGTAATTTTAGTAGAGGCTAATTTTTTGTATTTTTAGTAGCGATGGGGTTTCACCGTGTTAGCCAGGATGATCTCGATCTCCTGACCTCGTGATCCACCCGCCTCGGCCTCCCAAAGTGCTGGGACTACAGGCGTGAGCCACTGCACCCGGCCTGAACATTTTTCTTGAAACATAACTTGCTTGACGCAAGTACGTTATAATACTAGTAAATCTAAGAATATGCAAATGACCACTCTACTTTTATATTTTTTAAAAGACTAGTGGTAATCAAATAATAAAAGCAGAAATAAAAATTTAAAAGTAGAGTGGTTTTATATATAAATCACTTGTGATTTATATCTTTAAAAGACTAATAGTAATAAAATAATAAAGGCAGAAATAAATAATTTAAATCATGGGTGCTTTCAATTCCCCGTGCTTCACAAGGAGACATGCTGTTTATTGAAACACACTAATTACACATTGCTGAGGTGATCTCATACACTAGCCCTGTGCATCAGGAATTCACCCCGTGGGCTATGCATCCGAATGGAAACTACCTTAAATGTTCACCAAGCCTAGTGTCATGTTCTTATCAAACGTCACAAAACACATGACATAATGTCCACAAATCATGAGGTGTCCTCTTATTGCCAAAGATACATAGGAAATAAAATTAATTTTTGGTCAAATAGAAAAGCTTCTTTCACAGACTTATTGCTGCAATATCAAACTTCTGTGAAAAAGATAAACTATTATCTGGGAAAAGTTTTCATGTTATTTGAAAGTTAAATTAAAATCTTTAAAAATGGAAGATAACTGTCACAATTTACTTTTGTTTTCCCTTTGAGTTTGTTTTTGTATCTTAAGCATTTAAAGACGGCATCCAACAAATTAGAACTCACTTTGAAAAACACACTTTCGTTCCTTTATTTTTAGCATTTTACTTACTGCCCATCAAGTTCCACTTCCACTATGCTTTATATTTACATATATATGCCTCTATTTGAGCAAGGTAATTTCATTCCTTGAAATGCAGAACTCCATGTATTAGATAGCTTCCTTTTTAAAGAAATGAGAAATTCTGGAATAATTAAATTACTTCTTAAAACTTAAAAAATTTGTTACTGACAATGCTCAGATCGGACCAAATTCTCTTGCTTACATATTAATACTCTACCTGTTCATGGACTGATCTAAAATTTCCACTCAATTTTAAATCTTCTTTTTCGCAGAAAATTTTATTTGGATCATTATCTTTGTCTTATCTTTATTATCAAGGATTCTGACTGTCTTGGGGAATTGGAAAGTTTAAGTATAATTTTCAGGAAAAAAAAATCATGTCTCTCACACAAATACAAAATGATCACATGTAAAAAAATTTATTTAACTCATCATTGATGGAGAGCAGTAAGATGTTATGACTGGTTCAAAGTGTGTTTTAGAAGCTTGAGTATTTATGGAGTGGTGAGATTCCTGGGTTAGATACAAAATTAGCACATACCCCACAAAGCCATAAATGTTTGGGCTGACTTTCTAGACAATCCTTCACTCCCACGTGATATTTAATTACATGCCACTCACCCTTTTGTTTAGGTTCATCTTTGACATAATTTTTCTGCCAGAGGTAATTTAAAAACTATGCAAATATCATCAAAATTCAAGAACAGATTTTTTTTCATATGGTCAAAAATATGTAGTTTTCTCACTGAAATCAATGCTATGCATATGTAGCTCAGAGTCCCCATCCTTTTCAGCAATTCCTCTCAGAATCTATACAAATATGAAGAGCAAATGGAAAAAAGGTAGTTATTAGATTTCACAGGAATGTTATTGAAATTAACTTTGAAATACATGCAACTGATAAATCACATATTCCCTTTAAAATATTAAGAAGAACAGACAAGTAGTGAAAGGGTTTGTGTCTGTGAAGAGGGAGGAATAGTTCCTTCAGGAAGTCCACAGGAAGAGTAGCAGTCAGAACTAAATATGAATACTTCAGACGGGGATTAAGTTTCCTTAAAGGCCATGAGATAGTTGAAGCCTATATATAATCATTTGTACTTCTCTGATAAAACTCAATTCCAAGAAAACTTAGACATAATTGCTCCCACATTTGAAATTTGTGTAATGAATTGCTGATTGAAATTCAATGACTTTCAAAAGTCTGATTTTTTCCCATGTCAGTTTCTTTGAAGATGTATTGATGTTGAGAAAATGATTCAACGCTTCGAATGCAATTCAACATAGTATATGCAATTTTCAGTTCATTGAAGCAGAATTGAGCTCAAATATGTGGATTGGTATTTATATCTATAGGGAGGGGAATGTCTTTCCTTCTCTTTTAGGTTCTGATGTACAAAGCATTTTGATGACTTAGATACATTTCTTTTAATCAACTTTGAAGACAAATCAGAAATATTTGCTAAAATTATTGGAAACTTTTTTTAACCTACTTCTGAAAAAGAACTTGACTCTTGAATGGACATTCCCATAGTAGTAAAGAATAGCAGTATTACTTGGCGAAAATGTGGAAACTAGATTTTCATACAACCACTCCTAATCATTTTAAATATATACAAAAATATGTATCTGGAAATATAAGAAAGAGTTGTATTACTAGGAACAGCAGTCTAGAAGAAAACTCTATTTTTTTTTTTTTGTAATCTTACAAAAACATTCTAATGAGTAGTTGGACAGGGGAGACATGAATAATATACCATAAAACCTCATTGAAAATCCCAGCCCCATGGCTGCCCTTGCCACATGGAGGGCAGTTATTCCTCAGAACTCTAATTATCTCACAGCCACATCCCACCTCTGAAACTCTCCAAAGCCCTCATCTACACCAGCTGCTTTCCTGTTTGTTACTTCTCCAAGCTTCCTGGATCTTGATTTCACTCTCTTACCAGTTCTCACCACCTTGGTTACTGCCCTCTGTTACATAATGAGGGTAGAACCAGGAGAAAGGGGGAATTTCAAGTGGGGAATGTCAGGATACTCCTCAGAGAGAGGAGAAGGGGTAAGGTTGTTTTATTATTTTTATTGTCGTATATTATAATATATTTTTCTCCCTGTTACCCATGGAACCATTTCAGGTTGGGTGGTTTTGTGGATTTTTTTGTTTTTTTCTTCATGGCCATCAAGACGGAGGAAACAGAACATTGTAACCAATTTATTTTCTGATTCATGTTTTAATGATCATGAATTATCTTTCATTCCTGCCATGCTGCAGATTATTCCATGGCCATCTTCTTTACTCACAGTTTCTTGTGCCTAGAAAATCTTTTCACTTTTTATTTTCACCTTGCTAACTCAAACTCCTTAAAGTCTCTACAAAGTCGCTTCCCAAAGGCTGCTCTGTTCCCAACCCGTGCTGAGCGCCCATCTGGATGTTCCCATTGCACCCCACATGCTCTCTGATTATAACAGTGGCTGCATTATATTACCATGACCCGTCGAGGCATATTAGAGGGAAGCTTCTGAGTTTGTTTTTGTGTGTTGTATTCCCAGTGCTCCCTGCAGAGTGGGCTGGGGTGCATAGTAGGGGCTCAATGCAATTACGTTGATCAGAATTGAACTGAACTGAAATGAAAAGGAATAAAAGAATAGAAGGTAGAAAATGGTCTGGTCATCCAGGACTGAAGACAGAACAGGAACAGTCTCCCACATGAGCACTGAGACTCAGGTGGGGAACACTATAGACTGTTTCTGTGGCTTGCTTTGGCCAATAAAAAAAGGCAGAAGTGACAATATGTTATTGGGGCGTTGATCGCAGTGGCCTTGTTTGGTTTCTTCTGTTCTATTTTGCTTCTGTTACTGCCATGAGTAGACCATGCCTTGGTGTATAGAGAGAAAAAACAAACAGCTTCCCCTCCTATATGTTCAACATTCGCTGCAGAATACTTCTGTGGCCATATGTGTGGGGATTTTTCTCCACATCAAATAATTTTGAGATACCAACTGGGTGTCCCAGTTTGATTCAATTCCAACACTAATCTGAGTTGTGCAGACACCCACAGGTTAAAGGCTCAATCTCATATGACTGCCCCTCTGCCACAATTTCAACTACAAATCACAAGAAGTAGGTTCCCTGCTTACCCACAACTCTGCCTCACTTGTATAACAAATCAGAGGTTTCCATGACCCCATTCTTGGGTTCAGTTAATTTGTTAGAGCAGCTCACAGAACTCACTTGTTTTTTTTTGTTTTTGTTTTTACCAGTTTTTTATCTTAGTAAAGGACATGATAAAGGATACAATTTGCTATGGTTCGAATATTTGACACATCCATATCTCATGTTAAAATTTGATTCCTGGCCAGGCACAGTGGCTCATCTCTCTGATCCCAGTGCTTTGGGAGGCAAAGGTGGATGGGTCACTTGAGGCCAGGAGTTTGAGACCAGCCTGGGAAACATGCAAAACGCCGTTTCTACAAAAAAACTATAAAACAGCAAGGTATGGTAGCATGCACCTGTAGTTCCAGCTAACTGGGGGGCTGAGGCAGGAAGATCACTTGAGCCCAGGAGGTCAGGGCTACAATGAGCTGTGTTCACACCAGTGCACTCCAGCCTGGGTGACAGTGTGAGACTCTGTCTCTAAGAAGAATAATAAAAATAAATAAATTAGCTGGGCATGGGGGTGTGCTTCTGTAGTCCTAGCTGCTCTGGAGGCTGAAGTGGGAGGATTGTTTGAGCCTAGCAGTTTGAGGTTACAGTGAGCTGTCATCCCACCACTGCACTCCAGCCTGAGAGACAAAGCAAGATGCTCTCTGTAAAAATAAATTTAAGGGAAAAAAAATCCTAACGTTAGAAATGGTGCCTAATAGGTAGGAAGAATCAATATGGTGAAAATGGTCATACTGCCCAAGGTAATTTATAGATTCAATGCCTTCCCCATCAAGCTACCAATGACTTTCTTCACAGAATTGGAAAAAACTATTTTAAAGTTCATATGGAACCAAAAAAGAGCCCGCATAGCCAAGTCAATCCTAAGCAAAAAGAACAAAGCTGGGGGCATCACACTACCTGACTTCAAACTATACTACAAGGCTACAGTAACCAAAACAGCATAGTACTGGTACCAAAACAGAGATATAGACCAATGGAACAGAACTGAGCCCTCAGAAATAATGCCACATATCTACAACTATCTGATTTTTGACAAACCTGACAAAAACAAGAAATGGGGAAAGGATTCCCTATTTAATAAATGGTGCTGGGAAAACTGGCTAGCCATATGTAGAAAGCTGAAACTGGATCCCTTCCTTACACCTTATACAAAAATTAATTCAAGGTGGATTAAAGACTTAAATGTTAGACCTAAAACCATAAAATCCCTAGAAGAAAACCTAGGCAATACCATTCAGGACATAGGCATGGGCAAGGACTTCATGTCTAAAACACCAAAAGCAATGGCAACAAAAGCCAAAATTGACAAATGGGATCTAATTAAAGAGCTTCTGCACAGCAAAAGAAACTACCATCAGAGTGAACAGGCAACCTACAGAATGGGAGAAAATTTTTGCAACCTACTCATCTGACAAAGGGCTAATATCCAGAATCTACAATGAACTCAAACAAATTTACAAGAAAAAAACAAACAACCCCATCAAAAAGTGGGTGAAAGATATGAACAGACACTTCTCAAAAGAAGACATTTATGCAGCCAAAAAACACATGAAAAAATGCTCATCATCACTGGCCATCAGAGAAATGCAAATCAAAACCACGATGAGATACCATCTCACACCAGTTAGAATGGCCATCATTAAAACTCAGGAAACAACAGGTGCTGGAGAGGATGTGGAGAAATAGGAACACTTTTACACTGTTGGTAGGACTGTAAACTAGTTCAACCATTGTGGAAATCAGTGTGGCGATTCCTCAGGGATCTAGAACTAGAAATACCATTTGACCCAGCAATCCCATTACTGGGTATATACCCAAAGGAATATAAATCATGCTGCTATAAAGACACATGCACACATATGTTTATTGCGGCACTATTCACAATAGCAAAGACTTGGAACCAACCCAAATGTCCAACAATGATAGACTGGATTAAGAAAATGTGGCACATATACACCATGGAATACTATGCAGCCATATAAAAGGATGAGTTCATGTCCTTTGTAGGGACATGGAGGAAGCTGGAAACCATCATTCTCAGCAAACTGTCACAAGGACAAAAAACCAAACACCACATGTTCTCACTCATAGGTGGGAATTGAACAATGAGAACACATGGACACAGGAAGGGGAAGGAACATCACACACCAGGGACTGTTTTGGGGTAGGGGGAGGGGGGAGGGATAGAATTAGGAGGTATACCTAATGCTAAATGACAAGTTGCTGGGTGCAGCACACCAACATGGCACATGTATACATATGTAACAAACCTACACGTTGTGCACATGTACCCTAAAACTTAAAGTATAATAATAATAAAATTTAAAAAAAAGAGATATCTAAAGTTCTATTGATTAAAAAAAACGAAAAAAAAAGAAAAAGAAATGGTGCCCAATAGGGTGTGTGAATGATGGTGGGGGGCCAGATCCCTCATGAACAGATTAATGCCCTCCCTTGGTGGGGTAGGGAGGCAGTGAGTGAGTTCTTGCTCTATAAGTTTCCCCAAAAGCTGGTTGTTAATAAGACTTTGGCACCACCCTCCCCTCTCTTTTGCTTTCTCTCTCTTCTGCCATGTGACCTCTGCACATGCTGGCTCTGCTTCGCCTTTCACCATGAGTGGAAGCTTCTTGAGGCCCTCATCAGAAGCAAATATTGGGGCTGTGTTTTTTGTACAGCCTACAGAACTGTAAGCCAAATAAACCTCTTTTCTTTATACATTATCCAGCTCATGTATTCCTTTACAGTACCATAAACGTTCTAAGACATGGATGAACATTCAGATAAAGAGATATGTTAGGGTGAGGTCTGGAAGGGTCCTGAGTGCAGGAGCTTCTGTCTCCATGGAATTGGGGTGCATCACCCTCCCAGCATAGGGATGTGTTTGCCACATGGATGTGCTCTGAACCTTGTACTTTTGAGATTTTTATGGCGTTTCATCACATAGATATGATTGATTATTAACTCAGTCACCAGTCCTCTCCTGTCTCTAGAGAATGGGGGCTGGGGTTGAAAGTTCTAAGCCTCCAGTCTTGCCTTGGTCTTTCTGGCAACCAGCTCCCATCCAGGAGCCCACCAAGAGTCACCTCATTAGAACATAAGACACTTGCATCACCCAGGAAATACCAAGGGATTTAGTGGTTGTGTGTCAGGAATTGGGATCAAAGACCAAATATTAGAAGAAAAGATTCTCCTTCCATCTCTATAGCCCAGGAAATTACAAGGGCTTTAGAAGCTCTGTGCCAGGATCTGGGGGAAGAGACCAATATAAAAAATACTTCTTATTTCACACCTATCCAGTTCCCCAGGCTAAGGAGGATGAGACACATGAGACAGATTTACCGGACCCAGTGCCAACCAACCCACCGTCCTGCAGAGGGAAGCAGGAGTGTTCCATGGCCATGGTCCAAAACAAAGCACACAACCAGGTCCAGCCTAGACACACTCAACCCGAGCCAACCCACAGATTCATGAGCAACAAGAAAAGCCTGTGATTTTAAGCTGCTGAGATTTGGGGCCATTTTTTACACAGAAAAAAAAGGATGCAGATATCAACAAGCAAGTTATTAAGGGGGAATGATAAACGGTCAACAGGTTTTTTTTTTAAACATAAAAACATATTCCACTTTGTTAGTTACAAAAACTGTGAAAATCAATGCAATTTAAACAGGCTATACTTACTCTGAGCACATGGAGACAGATGAACCCCAGCTCTGCCACCTGCTAGTTTCAAGATCTTGAACATGTTACCTGCCAACACTGAGCCTCAATTTCCTTATCTGTAAAATGAGAAAATAAGAGCATTTACCTGAAAGGTTATTGCAAATAATACACAGAATACATGTAAAAAGCTTAAAACAATGCTTATCAAGCATTATCCAGGAAATACACATGAATCATTATTTATAAACATGTAAGATGACAAAGGTAGTTAATGCCATTGTTGGCTAAGAGTATGCTGAATGGTTTTTTTAAAAAATAGCCTTTCAAAAAATAATAACAATGAGAATACCACATACCTGTAATTAAAAGTTATGACCAAAGTTTTTTTAAAAGTACATACATTCTGGGCCGGGCGCGGTGGCTCACGCCTGTAATCCCAGCACTTTGGGAGGCTGAGGCGGGCGGATCACGAGGTCAGGAGATCGAGACCATCCCGGCTAAAACGGTGAAACCCCGTCTCTACTAAAAATACAAAAAATTAGCCGGGCGTAGTGGCGGGCGCCTGTAGTCCCAGCTACTTGGGAGGCTGAGGCAGGAGAATGGTGTGAACCCGGGAGGCGGAGCTTGCAGTGAGCCGAGATCCCGCCACTGCACTCCAGCCTGGGCGACAGAGCGAGACTCCGTCTCAAAAAAAAAAAAAAAAAAAAAAAAAAAGTACATACATTCTGAACATTATACAAAGTAAAAACCAAAAGAAATAAGATGGAGAAGAGAACAGGGACCATATAGGTGTGAGAACAGGGACTAAGTGTCAACTTGATTGGATTGAAGGATGCAAAGTATTGTTTCTGGGTGTGTCTGCCAGGGTGTTGCCAAAGGAGATTAACATTGGAGTCAGTGGGCTGGGAAAGGCAAACCCACCCTTAACTGGGTGGGCACCATCTAATCAGCTGCCAGCATGGCTAGAATTTAAAGCAGGCAGGAAAACTGTGAAAAGACCAGACTGGCCTAGCCTCCCAGCCTACATCTATCTCCCAAGCTGGATGCTTCCTGCCCTCAAACATCGAACTCCAAGTTCTTCAATTTTGGGACTCGAACTGGCTCTCCTTGCTTCTCGTCTTGCAGACAGCCTATTGTGGGACCTTGTGATTGTGTAAGTTAACCCTATATATATATATAGGGTTTCATCACATAGGTATGATTATGAACTCCGTTGCCAGTCCTCTCCTGTCTGTATATGTATCCTGTTAGTTCTGTCCCTCTAGAGAGCCTTGACTAATACAGTGGGCTTTAGGTTTAGTCCTGACTTCCTCTCTCAGTTCCACAGCTCCATTACTTGCAAACTACATGATGTTAAACAGCATATTAGATATCACTCCAGTTTTTTCAACTTTTAAATAGGGAAAACAGCACACATCTTATATAGTTGCCATAAAGAGTAAATGTGATGCTGCCTATAAAGCAACTGGCTCATTTCCTCACACATGCTGGGTGTAAAATAAATGATTGCCTCCTCCCTGATACTCTGAGTGTAGGAGACCATTTTCCTTTTGGTCTTTTATTTCTTCTATGGTTGCATATATTGTACTAAAGTAATGGTTCCATTTAGGCAAATAATTTCCCAATTAAGATTTTTAAAAACCACATCCATGATTTGTCATTGTTTAGAGAAAAGCCTCGTTGTCATACCAAATGTTTTCCTTTTCCAGCCATGTGTACATTATTATGTGGCCATCTTTACTGTGAAACTAAGGTGGTTATTATTGACCACAGTTATACATATACATCTTCTACAAGATGCTAAAATAACAAAAGCAAAAATAGTATTGTTTTCTGAGGGACTTAGTTTCCATAAAAATATGGATTGGGTTTTCTATCTGCATCCTGTCATCTGCAATTGCCTTTATTGCTGCCCAGAGTGCCCTCAGCAGTCCCCATGGTGCCATACCATTTCCTCGCTGGCCCACACAAGGGAACTTTATTTCTGAATCACTTATTGAGGAGTTAACTAAATAAAAACCAATGTGCTTGTGACAATTCGAAGTAAATGTTTATTCCGTTATATGCCAGCTGTCCAAGCAGATATTTGACTCAAATTGATTTCAATGACAATGTTAGGTTTGGATTTATGTTATTTTTACTGGAATTTACTTATGTAATTCAATATTTATTAGCATGCAAAGTAAGTAGAGTGAACAAATTGTTTCTCTTTCTTACGGAACTTTGTCTCCTTCAAAAATAAAACATGTTCTCACTTATTTTTCTGTAAATATTTTAATTTAAATTTTTATTGGCAAGAATATTTTCCAAGCATTTTTTTGGTTAATGCATTAATAAACATACTTCTGACAGATGGAGCTTTTCTTGGAATTGATGTTATTTTTGCCTAAAAATAAGATCAAGTCTTCTCTATTTTCAAAACAACACTGTTATTGTTGCTGATTCAGGCTAAAATCCCTTGACTTTTATCCCCAGATTTCTTACATGAGTGGCCTCCAACCCCTGCTTTGGCCTTGGGTCTGATCTTAAGGCTGCAGATGTTTTACCTTTAATCGAGTTAGCTGTTTTGTGGCCCCAGAAGAATTTGAGCATTAAGAAAACAAAAACTTTTAATTGCTTTACAAATAAAACTCTACAACAATAATATATTTCAAGTAGAGATAAGTGTATGGCTCTACTGTCTACTATAGAAAATCCCTGCCCTGAGTTAGTACTTTACACCATACTTTGTACAAATGTAACACAGAAGGGCTTCTGGAAGGCTCTCACAGCAGCAGTGAGTACCAAATCAATGAGGATAAATGTACTCTTTTCTTACAGCATTCTATTTTTCATTATGAAGTATTCCAAGCATACAGAAAATATAGACAAAATAAGCACCCAAGTGCTTACAATCAAGATTTATTAAATCAACATTTTTTATACTTTTTTCCTCTTTTGTAAGGAAATAGTGCATGTCAGATATACATGAAGCCCAGTAATGTGTAAAGACAAAAATACACAAATTTAGTATTCCCATTCTCTTGTTGCTGGAGATTTTAATAACTTCAGATTTGTTATACTAACAATTCTTTACACATGTTTCCATGTATATAGTAAGTGAGAATTTCTCTGGGTTATATTCCTAGGAAAGAAAGTGTTCCCATACATTACCAGATTTCACTCCACTTCCTTACCCTTCTAGAGGTGATCTGGTTCCTAAATTTGGCTAGTATCTTTGCTTTCCTGTTTTGTGTGTATATAAACATAAACATACATATTTAAGCCTTAAATAAGGTTTAAAACCTAGTATAAATTGTTTGATTTTATAGGTATTCTCTCGCAACTTGATGGATTTTTTTTCTTTTCTTAGCATTAGATATGTTTTTTAAAATTTTTCCACATAGCTCATATTAAACACTATAAGAGTTTGTAGCATGAATACACAAATTTAGTATTCCCATTCTCTTGTTGCTGGAGATTTTAGTAACTTCAGATTTCTGTCATATTAAAAATTCTGTATCCATGTTTCCATGTGTACAGTATGTGAGAATTTCTCTGGGTTATAGTCCTAGAAAAAAAGGTGTTACCATAAATTATGCACAACTACAGGTTCCAACTACTAGAGAATTATTTAAAGCAGTTGTGTAAATCTCCCTGCTCCCAGCAGTGTTTGATTTCTTCTTCAATCACGTGTATGATTGTCAGATTTCTTCTAAGTTTTTCACTTTTACACTTATGATCTGGTAGTTAATTGTATTTGTAATGATCACTTCTCTGATTTGTAATGATGTTTGGCATTTTATAATTAACTGATTTGGATTTCTTTTCTTTTTTCTTTTTTTTTTTTTTTTTGAGACAGAGTTTCACTCTTGTTGCCCAGGCTGGAGTGCAATGGCCCGATCTCAGCTCACCACCACCACTGCCTCCCGGGTCAAGTGATTCTCTTGCCTCAGCCTCCTGAGTAGCTGGGATTACAGGCATGTGCCACCACGCCCAGCTAATTTTGTATTTTTAGTAGAGACAGGGTTTCTCCATATTGGTCAGGCTGGTCTCGAACTCCTGACCTCAGGTGATGTGCCTGCCTCGGCCTCCCAAAGTGCTGGGATTACAGGCGTGAACCCCTGCACCCAGCCCTGGATTTCTTTTCAATTCCTTATTATACCTTTATCTACTTTTCTGTAAGATTTTTAAAATTCGATTTCAGGAATTCTTGATATGTTCTGCATGCTGATTTTAGTCTAAGTCCTGACTGTTTTTTTTTTTTCCTTTTACCTTTGGGGAAGCTACCACTATTGGGAATGTCAACAGAAATAGTACATTTTGTCCTATTTCCCCTGTTCCTCTTTACTTTTTCTGCTATGTGCTTTTTAAAGAGAAGTGGGCAGATATAGGACAGAAGATGATTAGAATTAAGTCATTGACATGTATTTGCTACCTTTCCTTCCTTTTGACTCATGAAAATTAAGAATACTTCCAAGGCCCATGTACCAGCCTTTTGGCTGAAGGTAATGATTAAAAATTACTGAGATATAAGCCTGGCAGAGAAAGCAAATACTTTATGGTCTCACTTATATGTGGGGAATCTAAAAGTCAAACTTAAAGAAGTAGAAAGTAGAATGGTGATTATCAGGCTGGAAGAAGAGGAGGCAGGGAATAGGAAGATGTTGATCAAAGGGTACAAAGTTTAGTTAGACAAGACAAATAAGTTTCAGAGATCTGTTACACAGCATGGTGACTACAGTTAATATTAATGTATTATATATTTCAGAATTGTCAAACAGGTAGATTTTAAATGATTTCATGACAAAAAACGATAAGCATGAAGTGATGGATAAGTTAAATAAGCTGATATAATTATTCCACAATGTATACATATATTGAAACATCTCATTGTATCCCTTAAATATATACACTTATTATTTTTCACATAAAAATAAGGTAAGTTATCCTAGTTAAAAGAAAATGACTAAGAATCTTCCAGAAGCACAAATTCTATTTCCCCCACTACTTCACAGAATCAGGAAATAATATTGCAAGGAAGGACCTCTGAGTTCATTTAGGCTGAACATTCCATTTTATAAGTGACCTCCAAAGTTTTAGACTTGAGTTTGTTTCAATAAGACAGATTTTTTATCTGCCTCCATCCTTTACTCTTCACCACTTTTCTATGTTTTCTTTTGTAATACTTACAGCTGTAATTATCTAATATTTACTAATTTTTTAAATATTTGTTAAATTACATATTGAGCTACTGTCTGCCTCCCATGACATCAAGTAAGCTTCAGGAGGACAAGGACACTGTCTCCCTTTGTGCCGAATTCCCCATCACCAAGAATATTAGAAAGTGCTCATTACATAATTATATAATGTCCTGAGTGCCTACTGTGTGACAGCTACTACGTTAGAATTTGAGAATAAATAAATTCATAAGAAAAAGTTCCCACCTGTATTAATCCATTTTCATGCTGCTGATAAAGACATGCCTGAGACTGGGTAATTTATAAAGAAAAAGAGGTTTAATGGACTCACAGTTCCATGTGGCTGGGGAGTCCTCACAATCATGGCAGAAGACAAAAGGCACATCTTACATGGTGGCAGACAAGAGAATGAGAGCCAAGCAAAAGGGGTTTCCCCTTATAAATCCATCAGATCTTGTGAGACTTATACACTACCACAAGAACTGTATGGGGGAAACCACCCCCATCATTCAATTATCTTCCACCAGTTCTCTCCCACAACAGATGGGAATTATGGGAGCTACAATTCAAGATGAGATTTGGGTGGGGACACAGCCAAACCATATCATTCCACTACTGGCCCCTCCCAAATATCCTCACATTTGAAATATGTCCTCACATTTCAAAACCTATCATGCCATCCCAACAGTCCCCCAAAGTCTTAACTCATTTCGGCATTAACTCAAAAGTCCACATTCCAAAGTCTCATTTGAGACAAGGCAAGTCCCTTCTGTCAATAAACCTGTAAAACAAAAGCAAGTTAGTTACTTCCTAGATACGACGGGGTTACAGGCATTAGATACATACACCCATTCCAAATAAGAGAAATTGGCCAAAACAAAGGAGGTAAAGGCCCCATGCAAGTCCAGTGGGGCAGTTAAAGCTTTTCTAAGCACACAGTACAAGCTGTCGCTGGATCTACCATTCTGGGGTCTGGAGGACAGTGGCCCTCTTCTCCCAGCTCCACTAGGCCGTGCCCCAGTAGGGACTCTGTGTGAGAGTTCTAACCAAACACCCAACCATTTCCCTTCCACACTGCCCTAGCAGAGGTTCTCTATGTGATAGAGAACCTGCCCCCCTCCCACCTGCAGCAAACCTCTGCCTAGACATCCAGGCATTTCCATACATCCTCTGAAATCTAGGCAGAGGTTCTCAAACCTCAGTTCTTGATTTCTGTGTACTGATAGGCTCAACACCATGTGGGAGCTGCCAAGGCCTGGGGCTTGTACCTTCTGAAGTCATGGCCCAAGCCGTACCTTGGCCACATTTTACCCATGGCTAGAGCAGCTGGGACATAGGGCACCAAGTCTTTAGGCTGCACAGAGCAGGGAGGCCCTGGGCCCAGCCCACAAAACCACTTTTTCCTCCTAGGCCTCTGGGCCTGTGATGGGAGGGGCTGCCTCAAAGGTCTCTGACATGCCCTGGAGGCATTTTCCCCATTGTCTTGGCAATTAACATTTGGCTCCTTGTTACTTATGCAAATTTCTGTAGCCAGCTTGAATTTCTCCTCAGAAAATGGGGTTTTCTTTTCTATCACATCGTCAGGCTATGAATTTTCTGAACTTTTATGCTCTGTTTCCCTTTTAAAACTGAAGGCTTTTAACAGCACCCACATCATATCTTGAGTGCTTTGCTGCTCAGTAATTTCTTCTGCCAAATACCTGAAATTATCTCCTTCAAGTTCAAAGTTTCACAAATCTCTAGGGCAGGGGCAAAATGCCAACAGTCTCTTTGCTAAAACATAGCAAGAGTCACCTTTACTCCAGTTCCCAACAAGTTTCTCATCTCCATCAGAGAACACCTCAGCCAGGATTTCATTGTCCGTATCATTATCAATATTTTGGTTAAAGCCGTTCAACAAGTCTCTGGGAAGTTCCAAGCTTTCTCACATTTTTCTGTCTTTTTCTGAGACCTCCGAATTGTTCCAACTTCTGCCTGTTACCCAGTTCCAGTTTTTGGGTTTCTTTACAGTAGCACCTCACTACCCAGTACCAATTTACTGTATTAGTCTGTTTTCACACTGCCAATAAAGACATACCTGAGACTGGGCAATTTATAAAGAAAAGTTTAATTGACTCAAAATTCCATGTGGCTGGGGAGGCCTCACAATCATGGTGGAAGACAAAAGGCATGTCTTATATGGTGGCGGACAAGAGAATGAGAGCCAAGGGAAAGTGGTTTCCCCTTATAAAACCATCAAATCTCGTGAGACTTATTCATTATTGTGAGAACAGTATGGGGGAAACTGCCCCCCATGATTCAATTATCTCTCACCAGGTCCCTCCCACAACACGTGGGAATTATGGGAGCCACAATTCAAGATAAGATTTGGGTGGGGACACAGCCAAACTAGATCACCAACTTAGAAACTGTTGGCAACTTGTCAAATTTCACACAGTTAACTAGTTTAGGGACAGTAGTTGTGTTTTCCTACCTCCAGGTCAGGTGCACATATCCAAATTTAAGAGAACTGCCAGAATAGAGAAGCAAAGCCAAGGATTTATAAACAGCTGGGATCTAGGGCAGTAGGTGATAGTTTGTAAGTTTATTTAGAAAATAAATTGAGACATTCTAGATCAAAATTTATGGATTGGATTAGTCAAGATAATGTAGGAGGAGATTTACATGTAGCTCATGGAGCTTAAGCTCTGAAGCCACTCACCTACATGTTTACCTACCAAACCCCCAGGGGAAAGCCCAAATGATGAATTTACATGGTCATTTGTTAATCTGCCAAAGTCATCAGTTTATACCAATGTCTCTTCCCACACAAATTTCATCTCTGTCACACATTTCGTCATGTTGAGTAAATTGGTAATAGCCACAGGAATTTTTGGAATCTACTATGAGATTATTGAGTTCTGGATTTTTTATTTTGGAATATATGCAATATTTTCATATGGTTTGCAGCCACTTTTGTTTATGGTTAGATGATTGCTAGTTGCTTCAGGATAATAGGAAAAACTTCCAAGAACACAGCTACCTGTGTAGACTCTGCTGGCATCATGACCTGATGTGTGGCACCCACAATGGAACTTGTCACATGCCCTACAATCAGAATGTCCTGGAGTCTCATCATTTCAACTTATTTAAAGTTGGTCCTTGAACAAGAGAGCCTGAAATGCCTTGGAATCTTCCTGCTTATATCTGAAAAAACATGGTAGATATTTTCCTAAATGTAATATCAATTCTAAAAATTTATGTGTCAATACCAGTGTGAAACTAAAACATTTTCATGCTATCAAAAATAAAGTGTTTTTAAAAAATCAATTATTCTACAAAAAAAATCTTAAGGACCTTTCCATTCTCTCTATAGAAAATGATACCAGAACAGCACTGTCACGTGAAGTCACAAATACCTCTAAGCCTAAAAAATATAGAAAAATGCTTTCAGTGTTTAAGAGATATAAATAGAAATAATATATAATGCTGATTTTCTGGTTTTATGATGTTTGTTACACTCAGGGTTTTTTTCTTAATATCTTGATATATGGAAGTCTAATAGTTAGACAGAGGCAGAGGTAAGGAAAATAATGACTCTGAGTGGCTGTTTTATAAAAATTTTTCAACTACTGTCCCTAAAACACAAAGGATATTATGAAACTGTCTCCACATTCTGACTTCACCATGTTACCTGCTCTGGCATATACTGTCAATGCTCTATTTATATCTGCATGCATCCACAAGGAAAGAGAACTCCTGAACAGCACTGTGGACCACTCAGACCTAAGGGATGCCTGTGACACACTCCATCCAACCCACAATTTTTGTAAGTGGGCATGGGACATTCTCTAGGAAAAAACACATATTAGGCCATAACACAAGTCTCAAGACATGTGTTAAAATCTTACAAAGGGGGTGTGGAGTAAGGTGGCTAAATAGAAGCCCATACTACTGTTTGTCCCCCTGCACGTCCCACCACAGGGACACCACATTTTAACAACTAACTCTACACCAAAAGTACCATCCCAAGAACCAAAAACCAGGTAAGCAATCACAGTACATGGTTTTAAATTCCTATCACTTAAAGAGACATTGAGGAGGGTAGGATGCTTCCCTGTCACAATGGAAAGCAGAACCTTGCTATACTCAGCTGACGTTCACCCACAGAGGGATCATTTGGACCAATTCTAGCCAGAGGGACTCTTTTGTCTAGGCCACAAGGACTGCAATTCTTAGTGAAGTCCTAGTGTGAGTTGAGCACAGAGCCAGTAGACTGTTGAGGGGTAGGGACATGACCTACTAAGACACCAGTCAGGGTGGCTAAGGGTGTGCTTATGCATCCCCTCACCTACTCACTGGCAGCAGCTACATAGCTTGGGAGAAATCTGTGTGCTTGGAAGAGGAAGACTGCAGTGACTGGCGTACATTGCGTTGTACTCTGATAGGATGCCCTATCGCAGTGGATGCCTGGCAGGATTCATCACCTGCTGACTTAAGTGTCCCTGGGACATGAATAACCCAACAGTGATACCGAGGGAATATGCTGTGGACCTTGGACTCTGAGACATGCTAGCTTCAGGTGCTACCCAGGACATTCACAGCTGTGGTGGCTACAACGAAAGTCTCCTTCTGTTGTAGAAAAGCAGGGGGAAAAGTGAAATAGATTCTATCTTGTACCTTAGATACCATCTTGGCCATAGTGGGTAGAGCACCAAGCAGGCACTGAGGGGTGGGGATGGGGGGCATTCTTGAGTCCAGACCTGAGCTCTTGGTCAGCTCTTCTGGACCCACCCTGGGCCAGAGAAGAGACCACTGCCCTGCAGGGTAAGCCAGTCACAAAAAGACTAATAGAATATAATTCCACTTATAAGAAGTATCCAGAGTAGTCAAATTCATAGAGAAAGGAGGTAGAATGGTTGTTGCCATGAGCTGGGAATAGGTAGAAATGGGCAGTTGTTGTTTAATGGGTATGGAGGTTAAATTTTACAAGATGAAAAAGTACTGGAGATTGGTTACACAGTAGCATGAATGTACTTGACACTATTAACTGTACACATAAAAATGGTCAAGATGCTGACGCGGGCAGATCACAAGGTGAGGAGATCGAGACCATCCTGGCTAACACCATAAAACCCCGTCTCTACTAAAAATACAAAAAAAGTTAGCCGAGTGTGGTGGCGGGCGCTCGTAGTCCCAGCTACTCGGGAGGCTGAGGCAGGAGAATGGCGTAAACCCGGGAGGCGGAGCTTGCAGTGAGCTGAGATCGCACCACTGCACTCCAGCCTGGGCAACGAGCAAGACTCCGTCTCAAAAAAAAAAAAAAAAAAAAAAGGTCAAGATGGTAAATGTTATGTGTATTTTACCACAATTCAAAACAACATGTATTGAAGTTAAATAATATGTTAATAATATAAGAGAAATGTGTTAGGCCCACATGCAGGGAAGTCATAAGATGTCAGATTCCTTAGAGCACTTCTCAACCATTATGAATATGATCCAGTTGATCACAGGGACAAACAGTTCAGCCAATCATTTATGAAGTAGATAAGGAACCCAAAGGGTTGTGTCTAGCCTTGTCATAGGTAAACAAAGGAGGTATCTTGAGTCTATCTAAGTCCTATGGGAGTGTGATTTCTTGCACTAAGTGGGTTCCTGAACAACAGGAATTGTTAAATAAATAACAGCTTCCTTTCCTTTGTGTGGACCAAATCAGAGGCACGTTCACGCTGTCCCCCAGCAACCTCCAGCAGCGTGAATCCCTGGTTTCTTCTGTGTAAGTTGCTCACTAATGCAGCCTAGATTGGCTTCCTTCCCATAGCTTCCCGTCACACTCCCCCACTTCCTTCCTGGTGCTCCCTTGAATACCTCCCAAATAAATGAGTTGCACATCAATCTTTGTCTCAGAGTCGGCTTCTGAGGGGACCTAACCTAAGACATCTTTAGTACCACATTTCCTATTTTCTCTTTTGTCAAGCTTGACTTTTCCTTTGTAACAACCACACTGCATTCAGTTTAGAGAGATAAAACTGTGGGAGTGAAGAAACCCCAAACTGGATTTGAGGCCACAAATTCAAAACTTATAGCAAGTCAGTTTGAATGTGTACATGTCATTGTCATATTAAAAAGAAAAAGCAAATCTAAATTTAAGTAAGGAGAGATTTTATCTTACAGGATGACTGAGAGAGGGAAGGGACTATTGCAATAGTGGGAGGGAACCTATTGCAATGAGGAGGGCACCTCAACCATGTGATCTGCATGTGTCTCAAAGGTTAGGCAGAAAAGAGCTTTTCTTTTATAAGGAGAAGGAACCAAAGCTAAAAAGAACCAGTGAGAGGAAATAGAATACACCAGATGAAAAGTGGATCAAGCTGACAGTAGAACAGAGAATGTTTTACCCCAGAGTCAGCCTCCTCCTTATATGGGCCCTGCAGGAGGGGCTGCCCATGCCCACTCGGGGAAAGCTCAGGAACCTGGGGGGAAGAAAGAAGATTTGCCAAAAATTAATTAGCAAACTTTTGCTCCAGTGGATCAGAAGAACAAAACAGTTCAGCCAATCATGTATAAAGTAAATAAGGAATCTAGAGGGTTTGTGTCTAGCCTTGTCATAGGTAAACAAGGAAGGCATCTTGAGTCTTATCTAAATCACATGGGGAGTGGTGGTTTCTTGCATGAAGTAGGTTCTTGAACACAAAAGGCTAAGATTTCTTAACCTTCAGTTTTCCATGATCACAGGGCTCAAGTAAAGTTCAACATTGTCTTCATTTAATCTGCTCTCGGCTTTAGTTTATTTGCTTGCAAAAAAAAAAAAAAAAAAAAAAAGCAGCTAACTGGCAGTTTCCAAACTTTTTTTTTTCTGGAAGGAAAACTCCTTTTAAAAGAAAGCTTACAGGAAATTGAGTATGCAAAACAGTTACAATTGGAAACCTGTTATGCTGGAAGAAGCTTACTGGCTGGCTAGCACTATGCTTCCTGGCCCCCAGTGTCAGGCTTCTGAGCCCAAGCTAAGCCATCATATCCCCTGTGACCTGCACGTATACATCCAGATGGCCTGAAGCAACTGAAGAACCACAGAAGAAGTGAAAATAGCCAATTCCTGCCTTAACTGATGACATTCCACCACTGTGATTTGTTCCTGCCCCACCCTAATTGATCAATTGACCTTGTGATATTCCTTCTCCTGGACAATGAGTCTCAGGAGCTCCCCACAGAGTACCTTGTGACCCCTGACCCTGCCCGCAAGAGAACAACCCCCTTTAACTGTAATTTTCTATTACCTACCCAAATCCTATAAAACTGCCCCACCCTTATCTCCCTTTGCTGACTCCTTTTTCAGACTCAGTCCACCTGCACCCAGGTGATTAAAAAGCTTTATGGCTCACACAAAGCCTGTTTTGTGGTCTCTTCACATGGACGCGCATTAACACTCAGCACCCACATCCTTGTAAGGACCCGAGCTCCTACAGCATATCTAGCAACTGATGAGGCAGACTTAAAGTTCCTTTCAGCTTCCCTGAACTTTAGAAAGGCTTCTTCCTGATTCTAGGCCTTGATTTCCCTTTCCTTAGAGCATTTACCTTAGAAAACTTGGAATTGCAAGTTCTTTCTCTGCCTCTTTAAAATATTCTCAAAGTCTCTTGGCAGTTTTGCAATCTGGAAATATCTTTCTCAAGGACCTGGGAGTTATCCCTTTGAAACGTAATCACTGAAGGAGATAGCTTCCCTATCTCCCAGTCTCTGTGGCGGGCTAAGACTCTAAATTTGTTGTCAATAAGCACCAACTAGCAAGTTCAGTTAGCCTAATCTTTTTGATCAACCAACCCCCTATTGTCCTCAAGTACTTTTCCAAAAGTTCCCTTCACCTCTTAAAACCCTTCTTGCCTTTTGTTTCGGCAGAGTTAAGGTCAGTCTCCCTCCCCTACTGCAATAGACTTGAATAAAGTCTTCCTTGCCTGCTTAACTCTGTCCAGGGCAATTTTTCTTTGATACAACTTCTAGGCTAAATTATTTGCATGTTCCCTTGTTACTCCAACATTCTACAAAACTTAAGAAATCAGTGATGAGGTATAAGCTTTGAATTCAAACAAACTTGGAAATAAAGACTCTAAATTAGTCTTGCTCATTATTCAAAAAACCAAAACAAAAGATGACTAGAATTGAATGAAGAGGTGTTAACAACCAGATATTCTCCTCCCTTGTTTTACTTCTGAAATTCCTAGAATCTTGTCAATTTATTGTGGTTTCTCTCACAATTTCTTCTTATGAAGTCTCTTGGTTCTGTTTGTGTCTTGCTACCCTAAATTGAAACAGGAAGGCTGAGGTGGTCACTGTTATGTTCTGTCCCCATGTTTAAGGTAAAGGTTAGAAAATTCTTCTTGAAAATTGCTTTTAAAATAGGAGCATTCACTAAGCAGGTACTCTTTTCATTTATCCTCAGAAAAGTATGTTCACTAGGATATTAACACCAAAAAAAAAAATCCTCTTTTAACAGCATAGTGTGGCAAATCTGGTCTCTGAAACCAAAAGTGAATGAAAAAATGAATAAATAAATAAAAAAAAAAGAAATAAACAGATCCAATCAACTAGCAGCTGCAGAAAAAGGCCCACTGAATTTCCAGAAGAAAAAAAAAAGCCTTTTAAAGTCTAGTTAAAATAATGCTCTTTCTTTATTATTCATTCCTTTTTGCCCAGTGCCTCCCCAGTCCCCTTCGCCACCTTTCAGCAGATTTGCATATAAATGGCATTCTTTTTATTTCTTCTGAGTTCATCAGCCCCTTGTTGCTTATTCCCCACCTGAAGTCTAATCCTTGCTTTGCAACTTCACAATTGGTTGCTGTGGAAATGATTATGTTGTCACAAACAGAGGATTAGAACTTCAGGTGGAGAATAAACAGCAGGAGCAGATGAACTCTTAATAATAAGGATGCTGGTATCATGCAAATGCACCTAAACAGAAGAAAGAGAATTGTCACGGGAGGGGAAGGGGAGAAAAACGAGAAAAGTCAAAACATGATTGCTACACAGGTCTGAAGTGGAAAATTACTAGAATTTAAAAGTGAAAAACCATTCTGCCATGAAAGTACGACTCAGGGGTTAAAACAAAAACACTCTATGCATTAGTAGGATGAGAGGAAAGTTTTTTGGATTCAAGGACTTGAAATATAAATGGAAGAGGTAGCAAAAAAAAAAAAAAGAAATCGAGACTAATACACAGGAATGTTAGCAATCTTGATCCCCAAAATAATTTACAATAGCAAAGAAAATGGCATAAGCTTCAAATTTGTCACTGTCACTTAAAAATATTATCTGGAAAGGTCACTGCCAAGGTCAAGGAGCAACTCATCACAAAATAATTGCAGTGCATTTATACAGCTTTAGAGTTGCACTTCTACTAGTGAAAATATAGAAAGTGAGAGTTTATTAACCAGATCAACCAACCAGAGAAACTTGAGGGGAAAGCACTGAGGAGCTTGATTGGCTGGTGAATGGGATAAGGTCAACCAAAGGAGTCCGCTTCAGAATTGTCAACCTATACTTGCCCTCAATCTCTACAGGAGGTCACAGCAAAGTTCTTGAAGAGACTGAAGGCAGCATATAGCATTTGGAGTTTGCTTTTCTTTTCTCTATTACTTTCCTAAACAGTGATGCCTTCTCTTATTTTCCGCTAAGTTTATAAAGAGGATAAATACCTGCATTGTATAATTGCTTTTGTACCTTTATGTGGGAGTCCTTCTGAGGGAATGGTGCTATTTGCACTTTATTCCTCAGTGGGTACAATCATCCCTCCTGTGCACATTTCCCCATAACTGTTTGCCTGGAATATTCATCTCTTTCTATAAAGCCAGTGTAAAATGACTCTTGTTTTCTCCCATTTAAATAAAACTATAACACTGTCATCCATTCAAAGATAAATTGTCAATACTTACTAGAATGTTCAAAAGCATCAGTGAAGCTCTATCTAAAGCTATAAAATGATATTTGAAGCCATCTGAAGATATTGGCAATCAGAGATCCAAGGAATAGAAAATTACTGTAATTATTAGCCCTTGTGCTTGAAAACATCAATTTTTTTTTCTTATCTAAAATTGTGCGATCTCTTTAGTTTTGAGATTTGTAGGATGCATTAAAGAGAAGGTTCTTTGTTCATAATCAGATAATAGTATTTTTTTAAAGAGTGGGAGAGGGGATGAGAGAATGAGGAAATATACCTTTGCTCTTTGCAATGCCACTGGTGTACTTTGTGCCTTCCAAGCGGGCACCTTAGCAAAACTGGGAGCTGGACAGCGAGAAAGCTATGTGCCTTGACCTTTGATTCTGGCACCAGAAGCTAATGTTTTCAGGCTTGGGCTTCTGGCACCTTCTTCAGGGTCAGGTCTGAGCGTGGGGGAGAGGAAGCTGTCAGTCACACTGCTACATGCTGGGCTGGAACAAGAGAAGGACGGAGAGCTGAGGGTACAAAGGACCCTACCTAATATCCACTCCTGCCCCTGGAATGGTGATCTGCTTCAGAAGATGCCTTGCCTTCATAGAGGTGTTCCCATGTGGTTTCCCAACAATCCGAATATGTTATTGCCCTTTTCAACCAGATAACCTTTCCCAAGAACCCTGAGAGTAGTTATGCCCTGGGCAAATAGACAAAAGCAGTTGGAAAGCAGGCTCGGCCTTTCCATTTCTCAAAAAAAATTAAAGGGTTTTTAAAGAGAAGACAAGGACCTTGGCAATGAGCTAAAGGTAAAGTGAGGAAGAAGGACCTGGGTTTGGTTCCATCACTGTGGTGTGTTTCTAAGGAAAGGGAGAAGTCTTTCCTGAAGTTGTATGAAATCAGGGGCAAAAAAACAATGGAGCTGCCCGACACAGAAGATGAAGAGCTACTCAAGGCAGCATAGATGACAGAAAACTGACAGTTTCTATCCATGTGAAAAAGCAAGTTAAACTCATTTACAAGGGTCAGTCTGCTCCTTTTCAAACCCATTTAGGAACTGTACCAAGGACTCAAGTTACTCAGCTGGCTGGTTAGCATTTTTAGCAGGGAATGTCAGTCAAATCAGGAGTGGGGCTTTTTGTCTTCATGCTTTTCTCTTTGTGTCCTTTCTGCCAAAAATGAGCTTGGAACCTAGGGCTCTGTCAATAAGAAACTTCAAAAGCATCAGTTTAAAGTGTAGCTCCAAAATTAGTTTCTTCTTTAGATGTTTAGAATACAAAACACTTCACTGGGGAAGTTGAACAATCAACAGTAGGTACTGATGCCCTTCATTCCTTCAACAAACACTGTGAGAGAGCTCACGGGCAGCTGGGCACTGTGCCAGGTGCTGGCGGAATAGAAGCGAAGAAAACAGAAAGCCTTCCTTTGTGGATCTTCATTTGTTCAGAACGCAGATGACAACAAGCACACACATATGTAGTCAGTAAATGCTGAGCCATAGGAAAGCCTCATGCATTAAATGGGGACTAGCAATTGGCATCATTCAAGTCCCAGGTCCTCCTAAAGACTAGAGCACACCCAACTAGAATGCAGATCTGGAAATATCACCCACTGTCCTGAGCCCCATGGTCCTGATTGCTACAATCCAGCAGCATAGCCTATGGGTAAGAGCTCAGACCTCAGATCCAGACTCCAGAATTCAAAGGCTGATTTTGCTACTTAGTATCTCTGTGATGTTGAGCAAGATGTTTAGATCCCTAGGCCTCTTTTTTCATCTGTGAAATAGGTACAATAAACTCTCCTTCTCCCAGACAAAATTGAAGGAGTTATGATAAGAACTTCACTCAGCACATGGTAGCTTCTACACATGTTCATTATTGTGACAATGGACCACTAAGTTCAAGGTGCAAATCCAGTGTCCCAAGGGATCAAGATACAATTCTTCTATTTCTTATGCTTTCTACCACCTCACCCTTCCACCCCACTTCTCCATAATCACCCCACTTCTTCAGGCCATTATTTGTCTCAAGAACTACCTCACTTCTCCTTTTCTTAGCTCTATGTAGTTTATTTAACACTTGGTGCTTTTCTGCAAGATAAAGAAAAATCTTTTAACTAAATTAATTTGACTTTACAATTCCACTGAAGCTCTGAAATAGTTTAGGATGCTTGCGTGATTAATGGGAACTGCTGTAGACTTCAATCCCATAAAGTCCTATGCACTCCAGAAAATGAAAGTGATCGCATATCACCCTGTGTTCCTGAAGGTCTCTCCAAATGAATTATAATCCAAGGACAGGTGTGATTGCATTGTTTGGGAACAGAAGGTGGGAGGAAACCTTCCAGAGAAAAATAAAGCATATCTCAAATGGTTTCATACTGTTTTGCTTCATTGAACGCTTGTCAGTGACGGTTAACTGTGTCTTCCTGTCACTTGTCACCCATATTATGATGAAGCTGTCCCCCAGATGTAATCATATACCACCACTTGTGTTAAAGGAGATGAACATTTCTGGTGGCAGAGCACCCTATCCTGCACCCACAGATAAGCAGCTAGGAGCTCTGCAACTTTTCCTGCAGAGCCCCAGGTGACTCTTGAGCTGAGACGTCCACCACCATCTGCACCATTCATACATTTCTGCAGATTAATCTGCTCATATTAGGCATGTATTTGTCAGTCCCTGTTTCCCTCTTCAGATCAAAAAGAAAGATTGTTTTTGGGACATGCCCTTTATTCTCCTGATTCAAAAAACTGATGATGCCCCATCATTTCTATGATGTAATTGTCCCTCCTTAAAACAAGGCGGGATGTTATTGTGCTGCAGGATAGTGTTGTGTTTAAAATATGTGTGTGTTTGGTTGAGTAATCTCCTTACACATTCACACCAGGATAGATTTCATTTGTAATCATCTCTTTACAAAGAACTTAAGAAACAAGGACAAGAGATACCCAGAAAAAAAAAAATCCACTTGGGAAAAAAAAATTTACAACACTATTTCTCTTCTTTTGTTCTTTATAATTGAAGGCATTAACATGAAAACTGGATCTTTCTTTCTCTGTTCATCTGCTCTAACTTTGTTCTGTACACGGACTAAATATTGTCTATTTGCCACTTTGCCTTCCCAACTGAAATCTGTGTGGAGTGGCTCTTTGTCTTTGCATTTTGCAATGCTCCTTTCAGCATGATGACCCAAAGGGCACCAGCCCTTAAGGGTTCTGCAAATTTCAGGGACATGCCAAGTAGTCAGAAGAAGCTCAATGAGCAGGCTCGCTCACCCTGAGTTACCACAAAATTCTGCAAGTCTCCCAGCAAATCCACACTGGGAATAAATTTTCTTAGCTATTGCTCCATGTTGACAGGGCAGGTACCAGCTCACATCTGAAATGCAAAGGAGTTGGCTTCAGTGACATCAGTCACTGCATGACCCTGGGGTGCCATTCATGTAGACTAGCGTGTATACCACAGTCTGTGGGAGCTCTGCCAGCCCAGTCTCTCCTTTTCCACTCTGAGCTCCATAAAACGTGTCACATAGCCCACACTCCTGGCTACTCTCTCTCCTTCCCTTTCGATGACATTTGTTTTTGAGGAAGGATCTGATATTAGCAATTTTACTACAGTGAAAATGTAAACTGATGTTAAATTATTCAGAGACATTTTTAAAGCCCTCTAATCATAGACTGTGAGCTGTCATTTGCTCAATAAACATTATTGCATTCCTCTTAAGTGTCAGGTACTATGCCCTATTCTAGAATTAGGAAAACTATATTTGTAGATTGCTTTGCAATTTACCAAAACCTTTTCATGGTTGAGTTCAGAACTCTGAGTTGCAACCTAATAGAAATGAAGTCCTTGCTTTTTTTCTTTCATAATTTGAGCACAGTGATTCCTCTATATTTCACAAGAGACTTTAAAATCACAATGTTGCCTCAACCAGATTTCCAGTGCAAGTAAACTTTAAATGGACAAAAATAAATATTCCAACTTAACAGTAACTCTTTGAACTAAAAATCATAATCAAATCAACAGTCCTCTAATAAGTGAAGTGAGTGAGAAAGAAATTGGTGTTATCCAGCAGAATAAAAAGTGCTGAATTTTATGTGAAAGGTCCTTTGCAAATGGCAATCTTACATCAAATCTTATATTAAATGTGGTCCTTCAAGAAAAAATTTTTATCTACTATTTTCCAAGCACTGAGATTAGTATGAAGAATGACAACTTAAGAAAGTCATTATCCTAGGCCAGGCACAGTGGCTCATGCCTGTAATCCTAGCACTTTGAAAGACTAAGCCTGTGGCAGAGACACAACAAAAAGAAAGATAATTTTAGACCAATAACCCTGATGAACATCGATGCAAAAATCCTCAATAAAATACAGGCAAACTGAATCCAGCAGCACATCAAAAAGCTTATCCACCATGATCAAGTGGGCTTCATCCCTGGGATGCAAGGCTGGTTCAACATACGCAAATCAATAAATGTAATTCAGCATATAAACAGAACCAACGACAAAAACCATATGATTATCTCAATAGATGCAGAAAAGGCCTTTGACAAAATTCAACAACACTTTATGCTAAAAACTCTCAATAAATTAGGTATTGATGAGACGTATCTCGAAATAATAACAGCTATCTATGACAAACCCACAGCCAATATCATACTGAATGAGCAAAAACTGGAAGCATTCCCTTTGAAAACTGGCACAAGACAGGGATGCCCTCTCTCACCACTCCTATTCAACATAGTGTTGGAAGTTCTGGCCAGGGCAATCAGGCAGGAGAAGGAAATAAAGGGTATTCAATTAGGAAAAGAAGTCTAATTGTCCCTGTTTGCAGATGACATGATTGTATATTGAGAAAACCCCATTGTCTCAGCACAAAATCTCCTTAAGCTGATAGGCAACTTCAGCAAAGTCTCAGGATACAAAATCAACGTGCAAAAATCACAAGCATTCTTACACACCAATAACAGACAGAGAGCCAAATCATGAGTGAACTCCCATTCACAATTGCTTCAAAGAGAATAAAATACCTAGGAATCCAATTACAAGGGATGTGAAGGACCTCTTCAAGGAGAACTACAAACCACTACTCAATGAAATAAAAGAGGATACAAACAAATGGAAGAACATTCCATGCTCATGGGTAGGAAGAATCAATATCGTGAAAATGGCCATACTGCCCAAGGTAATTGATAGATTCAACGCCATCCCCATCAAGCTACCAATGACTTTCTTCACAGAATTGGAAAAAACCACTTTAAAGTTCATGTGGAACCAAAAAAGAGCCTGCATTGCCAAGTCAATCCTAAGGCAAAAGAACAAAGCTGGAGGCATCACGCTACCTGACTTCAAACTATACTACAAGGCTACAGTAACCAAAACAGCATAGTACTGGTACCAAAACAGATATATAGACCAATGGAACAGAACAGAGGCCTCAGAAATAATGCCACATATCTACAACCATCTGATCTTTGACAAACCTGACAAAAACAAGAAATGGGGAGACGATTCCCTATTTAATAAATGGTGCTGGGAAAACTGGCTAGCCATATGTAGAAAGATGAAACTGGATGCCTTCCTTACACCTTACACAAAAACTAATTCAAGATGGATTAAAGACTTAAATTTTAGACCTAAAACCATAAAAACCCTAGAAGAAAACCTAGGCAATACCATTCAGGACATAGGCATGGGCAAGGACTTCATGTTTAAAACAACAAAAGCAATGGCAACAAAAGCCAAAATTGACAAATGGGATCTAATTAAACTAAAGAGCTTCTGCACAGCAAAAGAAACTACCATCAAAGTGAACAGGCAACCTACAAAATGGAAGAAAATTTTTGCAACCTACTCATCTGACAAAGGGCTAATATCCAGAATCTATAATTAACTCCAACAAATTTACAACAAAAAAAACAAACAACCCCATCAAAAAGTGGGCGAAGGATATGAACAGACACTTCTCTAAAGAAGACATTTATGCAGCCAAAAGACACATGAAAAAATGCTCATGATCACTGGACATCAGAGAAATGCAAATCAAAACCACAATGAGATACCATCTCACACCAGTTAGAATGGCGATCATTAAAAAGTCAGGAAACAACAGGTGCTGGAGAGGATGTGGAGAAACAGGAACACTTTTACACTGTTGGTGGGACTGTAAACTAATTCAACCATTGTGGAAGTCAGTGTGGCGATTCCTCAGGGACCTTGAACTAGAAATACCATTTGACCCAGCAATCCCATTACTGGGTATATACCCAAAGGATTATAAATCATTCTACTATAAAGACACATGCACATGTATGTTTCTTGCGGCACTATTCACAATAGCAAAGACTTGGAACCAAGCCAAATGTCCAACAATGATAGACTGGATTAAGAAAATGTGGCACATATACAACATGGAATACTATGCAGCCATAAAAAATGATGAGTTCATGTCCTTTGTAGGGACATGGATGAAACTGGAAACCATCATTCTCAGCAAACTATCTCAAGGACAAAAAACCAAACACCGCATGTTCTCATTCATAGGTGGGAATTGAACAATGAGAACACATGGACACAGGAAGGGGAACATCACACACTGGGGCCTGTTGTGGGGTAGGGGGAGGGGGGAGGGATAGCATTAGGAGATATACCTAATATTAAATGACGAGTTAATGGGTGCAGCACACCAACATGACACATGTATACATACATAACTAACCGCACATCATGCACATGTACCCTAGAACTTAAAGTATAATTAAAAAAAAAAAAAGAAAACTAAGGCTAGAGGATCACTTGAGTCCAGAAGTTCAAGGCCAGCCTGGGCAACATAGTGAGACCCGTTTCTGAAAAAAACACCAAAATTAGCTGGGCATGGTGGTGCATGCCTGTAGTCCCAGCTACTCGGGAGGCTGAGATGGGAGGATCGCTTAAGCCCAGGAGTTCAAGGTAGCAGTGAGTTGTGTCATTCCACTGCACTCCAGCCTGGGAGACAGAGCAAGACCTTGTGAAAGAAAAGCAAAGCAAAGCAAGGAGAGGAGAGGAAAGTGAAAGGTAAAGGGAATAATAAAGAAAAGAAGAGAGAGAGAGAAATAAATTATCCTAGGTTTTGAGAGAAATGGTGTGTGTTTTTTATTTGGTTTTGCAATAACACACAATGTTAAGCCCCAAAATATCACCAGACAGCCTTAATTTAGGAGTGAGGAGGAACACCATTGACAGGGTCTTAGGGGTGTCTTACAAGGGAAAAGTCCAAGTGGGATTGTTATGGGGCTTTGAAATCTGTGCTCGGGTCATTTCAAGGCAGGTCTTTCAAAGCAAGGAACTGTTTGGGTGGGCAAAATTTGTGATATAATAATTTAAGATAAGTGGATGCAACAAGAACAAGGAAGCCAGTGTTGACAAGTAAACTGTTAGATAAGCAAGCTGTTTGCCCAGGTGAAGAGTACTGTCTCCAATAAATTGATCTGTAGGAATTTCCCAAAGTGAATAATGAAGATATTTGCTGGTGTATTCTTATCTTTCCTAGGCAAAAGTTCCCTAGAGTAAAGAAGTCATATTGATCAAGGTGTTTTACAATTTCATCTACTTTATGTTGACACAGGTGTTCTCAGTTCATAGGTGTCTTTTGCTTTCCAAGATAAAGCTGTTAAAGTAGCAGACATTCTTTTTTGTAACATATTTACTAATACCTTCGAAAGTCATTATCTTCTCTTTGTGAAACTCACTGTGGTCTGTAATTTAGGGAATGCGAAGGTGAATAATAAAAAGGCCCTAGCAATGAGAAGCTTAGAGAATAAATATCAATTAGATAAAATGTTCATAAAAATGTAGTACCACAAAAGGAAAGAAATGAATTCCTAAGGACGGAAGTTTCTGAAGAGAGAGGATATTATTGAGAGATCGGGAGATAGTTTTGTAAAAGAGTTAATGACTTTTGAAAGCTGTAAGATTGGATCATGTACAGATGAAGAGATGGGCATCCCCAATGAATGAATGAGACTGAACAAAGAAATGGACATTTGTGAAAAATGCAAAAAATTTGCTTAGTGCAAAAAATGAGTAGAAAATAAAGTCATAGACAGATATGGGAATTATAATGGAGGAATTAGAAAGCTAGGTAAATTTTAAAATACTTTTTGTTAGCAATTACAAAACAAATGATAGTTTAATACATGATTTTATACAGGCCTATGTTCCAGAAAGGTTAATCTGGGAGCTGTATGAAAGATGAAACTGTCTTCAGTTTCTGGAAATATTGCATATTAATCTGCAAACTTTTCTACTGCAAAATACCTAACCATGTTGAATAAAATATAACAAACTTTCTCTCAAGTACCCAGCTTGCAGAAAAGTAAGGGAAATCTACAGAGGCCAAAAATTGATGAAGCTGAATCAGCACCTACTACCAAGGACGTCTGATCCACCACAGCTGTGCAGGGGCCCAGATGAAGCATTGCAATCCCTGAAAGATAACAAGTTAGATCTAAGACACCTTCTACACACATCTATGCAGAGAATGCTTGGAAATCTGTGGGCTAATCTTCCAGCGCAAGGGCAGAGCAGTAAAGAAAATCTAACAGCAAAGGAAGAAAATGACAAACAGAACTGAGAACTGATAAAGCATAACTGTACCTACATAAAATCTTGTCATTTAATTGAACTGGAATTGCATGTCTTAAGATCTTCACTTATATTTGTAAAATTTATATTTTAAACTAGATTTTTATATATACACAGATATATATATGATCATTAAATTAGCATTTTTACCTGTTTGTATGTGTAAGTTTTAATTACAAAAAAGTAAACATATTAAAAGTAGAGGGAATAATACGATAAACTCTCATAGAGCAGTCAACAAATTTTAACAATAATCAACAAGTGGTAAATCTTGCTTCTAAAATCACACTCACTGTCTCCTAACCCAGATTATTTTGAGGCAAATCTCAGATACCTTTTAATTTTATTCCACAAACTATTCAGTGTATATCTCTAAAGGGCAAAGACTTTAAAAATGTCCACATTGTCATTATAACACACACAAATAATGATTTTTTGATATTATCAAATATCCAATCAATGTTCAAAATTCAACTTTTTTTTTTTTTTTTTTTTTTGCTTAGAGTTTGATTGACACAGAATGCATTTGGTTGAGATGCCTCTTAAATTTTAAATCTATGGTTTCTGCTACTCTTTTTTCTCTTTCTCTTTCCTTGAAATTTGCCTGCTGAGAAAAGCGGACGTTTGTCCTCTCAAGTTTCTCATTTTAAATTTTGCTGATCACATTGCTGTCATGTCATTTCAGGTGTGCTTGTTTGCTTTATAAGGAATATTCCATAAGTAGTATTGTTTACTTCCTTGAATCACATCTAGAGGTACCTACATAACCAAACACATGGCTGTCTTTTGTTAAGATTAATCAGTTGGTTTAGGAATTGTCAGCTTGATTTATGTACTAAGAAAATCCCCATTGGCTTTTTACTTTGTTAATCATTGCTTGGTCTCATTTTTCCATTAATATTCTAACAGCCAGCCTATCTTTAAAAAAATATCTTTTCCAGAAAAATTTTTTATTATTCTGAGATACAGTACATACAGGAAGATTGAATTATAGCTTGTTTTTTTCCCTTTATTTACAAGTTTTCAGAATAAGGAGTTGGTTTTCTAGGACCTTCCAAAGATTACCAAAGAGATTTTTTGAAGTATCATGTGTCTCATTTGAGTATATGATTACAACAGTTTTTATTGTGTTTCAATCCATTATCTTTGGAGTCCTTCTGATTTTGTCTTTGACAACATTCTTATTTGTTGGTACAGTAAAATATGCTAGGCTCATCTGGTACATTTCATGTCTAAGATCTGAAGTCAGTCACTTTTCTAGGGAGTCGAGAGACCACATTCTGGATAGTAGCAATGACTGTGGCTCCTGGACCTGTCATTGTTTTTTGGCTTGTTCAGTGGGCAGAGTTCGCAAATACAAACATTTTTAAAACAGAAAATATAAGTTCATACTGATATTTTCAATTCAAATTTACAATTCCAGCAGTTTTACACCACTTCTTTCTTTTGCGTTGCATTTTTTCTGATGCTAAAACTCCTAGTTACTAATAAATGTTTGGAATTGTATATAAACAAGTACACACAAATATACAGAAAGGTGAATAAAGGAGAAAGTCCATAGACTGAAAAACCATTGAGAATACTGTTCCTTAAATGTTTCCCAGAGAATTGTATGGCCCATGCCTCAGTTTGACAAGGATAAACATTTCCTGTTTTTCTTTTACTATATTAAGATTTTTGAAATAAATTGTTCATTTTGGTCAAAAAATTCAAGATATTATTTAATAAATAATTATTTTAAATGTAACACAGTATATGTTTTAATTATGTGTACTAACCTAAGCAATGAATTTGCTTACCTGGGGAAGTTTTCCTGTCTCTGTTGGTGAAGGATCCTTGCCTCCAGACTTTTTTTTTTTTATCATGCATACTTTCAACAGAAAGTTTAAAGTATGCCTTTAATATATTTACTTAATTTATACTATACTATTTAAGCATAGGATTTAAAGATGAAATGAAAATGAACAGTATTTCAAACATGTATTTATTACGTTTTTGAGGGTACAATAAACTTTTCTGCTTTCAGTGTGCATACACACACACATAATTAATCCTGTAATTTAGACTCAGTTTTTAGATGTTTTACTAATTATGACAGCTACATGCTATCTTTAGCTAATACCTTAAGGCACAATATACACTTAGGGCAAATTTCGTCTTCACTGAAAATGGAAACATAGCCATATTTCAAATAGTCTTCTCGTTAATTTAGATGTTTGAGGTCTATTCCTTGTCAGATCTGGTTAAATTATCATTATGTCCTGTTGCAACATGAGTGACAAAATACTTATACTAGAAATAGAAGTATCAGTTCTGCCATTTCTTTTGTTTCCTTGTGCTTATTTATATTGCCTTCTAATTTTACTAGAATGTGTTAACATTTTATTTTTCGATTTTTTTTAAAGCTTGATAAATAATCTGTAAATTCATTTATGTGTTTCCCTAACCTGAAACATAACACACTACGTGGCTAACACAGGAGCAAGCAGTGGTGCTGCTGCCCATCTCCCAGGTTTGAGGAGCTCCACACTTCCTATTCATTGTCTGGGAACATAGGAGCAGGGCAGAGGGCCGGTGTCAAGACCTACATTAGATATTAATAAAGCTGATATTCTTTTTCTATTTTGTTTCTGAAAACAGGATAAGTATAAAGGGAAAACAAAATCTAAAATGTTCCTTCTCCGTGTGGATCATCTCCCTGGGTTGTGTGTATCCCTAGATTCTGTAGGAAAACAACGCATGAGTCATTTTCATGGCCAAGCCTCATAAAGCACCTTGTCTGCACATTACAAATACCTCCATTCCCTGCCAATATCTTGATAGGACTTCCTAATGGGACATGCTTTGCCCACCCCACTCTCCCGCCTCACCTTCTGCTGAAGCTCACACTTGAAAATCACTGAATGGGAGGCTGGTGGCAAAAATCCAGGAGGCAAATAAAAGAATGAAAGCATTGAAAAGAGGGTAGAATAAGAGGAATGTATATGGCAGCCTAATGGACTTAGCCTGGCAACTGATCCCATATGTGGAATAAAGGGGGAAAATGTTGAAGTTTCACAACCAGGTGCCTAGAAAATTGGGGTGGGATGGTAACCCAGACAGAAAGAGAGGAAATTAAGTAGGAGTGATTTAGGAAAATCAATTCATTTTTTGACACCAAGCCTTATACCTGGAGGTTCACCTGAGTGTTTGTTTGGGGAAGTGAAACCGGAATTTGGTGGGTGGCTAGGCCTGCAGATAAATATTTTAGGATTGGTTGACAGATTTGCAATAATGGAGGCATACGATAACCAAAATAAATGATGTAGACATGGAAGAAAATAATGAAAACAAGGAAAAATAAGACCTATAGGGAATTATATTTAAAGGTTGAAAGAAGGATGATAATACACAGAGTTATTTTTTTTTTAATCAGGAAGATAGAATGTCATCAAGGCAAAACAAGGAGAGTTCCCATGACAGGGTACTCATTAATGTGCAATGTAGAAGGGAAGTTGCAAAAGGGTGGGAACTAATGATCCGTTATATTTGGTAAGTTTAATATTATTGCTTTACTTATTTTTCTTCTTTGAGAGAAAAAGAAATTCCCAGATAGCTGTATGACTTTCAAGGTAATAAGCAGGAACGGAAAGAGCAGATGCAGGTTTCTCTTTAAAGCAGTTTGGTGGTGATAGGAAGAAAGGAAAGGCAGACAGGTTTGATTTTCAGTTGATAACAGATGCAACAGGATGAGGCTTCAGTCAGATTTTAGGGTTAAGAAAGACCTTGCAGGATACATAAATTAAAGACACAAAAAATGTAGAAAGTATTATTGATAGAGCACTGATATCCTCTACATACGTGTCAAATCTGCATTCATATTTTCACATGAGATTCCGTCTGAGAAGGAAAAATACTGCTAATACTCAGAATTTTAACACACCTTAAGGGCTTTACAATGACGACAGCTTTATGTTTACATTCGACTTCATCTTTAAGTGCTAGAAATAGTAGACAAGCTGAGGAAGTGGTTTCTTCAAGTTCCAGGGAAAGCAAGCAGGTCTTTAGTTCCTTGTCACTTATCTACTCCTCCTTTGTCTGGTAATCAGCAGCATGCATCAAGGCAAGCATGTAGCCACCCTCTGGGGCCTTGAGACCTAGGTTAGGCAAGGGATGCCCCGCAGGCCTGGACTGATCCACCAGGAGAACTTCAGTGCATCATGGGTCCTGCTATTGCTCATCCTCTTCCCTGGAAATGTGCGGTTTCACAGGATGGTAAACATCTTTCCCTGGAACAGAGCCTTGAGGATGGTAAGCATCTTTCCCTGGAACAGAGCCTTGAGTGGCATGGTTTATTCCTCGCAAAATCGGTGCTTGAATGACTGCTGGTGTATTGCGTACCCTGCAGCTTATATACATGGAATTGCTATAAGGCTTTTAAAATGATTAAAGAAAATAGACATTCCAGGTATTTGTTAACAAAATTTTCTATCTTTTCTTGTTTTTGCTTTCTAGTGTTTAAAAACTAAACATTTGTATCATCCCAGAAAAAGCACATTAAAAAAAAATCTTAAATGCAAGTCCTAACAAAAGAGGCCCCAAAGATAGAGGCTTGGAAATTTGAATAGCAAAAGAGAGACATTAATTAAACCATTGGCATTATGGACCCAAAGTAAGAATCAAATCTTAATCATAAAAGTTATTCCTGTACAGAAAATATTAATGGAATGTGGGCTGAAGAAAATGATGCAAAGAATTATGAATAGGAGTTGATATTTTTATATGAGATATAGAGAAACAAGCAAATACAGGTATTTAGGAAATGGAATATATAACAACCTGGTGATAAGATGACTTAATTGGGAATAAATTAAATCTAGATGTAATAAACCATACACAGGCATATTTTAAAAAGGATAATAATTTTGTGTGCTAGGAGTCTGCCTTTTCTCCCTAACTATAGTAATTTTAACTGTTTTCCCAGAGCTCCATACTCAGGCAGCATGCATCTGCAACAGGCCTTTCCAGGGTGCAAGCATCAAACCTTGCAAAAATAAAAATCCTGCAAGTACATGTTCTATTGATTGTAAGAGCTGGAAAGCCAGTCCACTTTAAATAAAAGGGTACTTTATTAAGGAATTTAGCATGATATGCTGAGAAGGTCTTCTTAGAAACTCACAGAGCATTATCAGTTCCCTCTTACTCCCTTCTTTCTCACTCTCTGTTGTTCTCTTCATCTCTCGCTTTCTCTCTGCTTTTGATTCTGTTCCCCTCCATATGTTGAACTCATTCAGTTCCCACTAAGAAGCATCTCTTTTCCTCCTTGTTGGAGGCAAGGTAAGAGACACAGATGTAGCCCACTCTATGTGTATATAAACCTGTCCTGTAGAAGCCAGATAAACTGTGATCATCCTGATGTATCATGACCACCTGTGGACCAATCAATCACTGAGATCAGGTGGATGGCATCTATATTGACCGGAAGATTAAAAAATAAAGATGTCCACTGAATATATTTTAATTTTTTTCTGATACTTTAAGCTCCTATTAGTTAGCAATTTAAGAAGAAGTAGCTCACTCATCACTTCTGAGTAGTGGCATTTGCTATTGTGTTTTGGTAGCCTGGTAAGGTTGAGAGTGCTGGTATATTTTAAGGAATTATCTACTGTACAAGTAGTAGAAATTTGCCTTCTTGTCCTCTTGCAGCTATGGTGCAGTATGATGACCACCATCCCAGTCTGCCAAGGAATGAGTAACTTCCTGCAATTTAGGACTTTCGGCCCTAAAACCAGTACAGTCCTGGACACACTAAGATTGTTGGTCACCCTAGAAGAATGGAGATCTGGCGGCTACCACTCACATATACTCGTAGAACATTGATTGCAAGGTAACTTACTGGCTGAAGCAGGTGATGCATTGCTTCGGTGGGGCTGATGTCGAAAACCTTCAGCTTCCCAAGACAACACTGATCAGGCCTCCAGGAGCATTTCTCCTGCTCAGTGTCACAGGTATGAGACATGAGTCATCTTCTCTGGAGTGGTTCTTCAATGTAATTTGGAAAATGTTCTGGCTACCTAGTTATAAAGCTTAAATCTACAGCCACCCCAGGTAGTCCATGAACTATAAAATGTCCTTACATTTATTTCCTTCCTAATAATGAAATGAGTTATGATTTTTGCAACGACGAGTCATGACTGATACACTGTGAAAGTTGGAAAATCAGTTTATCTGAGCCTCAATTTCATCATCTGCAAGATGAGAATAATAATGCCCTCCCCAGCTACCTTGGAAAGTTGCTATGAATCTCAAAAGGGATGATATATGTGAAAATACAATACCTGTAAAATTCTGTAAATATGTTAGATAATTATCAAATAATCCACTAGACATGATGGAAAGGTCTTTAGCCTGAAAAATAAACTTTCTAACTTTTCGCAAAATTGATCTTGAAAATAGTCTCAGGTTGCCTAGGTAACACATTTTATCCTGATAAATAGGTTTTGGTATTTTTATTGCATCATCTCTTATAAACTTATCCCCAAATAACATATACTGAGGGAACAAAAGGGAAAAGTATGTTGCCTTTTATCAAAGCATCTGAAATAATCCCTATCTATGATTAAAAAAAAAAAGCAGGCCGGGCGCGGTGGCTCACGCCTGTAATCCCAGCACTTTGGGAGGCCGAGGCGGGTGGATCATGAGGTCAGGAGATCGAGACCATCCTGGCTAACAAGGTGAAACCCCGTCTCTACTAAAAATACAAAAAATTAGCCGGGCACGGTGGCGGGCGCCTGTAGTCCCAGCTACTCGGGAGGCTGAGGCAGGAGAATAGAGTGAACCCGGGAGGCGGAGCTTGCAGTGAGCCGAGATTGCGCCACTGCAGTCCGCAGTCCGGCCCGGGCGACAGGGCGAGACTCCGTCTCAAAAAAAAAAAAAAAAAAAAGCAATGTGTGTCATCATTTTATTATGAGATGATGATGTAAGGACTGCCAATTATCATGGTATTAAAAAATTGACTGGTTTTTTATCTGTTGCTTATATAAGATAACGTTGTGAACTAGCAAAATCAAAACAAGAATTTCATTGCAGTGCAGAAATCCATTTTAATTAATATCAGTACGACTTATACCAGCAAGCCCTTTTATAAAGCCAGACCCTTAAGAAATGTTTATGGCCATATCTGTGATTCAGACTCTATTGACCACTCTATCTGCCTTCTCCCTTCCATTTTTATGGGTAATCCTGTGATTCAAGTCTGGAAGCTCTGTCCCAAAGGGTTTTTTAATGGAAGGACAATATATGTAGTGACTACCAATAGAATGGTTTGCCCCATGCCTCTTTTGGTAGAAACTAGCCTTGTTTCCATCTACATATTTATTTGAAGAAGACTCCTTATTAACTAGGTGTGACCAAAGTGTTCATCTTATATCATAGCATACTCTCTTGCTTAGAGTTCATTGGTCTGGAGATGAATACTACATCTAGGTTATGTGATTATCATTCTTTCTACACAAGATTTTCTCTTCCCTAATACCAGAACAGTTTTAGTGACATAGAGTTTTTTTTAAAAAAAAAGATTTTTTGAAAGTTGTTGTCTGTTAAATTTCTCTAATGGATGACAAAGTTAGATGTGAAAATTTTGGTGTTGCTGGTAGCTATGATTACTGACTATTTAAGAAAGTTGGTCTTCGATGCAAAAAAAAAAAAGGCTCTGACATGTAGAAAGCAGTAAAAGCAACCTGGTAGTGCCCCAGGCATTGGTCCTTAATGTTCCCGAAGTCCCTAACGCTCCACTCACACCTGGTTCTTCCTACGGATTGGCTGCAGCATCAAGCCACTGGCAATCAAGCCTTCCTTAACCCAGTGGTCTTTAGAGTCAGAGAGCCTGAGATTCCAGCATTGTGTTTGTTCCTCCTGACCATCTGACCATTCAGTCTCCAAGACCTAGTCTCCTCATCTGTACAACTGAGTCAATATGTTGTCATTAGATTATTGCTAGGACTAAAAATGTGATGTGACTAAAATATCTAGTGTAGTGCTGTTCCCTAACAGGTACTTAACAAATGTTTGTTTTCTTTTCATCAGAATTATTTCAACTGCTTCTTAACTTGGCTTCTTACCATTGGCATTTCCTCTCTCCCTTCTACCTTTCACACCTCAACCAGATCAGTCCTCTTAAACCAGCTCTGAGCATGCCATTCACTGGATGAAATATACATAGCATTCCTCTGTATTCCAAATAAAATAAAAAAGATGGCACAATTTTCCTTTCCAGCCTGCTCACCAGCTACCCCCAACATCATACGCTGTGTTCCAACTAAAACCAATGACTGGATAATAAACATATATCATTCTTCATGCCATAATTTGCACTTCATTTCCCTAAAATCTTATCCCCCTGTCAAAATTTGCCATTTTCTCAAAGGAAGTGTAAAGACCAGCAAATATGCAAAGATCACTGGGCAGTCTACCAAGTAGGGGTCAACTCTCCTCTGCAGTCTCACAGACCTTAGTTTATTTTTCTTTTTATCTATAGTTACGTGTGCTTGTGGCTTCATTCTCTAACTAGTGTGTGAGCACCATCCAATTAAACTTCAGGCCGTATAATGTACTGATCAATATTAGTAGCTTTGGAATCAGATGCTCCAAGGTATAAGTCATGATTTTGCTAATTTCTACCTAAGTCACCTTGGAAAAAATTTCAATTATTCTGAGACTCTCTTAAGTTTACAATGGGGTAATTATTTTTATTTCATAAACTTCATATGAGAGGTACATTCGATAAAATGTTAGTGTAATTGCTGAAGGTAAACTGTTTCATGTTAAAAAGAATAACTTTATTTTTGGCAGGGGATGGTGGCTCATGCCTGTAATCCCAGCATATTGGGAGGCCGAGATGGGAGAATTACTTGAGCCCAGGAGCTCGAGCCCAGCCTGGGCAACATGGGGAGATCCTGTTTCTGTAAAAAAATAACAAAAAAAAATTAGCCAGGTATGGTGGCATGTGCCTGAGTAGCCTCCAGCTACTCAGGAGGCTGAGGTGGGAGGATCATTTGAAACCAGGAGGTCAAGGCTGCCGTGAACCATGTTCATACCACTGCACTCCAGCGTGGGCAACAGAGCTAAGACACTGTCTCAAAAAAAAGAGAATAGATTTATTTTTTAAAAGGTGCTTTAATCAAATAATTAGGTCATATCCATCTTACTAGAGCATGGCAGCTTTTGGAAGGTTTTTCATAATGGCCAGCTACAGACAGAGCCAGATGCTGGAAGAACATTTGCATAGCTAGCATTTGTTCATTTATTCCTTTACTCCTGCATTCTTTAAACAGCCACTTGTTTGTGGAAACCAGCGGTCAGCCAGGCATAATGTTAGAAGTTAATCAAAACTGCACTTTAAAAAATAGAAAATTTTCTGCCAGAAATGAGGAGTGCAACTCAGAAATTGGTTATTCCTCAGTGTGGACCATCTCCCTGGGTTTAGAAAGAATGAGTAGACAGAGAAAGGAAATGTGGTAAAAGTTATCAACAGGTATAATAGAATTGCTTTGTATATATTATCTTCGCTTATTGCTACAACAGGTCTGAAGGTCAGTATAAATATCTTTATTTTACAAATGATGAAATTGGGGATTGGAATTTCAACAACCTGTGCAATGTTACTGAGTTAACCAGTAAGCTGAGATTTGATGATGAAACTCTTGGCTCTAAGGAAGGGCTCCTTCCTCTCTTCTGTGTGGGTTTTCAATGTGTGTCACAGTTTCACAAAAAAAGATCCCAGGAATTTAAAAATTTCACCTCATTTTATATAATGAGAAAAATAAGTTCCAATAAAACCAATAGAGTTGCCCGACATCTCTAGCTAGCCATTAAAATTCCATAATGATGCTGCCGTTCTGTGTAGAATAATTGCGTTGGCATATGATATCTGAAGAATAGTTTTGATCTTTAGATTGGGTTATACTCTCTCTAATTAATAAGCTGATTGTTGACCTCATTGTTTATATGTGCCCGTAAGCCATTGTCAGCAGTCTTCATGCACGAAGGAAGAAGCAAAGGAGCTTCCTCTTGTATAAAACCCATAAGCCTCTCAGCCTCAGTCTGCACTAAAGACATCACACCTGCAAGCCTTTCTGAAAGGCAAGGGCAGGATCTGTCTGCACCTGACAAAGCTTTAAGTGCCCTGACCTTTATAAAGTAGAGCTTAACTTTCTCTTTCAACCTTTCCCTAAGAGGCCTTTTCTCTGGACTGGGAAGAATTATTCATTTGAAGGCTTAAGACTCCTATGGCCTCAACAGTAGTTAGGTTTTGAAATGTTTAAATATGAGCAAGAGGGACAGAGTGCTACTGGAATAGTCAGTCATTTGATGTTTGAAAAGGATACTGGAAGTTGTTTCTGGTCATGCTCCCCAGCTGCTAGTGTAACACTAGGCCAGCTCATCAGAGTATCTCTCCACTTAACTGGGCAATGACAGGGAGCCACTTTATCCGTAGGGATCAAGTAGTGCTGTGTTCCTCCCTTCCGCCCCGACTGGAGAATTGCAACCCAGAAACTGGTTCTCCTGCAATGCAGACCATTTCGCTGGGTCTAAAGGGATGATTAGATAGCAAATATCCTATAATTTTGCAGTTACTGGCAAATTTCTTATTTGGAGAGTGTGATCAGAGTTAAGGACACCTAGCAAAGCAGCTGACACAGTTTCCCAAACTAGAATACTCATGAACAGATACATCAACCAAAGACAGTGAACTCTACTGAAGCCTACCCACGCGTTTATTTCCTTTCAAAAAGGAAATTTAGCCACTCAGTTGCAAAAGGTTGTCTTAGGTATCTCGTTTTGACTTGTTAGATACTTGCAGCGGTTTTTCAAGAAAAAAAGAAATGGTCTTTCTCAGAGATGAACAGCTGCTCAGAGCTCTGAAATAGCCATTTTCTTAGTTTCTACCCATAAAGGTTTAAAAAAATAATTAGACATAAGGCACCCTATTAGAATTGAATGAAAGCTAACTGTCTGACTAGTGAGTAATTGGTAGAAACGGGTTGGGGCAGCAACCATAAACCTTATTGCAAGATTTTGATTGTTTCCACTGTTTTTAAAATGCAATTTAAAACAATATATTGAGGAGTGATTTTGCATATGCCCATGAACTGTAGAGCAATATTATACATCAAGGTACTAATTCACTTAACCAGCAAATGTTTTGCAGTATCCTACATAGCATGGCATCACGAGCATGGATTCTGGAGCCAAGCCCCCTATGATGGGTTCTTGGTCCTGCCACTGTAACCCTGGGCTTGTTGCTTTGCATTGTTGCCACTTGGCCTCCTTACCTGTTACATGGGAAAGGAACAGGACCATAATCACATGGGCTATAATAAGGATTAACTGGGTGTCCTAAGTCTCCTAGAGCTGCTGTAAAAATGTGCCACAGACTGGGTGGCTTAGAACAACACAAATGTATTCTCTCACAGTTATGAGGGTAGAAATCAGAAATCAAGTGGTTGGCAAGGCCATGCTCCCTCCAAGCCCGCTGGGGGAGGATCATACCCTGCCTCTTCCAGCTTCAGTGGTCCCAGGCATTCCTTGGCTTAGGAACGCATCACTCCAGTCTCTGCCTCCATCTTCCCTTGGTGTTTGCCCCTGTGTCTGTGTCTTCTCTTGGTCATTCACTCTGAGTCTCTGTCTTATAAAGACACTAATCATTTTGAATTAAGGGCATACCTTATTCCAATATGACCCCGTCTTAAGTGATTACATTCACAACAACCATGTTTTCAAATAAGATTGCATCCTGAAGTTCAAGGGTTAAAACTCTAATAGATCTAATAAATCTTTTTAGGGGATATAATTCAACTCCTAACTGTTTGTTAATATATGTACCTAATTACTAGCATGGTAAGCAGTCAATGACTGCTAGATACAACTGCTATGATTATGCCTTGGACCCTTAGTTTAGGCAGTGCAAGTGTAGAAAGAGATGGTATGCAACTCTCAACCTAAGAAGTTTACATCACAGGACACATAATTAGGCTTTGTCTGCTAATTTCACAAAGGAGAGGGAAAAATCTATAAAATGAAGAAAAAGAGTAAATTATCATCTCTTAGCTCTTATCATTATCAGGCATTACAAAAACATACACTTGTATTTTTGAATACTAATTAGAAGTGTTCTGAATTCCTTTCTCTTTGATTTCAGCCCCAGTGCTTCTTGGACTGCTTTTGATCTGGGGCAGATCCTTTCTATATATGAGCCTGGTCCTCATTTCTGGGGCCCTCTTCAATTCCTTCCAATGTTCTATGCACTAGTATAACTTGTAGTGTGCATATATATATATATACACACACATATATATATGTGTGTGTGTGTGTGTTGTGTGTGTGTGTGTGTGTGTGTGTTGTATATTTCCAAGCTTTCTACGACTTGTTAATGCTTTTGCCTGATCTTGTTTTCCTTACTATTTCTGTTCAAAACTTCCTTAAACTGCATTTGAGCAATTATAACCTACCCATATTTTCAATCTCGGTAAAAGTATGCCTGTACTAATGTTTGTTTCTTGATGACTTCTATGAAAACAAATACCCTTTGAAAATAATTGCTTTTCTCTATTTACTACATAAATCCTAGCAGAGCAATTAGAAGGCTGTTTTCAGTAAAAAAAAGAAAAAATAGGTATAAAACTGGAAACCTGTAGTGTGATTTTTTCCTACATTCTTGTAAGACAGATGCTATCTAAAGAACTGTGATTTCTACTTATGTGAATAAAATAATGCATTTTCTTTGAGATATATGCTTGCATTTTATATCTCTTAACTCAGAGGATACAATATTTCTATTTGAAAATCCTTAAAATGAAAACATAAATTGAGGAATCCAGCAAGATTGCTCTAAAGGCAAAATCAAAATGATGTGACTAAATTATTGCAGAAATAGAAAGTTTCTATAATTCTTTATGTGGCAATTTAAAATTTACGTTACTTGGTTTTTCATCCAGGCACTTGCTTCTACCTTTTCCCTCCTTTTTATTTCCTTTTAAAAATATGCTAGAAAAAAGCAATATGTTTGGAATGTCATTCCTTTTCTAAGAACTTATCAAGTGTTATTTTGTATTATTTAAACAACTCTGGAAATTCACCTTCTCCAAAAAAGTGTCCTTAATTGAGTTAAATTTAATTGGTATTATTAACTACTTGCTATATTCCAGGCAGCAAGCTGGGACACTGAAGATACAAAGAAGTGTAATATATGTCATAGTCTGTCCAGGCTGAAAGGAAAAAAAAAAAACAAAAAACAAAGAGAAATAACAATAACAGCTTTACTGACCTACTGCCCTGCTACATTGTGTTATATGTAAAACTTCTCTGCATTGTCCAATGCCTTAGACTCTTACTTAGTGTCTTTTAAGTGTTAGGATCCAGAGAAACCAAGAAGTAAATGATACTTCCACAGTTATTAAGGATGAGCTATTTCTATACATAGACAATGAATGACAAAATAAGAGGCCACTTTTCAAGTCCCTGAGAGGCACTACACACAGAAAATATGGCAGAATTTCAGAGATGAGAGGTGTCAGAGTGAGAGCCATTAAGAGAGCAGAGCCTCGAAGGTCAAATTCTAGTTGGGGTACCATAGAAATTAGGAACTGGATACGTCTTGGAACAAGAGTATTTAGTAAGGGGAAAAGGGTAGCACAGGTGCAACGTGGGAGAAACCCACAGGGAGCAATGGAGATTCTAGTTTGGCTCAGGCTGGAAGTTCATAACTAGGAGACAAGGTTTGAACTCCTGTGGGAGAAAACATAGATGAGGTATTGAACAGAAAAGAAGATCTGGTGATTTCTCACAATTCGTGATCTCTTTATATCAGTAAGAATGAGTTCAATGACATCTATCTGTTAAATATTTACTAAGCACTACATATATATAATACATATATAATTATATATATTTGTGTATAAATACACAGCTAATGTAAAACTGCACTTTCTTGAAACATTTCTAAACAGAGAATATAGTCAGTGAAAATAAATGGACTTTTAGGATTGACAAGAATCGGTTCTAATCCTGGTTCAACCACTTTCTAGGTGTGTGATATTTGTGAAATTATCTAATGTTTCAAATACTACTTTCATTTTCTGTTAAACGGTGAAGAGTTACTTCTCAATGAGTTACTGCCATTTGTGTAACTACTGGATCAGAGGGATGAGACATTACCCAAATAACCCCCCAACAGTGAAACCCATGATTGCTATAAAAAATTCCATTGAGGAAAAAATATTTTAAAAGATTTGCAAGAAAAAAAAAAGTTAAAATCACACACAATCACATTTAGAAGCCAACACTGTAATACTTTGTCCACATTTTTTCCTAACTCTATAATAAAATATGTTTTAAATGCTGCAGTGGAAGTTCATGGGTTGATGGAACATCCAGAGGTAAACTGTAAATCCCTGAGAGGGTAGATGATAAAAGAGGTCTGTGTGTCTGCATCAGCAAAATAAGTGGCAGCCAGAGGCCAGATAATACAAGGAAGGCTGAAAGAAGAAACCAGTAAGAAGAACACAAAGAAAGCAGAATCCACATGTAGAATAGAGTTTGTGTAAAACACCAGAGGAAGAATCGTGGCACAGAAATGAGGAAAACAGGCAATAGTTGGGGCGATAACAGAGGCGGCTTCATTAACCATATTCAGTTGTTGTTTGAATCAGAAACCTAGCTTGTATTACGGAGACCTAAGCAGAAGACAACTTGATTTGGGGGCCTAGAAGGTAGAAAAATATGGAGTAGCAGGAAGAATAATCATTCAGAAAGAGCAGTTGTAGTGGTGTGTACCTGCAATCCCAGCGACTCGGAGGCTGAGGTGGGAAGATTGCTTGAGCCCAGAAGATCAAGGCCAGTTTGGGCAACATAGTGAGACCCCTGTCTCTAAAAAATAAAAATAAAAATAAAATAAAAAATACGCCAGAGAGAAGGGCCCATGAACAAAAGTAAGGGTGATGGAGTGAGCAGAAACAGCGTACAGTGTTTTCAGCCACACTGCATAATATAGATTAAGCATTTGGAACATCTCAACCCCTCATCATTAACCCTTCTTACTATTTAGAAAAAAAAAAAGTGCAGCTCGATGCCAACATTTATTTTTACATAAACAACTCAAACTCTTTGGGGTTAAAGCACATCTGACTGATTTTCAACGTGAAAATAAGATATAAAAACTGTTCTTGGAGCTATTTCTAAACAGGATTAACATCAGAATCGTTTGAATCATCAGAATCATCTATTCTGGAAAAATTGGATTCATCAAGTGAATCTTCGGCCAACAACTCTTCCAGAACGATGTTAACATCATGCGTAGGAATGGTGTTTTCTAGAATACGACATTTTCAGCAATTGAGAATTACTATATTTTGTAAGTGGAAATACCACTACTAAAAACAGAATCGTATAAATAGAATGATGTCTTTTGTTTACAACGTTGATATACTAGAGCAATGCGAAAATGATAATAAAAGTGAGATATTTCTGGCAAAGTTGTCTTGGGGTAAACACTGTAGCCTCAAGTGCCATCAGAGAGTATTCTTGGGGCAAATGAGAAAATGGTTAATATTCCCGAATTTCCTCACACTATACAACTGCATAGTCGCATACTTGCAGTGGACAGAGAGAGAGGGAGAGAGTGTTTCAGGCAGATAGGAATACTTATTGAGTAATTGTTATGTTCTAGGCACCTGACATAGTATACAGCAGTGCCTCCATAGTATACAGCATAGTATACAGCAGCAACCCAGGGGTTGAATTATGTGCCTCCAAGAGATATGTTCAATTCCTAAACCCTTGATGAAGTTAAGGTGAAGTCATGTTGGGTTGGGGTGAGTCCCAAATCCAATGACTGATGTTACTATAAGGAGCAAGAGATTTGGAGACCAACAGACAGGAAGGCCGTGGGAAGACAGAAGCAGAGACTGGGGTGGTGAAGCTGCAAGCCACGGGGTGCCAAGGATCCCCAGATGCTAGAAAGAGGCAAGAAAGCATGCTTCCTTGGAGCCTTCTGAGGGAGCATGGTTTGCTGACACACGGATTTCTGACTTCAAGCCTCCAGAACTATGAAAGAATAAATTTCTGTTGTTTTAAGCCACCCAATTTGTGGTCCTTTGAAATGGTAACTCTAGTAGAGCTTGGATTTAATTGGTGGAGAAAGGGGCTTATTATTCCTAATAAGCCTATAAATGCTAAATACGCTATATAACTTACTTCTAGCAGTGGTGAATGTTTTGAAGAATAGTGTCACAAAGGTCTACCTGTATGCTTTGATAGATCGTCGTGGGATAGCATGTCTGACAGGCAAGCAACTGTCAGATGAAAAAGTTTTCTAAAGGAAAGAATAAGTTCAAAGACGGAGAGCCTTGGAAAAGAAAGAGAAAGAATGAGGTTGGTGCATCTGTGGATCAAAAGATCAGTGTAGCTGGAGTGTGGTAAGGGAAGGTAGATGGAGATGGAGTTAGAAAGGAAATCTGGACCAGGCCACTGAGATCATGAAAAGGAGTTTGGAATCTGTATTAATTTCAATAGAATGGCATGGAAATGAGGAAGCAGAGAGATTTATGCCCTAGCAGATCGTTTGGACTGTAATGTGGACAGTGTAATCAGGAGAACAAAAGAAAAACAGGAGGTCCATGCAGAGCTATTGCAGGGGTGTAGGTGAGAAATTGTGGTGCTTGGTCTGGGACCGGTTTAGATGTGCCAATTGTGTTAGGCCATCCAGTGGGGATGTCCGTGGGTACTTACCCATATATGCCTAAGCTCGAGAAAGAAGGGGAAGAATTGGAGAAAAAAAAATTGAGAGTCAGTGATATAGGGTTTATATTTAAGCCATGAGACCAGATGAGATTGTCAACTTCAGAACTTTCTTGTCTTTTAATTAGCAATTTACACATTCGTGCTAATAGCATGCAGGGAGAAGAGAAGAAGAGTATGAATAGAATCAGGGCTTTCCCACCATGGCCTAGTAAATCAAGAAGAGTTAGAAAATGTGGCTGAGAAAGAGCCGGTAAGAACACAAGGAAAACAAACAAGGAGAGTGCAGGGGCAGGAATGGAAAGGAGTACTCCATATAGGAGGCAGTGGTAATCACATAAAATGCTGCTGAAAAGTTGGGTGCTATTTCTGACCTTGGGAGGAGCAATTTACATAGTCTGGGGCTGTAAGTGCCTGACTGAAGGGACTGGAGAAAAGGAAGGGAGGTATAGAAGGGGGAACCAGTGGAAAGGCCTAAACTCAGGGACCTCATTCTAAAAACAGACTTTGGGAAGCTTTTGGAGAGGATAAATAACTGGTCAGAATTGCAAGATCAATTCTGGTGTGTCACTGGTTACACAGCTAGGGCCTGAGATGGGAACTGCTCTGTTGACTAATTTTTCCCCTTGTCTCTCAGTATTTGAGTATTAACATGACAAGTCTGCTTGTTCTTACTGACTAAGCAAAGCCACTCAAGAATAACCTAACCTTTTACTTTATATTTCCCTACTTGATATAAGATTTATGTAACTGTAGATTTTGTTCATTCTATTAATATTGGCTACAGGGACAAACCCCTTTATGCAATGAGTACCTGGATCAGTGGTCTTGGGCAAATGCCGTGATTCAAAAATGCCACCAGCTCATGAAAAAGATGAAGATTCTCACAAACACAAAATTATTTGAATCAGGAACAAAGTTTGCAGTGATGACAACCTCTCACACCTCTCCTTATCCTCCCCCTGCTATTGTCAAGGAGGTGGTATCCTCTCATGACTGTACGGAGCAAAGCAGGGGAGGATGATGAAATATTGCAGAAGGAGAGAAGATTTTCATAATTCACGTGACCCTCCATGACATGGACATCTTTGTGATGTTGTGTTGCTTGTTCCCAAGTTTCCCTTAGGTTTGCTAGGGATAAGAAGGCTCAAATCACTGCAAACTAGTTTGGCCATCAGAACTTCAGTAACCATGGCCATGCAGAAAGGTCCAATCTGGACACCAACAACATTTACTTTCTGATTATAAAAGGATTAAATCTTCATTACAGAATACCAATAGAAAACAGAAAATATGTATTGCTATTTCCATGGACAAGTCACTGTTCTGACTGCTCTGTGTCTAATAATTTCAACAGCTCTGTGAGATGGGTGCTATGATAATCACCATTTACAGGTACAAGAAGGGAGACATAGGAGTTAAGTCATTTACCTGCAATGGTTAATTCTGTGGATCAACTTGGCTGGGCTAAGGTTCCCAGATATGAGGTCAAACTTTATTTCTCTGAGTGTGCTTTTAGATGAGATTAACATTTAAATGGGCGAAATTTAAGTAAAGCAAATTGTGCTCCATAATATGAGTGGGCCTCATCCAATCAGTTGAGGCTTGAAAAAAAAAAAAAAAAAATCCCTGGAGGAGGAAAGAATTCTGCCAGCACATTGCTTTCAGACTCGAACTGCATCATTGGCTCCTACCTGTGTCTCCAGCCTACTGGTCCACCCTGCAAATTGTGGACTTGGCAGCCTCCATAATTGTATGAGCCAAGTTCCTAAAATAAATCTTTCTATATATATACACAGACATCCTATTGGCTCTGTTCCTCTGGAGAACAGTGACTCAAGGTCATTGCTCAAGGTCACACAGCTAGAAAGGTAGTCTCTCTCTCTCTCCCCCCCACCATCCCCTCTCTGTCTCTATCTCTCTGTCTCTCTCTCTCTATCTCTATCTCTCTGTCACACACACACGCATACACACTACCCCAATTTTCCTTTGGGGGTCTACCCTTCCTCTTATGTGCAGCTTTAGAGATTCTTGCCCTACTCTAGCTGAGAGTTTTCTTAGGAGGCAATTTAAGCAAAAAAAGCCTTCTTCCTGGAATGAATAAGGATGCAAATTGGTTGGAAGTGATTCATTCTGACAGTGCCAGACTTAAGACATCCATTGCCTCCTCCTCTTGAGACCTCTTCAGTGGTTCTGTGCCTGCTCTCCCTGAAGTTTTCCTTAAATTACATAAGCTGCTCTATATTTCACCAATAAATTTATTTCTGCTTAAGTTTTATCAGAATATTATATTCTTTTGTTGTTGTTACAACTAGGGAGCCATACATGACACAGGAATATGTTAAGATTATTCTACATAATAAAGGATTCCCTGCAAACACGATTTGATAGCTTATTTAGCCAGTTTCCTAGCACTGGTTATTTATGTTTCCACATTTTCCATCCTTATACACCCCTCTCCAAACATCACTAAGCATACAAATGACACATGAGGAGGATTACATTAATTTCCAGCAGTTTTTTTTCTCCCGCCCATTTATGCTTATGCAAGTTAACCCACTCCCTGAAATCCACCTCCTTCTTAATCCTGTGTTGTTACATGTGTTTTCAAAGCAGTCTGTCCTGGTCACATGCAACATCTCCTGTGTCCCTCTCTCTACACTCTGGCTCCACCATGAGGAGGATCTCCTCTTAGGAAGCCCTGCTATCCCCACTGTAGACGGTGCCTACTCTCAAAGCACCATTGTGTACCACAAGTGTGTTAAATCTTCATGATCTCAAAGCCATCAGTTTGTGACCAATCTGTCAGAGCAATCATGGTGTCCAAGCTGGAGTGAACACGCGGCACAAGTCTTGAAATGAAGATGCCCCATTTGCAATGCTTGGGTTCAGAGTCTCCTGAAGTTGAGCATGAACAGGATTCTTTTGTTTTTTGCCTATGACTCAGTTATTCTCAAGCTGAGGAGGGCATAATCTTAACAGAAAAGCTGCTTAAAATCTGCAGTGGAAGCTTGAGCTATTTGCTTTATGAAAAGTTGGTGTTGCATCACTCCAAAGCCATCTCCATCCAACTCAACTCCAACTAAGGGAAATGCCAGCCAACATATGCCATGCCATGTCATCTGCTCCCCCAGAACCAATCCCTTTCTCTTCCTCAAAATAAAGTTTATATTCCTATCAACACATTCAAAGAGATGCCAAAAGGTCAGACTTAAAAGACTATGAAAGAGCTAAACTTTGAGAAAATAAGAAGAGCAGTAAATTTTAAAATTTGTTATATTATATCCCAAAACTACCTGTACATAATTTAAATAGCCAAAGAGTGCAAATACAATCATAAAACAATAAGTGAAAATCACCTTTCACTTATTCATCACCTAGAAAGACAGCCAATTTTAATACCTTTTTTGGTATTTTTCTAGAGTTTCTTCATGCAAATACAAGTAAAATTATGTCTTTTCTCCACTTTTTTAATACAAAAAAGAGGACATTCCACATGGTACTTACCTCTTTGATTTTTAACTTAATAATCTATCTTGAAGATCTTGCATATCAGTACATATTTTTATAGCTACATATCATTCCACTAAATGTATTAACTTTGTCATTGTTTATATGTGTATTTCCTTTGTCATTTTTTTGTGGTTTCAAATCTTGTACCAGTATGCAAGTATATCTGAAACATACATTGCCATTGAATCAATAAGTAATAGGTTACAGTGTATTTTTAAATCTAACTTTGATACAATAGTCCATATATAATGGTTGTGCCGATTATAATTATATGCTAATCAAATTTATATAAGGATCTGTTTCCCAATGACTTTGCCAAATTGAGTTATCAATGTTTTATATTTTTGCCAATCTTTCTATACATATATATAATTATATATGTATATGTCATAAATCTTACATATGTATATATATATATATACACAAACATATATACATATAATTTAAATCTTAATTTGCATCTCATGAATGAGGCTGAAACTTTTTTCATATTTTAAGTACTATTTATATTTCCTCTTCTGTAACCTAACTGCTGAGACACTTTGGTTTATTAGATGTGGGCTTCTGCTTTTGTATTTCTAAGAGTTCTTCACTTATTAAGAATGTAAGTTCTTTGTGATGGTAACTGCAAATAGTATTTTCCAGTTTGTCTTTACCTTTAACTTGGCCTATAGTATTTTTATTTTACTTAAATCCTTTTTTTTTTGCTTGTGTGTTTGCTTTTACTGTTATTGTTTTTTAATGGCCATTGATTATTTTCACATATTTTGAAATTTTGTGATTATAAATATTGCTATGTATCCTTTAAAATTTATTTTACTAGCATTTGGAAAGCCCCTTCTATCAGAAATAAACGTCCTTCAGTCTCAAAAATTTTGCTTGTATAATGTGTTAAAAATTTTTCATTTCTCCTATTTTCTTTCTAGAACTTCTGTAATTCAAAAGAATATTTGCTGGGGAGATGACAGAAGAGATCCCCTAAATGCAGTGAGGGTGGGCTCCCAGGAGACAAAATACTTAGACCAACATCTAAACCAACTCCTTGTTTTCAGCCCCTACCTGCCTCCCTGCATTTTATGGTGTGTGGCACCTCTAATTCCTGAGCCTTCTCAGAATTCTGCAGGTTAAACAGACTTGCAGTCCACCAGTATCACCCTGTATAGTCATTTAGGTTTCATCTTCCTAACATCTCACTAAGTCATTTACTGTTTCATCATCATCAACTTTCTCTCTTCACATAATATGTGTATCTGTAACATACATGAATTGGGGTTGCAGGTATCTCTAGGATTCATAGAATATGGGGTCTTTGTTTCAATTTCTTGATTTCTTCATTGTTTCTCAGTGAGTTTTAGGAGGAGAAGGGAAAAGAAAGAGATCTCATTCCATGACGGTTGTTTTCTGCATGTCTGTTTAAGATATTCTTCCACTCTCAGAGAGAATTACATCAACTCTGGGGCAGTTTCCTTTTATGATGAACTGGTTTTAAACTTAGCTGTTAATATCCAAAGCTCTTAAGAAAGCTTGTGTTTAAAATGCTAGCAGTAGATTTTAGTCAAAAAACTAATTTCCTCAAAGGAAAGTAGTCTCAATCATGTTACATTCTTTTACAACTGAATGTGGAAAGATAGCCAATGTTCCCAAACAGGCATAGTAAAATAAGTTCCATGTACACAACAGCACTGAGGTGAGAAATTAAGTTGCATATGCATGATGGAAACTTATCTCTCCTGCTGCCACTGAAGAAGAAATGAAAAAAGAGTTTTGTCTTAGAGTTTAAAAATCTTGGTCATAATTTTCTTTTTAGAATCAAGTAGTTTATTCCCAAGGAAATTATGTCTACCTTGTAATAAGTATCATGCAAAGTAACTTATATGAATGTCTAACGTACTTCACTGGATAGCATATAAAAATTAAAACTAAGCCCCATAAACCACAAAATTAGCAGCAATAATCACTAATGTGTGGCTCATTGTAGCTGCTTATACAAACTGCTTTCAGTTGTAAAATTAATACTGCACATCTAAATTTGGCTTTTTTTCCAGTTTTATATTGTTCAGTTCTATTAATAAAGAGAATTTTATCAGTCCTATTTGGAATTGTTTTGAAGATGACAACAGAGTCACTTTTGAGGTTGAACAGAATATTTTATGTCAATTCCCAAATACCACTAATAAGTAGTTTGCTTGCTTGAGGGTGCATACACTGAGACTGAATTATTCATTTGCACAAAGCGTAAAATAAGTAGCCCATTAAGGGGTTTGACTCAGGTAAATTCAGAGCCTAATACATACATTAACCAATTCACCCTTCCCTAATAGATGTTACATTACTTAACAAACTGTAAGGTTTATTCACCCATTAACACTGATGGACCGTACATGCGTAATTCCCTGTAGCATTTATAGAAGCTGTTCAGGATAATCCCCCACACCAGCAGTGAGAATAACAGACTTTGAAATATGCTAAACTAAAAGTTCACATGAGTATTTAATCTGTAATCCTCCTCCTAGCTCATCACATTTTCCTGCCCACTTTCAGGTAAGAGATCTTGTGACTGAAGTGGGTGGGTATAATAAAGTTAAGAGAAGTTAGAAAATGTACGAGAATGGGGTTTCAAAGCAACATTTCCCAGTTTAAATAAGGTAGGGATTAAGATGGCAACAAATTGTTTTGTGCAATTTGAATACTACTCGACCTCATACATCTACTTTGGGGGAAGATTTGAAGGTGACGGACTAAGGACAGACAATGTTTTTCTGTGTGAGTTTAAAGAATGCTTGATGGCTGCTAACTCCAGCCGTGTTTAAGCTCAGAATTGGTCTATTTGGGGGCTGGAATCAAACTGGAATGAAAAGCCAAGCAGCTTAGTGTAGTCATCAAAACTGACCAGACAGTTTCAGAATTGTGAACGATAGGGTCTTGATCTGATGACCCAGATCACATGAGAAAGGAGTCAGATGGATGTCTAAGGGTTATTTTGTTGTTGTTGTTGTTTTGGAATAGGAAGGCAACGGTCGAGGACTATGAGCTAAATGGTATCCAGTGGAACGTCTGAATTCTAATTTATAATTTTTAGTCATTTTCTGGCAGTTCTTATAACAATGGTAATAATCACATTCTAAGGATTAAATTTGATTAGATTTTGGAGAGGACAGGTATTTTTCAATCTAGTACAATTTTTTGCTCTTAACAATGATAAAGCTCCCTGAGTGTAAGGCAGACAGGAAGGTAATAAGAAAAGTAGAAACTTTACTAGAAATAGTCTGATAAGAATGTAGACAGGCAGCAGCATCCAGTAATTGTCCTAGTGGTCAAGACCTTATCAAAACTTGTAACAGTGCGCAAGAGAAGGTTTAAAAATAACATTTATGGGCAGAGCAAGGGCTGTCAGCTCTGTGAGAAGAAAGGGCGGCTACATCTGGAAAGACGTCTGGATCTGGAAAGGACAGTGCTTGAGGGAAAATGAGAGAGGGAGAGAGAGGGGTGGGGGGGTTTCAAGTTTCAGTTCTCTCATGGAACATTGTCAGCCCACAGTGAAAGCCACTGCAAATAACATTAATTATTGTGAAGGGTTGCAAGCCTCCTCAAATATGGATATAAGATAGTCTAGAATGTAAACTAACTTTGTGAAAATAGTGTACATGCTATAGCATTCCACAGAACAGTCAAACAAACTTAAGAAAGTCACCTCAAGTCTAAACAAATATATTTGGAAATCAAATCATCTAATATACTTCATAACACCTCCTCAATCTTCAGTAGCATAACCTTACTTATAAAATTTAGAATTCATATACATGTATGTTCATGTATTCTAGTTTATATCTATTATAAGATACAGATAGGTAGGTAGATTCTATCCTACATCTGACTGTCTCTGTATTCTATTGTGTGTATGTGTATGTGTGTGCTCTTGTTCTAGCCTCAGAAAAAGAGATGACTTTTCCTCATAAAATAACACTTAAGGCAGTTTGTTAATACAGTTATTAAAATATAATGTGTTAATGTGTGTAGGACTTTTTTCAGGACAAATAAGTTTATTTTATCAAATTGCTCCTATGTTTTCTTTGTTAAGTATCTTCCTAGTTTTCTATCTTCATACATTCTCTCAAATTTTCCTAAGGCCTGCCTATGCTACTCTATCACTGGAAAGTAATTACAAAATAATAAATAGATTAATTATTGTATGAATAATACATATAATAAATTATAAAAATAAACTGAAAGAATATTCTAAAATTTAAAATACCACTTTTTGCCTGGGAATAGATATTTTAAAATACAGAAATAAATATAAATCCCTAATAAACAAGAGTTCTTCCACAGGGACAAGTAACTATTAATTAATGGTTCAGTATTTGAACTCCACATCAGACATAAGTGAGAACATTCCAGTCTCATGTCTAAATGTCTCTAATGAAATATGTATTTATAATATACATTTACATACCTCAATATATTTTTGAAAAGTTTTCAAATATTTCACCATCTTTAATCTTCAGAACAACCCCATTATGCAGGAAGGAAAATCATTACTGTCTCAAATTTTACGGGTGATAAATCAGAGGTCAGAGAGGTTAAATGATTTGCTAAAGGTTACAAAGTGAGTCTGTGGAAAGAATGGGTATAATAATTAGTGTCTCCTGAGTCCCTGCTTTCTAAATGTGAATGTCACTCTCTCATTAATAAAGAAAGCTTGTGTTCCAAAATTGCTATATTCACGCAGAATACATTTAATTTTCTGTGAGGCTAATTTACATTCATCTAGCCATTTTACTTGTGTATCCTACTTGATTTATAGTTGTGCAGAAGGCATTATTTTCATTTTATAATTTGGAAGACTGAGGTCCAAGGAAGTTGAATGTTTCATAAAAATCTTGCAAATAGAGCATATAGCACATAATATTTACTTTCTTTTTGTTAGAAAGAAATAAAAACACCATATAGGCAGAGATATATAATTACTAAAATTGAGCTATTGTTCCCAAAGTTAATAATAGATTCTTCGCATCCTCCTGTTCTATCATCTTTGGTATTTCCTTTATTCCTTACACTTGTTAACTCATGATCTGACAGTGGTGGCTGCTGCTCCAAGCATCATGGCAGAATTTGAAGGCAGGAAATGGAGAAGGGGGTTGGTGAAGAAGGCTGGCAGGGGCGTCGAAAATCAGAGCTCCCTCATGTTGCTCAGGAAGAAAGTAAATATTTTCTAGAAACTTCCATAAGACATCTACTAAGATCTGTTTGGCCAGAAAATCATCTCGAGACCACTTCCTACTGCAATGGAGGTGTGAAAGGTGAACATCTTAGTCTGTTTGTGCTACTATAACAGACTCTCCAAGATTAGGTATTTTTTTAGGTTGGTACAAAAATGATTGCAGTTTTTGCCATTAAAAGTAATGGCAAAAAAAAAAAAAACTTTTAATGGCAAAAACTGTGATTACTTTTGTACAAACCTAATATAAAAAAGAGAAATTTATTTTCTCACAGTTCTGGAAGGTAGGAAGTCAAAGACCAAGGCATTAGCAGGTTCCGTTGTCTGATGGGGTTGCAGTCTCTGTTTCCAAGATGCCACTTTGAAAGCTACATCCTCCAGAGGAGAGGAACACTATCCCTCACATGGCAGAAGGCAGAAGAACAAACATGAATGAACTCCCTTGTCAAGCCCTTTTATAAGGGAGTTAATTCATTCATGAGGTCATGACTTAAATATTTCTCATTCGAATCCATCTCTCAACAATTTTGCATTGAAGATTAAGTTCCCAACACATGAATTTTTGGGGACACATCAGACCCTAAAAGTGTCCCATTTTTGTCCCCAATTTCATATTAGCAGATAAGCAAGGAAAATGAGGTTGGGAATGGTGTCTGGGTTCGGCATTCACTCTCCCTTTTCTCATCCCTCACATTTGTCCTGAGTGATTTCCTAGCAAGACATGCCTCGTTTCTTTAGAAAATATTTCCTTCCTTTACACAGTCTTAGACTTCATTGGCTAAAACTCTTCTCCATTTGACAGACTGCAGTACTCCCTGTCAGTGAGATACCACCAGGCCACCAAGGACAAGAGGCCCCCAAGTTTTCCTCCCAGACACTTTACAGAGGGCACAGAGATTCTCATCCAAATTAACTTCCCACAGTATGCAATATGGACCGTTAATGGAGATGCCTAAAGGGATTATGAAAAAGGCCCTTGAGCTCCATAAGGAATTCAAATGCAGCCACCATCCATTGTAGCTGTCATGGACCTAGTGCATTGAGGCACAAACATCACAGCAGTGCCAAAGAGCAAAGCTGAAGTCAGCAGGGTGCTCTAACACTCTAAAATAGAAAATACTAGTCAATAATGTCTTCCCAGTTGGGGACACCCTTTCTCCCTGAACTGAATTTATTCTGAGAGTTAGCTCTTTCAGTCTTATAGTAGACTATAAATGTCCCTTCACCACCCCACCACGGATCATTGCCTGTGCAAGAGAGACTGAGAAAACGAGAGATTAGTGAGAGCTACAGCAGACCATATAAAAGAAGACATTTCCAGAATAATAAGCAGTGGATATTTGCCAAAGTACTTAGAAGTGAAATAGACCTCTTTGATCTCATTATTCAATTAACAATTATTTAGTGCTTTCTATCTGCCAGGGAGTGATTCATAATTGAATTATACATAATCTCTGCACTTAAAAAGGTTAGTCTGATAGGAAAGATACATACATACATAAAACATACTCTTATTTGATCCTCACAATGATCTTCAACCCTGAGATTTGAGAAGGTGATGTTTGGGTAGACTGAGTAAAAGCTGAGAATACAAAACCAACCCTTGGGCTTCCTTTGCCAGTGGAGCAGGCTTAACTGGTAAGTCTTCCAAACACCAGCTTCCCCTTATTTGAAGACACTGTAATAACCTCTTTTGGGCCATCATCTTGCGGTGGATGCTTAATCTTCTTAAGACACACATGTCCACCCCATTTTGGAACCATATTTGGGATTAAATTTCAGAATGCTTCAGCAGAGAAAGTTCAAATACTTATCTGGGAAAAATAGATTATAAAGCAAGAGAATTGCAAACTTTTACTAATTTACATTATTTTATTAATATTGGTATAAGCCCAGGATATATGGATGGAAATGAATCCCAGGGGCAATTAGAAACAGGAGGACAGAATATTTACTGGTCAAATTTGTTTGACTTATCAGACCACTTATCAGAGTTTCTGGATTTAACGTTTTGGCAGATGGAGCTGTTTGTGGCAGATCGATTAGTTGGTTGAATAAAACTTTGACTTATCAGTGGGTTAAATTTAATGGGGTTGAGATGCCAGATCATTCCTGGCATAATATAGATAGAGGAGGAAATCTAAAGGTTTAGGGAGAGAGGAATGTAGGAGTAGATATATTATGCCAATTCACCCCTGCTTACATACACACATACAATTCCTAGAGGGCCCAGAGTACACTCCCTTCATCAATGAATTGGGAAACATATTAGTAAAGGAACACAAGCATTTCTGGGATGCCTGTTCTCTGCAGGCCAGGTGTGATGGTGACAGCTAAGCTAAGAGTAATTTTGCTAGTGAGATTGCTCTCTGAATAGCAGAGAACAAGAAACAGAGCTTATCCAAAGATAAGATGGATATACCAGGGACAAAATGGTGTTTATAATGATTTAACATGTAAGAATTGTTGATGCCAGCTAACTGATCAGAAGCCCTAGAAATAAAGTGGATGAAGAACCTACTAAATGCTGATATATAAATCAAGCCTGGTAGCCATAAAACTGAATGTGTAAATACTTACTGAATAACAAGCAGACCTGTTTTCATTTCAGCTCTGCCATCTCTTGTTGGTGGTAGTATCTCTGGTGGCAGAGCGAAAATGAAAACTCAGGTCTGATTGTCAGTGGTATTACCCTGGACAAGTCATTTAGCTTGAAAGTTGGGAGTTTAACTAGATACTACCCAGCTCGAAATTCTCTGCTTCATGTGTCTCTATGTGAAATAAAATGCCTTTCATTCCTGTGCTTTATGCCCACATATTCAGTTACTCCTTAGAAGGCACTTACCCATTAATGTTTGTTAGTTTAGTTGTTTTTAGGCCAATCACTAGCAATCTCCCCTCCCACTCCAGTCCTGTGCTTGATAGGCAAGTTTAGAACCATGCTTTTTTACTGTCTTAACCTCAGGTAGGTGATAGAGTTTGAATATTTGTCCCCTTCATATTTCATATTGAAATTTGATCCCGAGTGTTAGGCGTGCAGCCTGGTGGGAGGTGTTTGGGTCATGAGGGTGGGTTCCTCACAAACAGTTTTGTGCTGATCTTGTGGTAATGGATGAGTTCTCCCTCTATTAATTCCCAAGAGAGAGTGATAGTTAAAAACAGCCTTGGGCGGGGCGTGGTGGCTCATGCCTGTAATCCCAGCACTTTGAGAGGCTGAGGCAAGTGGATCACGAGGTCAGGAGATCGAGACCATCCTGGCTAACACAGTGAAACTCTGTCTCTACTAAAAATACAAAAAATTAGCTTGGCGTGGTGGCAGGCACCTGTAGTCCCAGCTACTCGGAAGGCTGAGGCAGGAGAATGGCATGAACCCAGGAGGCAGAGCTTGCATTGAGCCGAGATTGGGCCACTGTACTCCAGCCTGGGTGACAGGGCGAGACTCCATCTCAAAAAAAATAAATAAATAAACAAACAGCCTTGGCACCACCTCCCTGGCCTTCCTCCCTCATCATATAATATACCAGGTCCTCTTTGAATTCCACCACGAATGGAAAACAGAAGCTTCCTGAGCCCCTCACAGAGCAGATGCTGAAACCATACTTCTTGTACAGCCTGCAGACCTGCAAGGCAAATAAACCTCTTTTCTTTGTAAATTACCCAGCCTCAGGTATTCCTTCATAGCAACAGATAACAGACTAAGACAGTAGTTATGCATGGTGGTTTGTTCTTTTTGTCAATCTCATCATGACCCCTGTGATCACATTCTTGGCTGACTTTTCCTGAGTGCAAATTTGCTTCGGGAATAACTCAGGGTCATGGTGGCTGCGCCTCCTCAACCAGTTCTCCTTCCCAGTTCCCCTTGAAACTGCAATGACCTGTGGTTTCTCTGACTAGAATTTCCATTCAGTGTCTAAATCTTTGCTCCTAACACTATAAAAGTATGTTCTACTAGCGTTGCATGGGTTAGTATTATAATAATTTATAATTTTGCCCTGCTTTCAAATGATGTATGGAGGATTTCCTGAATGAACAGTGACTGTAATTGCTGAGGATATTGAGCTTTATCAGCCAATTACTGAGCACAGATGATTGCTTTCAAGTATTCCTCACAGCATACTTGAAATAAAAAGCAACTGGCCCAGTTATGTCAGTGAATTTCACTGCTTCCTCCCATGGGCTTGAGGGGAGAGGCGGCAGAAAGCCTTTGCATTGGAGAAGATAAATTCAGCACGAACAGCCTCTGCCTTCCAATTCCTATTCCCTATGACCAGCATTTTCACAGAACCTCCGGGGCTGGTGCTTTCTGCTCTGTTATAATCCATTTCTTTAATGGCAATGTCAGGCAAAGGTCTTAGTAAGGAAGCCTTTAGCTTGAGCTCTTTAAAAGGGCAAAAACAACAAAACAGTTTTCAGAAAAAGAAGAAAATAATCTCATTTTCATTCTTTTTTGTTGTCGTTGTTCTCAGTTTTATTTCCTTCTCTTTATTCCTATAGTAAGAATAATTTGAAAGTGGCTTTTTCCTCCTTTAATACCAGGTCTTGACAGTTGAATAATTCCTCATGTTTGCTGTAGAGCTTTCTCTTGTGCTGTTGATGTAGTTAATCATTCATCTATAGTCTGGTTGTAACTCCTATAAGCATAGCAACTGAAATCAGTAGATCTTGTATTTTATTACTGTCTAGACATGTATCATGCTCAGTCAGCTTATCCTTTGATCTTAGAACATCCTGGAAAATATGAAACTAGAGGAGGCAATAGGAGAAATGAATGAGGAAATATGTCCTTAAAAAGGAGCTCATTAATCAAAATCCAATCATCTAAAGGCTGGATATTGTAAGCAAAACCTCATCTTTGGGGAGGAAACAGCAGATATCAACCCAAATTAGATGCTCAGATGTCTAGAAGGCCTGTCTATAAGCGGGGGCTAAAATTCACAGTAAGTGTAATTAGATGAGAATAATATATTTACCAGGGACTCTCAAGAAGATGACTCTGGGTTGTTGGAAAGAATGTTCTAGAGGCACTTGAGATGGAGGTAAGATCCTCAAGATACATGCTGAAGTTATTTTCAAAACCGCAATTACTTTTGCACCAACCTAATAACAGTTGAGGTTTAGCAAACTGTTTTGAAGAGAGTATGATCAGCAATTCCCTCCCTCCAAGTGGGCATGCAAAATTTGGGGCCAGAGACAAACTGCTGATAAAATAGAAGAAAGCACTGTCACCAGAAGACTTCCTTTTCTCTAGCTTCCCTTCAACTCTGTTAGAGATCTTCATAAAACATACGTTGAAAAATACAGAAAGATGGTACCTATTGGAAGGTGGAGGCTGGGAAGAGAGGATCAAGAAAAATAACTAATGGGTACTGGGCTTAATACCTGAGTGACAAAGTAATCTGTACAACAAACCCCTATGACACAAGTTTATCTATGTAACAAACCTGCACATGTACCCCTGAACTTAAAAGTTTAAACAAAATAAAAAACAATATAGAAAAATACAGAAAGAATATAAACTTGAAGAGAACCAAACTGCCAGCCTACCAGTAGCTCTGCTGGTTTAGCCTTCAATCATTTTCACTGATTGAAGGAAAATCTATATTTCAACACAGGGCCAATAAGAATGGTTCCATTTTAAAAGAATAGTTTAAAGGAAAATAAGAAGTCTATTTCTGATGTGTAAACCTTTTGATTATGTGTGTTTACATCATCACAGCCTTGCACGTTCCATCAATGCACAGATCTCCCATTTTCCCTTTGAAGTCAAGCTTTTTTAAAGAGCTGTGTCTGGTAGCTATTCCTGCATCCGCTCCTCCTATTTACTCCTCAGTTAATCCAGGTAAGAGGCTTTCATCCCATCAATCTTTTGAAACTCTCTGGAAAGAGTCATCAGTCATCTTCAAATTGCCAAATACAAAGGATATTTTCCTAATCACGTGCAGCCCCTGTAGCAGTAGCTTAATGTTTATCAGATTATTAAAGAACACATAGAAGATCATGAATTCCAGCAATGTAAGTTTATTCAAGAATCCACTATTGCCAATAAAATGAACTTTGTCCTGAATTGGACAACAGGGTTCATCTTTTCATCAAGACATGGCCTTTACTCAACTTCAGGATGTCAACAAGTACATAGCACCTCACCTTGAATACGACAGGGGGAGTCATTTCTCCTGCCAACAAGGAGAATCAATTTCAAATCTGGCATTAGAAATTCAAATAACAGGAATAGGAGCCAAGATGGCCAAATAAGAACAGCTCCAGGCTACAACTCCCAGCGTGAGCAACGCAGAAGACGGGTGATTTCTGCATTTCCAACTGAGGTACCAGGTTCATCTCACTGGGGAGTGTCGGACAGTGGGTGCAGGACAGTGGGTGCAGCACACCAAGCATGAGCCAAAGCAGGGCAAGGCATTGCCTCACCTGGGTAGTGCAAGGGGTCAGGGAATTCCCTTTCCTAGTCAAAGAAAGGGGTGACAGATGGCATCTGGAAAATCGGGTCACTCCCATCCTAATACCGTGCTTTTCCAACGGTCTTAGCACATGGCACACCAGGAGATTATATTCCGTGCCTGGCTTGGAGGGTCCTATGCCCACAGAGCCTGACTCATTGCTAGCACAGCAGTCTGAGATCAAACTGCAAGGCGGCAGCAAGGCTGGGGGAGGGGCGTCCACCATTGCCGAGGCTTGAGTAGGTAAACAAAGCAGCTGGGAAGCTCGAAATGGGTGGAGCCCACCACAGCTCAAGGAGGCCTGCCTGCCTCTGTAGACTCCACCTCTGGGGGCAGGGCATTGCCAAACAAAAGGCAGCAGAATCCTCTACAGACTTAAATGTCCCTGTCTGACAGCTTTGAAGAGAGTAGTGGTTCTCCCAGCATGCAGCTGGAGATCTGAGAAAGGACAGACTGCCTCCTCAAGTGGGTACCTGACGCCCGAGTAGCCTAACTGGGAGGCAACCCCCAGTAGGGGCAGACTGACACCTCGCACAGCCGGGTACTCCTCTTAGGCAAAACTTCCAGAGGAACGATAGGCAGCAACATTTGCTGTTCACCAATATCTGCTGTTCTGCAGCCTCCGCTGCTGATACCCAGGCAAACAGGGTCTGGAGTGGACCTCCAGCAAACTCCAACAGACCTGCAGCTGAGGGTCCTGACTCTTAGAAGGAAACTAACAAACAGAAAGGACATCCACACCAAAACCCCATCTGTACATCACCATCATCAAAGACCAAAGGTAGATAAAACAACAAAGATGGGGGAAAAAAAAGAGCAGAAAAACTGGAAACTCTAAAATTCAGAGTGCCTCTCCTCTTCCAAAGGAATGCAGCTCCTCACCAGCAACGGAACAAAGCTGGATGGAGAATGACTTTGACAAGTTGAGAGAAGAAGGCTTCAGATGATCGAATTACTCTGAGCTAAAGGAGGAAGTTCAAACCTATGGCAAAGAAGTTAAAAACCTTGAAAAAAAATTAAACAAATGGCTAACTAGAATAACCAATGCAGAGAAGTCCTTAAAGGACCCGATGGAGCTGAAAACCAAGGCACGAGACTACATGACGAACGCACAAGCCTCAGTAGCCGATTTGATCAACTAGAAGAAAGGTATCAGTGATAGAAGACAAATGAATGAAATGAAGTGAGAAGAGAAGTTTAGAGAAAAAAGAATAAAAAGAAACGAACAAAGCCTCCAAGAAATATGGGACTATGTGAAAAGATCAAATGTACGTCTGATTGGTATACCTGAAAGTGACAGGGAAAATGGAACCAAGTTGGTCCTGGATATTATCCAGGAGAACTTCCCCAATCTAGCAAGGCAGGCCAACATTCAGATTCAGGAAATACAGAGAACGCCACAAAGATACTCCTCGAGAAGAGCAACTCCAAGACACATAATTGTCAGATTCACCAAAGTTGAAATGAAGGAAAAAAATGTTAAGGGTAGCCAGAGAGAAAGGTCGGGTTACCCACAAAGGGAAGCCCATCAGACTAACAGCTGATCTCTCGGCAGAAACTCTACAAGCCAGAATAGAGTGGGGGCCAATATTCAACACTCTTAAAGAAAAGAATTTTCAACCCAGAATTTCATATCCAGCCAAACTAAGCTTCATAAGTGAAGGAGAAATAAAATACCTTACAGACAAGCAAATGCTGAGAGATTTTGTCACCACCAGGTCTGCCCTAAAAGAGCTCCTGAAGGAAGCACTAAACATGGAAAGTTACACTACAAAAACATGCCAAATCGTAAAGACCTTCGAGGCTAGGAAGCAACTGCATCAACTAATGAGCAAAATTACCATCTAACATCATAATGACAGGATCAAATTCACACATAACTATATTAACCTTAAATGTAAATGGGCTAAATGTTCCAATTAAAAGACACAGACTGGCAAATTGGATAAAGAGTCAAGACCCATCAGTGTGCTGTATTCAGGAAACCCATCTCACATGCAGAGACACACATAGGCTCAAAATAAAGGGATGGAGAAAGATCTACCAAGCAAATGGAAAACAAGAAAAGGCAGGGGTTGCAATCCTAGTCTCTGATAAAACAGACTTTAAACCAACAAAGATCAAAAGAGACAAAAGAAGGTCATACGTAACGGTAAAGGGATCAATTCAACAAGAAGAGCTAACTATCCTAAATATAAATGCACCCAATACAGGAGCACACAGATTCATACTGCAAGTCCTTAGAGACCTAGAAAGAGACTTACACCCCACTGTCAACATTAGACAGATCAATGAGACAGAAAGTTAACAAGGATATCCAGGAATTAACTCAGCTCTGCACCAAGCGGACCTAATAGACATGTACAGAACTCTCCACCCCAAATCAACAGAATATACATTCTTCTCAGCACCACACCACACTTAACCAAAATTGACCACATAGTTGGAAGTAAAGCACTCCTCAGCAAATGTAAAAGAACAGAAATTGTAACGAACTGTCTCTCAGACCACAGTGCAATCAAACTAGAACTCAGGATTAAGAATCTCACTCAAAACCGCTCAACTGTGTGGAAACTGAACAACCTGCTCCTGAATGACTACTGGGTACATAATGAAATGAAGGCAGAAATAAAGATGTTCTTTGAAACCAATGAGAACAAAGACACAACATACCAGAATCTCTGGGACACATTCAAAGCAGTGTGTAGAGGGAAATTTACAGCACTAAATGCCCACAAGAGAAAGCAGGAAAGATCTAAAATTGACACCCTAACATCACAATTAAAAGAACTAGAGAAGCAAGAGCAAAGACATTCAAAAGCTAGCAGAAGGCAAGAAATAACTAAGATCAGAGCAGAACTGAAGGAAATAGAGACACAAAAAACCCTTCAAAAAAATCAATGAATCCAGGAGCTGGTTTTTTGAAAGGATCAACAAAATTGATAGACCGCTAGCAAGACTAATAAAGAAGAAAAGAGAGAAGAATCAAATAGACGCAATAAAAAATGATAAAGGGGATATCACCACCGATCCCACAGAAATACAAACTACCATCAGAGAATACTATAAACACTTCTACACAAATAAACTAGAAAATCTAGAAGAAATGGATACATACCTCGACACATACACCCTCCCAAGACTAAACCAGGAAGAAGTTGAATCTCTGAATAGACCAATAACAGGCTCTGAAATTGAGGCAATAATTAATAGCTTACCAACCCAAAAAAGTCCAGGACCAGATGGATTCACAGCCAAATTCTACCAGAGGTACAAGGAAGAGTTGGTACCATTCCTTCTGAAACTATTCCAATCAATAGAAAAAGAGGGAATCCTCCCTAACTCATTTTATGAGGCCAGCATCATCCTGATACCAAAGCCTGGCAGAGACACAACAAAAAAAGAGAATTTTAGACCAATATCCCTGATGAACATCGATGCAAAAATCCTCAATAAAATACTGGCAAACTGAATCCAGCAGCACATTAAAAAGCTTATCCACCATGATCAAGTGGGCTTCATCCCTGGGATGCAAGGCTGGTTCAACATATGCAAATCAATAAACATAATCCAGCACATAAACAGAACCAACGACAAAAACCATATGATTATCTCAATAGGTGCAGAAAAGGCCTTTGACAAAATTCAACAACTCTTCATGCTAAAAACTCTCAATAAATTAGGTATTGATGGGACGTATCTCAAAATAATAAGAGCTATCTGTGACAAACCCACAGCCAATATCATACTGAATGAGCAAAAACTGGAAGCATTCCCTTTGAAAACTGGCACAAGAGAGGGATGCCCTCTCCCACCACTCCTATTCCACATAGTGTTGGAAGTTCTGGCCAGGGCAATCAGGCAGGAGAAGGAAATAAAGGGCATTCAATTAGGAAAAGAGGAAGTCAAATTGTCCCTGTTTGCAGATGACATGATTGTATATCTAGAAAACCCCATCATCTCAGCCCATAATCTCCTTAAGCTGATAGGCAACTTCAGCAAAGTCTCAGGATACAAAATCAATGTGCAAAAATCACAAGCATTCTTATACACCAATAACAGACAAACAGAGAGCCAAATTATGAGTCAACTCCCATTCACAATTGCTTCAAAGAGAATAAAGTACCTAGGAATCCAACTTACAAGGGATGTGAAGGACCTCTTCAAGAAGAACTACAAACCACTGCTCAATGAAATAAAAGAGGATACAAACAAATGGAAGAACATTCCATGCTCATGGGTAAGAAGAATCAATATCATGAAAATGGCCATACTGCCCAAGGTAATTGATAGATTCAATGCCTTCCCCATCAAGCTACCAATGACTTTCTTCACAGAATTGGAAAAAACTACTTTAAAGTTCACATGGAACCAAAAAAGAGCTCGCATTGCCAAGTCCATCCTAAGCAAAAAGAACAAAGCTGGAGGCATCACACTACCTGACTTCAAACTATGCTACAAGTCTACAGTAACCAAAACAGCATGGTACTGGTACCAAAACAGAGATATAGACTAATGGAACAGAACAGAGCCCTCAGAAATAATGCCACATATCTACAACCATCTGATCTTTGACAAACCTGACAAAAACAAGAAATGGGGAAACGATTCCCTATTTAATAAATGGTGCTGGGAAAACTGGCTAGCCATATGTAGAAAGCTGAAACTGGATCCCTTCCTTACACCTTACACAAAAACTAATTCAAGATGGATTAAAGACTTAAATGTTAGACCTAAAACCATAAAAACCCTAGAAGAAAACCTAGGCAATACCATTCAGGACATAGGCATGGGCAAGGACTTCATGTCTAAAACACCAAAAGCAATGGCAACAGAAGCCAAAATTGACAAATGGGATGTAATTAAACTGAAGAACTTCTGCACAGAAAGAGAAACTACCATCAGAGTGAACAGGCAACCTAGAGAATGGGAGAAAATTTTTGCAATCTACCCATCTGACAAAGGGCTAATATCCAGAATCTACAATGAACTCAAACAAATTTACAAGAAAAAAACAACCTCATCAAAAAGTGGGCGAAGGATATGAACAGACACTTCTCTAAAGAAGACATTTATGCAGCCAAAAGACACATGAAAAAATGCTCATCATCACTGGCCATCAGAGAAATGCAAATCAAAACCACAATGAGATACCATCTCACACCAGTTAGAATGGCAATCATTAAAAAGTCAGGAAACAACAGGTGCTGGAGAGGATGTGGAGAAATAGGAACACTTTTACACTGTTGGTGGGACTGTAAACTAATTCAACCATTGTGGAAGTCAGTGTGGTGATTCCTCAGGGATCTAGAACTAGAAATACCATTTGACCCAGCAATCCCATTACTGGGTATATACCCAAAGGATTATAAATCATGCTGCTATAAAGACACATGCACACGTATGTTTCTTACGGCACTATTCACAATAGCAAAGACTTGGAACCAACCCAAATGTCCAATAATGATAGACTGGATTAAGAAAATGTGGCACATCTACACCACGGAATACTATGCAGCCATAAAAAATGATGAGTTCATGTCCTTTTTAGGGACATGGATGACGCTGGAAACCATCATTCTCAGCAAACTATCACAAGGACAAAAAACCAAACACCACATGTTCTCACTCATAGGTGGGAATTGAACAATGAGAACACATGGACACAGGAAGGGAAACATCACACACCGGGGACCGTTGTGGGGTGGGGGGAGGGGGGAGGGATAACATTTGGAAATATACCTAATGTTAAATGACGAGTTGCTGGGGGCAGCACACCAACATGGCACATGTATACATATGTAACTAACCTACACGTTGTGCACAAGTACCCTAAAACTTAAAGTATAATAAAAAAAATAAAAATTCAAATAACATTTACATCCCCCTCTGCATATACAAATATCATCCTAAGACCAATTCACTTTTCACACTGCTTACATAGGTTTGTTCTTAAATACATAGTGCTTTATAGGATAGCACATCTCTCTTAAGGCCAGCAGCATGCATATATATTTGCTCCTTAGCAATACTGAGATTATATCAATTCCTGGCTTTCCTTGCAGTGTGGAATAACAGCTCAGCATGTTTGAGCTTCTGTAAAGTATTTTCTGCCCATCTCTGCAGCCCCATTTTTGTAACCACCGTTTTCTTTCTATTTCTACTTCTTCACTTTAGTGAACAATTTCTTTGCATTTGTCATGATACACCTTCCCCAGGAGGCAAGCCACACCTGGCTGAGGCCCCCACATCTATCTCTCAAGTTTGTTTTATTCCTTCCCTCACCCTCCCTTATTGAGCTAGGGATTCTTCTGAAAATTAGTTTCTTTTCCATGAAATTTTTTTTACCAATGGCTTTCACATTTCCCTCTCTGGTAAATCTTCTCCATCTTGTTTGTCCATTCTATTTCAATTCCCTCCATGCCTCTCTCTTCCTCATCCCTTTCCTTAAGTCCTAACTTGCACAGAAGGCTGCCACACTCAAACCCAAATAACACTTGTTTTCAGTTATAGAATCAAAAATTGACATTTTTCCAATTACAAAAATAATTCATTATAACAAATGAATTATTAGTTCATTATAACAAATAGAAAATATAGAAAAAGACAAAGCATGAATTCAAACAGTTTTCTATTGTCTAAGGGTGATGCCCATAAATATAGAACCACACACCATCTTTCGTATAAATATAGCATCACCTATACTCTGATATAGCAGTATATCATGTGCTCATTGAATATCCATAATCCTCCCACATTTTTCAACCTCCTTGCCGATATGTGAGACGATATGATTATTCATATGACGTATGTCACCTCTGGGCTGAAGCAGAAGACGTAGGTCATGACTCTCCAGTTTTTTATTCATTTGCAGATGGTGCAGCTTCCATCAGCCTGGGTTTCTGAGTAACTGTGTGAAGCAAAGGTGCTCCACTCTATCCCTTCCACCACTGACCTACATTGCATAGATGAGATTGGAGTTCAGTAAGATGTTTTGTTGGGGCATAAGCTTTGGAGACTTGTCAGAATATAGATGTTGCCTTGGATGAAATTAGGGATAGTAAGCATAAAGAGTGAAAAGAAGAAGACCAAGGACCCTGGAGGATACAAACATTAGAAGTCAGGAAAAGGCTACAGGAACCAGAAAAGACGAATTAGACACAGTGATGGTTGAGTAGGAAGAAAATCAAGAAAGCACAGTGTCGTGAAATCCAAATGAGGAAGATGTATCAGGAAAGAAGGAATGAACGCTGGTGTGAAATGGGGCTGATGCATCAGGAAAAATGCAAGACAGGAAGAGTCCATTAGAGTCAGCAATGTGGAAGTCATTCATTCCCTTGTCAAGAGCAGTTTCTTGTGAGTTGGTAGTTCAAAAGCCTGACTGGAGGGCAGTCAAAAGAGAAAAAGGGGCAAGGCTTTAGAGAAAAAAAAAATACAAAATGGGCTCTTTTGTTAAGTTTCACTGCAAAGAGAAGAAATAACTTTTTTCTTTCAAGATGGAAGAAACAGTAACATGATTTCATGCTGGTATGAATCACCCATTAAAGAGTAAAAAATATATGATGGAGAAAGACAGAAGAAAATTGTTAGAATGACATCTGTGAGTGGGCAAGAGAAGATGGGGACTATTGGATAAACAAGGAATTCACTGAAGATATGGCCAGATTGGGAATCTGGAGTAATTGGCAATAAGACAGCAGATATGGGAACCCATAGGAGCTTATGGGTTCAAAAAGCAAGGGGAAAGAAGGGACATGTTAAATAGTGACATGGATAATACTAAAATAATCTAAATCAAACCTCTAGCGATGAAAACTATAATGTCTGAGATGAAAAATACACTGGGATTAAAGGCAGAAAAGACGCTGCAGAAAAAAAAAATTAATGAATTTGAAGGCATAGCAATGGAAATGGTCTAAGATAAAACAGAGAAAACTAACTGGGAAAAAAAAGGACCACATGAGTAAGCTGTGGCACAACTTTAAGAGGCTTCATAAAAATGTATTTGAAATCAAACAGGATGGAGGAAGGGATGGGAGAAAAAATATTTGAAAATGTAATTGCTAAAATATTTCGAAATTTGCTGAAAACTATAAATTCACATATCTGTGAAGGTCAAGCACAAAAACATGAAGCAAAGTGCACCAAGGCACAGCATAATCAAAATACTGAAACAGGCCAGGTCTGGGCTGACACCTGTAATCCCAGCACTTTGGGAGGCCAAGACTTGGAGGAGTGCTTGAGTCTAAGAGTTCCAGACCAGCCTAGGCAATATGGTGAAACCCCATCTCTAAAATAAAATAAAATAAAGCTGAAACATAAGGATAAAATCTCACAAGCAACCATTTAAAAAAACAAGTCTTTGGTACAGAAGAACTGATATAAGAATGAGAGCAATTTTATCAGAAACAATGTAAATCCAGTAAAAACATCTCTCAAAAATAAAGGCAAATTAAAATTTTTAAAAATTTACAGAAGCTGAAAGAATTCATCACTACCTTATACGCATTCTAAGAAAAGTTAAGAGGTCATTTGAAAAGGAAAATGAAACTATGGAAATTTGGATCTACAAAAAGAAATAAGGAACATTGACTACAAGAGCAGATAAAGATTTCCTTTAAAAGATAATTGATTACTAAAGGCATAAATAATAATGCATATTATTTTATAATATGGTTTATAATATGTAGAAATAAAACATATGGCACCAGTAACATGAAATCCATGAGCGAAGAGATAAACATACACTGCTGCAGGGTCTTTTACTATACATTATGTGGTATAATACCTTTCGAAGGCATACTTTATAAATACAAGATGCATACCATAAACTTTTAAACGCTAAAAAATGCAACAGAAATATGATTATGAAGCCAATAAAGAAAATAAATTGGAATTATGTTATATATTGAAATCATTCACAAGAAAGCCAAAAAAAGGGAAAATAAAAATGGGTGAAAAAATAGCAAATAAAAATATCGTAGACTTACAACCATGTAAAAATCACATTCAATATTAATCATTTATAAATCTCAATCAAAAGCAGAGGTTGTCAGATTAGATAAACAAGCAAGACCCACTTACACAATGCCTAAAAACTCAATTTAAATATAAAGGCCCAAAATGGTCCTTACATTCATATAGGTATTTATGTTTATATAGGCACTTAACACATTTTTCCTCTAAGTACTCCTTTAGACTTCTTCACACATTTTGATATATTTTCATTTTCATTAAGTTTAAAATACTTTCTAATTTCCCTTTGGATTTCTTCTTCTAGCCCAAAAAGTTTACAAGTCAAACAACAGAAAAAAAAAAAACATATATATATATATATATATAATGCTATCATTAATCAAAAAAGGCTACAATACATATATTAAGATCAGAAAAGTCAATTGCATAGCAAAAGTTCATACCAGAGCTAAAGCTGGTCTTTTCAAATGGATAAAGGAGTCAAATCATCAAGAACATGTAAAAGTCATTAACTTTATATACCTAATAACAGAGCTTCAAAATACATGAAGCAAAAACTGATAGAACTGCAAGAATGAATAGAAAAATTAATTATTTCAAAGACTTCAGCACCTCTCTTTCAAACATTGATAGAACAAGTGAATAGCAAATCGGTAAGAATATGGAAGACTTAACATCATGACCTAATTGACACTAACCGACCATTCCACTAAGTAACAATAGAATATACATTCTTTTAAAGAGCTTAGAGAATGTTTACCAAGATAAACCATATTTTTTTTTTTTTTTTTGAGACGCAGTCTCGCTCTGTCGCCCAGGCTAGAGCGCAGTGGCCCAATCTCAGCTCACTGCAAGCTCCGCCTCCTGGGTTCACACCATTCTCCTGCCTCAGCCTCCTGAGTAGCTGGGACTACAGGCGCCCACCACCATGACCAGCTAATTTTTTGTATTTTTAGTAGAGACGAGGTTTCACCGTGTTAGCCAGGATGATCTCGATCTCCTGACCTCGTGATCCACCTGCCTCGGCCTCCTCAAGTGCTGGGATTACAGGCATGAGCCACTGCGCCCGGCCTAAAATAACTTTTTTATTTATTTTTTGTTGTTGTTGAGACAGAGTTTCACGCTTGTTGCTCAGGCTGGAGTGCAGTGGCACCATCTCGACTCATCGCAACTTTCAGCTCCCTGGTTCACCCCATTCTCCTGCCTCAGCCTCCCAAGTAGCTGGGATTACAGGCATGCACCACCACACCCGGCTAATTTTGTATTTTCAGTAGAGATGGGGTGTCTCCATGTTGGTCAGGCTGGTCTCGAACTCCCAACCTCAGGTGATCCACCCGCCTCAGCCTCCCAAAGTGCTGGGATTACAGGCGTGAGCCATAGTGCCCAGCCCATAAAATAACTTTTAATAAATTTAGAAGGATTCAACTCATACAAAGTATGTTCTTTGACACTAATGGAATTAAATTAGAAATTCAATTGGATATGCATAATATAAAAACATCTGGTAAATTCCCAGATATTTTGAAACAAAATAACCTGTGGGTCAAAGTGAAAAGCTGAAAAGAAACTAGAAAGTGCTTCGAGCCTAACAAAAATGAAAACATAGCTTATCAAAATGTGTAGAACAACACTAAAGCAGGACTTAGAGGGAAATTCATTAGGTTCTTATATTAGAAGAAAAGAAAAGATCTCAAATCAAAGACCACCTTAAGAAACCAGAATAAGAAGAATAAATAAAACCCAAAGCATACAACTGGATTTAGCCCAGGAATGCAATGCTGATTTAACATCCAAAAATCAATCAGTGTAACTCATCATATTTAACAAAACTAAAAAAGAAAATCTCATGATCTATATAGATGTAGCAAAAGAATTTAACAGAAATCCAACATCTGTACTTTATAAAACTCTCAGTAAACTAGGAATAGAAGGGAACTTTCTCAACTTGATAAAGAACATTTACAAAAGTGTGTCAGCTAACATAACACTTAATGGCAGAAGACTGAATGCTTTCCTCCTAAGATCAGTAACAAGGCAAGGATGCCCAGGTGGCCCTTCCATCCAACATTTTGCAGAGCTAGGGAGAGAGGCTGAGGATTAAGTAAAGCACCTCTGTCTCATTTTAGAGCAATGTCTTTCCCACAGAGCAAAAGTAGAGTGCGTGGTTTGACGTAAAAAGTAGACATTCTTTTCTCAACCCAGTTCCTTATAAGAACAGAAAATTCCTTTCAGAATTTAGCACTAGGTTTTATCTATCTCAGCTTTAGGCTGAGTTTGCATCCTTTTCTGTGTCCTTGCAGACCTTTTACTGAAAAGCTGGGGTTGGCTGCCTCTGGGCCAGCTGAACAGACAACATTTTGACTCACAGTTCACTCATCACTAATTCTAAATAATCTGATCAAATTTCTGTTTCATCCCAAAAAGATTGTAACAATGTCGAGACAGGAACTATGTGTTATTCATCTATTGATGTCATTAGCACCCAGCACACTGCCTGGCACATAGTAGGTACTTAAGTTTTTGTGGGGTTTTTCATGTGGTTTTTGTTTTGTTTTGTTTTATGAGACGGAGTCTCGCTCTGTCGCTCAGGCTGGAGTGCGGTGGCGCAATCTCGGCTCCCTGCAAGCTCCGCCTCCCGGGTTCACACCATTCTCCTGCCTCAGCCTCCCTAGTAGCTGGGACCACAGGCGCCCGCCACCACGCCCAGCTGATTTTTTGTATTTTTGGTAGAGACGGGGTTTCACCATTGTAGCCAGGATGATCTCGATTTCCTGACCTCGTGACCCACCTGCCTCAGCCTCCCAAAGTGCTGGGATTACAGGCGTGAGCCACCGCGCCTGGCCTATGATTTTTTTTTTTTTTAAAGGAACTGGACTATTTTGTCCATGTCAGGCAACAGTATAGTAAGGGATATAAACGAGTTGAAACACTAGAGCCAATTGAAGCTGAAAAGTCCAACCAAAAAACAAAATAAAAAGCATGACTTCTCTAAAGTTTGGCAGAAAGCAAAAAACTTATCTACTTCTCATAGCTTGAAATAAAACCAAGAGCCTGCTTGCGATATTTGACCAAGAGCAAATGTGACCCTTTGGTAGGAGAAAACTAAGAGCCCCCCAAAGCCATTTTTGAACATATTTCTGTGGCCTTACTCACTAGATTGGTGACAGATGGACCACACAGCTCAGTAACTCGACCACAGATTGGCCATTTGAGCGATCATTTAGCCAATAATCGAAACGCATGGGGGAAGGAGCCCCATGACATTCTCTGTCGCATAAGAAGTGAGGCCACAGCTAATTAGAAGAGACAATACCCAGGCTGCCTGACTCTTGAGTACTAGCCTGGGGCAGACAAGAGAGAAATGAGTTTATTCCTTAATGCAGCTAAGTCTTACCTTTACGGGCATAAACCAAAGAGGAATAGAAAATAAATAGCACATAATTTTGCATTTTTATAATAAGTTTGAAACTAAACACTAGGAAACCTTGTCAGCCCCTGCTAAGCTGATTCCAATTAAGGCTTCTGGCAGTGTTCCAGCTGTTTTACTCCTCAAATAGCACAGAGCATAACAAGGTTTATGAAGCATTCAAAAGTCAAATACCCTATTAACATAAACATGTAGCGAAATCAACTCTTCTACCAATTTTAAGCTTGCTTGCTTGCTTTCGTTTAGGGTGGGCTGATAGAAGATGATATCTATTTCCTTGGTGAAGGTTTCCATATGCTTGCTACAATGCAAAGAAAACGTTCCCTTTTGAACAGTAACTCGATGCACCTACTCACAGGGAACTTTTATTATAAAAAATTCCTTCCAATACTAATTTCGATACCAAGGGCTTGGGTTTTTATTTTCTGTAACAGTGTTGAATCTAAAAACAAGAAAAATAAAAGTCAGTGGTTCAGCCTCACACGTTTATTGTTTTGATTCATGTCCCCCTCCTGATCTGCTTGGAAATGGATTTGTTAACTTGGATTGCTATGGCCAAGATTTAACGTAAGAAAGGGTCATTTCCTTGGCCGTGGAAGTCAAATAAACCCCAAATTGAAGGATATAAGCAGGTAAAATGTTTAATGTGAAAGAAAGAAAAAACAAGCAAAATATTGAAGCAGTAAATTGTTATAGAGGTTGAATTTAAGAAATAAGGATAAAGGCTATTTTGTCAAAAGCCAGCACCCTCTTTGGCAACCCCCTTAAAACATGGTAAGTTAAAAGGAACTAGGTCTCGCTCGGACAGCATACCAGATATTTCTTCTTCTTACCATCAATACAATTCAACAATTTAGAAGAGGAACTAACTTGGTAAACTGTTTTTGGGTTTTTTTTGTTTTGTTTTGTTTTTTACGGTGATCTATAGGTAATTCTTTCCTATAGAATGTGAAAATGGCTTTGCTAATGACAATAAAAGATACAGGTATGTCTTTATAAAATGAACAGAAATGAACACATGTGAGTCTGTAATATGTATTATGAATGATTATAAACATCAAAATATGATTAAATATTAATCCCTTTGATTAAGAAAAATAAAATGAAAGCACAATTCTAGATTTTTCATTCACTACTGTAACATCTACATTGACATATGTTTCCCTGAAAAATACTCAAATAAACACACAGGAGTAGCTTATATACTTTTGCTTCATCATTTATCATTCTTACTGAAATATGAATAAAACAAAGGAATTTAAAGGTCTTTTTTTCCTCCTCCCAGTATTTCTATTCTGAAATTTCCTATACATTAGTTTTTTACACCTAAGTATACATCCTAATAAAATCTACATTCTATAGTCTCATGAGTAATTTATTAAATGTTTTTAACTCCTATTCTATACTGGGTCTTTGCTAGGAAATACAGATTCTGTAGGACCTCAAAAACATTGCTTGGGGAAGGAGACATCCATCAATCCACAAATGCAACAATGAAGTTACATACAAGGCACAGTAAAAGCACAATCCTGAAGGAGAGGAGAGCCACGGAGCAGCAAAGCTTCTTGTTAGACACACAGACTGTGGTTCTACAGCCAGGTCCCATCCTTCATTCTTCATTTACTAATTGTGTGACCCTGGCTAAATGTCTTTACTTCTAGGTACCTGAGTTCCCTCATTGATAAGATGAGGATCATACTTACGTCATTGGGTATCATGAAAGTTCAAGTACTTAGTGCTTGGGAAACCTTTAGAATGCTCTGTGGCATCAATAAACACTAGTAGTTGTTATTGGGTTAGTGGTAGTGGAACACTTCACAGAGACGGTTGTGTTTATGAGTCTTAAAGTAGCAGCAGGAGTCACGGTCAACAAAAGGAGGATCATGGAATGAAAACAAAAAGCAATACTCACCCAAAGGGCAAAAAAGAATAAGACATATTTGCAAAATGTGGAATAATCTGGATTTGTGTAACGCTGTGGGAAATTGCTAAGCCTCGATTACCACCCAGATAAGGAAACAACGTCCAGATTGTTCCCCATCTCTAAAAACAAAATATCATGAAAAAAGCTCTGGCATTGTTTTCATTAAGAAAATTTAGTCTTTGATAGGGTGTACTATTTCCAGGCCAAAGCCACATGCATTTTGTAGCTATTTTTTTATCATTTGTAAAAATTCCTTTATTAATTTATCTTAACTGTTTTTTAGAGGAATCTGTATGAAGTGATACTCCCCTAGTATATTGACTTTTTATATTTTTATGCAATTAGGATAAAAGTGTCCAAAGAATTACATAATGGACACTTATTTACCCACCCATCCCAGTATAAGAAATAAATTGCATTCTACATTGAAGTCCTCTTTGTTCTTTTTGCCATTCCCAGCCTCCTTCTAGCCTCTCCAGCTTATGCAGGAAAAGATTAACTGGACAGGCCTGAATTCAAACCCTGTACACTCTCAAGAAAGACTTGTCTTCAGGTCTGGCCCTTAGTAAGCTCCTTGGAAGGTAAGGTCTGAGCCCTTGGCATATTCTTCCTCGTAAGAGTGTTTTTTTTATTCCTGAGGCCTTGAGCCAGGTATACCAGTAAGATCAGATAGTTGATGCTAACAATATGACTTATAGTAAGAACTTGTTTTTCACCTGGGGAGCTGGAATCTGAGTAGCTGAGGTCATCACTGCAGTGGCTCATGCACTTACTAAGGCTCAAGTGAACTTCCCTGTTGACAGCACTCCACGTGTGTTGTCGTACATTACAGCCGGGAAAATTAAGCACATCTACATGACTCCACTGGAAGAGGACACCTGGGGGCCTGTGCCTAGTTTCTCCTGGACATCTCCTCATAGGCCTTTACTCTTTGCTCATTTTTATCTGTATCCTCTCTGTGTAATAAACCATAAGTGTAAAAACTGAGTTCTGAGTTCTAGCAAATCGTCAAGTTTGAGGATGATCTCAGGGTCCTCTCACATAAGCAGTAACCAATCTCCTGATTTAAGGTTTGTCATGCATTTATAATAAATATGTTGGTGTTCATATAAAATATAGTACAATAAGCATATTTTAAATATGCATGTAAATATTATTCTTTACGTATTCTTGATTTGCTTTTATCACTTGGAGTTATTCTGTGGGATTTACCTTCAATAATGCATATACCTCTAGTTCATTCATTTTAACTTGTGCATACTGTTCCTAGGCTTGATGTTCCATTATTTAATTATTCATTCTCCTATCGATAGGCCTTTAGGTTGTTTCCCACATTTTGCTTTTATGACGAAATAAAAGTTTTTTATAGGTCTACATACAGATATAAGCAAGAGTATCTCTAGCATTACATTTGGCCAAATTTCTTCCCAAATGGGCCGTTTGTACAATTTATCTTTACACCAGCAATGTGTGAGAGTTCACATATACCACATTTTAAGCAATATCTCTATGGTCAAACTGGCTTTACCAAACTAATAGTTATGAAATGCCATCTTACTGTAGTTTTAGCTTTCATTTGCCCAATAGTGAGTGAAGTTGAGAATGTTTTATGTATTTGTTGGCATTTTTGTGAGTTTATTTTCTGTAAATCACCTGTTCATCTTTTTTCTCCTTTTTTTATAGAAAGGCTTTTGTTATTGTTGCTACTGTTGTAAGTTGAAGAAATCTTTATATATTTTGCATTTTAATGCTAGCTGGTTATAAGCAATACGTATTAGTCAGCTCAGGTTGCTATAACAAAATATCATAGATTGTAGGGCTTAAAAAACAGGCATTTATTTCTCACAGTTCTGAAGTCTAAACTCAAGGTACTAGCAGATTTGGTTCTTGTGAGGACCCACTTCCTGACTTGCGGAGGACCACCTTTTCCCTGTTTCCTCACATGGCAGAGAGGGAAAAGTTCTGGAGTCTCCTTTTCTTATAAGGGCATTAATCCCATCAAGGGGCCCCAAACCTCATCAAAACCCAGTTACTCCTCAAAGACCCCACCTCCAAATACCATTATATTTGGGGTTAGGGCTTCGACATATGAATTTTGTAGGAGGGGACAAAACTGTTTTATTCAGTGGACATGTTTGTCCTTTCTTTTTGCATTTTATCAATTGATATACTCAAGTTTGTTTATTTATGTGTTTTAATTTGAAGGCTGCTCATTTTTTCTACTTCCGGTTTAGGATGTGTCTTTTCGTGTGTTAAGAAATCTTCTGCAACTCAGTTCACTCATACACTTTTCTTTATTCCCTCTAACTTAGAGTGCTGATTTTTTTTCATTTTGCAAGTTCTAATATCATGAGAGTTAATTTTTATGTGTGGGGTAAAGTAAGGACAAATTCATTTTTTTCCATATGCATAACAGGTTGTCCCAATACAGTTTATTAAAGAGTCCATCTTTCCCCACACTTTATCATTTCACTTTTTTATTTCTTATAAAAGTTTTGTTTTATTTGTGTGTGTGTGTTTGTGTGTGGGAAGTGGGTGTGCTGAGACCTGATGTAAAATATATTTCTCACTATGAGCCTGTGGAGCCTATTAAAAAAATAGTTGAGAGCCATCACACCACATTATACGGCTAAAATACAGACTTGCAAAAAATATGTAGTCATATTTATTATTTCTCTAATGGACTCATTGGAAAGACATTACCAGATAAAATACATTTTTATTAATTTTTATTTTACTGAAACTGTGTTCTAAGAATAAACTGCATTTTATATGTATGCAGTGAAAGATGAATGCAGTCATGAAAAGCTTTATCAGAATCATACTCTTAATAGTTTTACAGGAGTAAAGAACTATCTTCTGTTTACCATTGCAGTGCCACTGCAGAGCGCAATTCCTGGGGCACGTCGGACATTCAGTAAATACGTTTATTGAATGAATAAAACATAACACAGTAAGTAATTCATCTTAAAGTCAACCATTTACATTACTTTTTATCCCTGAATACCCTTCCTCTACCTGTCAATTCAGCAGTCCAAGGGAAAAACCAGCTTGGTCAACATTAAATTTGGAGCTCCCACATCATATATTTTCATAGAACTAAACTAAGACATAGTTTAAAGAGAAAATGTTTCACTCCTCACGTGACCATGTTCTCTTTGGACTGGCTTTTCCCCTTCCATTCCATATCTCTAAGTCCAGTTTATCCTTTGAGTCCTGACTCACTCAAGCTTCTCCCCACTTCCTTCCTTGACCACTTGTTAAGTGTTTGCACCAGTAGTCTAGAAGTATAAAGGCATACACCTCATTATCACTACACACTGTTTCATAGGTAAGTCTTAATTTCAAATTAGTTCCTAACTCCTTGTTGACAATGACTATGACCAAGACGTCAATCCTCCTTTAGGGTCTAAAACAGTACTGTGCATGTCAGAGGCATTCATTATATGCTTGTGAATTGACCAGAATAAATGACCGAATTGAAGTCTGATTTTGGTCAATTCACCAGACAAAGGGCCACAGAAGCATTGCATCCTTTCATGACAGAATTAGGGCATGATTCCATTTCTATATGAAATACTAGCTGTGTGTTGTTATTAAAATTATTTTCTGGCCCCACTGAGAGTTGAAAGAAAAGTTGAAATTTAAAGGATTCCTTCTATTCATCATTTTTAAGAAATTTCATTTTTAGTTATGAGGCAGTGTAAGGCATATTACCATTTTATTTGGACACTTATTTAGACCAGATTGCAAATTTTCTGTTAATTGAGTGCTGAATTGGCCAACACACCATTGTAGATGTACTCCATAGCTTCTGCACATGGAATTTATTACAGACTTTTCATCCACATCTGCTCCTTTACTTTGCTTAATATACTATAGTATTTCTCTTAGATACAGGGGAAGACAAAGAATATCAAATGACAAGTGAAGAAAAATTAACTTAGAATTATTCACAGTTAAATTGTATCTATACTCAGGTTATCTAATAAAATATTAAATAAACTATGTATCTTTTTTGTTGTCCTGTTATATACTTTCCATGTTTCTCATTACACAAATACACATTTAGAAAGCTGAAAATATGTAGATGAGCAAATACGAGGTTACCTAAAATCCTATCATCCAGAGATGATAACTATTGACATTCTGCTATATATACTTCTAAACATTTTCTTGTAAAACATAATTTTTAAATAGATTATATTCGTATTTTTGAGGAAAATATTTTTCAGTTAACAAGTTGCTATTTCAAAATTAACACTGTAAATTCCTTTCTATGACAGTAAATACACATGTATATTTCATGTGAAATAGTTGTAGCAACTTTTACTGTATAAACCCATGTAACATATTTAGCAAATCAATACATATTGTAGGAAACTTAGTTTCCAATTTTCAATATGTTAAAATTTTGACAAGAATATTTTTGTGTAAACATTTTTATAAGTATATAATGCTTCCTGAGGATAAATTCTAAAAAGAGGTCTTACTAAGTCAATATATATTTTTTCCTATAATTTTGACATGATTTGCGAATTTGCCCTTCAAAAAACTTATACCCATTTATACTCTGTTTCACCCTTCCTAAAAAGTACTAGTTATCATCCTTCACTTTTCATGTTTAGAATCGGTTAGGTGAAAAATAGCATTTCCATTTACTATTTTTTATTATTTTCAACTACTGTTGAGGTTAAATATCTTTCTATGTGGTTTTGGGCCAATTTTATTTTTCTACTAGAATGATAATCTTTTATTGGTTTTTCAGACTATTACCTATATTCCTGAGTCTGACATATCAAAGTTTTTAATCCAATAAATAAAATATCATTTTAATAAAGTTATTTATTTCTTGACTTTAGTACCACCCCAAAAAATGTTTGCTGAAAGGTTCCAATTAGACACTCTTGACTGAATTCCCTTCTTTCCTCACCTCCTTTCTGTTGTATTCTTTAAGGGCATAGAATGAGAACCATGTAACTCGTGTTAGTCTCAAGATTAATAGACTCAAGGTGCAAGAGATGCAATATTCCGAGCATGAAGAATTATTAACTAGCAACAACGTTTTGAGAAATGTTCTTGCATTTCAAATGCTTCATTGCTTCAATGAATAGTGAACACAGGAAGTCACTTGGAGACAGATGCTGCACTTGCACATATTACAAATGCAAACAGCCCAAAGTGAACAGGGAAGAATAAAAAGAAAACCAGAAATTCTCTGATGAAGAGGAAAAAAATCATTGCCCTGAATTTGAAAAATAATCTCTGACTAAAAGGTATCCTCTCAATCTAAGGCCATTGTGCAGTAAACATGTCTTATATGATGAAATGAGGACTTAAAAGAGCAAAATAATTGTGTCCATTTCCGATGGTAGTCAGTACTAGAGTCTGACTACTATTAGAAGACTAATTTAATATGTACTATGTTATTCCAATAGAACTGGTAAATCTCACTTAATACTATAATGCCCATTAAATTATATATTACATTTTGATTCAGAAGTAGATAAGTGCATTTTTCTGGGGAGAGGTCTCTGTTTTTAATCAGATTCTTAAAATGGACAATGAACTCCCAAAATAGGATATAGCCCAAACATGCTATTTCCTGCCACCCTCCTAATATTTGCAAATATTCCACTTTCTCTCTGGAATGACCTTTCTTTTCTTTCTTCCTATTACAAAATAATATTCTTCCTCAAATTTCAAGTCAAAGATTACCTTGTTAATAAGTCATTTTCAACTCAATCAGAATTATCCCTTTTCTGGATATAAACAACACTTTCTGCCTCTGTTAAAACAGCAATAAAGTTACAGTATAGCTGATCATTTTGCTTGTTGGTCTCACTGGCAAAGTGAGGACAGAGGCATATTTTATTCTTCACTGTCTCTTCCACACCCCCATAACTTTGTTTGGGGACAAAGTGCTGGTACTGAGAGCAAATACTATCTTTATGCATGGATGACTAAAAGATCATATAGACAGGTGATTTTGCATATGACTGAAACTTCACTTCATAGTGCCTTTTACTTTTTGAGAATCTGCACCCTCACTCAAAACACATTGCCTAAGGCTGCACTCTGGGTTTTAAGTTTGCTAGCATATTTTCTCCCCAGACTCCTCGTTATCTCAGTGTTGGGGCCTCTGCGACATTTCCATATAAGGTTCTTTATATTTTTCTTTATCATTGTCTTATGCCTCCTTGAGCTGACTGTGTGACCAATTGAGTCTATTCTCTTCACTAGTGCACACCAGGGACCCTGAGTTGCTATGAGAGAATACCTTGCATTTGAGGTACAAGCATTGTCACATTTGAAAATATATATTCTGATTTTTTTTCCCCTCAAACTGGCATTTAACCCAAGTTGGGCTTTCCCTGGAAAATTGAATGTTGCTTTTCAAGAATGTATAGATCATCAAATGAATTATTATCACTCCTATGATCAGAAAGAACCTGTGGGTGTTCTATTGGCTTATTATTAAATTGGGATTACAATGTAAACAAGGCAAAGGCCCCACTTCAGGGATTTAAATCCAAACCTTGCAAATTATCTCAAATATATATATGTTTAAATCCTGTGTCAATGGCTGGAAGATACTGTTGTGTCTCATCTATTTTTTAGTTTCACCTGTGATGTGTAAGGAAAATGCATGAGTAAAGGATAAACTTGACATTTCATTGTATTATTCTTTATGGTAGAGAAATATTGCAGGGCACCTTTTATTTTCCGTGTTTAATGATGATATTATTTGGTAGCAAGCAGGGCAAAAGAGTCAGGGCTAAACCTGTTATCAGCCTTTTCTACTTATCTTAATGATCTCAGGAAAGTTGTCCAAAGTTCCTAATTCTCAGTTTCCTTGTCTGTACAGCAGGGTTATTCCATCACCTCAAGGTATCTTTTATGAGGATAAAATGTGAACATGTTATATAATTTAAAAGAATAGAGGAGTGTTTGCAGTTGCCAATTAGGACTAATATAATCAACTGTCTGTCTGCAAATACTCACTAGGCTTTTTCTCTTTAGGGTGATGTCTTCTACCTGAACCCTAAATATTTGAGAAGTCTAGGAATATAGAGTTCATGAGGTAAGACATTAGACAGCAGGTGCTTCCCTAGTGTTCTGACAAGCCCAGCCAATAACTATCACTTGCTGCGTAGAGGGACTCAGTCTGTGGCAGATTAACCTTTGACTTCACACCTCTGTGCCGCTTCTGAAATCAAATTTGCCACACTAAATGGAATCATCACAGTGGTGATAGCCTTTTTTTTTATTTCCCAGGCTGTTTAATTTATTCTGCATAACTAGCCACTTTATCCCTCAGGGGAAATTCATGAAAGAGCTGAAGCCTCTGGTCTTCCCTGTGAAAGGGGACAGAGCTGGTAAGTCACAGCCAGGACGCTCAACAGGGCTACATGCATGGAACCTACAGAAAACCTGATTTAAGGATTAACAGAACACAGCATCTACACTTCACGTTCCTGAATTCTAATGAAAATAATACATCATGCATTCGCCTAAAATTTTATTTTGGTGTGAAATCTTGGTCTTTGTCTTTTTTTTTCATCCCTGTACTTCCCTGGGTCACATCATGCTTTAAGAAAATAAAAAGGCTTCGTTAGTCAGACAGTATCCATAACAGATGCCAGTTCAAACTGAGCAACCTAAAGAGAAGCAAACTACACCCTTGGCAGCCAGAAATGAATACATCCTGAATCCAACAAGACAAACATGTCCAAAGGGCTAGTCTAACAGATTTGACTTCACATTGTAAAGTGCTTGAGTGGATGTGGCAATAAAGGGTAGATGTATATTTCAACACCCTAGGAGTTCATTTCTGTCAATCGATGGCTGGAATTTACTTTGAGGATATTACCTAAAGGTGTTTTTGAGTCACTGGACATTTGGAAGCCTGGTTTGAAGCATGCATTTAAATGGAAGAGGAATGTTTTAAAAGCTTTCTAACCATTTGAAGCTGTTATTCTGAAAATAACATTTCAGAGTAATATAGCAATGCATTCGATTTTCAGAGGGGGAGCTTAAACTTGGCGAGGTTGAGTGAATTGTCCCATAAATGTGTATAAGCAGGGAAGTAACAGAACACAAGTCAGAATTCTCTAACCCTGGCTGTTTTGTGTTCTGCAAGTATGTGATACTTGAGAGTGAAGGAATGGCACTTTCAAGTTTAGAAAGGTGTCAAAAAAAATCTGAAAGAAAAGAATGAAAACACTAGGGAAACTTTTGTTTGTTTAGGATATAGGCATGAAGTTGAGAGCAGAAAGGAAAATTGAAACTATTTTCTTTTTCTTTGAATTTTTACCGTCTCAAAAAAAGTGGGGTACAGATGAAAAGGAAGCTATCAGCCAGTCTTTAGCCACAAGTAGGAACAACAGAAACATGAGGCTTACAACAAAATACAGTGGGAGGAAAGAATCCTGAATTGAGAACACTGGGATCAGATTCCAGCACTTACTTCATGACTGCAGGAGGTCAAAATCTCTGAAATCCATGGTTCCTCCGTGTGTGCAATAGGGAATTTTATTAGACTTCTATGCTGAATTTAATAATTTTATTTTTACAGTTCTAATTTACATAATTTCCACAGAAAGCTTATGATATTCTAATTCAGTAATGCCCATGAAGTAGCATTATTTATAAACTATAAAATACTATGCACATGTTAATGCTATTATTACTTTTGGAAATGTACCTATTACATTCAGACCAGGGAGCTCTATTATCAGGCTCAGGTGTGTACAGGAAATATGATGATGCTATTCTGGAACATCTACTACATGCTTAACATACACTACCTCTCATTTTCCCCACAAACTTCAAGTTAGGCATTATGGTATTAACTTCCTGTTACTGCTACAAATTATTGTAACAAATTATTGTTAGCCGCTGAACGTACCTGAGTCACACAGCACCAAAATATGTTAGCGGTGGAAAATCCATATCAGGTCTGCAGCAACCTCAATTCTTGCCTCCTCAGAAGAAGGAGGCATTTGCTTGAGGGGTATCAGGCAGGAAAGACTGAGGCAAGTTTTACAGCAGGAATGAAAGGAAGGTGCACTTGGAAGACAGCAAAGCAGAAAACTTGAAAGACAAATGCACAGCTTGACCTTTTGACTTGGGGTTTTATACGTTGGCCTTCTTCCAGGGTCTTGCGTCACTTCTCCCAACACCTGAGATCTTATCCAGAAGCGGCTGATCACCTGTTTCAGGTGTTTTCTATCTATTAGGGGCGGGCCTTTCCCTGGTACCAGCTGTGACTAATTATTACTTTAGAGAGACAGTTAACAACCTCCTGACCATCACCTGATGGTCGCCCGACACTCCCGGTGTGTGGGGGTGGGGGATGGGGGTGGTGCCCTTTCCTGCCCGCTCATAAAGGACTAGCTACCTACTGTAACATTATCACAAACTCAGTGGTGCACAACACAAATGTGTTATATCTATGGAGGTCAGGAGTCCCAATTCACCGTATCAACTGGGCTACGTTCATTTCTGGAGGCTCTGGGGGAGAATCTGTTTCCTTGCCTTTCCTGGCTTCTAGAAGCTGCCTGCACTTCTGGGCTCATGGCCTCTTCCTTGTATCCCTGAGACCTCTGCTCCTGTCATCCCATCTCCTCCTCCCACTCCCACTCTTCTGTCTTTCCTTTTCTTTATAAAAACCCTTGTGATTACAGTGGGCTCCACAAGCAAAACCAGGTTGATCTCCTTATCTCAAGATCCTCAATTTAACTACATCGGGAAAGCCTCTTTTTCCATATAAGGTAACATACTCATAGGTGCTAGGGATTAGAATGGGGAGATCTTTGGGGTTGGGCATTATTCTATCTACCGCAGCATTATTTATTCCATTTTGAGATAAGGAAACTGAAAGTGAAAGTAGTGAAATAATTTGACTATGAATAGTTCGTAAAGGAACAACACCACCTCATGCAATTTGGTGTTAAATCTCAATGCAGAGGCAAAAGGTGCTTACGGTAGAAACCTCCTCGTCTGTCAACCATCTGCCTGCCTCAGTGTTGTGCCTTTAGCTATGAAGTGAATTAGGGAAGGGACAATTGTGAATAAATCTAAATCTAAGCTCACTTCTGGAAAAATAACTTTCAAGACTATATACTTCACCCAGTGAGAAAATAGACATTTCTGGACAAAACATCCAAAAAGGAAAAGGCTTCTATGCCCAAATTAAAATAGCTCAAGTGGCAAGGACATTCACTTTTTATTCTGTGCATGCCCAAAAGTCTGCAAGTGACAGGGTGCACATCTGGCCTCACCGAAGTGATGTAAAAATCTGTATCCCTATTTCTCCACGTCTATGTCCATGCCTATAAACATTGAGATGTGGCACCCACGGTTCAAGCGTAATGCTTTTGTTTCCCAAAAGGTCTCCTGGACTTGGTTTTCACTCGTTCACTTCAGCCTGTGAGGTGGAAGCAGCAGTGATTACAGGAACACACTAAGCTGGACCATGGAGAAATATAACTACATGTAATATGGAAAGAGAAATAAAACAGTTATGATTTATTCCACGGTCTGAGTGTGCCGGGAACTGTATTAGGTACTGTATGTGCACAGACTCATCAAATCTTAGATCAAAGGAATTCCTTCCTTTGAAATAAGAAGGAATATTATAAGTACATTACAAATGAAGAACCTGGGGCTCAGGCCAAGGTCACACAGCCAGTTGGGCCGAGAGTGGGACCTCACAGGCAGGCGGTCTGCCCCCAGAGCCTACCTGCTGGCTATGCCAAGTGGCCCTCACCTCATATGAAAGAGCATGATGGTAGGAGAGGGGCTGGGAGTCTCTAGTGGGCAGGGTCCCACACCTTTGTGTAATGTTGTGTGAGGGTGAGAGGTACTGAGAATAGGCTCTGTGGGGTAAGGAGAGCTTGACCTACAGGGTCAGCAGGAATAAAAGGCTTAGAGCTGTTAAACCTGTTCCTGTGTTTGATTGCTCCAGATACAGCCTCCAAGGCACTGTGGGAGAGGGACTGAACTGTGGGTGGGCTGGTCTAAGGCCAGCTACTGTTAGGGTCTGAGCTACTGGGACAGCATAACCCTGAGCCCCACTCAACAGACACAGAGCCATGGGAGCAAAACCCCCTCCTAACCCACCAGGACAAAATGAGGATATGGCCAGTAGCTGAGCCAATCCGAACTTGCTGAACCAAGCAGACTCAAGAAATCAACCCCAGTTATCCTCAAATACATATCTGAAAGAGACAAAATTATTAATTGTATTTATGACATTTGTGAGTAAATAAAAAAATGCATTAATATTTCGTTAGCACTATTAAGATCAGCTAGAAGAGTATATGTTATGCCAGTTACAATTAGGTTACTGGAAGATTTTTAACTTGCAACTTGGAAATGATGTTTGCCTGCAAATAATTGAGACCTACACAAGGAAACAAAGCACAGGTGCTGGTGAGGTTGGGGTACAAAATGTAGAAGTAAGCTAGATGGATTGAGTGGGTGAGATATGGAATAAGTGGTGGGAAGTCAAATGCAAAATCAATTCAGTTTGTCAATATTGATTCTCTATTCTAGCCTGGCGTGGTTTTTCCTCGTCACACACACACACACACACACACACACACACACACACACACACACACACACAGCATAAGATTACTCAGAAGCTGCTACTGGTATGAAAATGTTATGTTATTAAGTTAGTAAACCCCATTATTCGCCAGATTTCATATTTCAGAGTCTCTGTAACAGAACATTGTATCAAAAAACAGAAAACAAGTCTCACTTAAGAAAATATTTGATTTTTCTATGCTTTTGTGCTCTACTCTTTTCATGAATAACAAAGAATAATGATACTGTAATATTAAGAAGAGATTTGTTCACTTAAAACTCAGACATTTCCCATGAGTGAGTTCATTGAATTTGTTGGCTATCTACTCTAAAGTACTAGACACTCCAGTACCTCCAGAAGGAAAAAGCAATGAGAGATTGAACGTTCCCCACAAGGAGACTGAATTATTGTTGAATATTCAAAATACATACAAGAGAGAAAAAAGGTCTTAAGAATGTTTACAGAGCAGTCTTCATTTTAGTATAAATTATTATAATGCAAATTGCATTTTAATATTGTCTAACTTAAATCTTAAGAGAGAAATAGATTAGGTACACACTGCCCATTTCATAACTGAGTCGATTAAAATTCTGAGTGAGAAATTGGTAGAGTCAAGAGTGAAACTCAGATCCTTTGTATCTAAATCCTATGGTCCTTCTACAACACCCCATGGCATCCTTATTTACATTTTTTATTGATAATCAGGGAACAGATCACCATTGAACAGATATAATTTAACCTGAGTTTTGAAAAAAGAAAATGAAGAAGGCATTCAGTGTTAGCAAGCGGTATGCGCAAAGCTGTTAAGTGGAGTAGTCCTCTGAGAACAAAACAATCCTGGGCTCATCCCAAAGTTTAACGACAAGTCCTGGGAGAATTGAGCTGATCTGCCGTAAATGAAGGACCTGCCAGAGCGCAAAACAAAACTCTTTAAAAGAAGAAACAAAATCCAGACTAGGCTCCAGTGTGCAGCAGACAATCAAAGATTACAAATGAGCAAAGAAGCAAAAAAAGATGATACACAGGAGATGGGTTAATGGTGGGAAACTCTCAACAGAGTCAAAAAAACAAACCAGACAGGATGGAGGTGTGGGCATTAGCAGACAAGGACTTTCATACAGTTCAATAAGATGATTTTTAGAGACTTCCGGGTCTAATACTCTATGGAAAATGTACACAGTCCTTCTTTAATTTGGGAAGAGTAGTTGCTTCATTGTGATTCAGCAAATTATCAAGCACTTCAAAATGTGCGAGGCACTGTGAATAACAAAATAAACAAGAATAAAATGACCCTGTACCTTTGTGTAACCTGGAATCTGGTGGGGCGATGGGAATTAAACATGTAATGTTCGCTCAGTACTATGAGTGCTAGGTTGGAGAGAGTACAGTGCTAAGGCAGAAGGAATCTGACTTGCTGGAAGGTAAAAGCAAATTGGAAGTGGTGAAGTAACTAAAACTTTCTGGAAAGCTACTGACAAATTTCTGTACCCCATGTTTTAATGCTGCTTGGCTCAGTCTTTGAGTTTGTGCTCCAAAATTCCTCAGAGAGGCTGGGTGCAGTGGCTCACACCTGTAATTCCAGTACTTTGGGAGGCTGAGGCAGGTGGATCACCTGCGGTCAGGAGTTCGAGACCATCCTGGCCAACATGATGAAACCCTGTCTCTACTAAAAACACAAACAATTAGCCGGACGTGGTGGCGGGTGCCTGTAGTCCCAGCTACTCAGGAGGCTGAGGCAGGAGAATTGCTTGAACCTGGGAGGCAGAGATTGCAGTGAGCTGAAATCGTGCCACTGCACTTCAGCCTAGGCAAAAAGAGCAAAACTCCATCTCAAAAAGAATATATATTTTTTAAAAATTCCTTCAGAGAGGTAAACCAATTCCTTATACTCTAAGTGGATATTTGTTTTGTTTTGTTTAAATTTTTGTGGGTAAATGATAGGTATATATATTTATGGGGTACATGAGATGTTTTGATATAGGCATACAATGTGAAATGAGCACATCGTGGAGAATGGGTTATCCATTCACTCAACCCTTTATCCTTTGAGTTACAAGCAATCCAGTTACGTTAAGTGGATATTGAGATGTACTGTTTCTTAATGCAGAAATGGAAGTGAAAGATAATGAAAAGGATAGTGCTGCATTCTGAAATTGTCACCTGAGGAAGCAAGCCCTGAGCTCTGAAAAGAATGTGATGTAGGCAGAATTGGTAATATGGAAATAGAATAGTGTAAGCCACCTCTTTGAGGGAGGAAATCAGAAATCAGAAACATAGGTCTCCTCTTAAGAAGAAAATTATCTTTAATTGAAAAGAAACTATAAAAGAATAACTGGGATATAATATACTCGGTTCATTCAGGAAATGCTTTGTAAATTGCCTTCTCTGTGCTGATGAGAAAGCTGAAAGATATCAAATATTTATCTAACTAAACAATTTGCCTAGTCCCTGACTAATCAACGTGAGGTAAAGACAACAAATACGATTAAGTTGAACTGTGTTCTGTCGTCTATCGCAAGTTACAAATCTCTGTTGAGTTTTCTGAATTTGATGGAAGGAAGTAAAGACCCTTGTTCCAAGTTATTTGACTGCAGCATTTCTCTTTCTTTTTGTAACATAGCTCTTTAAACACTCTGTTTGTATAGACTTAAAATGTTATGAAAGTTTTAAAAAAACTTTTTTACTCAAGCATAGCATCCACCATAAGGAAATTTTGAAACTTTTGGTAATTTCCAGTCATAAAACACATTGTAGGAGGTAGTGATGATTTTCATCTGCACCTGTTGTTAATCAGTTCCAGAGTAAATTAACACACAGTCCGCTGGTTTTTCGCTTCCTTTTGCTTTTATACCTAGAACCAGCTGCTTTGTTTCACATCCAATATATACTTCATGGAACCTCTGGTATATGAAATTGCAGCTTTTTTGTTTTTGCTCTGCATGGGTTAAGTGGAGTTATGCTCCAAAGCCAATGTTTTTGATTCCGTGAAAAGAATCCTGTGACCTTGTGGAATTCTATCCTCCAAAGTCCTGGGCTGATTTACAAACCATCATTGCTTAACGGGATAAGGGGCCACATCTAGACCTTTCTTAGCACAGATAAATTTTTCTATTCTCTTCTCCCCAGTACTTCCTGAAACACCTCTGCTCCACAAAAATTTCCATTCTTCTTTGCCTTGCGCAATGCTGTGTGGGCTGCTTGGGTGGCTCGTCATCACAGAAATCTTTTTTTTTTTCCGTCACAAGAAAGAGAACAACCTTTCAGGGGCTCATTTTGTTTCCTGCTCGCTTCTCTGACAAGCGAAGTACAGATATGCATGTGGCAGAGTGAAAGAAGTCTGCCCGGGGAAGCCTCAAGACCTGGTCTGCACTTGTGCCTTTTTCAGGAATTATAATTACAAACAGCTCTATAGTGCTCATGGCTGAGCTCCTGTAAGCAGAAGAGGTTTGGAAACAGGCAGGACCCAGAGAACTCTGAATTGTTTCTATTATTTAGGGTCTCCACCACTTTGTTTGCCAGCAATGGCTAAAAACCAAACCTCTGAAGGGCTCAAATTTTCAGGAAAAACACCCTCAGTACATTAATAGTACATTTTCATCTTCTTCAGTGTCTGTCTCATGCACACTTCTTAGGAGAGATAAAAATATTACCTAGTGTAAGGTGTCCACCCACCTTTTGCCCTCAGACTTCTGTACTTAGAACAAGGTTTGCAGAAAAGTTAGCAGGAATATCATCCGTCTCTGAAGCCTCCCTAACAAACTCAAAGAAAGGCACCTTAGGGCCTCAACGTAGAAATTATTTTAAAGCATGTTGAAACCACAAATGGCATGCAAATAGATGCTACAGAAAAACAAAGCACTGTGAGAACTAATGACCTCAGAGCTTGCAGTTCTCAAGTAACCTCTGTAAAAGGTCAATACAAGAGGCAAGATTAAGAAACAGGAGCCGAAGCAGACTCTTCACAGACGAGCAGGAGGAAACAGGCTAACGGGCCTCACTTTCTCATGGCACCCATGCAAGCTCATTCATGATGCAAACCAGGCAGCTGGTGCCAGAATTCGTGTCTTTGTAAACATCTCTGCTTTCTAAAAGAGAACATAATTCTCCTCCCCTGGTGTATTTCTTCACTTATAGCTGTCTGAATTGAAAAGGCAGATGTTTTATTTAGGGAATTGACTGCAAAGGTGATTGCTTTCAGGTGAAACAGTTAATAAATTAAAATTTAGGGAACAAATAAGTCTACTTAGGGAATAGAACTCTACCAGCTAAATGTGGAGAGAAAAGAGCTCAGCCTAGTTGTTCTTGGAATAGCTCTGTGGATAATTACATAATTAGGAGAGCAGGGTGGAGGGGCACAGTCGTATTGATTAGCTGTCTAGAAATTGCCCTATTGCTAAACCTGGAGGCAGACATTTTATTATCGAAATAAAACCTGTTGTACAAGACTCAAGTCTCATACAAATGCAAGTGTTATAAGCAATGCAGTGTACTTTACAGTGCCCCAAACCCTTGGGATCTCAGCTTCTTTTGAACAAAGTCAAACATACCCCCTTTTAAAAACTTTCTGCCTTAATCCCACTCCCATTCCAGCCACTTCAGTATCTTCCTGTAAACCTTCACTGAAAAAATCCTGAAGAGTAAACTCTACCCACCAGTTCCAGGCCCTCATTCACCATTGTTCACTTTTTAATTCACTCCAACCTCATTTCTGCCTGTGCCATTTCTTGGGACCTCTCCTGCCAGAGACCTAATCATTTCCCTCCTCTGAGCCACTGAGGACACTTCAATCTGCATATTCTGAGACTGCATGACAATGTCTCTGCTGACCACTTTGTCCTTCTGAAAGCCCATCTTCCCCTGGTTACCAGGAGCCCACAACCTCGCAGTGTTCCTCCTCTATCTCATATTTTTATATATATTTTTTGCCACGCCATCTCATAAGCTCACAGAATGGTTTTGAATAAATATTTGTTCCATAAATAAGAAATGTAAAAGAAAAGTGAAAGAATAAATTCGACTTCTGAAGAAACATGAGGTGAGGTGTGGTGCTCCACAGTCATTGTTTCCTTAAATTAAGCTTCTTCAGGTTCAGTGTCTTGATCATGCTCATTCCTAACATTTGCACCTGGGACAAGGGTGCAAACAAAAGCCTGGGATCCATAGAACTTCCATCTTCTCTTCTCGCTGTCAACTCTGGCCTGAACCAAGAGGGGCCAGGTATATGGGCCAGTGGACAATGCACTGTAACTTGCAAGCTTCTTCCACCACCATCTAGTAGCTGCCACAGTAGCCACCCTTTGGCTATTCCTCAGAACAAAAGATAAGCAAACAGCAGTTCAGCCCGCTCTCTGAATGACAGGCAGGGGAGAGGCCTCTGCAAGCTATGGAAACCAGCTTGGAGACTTTGCGTCCAGAATTTGGAGGTCTGGACCGTGTCTAACAGAGGAGAATGGAGTAGGTTCTGAGAAGGCATATCCCCTTGACCTGCAGGAAGAGCACAGTAAGAAGAGAGCCAGAAAGGCCCCTTCTACAAAATACCTGGCCCGGGGCAGGGGCCTGGGCAGGCGTTCTGCTTGTGAGACTGGTCTCCATCATCTTTTGGCATTTTAGTTGAGAAGCCTGAGGCTCTCCTTTGGTTGTCCTTAAGAAGAATTAGAGTCAGGCTCAGAAGCCCAGAAAAGCTTCTCATTCATTCTTGGGGCATGTGTCTTAACCTGGGGTGCTCTAGAAGGGTCCATGTCACTATCATCACAGTTTCTATACATTCTATGTCCTCTACACATCCTATACTTATTTTATGGAATTGCATTTGTGATATTTTTTACATTATATTTTTGGCAAAACTTAATAGAAGATAGGCACAAGAAAGATATCAGGGGATAATCAAACAATACTGCTTTTCACCCTTCTTGGAGGCTGCTAAGGACCAAATGAAAAAAATTATAAGCAAAAGGTTGTAGAAAAGAGATGGATAACTTAATCAGACAGAGGCTTAATTAAAAACTAATGAAGTGAAGACGCTGGGCTTACCCAGTATGCAAATTATTTCATTGTATGTTACCCTGTTCGCTCATTTCTAAGCTAGTATTTTCAACTTACTCATATGCATCTAGAGAAAAATAATACTTTATTTAGCAAAATTCATCATGTATACTACCAATCCGTATCTGTTTATACCCATGCATTCAATCATTTCACATGACAGAAGAGCAAAATTTGGGGAAACTGTATGTGTTGCATGTGATTGATGTTGCTAAATATGAGTATTTATAAAGGAAATGCAAAGAAAGAAAAAATACCAATATGTTAAACTTGAAATGATCCATAGACTAAAAAATCACATCATTTCTGGTCTGGACAGAAACACTTGAAACTGCAAAAACCCTTTCCCTCTTTTTTTCTGTCTCCAACCACACAACCATGGAGCTGTAAGTTCTCCTTTGAATACATCAGGCACTTCTACATATCTGTGCTTTTGCTCATACTGGTCTGCACAACCTTAAAAAGTCTTTCTCCCTTTATCATTGGATAAGACTGTCATCATTCTTCAAAGCATAGATCAAATACTCCTCACTTGTGAAACCTCCCTCCTCCCCTATGCTACTAGTCAGAATCAACCATTTCCCGTTGTTGCTACAGAGTGTGATGAGACTTAAGACTCTGGGTTCAGGTATTGGTTCTGCCACTGGCTAGCTGTGTGATTTTGGCTAATTTTGGTCACTCACCTTCTTTATCTTCTTTATCTATAAAATAGGGACAATAATAGTATATACCTCATGAGGTTCTTCTGAGTTTTAAATGAGCTAAGAAAAAAAATACAGATTAAGGATTCAGAAAGAAGGTCTGAGACACTGTAAGTACCTAAGAATGTTTGCTATTATTATAGCATGCCTTCATTATTATACATCATATGAATGGTGACATGACCCATTTGCCTATTCAGTTTGCCTATTCAGTAGCCTATCAGCACTTTGAATTTTTGTTATTATACTTTAAGTTTTGGGATACATGGGCAGAATCGTGCAGGTTTGTTACATAGGTATGCATGTGCCATGATGGTTTGCTGCACCCATCAACCCGTCATCTACATTAGGTATTTCTCCACATGCTATCCCTCCCCTAGTCCACCACCCCCCAACAAGCCCCACTGTGTGATGTTCCCCTCCCTGTGTCCATGTGTTCTCATTGATCAATTCCCACTTACTAGTGAGAACATGCAGTGTTTGGTTTTCTGTTCCTGTATCAGTTTGCTGAGAATGATGGTTTCCAGAGGAACTTAAACAAAGTTATAAGAAAAAAACAAACAACCCATCAAAAAGTGGGTGAAGGATATGAATAGACACTTCTGAAAACTAGATATTTATGCAGCCAACAAACATGAAAAAAAGCTGATCATCACTGGTCATTAGAGAAATACAAATCAAAACTACAATGAGATACCACCTCACACCAGTTAGAATGATGATCATTAAGAAGCCAGGAAACAACAGATGCTGGAGAGGATGTGGAGAAATACAAATGCTTTTAAACTGTTGGTGGGAGTGTAAATTAGTTCAACCATTGTAGAAGACAGGGTGGCAATTCCTCAAGGATCTAGAACCAGAACTTTGAGTTTTTATTCCCAATTCCACAGTATTTATACATAATAAGTTTTGGATAACCCTTTGTTGAAGTGGACTACAGTGTCCCTAAAGTTATTTATTTATTTATTTATTGAGAGAGGGTCTGGCTCTGTCACCCAGGCTGGAGTGCAATGGCACAATCTCAGCTCATTGCAACCTCCCAGGTTCAAGCAATTCTCCTGCCTCAGCCTCCTGAGTAGTTGGGATTACAGCCACATGCCACCACACTCAGCTAATTTTTGTATTTTTAGTAGAGATAGGGTTTCACCATTTTGGCCAGGCTGTTTTTGAACTCCTGACCTCAAGTGATCTGCCTACCTTAGCCTCCCAAAGTGCTGGGATTACAGGCATGAGACACCACGCCCTGCCCAGTGTCCCTAAACTTTTATAAAAATATCTAAACTGTTACAGTGAAATGAATTATCTCTTTATATGAATTGTTTCTTTGACAAAGAAATCACAAATAGATAATTTTACCAAAATTTAAAAATAAGTATTCACAACTCAAGGGCTTGGAGAAATGGCCTTAATTAATAGTTTCCATTGTACAATTGTTTTGTTAAAGAATAATAATGTATCCACTCAACAAGCGATTATCAGCAGTTCAGTGAATTATGTACTATATTGGATAAACCAAAATTGTTCATTTTTCACAAATGTTTTCTGTTGTTATCATTTATATTGGTCATACCTTACAACATTTTATTTTTTATCATTATTTATTTTATTTTATTTTGTTTTATTTATTTATTTTGCAACAGGGTCTCACTCTGTTGCCCAGGCTGGAGTGCAGTGGCCTGATCATAGCTCACTACAGCCTCAACTTCCTGGATTCAAGCAGTCTTCCAATCTCAGCCTCCCAAGTAGCTGGGTTCACATGCCACTATGCCAGACTCATTTTTTTTTATTTTTCTGTAGAGACGAGGTCTCGCTGTGTTGCTCAGGCTGGTCTCAAACTCCTGGGCTCAAGCGATCCTCCCACTTTGGCCTTGGGAAGTGTTGGGATCAGAACAGGAACAGGCCACGGCCCCCAGCCCTTACAACATTTTTAAAGAAATTATTTCAACCAAATTATCCTTGAACATATACATTATGAAAGTTTTCTCTTTTTTTTTTTTTTTTGAGACGGAGTCTCGCTCTGTCGCCCAGGCTGGAGTGCAGTGGCGCGATCTCGGCTCACTGCAAGCTCCTCCTCCCAGGTTCACGCCATTCTCCTGCCTCAGCCTCCCGAGTAACTGGGACTACAGGCGCCCGCCACCACGCCCGGCTAATTTTTTGTATTTTCAGTAGAGACGGGGTTTCACCATGTTAGCCAGGATGGTCTCAATCTCCTGACCTCCTGATCCGCCCGCCTGGGCTTCCCGAAGTGCTGGGATTACAGAAAGTTTTCTCATTTTCATAACACAATAAAAGATCTGGCAGTGAGATCCTCCAAATTAGCAAACTAACAAGTCACAAAGGCACAGCATCGTTTGTTGGTGGAAGTTTGTTATTTTGTAAAAATAGACTGATAGTGTGAATGACTTATTTAGAAATTTTCTAGGTAATTTAGCAATAAGTAATTTAGACACTACAAATCCTGTTTATATTGAAACTTCTGGTACATAGATAGAGCCAAGTAGGACAAAAACATTTATTTATTTATACCTGTAACACATAAATAGAAAAACATTCACTATCTTCATATAGCAGAATGAATGGCAAGGGTGTCCCAGTGTTTTAGTAGAGAGAAAGAAGACACTATCCAGAGTTATCACTAATGAGTAGGAGTGATACAGGAATTTAAAATTAAGCCCACATCATGCAGCAATATTTGGCGTCATAAGCACAATTCTGCTACTCTCTGAGATGCTTCCATGTCGTGCCTGGTCCAAAATGTGCTCCTAATGACGGAGCCACCTAAAGAGCATCACGTTACCTACCGCCTCCTCTCCACCCAGTAACCACTGCTGTACTTCAAAGACGAGGAGGGCTATGTATTTTGCATTCATTGTGAAGTCATTCACTCAAATCTCCATCTGCTGAAATGATGGCAACTTCCTCAGTCAGGGCAGAACCCCAGTTTGACAACAAGGCGTGTGTATCCATAGATCTCTCTCTCTGTGCTACCGAATGAGGGTTCTACACTGAGGCCGTCAATTTGTTGTCCAAACATTCCCAGAGGTAGGTGAAGAAATGAATAGTGTTTTACTCTGCCTGAAATCATATTTGTAAAAACTTTTGAAATGTAAAGAAATGGAGAAAGTCGGTCTCTCAGTAGCAGGTGAGTGACTTCTTACAGTGAGAGGAACGCCTTAGTTGGGGGAGATCTTGAAAAAACTGCTGAGATGCACGCTCTGTCAACACATTTTTGGAGAAGGACTCAGATAATCCTGCATAAAAGGGGAATTTCTTAATTCCTTTCTTTTCTTTCTTTCCTTTCTTTCTTATTTATTCATTTAACTCATCTTATTTGTTTTTGTCTTTTTTTTTTTTTTTTAAGAGACAGTTTCGCTCTGTTGCCCAGGCTGGAGGGCAGTGGCATAATCATAACTATCTTTTTTTCTTTTCTTTTCTTTTCTTCTATCTTCCTTCCTTCCTTCCTTCCTTCTTTCCTTCCTTTCCTTCCTTCCTTCCTTCTTTCCTTCCTTCCTTTCCTTCTTTCTCTTTCTTTCCTTTCTTTCTTTCTCTCTCTCCCCCTACCCCAGCTTTCTTTCTTTTCTTTACCTTTCATTCTTTCTTTTCTTTCTTTCTTTTGGAAAGAAGTGGAAGGAGATAGAGAAAGGGAGTTAAAGATGGAAGATGGAGAGGGAAAAGTCAAAAACATAAATGATGTGAATCCCACTAATCCTCAGGGAAGCATAAAACCCATAAATGCTCGGGATAAGATAGTTTTTAGCAGAGGTGCGGAAACCAGTGACGAGGCTGTCACCTTCTGGGGACATGGAAAAAACATAAATAGTATGTTCAGTCTCAAGATGTGGCAACAGAGATGTTCCTAAGAAAGTAGCTTCTCAAGAATTTGCAAAAGCTGTTGGGGTGACTTGGGGCTGTCACAAACGTGGACCTGGCCTCTCACTCCATATAATTTAAATCTCTGAAGTCCGGGGAGTTCCCACCTGGCATCAGAGCCAATGTGTGCTGTTGAAGGGGAGGCCAGGTCTGAATTTCAGGAAGCAGTGCCTTCTCAGGAAAGTTAACTAACATGGTCATAATAGGACATTGTTTAAATTAAAGGCTAGGCTTAATGCTCATTAAAGTGTTAGTTTAAAATTCTAGGCTTAAAACGATGCAACTTCTGAATTTATTGAAGGGCAGAGCTAGTGATTCCTGAATGGTTTGGCTTGTATTTTTCTTGTCTCCTAAGTTTTCTACACATATATGATATGATTTAAGTTCTCTGTGCAAACATCCTTTTTCATGAAATCCACTTTTATAACTGCCTATCTGTAAAACTACTACAAAGAAAATTGGCTTTCCACCATATTCATTCCTTAATGGTCTTAAAACAATTATGTACTGCTATTAAAATGCATGTCAACATGAAGGATTTTACACTTTGGTACATAGTTCCTATTAAAAGCTATCACGATAAGCAAAGAATTCATTACTTTGTGATATTGAACTTGACATTTCTCTTAGCAACATTAAAAAGATGCAGTTCATTGAAGGAAATGCCTAGGTTTCAAATCAACAGGAGGCTATAAGAAAGCTTTACATTAAACTCCATCTCAATATAGAGCATCAGAACTTTCATTGCCTCATTCCATTTACGGTCTGGTACAAATCAGATTCAGAAAGGCATAGACTATTTCAGGACATTAAATGGTAGCAAGTCCACCGCTCATTGTGTTTTAACAGGTTATCAATTGCATCAGAATAAGCAGTGCAAAGTCCCCAGTAATCCCAGTGTTGATGAATCAGTCTAAAATAATGGCTTATTTCTATGCTTCTTTTATTTGCACTAAGGGAAGACCATGTTCTCAAGGAGGGCACCCCATGCTCCCTGGCAGATGTTTTGCAACAAGGATGGCTAGCAAAGTGGTCCCTGGACAGAGGCCTGCACAAGAAGATGTCTTCCAATCAACTGTGGAGAAGCCGCAGAGTGTGAATCTGTTTTATCTAAAATAAAACCCAGCCTTCAGGGCCTTCCTCAATGTGAGGTGTCCCTGGGTGCCCTATGTTTGTTCTGAATTAATCAGGCCTTCCAGGCTCCTCCAGGCTACTATTCCCACATCAGTGGAATCAGTCCTGGCTTCTCACCATGATCTTAGTCTTCACTATGCCACACATACTTAACTGTTTGTTTTTATAATTACACTCTGCCTTGATCCGAGGAGGAACGGTAAATAAAAGATGTTTTAATTAAGATAATTGTAAAAATAAATAAAACAATTAACAATAAGTCAAACAAAGCAGAGGAAAGAAAACACCATGTAAGCAAAGCAGGGCCTCTTAGGCATCCCAGAATGACTAAATTAGCAGCAAACTGTAGGCACTCACTTTTTCAACTGTATTTACATGCTGTTTTGCATTTTTTTCTGCACCGATGAACAGCATATTTTAGTAGACTCCCCATTAGAATTTATCTGATTCTTTCTCCAAACAATGTTGTTATTTCTTATGCAAACTATATCTGTTTAAAAAATTATTTGCCTTCTTCTATTAGAAACTATCAACTCAAAATGTCTTATAACCTTGACAATGGTAAATTGCTCTTTTCTTCTCTAACTGGAAACAGATATGTCATTTTAGAGATTATGGTTTTATTCATTTAACTCATCTCATTTGTTATTGACTTTTCTTTTTTTTAAGAGACAGGGTCTTACTCTGTCATCCAGTCAGGAATACAGTGAAAAAATCATAACTCATTGCTGATTCAAACTCCTGGGCTCAAGAGATCTTCCTGCTTCAGCCTCCCAAGTAGTTGGGACTGCAGGCACACACCACCATACCTGGCTCATTTTAAAATTTTTTGTGGAGACAGGGTCTTGCTATGTTGCCCAGGCTGGTTTCAAACTCCTGGCCTTAAGGGATCCTCCCACCTCAGCCTGCCAAGGTGTGGGGATTACTGGCATGAGTCACCGTGCCCAGCCCCACATTTGGAACTGTTCAACATGCTTTTCCTCACTGAAACTCTTTTCCTTGGCCTACATCATTATTTTCCTTGCCCTTTTCTCCTACTTTCTGACCGCTCCAGTTGGACTGAAGGAAATATGTGTGTGAAACAGTCTTGAAGACAAAGCAACCAGCCAGAGGGTGTGGCATGCAACAGACCTGCAATAACTGTTTTAGAAGCCGGGCACAGTGGCTCATGCCTGTAATCCCAGCACTTTGGGAGGTGAGGCAGGCAGATCATTTGACGTCAGGAGTTCAAGACCAGCCTGGCCGACATGGTGAAACCCCGTCTCTACTACAAATACAAAAATTAGCTGGGTGTGGTGGCAGGCACCTGTAATCCCAGCTACTCGGGAGGCTGAAGCATGACAATTGCTTGAACCCAGGAGGCAGAGGTTGCAGTGAGCCAAGGTCACATCACTGCACTCTAGCCTGGACAATAGAGCAAGACTCAGTCTCAAAATAATAATAGTAATAATAATAATCACTGTTTTAGAAAGAAAGAATGAATGAATGAACGCATTGAGGCACTCACCTATTTCAGAAGCTAGAAGGCACTTATATAAATTCAGCTTATAAAGGATCCAAGGGAGTTGAATCTGGATTTGTGAGAATTGGACAGATTTATTTGGCCTCATCTTTTATTTACTATTTTGTGAGATGTGCTAGTTATTGAGTTATTACTCCTGGGCTCTGAACCCTTCCTTCTGCACTTTGCTTTTTGATGCTTTGATTGGGAATTCTCCAACCCCATTTCTCCTTTGCCATTGGTTCCCAACAGGTGGCACAAAGACGGACTGAAAGGCTAGAGTAGGAAGAAGGGGCATTGCTTCTTCCAGTTTGCTCACTGTTCTTCCAGAATTACTGTAGCCACGGTGGTTTGTGCCAGAAGCACAGTTGGCCCATGTTCAGGTTTTTTTTCCCACATTCTCAGAAGCAGCCTCAGAGACACCAGGCATGGCCCATCAGCACCCTCCTCAGAGACCTGAGTTCAGCATTGTGGGAGCCCCTCCAAGCTCCTGAGACACCAGCACCATCTGGCAAACACTCCGTTTCAGATGTCTGGGTCTTACCTCTCAGGTAGGTTTTAAAACTCCCACTTCTTTCATTTTCCCCTCTGCCAGGCGGGAGGTAACACATTCTACAGTTATTCACTCTGTGTTAATTCCATATTCCCCTTTGCTTTTTCAGGTTCGCATTACTTATTTAACCAAGCCCTTAGGGTAAACTCTCAGCTAAAATAGTTGGTGTGTATTCTGCCCTCTATCACAACACAGTGTAAAGTGAGCTTGACTGCCTCTGTATCTTGCAGTGCAGTTCACTGCATTGTTGACATCATGTTAATGAAGCAAAGTGAGCAAACTCTCTGGGTCTCTGTGTTTGCTAGAAGATACACCAGAGGATAAAAGACAGACCTTTAAAGAATCCTGGGCCTGCTACATTAATGAGAATTTTAGGGGTTCAGTGATTGGGGGCATGTCCAAGGATAAGGGAAATTAATTACAGTATACCTATTACCGTTAAGAGTCACATTGCTTGGTAACTATCTTTAGATTTTGAAGACAAGATACATTACTTAGGCACAGAGCTCTGACTCATGTGTTGGAGGACTCAGAAGGCTGCAAATTTTGAGCAGGATCCAGACCAAGAAAGGATTCCTAATAGGTTCATACTGTGGCACCAGCATGGCCACATGTGGCCCTCCAGCATGAGTTACGGGATGTGGCAGAGTCAATGGTTCAAGAAGAATCTATGATAGACAAGGACACTAGGTGGGGTTTTTTGTCAAGACCCACAACAAAAGTTGTAATGTAGAACTCCAGGGTTCCAGGGCAAGCCCACGCCTTCTGCAGCACGGAACTATTCACTATGCACAAATGTCTCCATAGCATGTGCCACCAGGTTCTGACAGACTCAGATGGAAACATGGGGCACTACGAGACTGTACACTAGGACATGCTTGTCATGAGATAGGACCTGTTGTAGCCACAGAATCACAAGACAAAGCAGGTGTACCAGTATGTCACAGACAATAGAAATTTCTAAATTTGGGCCATGCAGGTTCACAGAGTACAAACATTAAACCAGTGTCCCAAATCAAATATTATCTACTTCTTTTAAACTGACATTTTTCTCTTAGTTTACTTCAATGGCCTCAGGTGGAAAAAAAAAAAAAAAAAACAACAGGAAGGTGGGGGAGGGGAGAGTGTCCTACAGCTATCTGATAGAAAGAGGAAAAGCACTCTGAACCTTATTCACAGAAGGGTGAGCTTGAAATACTGTATCAGACCAATAGTGGAGAGTTGTGAAACTACAAGTCCACTGGTAACTCTGAACCACACTGGCGAGGGGAAACCGGCCCTGTGGGCAGAGTCTGGAGGAGTACTCTTAGCATCAACTTTGGATAGAGGAAGAAATGGTCTGAGGTAAGGATATATACAAACTCCTGGCCAAAAGCAAACATTTTGGAAAGTGAGAGGCATCATCAAAGGAGGCATATTGTAAGAGCAAGGACAAGGATGCCTGTGGAAGAGGCCATTGAATGGACCCACGGGGTTTGGTGCAAAGTGTGTAGATCTTAAGGTCTCACATCAATGTCCAGAGAACACTTGCCACAAATGAAAACTGAACAATCAGAAAACACAAAGTTATCCATCCAGTGACATCAGCTGACCTCTATCCTCAGTCACTCCAGGACCCAGGGATGGAATCGTCACAGGGGCAGTGTGGAGGCTATGTATGGCTTGATGGAGATGAGCTGTCTGTCTCCGAAGCCTCTGCCACTGATGAATATATGACCTGTAATCAGCAGAGACTAATTTTGAGTCCTCAAGGAGACCAATCAGCCACTTGGTAGCAAATTGATTACAAGAGCCCCTTCCACCCTGGAGGGGGATGCTGATGCATTCTTGCTAGGGTTTTTTTTCCTCCCGCCCCCCCAAAGTCTGCAGTGTCTCTGCAAGGGCTCAAAAACTATGTGATTTCTTGATATCAGATACTGCAAATTATACCCTAAGACCAAGAGCCCACTTTATACCAAAGAAGTGATAATGGCCACATGAACATGTGATCCTTTAGTTTTCTTATGCACTGTAATATGGTTTGGCTTTGTCCCCACCCAAATCTCATCTTGAATTGTAGCTCCCATAATCCCCACGTGTTGTGGGAGGAACCTGGTGGGTGGTAACGGAATCATGGGTAGGTCCTTCCCGTGCTATTCTCATGATAGTGAATAAGTCTCACAAGATCCGATGGTTTTATAAAGGGCAATTCCCCTGCACAAGCTCTCTTGCCTGCCACCAGGTAAGATGTGCCTTTGCCCCTCCTTTGCCTCCTGCCATGATTGTGAGGCATCCCCAGCCATGTGGAACTGTGAGTCCATTAAACCTCTTTCCGTTATAAATTACCCAGTCTCGGGTATGTCCTTATAGCAGCGTGAGAATGGACTAATACACACTGTATTATGCCGAAGCTGCTGGTCTCTAAAAACATTGGAATGGCCTCTCACAGCTCAGCTCAAGAGTTAATACCCTGAGGGGTTGAGATGCTACAGTTTAAGACATAGTATAGATTAAATAAACCATATTATACTGACTCCATATCCCTCAAAAGTTAAAATATAGAGGATCAACGAACAAGGAGAAAAATTATGAGGGGGGCCCTCTCATCATCATTTTTATTGACTCACTTGGAGGGATTTGTGCTTCCTGTACCCACAATTAGATGCCAGTCTTTGTATTCCACAATCCACTGCTAGAAACAGGGAACAAGAAGCAGGATAAACCTAGGACCGTTTTCAAAGCAAAATGAATGTGTGTTCTTCTTTTATTAACCTTATTTAATGCTTTAGTACAAATGTGTGGTTGTTTGCATATAACCCATGAGCATATGTCTGCACATGCATATGTAAAATATAAGGAATATCCTAGATTTTAGGCTCTGTAGATAATGCCTGCAGCTCAGTAAACTGTCTCTTAGCCACATAAAAACTATAACTGTGTTTTTACAGGGCAGCCCCTTAGTAAATGTTTGCTGAAGTAAATTTCCCTTTTCCTAAACTGAACATTGGGCTTCCAGGTGAGGGAGAAAGAAGAAAGCAAAGAGAAGCTAGGCTTCTTAGAGCTCAGTAGTGGCTGCACATGACACATGGGCCCCTCTCTAGGGTTCTCGATTTTCCACTATTTTCCTCAGTGATTCTTTCCAACAAACAGTACACTCTTCTTAGTGGTGCTTCCTCAATTGAGCTGCCTATCTGTCACAAGTTAAGAAAAAAAAAAAAAGGTATCATTTGACTTACCATAAAATAGAATAGAAATCATTGAAATAATGTTCAACAATTCATGTGCAATTTAAGCAAAATAACCTCACCCTGGAAAAGAAACAATACCTAAGACATTTGTGCCTACATTATTTCACAATTTTTTAAAATTATTTCACCAAAAGAAAGAAGTCTGTATATAAAATGATACTTACTCCATAAGAATTGTGGGATTTCTATGCATCTAAGTCTCCAGCAGTCTCAGCCCATCATATTGTTTTGATATCTTAAATTCACAAAGAGATTATTAGTGCATTTACCCAAAATCATCCGGGCTACATAGATTTTTAAAAACACACACGACCTTGTGATCTCCTTCCTTACAGCATTTTTTCCTGTCTCTTAGATACTCCTTGCTGATTTTGACAACTTGATTTGGAAACAAAAGCACCACTAGTTATTGCACATCACAGTTAATTCCCAGAATTTTCAAATACACTGTCAGACCAGGTACAATATGGCAGAAAATATTGCCATTTGTTGTGCTAAACTTAGGATGTTGCAAAAATTGGATTCTTGCCCCCCTTTTAGGCCACCAAAGAAAGGGTGATGATAATCACTTAAAATATCTAAAAATGATAGGGAATCTGAAAGAGAAGCACAGATATAATCTGTTACCAGTGTGAAATAGGTCCTTCTTAGACAGACATCATGCTAAATAGAGTAGCTTGACAAGCAGAAAGTAGGACACACTGAACAATGAAATCACTCGGTCAGGAAATGTCAGGTGGTATGTGGGAAAGTTTATATGCTACAGTGAGCAGGTGATGGTGTGTCTAACACATTTAAAATATATATTTAAGATTGAGGAACACTTTGATCATACACTGAAATGTCAGCTGTGTACAGTTCTTCCTAACCTTTTAAAAATGTAGGTATAGAGGTCTTAAATTCTCCCTAGTGCAATAGAAATCAGAGTTGTAATTTTGCCTTGTCTGGAAATAATAAAAGTTTAATACACTAGGGGTTCCTTGCTCTAGCCTCTTTTATCTTTAATACAAAAAAAAAAGAACTTGGGGTATAAAGTTACAATTTTAGGGAAAGTAATCTAGCTTAGTTCTTTCATTAGGTATACATGATTCTAAACTATTAAATGGTGAAGAAATGGTCATTTCTTCTTAATATTCAGCTTTCCTTCTATTAAGGAAATAACATTGGCAGAATGAAACACACACACACACACACACGCACAAGAAAGAGAAGTAGAAAAAAAGGAAAGAAAAGAACGATGGAGCACTATTCAGCCATGTGAGTTTTTTGGTTTTTTTTTGGTTTTTTTGAAGCAAATGTAATCACATTTCCATGTTGGGCTGACATAAATGCATCTTAGCTTGCCAGAGAGAAAGTAGGTAGTTGTATTAAGATATTAAAAATACAATGTTAAAACTTTCTATTAACTCAATAGAAGAATATTAATGACCCTTTTTTAAATCACCAAAACTAGGTAAGGCTACCAAAAAATAATTTGATCTGTAAGTTATAAGTTCTCTTTACTCATATTCACATATCAAAGATGTTGTCCTTTCAAACCCTATTTTAATCTTTCACCCCATACCTCCCCTTCATATACTCAGCCTGCTTCTCCACTACAGTCTCCAATAGGTCCCATTCTTTTCTCTCTCTGCTCTCCATACATTAAACATGCATTGTCCGTAACACTACCTGTGAAAAAGGCCAGCAGACGGGCTGCCTACGACTAGTATCTCTTCTTTGGGAAAGGATGATTAGGATATATCACTCAATGAGTTAGGAAGGGGTGTGGGCAGCGAGGTGCTGTGGAAGTTTCAGGTAGTTTCGGTCCCAGGCAGCACTTTCTACCTAAAGGGGAAGAAATGCTGGTCTTACTGCAGGACAGCCTCTTCACAGGGTCTTCAGACTTCACGTACTCCATTGCTTTCTCCTTGTGTGCCCTTCTGCCTCTTTCTATTCCCTTTTCCTCCCCTCCCATGCAATTTTCCCTTTTTCCTTCCATGGCTCTGGAGGGACGAGGGAGCCGTCGGCCTTCCAGCCCTCTGCCATTCTCCCTGAGTTTCCACAGGGTTTAGAAGCTGCCTGAGGCCTCTGGGCACAATATTAGGTCAGAGGGGAATTCAGATGTTTACTTTTATCCCCCACTGATATCAAATATAAAGGAAAAGTCAAAGAGCTGCAGCAATAGACTGTGAGCTAAAACTGCAAATAAATAAATAAAATAAAAATAAAAAGTAAGTTTGCACCACAGGAGGAAAGATTTGAATTAGATATTAGAAAAAAATGCTCGAGTGAACCAACACCAAAGAAGATTGTGGGGGCTCCATTATAGAGGGATTTTAAAGAAGAAGGAGAAGTTTAGACTGCAATCAGTCTCAATTTAAGCACTTAAAAGCAGGGGACTAGTCTGGATGACTTCTGACATCTCCTCTCCTTAGTATTCTATTTTTAGGAGCCATCAATCAATGCCTCACAGAAAAACATGAAACACTCGTATCTAGAGTCCTCAAAGTTCACTGTGAAATTTGTCTAAGTTGTCAAAAATACATCACGGAGTGTGTAGAAACTAATACTTTAAACCAGCAAAATAGTAGCTTGTATTTACAGCAACAATGCTTCTATCAATATAAAATTCTTACACTCTAGCCCCTACATATACCAGCTATAATCATGGAAGCATAGATTGCCTTTAAAGTAAAAATAGTAAATATATTTCTGTATATTATATATACACATATGTATACTTTCCACATTCTCATATATATACACATTATAAAAATATATACATATATAGTATATATTATAAAATATATACATATATTATTTAAAAATATATACAAATATATACTTTCCATATATTATAAGATATATTTTCCATTAATTGTCAACCAGAGACCACAGGTGAGAATAAAAGGAGGTATGGTTGCAAAACATCCCTCATTCCATAATCTTCACAACAGTTCCTGAAGGTGCCGTTTTAGCAAAGCAGCTGTTACAGTCCTGCTGCTCCAGCCCTCTGAATATCCACCACTGGGTCCTATTACAGAGTCTTGGGGTGATTCCAAGAGTTTGTATTTTGAGTGAATATTAGAGTTTATGGAACACCAAATAGGAGTATTTCTCCCTCTCCTTGTAGATGAACGGGTGCCCAAACTATTCCCACTGTGTCAGCAACAGATCATTTGTTTCTTGCCTGAAAATTGTGAGTCACAGAACCGGCAGAGCACATGCTCCAATCTAGATGCATCAGGGAGTGAGGGCAGGGTCTGGGAAGATGGAGAGTAGAGAGCAAATGCTAAGAGAGTGCTTAATTTAGATTAAAAAAAAAAAACCTAGAAAAGGCAGAGAGGCTCAAAGTCCTCAAAAGTAGCTCCCAAGAGAGCTGAATAATATAAGACCCCAGGAGCAAGGGCTTGGCCTCTCAGTGTTAGAAAAGTAAACCCCACCCAGGAGAGAGGGGACAAACATCTCATCACCAGCGAAGTAGGGCTGATCACACAGAGGCAGAGCAAATGTAGCCAGCCCAGAAGAGAACAGGCACTCACTGTATTGAGGCACAAATACATTTATTTTTGTTTTTCTCTCCTCTTCATCCCAATCAAATGGCTGTGACAGAGAAGAGAATTCCACATTACCACCTTCCAACAGCTGTCAGCAAGATCCACAAATCTGACCTCTGCAGAGAAAGGACAAAAGCTTTGAGTTTAAAGTTTTTAAAGGAATGGATGTAAATATTCATGGCCAAGATACACTGTATTTATTTATTTATTTTTACCTTTTTTTTTTTGAGACGTAGTTCACTCTGTCGCCAGGTTGGAGTGCAGTGGCGCAATCTTGGCTCATTGCAACCTTTGCCTCCCAGGTTCAAGTGATTCTCATGCCTCAGCCTCTCAAGTAGCTGGGATTACAGGCGCCCACCACCATGCCTGGCTAATTTTTGTATTTTCAGTAGAGACGGGGTTTCGCCATGTTGGCCAGCCTGGTTTCGAACTCCCAACCTGAGGTGATCCGCCCACCTCAGCCTCCCAAAATGCTGGGATTACAGATGTGAGCCACTGTGCTGGGCCGATACACTGTTTTTATAATTAAGAGTCACTGAAAAGTCAAGAAACTACACAGGGATATCCGAGAAACACATCATCAAAGGCAAAAAGGGTTTCAACATAATGTGAGCAGATGTGATGACCTGAACTGAGCAACCCCCAACCCTCTCCCCACCCATGATGAACAAGAAAGAAGCGTCATTAAAGAATGACTGTTTCCACCACCATTTATTCCTGACAGCAAGAGAATGCCTGGGCCCCGGCCACCTAATTCAATAGATTAGCCTATTGTGCTTACTTTAACAGGTGGTATGGACTGAATGTGTGTGTCTTTCCAAAAGACCTGTGTTGAAGCTCTCCCCTCAATGTGATTTGGAAGTGGTGCCTTTGGAAAGGAATTCATTTCGGATGAGCTCATGAGGTTGGGGCCGCCACGATGGGATTAATGTTCATGTAAGGAGAAGAAAAAACTAGAGTTTGCTCTCTCTCCCTCATATGAGGACACACTGAGAATGTGGCTGGCCATCTAAAGCCACAAAGAGTGCCCTCACCAAAAACTGACCATGTTGGTGCCTTGATCTCTGACTTCTCAGCCTCTAAGACTTGTGAGAAATAAATTTCTGTGGGTTAAGCCACCCAGCCTATGGCTATTTTGTTAAAACAGCCTGAACTCACTAAGACAACAGGTCAACAGTTATTCTATTTTTGCAAAGCACATGCACTATAAATCAACAATTTGTTCCTCCCATTAACCCAGCCATTGAACTCCTACCTGAGAACTCAAGGTTCCTGCTAAATAAGATAAATGGAGTCTAGTGCTGCAAGCGTACTTTTTCTGCTTCCCTTCCCTCAGTACGAGCTAAAGTTTTTGTTAGTAGACTTCCTCCATGAGCTTCTGTCAATTGTTTTTCCTTTTTTTCTCCTCATGATTAGGCAAGTAACTCCTCCTTAGAATCACAAAACACTACAGATTTACAGCTTCCTCTATGATGAAGGTCACAAGGATCTCTGGGTCTGAGACCTATTCAGTTGAACTAAACTTTATTTCTGCACAGGCTTCGATCCTTGGCCACTGCAAGATCCTTTTCTACAGGTTCTTTAGACGTTGTTCTCAGTTTGGTTTATGTTTATAGGAACTTGCCTTGTCTTTGTTTATACATTTAACACTTTTACTTTCCTCAAACTTCAAGTCTTCCAGAGTCTCCTTACCTCAATAAGTTACCTTCCCCATTGTTTCCTGTAGATTCCAACGCTTGCTTTTTTGTTTTCTTTGGAGCTGAAATTTTGAGTGAATTATACTTGACATTTAACATATGCACACACTGAATATTCAGATTTCAAAGAATGCCTAGGAACAGACTGCTCTGCCGTCTATTGTTTAGACAGGCACATATCCCCATTATCTTCATTTCTCATTGTCAGCTGACTTGTCACTGAGTCAGGGAATGAGTGCTTCTTTGCTGGGGCAAAGGGAGGCTCACCAACCCATTTATCTATTCAAATCAGCGCTCAATCACAACATGGTCTTTGTTTTCTAGGAAACTATAAGCTAAATTCAGACTCTCTAAAGGCTGGAAGTCATGAGATTGGGCTGCTTCACATTATTTGACAAAGAAAGTCAGGTGAGGGATGAACTGATAAATCCATGGACCCTTTGAGATGAGCTTGGCAGGATGTAGAGTGCGTTCCTAAGGGAAACTGAAGGTGCACTAAGCGAGAAGGGCAGGAGGATGGTAAGCAGAGAGGAAAGCACAACCACTCCCAGGGAAAGGAGAAACTAAAGATATATTCCTTCCTCACGAAACCAACAGGCATTTAAGGAAGCAGATCAAGAACTCAAATTAAATGGATGACTATTGACCAATACAGCCTTAATAGTCCTTCACCTTGAATAAATTTTAGACAGGTTTCTTCCTGACTATAGGACCCTGACCCTTCTTTTCTTATATAATTTACTTTAGGAAACGTATAATTGCAAATTCTTTCTCTGTCTCTGAAATCTTCTCCCAGTCTCTTGTCAGAATGTCTTTCTCAAAGACCTGGGAAACAGCTTTTTGAAATGTAAACATCAAGAAAGATAGCTTCTCTATCTCTACTACTAGCTACTCTAGTTTTAGTTCAATGGCATGGCATGAAATCAATCAGAAAGAGAGAAAAAGCAGAAGAAGGAAAAGAGAGGGAAAAGCAGGTTCCATGAGGACTGGATCTTTGTCTTATGACCAATGACAATGTGATCATTGACAAAGGCTGGAAAGATACTTGGTACACACTAGGTACACCCAAATAATGAAAGAAATAAAGTGAAGAAGAAAGGAAAAGAAAGAAAGCAGCAGAGAGGAGGAGGGAGGAAGAGTGAAAGGGAGAGAGAAGGAGGGAGAGGCAGAGGGAGGGAGGGAGGAGGGAGGGATAGAGGTTACTGAGAAAATAAAGGAAGAACAAAAAGAATCAGAGACTCTGTTTAGATACCAGAGTTTCCCAAAGCTGGGGATCACACTCTGTATTTCTTGAAAGGCTTTTGAACAGGTTATGACATTTACCCTATAAGCATGCTTCAGGTTTTCTAGCATCTCTACCACTTTATCCCAAGAGGTGGGAATGAAAAACCATGTTTACACTGAATTTGTATTGCAAACACCATTGCCTTTGCTTCCTCTTAGCACATTAAATTATCTTTAAAGCTTAACAATTGTTACTTCTTCATGCTAAAGATAGAGTGCTGGTCTTCTTGTTGAATTGCTTTTGACAGTTCAGCCCAGGCTAAATCCAAGTAGCATAAACAAGGATGTGCATGGAAATACTTATAAAGTCAAGAAAATGCGAGATAAAATTTCCTGTGCAAGTACTGAGCATCTGAATAAACGTGAGTCTTGACTATCCTTCCGAGATGTATGCAAGGATCATTTTAGATGTTGCTACTTGACTGGCCACCAAAGCGGTGATTCATAGTGTGATACGAGTCCATGAGCCTTAAGGCACCTTTCTCTTAGTGCAGTGGAGAAAAGATAGTTCTAGAATTCAGGATGATTTCAAAGGCCTGAGAGCAAGTTTGCATGATATCCATAAAGCAGATCGGAAGGTTCCCCAGGGAGTATCAGTTGGTACGACTTTTCAGACTCGGTGCACAACTGAATTCTGCACAGAGGCATGTTGCTGTGAGCACAGAATCTGATGGATGTTGATGTGAATTGCAAAGTGTCAGCTCACCCACCAAAAGACCTAGTTACCACCCCACTTCTTCAGCACAGTTGTAGCTTATCCAAAAATCTTACAAAGTCATCCAAGCATGTTTACCCACCAAAATAGGCCTGACAGCAAAGTCAAAGGTAAAAATGATGGGAAGGATGTGGATTTCAACACACTGAGAGAATATAATTTTTTTAAAAATGACTTTTGCACAGGAGTAGACATACTTTTTAGGTGGCACTCAACTATGGAAGTAGTACTTAACTTGGAAGTAGTTTCCCTTAGGCAGACACAATGTGATCTACGTAATTCTACCTATTCTTTTTTCAGGAAACAGAGCGACCTCAGGGCAAGGGACCACGAGAAATGAAGACATTCCCTAGGTATCTGAGAGCTGGCAATCAAAAGCTGATGGAGGATGCTTCAGTATTTCAACTATATGCAAGAACTGATCAAGACGCCATAAAGTGCAACTTGGAGCAACTGCAGACCATGAAATCGAATATTTTCTACAAATAACAATAAAGAAATGAAATATAGCATGCGGAAGGGTGTAGGAACATAAAACTGCATGGACAAAGAAGAGAATCCGTGGATCACGCAGAAACAATATAAGAGACAAAAGTGGAACTTCTGCAGTCCCAGCTACTCAGAAGGCTGACGCAGGAGGATCGCTTGAGCCCAGGAGTTTGAGCCTGCAGCGAGCTATGTTCATACCACTGCACCCCAGCCTGAGTGACAGAGTAAAACCCTGTCTCTAAAAAAGAAAAAAAAAAGTAGAACCCATAGGAAGCAGGTCAAAGGAATAAAGGAATTCCCATGTTATTATTTGTTGTTGTTGTTAAAAACATATTGAGTGAATGAAAGCAGACACACATAACCATATACTGATTGATTCTATTTATATGAAGTTCATAAATCAACAAAGCAAATCTATAGTTATAGAACTGAGAAAGGGTTTAGGTATGGGAAGTGGGAGGAAGTGGCAGGAAAAGGGCATAAGACAACTTATATGGTGATAAATACTCTCCCGGTCTTCACTGGGTGTGGTTACTCAGGTGCATATATGCATGTAAAAGCCACAGAGCTGTACACTTAAGATCTATGCCTTTATAAAGAAATGGGGATACCTGATTTTGGTGGATGCTATGACTACTATCAGCCTTTGGTTAGCCTCAGTCAAATGTCCTTATAGAATAATGTCTGCTGAGACATGTTCCTAACCAGTGACGCATACATTTCACTCCTGCTTCCTGGGAATTAAACAAAATGAAGTCATCCTTGAACATTTACTCTTATCAGCCCCATTTGGTACTTAACACATTGTGAGTCTCCATAAATATTAAACAGGCACTCCCAGCTATAGCACTAAGTTAGATTCAAAAGCACATCAGGGAATGAAGAGTGTTCACTAGGCACTGGTATTAGAATACCACTGGTATGTTAAACAAAGCTTATATTTAAGATATGTTTTGCAAAGTACTTTGGAAAATACAGAGTCAGTTTTCTGCTCAGCTGTTTAAACACATCAAACTACACACAAACACACAGGAAGAGCCACCATTTCTAAAGCTTATTAGTACACGATCATCTCTCAATAACTCTGGTCTCTGGGTACTGTTCATAAATCTCAGGGGATAGAAAGAAAGAATTCCAGCTTTCCAGTTTCATAGGCTTTAAGTCTCCATCTGTTGCTTGATTAATGGAGTAGGTTTGGCACCACTCTGCCCTGCAGTCAATGGTAAAGCACACTAATGATGACCAATAGGTAGAGGAGGAAAATTCAGAAGAGGAGAGTTCATGATACTTAGGTGAAGAGCTGAACATCATCCATCTCTTTTAACTCAAAGTAAGCTTGCAGAGAGAAAAAAGATTTTGATTTCTCTCTTTGTTCACAGCTGAGAACTCAGAAAATTTCTGGCTTTGATCCTTTATCTCATACATTTGAGGAAAGAAAAATGAGACTTTGGAACGCATATACCATGTAGGGATGTGGGGCATGTTTATACATGTGTGTATGCAAGCAGGCATGTGTGTGGGTCTAGGGGAGCTGGGGAAATACTCCCCTGTGTGTGTGGCTGGCTCTGAGCTATCCAGGGACTTTCACTGCCACTCTCCTTCCCTGCTTCATTCATTCTTAGCTGCTTGCTTTTGAGCTAACATCCTCAGTGACTACAATAAAAATAACCCAAAGTGACAGCTCGAGACCAGCAAGAAAGCTGGTCTGTGCGCATAAAAACAATTTATATTTCAGGCAAACTTGTCCCAGGGTACTTTTTGTCAGTTTTCTTTGTTCAAATCCCTGTTATTTTTGCTGCAACCACTCATGTCGTAACCATATTTTAAAAATGAAATCTAAGATGAAATGGGTTTGATGGGGGTGGGAAGAAGGAAAAGGATGTCAGAAGTAAAAGGAGCCTGACAAATGAGGCTTGAATTTTTTTTCCAGTCTGTCAGAGCTTGCCCCTGCTGCTGATGGGGAGTATAATGTGTTGGCTGGTGGCTCTGTCTATTTTACCGACGTAAGTCTCTTAGATTGAATATCCGATGACCAAGACATGATGAGCAAGCTGAGTCTACACTGGGTTGTAGCTTTTCTTGCTGTGGCTGTAGCCAGGAAAATTTTATCTCCATGATATAGAGAACCTGCTACCCTTTTTCTAGGGTTGTTCCAAGAAAGATGGCCAGTAAGCAGCAATCCTACTGATATATTTAGAATTAGTGCACCCTTAAGGAGACGCACCTTTATTAAGCTTGGGGCAAGACCATTTCCAGGGCCGCCACATCCTAATTCACATGTAGTGTAACTGCCCAGTGGGTTCACCTTGCCTGCTGCCTAGGCAGAGGTAATTTCTCAAGATAGGGGAATTGCAATAGAGAAAGAATAATTCACACAGAGCTGACTGTGTGGGAGACCAAAGTTTTATTATTACTCGAATTATTTGAGTAATTGTTTTATTATTACTTGAATTATTTGAGTGATTATTTTATTATTACTCGAATTATTTGAGTGATTATTTTATTATTGCTTATTTAATTAATAATTATTTGATTATTATTCAAATTATTTGAGTAATTATTTGATTACTCGAATTATTTGAGTAATTATTTTATTATTACTCGAATTATTTGAGTAATTATTTTATTATTACTCGAATTATTTGAGTAATTATTTTATTATTACTTATTTAATTAATAATTATTTGATTATTCAAATTATTTGAGTAATTATTTTATTATTACTTGAATTATTACCCAAGCATTTGGGGATCAGAGCTTTTAAGGACAACTTGGTGTGTAGGGGGAAGCCAGTGAGCCTGGTATGCTGATTGGTCAGGTCAGAGATGAAATCATAGAGAGCTGAAGCGGTCTTCTTGTGCTGAGTCAGTTCCTGGGTGGGAGCTACAAGATCTGATGAGCCAGTTTATCAGTCTGGGCAGTGCCAGCTGATCCATCAAGTGCAGTGTCTGCAAAACATCTCAAGCACTGATCTTAGGAGCAGTTTCAGGAGGGTCAGAATCTTGTAGCCTCCAGCTACATGACTCCTAAACCATAATTTCTAATGTTGTGGATAATTTGTTAATCTTACAAAGGCACTCTAGTCTCAAGGCAAGGCTTGTTTTGGCAAAGGGCTATCTTTTTTTTAAACTATAAACTGAGTTCCTCCCAAAGTTAATTCACCCTATGCCAAGGAATGAACAAGAACAGTTTGGAGGTTATAAGCAAGATGGCCGGGTGCAGTGGCTCACACCTGTAATCCCAACACTTTGGGAGGCCAAGGCGGGTGGATCACCTGAGGTCAGGAGTTCAAGACCAGCCTGGCCAACATGGTGAAACCCCCCTCTACTAATAATACACAAATTAGCTGGGCGTGGTGTCACGTGCCTGTAATCCCAGCTACTCAGTAGGCTGAGGCAAGAGAATCGCTGGAACCTGGGAGGCGGAGGTTGCAGTGAGCCGAGATTGAGCCACTGCACTCCAGCCCGGGCGACAGAGCGAGACTCTGTCTAAAAAGAATAAATAAATAAAATAAAACAGAAGCAAGATGGAGTTGGTTAGATCAGATCTCTTTGACTGTCTCAGTTATAATTTGCAATGGTGGTTTCAGTAGCTTGATGACAAAGAAGATGAAGAAGGGAAATTATGTTAGTTTAGGTGCCAACTGGAGACGTGAAGCCAACCCAATGGACACTGGTGTATTTATCTTTAGAAAATGAAGGGCAACAATGCACTAAGGGGATGAAATCCCAGCAAGCCATCCTGCTTCCAGTGAAATAAGTGTTTGTTTTTCCCCTTTGCCCTGGAGCAAAATGTGTATGTGTTCAGTTTGAACGGGCTCTTTAACATGCACCTGTTTCTCCATGACAAATGTTAAGGACAGTATGTGAAAAGGGAATGGGAAGAGAAAGCAGTGGCATCCAGATATATTTAAACCTACATAAAATCAGTTTTCTTATCAGTAGAAGAGGATTCTTCAAATTATCTATAATTGGGAAAGTTATTCCTTGCAGATCTTTTTTTTATTGGTACAAATATGCTATGGATTAAAAAATATTTCCCAAGATCTAACTCCATACACAAAAAAAGATAAATTATGAAGTTATTAACTTATATTAGCTTGATCAGCATTTTCCTTTTCCCGCAAAATGGAATTTTAAAAAAATCTTCATAGCTTAGGTTGTGTGTGGGGGCTCACGCCTGTAATCCCAGCACTTTGGGAGGCTGAGGTGGGCAGATCACTTGAGGTCAGGATTTCCAGACCAGCCTGGGCAACATGGTGAAACCCTGTCTCTACTAAAAATACAAAACTTAGCCTGGCATGGTGGTGGGCACCTGTAATCCCAGATAGGAGGCTGAGGCAGGAGAATCCCTGGAGCCCCAGAGGCAGAGGTTGTAGTGAGCTGAGATTGAGCCACACTGCACTCCAGCCTGGGTGACAGAGTGAAATTCCATCTCAAAAAATAAAATAAAATAATAAATAAATATATAAATAAAACTTAATGGCTTCAAATACTTTTACCTTTAAAAGTAATCCCCTAACTTACTTAGGCAAGCTCTGTGCTAAGAGCTGTGTAAAGAAAACTTGATAGATCCACCTCTTTAGGAACATGTAATTTTACAAAGACACATTGAGTCCGATATAAAAACGATAAAAATAAAAGCACAAACTTTAAAGTTATAGGTGTATATGATCATTTAGTGAACAGGCAATAGGCCTACACAACTAAACAGAAGGCATCAACATATTGTACAATAGGCCAGGCGCGGTAGCTCATGCCTGTAATCCCAGCACTTTGGGAGGCCGAGACTGGTGGATCACGAGGTCAGGAGATCGAGACCATCCTGGCTAACACAGTGAAACCCCGTCTCTACTAAAAATACAAAAAATTAGCCGGGCTTGGTGGTGGGTGCCTGTAATCCCAGCTACTCCAGAGGCTGAGGCAGGAGAATGGCATGATCCCAGCAGGTGGAGCTTGCAGTGAGCCGAGATCACACCACTGCACTCCAGCCTGGGCAACAGAGCGAGATTCCATCTCAAAAAAAAAAAAAAAAAATTGTACAATAATAAAATAACTGATATCCAAAATGTCAATTTTGACTCTTCAAGGAAATATTGAATTATTATGTTCAGGATGTTTCATTTAAGAAAGTAGAGACATGTATCATTTACAATAGAAAAATTTCATTACTGCAGAAAATGCTTCACCTAAGACTTTAATTTTTCAATGTTATAACACACACGTAAAAAACTGATTATATGGGGGGAAAATTTACATATATATTTAATTGCTTCAGTTTGGCGGGCCAGTGAGATGATTATAGCCATTAGGTATATCTCAAATCCATTGCTGACACCCTGTAAGCCTATCAAGTATACGATCACCTGATTCTAATGCTTTGATGACTCCCTGCAGAGGAGGAAAACTACACAGATATAATAGTTAAGTTTTGATTTGCAAGTCTGAGAACTAAACAGATGTCATTATCAACTGCTTTGAGTAAGAGCAGTTGATAAGATTAATAGAGGCAAACAGAATATATTTAATAGGACACAGTCAGTATTTGGAAATAGGGGATGAGCGGGAGAGGAGAGGGGTCTCCCAGGCTCCTCTCTGGAGCAATCACGTGCATTTACTGGTAAGTAGCACCTTAAGGGAGAGCAGATTCCTGGCCAGGGCATGCTGGGGCACACAGTGGTGGGAGGACATATGTTTCTTTTTAGTTTTACCCAGTTTGTAATGTTATAGGAGTTATTAAGAAATTATTTTAGGCAGATAAAAAGGAAAAGGAGTCCTTGGGACGTTTTTGTTGTTTTTAAAGCAGCCCCAGAAACGTTTCTTGTCTAGCAGGAAAGCCCCAGCTCTTAGAGCAGGGCAGGCAACCTTTGATATGCAAATACAAGCCATTAGAAACTGGCTCCACCCAAACATGGCGATTCCAGCCTTCTTCTTCCTTGCCCATGCACGTGCCTGGCAACATGGCTTCCCCCACATATCCCACCTGTGTAGAACATCATGGCGCCCTGCATTTGCATATTAAAAAGCTAGGGTGGGAGGGCCAGTTTTGTCGTGGGCTACGTGAATGACATTCCTGGTCAACCAATCCCCTGAGCCCTATGCAATCAGACACCATCTCCTCCAGCCTCCTCATATAAGCAGCCACTTTTCTTCTGAACACCAGGTTTCATCTCTAGGGTTTAGAGCCCCCTCCCTCTGTCTCTATATGGGGCGCTTCTTCCTTCTTTCTCACCTATTAAACTCTCTGCTCCTTAAAAACACTCCACATGTGCCCATGTCATTGTACCCAATTCGACACAAGACTACGGACCCTGGTGTTCCTTCACTCATCGGAGCCGTGTCATTTATGCAGACTTCAAACATCCAGGGTGAGGTGTAAAGTCAGGAGCATCAGTAACTCAGAAGATAGATCTTGGCTGAAGATATACATTTAAGGATAATTATCACAGTATTGGCAGGTAAGGGTAGAGAGAAAGAGAGAGGGAGTCCAGAAAGAAGACAGAGCATCATCATTTAAAGGTCCAACAGAGGATGCCAGTTATTTTCCCAAATAGTAAGAGGGAAGAGTAGAAAATAAATTTAGTATTTTGTCTCTGCTAATAAGATTTATACTATTCAATAACTAAAAAACACTCCCACTCTACCACTTTAGAAGGAAATGCAATGTAATAAAAATTTGAGTACAAAACACTAGAAAACATGAAGATACAGTAATCTGAGAAGATTTGGGAGAAAGCTGAAATTTGTAGTATATGATGCAAGTGATTTAATGGAGGAAAAGTGGAGGAAAATCTAGAAGAGCAGGATGCCGTGGCAAAGATCCAGTTCAACATCTTCATTTTAAAAACTTTTCTAATTCCCTGTATTGTTCACCACAGCACTCTATATAAACTTCCCTAAAATACTTATCACATTTATTAAACTTGTTGATATGTCTGTCTCTCTTACTTTATGTGAGTTCCCGTAGGCCATGGGTCTTATCTTATACAACTCCAGGTCCCTCATTTAAAAGACAGCAAATCACAGATGGTCAAGGCTCACATACAGCCAGTATTCTGTAAATGTCAGCAGAGCAAAGATTGTATAAGTTAGCCTACACACTGGTTTAATTACAGCTGAGCATCTGACAAAGAAATAATTGCTATGAGAAGGTGGTAGATCAGCTGAGGGGTTTAAATGAGAGTGCTTTTATGTGTATTGGCATACATGAACACAAGTTTCAGTGTTAGGCAGGGCAAGAATTACTCCTAGTTTATAGATAAAGAAACAGATGTGGATGTGGATGCTACCTAAAGCCACAAGTGAGTAAGTAGTAGAATCAGGCAGAACTTTATCCAAGGTCTTCTGACTGAATTGGATCAAACTAAGGATAGCAGGCTTTGTGAATATTGATAAGAGGTCTCAAAACTGGAAACATTCACAGTTATCAAGGCATGAAAAAAAAAGAAAAAAAACTGCTACAATATTAGCTATGAAGGGCTTACACTGAAAAAATGTACAGTGTACATTGCTTGGTATGGACAAAGAGAGAATAGCTGAAACTCTCTTCTGGACTATGTAATCCCCAAGAAAATACAACCTATTCATTTGCTTCCCTAATTATTATACCGAGATATCCCCACGCAGCCCAACTTCACTTAAGAAGTACCTGCGGGCATACCTCATTTTATTGTGCTTCACTTCACTGCACTTCTCAGACATTGTGCTTTTTACAATTAAATTGAATTGAAAGTTTGTGGCAACACTGTGTTGGGCAAGTCCATCAGCACCATTTTTCCAACAACGTGCTCACCTTGTGTCTGTGTGTCACACTTCGTTAATTCTCATGATATTTCAGACTTTGTCATTATTGTTATGTCTGTGACCAACAACCTTCGATTTTACTATTATAATTGTTTTGGAATGTCACAAACCTTGTCCGTACAAGATGGCAAACTTAATAAGTGTGTGTGTTCTGACTGATCTGCCGACCAGCCATTTCCTCATTTATCTCCTCCTCCTTGGGCCTCCCTATTCCCTGAGACACAATAATATTAAAATTAGGCCAATTACTAGCCCTACAATGGCCTCTAAGTGTTCAAGGGAAAGGAAGAGTGTCACATCTCTCACTTTAAATCAAAATCTAGAGTGATTAAACTTAGTAAGGAAAGCATGTCAAAAGCTAAGACAGGCCAAAAGCTAGGCCTCTTGTGCCAAACAGTTAGCCAAGTTGTGAATGCAAAGGAAAAGGTCTTGAAAAACAATTGAAAGTGCTACTCCAGTAAATGCACAGAAAAAGCAAAACAGCCTGATTGCCATATGGAGAACCTTTTAGTGGTCTGAATAGACAATAAAGCAAGCCACAACATCCTCTTAAGTTGAAGCCCAATCTAGGGCAAGGTTCTCAATATCTTCAGTTCTATAAAGGCTGAAAGGGGCAAGGAAGTTGCAAGAAAAAAATGGGAAGCCAACAAAGGTTGTTTCATGAGGTTGAAGGAGAGAAGTCATCTTTATAACATAAAAATACAATGTGAAGCAGCAAGTGTTGATGTAAAAGATGCAGCAAGTTATCCCCAGAAGATCTAGCTAAGATCACTGATGAAGGTGGCTACACTTAACAACAGATTTTCAGTGTAGGCAAAACAGCCTTATATTGGAAGAAGATGCCATCTCGAACTTTCATAGCTAGAGAGAAGTCAATGCCTGGTTTCTAAATTTCAAAGGACAGGCTGACTAGTTAGGGGATAATGTGGTTGGTGACTTTAATTTGAAGCCAGTGCTCACTTACCATTTCAAAAATCCTAAGGTCCTTAAGAATGATGCTAAATCTACTTTGCCTATGCTTTCTAAAGGGAACAACTAAGTCTAGATGACAACACATCGGTTTACACAATGATTTACTGAAAATTTTATGCCCACTTTTGAGATCTACTGTTTAGAAGAAAAGATTCCTTTCAAAACATTACTACTCATTAACAATGTAACTGACCAAGAGCTCTGATGGAGATGTACAAGGAGATTAATGTCATATTCATGCCTGCTAACACAACATCATTCTTCAGCCATTGGATCGAGGAGTGATTTCAACTTTCAAGTTTTATTGATTAAGAAATACATTTTGTAAGGCTATAGCTGCCATAGGGAGTAATTCCTCTGATGGATGTCGGCAAAGTAAACTGAAAACCATCTGGAGAGGATTTACCATTTTATATTCCATTAAGAACATTCACGATTCATGGGAGGAGGTAGCAGTGTCTTAAGATGGAATATACACCTCCTAATGAAGATGCTATGAACATTGTTAAGACGATAACAAATGATTTTAGAATATTGCATAAATTAAGTTAATAAAGGAGTGGCAGGGTTGAGAGTATTGACTCCAATTTTGAAAGAGGTTCTATGGATAAGATGCTATCAAACAGCATCACATGCTGTTTTCTGTAGAAGATTTTCTATGGAAGAAAAGAGTCAAGTGATGTGGCAAACTTCATTGTTGTCTTATTTTAAGAAATTGCCACAGCAACTCCAAACTTTAGAAACCACCGCCACAGTCAGCAGCCATCAACATCGAGGTGGCAAGATTTTCCACCAACAGAAAGATTACAACTAGCTGAAGGCTCAGATGATTATTAGCATCTTTTAGCAATAAAATATTTTTAAATTGAGGTACATATATTGCTTGTGTACACTTCATAAAGTATCATGTAAACATAAGTTTTATATGTACTAGGAAACCAAAAATGTGTGACTCACTTTATTGCAATATTCACTTTATTGCAATGGTCTGGAACTGAATGTGCAATGTCTCCAAAGTATATCTACATTGAGGTCTTACTGTGAATATGATGCTATGATTCTTACCACAAAAATGAGAGGACACGGCTCTGATGAACAATAGTTATATCAAAACATGTACACATAACTATGTTGCAAAGTAAAATAAATTCTTAAATTAAAAAAAATAGAAAAGTACCATAGAGTTTTGAAGAAAAGAGAGCATACCATGTTGCAGAGGATGAAAAATGGTTTCATATAGGTAGGTGACAGTTAAAAGAAACTTTTAGAAATAATCTCTTAACTGTATATGTTCTGTGATATATTTTCTAAAGTACTTTTTTTTTCACTTAGTTTGTCTGTTAACTAATAAAGAATTTAGTATCAATGGGATAAGAATAAGTTAACTCATGAAAGGAGAAAGCACAGGCATGCTTATGCAAGTTGTCCAGCTTCTTGGAATGCAGAGGGCATATAGAGCAGTACTGGTAACTAAGACTATAACATTAAAGCACAATCCATAGTATAATAAGCTTTGACTGTCAACGTGAAGTATTGGTAGGTGACTGTGAATTATGGAAGTCATTCAAGTAGGAGAATGATGTTTTCAATTTTTTTGTGGCATTGAATTGACTCCAGGATTTTTCAACTTAAAGAAACTGGAAGTTCAATGATAGCAAATCGAATGTTCTTTGAATTTGGAAATTAAGTTTAGCGTATAGGGAAAATGATATAAATGTAGACTATACATGGGGGTACCAATGACAATTTCCAGATAGGCAACTGGAGATGATTCGCTAGGCATCCACCATAAGTAGATAGTAAAACTGAGCAAATCCATCCCTATGGAGTAAAGGTGGAAGCAAGAAGTGTGTAAATAATCACAAGACACATGTTTCCACTGAGTTTTATAATTTACAAAATATCTCATATATTTTATAGTGTTGGACCCTCACAATTGTGAGGCAGGCAGGAAAAACAGTCTTATTCCTATTTTAGAGATGAGAAATAGGATTAATATAGGTGGCCTCTTCAAAGCAACAAAAATAAATGCAATATAGTTAGATTAATTTAAAAGGTCATCTGGATTCAAATTCAAGATACCCAGTAGAAAAATACAATGTTCAATTAATAAATGCCAAGTATTTACTCAATAAATATTTTTGAATGAATGAAGGAGGAAATAATAAGAGTTATAATGAAATAACAAAGAAAGCAAGATTAAAAGGAATTAGGGAGGGAATAATGATCACTACTATTAATAGATAACATCATTGAGTGCTTATTCTGTGCTAAACCCTGTTTTAGAAGCTTTACATGTAGTTTTTTTTTTTTTTTTTTTACCTTCACAACAACCATATGAGCTGAGCTATGGTTATTCCCTTTTTACAGGTAAAGAGACTGAGGTACACAGAGTAATTTATGGAAGTTGTCCTGCTAGTAAGTAGTGGTGCTGTTACACAGGCACCCTGTCCACAAAACTTAATAGCCCTGCAGCTGGCTTTTATTTGCATGAAAACATTTATAGATAGATAAAAAATATATTAAAGATAGAGAAATACATAGATAAATGGGTGGATGATGTGACGGTTAATTTCGTGTGTCAATAGACTGTGCTACAGAGTGCCCAGATTAAACATCATTTCTGGGTGTGTCTGTGAGGGTGTTTCTGGTTGAGATCAGCATTTTAATTGGTGACCTTCTCAATATAGGTGGTCATCATCCAATTCATTGAGAACCTGAATAGAACAAAAAACTGAAGAAGGACGGATTTGTGTTCTTTCTGCCTGACTGCCTGAGTTGGGACATCCATTTCTCCTGCCCTTGAACTGGGATTTACACCATCAGCTCTCCTGGTTCTCAGGCCTACAGATTCTGACTGAAACAACACCACCAGCTTTCCTAGGTCTCCAGCTTGCAGAGGACAGGTCATGAGACTTCTCAGCCTCTATAATCATGTGAATAAATTCCTCATAATAAATTAATATCTCTCTCTGTCTCTGTCTCTGTCTCTCTCTCTCTCTCTTATTGGTTCTGTTTCTCTAGAGAACCTTGCCTAATACTGATGGGTAGGTGGATGAATGGATGAACAGATGGATGGATGGATGGATGGATGGGTGGATAAATGATAGATGAGTGAATAGATTTACAGATTGATGTATGGAAGAATGGATGGATGGATGGACAGAGGAATAAGTGAATGGATAAATAGTAGACGGTTGGATGAATAGATGGGTAGATCAATGGATGGAAGGATTGATAAAAGGCGAAACAGAGGGATTATGAGACAGCAAGAGAGAGGGGTAGATAGTAGAGCGCACTGGTACTGGAAACTGATGCAGTGCTCTTGTCTGTTGCACAGAATCCTTCATATGTATTTTTCAAAGCACAGTACCATAGGCACTTGAATTAATTCTAATTCTTCATTACATACCATTTAATTTGTTTCTGATTCATACAAATACTCCCCACATCCTGTTTCTCATTTAAAATGTAGGTTTTTTGTTTGAGGAATATTAAATTTCTTTCAAAAAGAGAAATTTTATTTTAAAAGAAAGGGAAAAATTTATGAGGTTTTATGAAACATCAATTCAGGCTTTTATTTCTAAAGTGTCTATAGATTTAGTAAAATCTTGACTAAAAGCTATTACATGTAATCTTGTCAAAGGCTACTAAAATGACTTCATGTCTCACTTTATAACTTTTTTTTTTCTAATAGAGATGTGGTACAAAACATTTAGCTTCATAGATCAAGATCTGAGAGTTATAATCACATCCCTTTAAGTATAACCAAAATAGCTCAGAATGGAAACATGTTCATCTAAGATAGTGAATTCAAATGACATTTCAAATACACACACACACACACACACACATACATTCCAGTTTCCAAAGCAACTTAATCTTATATTGCTATTTCTCTCAGGGTGAATTTGATCAATCATTTGCATCTATTCTGGGTGAAAAGGGACAATTAGGAGGCAACATAACACATTGGGTTAAAAATAATCAAATTCCCTTGTATTTACATAACCTGCTGATTCCAAGGAGCTTTAAGTACCTTATAGATAATATCTCATTAATCCCTACAACATCAGTATGAGATGGATGGCAAATAGTATGCTCTACTAGGTGCAGAATAGATAGAGACAATGATTATAATAATACATTGTGTTTGTAGAACATCTTGTGCTGAGGTGTTCAGAACATTTCAGATGCTATCGAAGGAATTGCTTGATCTTCCTAAGGGATTGATACTGGGCAAATATCAGCTTCTTTCAGATTAATGTGGAAAACTAAAGCATACACAGTGACATATTCAATTTTACTGGTTGTGACATTGTTCAAAGGACATTTTTTCTTCTAACTATATACTTGGTGTTCTGAAAACTTGACCATTATTGTTTTTGCTTGATATTAAAAGTAGACAGTTGATTGATAGACCAAAGATAGATGGTAGGTAGGTACGTAGGGAAAGAGAGAGAGAGAGATGATAGACAGATAGCAAACCTCAAATTTCAGTCCTGGCCTAAACATGGTGGTAGTTATCATATCATGGTGCCGTGCCTACAGACCCAGAGCTGCTAATGAAAGAAAAGATAAAGTCTCTACATTTAACACATTTTCTGAAATTCTAATGGACTTAATTTATAAAACCTAATCCAAAACCTTTTTGAAGTAGGCATAGGAGATAGAAATAGCAATGAATTTAAACTTTCAAATAATGTTCCTATCATAAAATAAATTTTTGAATGCTAAAAAGGCATAAAACTCAAATGACTGCAATGATTTTATTTAAGGGGACAAAATAATTTTTTGAATGACTGCATGGGCTTCCTGGTATAATAATTAAAGTTGGATTAAAAGCAACCCTTTACTGTAACCTGGTGGATTTTGCTGTTACTCTACACTGCTTTCACCAAATGAAGCTCATAAAAAGTAGCTGTTGTCCTATAGCACAAAGAGACCTGGATAAGTAAGAGTTTGGTGCTTTGATGAAACATTCAGCTGACCCTGTGACTGAGTAGAGAGGCATAAAATCAGATGAGAGTAGTGGGACCTCTCAGGAACCAGGTTATAAAGGGCTTTGGAGGTCTTGAAAGGAAATGTATATATTTTTAAGTACAATGGAAGCAACTGGAGGGCTTGGAGCAGAACTTTGATGTGATCTGATTTGCATTTAAATATCACTCCTAATGTTTTGAGGACAATGAATTGCAGGAACTCAAGACTGGCAACAGGGAGACCAGTCCAGAGGCTGTTGCAGTAGTCAGAGATGACAAAACCTCTAGAAGATTTTAACCTGGAGATTAAAAAGAATTTAAAATTTTATGTCAACTGTGTGAGTTTATTAACCTGGAGATCTCATTGTCTAACTATGGTAGACCCCAGTGGTCATAAATTAAATGACATAACATTTAATTTGCTACAATTGCAAATATTTTTAAGAAGCCACAATAAAAATTAATAAACATCAACTTTGTTATAATGGTTAGAGAAATAAAAAAAGTTGAGTTTCTGCCTTTCTTATTATTTCTGTTCTTTGCTGAAAGAGTTGAAACCTGATTTAGTGTGATTTGCTTCATACACAACAGAAAATCAATCGTAACAAAAACCTTACAACAATAGCTGATTTATCTTAACTTCCCTGGACCATAACAAAAGCAAAAACACATAAAAAATAGATAAATGACAAGAAAGAAATAGGCAGTACCCTATTATAAGCTATTTCCTTGCTTTACCAAATAAAGATAGAACCATTGAGCCTGTTGTTTTGGTGTTCACATCATCTATTGTGCTTTTCTCATTAGCTATTGGTTAATTTTAGCCATTTGAAAGTGAGAATGAAAAGCATTTCTGCTTTAAGCTCAATATTCTTTACAAATAGAGGTATGCACAAGAAATCAGAAAGCTATTGTTATATTTTTGACACTGAGGCTGGCTTTCTCGCCTAGACCAAGTTATCTGTTAGCCTGTACTTGGTTCACACCACAACCCCAACCCTCAACTTAACTAACCTTTAAAGCAACTAAGTTATCTCCAGTAGAACATGGTGTACATAAGTGTGTTGAAATGCATGTAATTAATGTCATTATTTCATTATAGTATTATTTTCAATTTTATTACAAACAGTAGTTAATATATTTAAAGCAAAATTAAGAAGAATGTCTTAGTCTTCTTAGAAGTTAGAAATTCTAATGATCTAAAGTTAGAAAATTTAAACTTGACTAAATAAAATAGAAAAGTTCTGTTATAGTACAAGTGTAAAAGTAAAGTTTGCTGAAATAAATAAATAACATGGTTTAAAATCTGTAGTATCAATTGCAACATCCGACATAGCATCAGATTTGCAAAGTACAAGTTTAATATTTAAAGTATCATATATTAAAATGAAGCCAAATTTATTTAATTATCAAAAAGTATCCAAATTATTTTAATTTAAAGAAAGGAGTGCTCTTATTTTCAAATACAGTTCTGTGCACCATTAATTTTCTAACTGTATAACCCTAGTGTATCACAGACATAATCCCTCAAGACAGAGCAAGTCCTTTCCTAGGACTGCAGAGGAAGAGTTTACAATGCTCTGTATTAAAAGCTACAGAAGAAAGCAAGGGAAGGGGGAGGGTTTTTTAAAAAATACGTGAACATCACCCTTCTTTCCTTAATGTATTTTCCCATGCTGCTGAACAATCTATTACTCAGCATTAGTAAGGCCTTGCCTCAGCAGGAGGTGTCGAGTGGTTTATGGATTTGAATGTCTAGGCAATCTGTAAGCAGTTAGGGGAAAAAAAACTACAATTCTAGATTGGTTAATGCTTTCTCTTTGGCTTGCCAAATATGCATTTTATTTACAAGCTAATGAATTACTTACCTCAGTTGAAATAATCCATTCTTATTAAGGCACATCTGGTGATAATTATGAAATGTGTAAACAATGAAAACATGTATTTTCCAACCAGTAAACAGAAATTCATCAATATTGGTAACAGCTAAGTTGAAACTGCATCCCCTTTCTTTATCCATAACTGGAATACCTAAAACACATCTTATTATCTTGACACATGATTAATATACAGAATAAAGGGTCTCTTAATAGTCATATTTAACTCACCATTCTTATTAAAATCTAATTAAAGCTCCCCCAGTGGAGAACAGTCTGGATTTAGTGAGTACGTTTATATAACCATTGAAATCTCATTATTACTAATGGGCTAAACAAAATATTTTGGAGATATCAAATGATTTAAATTTATATCTAGACACCAATTATATATTACATACAAAATTTCTTTAAAAGGAAAAAGTGACAGTTTTACAGAGAAAATTATAATTATTTCTTACACAAAGCTTTTATTATTTTGGTAATATATTTATTTTTTCCATTGGTCTTGAGTATAATTTTTAAGCTATGAGAGACTAGCACTGAGACATTGAAGGAATAGCAGGAATAAAACAGCTATTTTCCCCTAAAGAGTAAAATAAAAAATTTAAGTGGATCTTATATTTTTTCTTATAGCCTGATGTTGATTTTTACCAGAAATAAATTTATTTTAAGTTTTTTAATCAACCACCACAGCATAATTCAGTTGTCCTTTATATGTTCCCATGGGACCTACACTTTTTAATGCCGGCAGCAAATGTTAACACTGAGTGCTTACCATGTGCCTTGCCCTGTGCCAGAAGCTTAAGACCCAAAACAGCAAAACCAGATGAGGGTGCTGTCCTGCTGCAACTGAGGATCTAGAGGCATTGCTGTTACTAATCCCTAGTAGGTATTCCGAGGGTTTCGGCTACCTGCTTACAACAGTATGGGGATTACCTCACATCAGAAGACTTTGCTGGGTAGTTGGTATGATTGTGTCCCCTCCTTGGCACACCTTGCTTTATTCATCCTTGTTTCTGAAGCTCAAACAAAATGCAGAGCTTGTCGTGGAGGAATGAACCTAGTTGGGTTCAAACGTGGTCTTCACTTTGTCCGTTTCCTCAGTACAGGAGCCAGTGCTTACCACCTCTTACTCCTTGGTGTGCTCAAGCCCTCTGCTCAGAGTTCTGTTAGAGCACTGGTCCAACTGCGCTGCAATCATCAGTTAATATCAATGTTTGATTCTTAAGGAGGGCCACGGTCACGTGCCCCTAGAGTGATAAACCAGAAACCCTTGGGTCATGCATTGTGAGAGATTTGTGTTAGTTTAGCTTGTTTTCAAAAGAAAGTACGATTTTCAAGGTTGGAAAATCATTAACATATATAGAGAGAAGAATATATACAGAGGAACATATATATATATAGAGAGAGAGAGAGGAATATATAGAGAAAGAAATATATATATATGGAATTACATGTAGGAATATATACCTATAGGAATACATATATATTCTTTTTATATATATAAAATATAATATATACTCATATGTATATATGTATGTGTGTGTGTGTGTGTGTGTGTGTGTATGTGTGTATATATATATATATATATATATATATTATTTTCTCCTTTCACTAGTTGGTCTATGAACACCTCTCAGCCCCCTGGCCATCATCTTCTTCAACTCCTCTTCTCCAGACCTAGCATTTTGCCTCACACATCAGCTGGCTCTGTATAGCCATCTGTCTGCCTCTCTGCCTATCTTTACTCCTCTAAGTCATAAAGTTTCACAGGAATGTGGCAGGAACCCCACCGCTAACTGTTCAGACACCTTGTCTCTCATCTCAGTGGAGATCATAAGGCTTATTTCAATATATCTCCAGCAATTGTCTACCCAACAGCAATTTCTCTGCATTTCTGAAGTGTAAAAGGTGTCCTTCCTGCTACTGCTGATGTAGTATTCCAGGAGAATGTGGACTTTTGCAGACATAAGGTACCCTTACTATCTACCATATATTTGATTATTTTTTCCTTTGTCCTGGGAAAAAAGGATTAAAATTATATTGTCCTCAAGGAAGTGACACTACGATGTTTATAAATCTTTGCAGAACAACAAATTTCATTCTATCATGACATCATACCAAATATGGAAATTTGAGAAGTTCCCCCAAAAAAGTCTGATAAAGTTTTTCAACCTTTTTTTTTTTTTTTTTTTTTTTGAGACAAAGTCTTGCTCTGTCATCCAGGCTGGAGTACAGTGGCCCAATCTCGCTGCCTTGCTGTAACCTCTGCCTCGTGAGGTCCAGCTATTCTCAGGCCTCCCCCTCCCAAGTATCTGGAATTAAAGGTGCACACGACCACGCCCAGATAATTTTTTGTATTTTTAGTAGAGAAGGGTTTCGCCATGTTGGCCAGATTTTGTATCAACATTTTGTTTAATGTTATAACCAGCAAACAAGGGCCCATAAACCTGGTGGCAATGAAGAGATGGAGTTATGATTTGATATCATCAAGCTAATGATTTCAGTCCTGAGACTGCATAATAAATGGGTTGAAATTCCTTTATTCTTTGGAACAGATGCTAGTTACTTTTTTAAATCCCATATTTATCACTGAAAAAGCTGTGACGTGAGGGTCTCCACAAATTTTGTTTTACAAAGCAAGGACTAAAACTATGTAAACAAAAAGCTGAGGCCACCATGGTGCTATCTGCTTTTTTTGCACAATACTGCTTTTAAGCAGAGATGAAGGCAGTAATGTAACCTTTGACTTGTCTTCAGGGCTTGGTTATGCTGAAATTTCTGCATTGTTTTTATTTTAAAATAATTTAAAATTAGGCCTGACTCGGGGAAAGAAGTCCCTCTAATTTGAGCGAGCATTTTTCCATAAGTTTCTTTGGTCAAATTTCAAGAATCCTAAATAGTGGGAAGAGAATTAAATGCCTGTAAACTCAATATTTTTCCTACTTGTCCTATTCCTTGGGTTCATTAATTATTTCAATCATTTAACAAATATTTAGGCATTAACTAATCCTGTGTGTATCTAGAGATTCAAGAATCAATAGGATACACACTCTTCCTGCCTCATGGAACTTAGAGTCCAGTGGAGGAAACAGAAAAAGGGGCAAGAAATAACAAAAAGAGGTTGAGAAATGTCATACTTAGTGCAACTTCAGTTCTTAATTCAGAAAAGTAAACCAGGTTTTTTTAACAAGTCTTCATTTTCGCCAGTTTAGTTGACTGGGTCATTTTCTCCCAGGAATACAATATCCTATTAATTCTTCAAAAATACCTTCACTGATGCTTTAAAAAAGAGGACTGAGAAATGTAAAAACTTTGAGAAGTCATTTATGAGTTATATTGTGGGGAGTGGAGATTGAGGGGAGCAGTGGTAAGGAGAAAATCTCTGGAGAGCTCTTGAAACGGTTGCAGTTAATGTGAAACTATAAAGACACCTCTAATAGGATTCCAAACCCCAAGGACTGACAGGGTAGCTCACCTGAATACTCAGGGCTCTCTTTTCTTCTATTTTAATGCAAGATAATTCAGGGTGAGCACATTTCTGAGGGAAGAATGGAGATTAGTTATTCTGTAACCTCCCCAGCAATTTTCCTTCTAGCCAAGTAAGTTTCTAGCTAAAGGGAAGAATCCTGCATTTGGTTTCCCAAAAGCCTTTTGTGACAAATGACAGCTATATTAACCTGGTGGATAGGTGTGCCGAAATAGAGAATTATTGCATCTACATTGTATTGGATTCTGACTTCATTCACCCTCGGTAACTCCAGGGCTGCTTCCTTTGAAATTTTTGCGAGCAAATTGCATCAGGAGAAGACTTTTTTCCCCCTGATTAAGTAGTCTATGGCTCGGTCATGATTAACTGCTATGGTAGCTGCCTTCTTTCCAAATTATAGGGAGAGAATGAGCTAAAGTGTGTTTCAAGCTAAAGAAGACATATTAAAAATAACCCTTCCCTACAGAAGATACAGCATTGATCATAGGAATCCTCCCATCAAAGAAGCATCTGCCTAAAAAACTTTCAGGTCATGCCTATTTTCTCCAGTAGTGTCTATAATGATATTCAATCTAGCACATTCACAGATTTCTGAGAATCCTTGCTTTCAGTATCCCTGTGATTATGTATAAATTAATTGATGGAATTGCTTTGTTATAAGCTGTCAGTCTTTATCAAATATAGTATGCCTGATCAATATTATATTTCTACTGACAGAATGATGTTAACTTTAGGAAGGTGTATCCTCTACCTCTCCTCCAGGAGTTTTCAAAGTTATTTTGACTGCTTCAAAGTCATTAGATATCTAGTTCAGTGTAACACCATGGCTTAAGACTGATGTGCCTTTCTTCATACTCAGATCTGCAAATGCACCACGCTACAAATGGCAGCGTGGGACAAACATGTTTATATCATACTATTGTATTTTGGTCCAATTGTAAAATAAATATAAATATTGTCGAATATTTATGAAAACAATCCAGCCAATCTCAATGTTTTTATTTAACTCTATAATCTTCAGATGTCAAAATAGAATCTTTGTGCTGTCTATCCCAAATAATTGTTCCAACTTTTTATTCTCTCTGAAAAACCATAGCCAGAAGAACATGGCTCAACTATTAAGTGGAAAGGGAAAGAGGGAAAGAACACAGACATGGTTTGGCATACTTGATGGACTGAGATATGTATTCTTACAGGCCAGTGGTTTATGGACAAAAATACTTTTGAAACAATTTTGGAGTAGGATGGGAAATTTGCATTCTTCTGGCAGCAAGATCTTAGGTAACTTTGGCTGTTCATCCGGAGTTAAGCATGTGAAATACCTTGTAGAGATGCATTAAGTAAAACCTAGAGATTTCATTCAGGTTGTCTATAAATAGGCTGGTCAGAGCTAGCACAAGGTTTCTTTTTCATGAAAAAAGAAACGTACCTTTTTCATGAAACCTCAGCACTTGACTCCGAAAAATGTTAAAAGCTCATCTAATTATATAATACTTGTGCATCTGGTATCACATATATATTTTTATAGTTCCATTTGGAAACAACTGGAATGTGATTTCTCATTCATAAGAAATTCTCTACGGGTGAATTGCAGGCTGTTCCTTAACTGCACACTTCAGAAGGGGCCAACAATACTGCCTACCTAAGGAGTAACTCCAACACTATTCTTCATTATTGATATTGTTAGGCTTTGTGTCCCCACCCAAATCTCATCATGAATTATTATCCCCATAATCCCCACATGTCTAGGGAGAGACCTGATGGGAGGTGATTGAATCATGGGGTGGTTTCCTCGATGCTGTTCCTGTGATAGTGAGTGAGTTCTCATGAGATCTGATGGTTTTATAAGAGGCTCTTGCCACTTCGCTCCTCACTCTTCTCTCTCCTGCCACCATATGAAGAAGGTTCTTGTTTCCCCTTTGCCTTCAGCCATGATTGTAAGTTTCCTGAGGCCTCCTCCAGCCATGTGGAACTGTGAGTCAATTAAAGCTCTTTCCTTTATAAATGACCCAGTCTCAGGTATTTCTTTATAGCAGTGTGCACAGACTAATACAATTATAAAGAAACAAAGCCGTAGTTCTTCAGTTTCTTATATTCTAAACAAAATATATTTTTAAAATTTATCATGTTATGATAAAGCACATGTATTTCCTCACTTTAACTTTTGAAATCAAAACATTAGTGCTATGTAGGAGAAAAGTAACTTGTAAAACTGCAAAATAATGCAAAAATGTTTTGTTACTTGCCTGATTTATATACAATTTAGGCAATTTACCCAAGTGATTAAAATGATTGTTTTTAACTCTAGGGAAATACTGGTATCTTAAATCAAAATATAGAAACTTTATCATTAAATTATCTGTTTCATATCAGGATTGCATTTAATTTAAAATTAGTGATCAACAGTATTCAGATCATCTTTGCAACAAATTTTCTAGCACCTAATCTATATTTGATTTATTCTATTTCTTTTAGTTCTATTTCCTTTCAAAAGCCCATCCAATTCATCTCTTCACAAAATACCTAAAATTAACCACCAAGGGAAGCTCTCTTTCTGTAATATTTTTAATTCCCTCTTCGCTCCTGAAAAACAAACAGTATGGGAGATAAAAACTGAACCAAATCATATAACAAAACTATAAATGCTTGTTTCTTAAAGGTACTACCTCGGCACCTGATTCTCAAAAAATAAAAAATAAATAAATACTTATGCAGCCGTGGTGGGAGTTTCCAGGGTATCTTTTATGCATGAGAAGAAATGTTCAGTGTACTAGGCTCCAAAACAAAAGAAAAATTGAGGATTCATAGGAAAGTATAACCATTTAAAATCTAGGACAGGGAGTGAGAGGAGAGATGGGGGCTGCACGAAAGAGGAGTGAAGATTACACCTGGCAGTCAAAAACGCATTATCCTGAAACAGAGCGCATGAACTCTGTGCTGTAAGTCCTGTGTCCCTCTCTGCCCTGCTGGCACCTACATCTCTGGCATGTGGACACAGTAAGCTACATTTATTACCCAGGAGAGCAAAAGGCAGGGGCCTTGACTCTTCATCCATCAGACCCAGAACAGAGTGCATATTGGGAGATGGGTCAGGTCTCTCACAAATAAGCCAATGAAATCAAGATTTCTGGTGCTACCATAAAAGAAGTATTGGAAGTGAGGCAGGAGATCTTTATTTCTTCTAAAGGCACCATAACGGGAGCTGTAGCAAATCTCTTTCAAGTAATGAGTTCCACGGCCAACAAATGGCTTGTCAAGGCCAGAGATGAACTGTGGCCACTTCAGACCAGAGCCTTAAGTTCTGAGTTTTCAGTTTGGAAGCCATACGCAGGATTGTTCATTCCATCATCTGGAAATGTGAGGAAGTTTTAGGATTGATTACAAGCCAGGTAGAACAGGACAAATATTGAAACACTGAGTGTGAGAACTGAAGGGACCATTAAAGTACTGCTTTACTTTTCAAATTGAACAACTGCATCGAAGCCCAGATGAGTACGGACGTGTTGTGCATCCATTCAGCACCAGAAATGTGGCATAGCCAGTGGGGGTCATCAGAAAGCAGTGAGGTCACTTGAACAGGAGCTGTCAGTAAAGAGAATGGGGTCCTTTTGATCAGTTGTCCAAATATGCGGTAGGAATAATTAGACAATAAATTCCTACAAATGGGGATAAAACTATAACATTACACTGGAAGAGACTGGTATTCACATATATATCTTTTTGACCATATTCATACATAACAGCAGAAACACTATTATTAAGGTCAATCCTCTTGAATATCCAAAGTAGGAGCTGCCTACTACATAGTTCAACTTTAAGGACATTAATAGATACATGTGCCAAAAATATCTGCTCCATCTGGTAGCCAAGTGACTCTAGTGTCAGCATGAGATCCACTCTTTCACATTAACAAATGATCTGAGGAATTTCTCTATTAAAATTCAGTTGTATCATCTCAGAGGAATAGCAGATAATCTGATTAGCACCCAATATCACCTTCACTTGGATTCATTTATAAAGCTAGCAAGCTGTCACCCAGCAGAACCAGGGCACTCAGGGAATGGTTTTTAGACAGATGTTTAAAAACAAAAAAAATGACAAAAACAAAAGCCGTCAGAAAAGTTCCTAGACACAGGGCATGCCACGCAGTGCCTGTGGGGGGTACCGAGTCACTCCCGATCTGAGTCTCAGCTCCCATTTAGCCATCTAGCAGCCACCTAACTCCACATTGACTTACTGAGATTCACTTTTCTGTTAGTTAAAGTCAATAAGTCACAACTCACAGTATTTATGAGAGAATTTAATACAACAAGAAGTAGCGGATCCAAAGTCACAAGAGAATTAGTGGAAATTTCAAGGTACATTAACTAATGTCTATTTGCCTATTGGGTCATAATTTGGTACTAAGAAGAACTCAAAGCAAAAACAAAAGCAAAATGAGCTCTGCTTCCATTTCCTTCTCAATTTCTCCAACGTGGCTCAATGTGGTTTACATTAGAACTTTGCCACTGGAAAACGACCTGTGCTTTATCAAAGATAAATGTAAGAACAGCTGACCACCTCCCACCCTCCCTCTTTCCCAAAACCTGGAGCAAAGAGTTTTCCTTCAATAAATGAAGACAACTTTTTAATGAATATTTAAAATGTGAACTTCAGCTGGAGAAGCCCCTCTTCCCAAAGATTTTCCAAAAGAAAAGCAGTTTCAAAAATATCCAGAATTATAGTCAGTTTTCACTATTTTTTGAATATCCTAAAATGTAGAGCATGTTTCTTTGTAGGTTGATCAGGGAATCTTTGAGAATGGTTTGAGAGGCCCCAGTCTGCCCTCTAGGTATTGACCTTTCCTTCCCCACAATTATTAATAATCCAAAAGTGCAGGAGATGATGGAGACCTTTTGTGTCATTTCACAAAAAAACAATGTGAGAAGCAGAGCACAGGAAAAGCTAACTGACTTGACAGAATATGGAAGAGGAATGCAGGGATATTTGATCACAAAGAAACAGCCCAATTTAACTCTGAAGTCACTTAAAGTATAAGCATTCTGGATTCTCTGGGAATAGGTGTTGTCACTTGTTCTGTATACATGATCAATAGAGTCACTTCAATGAACCAGCTGATAATCAGGTTTCTAGAAGCAGTCTGGTTGTGAGAACAATCATATCAGGTCATGCTTCGTTCATACGTGTTAAGGCATCTTTGCTATTAATCCTAGATAGACAAGGTTTTATTATAGAAACAACATGTACACAGTTTGATAGACATAATTACTCACATGCAAAGTTTTAGCAAAATGAGGTACAGAACAACTTTTTCTAACTCTTGAATAGGAAGATGACTGTGGAGGAAGGTAGATTATTTGTTCTTTAAGAAAATGTGTAGGCATGAATGATTTGCCAATTATTCTACTTCATTGTATTTAAATAGTATTCAGTTCTTTCAAAATGTAATTTTGAATATTTACCGAGACTAAGAATGCTCAGAACTTTGAATTCTAGAATATAGCTAGCCCCATCCCCACCAGATGTTAAGAGCTGACAATTTTAAGTCTCAGTTTATTTTCAATGTTTCCTTACATTTGAGAAACATTTATTAATGTAGTTAATAAAGACAACACCAGGTAGGTGACAATATCTATCTTACTGGCTCAATCTCTCAAACCATATTTTCAGCTGTTTTATTTTAAAAGGGTGTTTGCATTTAGAGAAACTTTTCTGAAAGTTCAATCTAGAATCAACTGGTGTGATTTCAGAACCCAAAGAAGAAAAAGAAAAAGAAAAAAAACCTCTCAGTACAGTGTACAGAAATAGTAATTCCTATTTAAATGACACCTTCTACTTGATAAATTATCTGAACAGAGGTTTGAAAATAAACTTAATCTGTAATCATTCAGAAATATTTAACTCTTCTAAAGAAATGCAGTTATAATTGTAATAGTTTGAGCATTCATTTAAATTCACAATTGGTCCTATTTTCCTTCTTTGCAATTTGACTTGTTTTAAGGGAAAAAATCCATTTTTTAATCTGTCCCTTATGGGAAATGAGATTATTCATTTTAGTTATTTATGAATTCACATTCTGGACCTTTTCTCCATAGAGTAGACAATCTTTCACAAGTAATATTTTCCTATTTTAATCAACTATAACTTCTAACAATGTTCTGAGGAACTGTGTCTGTACCTTGTTTTTTATTCAGCCTTCCACTTTTTGTATTCTGTGCAACCTGGAAAATGGAAATAGGAAAGTCAGAAGAGTTCCACACTCGGACACCTAAAAGGCAGAGCAGAGCAGCAAATCTGAGATGCACCGAAACCAGGATGGAGAGAAGAGGATGAGATAGGCTGGAAGGAAGACAGTCAGGCCTGTTCACAAGATAAATATTGGCGACAAGTGTCCCTAATACTATAGACTAATCTGACTAACACAAATACTTGTCCAACTACCATGTGGGGTGCAGGAGGGAAAAGTACCCATGATGATTTTTACAGATGAATTCATTGCATCCATTTAGAAATAGAAAATCTCGGGCTGGGCACAGTGGCTCATGCCTGTAATCCCAGCACTTTGGGAGGCCAAAGTGGGTGGAACACCTGAGGTCAGGAGTTCAAGACTAGCCTGGCCAACATGGTGAAACCCCATCTCTACTAAAAAAATACAAAAATTAGCCGGGCATGGTGGCGCATGGCTGTAATCCCAGCTGCTCGGGAGGCTTAGGAAGGAGAATCGCTTGAACCTGGGAGGGGGAGGTTGCAGTGAGCTGAGATTGTGTCATTGCACTCCACCCTGGGTGATAAGAGCAAAACTCCATCTCAGGAAAAAAAAAAAAAGATAGAAAACCTAGTATTTTCTTGAGAATGAAAGAAAGATAAAGCAGAATTTCATTCCCTGTTGTTTAAATCTCCTTCTTTCTTTCATGAAAAACACATGGCAAAGCACCTTATACTTCGAGTTATTTTCTTTTTCTCTCCCCTCTTTGTTCAACTGGCATTTAATGAACATTTAGCATGTGCTCAGCACTGAGCCTGATGAATATAAAAACGAATAAGACATAGTCCTGGCTCTTGAGAGGTTTTGCCTGTAAAGAAAGATGGGCATTTCAATAGATGATTTGCATGCACCACGAAGTCCTGGTGTGGACTTACCCAGATATGTGAAAAGTCTTCAAAGAGAGATAATATGTTGTATGGGAAAGCAATGTAGAGAAAGCATTCCAGTAAGATAGAAGAGAAAAATTCTAGACATCCCAAAGATGCAACATGATATGTGCAAAAACACAAGCTGATTGGCACGTCTTAAACAGGGTATTCAAAAATACAGGTAACACATCAACTTTAACCCCCACATAACACCCAACCCCCAGGGATATTGACCAGTACTGTCCATCCTTAATATTACATCGCACATTCAGTCGCTCATTGGACATAGCACATTTCAGTCAAATCCGCCCTCGTCACCACAGATACCCTCCTCTATACTTGGTCTCTTATCCACCATCCTCCAAGAAATAAATATCCTGCACAAGCGCCCTACCCCCCTCACTCCAGTCCCATAACACTTGGGTTGAGAGTCATGAAGATAGAGGGGAAGGAAGGGGGTGAAAATGACTAGAGGGTTTTCTGGAGAGTAGAGGCCAGTGAGGCCAGGGCTGCCTGTTCAGGTAATGTGAACCCACTCTGTCCAACACCAGAGTCTCTATTCTCAACCACTAAACTCTTTTGGATAGATATAATTAGAATACCAAGTGTTAATTTCTGAGGTAGAAGAAACAAAGTTCTTTGTGCTCACTTATGGAAGAAGTATTCGGCACAGCATTGGCTTGTCCGTGGTGAGTTTCTGAAGGAGGTGCCCGCTCTGGTGAGATTTGAAGTATATTTAGAACTAGATAGGTGAGAAGGAAGAGTGGAGAGAAGAGATGCATTCTCTGCTCCAGATTCAAGAGAGAACACTTTTCTAGGAACCAGGAAAGGTCAAAGATCAAGGTAGGGAGAGAGAAGGATTAAGCAGGGATTGGATCATGGACCCCTTGGAAATCATACAAAGGAGTTCAGATTTTATCCTGAAAGCAGTGGTAAGCCAATGAAATAGTTTAAGCTACACAAAAACATCAATAAGTTTGCATTATAGAGAGATTACTCTGGTTAAGTTTTAAGGAATTGGCTGGAGAAAGTATAACTGTGGGCAAGAAAAATAAGGTTATTTCAGCAGTATAGAGGAGAGATGATGGAGACCTAAACTATGTTAGGAACAGTGAGGCTGGAGAGGTGAGCCACTGTCAGAAATACATAAGAGATGTAAAAACAGGATTTAATGAAATGCACATTAGATTTGAAAGAGAAAGAAAATGAAGTTGTAAACTTTTAAATTTATTCAACAAGTATTTAACGAGAATCTGCTACATGCTCTCCAAGCTTCTAGAGCCTAAAAATAAAATGGTGAAGAAGTTAGGCAAAATTCCTGTTATTACGTAGTTTATGTACTAGTGGAAGATGGGCCTGGTGAGAAGCAGATACTAACTGCTTAAACAAATCAGTGAATTAGATTATTTCAGAAGGTAGCCAGGGCTAGGAATAAAATGAGCAGTATAATGATGTAATAAATAGCTGGAAAGGATTGCAAAGCCTCCTTAGGTTGGTAGGTCAGGCATATGTTTCTGAAAACAGGACATTTGAGTGAAGATTTGAATGGTGTGAAAGGGTCATGCAAGTCTCTAGAAAAGAGTGTTCTGGGATCAGCAAAAGCTTATGCCAAGTCCCTGAGGTCAGAAAAAGCATAACCTATTCAAGAGTGAGAACAAAGGTAAATGAGAAGAGTAAACAAGTGGGAAGGGAGAGTGAGTAGGCAGAAGCCAGAGCCATAGATTTTTAGGTCCTGGTAATGAATTTGCATTGTAATCTAATTTTAATGAGCAGCAATTTGAGGATTTTAAGCAATAAAATGATAGAAGTTGATATTTTCTTTTCAAAAAATCTCTTTAGCCTCTCTGTGCATTTTACTGGCGGAATTGGGAATAAGAGTAGAATCAGGAGGTCAAATCAAGGGATCACTACAGTAATCCAGGTAAAAACAAATGACTTAGAGGAGAAGCATGAGACATGATAAGAAGTGGTTTGGTTTAGAATTCAGGCTATGCAACGCTGATATGATGGGCTGATAGAATGAGTATGAGAAGTAAGAACGAGAGGTATCAAGTTGGACTCCTCTGTTTTGAGCCAGAGACATGGGAGGATGGTACCATTAACCAAGATGGGAAGGAGTAATGGCGGAGTAGTATTAAAGAATACCAAAATGGTAAGTATGATTTGCCCACCAAGTAGAGGTGTTAAGCAGAGAGTTATGTATGAAAGAATTCCAGGCTGGAGGTAGGGGTTTTGGAGCTATCAGCACTTAGATAATATTTAGAACCACAGGGACAAGAGGTGATTGCCCAGGGAATTACTGTAGCTAAAGTAAAAAGAAGACTGGGTATGGGTCTGCGTATGTTGACCTGGGCAAGTGGGTGGTTGATAATGCTAACTCTACCACAGGAAATACTTGAACAGAAAGAAAAGTGGGATTGGGGACAAAGCGGGGAGCTCAATTTGGGCCATGTTGTATTTGGAATTCCAGTCATAGGCACAGCTGCATTTCAGCAAAGACATTCGTACTAAAGATAATTCAGATCCATGAGCGTGTAAATGGCAGCTGCACAAAAGCCTGCATGTGCAGTCTGAGAAGGCATTCAGGCCATCAGCTTACACAGATTTACAGGTGGGCTGCAATGAGGACCAATCACTTGAAGGAGAGGGGTGTGGACTAGGGACCAAGAAAGAATGAGAAACTGCTACTAGTTTTATGAGGAGGAAATCAGACTATGCTGTCCTAATTAATGAGACACAATAACATCTTAAAAAGGAACACAGTACAGTGGAATGGAGATTATACTACGGAAAAGAATAAGTAACCAAATTTGGTGACTTCTGCAGTGTGCAGCTGTGGAGAGGACACTCTGTGTAGTGTGTGGAGGAGATTATGTAAGAGTGACTTTGAAGGTATGGAGACCTAAGAGATTTTTACAATATCCAGGAATGAGTCCACGTGGCCCAAGCTAAAACCATGGTAATAGTGTGGAGATGGGAAATGCATCCAAGAAACCCTCAGGAAGTAAAAGCAGCAAGTCCTGTTCATTGCCTGGATGTGGGACAGTGAGAGATTAGCAGTCTGGAAAGATAAGTTGTTATTTTCTTAACATGGAGAACTGGGTAAATGTCAGCACCACTGATTGGGAGCACAGAGGCTATGAGAAGAGCAGGAGGCAAGTAAAGATCCCAGAATAAGGACAAGGAAATATTGACAGCAGTTGTGGACATGTGAGTCTGAGGTTTGCTTATTCAAATATATCAACCTGGTAGCGAGATGAACATGTGAATATATATAGCATAGTAGAGAGTCAGGGTCAGAGACATAATATAGAGAATCATCTGCATATACTGAGTAATTAAATCATGAGGATACTGGAAATGCTTAGAGAGGCTCCTTTTATAGCAGAGAAAGGTTTCGAAAATGTTTTTGTAAAATATAATGAATGAATTAAATTTTTGTACCCAAATAAGTCAGTCTTCTTGTTTCCTGTGGACTTGTAAGAGGCTTAGAAGTCATCACTCTACCCCAACAAGTAAAATGCTGAACAAACCAAACAATTAACAACCTTCTTAGATCTGTCAGAAAAGTGAGGTCACAAGGCAAGCCACAGTCCCCAAAATTTGAGACTGACAAGCAGATATACAGAATCATAGCTTACCAGAGCAGAAACCCATGCATGAAACCACCATAGACACCAAACCCAAATTGTAACTGACAAATTGCTGGAGGCTTGGTGTGGACAAGTCTGAGAGTCAAAAACTCCAGGGGAGCCCAAATATAGAAGCGGTGGGGTGGGGGTGTGGCGGGGGCGGTTCACAGTTTTATAAATTTTACCTCTGGGAGCTCCTCTAGGTCCTTACAATGAAAATCCAAGAAAATCCTACTCATGCTTCTGGCAGGGAGAGGGGAAAGATAATCATTTTAAAATATTCCAGAGCATTCTGTTCTTCTTAACAAGGCCTGCCCGCAAGAGAAACTATTTCACCAGACCTTAAACTATTGAAGTTTTAACCAGACCCTAACTGACCTGGGAAATGGGAAGTACCCAATTCTACCTCCCGCTGTTGGAAAAGGGGAAAAAACAATTCCAGCCCACTCAAGCCACCCTGTCCCATTTAAAGTGGTAGGAGTGGAGGAGGGGGACTGAGAAGCACTTGTGAAGTTCACAGCCCAGGGCACAAGTGGAGATGTAATTATAAGACTATAGAATGTCCCACCCCCAACACACACCCACAGGCACCTTCCCACCACATTGTGAAAGGCTTATTTGGTTCTTTTACCCCATCCATCATGTTGGCTTTCAACACAACAACAAAAAGTCACAAGGTGTACTAAAAAGCAAACAAACAAACAAACAAACAAACCCTGAAGCTGGAAACCATCATTCTCAGCAAACTAACATAGGAACAGAAAACTAAACACCACATGTTCTCACTCATAAGTGGGAGATGAACAATGAGAACACATGGACACAAGGAGGGGAACATCACACACCAGGGCGTGTCGGGGGGTTGGGGGCTAGGGGAGGGATAACATCAGGAGAAATACCTAATGTCGATGACTGGTTGATGGGGGCAGCAAACCACCATAGCATGTGTATACCTATGTAACAAACCTGCACATTCTGCACATGTATCCCAGAACTTAAAGTATAATAATAATAATAATAAACCATCCTAAAGAGACAGTGCAAGCATCAGGACTAGAATCCCATAAGGCAGGGATGTTGGAATTATGAGATTGTGAATTTAAAACAATTAGGATTAATATGCTAGAGATTCTAATGGAAAAGTAGACAACTTGCAGGAACAGATGGGGACAATTAAACAGAGAGATGGAAATTCCAAAAAAAAAAAAAAATCAAGAAGGAATGCTAGAAATCAAAAATGCTGTAAGAGAGAGATGGAAAAGCCTCTTTTTTTTCAAAACCTCTTCAGGATTAATTGAGTTGCATCAGTTGGGGTGGTAGATGAAGGGATCCGTAGCAGGCCTGTTAAGCAAAGTCTGGTCCTTCTGACCAGGACAGAAAGCTCCGCACCGGAGATCCTCCGGTCCCTGCACCACCTGCTGTGTGCCTTCATTAGGCTCTGCTACCTGGAAAACTGATGGGAGGGAGGCATTGAGTACAAGAGCTCTGCTCGGTGAAGCATTTCAGAACTGCTGCTTGCACACTGTCCAGGCATTTTACACCATCAATTGTGCGAGCTCCCACTTATTGCCACTAATTGCTGCAGAGAGAACGATGCTGACCACGGCAGAGCAGCTACTAAACCAAGGAAGGTAAGGCCAGGAGCGCTTAATGGCTTATTGGGACCGTCGGGAAATTCTGTGAAGAGAATCAATTTCCCTGTATCAGCCTGCTAACAGCAAAAGGCACTCAGGTTTTTAATAGTAAATAAAGGCCTCCTGAGGACGAATCGTTAATTCCTAACTGAAACTTGCCCTTTACAGTAAGTTATTTATCATAAGCCACGCTCATCCTCACGCACACACTTCTTGGCTCACAAATGAATTTCCAAAGCTGGACACCCTATAAGGAATGTCCGTGATTTAAAGATATTCTCCATTCTTTGCTTATTGGTAGTAAATGTCCTTATGAGAGTGTTCACAAAACACCCAAGACAAGACTTTGTTCTCTTTTGTTGTTGTTGGTTATTGTTATTCTCTTTTAAGTGGACATTTTTATATGAGTTTTACCACAAAAGGAATTCCTGAAAATAGAAATGAACTTTGTGATCACTGACATTGCTCTGTTTGACTGGAATTTCTGGGAAAGAGAAAAGGGTTATGCATCAAGCTTTATGTTACTTGTTAGTACAACATTTCCATTCATCTAATGGCCCTTGATATTTTGCAGTGAGGGACTCTTTTGAGAATCGGCTGAAAGCCCCAGAATCTCTCCTGAGAAAATGCACAGAGGCACACGCACACATGGTTGCGTGATAAATCACCCTGGCTGCCATCGATGGTTTCCCCAGAAGTTCAATGACTTCAGATAAAGGCTCCCTGCTCTAAGGCGTGAATTGGGTGCTCGCTTTTTCACAAATGGTGTCTTTAGTGGATGGCTCTTTCCATACCATGGTGAGAAATTCATTCCTGCCACTCCCCAAGAGATTATGGAAACATTTTACAAGGCACTCAACTCATGGATTCCTTCCACCAGTGGCCATGAAGGGGAGTATGGTTGATATATTTTGTTAGCTGATGTAGCTATCTGCACTATGTTCCTTTAACTTCTCAGAACATTCCTGCCACTTCAGTTCAACAGCCATCTGAAGCCCACCTGTGAGCTGGTCCAGGAAATGATGGACTCTGATTTCCACACCCCTTTCCTGTGAACTTGTCTCCAATTTAGTCTGTCAAGGTCCCTTTCTTGTGAGTTAATTTCTCCCTAGTGCTACTTCTCAGATTGGCCAGTGACTCACAGAGTGGCACAAGTACAAATCCAGCCTGCCTTGCATCCAACACAGATTCCAGGACCACTGAAACCAGCTGAGGCATCCTGAAAGCCTAAGATTGACCACACCAGAGGAACCAGACTGCCCTTCACAAGGTACTTGTAAAAAAACTCTCTCCCTACTTATAACTTTGAAAAAAAAGAAAGTAAAACACATCAACCAACAGCCACCTTATGGCCACTGTATGTAGAAAACCTCAAGTGTGGCTCTAAGAAAAAGAATAGCCAAGAAAGATAAAGATATTTTTCCTTCCAACTTTTTAGAAAGAGCCTAAATCTGGAGATAACCCCCCATCTTGCTTTCCTTCCCCACTTCTTTGGAGACAGCCTAGAGAAAGGGAACCTTGTTCCACTTTGGAGGCCTCATTAGACATCATTAAATTCCCTTATAAGACAGTGAGTTGCAAGCCTGGCTTGCTTAAGGGTATGTAGGATGATTATATAACAAGCAAAAAAAAAAAAATGCATTTTTCTTATTAGGAGCAAAGCTTACACATCTGAACATAGTTTTACAGTTAGTCCTAGTGAAAAGACATAAAGATATCTGAGATAAGGGAAGTTTGCACCCCAGAGGAAGAAATTTCTTCTGGTCACTATAGGTTCAGATGCTGAGGCTTGAAAGAGAGAGAGAGAGAGACATGAGGTTAGACTTTACACTCCTCTCTCCCCTCTGAACTGAATCTCAGAAGAGAGACTGCAATAAAGACTTCCAGAAACATTTGAGGTTGGGTGGAGATCCTAGATAGGAAGCTTCTTTCTTACTTCCCTGGACACAACCTGGAAGATCCCTTGTCCCTTGAAAGACCTGGAAAACCCATGTCTCCTAGGGGCCCCATGGTCAGCACAGCATCTAAGAACGTACATCCGAGATGGTTCCCTATGATGTTACCAGATGTCCCAGAAAGAATGTGTGCTATTGTGAATGGTGTTCACTGGTCACCAAGTGTAGGGACAAAAGGACTTCATTGTAAAAGGCCAAAACCAGCTGCACCAACCTGGGCAAGATGCAGGCTGAATTCACACAGGAGACTTGGTCCTTGACCAATATGAGAAAACCAATTATGAATTATGACAGCTGTAGTCACTTAAGCAGCTCCCTCCCCCAGACTCCCTCTACCTATCAATCCACGTCATCATATTCTGTAGATTTCCCTTTGCATCCCAGTGCAATGTGGGAGAAAGGGCGAGAACAACTAAAATACTGAGTAATTAACTCAAGCTGACACATTTTAATTCAAGAGAGACTGAGATGGACTTTGTCCATCCTTGGTGGACAAAGCCAGACATTTTCAGCCAGAATAGGGGTGAACAAGATGAAATGAGTTACAAGAAATATAGTTAAGTATTTGTATATCAGTTGTACAAATCAGTAAATTTTGAGTCCAATTTACTCACAATGTTAAAAACAGAAGATAGAGCAGATATAGCATTGTGGAGTTTCTTAGGGAAAGTGTTACATACATGCAAATTTATGTAAATGTATTCAATACTTTAACTCACATAAACTCATTCGATATACTTCATCCACCTTCAACATTACTGTAGAATAGTGCTAGTTTGATGGCTAAAATTCTTATGTTGCCACATAAAAATACCACACCCATTTGCTATAATCTTTATAAGGTATCCAATTAGTTTAAAGATATCTATGAGTTTTCATTTTCTGAAGGGAATGAATAAGGCTGAGATTGTACTACCATGGCAACCACAGAATGTTTAAATATTCCAAAATTTTCATGTGGCATTGGGGAAGGTGTTCAAAATTACTGGACCTCAAGTAAATGCTATGATTCTTTTACACTAAATATACAGCTTTCCATTATGCAATTTGTATGTGTACTTTTTGAAGAAGAAAACGTTGGGAAAGTAGTATGAGAAAATAATTCTGTTAAAAAAAGAAACATTCTGAAAAACATACAAATTGACTTGCTAATATGTGAAGCTGAACTAAAAGCATCCCCTTTAGTTTTCAGCAGGAGATCCACTACTTATTAACAGTGGTTCAATATAATAAACACACACACACACTTAAACCTCCCCTCTTACCCTAGGTCCTAGTCTGCTAGAGAAATTCTCAGCACTTCCATTACTCCAGTCCCCCACAGCATGTGTTAAAACATGTCTCTGCTTAAATACAGCATTCTACTTTCTAGTGTCTGGAAAGATGTAGGCATCTTAATGCTTTCCAATTCTTCTCCATTAGTGGATACTTTAACAGAAACTTAAGAAAGATCAATTAAATCTTTCTTTGCCCACAGAAGCCCCGCTGGTGGGAGCTGGTCAGGTGTTCTGTGATGTATGCTGGTTATGTCTGGCTGTCTCACTTGGGGATGACCGTTGGGGCACCAGGTCGATCAAATCTCTCACATCTCTATTTTTCTGGTTGCCACAACATCCTGGTATTCAACCTAGAAGGAATGCTGGTCACTTAAGCTACTTCTTACAACAACATTCACTGGTCATAAGCTTTCATTGCGTATTTACACACACACATACAAAGTCCAACTACATAAAATACGGTTACAGTTTTAAAAATTCATAATGGGAGCTGTTTCTTGGGATGGTCACACTGTCATCTTTGGACATTCCATTCTCTAAACAAATTAGCTTTCTTTGTAAACAATCTGTGCTATGGTGGACATATTTGTCTAATACTACTATTCTAAAAAAGCTTTCTTAATCCAGGCACCAACCATAACTTATTTCGACCACTAGATAATCTTGAAAACAATTAACTCAGTGCTGAATAAAACTTTGAAATTAACTTAAAATAAAAAGATAATTGTCTTTCAGAGTTTTTTTTAATTACTAAGATAGCCTGTGGTTTGTTCTTTCCATAAAATATTAATATTTCACTTTTTTTCTTCTTTTTGGAATGACTAATAAGTACCCCACATTTTTCTAACAGCTTTGTCTGCAATCTATCTTGTGAGTCCAAAAATTAATGATTTTCGAAAACAAGTGGACCCTACAAAAAGAGAAATATTGTCAATAGGTACTGCTAACCTAACTTTGAGGGTATATCATTATATAGGCATATGATTATGCCTGTATAACAACAAAAACCCAGAGACTTCATTAATTTTCTTCCAATGCTGTAAGTTACCACAAACTTAGTGGCTTAGAGCAACACAGTTTTGATAATGTACAGTTCTGGCCAGATGCGGTGGCTCATGCCTGTAATCCCAGCACTTTGGGAGGCCAAGGCAGGTGGATTACCTGAGGTCAGGAGCTTGAGACCAGCCTGGCCAACATGTTGAAACCCTGTCTCCACTAAAACTACAAAAAAATATTATCTGGGTTATTGTGGGATCTGGCCAGCAGCCCACAATGCAATGGGGCTCTCTCTTTGTTCCCAGGCAGATCGGCAGGTTGAGAAATAATAGACACACACAAGATAGTGAAAGCTGGGTCCAGGGGGGTCACCGCCTTCTGGTCCCATGGTGCCAACAATGCACTGGATATACCAGCATTTATTATTAAGTTTAGTCAGGGCGGGGGTAGGTTAGTGAGGGATTTAGGGTCATTTGATTATGAGGTGAGATGGTCACATGGGGATGAAGTAATTCTTTAACATAACATTTGTATGTAGAAGTACAGTACATTTGTAGGTAGAAGTACAGTATATAGAGATAAGAATTTACAATATAGTGTGTGCATCAGTAATTTCTAACAGAGCCTTAAAACAGAAACGCAGTCTTTCCATAATCTATGATTAGCAAGATATGAATCAGCAGTAACAATTGCAACAAAAGCTGGTTACAAACAATCCATGGAAACAGGACGTGAAGCTAGACAACAGGTTAGACCAGAAATTCTCAGAAGGGAGTATGCCTTAACCCTAAAGAGGCCTAGAAGAGCCGTGGCAAGATGAGGGCGTTTATAGCCCTATCTTATCCATAAGGACAGGCGACCCCCATGTGTCCGTTTATAGGCTCTCCACGAGGGTCACATTCCACTCCCAGAGGTATGAACATCTGCTTTTCTGGGATAGGAATCTTGGTGATGTGAAAACCCCCTGACTACACGTCCATTCATAGGCCCTCTGCAGGGGGAAGCACATCCCGCGCTGCTGGCTCGTTCTGGCAGTCCAACCTGGCATTGTCTTTACACAATCCTGCATGCAATTTTGTATTTACAATAATCAGGAGCATTTCATCTTTTATTCCATAGCAGTAGTTTCAGGGGGTCTCCCTACACTGTGTGTGGTGGCAGGCACCTGTAATCCCAGCTACTCAGGAGGCTGAGGCAGGAGAATCACTTGAACCTTGGAGGCAGAGGTTGCAATGAGCTGAGATCAGACCATTGCACTCCAGCCTGGGCAACAAAAGCAAAATTCCGTCTCAAAAAAAAATTAATCATTAATAATGTACAGTTCTGTAAATTACATGTCTGATACAGGTCTCACTGGGCAAAAAATAAGGTTTCAGTAACACTGCATTCTCTTGTGGAGGTTCCAGGGGAAAGTGCATTTTCCTGCTTTTTCCTTAATTCCATCATCTTAATGCCCCTACTCTCCTTTGTCATATAAAGTAGCATATTCACAGGTTCCAGAGATTAGGATGTGAACATCTTTAAGGGCCATTATTCTGCCTACCTCAGAAAGTAACACAAATAAGGCTATTGGCAACAAAACCTAATTCTATAGAGCATAAATAATTCACCAACTCCAGTCAACTTCCTTTGCAAGAATCTCTTTATGGGACAGAAAAACAATAAGCAAGGTAGATATTAATAGAAGGCCAGTTTCTTCTTTTCCAATCAGTGCTGGCCTCAAGAAGCCAAACAGGGCATAAAAAGAATTTGATAAAGAGGCAAATCTTCCTTCTATAATTAGCAAGCACTGTATGTAATTCACAAAGAGGAGAAATTTGTGGTGTTTCAGGAAACAGAATACTTCTTACCTTTTAAATTCACCTGTATTTGTAAAAATTCTCCAAATTTCTGGCATGTTTGAATTAAGAATTATCTGTGTGTGTGTATATATACATGTATACATATATGTATGTATGTATGTATGTATGTATACATACATAAGAATTATCTCTGTGTATATATGTATACATACATGTACGCATAATATGTGTACATACATGTACGCATAATATGTGTACATACATGTACGCATAATATGTGGACATACATGTACGCATAATATGTGGACATACATGTACGCATAATATGTGGACATACATATGTATACATAATACGTGTACATACATATGTATACATAATACGTGTACATACATATGTGTACATATGTACATATACATATGTGTACATATGTACATATACATATGTGTATATATGTACACATAATATGTGTACATATATATGTACACATAATATGTATATTGATGGTATACATATATATATACACACACACACCATCAATGCTTTTCAGATACTAGGCCATCTACTACTATATAATATGTATATTGTTGGTATACACATATATATATATACACACACACACACCATCAATGCTTTTCAGATACTAGGCCATCTACTACTATATAAGGAAATCAAGACTGCCAGCTAGATATCAACAGGTATTTAGTGTCATCTTGGTGCTTTGTTAATCTTATGTTTACCTCTTACAATCCATCCAGATTTGGCAAGCAAATGGAGGGAATCATAATTAGACAAAATAAGGACAAGTAGATCATTTTTAAATAAAGGACTAAATTATATTATAACCACATAACCCAAGGCCAGATACATTTCTTCAGCTCCAATTTTACTGGTTGGTTTCATAATGCTGACGTCACTGTTTACTCTTACATCTTTAACTCCCACTCTCTTCCCCTTCCCCTCATGGCACCCACTTTGCTTGTGCTTTGGTATGTTTGATCCTTTAAAATATGCAATGATTTTATTTCCATTAATGATAATGAATTGTAGTTTCTATTCTGTTTCTAACTTTTCAAATTGAACACTATTTTAAAAGTTCATCTATGTTGCAGTATGTTCATATAACCCATTGTTTCTGAGTGATTGGCGTTATTCTATGGCATGCATCCATCTCGTTTTACTTATTCATTCTCCTAGTTTTCAACACTAAGTTGCTTTCAACTACTCTCTACTACATGGAGAAGGTTCCTGGGGTTATATACAAGGTTCCTGGGGTTATATACAAGGAGTGGAATAGGGCGCAGGTGGCCATGGTGTATATACAAGAGTGGAATAGGGCGCGGGTGGCCATGGTGTAAGACACAGATTTTGTTTCACCAAGTCTTGTGTATCATGCTCCATGAGGGCTGCTCTGAGATGTGCTCCCACCAGCAGTGCCTGGGGGTCCCTGCAACACTAATTCATGCTTGTATTTGGTCTCCAGAGACTCATCAAGCACCAGAGTCCCATTTAGAAGTGGTGGGGATAACTGCCTCTTTGACTTTGTATCACTTTGTTACTTGCTTGTGCCAAGAGGCTCACAATCCTCTGGTAAATACAATTCCACCAGCATTGGACCCTCATTCCTCACTTACCCTGGATCCACCAGGCCAGGAAGGAAGGAGATGCTAGCCAGCCACTCCACTGCATCTATCTATCCCTCTCCAGGTAAAAGAGAATCTACATTCTTTTTCAACAACAACTTTTTTAAAAGCCTATTCAATTTCATAACATTTTATAACCTAGTCTCCATACCCAGACAGACTACATTCTCTTCTTCCAGTTATGAAATGAAAGCCCCATGCTGATTAAAACACGTATCCACATTGTTGGGGAAAATGTTGAGCCACCCCAACTCGCCACTCACCAGTGCACATAGACAGCAGCGTCTGAGCTGCAGCTCAGCCAGCAAAATGCCATTTCTTATGCTAGTTCCTACACAACTATGAATATAGGAGAAAATTTCATTCCAAGACCTTTATAGCTCAATAATGTACATCCCATTTTAGCTTAGAAACTGTGAAATGATCATGTTTTCAAGATCGTAAGATTAATCAGCCTTAAACATGCCATAAATATTTTGAGCTAGCTTCTCATTTTCACATAATCATGAAGTGAGAATATTCTCATTTAAAGTATGCATATAATGCTAAAGTACATTGTTTCATATGCGTGAGTATCATACCAAAGCGTTTTGAGAAAAGTTGCACTTCTGAAAAATCAACATCTCAGAATTATCAGAATTGAATCGAAGAACTCTTCTAAGGACAATAGTTCCAGTACATACAAGAGAGTTGAGTTATCATATTTAATAACTTATAGTTTATGACTTTTTTACCACATACACAGTCTTTTTGTTTCTTTACCATTCTTGGGAGGTAGATACTATCATTATCTCAACTTTGGGTGACTTGCATACAGTCACTGGGCCTGCGAATGATGGAATTGAGACTTAAACATTAACCAACAACTTTTTCCCCCTTTTTTATTTTCACTTTTTTCTACAACGATTATCTTTTAAGTAAAAGAGAATTCATGCTCGTTTTCAACAGTAACCTTTTTTAAAAACCTATTCAGTTTCACAGCTTTTGAGTGTATGTCTTATGTACATACACCCTTACTTTGTACTTCTCCATCTAATAGCAGATAGCTTAAGAAATCATTTGGTTCTTTCTGGATATCAAATCTGAAAACCCAAAATATACCTTAGGTGATTTATTTTATGCTTTATTATTTTTTTCTTTATTCGTCCATACTCAAAACAACATAAACTTATTATCTCACAGTTTTTATAGGTTAAAGGTGTGGTGGGCTCAGTTGAGTCGCTTCTTAAAGTTTCACAGGCCAAAAATCAGAGTGTCCACAGGCTGCACTCTTCTTCAGGCTCCAGGGAAGAATCATTTTTTTTTTTTTTTTTTTTTTTTTATCATTCAGGCTGATTATCGGCAGAATTTGGTTCCTTGCGGCGCTAGGTCTGAGGTTCCCATCGCCTTGCTGGCTGACAGCTGAGGGCCACTCTCCGCTTCCAAAGTACACCCAGCTGATGCCTCTCCTTCCTCCCCTGCAAAGCCAGCAACACTGCATCTCTCCGTGTCTTTCTTCCCTGGTCACATCTCTCTCCATGAACTCTCCTACCTCCCTTTTCTATTTTTGAGAAAATGAAGCCCATTTGATTATATCAGGCACACCCAGATAAGAAAAAATAATCTCCCCAAGGTCAGATGATTAGCAACCTTAACGCCATCTGCAAAGTCTCTCTTGCCATATATCGCATAACATAACCACGGCAGTAACACCAAAATCCTGTTGACCACGTGGATGTCTCAGGCTCTGCTCTAAACAGTAGGATCAAGAAGTCAACAAAACAAAGCTCTTGTCCTCAAGGAGCGTTCATTTTAGTTGGGGAGATGGAGAGGAAACTACTTAGACGGTCTCTACCATGTAGGGAAAAGTACTCTAAAGAAAATCAGGCTGGGTGCGGTGGCTCACACCTGTAATCCCAGCACTTCGGGAGGCCAATGCTGGTGGATCACCTGAGGTCACGTGTTCGAGACCAGCCTGGCCAACATGGTGAAACCCTGTCTCAACTAAAAACACAAAAATTAGCCAGGTGTGGTGGCAGGTGCCTGTAATCCCAGCTACTTGGGAGGGTGAGGCAGGAGAATCACTTGAACCAGGGAGGCAGAGGTTGCAGTGAGCTGACATCACACTACTGCACTCCAGCCTGGGTGACAGAGTGAGACTCTGTCTCAAAAAAAAAGAAAGAAAGAAAATCAAAGCAGAGAGTAAAGAGGAGGAGGAACGCAAGGTAATTCCGATTGGATAGTCAGAGAAGGCCTCTCTGATACATGAGCAGAGTCACAGAAAGTGGGAATTGGGAAAAGGGGCAGCCTGCTTGTCTGTGGGCCACACATCCTGAGTCGAGGGAATAGCAGATACAAGGTCTCCGAGGTGGGAGCAGTCTTTGTGTGTTTAAAGAAGAACAAGGTCAGTGTCACTGGAACAGCATGAAAGAGGGCAAGAGGGAGGATGGAGGCTTTGGGTCATGATGTGAGGGTCATCCTAAGGCCTTTAGCTATATTCTGAGTAAGACGGGTTGCTATTGGAAGATTGGGAAGAAAGGATCCACATGCTATAACATGTTCAAAAGGATTGCCTCAAGATTCTTGGAAGTTGTTTCTAGGAAGTTAAAAGGACAACTTCTAGACCTGCGACCGCTTCCTGCCATCCTGCACCCATCCATCCTGATAGAGAAGGGACTGGTTATAAACAGCAGATCTACACTGGATGCCTGTGCCTTACCTATTGCTTGCTTTATTGGTTTTTGTCTTCATTTACCATTTAATATTTATTTGACAGTGATTTTTCAAGATTAAAATACACACACATGTACATTGTTTTTTTCCAGGGGAAGACTCCTGAACTTGCCTCACCCAAAGATATGATGTACGCTTCAGACAATGCTGGACTGATGTGTTCAATTAAACAAATGCACCAATAAAATGCTGCATGTAAAAAGAGTAAACTGCCAGGGTTGCTCTGCTGTATCTAACCACAAACCAGGAGCACCAAAGTGGCTCTCCTAGGGATTTTATCAGGCTATACCTAGTACCCGTTTCCTACAGATTACAGGCATGACTTCATTTGAATGTATCCTCACCTAGCATCACTTTGTCCTTAATTATGTGAATAGGCACAGCAGTGTGATTTGAGGAAAGAAAGTAAAGATAACCTTGTTTAGAGGCTGCTGCTCTGAATGTATTTTCACTAAAGATCTGGTTCCTTGATTTTCAGGAGATTAAGAATTGAGCTGTTTGCTAAAAAGTATTTCAGACTTGATTTGGAATTTCAGTTTTTGATTGGAGGTGGAGTGCACGCAGAGGAAGAATGTTTGGAGGCTGTTAAAAGCATTGTCATTGGAAAGAAACTGTTCCCTGCAAAAGTTCTATTATGAGGAGTTGCCTGTGGCGGTTCTGGGTGTTTTTACTGGGGAGCTGACAGTTTTTACTGATACCGTCTGCATGCACTGGTTATCGGCTGTGCCCCGCACATACTCTTTGATTCATTTGGATAGGGTCATTTATTGCAAGCTTATTCAAGTCGTTCCAGGCGCACGACCAACATTATCTTCAAAAAACAATAAGTGGTGGTTGAGTTTTACATACTAAGAAAACACAGAGAGTCAAATAGAAGCTGACAAGCATCAGAAAAGATTCTGTCCGAAATTAAGTACTAAGTATGCCATGGCCAAGGGTTAGAAAATAACCACAAAAGCACCAAACCCGCTGCTGAATAAAAAATAGGCCCCCCAAAATGAGAAAAACGGTGAAGGAAAACAACCCGGAGTAGAACTAAAGCTGCTCTGCATTTTCACATGCCAAAAAAATCTCATCAGAAAAGAAATTGCAAACCAACAGTCAGATTGTTATGGACTGTGAAGAAATACACAGAAACTTGAGAAAGGGCTGTCAACTGTTCTATAAGCTGTAACACAGCAAAAGCAGCGTGTGATGTAAATAACATTTCCATAATAAGGTGCTTGACTTTTTACTTCTCACTTGTGTCCACTGACCTGAACTCAGGATTTATCATCAACTTTAAAACATTTTAAACAAAGACAATATTATTCTTTGGTGAATCAAATTCAAATAATAGTAGGCAGACAGAAAGACTACAGCACAATTCTGGACTTTTTTATTTTTTTCCTTTTTGGTGGGGAAAAAAAGAGGTAATGAGAGAGCAGCCCGGATCTTTCTTACTGATCAATTTTCCATTTCTTTCCTCATTCCCAGAATGCAACCATTTCCCTCACTTATGGAACCTGCAAACTGACTGCCTTCTCCATAGCTAATAATAGCATCCTGGATTCTGTTATCTACTTGATCTGCTGATCTGCAAACTGCTTCCCTGACAGCAATCTTGTTTTGTTTTCCCAGGGAAAGCCCAATAGCATTGACATTTGGAGAGGCAATCTGAAGAATTTCAGTTGAGGAAATTAATATTTCTCATCCAAATCAGGCAATACTCTAAAACAAAGAAAACTTTAAGGAGTTTAGTTCCTAAAAAGGGTGGGGGTGGTTCATAGAAGGAAAACTAGTGATTTATATTGTGTGTGTGTGTGTGTGTGTGTATGTGTGTGTATATTATTTAATGGCTTGTGTTTAACTCTCAGATAAATTCCTTTTTAGTAAATTCATATAGGTGTTCCTCTCTAAACGTTGTATAACTGATCTTAACAATGAGAGTTTAGGATTTCTGACAACTCATAGATATAAAATAGGAATTCTCTCAGTGTGACATAGCAGGACTCCAAAGACAGCTTTGCAAAGGAGAATCACTCCTCACCAACCCCAACTTCGGAATTTTAATTATGGATTTGAGTTGTTTAAAAGTGGTGCAACACTTTACTTTTGAAACAAGTCGTGAGCCTCTGACATATGATATCTGTGTCCACATATGTGCTCATAATTTAAAACATTTTGAAGAAAATATTATTCGTTGGTGAATCAAATTCAAATAATAGTAGACAGACAGAAAGACTATAGCTCATAACTGAAGTGCCACATCTGTTGCAATTTCCCAGGGTTGTCCTAACAAAGTGCCACAAACTGGGCGGCTTAAAATAACAGAAATGTGTTCTCTCACAGTTCTGGAGGCTAGAAGTCAAAAACGAAGGTGCTGGCAGGGCCATGCTCCATCCAAAGGCTCTAGCGAAAGATCCTTCTTTGCCTCTTCCAGCTTCTGGTGGTTGCCAGCAGTGCTTGCTGTCCCCTGGACTGTGGCTGCCTCACTCCAGTTTCCTCCTCAGCATCACATGGTGCTCTTGTTGTGTCTGTGTGTCCAGATTCCCCTATCCTCTCCCTTAGAAAGACACCAGTCACTAATTAAGACTCATGAGAATCCAATAGGATTGCATTTTAACTTGATTACATCTATAAAGACCCTATCTCCAAATAAGTCACATTATAGGTTCCACGTAGTCATGGATTTGGGGAGGGGTGCAGGTGGACGCTATGCAACCCAATGCAATGGCAAATCAAGTGAGCACCAAACAGCACCACTATCCTTCATGTCTTACGTAAGCTTTGATCAAGCCAGCATGTCCTTCAGTCCAGCGTGCCCTACACCTGTGTCCTGGACCACCTCTCAGGCTGCGTTACTTCCCTTCCTAAGGCACAACAGGGCCTAGAATCTAAGGACTTGCGCCACACACAAGCCAGGCTCCTAAGCTCCCAACTTGTAATTTCCTTCTTCATATTGTCTCTTCTGACAGCCCCACCATCTACTCTGTGTTCCACAGACTATTACTTAATTTCCACTCATTTCAGCCTTTGCAGCTGATAGGGTTTGGCTCTGTGTCCCCACCCAAATCTCACCTTGATTTGTAATAATCCGCAGGTGTCAAGGGTGGGACCAGGTGGAGATAATTGAATTATGGGGGTGGTTTGCCCCATGCTGTTCTCACGATAGTGAGTGAGTTCTCATGAGATCTGATGGTCTTATAAGGGGCTTCTCCCTTCTCTCCACTCTCATTCTCTCTTCTGCCGCCCTGTGAAGAGGTGCCTTCTGCCATGATTATAAGTTTCCTGAGGCCTCCCCAGCCATATGGAACTGTGAGTCCATTAAACCTCTTTCCTTTATAAACTACCCAGTTTCAAGTTTTCTTCATGGCAGCATGAGAACAGAGTAATACAACAAGCCAAGATTTTTCCAGTGTGGAAAACCCTCATCTGTACTTGGAAGGCAGATACCTAAACAAGTCCTGTATCATACACACACAATCAGTAAGGACGAAAACACATTTTTAACTAGCATTACTACAGTTAAAGCCTATGGAACTGCCTACCTCCTAAAACACCATCCTCCTGAGAAAGCAGGTGGAGGCACCACTGCCACATTCTTCCCTGAGGCCCCTCCAGAAGGGGTAGTCTGGGTAAGCACCTGGTCGGAGCTGGGCCATTAGATGCAAGCCCTGCTGATTATTCAAACTTGAATGAAGTCCTCCACGTCCGTCCCTCCCCATGCCCACCCTCAGAAGAATTGTAAGATGCCAGCAGTCTTTTGTTACGTGGGAAACCAATCTATAATGAAAGAAAATAGGCCAGGCACAGTGGCTCATGCCTTTAATCTCAGCACTTTGGGAAGCCGAGGCAGGCCTGGAGGTCAGGAGTGCCAGAACAACATGGCCAACATGGTGAAACCTGTCTCTACTAAAAATATAAAAAATTGCCAGGCATGGTGGTGGCAGCCTGTAATCCCAGCTACTCGGGAGGCTGAGGCAGGAGAATCACTAGAACCCGGGAGGTGGAGGCTGCAGCGAGCTGAGATCCTACCACTGCACTCCAGCCTGGGCAACAGAGCGAGACTCTGTCTCAAAATAAAAAAGAAAATAAAGCTGAAACAAAGCAAAGTGGAACAAAGGGAGAAAGCACGCTGCCAACATTGAAGGGCCTGAGCTGCATCTCTGTCATTCCCTGTTCCTGGATTGTGCCAACAAATTCCTCCCTTTATGCCAAAACCATGTACATTTGTGTTTCTGTCCCTAAAAACCTCAGGGTTACTGACTGGCACATATATAGCCTTAACAAAATGTTCAAGCTGAAAAGAAAGAAGTCGGATGTCATTATGGGTTAAACTGTGCCCACCTCCCAAAACCACATGCTGGAGTCCTAATGTCTGGAGCCTTAGGATGTTACCTTATTTTGGAGACAGGGTTTTCACAAAGCTGTTCATATTAAAATGAGGTCATTAGGGTGGGCCCTAATCTAATATGACCGGTGTCCTTATAAAAAGGGGTAATTTGGACAAAGACACAGACACACAAAGAGAACACGTTGTGAAAAGACACAAGGACAAGACAGCCACAGATGAACCAGAGACAGGCCTGGAACACGGTTCCCCACAGTGGTCAAAAGGAACGGATACTGCTGATGCCTTGATTTCGGACTTCCAGTTTCCAGAACCATGAGACAATAAACTTTGGTTGTTCAAGTTCCCCAACTTGTGGTACTTTATTACAGCAGCTCAAGCAAACGAATGCAGACATTATCTGTTAACTCCTTCATGACAAGTAAGGAAACAGGCCCAGAGAGCTTAGCCTGATTGTTTCAATTCCTGTTGTAAGAGCTAGAATCAGAATGTAGACCTCATAATTTATAACTCGATGTTGATTTTCATAATTTTACCCTAATTCATAGTCCAAAAGTTTTCCTGAAAACTTCACATGTACACTTTTGTTTTGGGAAAATATTACAATGATAATAATAAATCTGACAAGTAAATAAATTGTGAGAAAGAAAATGACGTAACTTGGACCCCCCTATTTTATAACAGCTGTCATAATATCCAGATCAGATCTTTTGGTTAAACATTCTCATTTAAAACCAATTTAGATAAATAATGATGAGTCATTTCACAAAGAAACAGCTTGGGGCGAAATAAACAAGATTGACTAAAAGGTAGGTATGCAGAGCATGTCAGACCTCATGCTGAGCTTGAGCGTTTTCCTACCATTGCTCCAGAAAAAAACAAAAGCATTTTCTTCTCCAGCTAGGGAAGCAGAGAAGTCATATTTTCTCAATAAAGAAAAACAAATCTTGATCAGTTCAAGAAAATTTGTTTATATAAATACTGGACATAATTATGAAACTGTGATTTGCCTGCTGTTTTCCTGCTAATAAGAACTTTTTTCCCTCCCCAAATAACATTCACCAGCTGTAGACAACTTCCTTGTTTTCCTGCTATTCTTGTTTGCCAGGGTTTCCATATATGAATGCCCTAAAAGTGACGAATTTACCTTGGTGATTTTGAGTGATATTTTTCTTACAGTATCACAGGATGCTTGATATATTTATATTGAACTAATCTTCCATAATTTAAGAGTCTAGCGTGGTACAAAAGAAATTAAAAATCTTTTTGTCTGAAGCCCCTCCGATGTTTAATACCTTAAAAACTATATTTCTCAAATATTTATTATGCATGTATACTTTTTAAAAAACACTATAATAAATGTTATGTTATTCAAGTATTTACTATTTTATATGAAGCTGGTTTCATCTAGGGTAAAGTTCTACTTTGACATTTAGGAAAAGGGAAAACTGAATGTTTTCAGCCAGAAAAGAACGATAATAGATTTGGATTTTGAAAGATTAAGTTATAAACCATGAAAATGACATGTTGAAAGACCTTTTTTGTTGTTCTATGAAATGGGAAAATCAGGAAGAGTTTCCAAGGCAGGTGTGATTTAAGCTGCTCCTGAAGAAGTAAGTAGGATTTTTACCATGGAGTATGTAAGGAAAAAAACATCACTGGCTCTAGAAATAGGCCTGTGCAAGACAAACAAAGTAAAGGCAAGATGCTCACTTAGGACACTCCATGTCTGTGGTTGGAGGTCAGAGTAGAAAGATAGAAAGGAATTCGTTTCTGGGAGCCTATCTGTGGCCTCCTCACAGCTGGGGTTTTATTCTGTAGGTGACTTTAATGAGGAGTCACTTATGACTTACATTTTAAAAACATCATTCTGGCCTCAGGGTGGAAGATGGATTAGAGAGGAGTAAGTCTGGAGGTAGAGTCTTTCTCTCAGCTCTTAAAACTAAAAATTTATTTAGGACTCTAAACTCCCACCCAAATCTGACTGCTCTTCTCCATCCACCTCTGGTCTGGGTACTTGTTGTAATTCACTTAGAGTCAATTAATGCAATAGATTCCTCCCCAAACTATATGTCCTCTCTTCTCTGTTCCTTACATTGGCCAGCATAGCACACAGCCAGAAATGTTAGCAGATGGCTTAAAATCCTCCACTGGCACCTCATCTCCTATGCAACCAGTGCCAACCTCTGAGACTGCTCTGAGACTTCCCTCTGAGGCTTCTCAGGTAATGAGCAAAGGGATGTAAACAACCCAAAATTGGCAACAGTGACAACAGGAGGCTCTTCTGGCTGAGCTTCTGCCATATCGTGTCTGAAGTCCCAGCTGTTCCCCTGGAACCATGTGGAGGAATCACTAATTCTCTCGACTTTGCTTGTCAGCACAGCTGGCCACACAGCCAGGCCCTCCATCTTTCCTGACTTTATTCTGGTTGTGAAGTCATGCTGGGATGGTGTCACCCTCAAAAGACTAAGGCAGAAGCCACCCAGAGAGTCCTCAGCACTTCCTGGGCATGACACCTCAGCCATTTTTCCAGCACTGCTATGCCCACAGCAAACACCCCTTGTCCTCTGGTAGGAACCAAGACCTTCTCTTCTCTGCTCTTCCCAGCTCCAGAGAGGTCAGGTTGGGCCCAGGAGAATCATGGAGCTGTGGCTAAACTCATACACTATGGAGCCAGGCTACACTGCATACTAATTCAGAATCTGCCACTCAGTGGGAATGTGGTCTAAAGTTAACTTTACTAAGCTCTGTATTTTGTGTTTTGTTTTTCTTATAAAGGGTGAATACAATTATGGTATCCATGAGTTACTCGGGGGGGGAGTGGAAATTATCTAAGGTTTATACAAGGTGACGTATGTACGGAATTCGGCAGAGCGCTTGAAACAGATCATTATTGAATATGTGCAAATAATTAATATAATGAGGCACCCCTTTTTATCATCACACACATATAGACATAAGGAACCAAGAGAAAATAAAGTAATTCTCAAGCGTTTAAAATTAATTATCTCTTAATCTATTTAACAATAGAGCTACTGCTAATTGCTTTGCTCATGCAAATGCCCTAGAATAATTCTGCCTGTCTGTCTTTTGGAGAAATCACTTAAAATGATGTTTTTCTTTCCTAAGGCTTTCATTGATTCCTACCAAATATAGGTAAATTATAAGGCAGTCTCCCAACTTCCTTCAGTTTTTATGTAAATAAATGCAACAATTATTTACATTAAGCCAAAAATTTACATTTTACTTAAAATTGGCATTATTCTTTTATTATAAAACAAAATAAAAATACTTTCTATTGCAACTACATCAATAATGGAAAAATAAAGAACACCCTTGAATCCAGGGGACAAAGAAGCAGGCTACAAAAATTAGAGACTTTTTTCAATTTGGGGAAGATAATTTACTTCTTCCATGTTTATTTCAAATAGTGCAAGAATGTGAGCCATCTTGGCATTATCCAGTCCCCATTTCTGATGACACTTCTGGAGCTATCTTCACATAGCACATTGCCTTCCACAATTCAACCACCTACAGGAGACTTGTTCTCGGGTTTGCCTGCTTGTTGCACCAAATCCCTAACGAGTGATGCTACAACATTTCTAGTACTTTGCTAGCAATCACCGCCATCTCCTCATCTATAAATTACCATCATAGGCTATCCCTTATTCCACTGAAATATTGTGAGAAACCATTATATAAATGCTGTTTGAGCCCTTCATGGACAGATGCTATATATAAGAACAAAATTGTTGGCTTTGTATTTCAAATCTGAACTACATGACATACCAACAATACAGAAGCAGGCACTTTCCTCTGACATAAATGGATGATTTATCATTTCTCTCCTGCAGCTGCCCAATTCACTTCCTTTCAATTTTCCTATGTAGATTTAGCTTTTCCTATCTGAATGATCTCTGTCAATGGGTAATTTAAATTTCTCAACAGATGTCACATAAGCCAAGCGTGAATACTTTTTAGGTACAAGTCAAATTTGCAGCATAGTGTATAGAAGTCAAGGTTTCCATTATAATCTAAAATGATAAAGAAATGAATACCGCATTTTAAAAATAAATGGTAGCATGTAGTTCCAACGTTTAGTCATGAATATTATTCAAGTTGTTTAAAAAGAAACTCTTTTAGTAACACATATCAATTGATGAACGTATTATTTCTATCTTTTAACCTGTAAGATCTCACATTTTTGTAGCAGGGCTTCTACATAATAGCACAACACAGGAGTCTACGAGTTAGGTAAGCTGCAAAGAAAGATCTAAGTGAGATGCCTCCCCCTTTTCATTGGTCTGTGAACATCAACACAAGTTGACAGTTGAAATTTAAATCCATGGCCAACCACCTCTGTTAGCTGTCCTTTACCTACAGACTAAAGCCCCATTTCATAGGATGGTATGAAAGGTCTTTCACAATAGCGTCTCCCCTACCTCTCCAAGTTTATCTACCATATCTCCTTCCTATGCAACATGAACATCTCAATCTTTCTTAAACAAGCAATTATTGAACAAGGTGGTTCAATAATCTGGAATGTCATTGCCCTTTCCACTTCTGTCTACCAGGAAACTCATATTAATATTTTCAACTGAATTCATCAATTACAGCACAAATATCAACCCTTCTGTGAAGATTGTACTGAATTTCTTAGTACAGAGCTGATGAATCCCTCCTCTCTGTTTCCATAGACCTTTTTCAAACTTTTATTTCAGTTAGTCCATTATGTAAAAAAAGTTTACTTATCGATCTTTTAATGCATAAGGTAAGTAAAATTTATTGGGAAAAAAATGTTTTCTTTTGCTATGTATTTTTTTGGAAATGTGTTTGGCGCACAGTAAGTAATATATTATTGATTGATTGGGTAACTGAAAAGGTAGAACAGGTGGATGATAATGATTATTCTTTTGATTGGCAGAATGGCAGAACTTAAAATAAGAGATTTAAAACACACAGAAATTGTAAGAAAAAGGGACCTAATTATTCTCCAATGTGCTAAGCACATAATACATAAAATTGAGTAAACAATCACTGAGCACATATTATGTATAAAGCCTTGAACTAAGAATGAGAAGCACAAAAATAAAAGCATAGTATCTCCAAATTTATGAAATGCACAAACTACTGAAGGTACATAGAATGCATTAAAGTAAGTTTTGTATTTATTTTGGCTTATCATCCATGGTATATAGGGTAAAAGAGAGTGTTGTAGGAGATATATCTAATGTAAATGATGAGTTAATGGGTGCAGCACACCAACATGGCACATGTATACATATGTAACAAACCTGCACGTTGTGCACATGTACCCTAGAACTTAAAGTATAATTAAAAAAAAAAAAAGAAAATGACATGCACAGACAATTGAAAACTGGCATATACTCCAAGCAGTCTTCTCAACATTTAACTTTAAGCCCCTTTTTCTTTTTCTAGTTAATTTGTTTTGCGAAATGAGTGTTTTGAATTTAACCTCTTTCTGCCTTTACCAATTCTACAAAATAAACATGTTCATGTGAAATGGCTACAAGGAAGCTACAAAAAAGAAGCAGTTGGAAAGATTGCAATTGTCCATGAACTAAGTAAATATCACATAAGGCAAAATGTAAAATAAGAATAATATTATAATGGATATTTTCAGATTTCCTTTTCTCATATCTAACCAGGTCAACTTTAAAGGTTTGCAAACCTCAGCAGAAGATTCCTGAATAGGAAACATGGACAATTAAATGGATTTTTAATATTTATTCAAATCTATTTTTATTTTAATAATAAGAAATGTCAGTTCTAACTTCAGAGGAATAACAGCAAAAGTATGGAAGTTGTTCAGTAGAACACTGTGAAGCATTGGGGCATCCCTGCAGCTCTTGGTACCCAAGGCCCTTAGCACAGCCAAGAACAGAACATGCTCCATTTAGGTATGATTTTTTAAAAACCTATCCCCATACCCCCAATTTTTTAATGCAACTTCTAACATTAAATCATATTAAAAAGAATACAATTTTAAAATTAGCAAATCAGTCATTTAAGAGGAAAGACAGACACATCAAATAGCTTGCATAATTTTATTGTTCAACTAGGTGTTAATTTTAGTACTAGAATTCCAGAAAGTCAAAGTAAAAAGAAAACTACATTGCAATGTATTCCTTCTACCTAATTAAAAGAAACAAGAGCCTTTTAGTTTTTGTCTTCCTTGGAAAGTAAATTACATTCCCAGAATAAGGCACTCTTGAAGAAATTTAAAAATGTATCGCATGAATTCTGTAATAAGAGAAAATGGACTCATAATAGACAATATCTTCCACTGAAGTTTTATAAAAGATCCAAAGCAACCAATAAAAAAGTATTTTTACAATTGATCCCGTGTAAAAGACAGCCCACTCAGGTTCTCCACTCCTCATTTCAGGGACAATATTTAAAATATTTAACAACAGAATGGCAGAAGCCTCAGTATTGGTGCAGAGTTCCGGAAGAATCTTGCTGTGTCAGGGTTATTTCTTTTATTTGCTGGATTGTGGGAATCTCCTGGGATCCTGAGGGAGGTTCTTTGACCGGAAGGGAGTTACTTAGGAGGCTGAATGCAGTGACTATTTATCAACTGGCATAGAAGTATTTTAATATTTTAACAATTGGTATGGCCATGCCCATACACGCAGCAGTGTATGTAAGTCTAGAGTGGGATATGAAATACTACCTGTGACCAGAAGAGCAAATAAATCATAAATTCAGAGAATTTCTCCCAGCACTCCACCCCAATAATTTTAAGGTGATGGCTGGCTGCGATTTTCATTTCAGTGCTCCCAGGTAAATCAAAGGCAGCTGCCAGTCATGTTGAACACACCCACCAAGACTGTAGTTGTGAAGCTTTAAATAAAATAACATCTTGCAGTAGGTAAAGGTTTTTCAACTTCCTTTTCAGTTTATGTTAAGAGCAGTTCAAGATTGTGACCTGGAGGTGACAGGTGACAGGTGGCAGGTGATGGTGTCACAGACTAAGAATTTATATCTTTTCCATTCACCTCATTTGGGTCAAATAAGCCAAGTTGATGAATAGCTAGGCTCTTTCTACATTGCACAAGTAGCTCAGGAATCTTGCAAATATCACTCTTCCAGAGAATCACCTTTTCTATTTAAATCTTTAGAAAGTCAAGCTACATTGAATGTAAGTGACTTGGGTTGTTCATTTTGCAAAACAATTAGACAGACACCATTATTTGATTTAATCTGACACTTTACATTAGTCTCATGCAGTGACATTGGATGTCATTGATAGCAACCTTAAAAAAGAAAAAAAACCCAAAAGAAGGAAAAGATTTCTTACTGGAGTAACCTAGTTCTACCTTGAGAGCTCAGCATGTAAAACTGAAATCAACCTCCCTCCTCCCAAAATTAGCTCAGTTACAAAAACCCAAACTTCCTCATTCCTAGCATGTTCAGGGCCCTCTACATGAGAATAAAATTTAGAAAATAGAGTAATCCACGAGAGAAATTCAGCCCTATTATTTAAGGATGTTGGATGAGAATAGCAATGCAGAAACACACATGGGAAAACATGGGTTACTAATGACAACCATCCCACATAGCAGGTAGAAGTTCGAACAGAGATTGGGTCCATTGGGCTGGCTTCCAGGGACTTGATAAAGGGGTTGCTTCCTTGGTTATCTTACCATGACCTGAGGCTGATTCCAGGCATACTGTGTGAAAATAGGCACTCTCTGTTCACACACATCTCTGGACAGAACACATATAAACCAGGTTTTTCAGGATGAAACCAGGCTGATAATTCATTAAGCTACAAGGAGGCATGAGACTATTTGGACTGAGACATGGGCATTGGCAAGGACTTGGCCATTGAGATTTTAGCCTTCAGTGTCAATTTCACTTACCAGTGGTGTGGCCTTGGCACCGTACCTCACGTCCCTGAAAGCCTCAGAGTTTCATCTGCAAGATAAGGGTAATGAAATTACCTCATGTCATTATTGTGAGAGGTTAATAAGTGATACATGTAAAATGTTTACCACAGGGCTAAGCCACAAAGCACATGTTCAGAACCTGAGAAAGCAGGTATTAAAGAAAGCAGAACTATAGAAAGTATATTATAATACCTGTAATATAGCAGTGACAAGGGACCCTAAATATTGAGATGAGGGAGCAAAAATTAAGGATAAATTATTGTTTATTTCTGATGTTATTTTGGACACCTAACATGTTATTTGGTTTCAAAATTGGTTACTTGGCAGGGGGCGGGGAGGAAGGTTACTCTTCCATTGATCTGTAACTGGGATATATGTAGTTAAGATTTAAAAAATTTTCTAGACCATGTAACAAACATGCACATGTACCTCCGAATCTAAAATAAAAGTTGGAAAAAAATTTTCCTGCAATCAAAAGTGCTTAATGTCTGAAATATTTTCCTTACCTGATTAGAGACAATGAGGTTTAAGTAATTCTATGAATATTATAATTTTTGGCAATTTAATACAGTGGACTGATAAAAATCCTAAATCAAGAGTAGTTATTTGGAGAGATCTCCTGAGTGCTTAACATTACACTTGGGGGTGAGAGATGTAAAGATGAAAAGTCTGTAAGCAACATGAAACTACAGCTGGACACGCTTTGATCACCACTCAATCACTCAATCTCAAGCATTAATTTGATCATTAAGATGCATCTCATAAACATTTGTGGAATGAATGAGCCAGTCTCAGAATTCCCATACTAAGAAGGGAAGGAGATGAATGAATAAATTATTAAGGGCAGCTCTGAGCAATCCTATATCTCAGTGAACAGCTCCTTGTTCATAGAGGCTGAGCGAGAGCCTATGTTGGTCAGCATGTCTAACCGAATGGCCGAGAAGGGGCCTAATAATGCCTATTTCGATTTTAGAGAAAAAAATAGTAGTCCCTTAGCGTATCTTATAAAATAGCTGCTATTCTTTTTCTTGTGAAAAAAATATAATTACTGTAATTTTTTTAAGAAAGTATGTTCATTGCAGAAAATTTTTAAAATATAGAAAATAATAAAGGAATTGAAATCACTTATAATGCTATCATCTAGAAATGATCCTTATGAAGAAGGTTTTAGTATAATTACTTCAACTGTATGAATGATAATTGGAACAGAGGGAAGATTCAAGAAGGAGAGGCCATATGAGAAGCTATCATCACCATCTAATTGCAAGGTAGCTCAGTCTACTTGTGCTGCGGTAACAAAATATCACAGACTGGGTAAATTATAATGAATCAAAATTTATTTGTTCATGGTTCTGGAGGCTGAGAAGCCCAAGATCAAGGAAACAGTGTCCAGGAAGGATTTTCTTTCTGTGTGATCTCACAGTTCTGGAGGCTGAGAAGCCCAAGATCAAGGAAATAGTGTCCAGGAAGGATTTTCTTTCTGTGTGATCTCACAGTAGAGGGACAAAAGAGAGTGAGACAGAGAAAAGAACCAAACTCTCCCTTTTATAATTACTGCAATAACAAACCCACTCCCCCTGATAATGGCATTAATCCATTCATGCCTAATCACCTCCCATTAGGCCCCAGCTCCCAACACTGTTGCATTGGGCGTTAAGTTTTCATTGCATGGTTTTGGGGCAACACATTCAAACCATAGCACAAGGTAATAAGTATCAGACTCACTGTAAAAGGATTGAGGAAAGGAGGATAACAGGACAAATTTAAGAGACAGAAAGATAGATTTAAGACATATATGGATGGATTTAAGATACACATGTATGTATATATTTTCCTTTTTAAGTAAAAAAAAATTGCGACATACTTAATGTATCTCATTAAACATATTGCAATGATAATTAGTTCAAAAGATTAACCATGTAATGCTACTGGTATAATTAAGGGATAAATATTTGAGAATACGAATTAAGATAAGAGTAATAATCTTCAGGGATTTTTTTTTATTTAATTGTGAAAGAAAGGCCAGTATCTATTTTAGAGACTTGGAACTGAAATGTGGGTGAGAAATTAAGATGAGGGGAAAAGATACTGGGAGCACTGGGGTATGAGTGGTAGCAGATGCCCAGGGAATCACTGAGTCACTGAGAAGCTGAGTGCTAAAGGCAGGGTGAAGGGGGAACAGACTTTTACAAGTTGTCCTCAGCTAGAAAACCAGGACAAGGCAAATGAAAAACTAGAAGCAGGAAATAAATAGTTTAAGTGTGGAGGCAACAATTTCATGTCTTAGCAAGATTTCAAGGATGAATGTTGGTGGTAAGACAGTTATTTACATGCTTTTGATTGAAAATATTCTACAACTCACTGTGAGCAGTGTCAGAGTACTAGTAATTAATGGAAATGATGGATGGTTAGGAAAAGAAAACAATGAATATATACCATAGGTTCATCAGATCAAAAAGTGCTTTCATTGAAATTAATTCAGAGCAAAAAGATATTGAATTTGGTGTTAGACTTCCTAGGTTAGAAGCCTGGTCATTCCACTGATGAGATGCAGGATTCTAGACAGTTTATTTAATCTCTCTGTGCTTCTGTTTTCTTCTAAAAATCAGGAAAAATAAGACAACCACCTCACAAAGGTAGATGTGAGGATTAAATAAGCACCTATAAAGCACTTAATTCAGTGCCTGATACATAGTGACTGCTATGTAATTGTTTGGCAGTATCATCATCATCGTTATTATTAAATGATTAATAAGATTTTATTAGAGATCAAGAGCTCAAATTTAATACAACAAACATTTTCTTAGCATTTTATAAATGCAATTACTAGGAAGAGCCATTGGGACATATTAAGACTTGTGTTTGGCCTCAATTCATTTTTTAAAAAATTTAATCAGTTTGGCAACAAGCTTTTACTGAGTGTCTAGATATGCCAGGTGTTCTACCTGGCAGAGCATGGAGACAATAACATGGTGTGATTTTAGCACAGGGTGATTAGTGCCATGACAGAGGCACACACAGGTGCTATAGGACCACAGAGTAGTCATCTTTTAGTCAGGAAGATGTCTGTGAACTCTTCCTTAAGGACATGAGGAAAACCAGTTGAGAGAGATACAGAACTGCAGGCTGGCCATTCAGCCATTACATTCAACCAGCTAGGTTCTGATCCGTGGATGACCATGCCATGCAGAGCTTAAATACTGTGACTGTCATTCCTGGAGAAGTACAAGACTAATCTGAGGTGTGTGGATAAGTGAGGAGCAAGGGGAATATCTCAGAAGGCTTTTGGGAAGAGGTAGTTCTTAGAGTTGCTATAACAGAGTGCCTGAGACTGGGTAGTTTATAAGGAAAATAAGTTTATTTAACTCATGATTCTGGTGACTGGAAAGCTCAAGACTGGGTACCTGCATCTGGTAAGGGCCTCACCTCCAAAAGCAGAAGGGAGCCAGTGTGTGCCAAGAGATTACGTGGTGAGAGATGGGCGGGTTCCTATGGGGACAGAGGAAGTGGAGGAGGGTGCTGTCAGGATCTTTTTAACAGCCAGCTCTCAAGTAACAAATACAGCAAGAACTCCCTCATTCTTGACAGAGGGCATTAATCTTTTCATAATTAATCCACCCACATGACCCAAATACCTCCTACCAGGCCCTGCCTTCCAACATTGCCACCTTGGGAATCAAATTGGAACATGAGGTTTGAAGAGGACAAACATCCAAATCATAGCACATGGACCCTGAATGATAATGCATTAACGTATAGAAATGTGAAAGGAAAGAGCATTCTTAAAAAAAAATAAATAAAATAGGATAAGCCAAAGGGGAAGGTTGGGGTAAGTGAGAAGAAAAGCATGTAGAATATGTATTGAGGTACTGCTGCTATGTGAATTTATTAGCAGAGAAAGGGGTACAGTGTGATTTTTTTAAAAAAAGACTGGGCATTTTCAGAGGGCCTGGTGGCATAGGAAGGCCATTTTTGGATTAAGTAGTCTGATTTGATTCTGAAATTTATGAGTCTTAAATATTCCTAAAAAAGAAGTGCATTATCAGAAGATAATTCCAAGTTCATTATGAAGGAGCTAGTGGAAGTAGAGTGGCATATTTGGCTATGACTACAATCCAGATGAAAAGAGAAGAGATAAACTAGGGAAGTTGCTTAGGAAGACCAAGAAGAGGTAACCGCTTTCACCACTTCTATTCAACATAGTACTAAAAATCCTAGCCAGATAAACCAGGCAAGGAAAAGAAATTAAAGGCATCCAAACTGGATAAAAGGAAGTCAAGTTATTCCTGTTCACTGATTATATAATCTTACATCTAGAAAAACTAAAGACTCCACCAAAAATCTCTAGATTTGATAAATGAATTCAGCAGGATGCAAAATCAGTGTACAAAAATCAGTATTAATTCTATATACCAATTACAATCTGAGAACCAAATCAAGAAGACAATCCCATTTACAATAGCTACAAAAAATAATGAAATATCTAAGTATATATTTAACTAAGAAGGTAAAATATTTCTACAAGGAAAAATAGAAAATGCTGATGAAAGAAATCATAGATAAAACAAACAAATGGAAAAACATCTCCTGCTCATGGATTGGAAGAATTAATATTGATATCATTAAAATGACAATCCTGCTCAAGGCAATCTACAGAGTTAATGTAATCTCTATCAAAATACCAACATCATTTTTCACAGAATTAGAAAAACAATCATAATATTCATACGGAACACGAAAAGAGCCCAAATTGCCAAACCAATCCTAAGCAAAAAGAACAAAGCTGAAGACATCATATTACCTGATTTCATATTTTACTACAAGTCAATAGTAACCAAAACAGTATAGTACTGGTATAAAAATAGACACATAGATTGGTGGAACAAAATAAACATCCCAGGAATAAAGCCACATTTTTATAGCCAACTGATGTTTGACAAAATAGACAAGATCATACACTAGAGAAAGGACAACCTTTTCAATAAATAGTCTGGGAAAATTGGATCATCATATGCAGAAAAGTGAAACTGAACCCCTATCTTTCACTGTATACAAAAATCAACTTAAGATGAATCAAAGACATAAACATAAGTCCTAAAACTATATAAAAAACACTAGAAGAAAACCTAGGAAAAACTCTTCTGGACATTGGTCTAGGTAAAGAATTCATGACTAAGACCCCCAAAGCACCAGCAACAAAAACAAAAATAGACAAATGAGACTTAAACTAAAAAGCTTCTGCACAACAAAAGAAATAATCAGTAGAGTGAACAGACAATCTACAGAATGGGAGAAAATATTTGCGAACTATTCATCTGACAGAGGATTCATACCTAGAAACTACAAGAAGTTCAAACAACTCAACAAAAAATCAAAGAAGTAATCCCATTAAAAAGTGGGCAAAAGACATTAATAGACATTTCTCAAAAGAAGACATAAAAATGGCCAACAGACATGAAAAATGCTCAACATCACTAATTATTAAAGAAGTTCAAAGTAAAACTACAATATCGTCTTAACACTAGTCAGAATGGCTATTATTGAAAAGATAATGTATAACAAATATTGGTGAGTTTGTGGAGAAAAGGGAACTCTTATACACTGTTCCTGGGAACGTAAATTAGTACAACCTCTATGGAAAACAGCATGGTGATTTCTCAAAAACTAAAAACAGAACTACTATTCTATCCAGCAATCCCGTTATTGGGTGTCTATGCACAGGAAAAGAAATCATTGTATCAAAAAATACCTGTGCCCGTATGTTTATTGCAGCACTAGTCACAATAGCAAAGATACAGAATCAACCTTAGTGTTTATCAACAAATGACTGGATAAAGAAAATGTGGCATATATACCCAATGGAATACTATTCAGCCATAAAAAGAATGAAATCATGTTTTTTGCAGCACAATGGATGGAATTAGAGGCCATTATTTTAAGTGAAGCAAGTCAGACACAGAAAGACAAATACCATATATTCTTACTTATAAGTGGGAGCTAAATAGTGAGTACACAAAGGTGTAGAGTGTCAAATGATGGACAATGAAGACTCAAAAAGGTAAGGGGACAGAGGGGGGTGGATGACGGAGGTTTTGGGGTACAGCGTACGTTATTTGGGTGATGGATACTCTAAAAGCCCTGACTTCACCACCACCCAAGCTATGCATGTAACAAAATTACACATATGTCCCATAAATTTATACAAATTTAAAAAAGAAGAGGTGATCAGCAATGTCATGCCTAATGTTTAGTGATTTGCTTTGTTTAAAATGATCACACACAGCTATTCAAAGTAATTTTTGTGTATAATGTAAATGTTCCATGTACCATTTTTATACTGGAGGGGAATAGATGATTCATTGCCTTAGAGAATATTGCTTTCTTTATAATATACTTTTAAAGTAAAATAAAAAAATTTTAAAGTTTACCAAATTTTTGAGCACATGCCTATGAGTAATCTTAAAGTCTAACACACTCCTAGCAATTTAGAAGAAAGTTTCTGTGGAAACACATTTTCCAGTAGTCTATAATCATCTACAGTCTGCTTTGTACCGTGCACAGAAATATTTAAGTGTGTTGATGATATTCATTTTCACTTGCAATCTGGTTTAACTGGCAACTGGCAAAACCAGTTAAAATTAAGAAGATGGATATTTTGAGCTAAACTACAAACAATTCTGCTGGAAATAGAACGTGATAACTAAATTGCTATCATTCATGCCTTGCTCTCTAGAATCTGGCTAATGGAGGATTGAAAAGGCTACAACTTTCCTACATTGAACATAACAAAACAGACCAATAAACTGGCTCTCCTTGAGCATCTGAAATTTCCTCCAGACATCTCACAAATGCAAAGAGAAAGTTAGCGCCAAAACAAATATTATACTCAACAATTTCGACGACTAATATGTTAAGCAGGAATTTCTCTCTAAACGCTATAAAACTAAAAAAAAAAATACCCTAGTTTAAGGGCAGGTTTAATCCACCACTGTGTGCATACCACACAGGGATAAGGAGATCATTAATCTGAACCAGCTTTAGCAGTTAATTAAAATATGTGCTGTGTCACTCAGAGTGTTTCTCTAAACTTAACTATTATTGAGATTTAGAATCTCTTTAAACTAACAAAAAAAGAAGAGCCATCTTAGAGAGAGGATGGAAGAAGAGCATCTGTTCTGCAAAACATCCCACAGCAATTGGCTTGGTTTCTCTGCTAATTATGCTCCACATCAGGCTGGGAAATTTAACAGGTAAGCTTTTATTATTTACTCTGGTCTCTTTGTTGAAAGATGCCCCCTCTGGTGGCCATAAATCTATTTTTAAAGAAAAATAATTAGTTACAAGTGCTTCTCAAAAATTGATGGTGAGAGAAGGAAATCAAAATACTTTAGACCCAAAGCTTATTTTGTTTTTTTTGTGGCATTGGCTGTTCGTTCTCTCCAAACTTTTAGTTACTTCATACACATGGACAAGAAGCATCACTGTCAACTTTAATATCTATCTAACAGACTGCATGAGAATACCCAAAAGCAAAAGCCAAATTGTGTCCCAAGACTCTCATAAGAGAAAGATGCCACAGAGAAAAGAAGATCTGAGCAGATCGGTCTTTGAGGTAGAACAATCCGGATTTTCGGTTTCTTGCCAACTGCCAAAGAATTTCAAGAAAACCCATCTCACCACTGCAAGAGGAGACCATAGAGGTCTTTGGGAAAACACATGGGAGAGGTACTTCTCCTCCCATTCCTTCACTATAAGGAATCATATAATAGTAATTTTCAATCAAAATAAAATGTGAAAAAGCATTGTTGACAAATTTTATGTCACTATGGCAGAAAGTCTATAATAACTGAAGTTCTAGCAGTTATGAGACCTTCTTTAGTAAAAACACCAGTGTCTATTTCATCTCATTGTTCTAGTCCTATAACATTAAGCCTAGTGAAACTCAATACGCAATTAATTAGATATAACTTTAATTGCAGTGAATCAATACATTATTTAACAAATATGCTAAGTTAAAAATCAATCTAGTCTCCAACCTAAACTTCACAAAGCTCTCAGAATTTCTATTTAATCACTTCTAAATGATTCTCCACCAGAATCAGCCAGCTTCAGCCTTTACTCAGTCAGTCCATCAGCTTGGAATGACCTCCTTCCTTCTGTTCTTCCTCTAAGTTCCAATCAGTGCTCACTGAAAATCCCATCTCCCCTAAGAATTCTGTACCCGCAGGAGTCTACATCTTTCCCTGAATTCTACTGGAGTCACATGTATTGTCTTTTTTCATTTACCTATTTGTAAGTGATTCGTAGCTCTTCAGCTAAACTGTGTAGTCTTGAAAATCAGGATATATGATTCTTTTTTTTTGTATACTTGTATGTGATTCTGTTTTTGTATACTTGGACAAAAGTAGTATTCATTAAATATTGCTGTACAAGTCAGTGAGTTAAGTATATTTAAAGAAAAACAAATCAATCATCAAACAACACATATTTATCAAGACCCTACTTTGTATGAAGTGTAATCCTATGGACAAAGGATGACATATGTACACACACACACACACACACACACACACACACACACACACACAGACCCCCAGGGTCTTGATCAAGTAGGCTTATTTTATACTTAGGAAAATAAGACCTAGAGTGGTGCAAGATAGCCAATGATGCATAGATAATAAGTATAAAATGGGCAATTAAAACTTATGAGCATAATTTTAAATTTATATATGTATATAATTTATGTACATTTGAGTATAAGTGGAATGTTGAAAGCAGATGGAGCCAGCATTCCACGCAGAATGTGTCACCACGTAAAGCTTTATCCCACCGCAAACACAGTGTCAGGGGTAATCCAAGTGTTTGGAGTTATGTCCTATTAAAGTCTTGGTTGATTTTATCAGCACTCATACAAAAAAGTTATAATGATTTTATATCCATATAATGTATATATTTTTAAGTTAGAGACATTAAAAATAATTAAAATTAATCTCTTCATAGCACTTCTTTGGGAAAATAGACACAACGTTATTATAAAACAAAAGAGTAGGTACTACCTCAAGCAAGTTAAATACTGGTTGCCTTCGTAGACTGTATGTATATCTACATTACAGAACATTTATTATTGAGGATTTTGAGAAAGACTTTTAGCCTAACTGAACTCAGTTTCATAATATCACATAATTGTGCATGTTCTTCATCTTTAAAATAAGAGCATTAAACAAAGTGATAGCCAAGCTTCCTTTAAGCTTGCTTTATTTGTCCAAAACAAATACCAGAGACACCCCCTGACTAGAATGAAATGCCTCCTAGCTGTTCACACTAAGTAATTACTTTTATATAATGCATTCAGCCTGGAGAACTCAAGGATCTCTGAGATTCTACTCTATCTTATTATTAGAAAATCTCCATAAGATGGGTGTTATTGTCACCACTCTTTAAGAAGTTAAATGAAGGCTTAGGGAAACGAAGTTGCTTGTTTACGGAAGGTCAAAGAAAAGAAAAGCAGGCAGAGGTAGGAATACACCTGACATCGTGGATCGTTTCCTTTGCCATACCCCAGAAGCATCTCAAGAACAGATTGACGGTAAATATCACTTTTCTGGGTTTAGAAAACAAATGTGTGGAAACATGGAGGCAAAGCCTGGATCTGCTCACTGGAGAGGCGGAGAGTTGTTCTCTAGTTGGACCAAGTGATCTGTACCGTTACATGCACTTGAGTGAACCAGTGGGGTAAAAGGTTTTAAGTGTCTCAAAAAAGAGAACTGTTTCTACTGCCTTCATTGAAAAGTCTGGATTCTGCACACTTCTCTGGGTCCAAGACACTCTCTTTCAGGACTACATCTCTGAGAATTCCAAGCTTGAAATGTAACTTACACATCAATTATCATTCTGTCAATTTTACAGGTAAGAAAATAGCACAAGACATATAAAATTCACGGATTTTGAAGCCACCTGAAATGAATTTTGAAATAGAGATCTACCAACTTTTTTACTTGTGAAATCTGGAGTATGATGGGTAACCTCTCTACCCTATCTTATCTGCAAAGCAGAGATAACAATACATTACTCCTATGAGTGTTTCAGGCATTAGATTATTATGCAAAGAAGCTATCATGGTGGGGTCACTTAGTTGCTGTCTAATTATTGCTAACCTGGAAGGCTTTGGGGATGATAATTTAACTAAGTCACAAAGTTCCATAAGGAAAGTGTTCAGGGCTTTGTCTAGTTGTCTCATTTCCCTGTAAAACAGGGCCTCTACAGAAGAACCACAGTTAGCATTTTGTTACTAATTCCAAAAAAACACTAAGCTTTGTCTTCAGCCACCGGATTTATTAGAGTGAGCAAGGACTAGGGGCCTGAGGCGAATCACTATGGGGAATAAATTAGGCAGAGTGAAGAATGAAACTCATTGTTATGCAAACACAGGTTAAAAATGCCGTTGTGTGAATTTTGTTTGGCTTTGTTTTAATGAAGGAGTGAGGTTTGTGGTTTTAGCAAGCTCCCTCAGAAGGGGACCATTTCCACCCCAGGACTCATTTCCATGGAAGGCCCGTGGTAAACCTAAGGCAGCTGGTAAGTTTAGCACTTTTTGTTGTCCAAGAAAGTGTGTAAGAAACAAGGGCCAGCATTTTCACTGGACTGTCAAAGCAAAGATTGCAATAATTTTGTAAAATTTTGCAAAAAAATGACAACTCTGTGAAGTGAAGGCAATGTTAATTAGCTTGATCATGGCAATCCTCTCACAATGTCTGCATGTGTCAAAGCATCATCACATAGTACACTATAAATATATACAATGTTTGTCAATTACACCAAAATAAAGCCGGAAAAAAAGGAAAAGAAAAGAAACATGAAAAGAAAGTGACAATTGATATATATGTTGTGTAACATCAAATAAAACTGCATGTGAACTAACATCACGTTTGCAGAAACAGAGGAACTCAACGGTTAATGTCAATCTTATGAAATAAATATTCTTAAGATGTTTATATAGGAGTATAGTTTATGCAATTAATATGTTCTTAAAACATTAGGAGCAAACATAACATAATTTTTACAAATTAAAACTTTTTGTCATGCTAGGAGGAAAAACATTTGAAAGGACATTCTCTGGTCAATATTTCTATAAAAGTTACTTATCTCATTTTAATGTTAATTCTGTATGTTGTAAACTGATTCATCCTGAGACCCACTTTTTGTTACTGAATTCTTATCAAAAAGCAAATTCCTTTGGGGCTTAAAAAAATTGCAGCACACATAATCACATAGGCAAGGAAGACTTTAAGGATGTCGCAATAATGGAAAGGGCACCAGAACTCAGTCTTAACTCCACTGGTAAAAAATGGCTGGAGAGCTTTTAAGAGCTAAGACTAGGGATGGAGGAGGGATTTTAGGGCATCTGTTGGCTTATTGGCCTTACCCAATGGAAAAGTACATTTTCTCCTATCTTGAGGACAGGAGGCAGTTTTACAACTTGGAAAATGTTAGGCTCCTATCCTCCCGTAGAAACTGGGAGATACGGATGCTATCTTTTTTGATTATTTCTTTTCAAAGAGATGACTCCCAGATCCTTGAGAAAGACAGTTCTGAGTTGCAAAACTGGCAAGAAGCTTTTAATGAGATTTTCAACTCAAAGATGTAAAGGAAGAATTTAAAATTGCAATTTTTTAAAAGTAAATACTTATTTAAAAAAAGGAAGGCAAGGATCCTAGAGGCTTGAAGAACCGTCTAAAGTTTAGAAAAGCTGAGAGGAACATTGAGGCCTCCTTGAACAGACTCATCATAAAGAAGTTTTAAAGAGAGAACCTGGGCTCCCTCACACTTCAAAATGTTCTATAATATCTTAGTACATAAAATGTGTCTTTGGGTTCTCATTCCACTGTCCCATCTGACACCCTCACGTTCCCCCTCCTACCTTACCCCCATAAGCAGCCTCCCCACACACAAATGCACCTGCAAATCATTCCTACCTCATTTTCCTCCTTCTTTGCAAAGTCCTCAGGCTGGAAAACCTAATTTTGTTCCTCAGTGAGGCTTCCTTGCCTCATGCACCTCACCTGTGTTCTCAATGGGTTGCCTGATGCCATAAACTCTGTGTTCATGCCCTAATGGAAGGCTCATGGTAGATTACTGTGTCATCCTTCTAAGATGCCTGCGTATGTACAGTGGACATTTGGGAACACAATATCTAACTCACTAGACAGGCCCTCTAGAAATTAGTGCTAATGAAATGTGAACAAGGCAGACAATTTGGGTTGAAGATAAGGCGGAGATGAGTGTAGTCTTCAGAGCCTCCCCTAAATTTCAGCACACGGCTTTCCCTTTCCCTGGTGTGTTCTTTCAAAACCAATGGTGGCAGTAAAGCATCCCAGAGGGCTGACGACAAATGGGTGCATCACCCCAGCCCTGCATGGAGGAGGGTGGGAGGAGAAGGGAGAAGGGTGTGTAGAAGCTCTCAGAAAGTTTTCAGGCTTTTTACCTCTTTATGTATATTTTCGTTTATGATCATCACAACACTCACTATCTTTACGCACAAGCTCATTTTCAAAAAAACATAAAATAGGCCAGGAGCAATGGCTCATGCCTGTAATCCCAGCACTTCGGGAGGCCGAGGCAGGTGGATCATCTGAGGTCAGGAGTTCGAGACCAGCCTGGCCAACATGGCAAAACTCCATCTCTACTAAAAATACAAAAATTAGCTGGGTGTGGTGGCATGCACCTGTAATCTCAGCTACTCTGGAGGCTAAGGCAGGAGAATCACTTGAACCCAGGAGGCAGAGGTTGAAGTGAGCCAAGATCGCGGCCTTGCACTCTAGCCTGGGTGATAGAGGGAGACTCCATCTCAAACAAACCAACAAACAAAACCCATAAAATAAATGAATATTTTTATGAATAAGTACCAAAGGAGATATCAGAAAGTTCCAGTATAGACGTAGAGTGTAAATGTCATCAATCAAACCAGAATCCTCCTGACTCATAGCACACCCGGAATGTCCATTTAGTCCCATTCAGCAATCCTCTGGTTAAGGGCTTGGCAAAAGGAATTGAGGCACCCGTCTCCTCCCCCAAAGTAGAATTCAGAAGACATTCCTAAATATACAGGCAGGGAGAACCTCTTTGGAAAGTTTGCACTTTAGAACCCTGAACGTTAAATTTTCTGTCGCCCAGGCTGGAGTGCAGTGGCGCAATCTCGGCTCACTGCAAGCTCCGCCTCTCTGGTTCACGCCATTCTCCTGCCTCAGCCTCCAGAGTAGCTGGGACTGCAGGCGCCCGCCACCACGCCCGGCTAATTTTTTTGTATTTTCAGTAGAGACGGGGTTTCACCGAGTTAGCCAGGATCGTCTCGCTCTCCTGATCTTGTGATCCGCCCGCCTCGGTCTCCCAAAGTGCTGGGATTACAGGCATGAGCCAACGCGCCCAGCCATTTTCTTTCATTTTTATGTGCTTCCCATAAATTTCATAAAACTCTGCTTAAGATTTTATAAATAATTATTTGTGAATATACCAGTAGAAATGGATATTTGAGAGAATTACAAGTTTCAGTGTGCTTTAGAAAGTCTACAGAGTCAGCCTCCAAAGAAACATTATGGAAAAGAGCAGCCTCTCCGTATCCATGACTGGGTGGTCACCCAGCAGCAAAGATCAAGGTTATTGATCTCTTCTCTATACATCTGCCCTACACATTTGGGTCTACTGCTGAGGTTGAGTATTACTGGCCATCCTTTCCCTGCAGGTGAAACAAGGTCTTTCGGGTAATATAGCCCAAATACAGCACTTACGCCTTTCCCTGAAACTGGGAAGACAGCAGAAAGCGTGTCTCCTCACTCTCATGGGCAGTGTAACTAACTTAGAGGTCTAAGCCTGTGGGTCTTGTAAGTCTTATAAGTGCTTCCCTTCCATTATGTGCAAGCCACCTGGGGAAAGGTGCAGGGGGCAGGAACTTGGAGGGCAGAAATTTTGAACTTGAAAGAAATAGTCAAATCAAGGAAAATAATTAAATAATTTATAGCTCTTTTCCAGGATAAATATGCAACTACTCTTCTTGGGGTAATAATGATAATAATCTCTTTTTCTGCTTTTTACTCAGACGTAAGCATTGTGCTACATTATCTGCTAGGTTTTTATTTTAAATTGGAAAGCTAAGTATCATTTTCACTAGAAAACTAAGTAAATTGCTAAGGCAGTAAGTGGCAGAGTGAAATGTAGTTCCCTCGTCCCTCTGACTGTAGCCCACGCTTGTGATGCCTCTGCCTAGTGTAGGGAGTAGTTAATTCTAGAATACCGTGCAAGAACGGAAAGACCAGGAGTTTGAGTGTCAGAATAACATGGCTTTCTTTGAATGCAAACTCTGCAATATACTCAATGTATAACCTTAGAAAAGTTGTTTAACACCTCTTACTGTCAGTTTCCAACCTATAAAATATAAGAAATTGTCATGATAGCTCTCAGTAGAAGGCTCAGGATATAGGAATAGGTTCACAGTAACTATTACTTCTTTTCCTCCCTGGAGTATGGGGGATGGGGAGAACTACTGTTTTCTTAACAAGGAATTGAGAAAAACCTAGAAAAGTTGCTGGCATCTCAGTAGGGGGAATAATGTGCCCAAATGAAAAACCAAAAGTCATTGATTATGAAGTAAAATAGAAAAGATTCTTTCTGGAAAGAGAGATCAATGATTAGAGAAAGACACCCAGGTTAGAGCAGGTTGAAGATAGGCAAGATTTGTAATAAATATTTATAAAACAATGAAGAAAGAGGGGAAATGAAAGAATTAATAGCCAGTCTGATAAAATGCTGGCCAATCCGTAAGTATAGAATCTTGCTTATCAAGATCAACAAAATCATACCACTAAATTGTATTACATTATTGTCCTCTGTTCTCAATAAAAATAAACACCATAAATAGTGTTTATCTTTGAGGAAAATGCATATGCTAATCTTAAATCAAGTCCACATATTTTCTTCCAACGGAAATATGAATATTTTCCTGGTAAATCTGCCTTAACATCCTATGATAGATGTTCCCATTGTTCTTCAGGAACAAACAAGGTAGGATTTTTTTTTTTTTTTTTTTTGAGCAATGTGCAAAATGGAAACGTTTGAAAAATAGTTTCTTAAATCGCAGCGTGTAGTCGCTAATGGGCTATGACAAGCTATTTTTCCAGTCTTCCATTTTCAATCCATATTTCTGAATAGCTTTGTGAGATTTTGCATTAGTTTCACAGATTTCCCCAAATGATTATGCCGCAGTAATAGAATAAGGAGCATCTGCGGCAGGCTGATTGTATCACACAGTGTTTACTGAGAATGAAGGACTGTCACACGCATGCTGATCCGAGAAATAAGCTTGAAGATTACTATTATTAAACAACCAACTGTTAAAAGATCCACACGACATATTAAGGGGAAATATAGAATAAATTGGTTTTGTTGCTTAAGCCAAATATTTTGGAATTCATCCACATTAAGCTCTCACTTTTTCTCACCATGGTCCTTGATTTTGTGATAAGTTTGCATACATTACTGTTCCCGGAGGTACATTTAGTTTAATTAAATTTTACTATTAAAAAGTATTAAAGCCAGCTTCTCATAATCCTTAGGAAACCTGGCGTGGAAACACATTGCTTCCCTAACACTTTCCTGAAGGAGCTTGGACGACTTGACTCAGGCAGGTTGAGAGACCAGAAAGCCATCCAGAGAGAGCAGGGACCCAGCCATCCACCACCTGGTTCTACTCCCACCCTAAGGTTTGCCTCCTCCAGGCAGCATACACGGTAACAGGGCTAGAGGTTAAGACACTTGTGTTCTACTTTGGAATCTGCCAGCTGACTTAGTCTTTTCATATTCTGTTTTAAAATATTATGATTATGTATTTTCCTTACTATTCTATAAACAAGAATTCACATTTGAAACACTAAAAATGACAGGGTATCAGGGAGCTTATTTTCCATTTGAGCTGCATTCAGAAGCTTCTGCTGTCCTCATGCTCTCCCCCATTGTTGGCTGAGAACCTACTGTGTGTCACGTATTAGGCTGGAATCTGGGCATACAGAGGTGAGGAAGGTCAAATCCTCTCCGCCAAGAGATTTACAGTCTCATCATGAAAATGCCCTGCCTTAATCCCTATCTCACACTGACAGCTGGTCTTGAAGGAGAAAGAGCTGCAAGTTCTGTTAGTCATTCTGAAGGGAGGAAATGGAAAAACATGGTATGTCACAATAAGGCAACCATCCTGATGAAATAAGTGTTAAAGTATGCAAACTATATATTTGAAGGTAGTTTGTCATCTATTTTTTCTCACAGTCTTTCCTCTGATGGATTACTGAGTGCTTATTTGATCCATGATTGTCAATCATCCATCCTTGCAACATTTAACAAAATACAGACCCACTCTGTTCTCAGAAAGCACCACACAGAGATTCTGAAGCACTAATCAGGATGTAGAAAAACACTCCAGTCACCCTGCATTGGAAACGGAGAAGTGCTTTCAGAGCCATACTTCCTGCTGCGAGGTCATTAGCAGTGCGTCCATCCACAGCAAAGTGTTTTGCCACAGGTAATAACGGCTTAGTTTTTCCTAATGTTTTCCAAGTGTAGCATGAATGAACCAGCCAGTGTTTCTGTCAGGCCAAAGCAAAGGCTCTTTTGTTGTTTATTTTATTCTGCATTTCTTACTTAGCAGCAGAGATCTTTTTAAACTTCTAAATAACTCGTGCAAAAAAAAATTATCTAAAATATGGACACAGATAACAGGTAAATATCCAGACAAGGCTAAGTCACTTCCAAAAAGAAGATCCCCAAGTCCTCTGTGCCAGTATCTTTGTAGGTCACCATAAAAAAATCTCAAGCATTTCTTCTTCAAAAAATGTCCCATTTATACCCCCAAAGTCTTTCCAATTTACCTTTCTATGCTACTATTCCTCTATAGTACTGTCAGTCTAGTAGAACCCAGTAAGCTAGTTACATTGTTCAAACTGTTTTACTATCATCCGGTTGTAGAGACAGAAACAGATAGGCTTATACTCCAGCTGAACTGAATGTGCAATACCAGCTTAAGGTATGTTACTGTTCCAAGCCTCAGTTTTCTCAGAAAAATGCAACTAATAAGCAGATATTCTTTGCAGAGTGAGGAGAGGTAAGGTTATGCTACGATAACAAACAATCCTTCACTCAGTGGCTTTACACAATAAAATTTTATTTCTTATTCATACAAAGTCTTCTGTGGGACCAGAAGGCCTCTCAGGGATCCAAGCTACCGAATAATTTTGACTCTACTATCTCAATACAAAGCCTCCTTTTAGATGTCCAGGAGAAGGTGGAGTAGAACAGGGGTTCCAATCTTTTGGCTTCCATGGGCCATATTGGAAGAAGAAGAATTGTCTTGGGCCACACATAAAACACACTAATGATAGCTGATGAGCTTAAAAAAAAATTGCAGAAAAAAACTCACAATGATTTAAGAAAGTTTACAATTTTGTGTTGGGCTGCATTCAAAGCTATCCTGGGCCACGTGCGGCCCACAGGCCACAGGTTGGACAAGCTCGGAGTGGAGAGTCTTGCACTGGCAATTAATTGAGTGCTTTAGCCTGAAGGTGGTGCACATCAATCCTCTTCCATGTCCAACGGCCGGAACAAAGTAAATGGCTACATCCAACCACAGGGAGTCTAGGAATTGCAGTCTTCCATGTGACAGGAAAAAAAAACCAAGATATTTCTGAGCATTAGTTATGTCTACCAGAGTTGTTGTTAAGATTAATGAAGTAATAGATAAAAATCTTCCCAGCATACCCAGTATACTTTCAAAACTGGTAGACGCTGAATACATAGAAGGCATGATCATGATGATGACGATGAGGCCGATGATGACAATGAATAAATGGCTCAATATGTAAATAAGTAAATTAGAAGTGTTTCATTTAATTACTCAAGTATTCACATGCTTTATCACATGAAACACAAATTTGTTGTTAGTTCCAATTGTAATTCCTATTTCTACTACTAATGAGACAGGTGCCTTCTGACCAAAGCTGTCCTGATCAGTAAGAATCATGGTCTTTTCCACTTAATTTCTCCAACCTTTCACACCATCTTGCATTACAGGCAGTTCCTAACATGACAAGCTATCATACTCTTTCACTAATGGGAACCCTCTTGAGTTCTGTTTCCTGTGCACTGACCCCAATTAAACAACTTTGTATTGGTGTCCCTGTTTCAAGACCCTGTTAGCCTACTCACTAATGTTAGTCTCTTAAATTACTCAATAGAGTACCTCCCATAGGATCAAATACATTTTTCTCAAATCCTAAATGAAATATTACTGTTCCACAAATCCATTTCACACATCTACAGCAGTGATTTTTCAAATGTGGGGGTAAGGGAGATTGATGTGATGCAACATATTCTAGATGAGCTTTAGGCAGAGCTTTCTCCTCCTCCACATAAATGGGAAAAGAAATAAAAGTTAGTTTTTAATCCCCTGAATGGGGAAAATAGCCCTAGATGTATTATGTTTCTTTCTTTTTCTCCAGGTTCCATCCTCCATTGTATAAATACTTCGCAGTCTTTGCCAAGGCTCTACCCTATATATTTTTACACAGACAGATAAGTGAAAAAATATATAATCAAAGTATGTATTGGAGCCAACTGTACACTTGTTTGGGGCTGGTTCCTCAGTGACAGTGTCTACTACACACCTAACACTATCAGATTGTGGATGTGACTTTCTTGACCTCCACCCTAGGGGCTGTATATGTAAGCACAGATAAGGGTTGTTTCTCAATTCTTGTTTGTTTCACCCTTTATTTTCTTATCACCTCACATTTGTTCATCTGGTTCTAATTTATTAGTCCTGGGAGACAACTCTAAGAGGCCTTCTGTGACCAAGGAATGGGAATAGACTGTCCTTGGCTCCAAAACAGCAGTAGCAGTTATGGTTAGATTGAACTAGCATAGTTACCTACTTCTCTGACCTGAGTTTTCATCTTTCCTTCTCTCTGTGCACCCACCTGAGGAGGGCGAATGGACCACAGTCAACTTATCATGCTAACCCATAATACTCATGTGTTGCACTTCTTTCTTTTATGATTCCCCTTCTCTCTCATTTTCCAAGCACCCCAAGCCATCCTTAGCTTCCTTTATAGATTTAAGCAAGTTCTTAGCATGCTGGCAATTTTCCAGGAAAATCTTACCCTTCCTTCGACTTTAACAAAGAGGGTATGTTGCTTCTTCAATTTGTAGAGTTGGATTATTATCCAGAAATCAGCAACCCCATTTTTTTTCTTAAGGCCAGTGGTCTCTCAACCTGGGTCTGAGGCTCTGCCATAAGTAATAGAAACCTGGATGTATAATTCTGTGCCTTTACCTTAATCAGTAGCACACCAATCACCAATTGTAGATTTTTAGAGGTTGTTTGCCTGCCTTGTCTCAGCTCCCCTGCTTGTGCTCATTCTCTCCATAGTTACAGCAGAATAATTGGTAAAGCCACCTTCAATGGCCTGAGCCTGTTCTGGAGAACCCTGCTCGTGGAGATGTAGAACCAGCCTATTGTCATTCCCATGGCCTTGGATATTATGGACAGGTCTCAGGTGGTAGGGCCTCACCGACCTTTAATCCTCCCTCTGGAAGGTGGATTTCAGTCCTCTGACTCTACCCTATAAGATACATTGACCACATGCCTCTTCTTCTGGCCAAATTAACACAAACATGAGAATCCAAAGTTCTTTTGTATCTCCGATGTCACGAAGAATGAGTATATTTCTGTACTTGGGCAAGCCTGGTTTCTATTCTCTAAACCCTCCACCACCATGTCTCCTGGAACACATGTGCAGAGGACTTTTGTCCATTCATTTTCATCAGTCAGAAATGCAGTAGGCAAAAGCCAATGCTTCCTCCGTGCGCATCTATCCCAATGCCTTCTGTACGCAGCCATCATCACTCCAGCATCTGAAGCTTGAAGGATTTCAGAGAGTTCCCTTCAATTTTTCTCTTTCCTCGACACTATGCTGATTCACCAGTATTTATCACCTTTATGGGAAACACATATCATAGGTCACAGTCCTCCCCCTTACTCCTTCACATTCTGTCTCCTGCAGATGTCCCCAGTGTTTCGTAGCACATGGCCTCTACCAAGCATTCTATTACTTGTCTGTTTCTCTGACCCAGAATATGAGCCCAGAACAGTCGAGGTTAGTCACTTCTAATCCAGGTCCATTTGCAATGAATCTGTCTTCACCTCCACCAAAGACTATTATTTTCAGTGATGATTCAAGGATCTGAGCTCTTTTCTCCATGGGGCTCCACCATTTTGAATGTCTTCTCTTTCTGCCATGCAGAGATGAGAAAATGAGATTGAGGAGAGGATTTTGAAAAATATTTTATGGGCCAGGCCCGGAATTGGTGCACATCAATTATACCCTATTTCTTAGCCAAAATGTCATATCTGTAAACAGCAATTTGCTCACTAGCTTTCAAGATTTTTTCTTCATGTATCATCCTCCAAGGTAACCAGGAGCCTTCATTTCTTCTGTGAGTACATAAACAATGCAGCTGGCAAGTTTGCCACCTGAGCCACAATCAGGAACACAAAGAATGAAACAAAGTTGTGTTTCATTTTTCTTTTCTTATTCTGCTTGCTGATCTAATTCCAGTTGTTCCTGCGTCATTTTTCTGCTCCTTGACTCACTGGAAGCATCATGATCATACTTGGGTCCGTGTGTTCTCATTCCAGAGACACACACGTGGGATGCCAGCCCATGGGTTAATTATCACAACACTGACAAGGCAGCATTGATTCAAATGACAAATTAGTGTTATTTATATATTGAGGCAGCAGAGGCATTTTGCAAGTGTCATGATAGAACCCAGAAACTCCAGATGACAATGGAGGAAGGGGGTATAAATGACAGAAAGAGGAATGGGCAGAGGGAGAGGGCATCTTCGAACATTTGTTATTGGAACCAGAAGCTTCTAGGTGGTGACAAAATAGATCTAAGTTTGTAAAGGTGGAAATGAGTGAAATAGCCAGGAGCAGGTGTGGAGTAAAGACGTCATTGCCAGGAAAGCCAGAGCGTAGGCACAATCTCAGCCAACCTATGTCCAGGCTTCCAGGCATAGCAGACATGCCCAGGTTTACAGAAACATGCTGGGAGATGCTAACCTCAAGAGCAAGGGGATTCAGAGGCTAAGCAGAGGTGAGCAATGGATCACTGGAGAAAATATACACAACACTTCCAAATTGAAGGGTAACCTGAAAATGCTGAGGTTCTGTAGCATTAAATAAACCTTCTAAAGTTCAGGTGCCAATCAGGGCTTCAGTTTGTAGAAGCAGAAATCTCAAAGGCTAACTCTGTTGACAAATTGCTAGTATTCCCTTCCTTCCCTTAAGCCAGAATGTCATTGGAAACAATGTTACATGCATTCCTGCAAAGGGTAGCACCCAGGTATGGCCAATTGCAGGACATGAGAAAGCACAGGGATAAAAGCCTTTCTAATTATATCTCTCCATTTTCACTCATAACTGCTATTTCTCCTTAATTTGGTTGATGTAAAAGTAACTGTGAGTTACTGGAAATTGTGATGCTTCTCTCACCTACTAACCAGGTTCTCCCTGTGTCATTTCAGAGATATTTATCGTAGTATTGATATTATTGGATCAGGTGTGGCCTCTTTAAGAAAATGAATTGAGCAACCGCATGGATCAAAATTTCATTTTAATGCAAATGTTGGGGGATAAGTGCACCATTGCCACCCTATCCCATACCATTACCATAGTGTAAATGTAAGGCATCATTTCTTTGAACACATGTACTCTACACACACGTACACACACGTGCACGTACACACATACACACCACCCACAGAAATAATATATAATGTTTATACAATTTGAGGGGTTTTTAAATTTTTAATGATCAATTTCACTAGATAACTTTTTTTTGTTTGTTTGTTTGTTTTGAGACGGAATCTCACTCTGTCACCCAGGCTGGAGTGCAGTGGTACAATCAGTTCACTGTAACCTCTGTCTCCCAGGTTCAAGAGATCCTCCCACCTCAGCCTCCCTAGTAGCTGGGACTACAGGTGTGTGTCACCAAGTCCGGCTAATTTTTGTATTTTTGGTAGAGATGAGGTTTCACCATGTTAGCCAGGCTGGTCTCAAACTCCTGACCTCAGGTGATCCGCCCACCTCAGCCTCCCTAAGTGCTGGGATTACAGCCGTGAGACACCACACCCGGCCTAGAAAACATTTTTTATATGCACTGTGATACCTCAGGGAAGCTACATGGCAGGTTGAAGCAGAAAAATAAAAAACTGTCCTTTTTTTTCTGACTCTTTTGCTCTGAGGTCTTAGAGCACCCAAACGGTTTGTGGAGGAGGTAAAGAGAGGGGAGCTGGGGGGTGGGTGCTGAAGTAGTAAAGAAGGAGACCAAGAACAGCATGCTGGAGAAGCAGGGGGAGAGTGAGGGGTGTTACACCCTCCAGCCCCCACCACCGAGAATAGAACAATTCCACAGGGCCTGGAGGAGGAAGGGTAGAGAGGCCTCCGGGTCCCAGGATGCAGCCTGGGCCAGATTTCCTGGCAGATTTCAGGAGAAACGGACATAAGGTGAGTGTCCAGACCGGTCCCTGGGCAGCCTCAAAGAAAATTTTGTTTGTCCTGGGGAAGTGAAGAAGCAGCAGAGAACTGCCACTCCTGAAGGAGGCTCCCAAGCATAACACTTCCTAATTTCCCCAGGAGGATTTGCCCCTTCAAGGTAGGTAGAGTCCTTGCTACTTCTCTCCCAGCAAAAGAAAACAAAATCTGCTGTACAATAAATCCCAGTCAGGGAACCCAATCACACTTCTTCTATGACATCCCCTGTCATTGTCAAAATCTGAACCAAAGCTGCTGACATGCCAGCACGTGAAGGCAAGAATGGTAATTGATTAAGGTGCAGGTTGGGTTCTCAGGAGGAGGAATCTTCTTTCTATGGATGCTTACATTTCAGACACATAAATGAACACTCCCTTTTCTCTGCCTCAAAATTAAGCTGAAGTCTGCCTTCCTCTGTAATATACAATATGTCTACATTTCTTTATACAAATTTCTAGAGGAAATAGAAGGCGGAGAAGATGCAGACTTCAGAAACCCACTTATTATCCAAGGAGGATGAGGGAGACTCCAAGTGGTTATCCCATACCTGCTCCCCACAATATGCATCTAGAAGCTTCTTTCTCAGAAGAGCCCGCCACCTGCCGCTCACAGTGGAAACTTCACTATGAACTTTGCTACCCATTCTGGGTGGTATTAGACAATGTGTTCCCATGTAGGTACCACCTATATCCATAGGTCCTTGCAAAAGACTCAACACTATGAGGATAGAATCTTTCTTTCTGTCAAGAAATAAAACCTACACCAGATTCCATTGTGACATACGCAAGTCATGGATTGACATAAGAAATACATTTTTAAATAACCATATACATATGTAAATATTTGCCTATTTGAAAACTTCACAGTGCTTTCTGTGCCTGTAACTGTGACCCTGTCCATGTCCACAGATCATTCTACATTTTTTGAGGCTAAAATTAACATCACCACTGACTCTAGTATCTAAGCAACACCAAAAGAGTAGTTATAGATAAACACAGCATGGTCAATAACTCAAAAAGAACAAATTAGGAATCTCCCCTTGGTGTAGGGTAAGTATATTTGTCTTAAAACATACAATGCTGGTTATCAGCCATGGAGGTTAGAATTAAAAATTCAAACACATTTGGCAGGAGTTCCTGAGCTGAGAAGAGAGAAAGTAGGGTAAGTATAATATTCTACAAGAAAATGACTAAGATAAAGACATGCATTTTTAAGAAATGTATGAAAGAAACAAAGCCCTTGGACAGAATATGAAATCAAAATCAAACACATTTTAGACCCAGTTTAGTGAAACTGGAGAGTGCTGAAGACAACGAGAAAACAACCAGGACGAGAAGTGCCGCAAAAGGAAGATAATTAAGAGGCTTTTCATTAGTAACAAGAGAGACTGTGAATAAGAAATGCTATCCTCAGGCTGCTTAGGAAAAAATAATTGTCTACCCACACTCATTTGAACTTTCAGTTCAACAGTGGAATCAAGAAATCTACACACGAATGAAGACTGAGAGACTACTATTTGAGAAAGACAGGAATTGATGAGGACAGAGGAGATTAGTAGCAACATGGAGCAGGGAAAATGGCAGACACACGTGGACAAATGTATATACTACAATTTTAAGTTTCTGTTTGTGTTTTATATCTTCTGATTCAGGAAGCTAGAAATAGAATGTGACCAAGAAGGTATGTCAATAAGAAAAAACAATCAAATAAGAAGGAATTAAGAGCTGCTTCAGGTGTTAGGAATCATGAGAACTAATCCACTACAGAGCATGCTCGTCCTGCCTGCCAAACATAAGTTGATCACTGGCTCACTGATATGGGGTGGATCTGTGTCCCCAACCAAATCTCACGTTCAGATGCAATCTCCAATGTTGGAGGTGGGGCCTAATGGGAGGTGACTGGATCATGGGGTCAGAGTTTTCATAAATGGCTTAGCAACGTCCTTCCTTGATACTGTATTGTGAGTTCTTGTGAGATCTGGTAGTTAAAATATGTGTGGTATCTCCCCACTCTCTCTCTTTCTCCTGCTCTGACCATGTAAGACAAGCCTGCTTCCCCTTTGCCCTCCGCCATGATTCTAAGTTTCCTGAGGTCTCCCTAGAAGCAGAAGCTACTATACTTCCTATATAGCCTGCAGAACCATGAGCCAGTTAAATCTCTTTCTTTATAAGTTACCCAGTCTCAGGTATTTCTTTATGGCAATGAAAGAATGGCCTAATATACCCACCTATCCTGATTTTTAGCATTTTGGTCATTTCTGGCATTTGGGTATGTCTCTTCAGTTCTTTATTTAAAATGCCATTATATTTTACCCTTTATACTTATGTTCCCAATATAAAACAGGGGACTTGTAACCACAGAGTACGTATTGCTGGAAGCTGACATTCTAAATGTCTACTTATAATGAATCCAAAAAGTTGCTATGAAACTCTAGGGAAAGGTAGGAGATTAAAATGCTAAGTTCTATTATTGTTTTTTAGGCCTTGAGTATCAGTTTATATGTCTTAGCTCACTAGATCATGGGAAGCAATGCTGAATGAGCATAGCAAAGGGAGAATAACTGACAGACCTTTAGGCTTCTCTCATGAAAGCATTTTGTCCAGTTGCTGCTGAGGGCTTTGTGCTTGTGTATGTTTATGGGACAAGTGAGGATAAATTTCAAATATTACTGATATGAACAGCGGTCACTGGGGGCATCGGAACACAGGATGATGTTGTCGGTTTGTGAAATTGACTTGGTTGTCAGGACTTGGGAAGGCACATGTTCTAGTGTGGAGTTACACTGAGCACTTCAGGAAATGTCTGGGGAATCTATTTTGCACTATAAAAATATGACTGGAAAAATTTTAAGTAGTAGCCCAAAAGAGTCAGCCACATTCAAGCAGCCATATTCATTTGTAGGCTACAACCTACCATGTGGAAAACTCTGGCTATGCAGTCACATCATACTGAAGATGGATTTCCATTTGAGTAACTGATCCTGTAAATTTGGTTTTGCTTTTCTGTGAGGCTGCTGCAAGGAAATGAAGATGCCATAGAAAAATGTAGTGAGTTAAACAGTGTTCCCCAAAAACTTCTTCCAGAAGAAGCTTTCCACCCACAGCCTCAGAATGTGACCTGATTTTAAAAAGGTCTTATTAAATGTAATCTGTTAAAATGAAGTCATCGTGGATTAGGGTGGGACATAATCCAATGACTGGTGTCTTATAAGAAGGAAACTTGGACACACACACATACATAGAGGGAAGACAATGTGAAGACAGAGACACAGAGAAAATACCATGTGACAATGGGGGCAGAGATTGGAGTGATGTGGCTACAAACCAAAGAAAGCTAAAAATTGCCAGCAACCACCAGAAGCTAGCAACATTTTTTCCCAAAAGCCCTCAGAGCATGCGCCTCTCAACAACTCAATTTTCTGCTGATTTAAGCCACCCAGCTTCTGGAACTCTGTGACATCAACTCAAGGAAACCAATACAGAGGGCATTGTTCCCATATGAGCACTGTTATCTTTACCCTAAGGTGGGTGTCACATTCTTGTTCCTCGATGCCGAGTTAATGATTATTGCTCAGGTTCATTTCATTCTGAAAATACAGCTTCTCAATCCCCTGTCCTGAACTGAGGTGATCATAAAAAGGGGTTATCAAATACAAACCCACCATGAGACTCAAATTCTAATGGAGATAAACAGCACTTAGCAATGGTAGAGACGGGGTTGCTCAGATCATTTGCAAAGATGTCCAGCTTTGTGCTCCTGAGGATCCAAGGGTCTTTCAAACCATTTGGAATTTTCACAGGAGGTTTTCACAGAGGAATCCTAGAAAGGTCTCTGGAAAGCAAGCACCCTGTTTTCTCCATAAAATAAATGAGGATACAAACACACTCTATTGCAAACAGAAGAGTCATGACACTCTTCACCAGCAGCCTTCCATGGGACATTCATTCATGGCTCTCCCTCTCAAAAAGCCCTGAATCTGAACATAGCAGGCAACTGCCTCATGTGACAAAACAGGAAGCCATATATGGACACACAGGTGCACGAGTCTCTCAAGTGCTGATTTTCAAATGCTGTAAATCCCAGGAGAAATACACAGCTATAACTGCATAGGAGGCAATTTGCCAGAGAAAAAAAGAGAACATTTATTTTTGATTTCAAGTAAAAAGAGAAAATCAATTCATTCAAAGACTTTATGAGTCATTTCAGTTATTTGCACTCACTTGCCTAGGGATGTGGGTAAAAGTAGGGTAAATTGGGCTTCCACAAATAACCAGTGAAGAAGATGGACTGATTTCACAATCCTGGCCCTGACTGCTTCGAGTTGTACTGGGAAGCCCCTTGAGGAAAAGAAAGGCCCAGCACCGGGACAGTCCTGAGGTTGTGGTGAACACACAAGCCCTCCTGTGACGTTCTTTCTTCATACTTTCAAGAAGTTTCATGTAGCGGAGAGCTCCAATTGACTTTTTGTGTATTTAATTAAATGAAATATGATGCTTGAGTAGCTTTGAGGGGGTGTTAAAGAATCACACAGAGCAAACTACTTTGGTCTACAGCTAATTACTTTATCTGTTACACGAGGCTTTTTATAAGGCAAAAGAATCCTGTCATAACAACCATCTCCCCTGAAGAAAAAAAAAACAATATTTAATGGAAAACTTAAACTTCTTGGAGTTAGCCAGCCAGCTTTCTTGTAAAAATAATTGGATATTAAGTCTTTCTTTAAAAATATATGTGCTATGTCGAAGTAGGGTTGCATTATAAATAGAGACTGCTACTAATTCAGTTGCAAACTGTAACTAGCTTTCACTTTATATTAATGCCCAGGGCAACACGGAACACCTTACAGCTTTGCACAACTTTGAACTTATTTGTGTTCCGAAAAGCTGTATGTATGTTAACAAGGAACCTGAGAACACACCATTTTTTGTGCCGTTTGACTGGCAGACTTTGCCATGTAGAACATATCAAGTATTCAGGAAAGGGCAACTCACAACTTGAAGGATGTAAACATTACAAAATCCACCATCTGCAATGAGAAACGAGGATCCCAGTACCTAATAAAACCAAGGGGCTGGATTTTATTCTCCCTGATGGTCAAAACCAACTGTTTGCACTCAGTTCCGAGTTCTTACCATTACACGTTAAATCCTCTGTGAAATCCTACTACAGGAAAAAGACAAGGTAAACTAAATGAATTCAGGTGACCAGCTAGCAAAAAAGATTTTTATTTTCAGGAGTGAGATCATTTCAAAGCTTAAGACCAACTATATCACTGTCGGTGCCTCTTCCATCTCTGGGTCCAACCCTGCCTCAGCAGCACCTTGCATCTTAACCACTGAAACCTGTACTTAGTTCTCAGCAGGTTTTAAACATCTGCTGACCTCTCTGATTCCCCTATGAGGCTATGAGTTTCTACGATTGTGCCTCATTCATCTTTTCACCCATCACCACCTCACAAGATCAGTGATTAATAAATAGGGCTTTTAAATAAATGTTTAAAATCACAAATTTAGAGAGTACACATGTATGAAATGTGACCATATTTAGGGACCATAGAATACACAGACAAAACATTAAAACAATGTTTCCAGGTATATAGCATTTAATATATTATTATAAGGAATATCTGCTTTTTAAATTACAATATTTGCACCTCTTCAGACAGTAAAAGTAAATGAATGATTGGTGATAAGAAGGAGAAGGTCAACAGGAATAGAGACAGGATATCTTCTCCTCTTACTGATTTGAATAATATCCCTCTATATCCTCTCTGCTCAAACACCCCACTTTCCTTCTATTCATGGGATGACTGAGGTTCCTTCTCCCTCAGGTCTTTCTCCTTCCTTACATTGTATGAAACTTCAATGCTCCTTGTCACTTGGCTTAGTGCCTTGACCCTACCCAATATTTTTGTCAAATTTAAGCCAACCGCACACATAACTTCAGAAAGAGGCTTGGGGTCATCTAAACCAGGCTGGGTGCAAATAGAGGACACGTCTAAGGCTGTTCAGGTCCAGGCTTTAGATGAGCACTGATTCACACAGAAGAATGGGGGACTTTTACACTCCCAGGGTTACTCACTTTCATTGTGTTTTGCAGCATTCACTGAAAACAACAATTTATTTTCTTTTTTCACTTGCAGGATGGAAATTATCTGGTTCCACCCCTGGATATGATCAACCTTCATAGACTGTGCATTATACATGGTGAGTAACCATTTCAAATTCTTTCTTTAAAGTTACAAACCTAAGAAAAAAATTAACCCTATTTATAGAGTTTCTCATAATTTGTTTCCCAAATTAGAATGTTACTTATGAGTACATGAACTCACTTCAAATTTTCTACTTCTGTTTCAAGATGTAAAGCCACTAATTGAATGTGGAACTGGTGTGTGATCCATGCCAATTAAAAAAGAATTATCCTCCTTATTGTTGCATTCTGCACTCTAGGTTACACTTCTAACTGCCATGATTTTTATAATAACAGAACTCACTCCTGGGTCTTCATTTTCTGCCGTACCTATAAACACGGTCAGGTTTATGAATCGCTTACGAAGGCACTAGGAACTGAAATACTAGTTTTTAAAATCTGAATATTGACATAGAAAAAGGCTTCAGATTAGATGGATAGTTTCAACTTTTATATTTCTAGTATTATCTTTAATGGACAATGTTGGTCAGAGAACTTTGCCTCTGTACCTTTATTCAATAATACGTAATAAATCTTTAATTTTGTTGTTGGTTAGTTGTTGCCACCTTGCTCTCCACTCTCCTGTCCCTTATCTCAGTAGCCATCTCTGCGACCTGCAAAGATGAAAAGGGAAAGCAGGAGATGGAAACTGGTCAGCAGCCTTCTGGTTTATCAGCCACACTTACAAAGGTCAAATGTGCAAAGCGTCAGAAGACAGTGGTTAGAGTGAGATTCTACATGCTCTCAATGAAGAATAAAGGTAAGTTCAATATTTCATGAAACAAAAAGTTTTTTAAGTTATTATAAAGGAATGTTTCCATGGCTACTTTTTTATTAGTATTCAATATGAGGACTTGAAATAATATTACTTCTGATAATAGAGTGCTTAAAATTTTACTTTTTTTGCAATCTAAAAGCTCCCTCTTCTGACCACGCGGAGTAGTTCTTTATAGGCTCTTTTTAAGAATGTTCTTTATATTTTTTCTTTATTTTATATATATTCTACTTTAAAAACTTTCATAAGTCTTAATAATAAGAACAAGCAAATCTGAAATTATATAAAAGACACCTTGTGCTCAAACCTTGGACTGGAAACATAGCAATTACAAGTTTTACATTATTGTTTCCCTCCAAAGTTACAGTAAGTTGTATTTCTAAGACAATAAGAATCCATTGTCTTGAGTAGTAATTATAAGCTGCTTTTTGTGGCAAATATTGTGTTACTGAATCACCAGTGGTGGGGCAGACTCTTTGGTTTTTACAAAATAACATAATTGTATATAATATAAATCAAATACAGAAAATCTTGAAAATATACAAATAGATTTAATTCACAGCAATTAATTCAGCTATTAGCATCTTTAAAAATACATCTTTCATGGCTGCATAATATTCTACGATAAACACATATTACAACTTTCTTAAATAATCACATATGGATAGTTATATCCAGTTATAATGATGGAAATATCATTACACTAACATAACTTTATAAAGTCCCTTCCAGAAGCATTATGCAAACTTACAATTCTGTAGACTGTACATGAGTTCTCACCATGTCCTCCAGAATTCTTAGCATTTTAAATATTTACTAAATTTATTAATTTTTAAAATGCTATTTAAAAATTAAAGTTTTATTATAGTTATATAAAAATATTATTCCTCTAGTTATTTTGGCCATTATTATTATTATTGTACTTCTCTGTAAACTAACTTTGTGTTCATTAAACATTTTTCTAAGAAAGCATTCAAGATTTACTTGGGAATTTCAGTAGTTCCTCATATGTTCATTAAATATTTTATTATTGTGTTCTTTAACTTACTACGTTTTGTAATACAAAGAAGATTTTAATATGTCATATAGTCAAATCCACATTCCTGAATGGAAATATTTATTCCCATATTATATTCATTAATTTTTGGTATGATTGTTTATAGTTGGTGGTGTAATTCATCTAGAATTAACTTTGTTGTATACTGTAAAGATACAAATAGCATTACATTTTCCTGATAGTTAACGCTCGACATTTAATAAATAATTCATATTTATTCAATGGATTTTAATACCAACAGGATTATACACTATAAACTTCTGTATATGTACCTATTTCTGGTTTTACTATTTTCATTTATTGATTTCTCTATCTAGTCAGCTATGTTAAGCATTTTAACAGTCTAGTTAAGTCACTTTTTATTATCCCTGTTTTTCAAAATATTTTTGCTGTTTCGGACATTGATAATTTTACATTTTAGAACCATTTTGCCAAGTTTTTAAAAACTTCTAAGATTTTTAAGATTTTTGTTGGAATTGCATTAAATTTGGGAAAAACTAATATGCATACAATCCTGAGTCTTTGTATCTAAGAGTAAAGACTAAATCTTCATTTCTTCATATCACTTTATCAAGTTTTATGTTATTATGCATAAAGATTCTTATGTATATAGGCACTTGCTTCTTAAGTCTATTTGAGTCATCTTATATTATCTATGAACTCTATCCTTAATAAACTCTTTTAAGTAGCATATAGGAAAGTTTTATTCATTTTTTAATATTTTTTTTTATCAGGACCATTACAGAACTCTGTGAGAATTCTTCTAGCATTTTTCCCATTTTATTGTTGAAATTCCAAATGTTCATGGGGAAAATTGAAATTTTTGTTTCTTTTCATAACATTTCCCATGTTTCATAAATTTTTCCAGATACTCATTGATCTCTTTTATATGAAGCTTGTGTATTTCTTCAGCTCATAAAATTCCTTATTTCATATCTTCAAATAGTTCCATTTGTTTTAGTCTTTTATTCAGAAACATTGATTATGTATATATCGAAACTCCAAATGTATTCTATCTGCTATTTCTCTCTGATCTGTTTCTTTTCTCCACCCACTTTCTTTGTGTTCTGTTAGGATCCTCAGGTGAGTTTTCTAGCCAGTAAGTAAAAATTCTGCAGTGTTGGTTCTGTTCTTTAATGATGAAATGCAGTTGTAAATTCCAAAATTGCATTTTTAATTTTCTTAAATTATTTCACTTCTTTTAGATTCCTTTTGGTGTGTTTTTAGTTTTCAGATAGCTCCTGTTTCACCTTAGTCTCATAGGATTCCATGTCATCTTTCACTTCTTCTATCAAAAAAAAAATCTCCTCTTGTCTTATATTTTAGTGAGATCATAAAGCAGGTATTGCCCAAATATAATTTATCTTCTGCAATAAATCTCTTCAAAACTAGCTCCTTTCCTGGATGTTGAGTACTATGTCCCTCTCCTTATTTTGAGCTGCAAAATCTTTTCACAGGCCTCCTGTTGGCTGTTTTCTATTTACACATCCTTGAGAGAGGAGAGGTCTCTCCTAGCCTCATGCTTGCCTGTAAATAGAGTAGGAGGATTGTCCCTGTGTCTCCTCACTATCCATCTGCTTGCTGTTAGAAATCGCCTCTCAAATTTTAAGCTCAAAAGGGGTATTTTTTGTCATCCTTGCTGTTTTAATTTAAAATTGCTTTGCCCTTTTAGTAAAGCCAGCAGCCTAAAAGAAATGGGGAAGAATCATAACCATGATCAGTCAAGGCTAATTCTGTTCAGTCTCTTCTCTGTATGGCTCAGAGGTCAGTTTTCTGTATCCAAATTTGTTTGTCCTGGTCTCTATGACAGGTACACAGATTGAGGCTTCTTGGGAGTCTTGCTTGCCCAGAAAGAAATTCTTTTATTTTATTTTATTATTTATTTATTTATTTATTTATTTATTTTTTGAGATGAAGTCTTGCTCTGTCCCTTAGGCTGGAGTACAGTGCAGCTCACTGCAAGCTCCACCTCCTGGATTCAAGCGATTCTCCTGCCTCAGCCTCCCAAGTAGCTGGGATTACAGGCACCTGCCAACACACCTGGTTTATTTTTGTATTTTTAGTAGAGATGGGGTTTTGGCATGTTGCCCAGGGTGGTCTTAAACTCCTGACTTCAGGTGATCTGCCCCCCTCAGCCTCCCAAAGTGCTGGGATTACAGGTGTGAGCTTGGCCCAGGAAGAAATTCTGCTTTACCAAGGGAAGGCTCACTGCTTAGGGGGATGCCTGGCTCACCACCAGCTCTCTGCCTGGTTCAGCCATGCTGGAAGCTCCAGACATCCTGGAGGATCTTCCCTGGGCTGATCCTTACTCTCCAGCAGCAGAAGTGCTTCTGAGGGTGTTGTGCTCTCTGCCCACAGTCGACCCTCACCCCTCCCTTCACCACTCCAAATAAGGGAATATCCATGGGGTGCTGCCAGGACTTGCTTTCCTTAATTTCCATGTTTGTATCATCTTTTCAGAAGGGGACCTTGTGAAACAGTCTTCAGTGTTTTCCTTCAATTGTCCTCCAATTGCTCTCTTCCAGCAGAAATTATTTGCACTTTCTCTCAGATGATTGACTCTTTTCCCTAGTTTTTAGTAATAACGTTCTTTTAGTTTGCTATCATTTTGGCCATTTCACAGGAGATCTAGGAGGAGACAAATGAAATGCCTGGACTCCATCAAGTTTCATCTTACCAAAATGCCATTCATTCAACTCTTCTCCCACAGACCCCAGGTATAGCAAGGGATTTGCATTCCCCGATCCAGAATCCCTTCAGCGGAAAACTATTTCCCTTTTTTTCGCAACTGATGGTACTTTTCTATTTCTCATATTTTGTGTGCACTTCTTTCCAATTAAACTGTAAGTTCTTTGAGTAAAGGTGGGGTGACCAATGCCTCCTGGTTTTCCTAGAACCTCTCATGTTTTGAAACTGAAAATCTCCTGTACCAGAAATCTTATAAACAGGGATGGGTGGCTATGCTGCTCAAGGTCAACATATGCTCTATCTTTAAGCCCCTTCCCAGCTCTCATCATTTAAAACTCTCTTGCCTATAGCAGAAGTTGATGACACATATATTAAATGAGTCACTTTTCCCCATGGCTACAACCCCTGTGACTACAAGAACATATTGACAGGGTAGGATTGGCTGGGTACAGTGGCTCATGCCTGTGATCCCAGCACTTTGGGAGGCCAAGGTAGGTGGATCATTTGAGGTCAGGAATTCGAGACCAACCTGGCCAACATGGTGAAACACCATCTCTATAAAAACACAAAAATTAGCCGGGCTTGGTGGTACACACCTGTAATGCCAGCTACTGGGGAGGCTGAGGCAGGAGAATTGCTTGAACCCAGGAGGTAGAGCTTGCAGTGAGCCAAGATCGCACCACTGTACTCCAGCCTGGTGACAGAGCGAGACTCCATCTCAAAAAAATAAATAAAATAAAAATAAAAATAGGTTAGGATTAGCCTACAACTGCTAACCAGAGCAGCTAAGTGAACTAACTGGCTGTCAGGTATATTCATGTGGGGAAGTTGTGAACTTTTTGTAATAAAGTAGCCTGGTTGATTATCTCTAGATACTTATACATTTTTAAAAAGTCCTCATCGCTGGAGTGGTTTCAGGCATAATTGCTAAGAGTAAAGTATGGGTGGAATGATTCCTTTAAGGCTAATATTTTTATAGACTCGCTATGACACCATTCAGTGGACATGCAAAATATATTTTCCGAAAGCATTGGTGCCTCGGGCTGTCCTCCACAGCCATTTAAAACATTATAATGAATTGCTTACTGGATGTGTGATAATACACTAAATGTGCTTTGAGATATGTTCTCTGTCCTAAAGAAGATTTTGTTCAGAAGGAGTGGTTAAGAGCTGTGACTGTTTACTGCTTCCCCACAGCCAACTCAAAATCACCCCAAGTACATCCTTAATGAAATGTATTCTGAGCAGCTTCTCATTTCTTAAATATTTTAAATGACTTTCCCTCTTTAAATAGGGAGAACAAGTCTTGCTCTCGGCATAATCACTGTACACAAGCCACAGAGAGTTCACGTGAGAGGAGAAAATTCACTGGGCCCTTGGGGAAGATCACCCCAGTATCATTCACACCTCACCTTTGTTGGAGGCGTCAAAGACCAGGGGAAAGGAAAACATCCCATCATCCTTAATTTGAAGAATCAGATTAGTCAGCAAATGTTTTTTGTTTGTTTGTTTGAGACAGAGTCTCATTCTGTCACTCAGACTAGAGTGCAGTGGTGTGATCTCGGCTCAGTGCAACCTCTGCCTCCCGGGTTCAAGCGATTCTCCGGCCTCAGCCTCCTGAGTAGCTGGGACTACAGGCACCTGCCACCACACCAGGCTAATTTTTTGTATTTTTAGTAGAGACGGGGTTTCACCATGTTGGCCAGGATGGTCTCGATCTTCTGACCTTGTGATCTGTGCACCTCAGCCTCCCAGAGTGCTGGGATTACAGGCGTGAGCCGCCATGCCTGGCCTAGTCAGCAAATGTTTTACAAACCATAACAATATGCGGGAGAAAAAGTAATGAAAGCAGCCATGCAGTTGCTGTTGAAAAGAACATGAAACTAGAAAAGGCACCCAGTAAGCACCAAGGAGAAATGAGGAGAAACAAAACCTGTGAGAAAAGCCAAAGGAGGTGACATAGGTGAAATTAACCTAAGGGAAATGTTGGTTTTTCAAACATATTTAAGTTTCCTAAGGGCAGAAATTGTGCCTTATGAACTAATCCATTTTTATTCTCATACCTCAGTGCACCCAGTGCATAGGAGTGGTTTTGTGTGGAAATAAGAGATCAAGTTAAATAAATACCACTATCAGGGCAGATAGTCTCTACTTAAATAATTTAAAAAGCCCTTTCAATATAGCACAGATTATGCAAGCTTTTTTTCTGGAAAACTGTGTAGGTGTGTGTTTACATCCTTAACAGGACTTGGAAATTAATCACATATTGATTATGAGTGACTAATTAATCACTGAACCAAACTTTCCACAACTATGTCATCTGCTTTCAGATATGTCTAAATATAGCAACAGGGAGAGTGTGGTGAAATGAAGAAGCAGATTTTATGTTAGCACCTGAGCTTTGCAGACCAATGGTCTGATTCAAATTCCAGGTCTGTCACTTTCCAGGTGAGTGGCCTTGAACATGACTTGACCTCTCTAAACCTCAGTTTCCTGATTTGCAAAATGAGGATAATAATAACTCCCTGGCCCAAGGATAGCTTTATGGACATGGGACCTGTGCCATCACACAGAAGGGCCCACACTTGATCTGAAGTTCTGCTGTACTCCTCCTGAAATTTTAAATAATGATTATCTTTGAACTTGCGTTTTGCACATGAAGTCCAACGAAACAATGGAGCATCATCCATGTGAGCAGAGAGAGACCCTTGCTGCCCCATTTGCATACTGTGTGGGCAATGCTCCATGAGCACAGAGCTCAGGTGAACACATGATGTTTGGGAGTTTAGAGAGATCCAAAGGAAAGAAAAGGAAAGCATATATTATGTCTATCAGTAAGCAGGGGGCAGACAGCCCAGAGAGGTCGCACCTTCTATTTGAACCAGAACTTGCTTTCAATCCAGAAAGAGGCAATGATGTTCTAAGAAACATGAAAAACCAGGGAACACTAGCATGTTATTTGCTACTCATTTATTTCCCTGTATTAGTCACCCACTTAGTTGACAATGACCACATAGTAGAAAAGGGAAAGACAGGGCAGCACATACCTCCTTTTCTTGTCAGTCCTGCTTCATTCATAAGTCAATGGCAGAAAGTGTTGGTAAATGCTAATCAAGAGGTGAATTAAAGATAGTTGAGTTAGTTTTGTGCAGCACTTCCACTGGTCTGGTAGGAAAGAAATACATACACACGTGTAAGCTATGAAACATAAATGGTGTCATGTCAGTGATTCCACACACAAGCTAAATGCTCTAATATTTGCATTTAAAACTGGCATTGTACAATATAAAGATGAATGATACAATTCAGGCAGATAATTTACATTTTTATTTTTTACTTATAACATCGAAAAGCAAATAAAAAATACCATGACACATAAAGAGAGACTGCAGAGGAAAGGAAGAAGCTTCATATTTCAGTACAATTATCACATCACTTTCTGAATACTTGAGCAAGGGGCCCCACATTTTCATTCTGCACCAAGTCCTGCAAGTGATCGCTAGTGGCACATACTGATCAATTGAAAAAAGCAGGTATTTTTCTCACATAAACCCTTTCGGGTAACATTTCCTCAATTTGCCTGATCATAAAAATCACCATTAGCACTATTGATAGTAGCACAGATTACAGAAACTCTTTTCTGGAGGACTGATATTGTAGGTGTGTGTCTGCATGCTTAACAGGAACACCAGGAGAATTTTATTATCAAGTAAGTTCAGAAAATGCCTCTTTAGAAGAATGAGGTTGTGAGAGATTATATCACAACTTTCTATTATTTGATTCTTAGAATTTTATTCTGTGCTTGGCAACTATTCTAATTTGCCTCTAGTGTCTATTGTAGCCATGATATTTTCATATTCTACTAAAAAGCTCACTTAATGCTTTCTGTTCCCAAACACTTAGTGATATTGGCTATAAACTTTTCCACCTAGGTTTGGTTTAAAGATAGCTCCAAAATTGGCCTCTCCCTGCCTATTGAAACATATGCCTCTATTCTCCCAAATGCATGTTTCCATCCATGTCTTTGAGCCCACTATTTGCCCCTTAAGTATTTTCCCCTCTGCCTATTGTGTGCCTGTCTGGAAACAGGCACTGATATGGTTTGGCTGTGTCCCCACCCAAATCTCATCTTGAATTACCACAGGTTGTAAGAGGGACCTGGTGGGAGGTAATTGAAACATGAGGGCAGGTCTTTCCCATGCTGTTCTTTTAATAGTGAATAAGTCTCATGAGATCTGATGGTTTTATAAGGTGGAGTTTCCCTGCACAAGCTCTCTCTTTTTCCTTGCTGCCATCCATATAAGACGCGACTTGCTCCTCCTTGCCTTCCACCGTAATTGTGAGGCCTCCCCAGCCACATGGAACTGTAAGTCCACTAAACCTCTCTTTCTTTTGTAAATCATCCAGTCTTGGGTATGTCTTTATCAGCAATGTGAAAATGGACTAATACAGGCACAATCCAGGACAACTCATTTCCTGCCTTTTCCCCACTCCTTAATTCTGCAAATGACATTTCTCAGGCTACTTTGACAAGTGGCTTTCCCTTGGGTTTAGCCAACAGAGAGCCTAGAGAGCAGTGGAAGAAAGAAAAAACCAGCATGTGTGTTTGCACTGTCTCTGTATTAGTCCATTTTCACACTGCTATATACTACCTGAGACTGGATAGTTTATAAAGGAAAGAGGCTTAATTGACTCACAGTTCAGCATGGCTGGGGAGGCCTCAGGAAACTTACGATCATGGCAGAAGGCAAAGTAGAAGCAAGCACCTTCTTCACAAGGTGGCAGCAGACAGAGAGGAGTGAGCATGGGAAACTGCCCTTTGTAAAACCATCAGATCTAATGAGACTTACCCACTATCATGAGAACAGCATGGGGAAAACCGCCCCCATGATCCAATCACCTCCCACCGGGTCCCTCTCTCTACCTCTGGGGATTAAAATTCAGATTACGATTCAAGATGAGATTTGAGTGGGGACACAGAATCAAACCATATCAGTCTCTATCTCTGGAATTACCTGTATCTTCATTTCTCCTGCTTCTTCCTGACAGTCTATCCTTCTGTGATCATAGCTCACCACAGGTAGCTCTGTCTCCTTGGCTCTGGTAACCCCATATTCCCCTTGTGCCCCAGCCCTAAGGTTGGTCCCGTTTTCTGTTGATGCTGACTTTTGGTCACCTTCCTGTCCCTTTTTTTATCTGTTTAGCTTTTTCAAGACTTCTGCAGCTAATCCTCCCTATTAAATATCACCTCTCATTATAGCTGGCACAGGCTCTGTTCTCCTGATGAGGTCTTCCACCATTGCAATCTTCAAAATGCAAGTTTTCCAAAAATTATGTAACATGTAGTTTCTGAGTATCTTAGGAGGGCATGACACTGAAGATAGAAAATGAGTAAGACATAGTTCAGTTGTCCTCAAGGAACTTACAGTCTCATGGGAGGCAGACAAATCCATGTATGATTACAATATGGTATTTTAGACAAACACATATGCTTTGGAAGCAAACCACATGGACATGAGTCCTGGCTCTACCACTTACTGACTCTGTGAACATGGACAAGGCAGGCACCCCTCAACAAGGATTTTGTGCATTGCACTAAAGAGCTAGATTGAGAGGTGCTCTTTGTACATGTGGGAAATATTTAGGAAGACTGCCCAAGAAAGAGCACTGAGATGCATGAAGAATTCCTGATCAGTTTCAGGGCCATTCTTTAGAACTGTACTTCCATATTTCAGGATGGTGGGAGAAGAAATAAGGAGATGGAAACAGAAGAATTATTTGGCCAGCAAGGTCATATGAAATTATTGGTCAACTGGTGAGGGAAAAGAAAGAGTTGAGAAAAATCACAAATTTCTGGTTATTTAGCAAGTCTTCCATGACTGTTCCAGAGCTGCCTGATCTTGCTTCTCTCTGACTTTCTTTTTTTTTTTTCCTGATACGGAGTCTCGCTCTGTCGCCCAGGCTGGAGTGCAGTGGTGCGATCTCGGCTCACGGCAAGCTCCGCCTCCCGGCAAGCTCCGCCTCCCGGGTTTACACCATTCTCTCACCTCAGCCTCCCAGGTAGCTGGGACTACAGGCGCCCGCCACCACGCCTGGCTAATATTTGTTTTTTTTTGTCTGTTTGTTTTGTTTTTTTTTGTAGTTTTGGGAGAGATGGGGTTTTACTGTGTTAGCCAGGATGGTCTTGATCTCCTGACCTTGTGATCCATCCGCCTCGGCCTCCCAAAGTGCTGGGATTACAGGCGTGAGCCAGCACGCCTGGCTGCTTCTCTCTGAATTTCTATTGAGTAATGGTTAGCACCAGACAATAACTCATTTCCTTATCTCTAATTCTTTTATGTATTCATCAGTGACCTCCCTCCACCCAGATCCAGAGATAGGTCCTTAAAGACAAAAGCAATCGTATATTTTTCTATACCCCAGAATGTTCCCTATATATTTTATATATAAAGGTATTTAACAGATTTCTTTGAGGAATCTAGGTTTTTAAAATATATTTCAAAAATGTTATATCACTATAAGCAAGATTAAGTAACAATGTCAAGAATTCAATAAGGTAACTCTAAATTTTTAGCTTTCCAAAATATCAACTTACTAAATATTAATTATCAAATGGAATAAAAATGCAATCTTACTTTCAAGTTTGAGCTTCTATGGTTTCAGTTTAATTTTACTAACCATCTTTAGTAATAAAGAGCTGCTAATGGCTTGATGATTCCAATTCAGAGAACCAATTTGATTGGATTTTCTGATTAAGTGGACTAATGTTAACTATGCAATATGATGCATAATAATCTATCAAACCCCATTTTTTAGCTCTTTTTTAATGGAGGGCTAACTGCATGATTAGAAAATGAAAAATACAGTTTTTCAGGATTCATTTACTGTAAGTTGACTGAAATTGAGTGGAATAAAACCCAAGTGTATTTGCCTTACGGATGCTATTTCCATGTGTATAATAATTATTTCCTAATATTGATTTGAGAAACTGTAATTTGCTTTCACATTTAATCAATGGAGAACAATATTTGGATCAGAATTCTTTTTGAGTAATATCATAATTGCCACATTATAGACCCTCTCTTTCCCTTCTCTTGCTAGCAATATTAGGTTTCTGTTTCCTACTAAACTGTTTAGCCTGTTTGGAATTCATGTGACATTTTACATGGAAAGAAGTGTGAAATGCCACTTGCCATACTGCTACCTTATAAATTATTCATCCCTGCTGTTTATCAGGCAGCTTCTGCTTATAGATAAGAAGTCACCTCTCGTTTGCTGCACACATCACATGGGCCTAAACAATCAAAAATGGTGTGTAGCTTCCTAACAGAGCAAGGGGAAAATCCAAGCAAGAATAGTTTGGAATGAGACTCTTCCATCCTGAAACAAGCCCCACCAATCTTCTTTGACATGCAATGATAATATTTAGCTTGCTAAAGTGTATAGTTGAAAGAAAGATGCACACTCTCAATAGAGGACAGACAACAGAAGGTAAACTTTCCCAATCCTGATGGGTAGCTTTAGTGAATCAAAGGTCAAATGAGCAGCTATTGGTACCCTTTCAAGCAACCTTAGAAATTTCCAAAGCTACAACTATCAAGAAATTCTCTATTTGTTTTTTCAATTTTTGGAAAATATGACAGTGTTCCTATCCACATTATCAAATTATCCATATTGTTTTTCCTGTTACTTTGTAGTGTCCCCCACTGTGGTCAGATTTTGATATGACATATATTTTGATCTAGAATATCCATTTATCTTACCAACTTAACATAAATCTGTTGGCAAAAATGCAATAGCATCTTTATGAACTTCAAAGCTTAATGGATTACAATCAAGCTTATGAAAGGAATAGTTATATTTATTATGACTTTAAGTGATTATTAGTAATAAAAATATCACTAAACTAACTAGAACATTTTTGGGCCAGCTCAGTCTTCCCCATAGACAAACTTTCTGCACTTTAGTCAATCCTAACTTTGCGTGCATTATAGGATTCCAGTTTATAAATCTCATTCCACATTTTACCAATCAACAAAAAGCATATATTAAGAACATATTCTGTGTGTAACAGTATGCTAAATGAAATGCTATGGACAACTGCAAAGAAATGTAAGATATACAGCAGAGTGCCTTCTTAACCCCATCAGTTTAAGAAAGGCAATTCCCATTTATAGATTAAAACAGCTTCCTCATTAGCTAATGGCAGAGTCAGCACCAAAAGTCAAATTTCCAGTCTTTAAAGCTAGAGTTGTCCCCATGTCTTCTTTTATGAGCCTGCATGCTGCCTGGGCAGATAAAAATGACACATAAAACTGGGCGTGGTGGCTCACGCCTGTAATCCCAGCACTTTGGGAGGCAGAGGCGGGTGGATCACTTGAGGTTGGGAGTTCGAAACCAGCCTGGCCAACATAGCGAAACCCCATCTCTACTAAAAATTCAAAAATTAGCTGGGCATAGTTGTGCACCTGTAGTCCCAGCTACTTGGGAGGCTGGGGCAGGAGAATCTCTTGAACCCGGGAGGCAGAGGTTGCCGTGAGCCGAGATTGTGCCACTGCACTCCGGCCTGGGCAACAGAGCGAGACTCAGTCTCAAAAAAAAAAAAAAGTGACAAATACATAGAGATTAGAGTAACACAACATACAGTTTATATGGAAATAGTATGCTGGAGATCCAAAGGGAAGTGGGACATTAACAAATCCATGGAAACATTTTAGCATGAAGTTCAAAGCAGACTTCCTATGGAAAATAGGTCTTGATCTGTGCCTTGAAGAATGGAGAAGAATGAGTAGGATTCAAGCAGGTACATAAGAATAGGAATAGGAATAGGAATAGGAAATGCAATCTGTATGTGTTTGGCTTAATGAATAAGCAATGTAATGAAAGGGATGAAAGGGGCCTTCTTGATTGGGGAAGCTTAAGGAGTCAGTTTAACCAAGAGTCAGTGAAGTTGTTGTCAGTGGGCACAATATTAGAAGGCATTATGTGATCACAGTCAACTCTCCTCGAATGCACATCCACAATTTTTTCGTAGAGCACTAGTCACTTATATTCCACACTATGTGTGGTTGATGACATCATTTGGCGCTGATTCCTCACACCTCCCTGTTCTCATACTCTTTTCCAAACAACTGCTCAGCCACATACCTGCATTGATGGTCGTGATGCTAGGAGAGATGAAGCTTTGAAGAGTAGTGCTTGGGGATTATTCTCTGGCACATCTACAAGCATCATGAGAAGGCTGGCTTCTATCAGATGAAAGATATATGGGGCTGAGTTTCATCAGCCAAGTTTAGCCTAGACCATCTAAGCCTCAGCTGCCTAAGTGAGCACAGCCAAAATGAGCAGAGCCCTCCAGGCAAGCCCAGTTTGGATGCACGAACCCTGCAGATGCATGAGAAATGCATGTTTACTGTAGTATGCCACTGACATTTTGTGGTTGTTTATTGCAGAGCAAAGATTTATTGATAAACCATGAAAGATACTCAAATGATACTATTCACTGACTTTTATAATATGGAGTAAAATATCTAAAAATATGAAGGCTAAAGAAAAGAGGTCAGCAACATTGTTTTTTAACTTTTTTAACTTTTATTTCAAGTTCAGCGGTACATGTGCGGTATTGTTACCAGGGTAACATTTGCGGTATTGTTACCAGGGTAACATTTGTTACCTAGGTAAACTTGTGTCACGGGGGTTTGTTGTACAAACTATTTTGTCACCCACGTATGAGGCCTACATTTTATGTACTCACTGCATACAGCTTAATGAATTGGATTCTTATGGGGTTAGAAAGGATAAAAAACATCACCCCTGTTCTCAGGAAGCTTAAAACTGAGTTGATACTATATGCCATATACATGAGAAAAGAGACAAGAAAATTCAGTCAGCTATTTAAATGTAGAAATTGCCTTTCTTGGATCACTGCATATGAGACACTGCCAGGCAGATTAAGAAAAAAGGGAACTAGCTTCAAGGTGTGAGAACACAAGACGAGGAGAGTGTGTTTTCTGTGGGTGCTTCCACTAACAGCCTGCATGCAAACCATGGAGCTTCAGGGACTCTGGCCACCCCAGATTCCCATTTCTTTAGAGGTAAGAGAAGCCCAGCATGGGGATCCTCCCTACAGGAACTCTCCCTGGGGAACAAAGTGCATGTCTAAGAAAATGGGCTTTTCTTCTTAGGTAATGACATTCGAGTCAGATTCAAATTGCTAAATACAAATCCTAACAAATCAAGGTTACCATCAAGCAGGTTTATAATTGTCACTTTTAAAAAGCTGCTCTAAATAGATTCCCTTTGAGCATTATAATGAGAACCAGGAATTTAGGAAGAGCTCTAAGAGGTGCTAAAAATTAGGATCCACTCATGCTCTACTAGAAGAGAAATGACAGTTAACTTGGAGATAAGGGCATTAAAAGGGGCCCGTGCTCCTTTTCTCTGAGTTCCCATGTGCACGTCAGCACCACTTGGTTCTTTACCAAGGGCAAGACTTGCCAGACAGGGCTAGTACATAAAGTTTCTGGTGTGATTATTAGTGCTGTCACATACTTTTTCTCTTGGCTGTTTGTCTCAAAGTTAATAGCACGTACAGTGTATTGAAGACTATAGAGTTTAAATGCGTATTGCCTAGGTAAAGACCACACGGTATGAGAACTTAGGAAGAAACACTATTCCCGGAAATCAGAAGTGTCAGGCACACTAATAGAATTATAGTCAGTGGGAACAATGGGGTATCGCGGTGAGGTTTTTGAAGAGCCAGCCTTAAGTGGACCAGGAAATCCATTAGGGGAAAGCAAGGGGAAGCTGCAAAGACAGTGGTGGGAGAGCTCCTCCATAGCTCCTGTCTGGGGTGAGGAATGTCTGCATTTTTACCACTTCTTTGGCTAAACATTCTAAAGGTCATTTTTAAAATATTTATTAAAGGGGAGGGGAGTAAAAAATACAAAAAGAAAATTAAAGTAGGATGATTAAAGGAAGGTGAATGGCTAAAGAGACTAAATATAAGATTAAGGACAAGGTAAGGGACAATTTAATGGAGTAAAATTTTTAATACAATTTAAAACCCAATAATATTTAAAAGTTAAACTTTAAGAATCAAATCAAGCATGAATTAGAAAGTTCTAAATGTTTTATCTGGAGTTAAAATGGAATTTTTTTCAAATATTTTAGAAACAAGAATTTTAAAAGAAGAAAGATTAAAATGAAAGAAAAGAGAAGCAAGAAGTCTATAGAATGAACAGGTGAAGTTAACTGAAATGGAAACAGAAAATAAAGTAAAATAATCAGCATTTAGAAAGAGAACAGAAAGTTCTAAAACTGTGTTGAGAAACTAAAAAAACAGAGCATTAAAGAAACAAGATAATATAGTTAGTGTGCAGGTGAAAGAGGGAACAAGACTGGAAAGAGGACTAGGCTGAGGATAGATACAGAATTCACACTGTCAGCAAGCCAGTGATGTGAATTCCTGGTTAAGCTTTGTGCAATCCATTTCTGTCTCTGCCACTGTAGCTGCCCAAAGGATTCTCCTTGCCCACTGCCCAGATAGAGCCTATTTATCTAGACACGGGAATTGCAACAGAGAAAGAATGCATTTCACGCAGGGCCAGCTAAATGAGAAACTGGAGTTTTGTTACTCAAATCAGTCTCCCCCCAAAAATGTGGAGACTGAGGTTTTTTAAGGATAATTTGGCAGGAGTGGGGAGTGCTGATTGGTTGGGCCATGGATGAAATCACTGGGGCTTTTGGTGGGTTCTCTCTGTTGTCTTCTGTCCCTGTTCTGTTGTCTTCTGTTCCTGATTGGGCCAGATTACCAGTCTAGGTGGTGCCATCTGGTGCTTCAGAATGGCAGGATCTGAAAAAAAAGTCTCGAGCACCAATCTTAGGTTTTACAATAGTGATGTTATCCCTAGGAGCAATTGGAGAAATTTTGTCTTGAGACCTTTGGCTGTATGACTCCTAAACCATAATTTCTAATCTTGTGGCCAATTTGTTAGTCTTACAAAGGCAATCTGGTCCCCAGGCAAAAAGGGGTTTTGTTTCAGGAAAGGGCTTTTATCACATTTGTTTCAAAGGACCAAATGTGATTTGGTTTAAAGGACCAAGATTAAAAGAGGCCCCTTTTCCCTCCACCTTCATCACAGCCATGCTGTTTTTTCATTTGTTTGTTTTTGGGTTTTTTCCCCAACTTGCCCAGAGAACAGGCTTGCCAAACCATGTGGTCATGTCCACCTGGAGGATGCAGCTTTCTCCACTGTGTACAAGGGCGTTACGTGGGCTAGCTGTCGCCCCAGATGTTTTTTTAAATTGTTCACATCATCTCACATAATATTTTCACAGCTTGGGCTTTTCAAAATTGAACTTCTTAAGTACTTAACTACTCAAATTCTTTTAACTACTTAACTACTCAAATTCTTTTAACCCAATATTTATATGAATACATGAAATAATCAAGAAATGAAATCAAACAAGTATGTTAAACAAAAGCCATTTAAGTTTAACAATAAATATTTATTTTTATGTGCAGCACATAAATCCAGGGAATTACTAATGTTGGTATCTTTTGAGAACATTTTTTCCTTTGTGACTTTGGTTTATGCAAATAGCTACATCTTATGAGCTCATACCCTGAAGTTACAACTTGATGCCTGAGGATTGATTCTTGTATTCCCTTTAATCTTCCTCCAGTCTGACCTGGTACTTATATAGTTTAATCCTTGCATTAATATTTTAATATAGATTTGATTTAGATTGAAATGAGCAAGAAGATTCACTGGAATCTATCTAAAGAGATTACTTGTGTGATTTCATTTTGCCACATTAGTAGTCTGTGATAGATATACTCTATTTGCAGAGTACATCTACCTTCAAATCAAGTGTCTTGCCAAAAGGCAATGTGACAGCTAAGCTTGAAGTTTATAAAAAAATAGCTATTTGGTTCAGGAAAAAATAAAACAACTCACAACTTTTCACTAAAACCAAGCCTGCTCTTCTTTTCCAGATGGATTATATTGGATAAATGTGTTTATCCCTATTTTCAATACTTAAACACACAGACACACACAGATAATTTGTATCTTGAGACCAATTTCTTTTATCTGTACAATAAAAAAATTGGACTAGATACTGTTGTTTTTAAAAAATTAAAATAGTTTTCTTTTTCTTTTATTAATAATTCATGGTTATGACAGAAAAGAAAAAGATTTAAAATAAGTGAAGGTGATTCTAGACTTACCAATAAAAAATATTGTTAATATCTTCATATACAGTCTTACAGACATGTTTTGCATATGTGTAAATATGCAATTATATATTTTAAATAATTTTGCACTACATATTGTTTGATAACATCTTTCACTTATCATTGTATTGTTTCTGTCAGAGATTATCTTTCAATTTTATACACCATAAATTACAAACCTAGCTCCAATTAATGTACTTAAAATTATTTTCTAGTTTCTGCTTTATGACTAATTCTATGATAAAATCCTGGTATAGATAAATGAACATTTATTCAATTATTTTTAGAATCACTGCCTGCAAGTAGAATTTGTTTTTTAAAGTATTCTAAAATTTAAATTCTAAATTTAGGTATGTATGAATTTGGAATCATTTGATCAAGTTTAAACTCTTTCTCTACTGCAATAATGTGGATTACTTTTGTTTGTACAGCATGCAGGAAGAACCTTTCAAAAGGTTACAACCAGAGACCTGAAGGAAGCAAGGAAGAAAGCCACATGGTTGTCAAAGAGAAGAGGAAAGGAGATCACTAAGCTGGATGACGTTTTCTGTTTCTTTGAAAACAGAGAAGATGACAAGTTAGGGAGAGATCAGAGGTCATACTGTGAAGCACCTTTGGATAAACGGCAGGGACTTTGGATTTTCTTTTTGAATATAAGCATAATCCATTGAAAGGTCTCATGCAGGGAAGTGGCAAAACACTTTTAAAATTTTTCATCTTTTCTTTCTGAAGCAGAGTTCACTCTCCATTTATTTGTCTTCTTTGATATCTCTCAATAGAATGTTGCAGTTTTAGTATTCTCCTATTAAACATTTGTTTAACTTTCTTGTTCTTCTAAATAATAATTTATTCTCCTTATTTTCATCATTAGTGTCCCTGAAATGCCAGAGTTTCAGACTAGGTCTACTACTCACCACACAAAAAGCCAATCACTGAGACACAAGTATTGACAAGTAAGAAGGCTTTAATCAGGTGCTGCAGCCTAGTTGATGAGAGATTAGTCTCAAATCCACCTCCCTGATGGACTAAAATCAGGGGATTATGTAGTAGAGAAGAAATGTAACTACATGTGAGGAAATAGGAATCAGGGAGGGATAAGCAAGAGGAGTTGGTCAGAAAGACACGGGTGGTCAGTTAGGCCACCATGATGGGTGAGGGGTCTGGCATCCCATTGTCTAGATGCAGTGATCTGGTGAGTTTCAGCTCCTTGATACTATCTGGGAAGCCTGAGGGTTGGTTTCCTAAGAGAGAAATGTCGCTTTCTTAAGTTTCATGACTAGGAAGGTCAATTTCTATGTTTATTCAAAAAAACCCATAAACATCAGTTCTATGGGACAACTGCACCAGTTTCATTAGCATTTTAGCAAAAAACATCTTATTGGTTCCTTCAGTAGTTAACTCTCAGGTTCTATGAACACAGTGCTGTACCAATGATTCATAAGTAAGTCTTTGCAGATCCATTCAAGAACATAAACTTCTAGGGAGCTAGGGAGAATGGTTTGGGATTACCTTTATGTCTGGTCTGCTCTAGTCACCTCAGAAGAGACAGGGGGACAGATTCAAGCACATTAAAATCAGATGAGCTGTACCTTCCTCTTAATTTTGCTATGAATCTAAAACTGCTCTAAAATAAATAGTCTTCTAAAAAATCAGATGAGTGCTTTCTAGGAAAACTGTGACCTCATCCGACAAACTTACAGTTCTCTGGCTCTGGTGGACTTTGGTTCCCAGGCCCTTAGATCTTTCCTAAATTAAATGCCTTAGATCAGCAGCTCCCAAAAAATATGTGGAGGCTCAGATCCTAAGGGTCTGGATTCTAACGTGCAACAAAATTTGGGAATAACTATTCAAGACTAACCTTTGATCTCCTACTTTTTTTTTGGAAGATCCAGGATTCCCTATCACTGTACTAGCAGTAATCAGGCCAGGCCTTGGAAAGCAAGTAATCTGATTGGAGTTGCTCAACATGAAATTGCCATGAAGTCAAGTTTCCGATTCAGAGAAAAACAGATGAAGAGAAATTCAATATCAAATTTTATTTAGGCCTTCATTTATGTGAAAAAAAATATACGTATTTGTGGTCTAACAATTTTCTTTGTATCCTTACAGTTTTCTAGGAAATGCTCTGGGTAAAATTTAGAAAATGGTACAGATAGACCCAGAGCATATTGGAAAGACTATACCATGAGGTGATGCTTGGAAGGATAAGACCTTCTCAAGATGTAGAGAATAGCTTGCTTTAGTGAAACGAGAATGAGTTAGTATGTGAGAAGGCCTAGGTTCAAATCTCTAGCCACTTAACTTGATAAACCCTTAGTTTACTCAGCTGTAAAATGGAGAAATAGCAAATATGTCTTTTATAAGATTTTTGTGAAAATCAAATATGAAAATGCATGTTAAAGTAATTAATCAAAGGCTAAAAACATACAAACTACCAATCCACTTAAATTTCTAGAAAGTATACATCATTGGTTCATGTGTTAGGAGAGAGCACTCCTTCCCCATATACATCCCTGGGATGAAGTTTGCCAGACACTCAGTCCTTGGGTGAAAGAAACTTTAGGTTGAAATTGTTCCAAGTAATTTATTACCATAAAGCAAACATCTGCAAAGACTGAAATCTGTTTGAAATGTAGGCTAGATTTATTTTTTCACATACTACTATTGTCATATAAAAATAACATAAAATAGTAAAAATTAAAATTAAAAACTCATTGGGAAATACCCAATTGCCCTTTTCATACTTGAAGTATAGGACTCCTAGGATGTTCACAATCTACAATATGAAGCTACTAGTCTTGTAACTCTTGCAAAAGACCACAGAGAAGGTACAGAGACTAGATGAAATAGGAAACCCAGTATTTTTATTGTATTTAACTTGTAGTTATCATCAAGCTGATCACATACTATGTGTAACATGCTATGTTAGGCACAGCAAGGAATACAGGGAAGCATTAACCATCAGAGAGCTTACAATGAGGGTGGGAAAACAAAACACACACGTGAATATTTAACTAAAAATATGACAGATGAAACAGCAGCAATATCAGAAGATATGAAAATAAAAGCAACAATTAATATGATTCAATATGTAACAACTACAGAAAAATACCACTCTGGTTTCTTAAAAGGATGACATTTAAGTGTCATTTATTAAAGGATAATTTTCAAGAATCAGGTAAAATCATGAGTCTCACATAGATATAAAATGAATACGTGTTAAAGATTGTTTTAAACTCATTAATGAGGAAAACAGTAAGCTGTTACAATCACTTTTAAAAATAAGTTAAAGGAGCAGAAAGTTATGTGTAGTAAAGGAATGTTTAAATGCATTTACAAATAGAGAGAGACCTGCTTTTTTCCCTGGAGGGAGGGAATTCAATTGAATCACCAAACAAAATTATTTTGCATGCCTATAGACAAGAATTATCGCATCTTGCTATCAGTTATCTACAACTTACACAGTTGTAAAATGGATCAAAGGCAATGCCAAGAGTCCCCATAGAATCAGAATCAGATAACCCAGAAGGGTATGCTCAAAGCACTTAGTTTTCCATTGAAGCACACAATTTTCCCTGCAAGGTTCAATCTAAATCTAAACTATCATTTCCCCACAAGTAGTTTCCAAAAGTCACATTTGTTATGAAGATATTACTAATGTGAGAAGATTTATCAACACTTATTATACATTTTCACCATGCAAAGTATTTTAAATGACTTTAATTAAAAATTAAAAAGTAAAGCAATATATTTGTATCACAATATGATACCGTATAATATGAACTATATTAATTGAAATAACATATTACCATAACTGCCCAGTGGGTTCACCTTGACTGCTGCCTAGACAGAGCTGATTTATCAAGACAGGGGAATTGCAATAGAGAAAGTGTAATTCACACAGAGCCAGTTGTGTGGGAGACTGAAGTTTTATTATTACTCAAATCAGTCTCCCGAAGCATTTGGGCATCAGAGGATTTAAGGATAATTTGGTGGGTGAGGGAAAGCCAGTGAGTTGAGAGTGCTGGGTGGTTGAGTGAGAGATGAAATCACAGGGAATTGAAGTTGTCCTCTTGTGCTGAGTCAGTTCTTGAGTGGGGGCCACAAGATCAGATGAGCCAGTTTATGATCTGGGTGGTGCCAGCTGATCCATCAACAGCAGGGTCTCCAAAATATCTCAAGCATTGATCTTAGGAAAAGTTTAGGGAGCATCAGAATCTTGTAGCCTCCAGCTGCAATGACTCCTAAGTGGTAGTTTCTAATCTTGTGGCTAATTTGTTAGTCCTACAAAGGCAGTCTAGTCCCCAGGCAAGTAGGAGGTTTGTTTTGGGAAAGGGTTGTTATCGTTTGTGTTTTAAACTATAAACTAAGTTCCTCCCAAAGTTAGTTCAGCCTACACCCAGGAATAAACAGGACAATTTGGAGGTTAGAAGCAAGATGAAGTTGGTTAGGTCAGCTCTTTTTCAATGTCTCAGTTACAATTTTGCAATGGCGGCTTCAATATGAATTGAATATAAAACACTAACTTGTTAAGTAAAAAATTTGAGACACCTGTAAAATGATGTTCTCACACCCATCAATGGCTCCCCCACCAAAAAAATCAAAATGTTGGTTTCAGCAAAGTGTCAGTCAGTAAAATGTCATGATCAATTAAATTACTTGGGTTATATTATTTTGAAATTAACACAAGAGAAAATACATTCTTTCAGAAAATTCCCTTTTGGCTGCTTTAAGGAGCTTCTCTTTAAATTTTGTTTTCTGGCAAAATATACTACACCATTGATTTTATGCTCATTCCTTAAAATAAGTATGACTTCATCCAATGTTGGGGACCTTATAGTCATTCAAATCATTTTTTCCTCCCAAAATAACCATGGTGTGACATTCCTGAAGTAGAGATTGTATGTCCTACTGAGTCATATTTCTAGCTAGTCACCTTGTCTCCTGCTTCCCTTTTTGTCATTTAATTGCAAGACTAGGATCTACTAAATATAGTGTTTGGCTGTTTTTACCTCCTCTAGGGGTAATAGATGATTTATAGGATGACATTGATATGGGTTGGCCGATTCACAGGTACCCAGCATTCAGATTAATGCATTGGACTTTTCTCTGGGCTGTGAGTCCTAAAATTTGGTAGGATTGATTGCTTTAAGTGCAACTCTTGTGAGTTTCAGAATACTTTTTCCTCTTAATTTCCCCTAGATTTGAAACCATGTTCTAAGAAGGCATTGAATTCCAAATTTAATTATAAACTCAAGAACTGCAGAAGTGCTTCTGTATTAGAAGGTTAAGTAATAAAATAGTTAAGATCTAAAATTACATCATGCCATAAAAAATAGATGTTTTGCCTTCATTCTTTCCTCCACAGGTCTAACCAACTCTATCTCTACAGAAAAGGGTAGCCGCAGACAAACCAGAAACACAATGGGCAGAGCCTTCATTTGCTTTGAAAGCTTGACAAGTACAGAGCTTGTTCCTATCCACAAAATACCAGGAGCATGCATTACTGGAAAAGCATCAGTGCCCCTCCATATAAATAACAAAAGAAGTGGGAAAGGTCACATGCATAATAACTTCTGTTTCATGAATTATCTATGTACAGTGATAAGATAAAGCAGTGTGGTATAGCAGACAGATGTGAGCATGGGAGTCAAGCTCACCTTCATTTTGATTTCAGCTCTCTGTTCATCCGCTCTCCAGTCCTTTGAGCCTCACTTTGTTCATGTGTAAAACTAAATATAATCATGGCTACTTTATAATGCATTGCAATAAAAAATAACATATAGGCATTTAGTAAGTTTTAATAATTGAAATATGAGCACAAAGTCATAGGTGGAGGTTTTCTCCAATGGTTTGTTTTTTTTTTTTTTTTTTTTTTTTTTTTTTTTGGAGTCTCCCTCTGTAGCCCAAGCTGGAGTGCAGTGGCATGATCTCACTCGCTGCAACCTCTGCCTCTCAGGTTCAAGTGATTCTCCTGCCTCAGCCTCCCGAATAGCTGGGAATACAGGCGCCCACCACCACAACCAGCTAATTTTTCATACTTTTAGTAGAGAAGGGGTTTTGCCATGTTGCCCAGGCTGGTTTTGAACTCCTGAGCTCAGGCGATCTGCCCACCTTGGCCTCCCAAAGTGCTGGGATTATAGGCATGAGCCACCACACCCGGCCTCCAGTGGTTCTTTAATTCTTCATCTAAAGTAGATTTAGGAGTCAGAGAGAAAACAGAGCTCATCGTATCCAGCTCAAGCACTGCCCATACTGACCCATGGGCTTGGATTGACGTTCAGGCTGACCTAGACTCTTTTCCCTTCTCATCATTCTCAGAAGCAGTGGCTGCTCCTTGCACTGAATATTCACCCATGGTGAGGAAGAGCAATAATAACCCAGAGTGACATCTGGTACAGAGAAAACAGCATTCACTTTGGAGTCAGCAAGACCCAAATTTAAATTCTGTCTCCTTTACTGTCTCTGTGATCATGTTGAGACTTTGCTTTTTAATCCTATCTAAAAAAAATAGCTTCCTTTAAAAACTCTTGTAAAAGTTAAATTCCATACGTGCTGTAAGCATTCTAGGCTTGGGGTATATTTTCATAACCCTTTCGCTTCCTGCAAGACGCTGCCAATTGTTTCCTAACAGCTGCCAACTATTACTTTAAAAACATGCCTATTTTGACAAAATAAAGTTCTATCAAGAAATAATGAGGCAGAGGGACAACAGGCTGAAAGAAGAGAAGCAGGAAATCTGGCCTTTGCCTTTGGCTACTGGAAGGTGATCTTCAGGCCCCTCGAGTGCCCTGCCTGATGAGAATGTATTTTCTGGGAGCTTTGTCCTTCAGGAAGTCTAGTTCATGTCCTTTGTAGGGACATGGATGAAATTGGAAATCATCATTCTCAGTAAACTATCGCAAGAACAAAAAACCAAACACCGCATATTCTCACTCATAGGTGGGAATTGAACAATGAGATCACATGGACACAGGAAGGGGAATATCACACACTGGGGACTGTTGTGGGGTGGGGGGAGGGAGGAGGGATAGCATTGGGAGATATACCTAATGCTAGATGACGAGTTAGTGGGTGCAGTGCACCAGCATGGCACATGTATACATATGTAACTAACCTGCACAATGTGCACATGTACCCTAAAACTTAAAGTGTAATAAAAAAAAAAAAGAAAAAAAAAAAAAAGGAAGTCTAACAATGTGATTTGTAATGAAAACTTAGAGCAAGGCCATATCAGTTCTGACCTCCAAAGAACCTGATAATTAAAGATATTAGCTCAAACTCCAGGAAAGCTAGGGACTGAAGTTTAGCCACACAGGTAGTATGTTATTGACCTGAATAAAATTCTGGATACCAAAGGCTTGGGTGAGTTTTCACGGTTGGTAATTATCTGTGTATATCATCACACACTGTGGCCAGGAGGAGGGAAGGCCACTCTTGAAGCCACAGGGAGAGGGCAACTAGAGCTCTATATTGAGCCCATCCTGGACTCTGCCCTATGCCTCTCTTTCCTTGGCTGATTTTAATTTGTATCTGAGCTATAATAAACTTTAACCATGAGTATAGGAGCTGTCAGTGAGTTATATGAGTCTTTCTAGAAAATTATCAAACCTGAGATGTTTACGGGAAACCCTTCAAACTTCCATTTGATATCAGCAGTGAGAGCAGTCTCATGGGAACTGTTCCCTCTAATTTTGTAGTTGTTCTCAATTTCTCACTCTTCCAAAGAGAGGAAAAACGTCAAAAGGGCAAGGAAATTTTAAAGGGACGCATAGAGTTAGAAAAAAAAAAGATAGAAAAAGGAAAGGACAAATAAACTAATAGAAAAGACAGGTGGAAAAAGGAGAAATGAATTTTTCTGAAAAGTTATGTGAGGACTAATAACGGATAGCAAGATAGCAGGACTGAAGAGGTAATTTAGGACAGTAAGCTGGGTTAGTTACATAAGAATGTATTAGCAAGCTGCTAAAAAATATAGTCTCTAGGACCACGCCTCCAGAGATTTTGATTCAGTAGGTTCAGAATTGAGCTCAAATAATCTGTAATTGTTTTAAAGCACCATGGGTGATTCTGCCATGTTTGGGAATGACTAGTATATGGGAAAATCATAGAGGACTTTAAATGTCAAGCTGAAGTGAATAAACTTTTGGTGGTTGAAATATTTTTCTTTGTACTCTTACCTAACTGGGAATTTCACCGCAGCACCGTTGATGTCATCTGTGATATCATGAGGGTGGAAGCATCAACTCTGCAGCCGACAGACCACAGATTGGGCAGTCCCTAGGATCTCCTTATTGGTTCCACAGCGTTCTCTGCCAAAGATCAGTAGTGACCTGTCAGGAGATGTTGACAATCTCATCAAAAGTGATATTCCCACAGTGTTTAGTGATTTTCTACTTTCTTCTGTCTCTTGGCAGATCGTTGAGGGCTTTGATAATCAGGGCAGAGGCAGAAGTTACCCATTCCCTCTGTTTCTGTCTGTTTTGAATGGTCAGTTTCACTATAATCTTTAGACCCTTCCAGTCTCCAGTTACTCTGATGATGTCATCAGCAGCTTTTTTTGGAGACAGATCCAGAAGACTAATTTTGGGACCTCACCAGATGTGGCATGAGTTTTCCACCAGTACACCTCAGGTATACATCTATGATCTTCTTGGGGTTGAACTGAGGCAGAATAATAGAGGATGTTGGTGTGGGATGAACTTGGATGTGAGACAAATAAAGAAAGTTTCACCTTGGCTTTCTTCAAGCCAAAAACTGGAAGCTGAACAAGTTTTTCTAAGTGCTTGTCCCATAGATTATTTCTTCTAAGTTCTTTCATTTTATACACAAGAAACAGAATTGTTTATTAAAAGTTAACTTATGATGTCTAAGTATGCCACATTTAGCAATGCAGAAAGAGTGTCCTTCAATTTAGGACCACTTGAGGAGGCACAAAAGGTATGCTTCAAGCTCTGAATACTTGCTTTAGCATTGTTCTCATTCTTCCTAGAGAGGGCATCTCTATCAATACAAATTTAGTTGATCTGAAGTAGAAACCAGGGCAGCCCTACATGACATAGCAAAGCTCTTAAGTTTAGAGTGATCAATTTTCCCATTTCAATGGGATCTCAACTGTAGGATCTTCCAATAGCTAAGTATCCACAGTCTGGCCGTCCCATCTTGTCAATGAATGACTCAAAGTGTCACAGGGTTGTAATACCTGCCTCAGTCTTCAAAATTACATTTTACAGCCTAGTGGCAGTTGCAATTTTGAAAAGAAATGTATTAAATTTTATCACACTAAACTTGTATGACTTCAGAAAGTTTTGTAAGGATTAATGGATTTTAGGCATTACTTTATAAGACTTCGTAAAGTATACCAACTACTCCTATTTCTATAAGCTATGGGAAGGAGGAGTAAGAGCCTTAGAGCAGAACTTGGCAAACTTTGGTGGAAAGGGAAAAATAGTAAAATTTTAGACTTTTTGGGCCACTCACCATCTCTGTCACAACTACTAAACTCTGCCATCATGGGGCAAAAGCAGCTACAGGCAACATGTAAACTTTATTTACAAAAACAGTGGTCAGGATGGATTTGGTACTAAAGCCAGAGCTGCCTGACCCCTGGCTTACAGAAATGAGGAAAATAGAAAAGTGTGAGAGAATCAATGGACAAATTATTAGAATTGATAAGAGATTTTAGTAAGCCTGCCAGATATTGAATCAATTACAAGAATAATAGTATTTCTACACAATAGCAATAACAATAAGAGACTGCAACTAAAAATAAGATACTATTTACATTAGTAACAAAAATTATAGAGAATCTGGGAATTAACGAAGAATGCACAATACTACTCTGGGGAAAAGTATGAAACTGTCATACAGGATACAGTGATTGATCTCTCTAAAAAGAGAAGTAGGCCACCTTAAATTTTCCCTAAATTTTTCTGTAAATGCAAAGCAATTCTGGGATAGTCCAAATAATGGATTCTCAAAGATGCCCACATGATAATCCCCACAACCTGTGAATATGTCACCTTCCATGACAAAAAAAAAATCTGCAAATGTGATTAGTATTATCAACTTTGAGATAAGGAGATTATACTGGATTATCCAAGTGGGTAGATTTTATCACGAGGACATTTAAAAGCAGAGGGCCTTTCCCAGCTGTGGTCAGAGGGATATATGACAATGTTGCTGGCTCTGAAGATGGAAGAAGAAGGTCATGAGCTTAAGATATCCTCTAAAAGCTGAAAAACGCAAGGAAATAGATTCACCCTTAAATCTTCCAGAAGAGAACGCAGCCCTGCAGGTGACTTATTTTTTATGCAAGTGAAATCATGTGGGATTTCTAACCTACAGAACTGTAAAACAATACATTTGTGTTAAGTTTGTGGTAATTTATTATGGCAACAATAGAAAACTAATACAGAATTTTTTTTTTTTTTTGAGATGGAGTCTCACTCTGTCACCCAGGCTGGAGTGCAGTGGCGCAATCTCGGCTCACTGAAAGCTCCGCCTCCCGGGTTCACACCATTCTCCTGCCTCAGCCTCCCAAGTAGCTGGCATTACAGGTGCCCGCCACCACGCCTGGCTAATTTTTTGTATTTTTAGTAGAGACAGGGTTTCACCATGTTAACCAGGATGGTCTCACTCTCCTGAGCTCATGATCCACCTGCCTCGGCCTCCCAAAGTGCTGGGATTACAGGCGTGAGCCACCACACCCGGCCACTAATACAGATTTTTATCAAAGTCCCAGTTGAAATTTTTTGAGGATTTTGTAATCTTAGTCTAAAATCTATAATGGCTACAAAAAATTAATTCAGCATTGAAAAAGAAGAGTGAAGAGAAGGAGTCATTCATTACCTGTATTAACATAGTATAAAGCCATAGTAATAACTGTATGAAATGCATGTAAAAACAGACAAATAGACCAATAAGATGGAGTGCTCAGAAATATACTCATTTATTTATACATGTAGGTAATATTTGATAAAGGTGTTCCACAAATCATCAGGAAAGCACAAGTTTTTAAAATATATACATTTGCACCCTGTACCTGCCTACCACAACCAGTGACTGCATGCACCATTAGGAGGCCTGAGAACAGGTCCTCCCAGCCCAGCTCTGGCCCTCCCAGTACCTAAGCATGCCATCCAGGTTCCCGGGGATTGCCCAGCTCAGTCCACAACCATTGGCACCTGAGCACTCCTACTGGGATCTGAAGTTGGGCCCAACCAACCTACCACTACCTACACAGCTGGAAGGCACCCACATGCAGGCCTGGGGATTCACCCAGCCCACCCATCACAGCCACTGCCAACACCAGCGTGAACCACTTGGGTCCCAGAAGGTTGGCCAACTACTGCTACCACCATTGCCCATACCACACACACTACCCAAGGGCCAAGAACCCAACCACTCATCCAGCCCACCACTGTCATTTCCAGCACCCAAGCAAGCTACATGAAGGCCCGAGAATTTGCCTGCCTGAACCCACTAACACCAGTGCCAGCATATGCCACTCTGAAGCACAAGGACAGGAACACTCAGCCCACTGTTGCCATGACTAGAGCTTGAAGACTGGCCCATGTAGCATCTCAGGGCTCAGCAAAACTTCACCAAGGAAATCACAGACATCACTGATGCTATTTACCATCAAAGAAATCATACAGAGACTACACTACTGCATATACCGAGAAACAAAGCCAATGCACCCTACACAACCAATACTATAGATACAGCTTCAGGAAGAAGTCCTCCCCCTGTGAAAGCAAATTTAAAAAGTTGGAAGAAGCGACTGTTATACCACATGTGCAAATATCAACATAAAGACACAGGAAACATGAAAAAACAAGGAACTATGATATCTCCAAAGGAATATAATAATTTTCCAGCAATATATCTTGATTTTAAAATGAAATTTAAGAAATTATAGAAAAAAAGGAATTTAAAATATTGATACTAAAGAAGATCGGTGAGATACAAAAGAATTATGAAAAACAATAAAAAGAATTCAGAGAAAGAGAACAATGAATGAGAAATTTACCAAAGAGATAGATATCATAAAAAAGAGCCAAACAGAAATTCTGGAACTGAAGAATTCATTGAATGCATACAAAATATGTTCAAAAGCTTCAACAATAGACTAGATCAAGCAGAAGAAAGAATCTCAGAACTTGAAGACAGGTGTTTTAATGTAAGCCAGTTAGACAAAAATAAAGAATAAAGAGGCCGGGCACAGTGGCTCACACCTGTAATCTCAACACTTTGGGAGGCCAAGGCGTGTGGATCACCTGAGGTCAGGAGTTCAAGACCAGCCTGACCAACATGGAGAAACCCTATCTCTACTAAAAATAAAAAATCAGCTGGGTGTACTGGAGCATGCCTGTAATCCCAGCTACTTGTGAGGCTGAGGCAGGAGAATCACTTGAACCTGGGAGGCAGAGGTTGCAGTGAGCTGAGATTGAACCATTGCATTCCAGCCTGGGCAAAAAGAGCAAAACTCCATCTCGAAAAAGAAAAAAGAAAAAGAAAAAAGAATTTTTTTTTTTTTTTAGTGAGCAAAGCCTACCTGACAGATGGGACACCATAAAATGACTGAATATTCAAATATTTGGTGTCCCAGAAGGTAAAGAAAAAATGAATTGATAATAAAACCTACTTAATGATATAATAGATGAAAACTTTCTGTATAGTAAGAGATTTACACATCCACAAATAGGAGGCTCAGAAATCCCCAAGCAGATGCAGTTAAAAAGCTCCTCACAACACATTATAGTCATATTGTCAGAAGTCAAAGACAAAGAAAGAATTCTAAAAACAGCAATAGAAAAGTGTCTAGTCACTTATAAGAGAACTCTCATCAGACTAAGAGTGGATTTCTCAGCAGAAACCTTACAGGCCAGAGAGAATGGGATAATACATTTAAAGTCCTGAAAGAAAAAACCTGCTAGCCAAGGATATTATACCAACAACGTTATTCTTCATACATGAAGGAGAACTGACGTCTTTCCCAAACAAACAAGCTGAGGGAATTCATCGCCACTAAATTGGCACTACAGAAACTCTTTAGTCCTATGCCTGGAAGCGAAAGAATAATATCTACCATCATTTAAAATATATATATATATATAAACCACTGGTCAAGCAAACACACAAGAGATAAAACACAAATATTACCAAGACAAAAAAACCACCAAACAACAATGACAAACAATGAGAGAAAGAAACAAAAGATAAGTATAGAACCAGAAATCAATTAATAAAATGAGAGGAATATGCCCTCACTTATCAATAATAACCTTGAATGTAAATAAATTAAACCTGCCACTTAAAAGATACAGTCTGGCTGAATGAATTTTAAAAATGACCCAACTATATGCTACCTACAAGAATCTCATCTCACCTGTAAAGACACATATAGACAGAAAGTAAGGGAATGTAAAATAATATTCCATGCAAACAGAAACCAAAAGTGAGCAGGAGTAGCTATACCTATATCAGATAAAACAGACTTAGACCAAATGGACCTAACAGACATTTAAAGAACATTTCATACAACCACTACAGAATACACATTCTTCTCATCAGCACACAGAACATTGTCCAGAAGAGATCATATGTTAGGACACAAAACAAGTCTCAACAAATATTTAAAATTATAAATCATATCAATTATCTTTTCAGACCACAATCAATAAAACTGGAAGTCACTAACAAAAGAAACTTTGGAAAGTGTACAAATACATGGAAATTAAATAACATGTCCTGGGAGAAATTCAGGATGAAATTTAAAAATTAAATAACCTGCTCAAGGAAGAAATTAAGAAGGAAATCAAAAAATTTATTGAAACAAATGAAAATAAAAACACAACATACCAAAACCTATGCGATACAGCAAAAAACAGTGCTAAGAGGAAGGTTAAAGCAATAAACACCTACATCCAAAAAGTAGAAATATTTCTTAAAAAATCTAACCATGCACCTAAAGAAACTAGAAAAGCAAGAACAAACCAAAACCAAAATTAGTAGACGGAATAAAATAAAGATCAGAGCAGAATTAAACAAAATAGAGACAAATAAAATAATACGAAGGGTGAACAAAAAAGTTTGTGTTTTGAAAAGATAACATCAATAAGCCACTTGCTGGAGTAATCAAGAACTCTTACACACTATTAGTGAAAATGTAAATTAGTATAGCCACTATGGAAAACAATGTGGAATTTCTCAAAAATCTAAAAATAAAACTACCATACACTCCAGCCATTTCACTGCTGGGTATTTATCCTAAAGAAAAGAAATCAGTATAACAAAGAGATACAAGCACTCCAATGTTTACTGCAGCACTATTCACAATAACATATATATGAAACCAAACTAAATGTTCAGCAATGGATGGATGAAGAAAATGTGTATAATGTATATATATATATATACACAATATGTGTGTGTATATATATATGTATATATGTATATGTGTGTGTGTATATATATACACACACACACAATGGAATACTATTCAGACATAAGAAGAATAAAATCATGTCATCTGCAGCAACATGGATGGAACTGGAAGTCATTATGTTAAGTATTAAGTTTAAAAAGCCAGGCATAGAAAGACAAACACTCATGTTCTCACTCACATGTGGGAGCTAAAAAAGTTGATTTCACGGAGGTAGAGAGTAGAATGATAGATACCAGAGGCCGGGAAGAGTAGGTGAGTGGGAAGGGGGATGAAGAGAGGTTGGTTAATGGGTGCAAAACATACAGTTAGATAGAAGATATAACTTCTAATGTTTGATAGTGAACTAGAATGACTAGAAATGACAATGACATATGGCATGTAACAAAGTAGCTACAAGAGAGGACTTGAAATGTTCCCAAGTGATAGAAATGATAAATATTCAAGATGATGGATATCCCAAATACCCTGACTTGATCATTACACATTTTATGCATGAAACAAAATATCACATTACTCCATAAATATGTAAAATATTATGGATCAATAAAAAATAATGTATTTGAAAAACTAACTTCTTTAAAAAATAAAACTGAACCCCTACATTACACATAAAAAATTGATGAAAACTAAATGTGTAAGAGGAAAAAAGCTTTATATTAAAGTTAATAGAAATACAGGATTTATATGCATATATATATTTATAAACCATGACTTGGTAAAATTTCAAAAGCAAAAATAATAAGGCATATGCATGATAAATTTGGTTGTATCAAAATTAAAGATTTCTATTCAAAGACATATACTATGGATGGTTCTCATAGATGAAAAAAATGAGAGAAGATTCTTATATGTCTTGGCAAAAAAGTGAATAATATTGAGAAAATACAATGTCTAAATGTCTAGACATCGTTAATTGATAGGAAAATGACAGTAACTGCAATAGAACAATGGTCAAAAGGTCTGAATAAGAAACTGCAAACTTAGGAAGTATGGTCAGCTCTCTGTACCTATGGGTTCTACATCAGTGATTCAACCAACTGAGGATGGAAAATATTCACATATAAAAATGAATGGTTGTGTCTGTACTAAACATGCACAGACTTTTTTTCTTGTCATTATTCCCTAAACAATACAGTATAATCAATATTTACATAGAGTTTACATTGTATTAGGTATTATATGTAATCTAGGGATAATTTAAATCACATGGGAGCATATGCATATGTTATATGCAAATACTACACCATTTTATAACAGGGACTTGAGCATCTGCATATTTTGGTATTTGCGGAAGGTTCTGGATCCAATCTCCCATGGACACCAAAAGACTAACTGTATATGAATACATAAAGAGACACTCAAACTTACTAGAAATCAGAGACATGCAAATCAAAGCAAAGCAACATCACTTGACACCTATTGGATTAACAAAAATTGGAAAGATGGATAACCGATGGGGTGTGGAGACATAGGGGCCCTCAAGCGCTGCTAGTGGGATTGTAAACTGCAGCAGACCCTGTGGAGAGCATCTGGTACATTTGACTAAACTTGGTATAATCCCACCTGCAGTGTGATTCAGCAATTCCACTACTAGTTAGATATGCCAATAAATTTCTCATGCAGACTTCTAAGACGACATGTGTAATATTTATTACAGCATTATTTGGGGAAGTCTGGTGTTGGAGGTGAGATTTGGCAAGTTCATTGCAAGGAGAATGGATAGATAAAGGTTGATGGATGCCCTTCATAGGGTACTACAGAGTAAAAGGAAGCAATGGACTAGATGTACATGTAGCAACATGGATGAATCTTATAAACAGAATGGATGAATCTTATAAAATAATGCCAAGTAACAATATTTTTAAAAACATAATATCTTATATGTAAACTAATAGCATTTACATAAGTTGAAAATGTACAGACATAAAAAATAATATGCATTTTCCAAAAGCACTTATAAACAAAAAGACATGAGAATAGATGCTTATGTTGAGAAGGAAGAATACAAAATGGGTACTGGTGATTAAATGGAATGAATTAAGAGTATTGATTGAATGAATGAAGAGCGGGGATTTTACTGGATGAATGATGATTCAGGTATCATTACTGTACCTTCTGCATTTGAGCATAGAAAATAGGAACAGAAAATTTGAATGGAAAGCAAGGAATTATATGAGCTCTTCCTCCAAAATTTACATCATATAAGTTGAAAACTGGGTGAAGTATAAGCAGGGAGCATTTTTGCAATGTTTAAAGTCCTAATTCATAATTTTGAATTGTGTTTTTCTTAAATGGCTCCTTAAATATAAGACTATATTTTAGTGAAGCCAATAATGTTTTCATATTCCTATTGATGTGATCTACAAAGGCAAAAAACAATTTTAAAGACTAATTTCTAATCTTACTTTAATTCCTAAACTAGATTTTCAATGGATACTGTCTTTCCATGACATTAATTGCTACAAAAGAATACAGAAATTTCCCCACAAATAAATAAATCAAAAATTATTTTTGACTTTAGCTATTTTTACAGACTTTTGTCCAGTTTGTTGTATTTTATATAAATTCATTTCTTACACAAATTTGTACATAAAAGAAAAAATAAGAAATTCTCCATATTTGACACTGATCCCTTCTGGTTGATTTTTTAATTTCTTGATGCAACTAGCAATGGTGCAGTGCAACCATAGCTCACTGCAGCCTCAAATTCCCGGGCTCAAGCCATCCTCCTACTTCAGCATCTTAAATATCTGGGACTACAGGTGTGTACCACCATACCTGATGTATATATATGTATACATATATATATATAAAATATGTATAGTATATATATTATATATATTGCATTATATATATAGCATTATATATATATATTATATATAGCATTATATATAATTCTATATTATATATAGCATTATATATAATGCTATATTGTATATAGCATTATATATAATGTATTCTATATTGTATATAGCATTATATATAATGTATTCTATATTGTATATAGCATTATATATAATGTATTCTATATTGTATATAGCATTATATATAATGTATTCTATATTGTATATAGCATTATATATAATGTATTCTATATTGTATATAGCATTATATATAATGTATTCTATATTGTATATAGCATTATATATAATGTATTCTATATTGTATATAGCATTATATATAATGTATTCTATATTGTATATAGCATTATATATAATGTATTCTATATTGTATATAGCATTATATATAATGTATTCTATATTGTATATAGCATTATATATAATGTATTCTATATTGTATATAGCATTATATATAATGTATTCTATATTGTATATAGCATTATATATAATGTATTCTATATTATATATATAGCATTATATATAATGTATTCTATATTATATATAGCATTATATATAATGTATTCTGTATTATATATAGCATTATATATAATGTATTCTGTATTATATATATAGGATTATATATAATGTATTATATATTATATATAACATTATATAAAATGTATTATATATTTTATATATATAGCATTATATATAATGTATTACATATTATATATAGCATTATATAAAATGTATTACATATTATATATATATAGCATTATATATAATGTATTACATATTATATATAGCATTATATATAATGTATTACATATTATATATATAGCATTATATATAATGTATTACATATTATATATATAGCATTATATATAATGTATTACATATTATATATATAGCATTATATATAATGTATTACATATTATATATATAGCATTATATATAATGTATTACATATTATATATATAGCATTATATATAATGTATTACATATTATATATATAGCATTATATATAATGTATTACATATTATATATATAGCATTATATATAATGTATTACATATTATATATATAGCATTATATATAATGTATTACATATTATATATATAGCATTATATATAATGTATTACATATTATATATATAGCATTATATATAATGTATTACATATTATATATATAGCATTATATATAATGTATTACATATTATATATATAGCATTATATATAATGTATTATATATTATATATATAGCATTATATATAATGTATTATATTATATATAGTATTATATAATGTATTATATATTATATATAGTATTATATACAATATATTATATATAGTATTATATATAATGTATTATATATAGTATTATATATAATGTATTTTATATATAATATTATATGTATTTGTGTATATATATATTTGTACAGACAAGATTTGGCTATGTTTTCTGGGCTCATCTCAAATTCCTGGCATCAAGAAAACCCCCCACCTCAATTTCCCAAATTGCTGAGATTAGAGGTACCAGCCACAATACTTGGCTTTGAGCACATTTCTTTATTTGAGGTAAATCTTTCCCTTGAAAATATTTGATTTCCAACAAGTCAATTTCCTGATGATTTTTTTCCAGGAATTTATTTTTCACTGTTTCATTCACATTTAATGCTGTTTTTAAAAATTCTAGTTATTTTCAGCCATTCTTATGAAAGATGAATTGCCACAGGGGTTCACCAAAAAGAAATGGAATGACATTTATCAAAGATAATCACAGTCATTAAAATTGGAGATACTGATTTTACAGAGGATGATGACTTTAGTCCTTAAACATGACTATTTTTAATACTGACATATAGGCATTAGACTATAGGAAAAAAACATTTGTCAAAGAGTTTTGAAACTGCAATAATTCTGCTTTCTTCAATGAATATCTTGGCAGAATCCTCTGGGAACAAAATGTCTAAGAGTACAGATTCTATGACAAGGACAAATTCTCACACATACTCTGATTATTCTAACAAAATAATCAGAGAGAGAAGAAAAAGAAACAAATGTCTATTTCTTCCAAGCTTCAGTTCAGATCTATATTCCATGATTCTGACTACCATTGCGGGGTAGGGGCCAGAGTGAGGGTGTTTAATCAAGTTTGATAATGAAGCAGTTGTCACTACATAAAGTGTAAAATAATATATAAAATATTAGAATTCAGATTCTAAAGGTAAATCAAATATGCATTGCCTGATTATATAATGAGACCTTTTCCCTCCCTCTTTCTCTCCCTACCTGCCCCTTTTCCCGTCTTCCTTTTCTTCATAACACTTGCAGAATGATATCGTAGGAAAAGACCAAAATATTATCCTTAGATGAACCTGAACATATTGTGTGACTGTGAGGAAGTCACCAACCTTCATGGATTTAAATAACACAGCTTTGGTATATAGTGACATGACAAAATTAGACTAAAATTTCTTCTAAATAGGCAATGGGTACTTTTGTCACCCTTTGGAATCTGAAATACAAAATAAAAAGCAGGAAGACTTAGCCAGAGCAGTCAGGCAAGAGAAAGAAATAAAAGGCATTCAAATAAGAAAAAAAAAAAAGGAAGTCAAATTATCTCTATTCAAGGATGATATTATTCTATCCCCAGAAAACCCCAAAGACACTGCCAAAAGTCTCCTGTAACTAAACTTTAGTAAAGTTTCAGGATACAAAATCAATGAACAAAAATCAGTAGTATTTCTATACACCAATAACATTCAAGCTGAGAATAAAATCAAGAATGCAATACCATTAAAAGAGCTGCAAAAAAAAAAAAAAAAGAAATACCTAGAAATACATCTAACCAAGGAGGTGAAACATCTCTACAGGAACCACAAAACACTGCTGAAAGAAATCACAGATGATACAAATAAAAAAAAATTTCATGCTCATGGTTTAGAAGAATCAATATTGTAAAAATGGCCAATACTGCCGAAAGCAATCTGAAGATTCAATGTTATTCCAGTCACACTACCCATGTCACTTTTCACAGAACTGGAAGAAGCTATTGTAAAATTCATATGAAACCAAAAAAGAACCCCAAAATGCAAAGCAATGCTAAACAAAAAGAACAAGCTGAAGGCATCATTTTACCCATCTTCAAACTGTACTATAAGGCTACAGTAACCAAAACAGCATGGTACTGGTACGAAAAACAGGCACATAGGACAATGGAACAGAACAGAGAACCCAGAAATAAAGGTGCACACCTACAGCCATCTGATCTTTGACAAAGTCAACAACAACAAGCAATGGAGAAAGGACTCCCTAATCAATAAATGGTGCTGGGACAGCTAGCTGGCCTATGCAGAAGAATGAAATGACTCCTACCTTACACCATACACAAAAATTAACTCAAGATGGATTAAATATTTAAACATGAAATCTCAAACTATCGCACCACTGCACTCCAGACTGGGCGACAGAGCGATACTCCGTCTCAAAAAAAAAAAAAAAAAAAAAAAATTCCCAGAAGAAAACGTAGTAAACACCCTTCTGGACGTTGGCTTTGGGAATTAATTTATGACTAAGTCCTCAAAAGCAACTGAAACAAAAACAAATATTAACAAGTGAAACCTAATTAACTAAAGAGCTTCTTCACCACAAAAGAAACTATCAACAGAGAAAAGAGACAACGTACAGAGTGGCAGAAAATATTCACAAAGTATTCATCCAGCAAAGGCCTAATATCCAGAATTTATCAGGAACTTAAACAATTCAACAAGGAAAACCAATGCCATTAAAAAGTCAGCAAAAAACCTGAACAGATGCTTCTCAACAGAAGACACACAAGGGGCCAAAAAACTATGAAAAAATGTTCAACATCACTAGTCATCAGAGAAAAGCAAATCAAAACTATAATGAGATTACATCTCACAGCAGTCAGAATGGCTATTACTAAAAAGTCAAAAAACAATAGATGCTGGTGAGACTGCAGAGAAAAGGGGAAAAGGAAGGCTTATACACCGTTGAAGAGAATGTAAATTAGTCTAGCCATTGTGGAAAGCAGTTTAGAGATTTCTCACAGGAGTTAGAACTATTATTCAAACCAGAAATCCCATTACTGGGTATATATTTAAAAGAAAATAAATTTTCTACCATAAAGACAAACATGCACTTGTATGTTCATTGCAGCACTATTCACAATAGCAAAGACATGGAATCAACCTAGGTGCCCGTCAGTGGTGGATTGGATAAAGAAAATGTTGTGTGTATATATCATGGAATACTATGCACCCATAAAAAAGAATGAGATCATATCCTTTGCGGTAACATGGATGCAGCTGGAGGCCATTATCCTAAGCAAATTAACAGAGGAACAGGAAACTAAATACCACATGTTCTTACTTATAAGTGGGAGCTAAACATTGGGTACTCATAGACATAAAGATGGCAACAATAGACACTGGAACTACTAGATGGGGAAGAGAGGGCTGAAAAACAATCTATTGAGTACTATGCTCAGTACCTGGGTGATAAAATCAATTGTACTCCAAGTCTCAGCATCACACAATATACTCATGTAATGACCCTGCACATGTACACCTAAAATCTAAAATAAAAGTTGAAATTATTTTTTAAAATTAAAATTAAAATAATAAAATAAAATTAGAATAATTATTTTCACTTCTAGTTCCTCCATTAACTTTTTGTATTTAAGAACTGGTTGTTTATGGTTGGGCATGGTGGCTCACAGCTGTGATCCCAGCACTTTGGGAGGCCAAGGTGGGTGGATCACCTAAGGTCAAGAATTCAAGACCAGCCTGGCCAACATGGTGAAACGCTGTCTCTACTAAAAATACAAAAATTACCCAGGCATAGTGGCACATGCCTGTGATTCCAGCTACTCAGGAGGCTGAGGCAGAAGAATCACTTGAACCTGGGAGGCGGAGTTTGCAGTGAGCTGAGATTGCATCACCGTACTCTATCCTGGGCAAGAGAGCGAGACTCCATCTCAAACAAACAAACAAACAAACAAAAAAGAACTGGTTGTTTCTTATCTTTAGTGTGATCGGAAAGTTAAGAGGGAAATTCTGGATCACCATTCCCGAAACAAAAGAATAACTCTAGAAATAAAGTTCTAGTCATTCGGCTGATGTCAGTTGGTGAAATTGTACAGCAAGAAGATTTTACTGGCATTCTTTAACACTGATTGCATACTCTATACTCTAAGAAATTAAAACTAGGGAACCTGAGGTCATTTATCTGGACAAAGGGAAAAAAAAAGTCCAAGTTATTCGACTTAGAACAGGATGAATCCTGACATTAAAAACTTCATTAACAACTCACACTATCACACGCTTTTGTGTACTGAGACATGTAACACTAAGGCAAATCAATTGGAACGGGGATATGTAAACAGGGGTATGGCCACTTGGGTCTCTGAGGACAAAACAGCATCATGTTATAAGAGTGCTCATGGCTCACGCCTGTAGTCCCAGCACTTGGAGAGGCCGAGGCGGGCGGATCACGAGGTCAGGAGATCGAGACCATCCTGGCTAGCATGGGGAAACCCCGTCTCTATTAAAAATACAAAAAAAAAAAAAATAGCCGGGTATGGTAGCAGGGGCCTGTAGTCCCAGCTACTCAGGAGGCTGAGGCAGGAGAATGGCGTGAACCTGGGAGGCAGAGCTTGCAGTGAGCCGAGATCGCGCCACTGCACTCCAGCCTGGGGCGACAGAGCGAGACTCCGTCTCAAAAAAAAAAAAAAAAAAAAAAAAAAAGAGTGCTCTTGTTGGAAAAGAGCTGTTTGACCTGTGTGGGGACTGAATACTTACAGTGTATGAGGGTTCACAGCCCTCTCCCTATAGCCACCTATGATTGAACAAGCAATGGTTGGTGTTAGGCATCTTCCAGACATTTATATTGACTTCCCTTTACAAAAAATATACGAAAGGTACATGCATAGATTTTTAAAGGAAAAGCAATCAAAGAGATTGTGTGAAGGGGAAATGGGCTTTGTTGATATGTGGGATGTACAAGAGGGCATGGAGGGAGAGGTGCTCAAGGAACCAAGGTGGTGAAGGCTGTAGATGAGAGACATTGTGTATAAGGCAGGAGAATAAAAGGCCCCTGGAGGTTTGAAGGTACCAGAGAATAAGAAGGATCCAGCCTGGTTAGTACAATTGGCTGTGAGCTAAGCAATTGAAGTCTCTTACATGTTGTGAGTAAAAGTCTTAATTTTGGTTTCAACCATGCCTTTCCCAATATTATAGCTCCAAAACTAGACCATATACATTCCAGTTTGTAGGTATTACACATGGCATTAATTATTTGAAAAGGGATAATGTATTTAAAATGGTGACATCAAAGCAAAGGACTTTCAGAGAGTGGCTTTAAGTAGCACCTTCTCTCCCAACAACCCCATATACTTGCTCATCTGGTCCCACCCTACTCCAACAATTAAATGCCAAACAAAGGTATATGATCCCAAAGTGTCTTCCAAACTCCCCAACTCAGTACTGTGACACTTCAATCCTTTATATACATGGTGGGGAAATTTTAAAGCTTTAGAACTCCCATTGCAGAGAGGAGAGGAAAGACACCTTACTCTGCATTTGGTTAAAGGTAGCTCTTTTATAACATTGAGCTTCAACATTTGATCATGGCCTTACGTATTAGTCCATTCTCACGCTGCTATAAAGAACTGCCTGAGACTGTGTAATTTATAAAGGAAAGAGGTTTAATTGACTCACAGTTTCACAGGGATGGAGAGGCCTCAGGAAACTTACAATCATGGTGGAAGGGGAAGAAAACACGTCCTATTTCACATGACGGCGGGAAGGAGAAGTGCCGAGTAAAGCGGAGAAAGCCCCTTATAAAACCATCAGATCTCATGAGAACTCACTATTATGAGAACAGCATGAGGGTAACCGCCCCCATGATTCAACCACCTCCCACCAGGTCTCTCTCACAACATGTGGGGATTATCAATTCAAGATGAGATTTGGGTGGGGACACAGTCAAACCATATCGGCCTATATTATTTTGTTTCCTGTGTTTTCTCTTCACCCTTTTCTCACTTGTGTGAATTTTTGGTTCTTCCCCACCAGGACTAAAACTGTGCTCTATAAACTGTAAATACTCAGCCTTATAAACATTAATGATGACACAGAAAAGAGAGGTGTCGAGTGAATAATTGGATGCTGAAGGTTAACCATTTAGTGAGTTGAAAACATCGACAATTGGCCACTCCATAAGAAAGTATTTCCTTAAAGCTTATTTTATTAGCGAGGGAGACTATATGCATTATGTTATTTTCTTTTCTCAAGGTCTGTATTTATCCCAAAACATTCAGTGTTAAAACTATATCAATGCTAGAGTTCAAATCTCAGCTCTACAAGATGTTGACTTTGGGGAAATCACTTAATTGGCTCCTCAGCTGTCAAAGGAGATAAGGACAGTCACCTCCTTGACGTATTATTGCAAGAATTTTGTGAGATGATATTTCTCTAGCAGTGTTCTTAACTAGGTCAAACTTGAAATTTGAATAAATCTGGCATGTACAGTTAAGTATTTATTATGGGCAAGGATTTACTCCAGAGAGAGAAGAGCTGAAGAATACCATGGGAAATAAATTTGAATTGTTTCATGATGGTAGTGCCCAGATTTCACCATAATGTATGAGAACAGACAGAAACATAGGACAAATTTGAAGTTTTTCTGCAGGACAACAGGGAAGGAAGTTTGGCACCAGAAATCTGGGGGAATAGGTGCTAAAAATGTGTAAACTAGAAGAGTTGTCTCAGAACTTTTGGGATCCATCAGTTCTGCTGCAATGACACTTTCAATAAATGAAACACTGTGCAACAGAGGGGTGGATTCTTTCCTTACCAGTGCAACCAAAGTGGGCAGCTATGAGAACGGGATCATGAGAGCCTGGGAAACAACCCCTAAGAATTCTCATAGATAATAGAATAGAAGAAACCTTGAAAATGAGCCTGTGTTCCCATAGGCACATGAGATAGAAAAGGCATATATAGTAAGGTAACCTCATTTGTATGTTCACAGTCAGTGAAGGACTGGATGAATACAGGTCTCAAGTGAAATACACTAAGCACAAAGCCTGGTGTATAGTAGGTCCTCAATAATAAATGTTTGTTCTCTTTCCCTTGAAAGACAGACCTCTTAATTAAGACATCCTCGAAAGAGATTTCTCAACTTTTTCATTAGCATCCTCTGGATACCTTCACTCTCATTACCTTCAGCACTATGATTAGCGTCAAAAAGAATTCTTCATGTAAAGAGTCTGTAATTAGGATACCAGGGAGAGCTCAGCATCTGAAAAGGACTGCAGCACCTGCCTATTGTCTCAGTTGCTTTTTATCTCTCTAGGCCTGCAATATCAAAAGCACCCAGTACAAATTAAAGATGCAAAAACCTGGCTGGTCTCAAAGTTGGTTCATTTCCCGTTAGAAATACTGGCTGTGCATTTTTCTTGAAATTAGAACTTCAGAACAGCACATCCAGTAATTAGTGCATGATTTTCTTTTCACTTGAATGTTTTCTGCTTCTTTTTTACTATTGCAGCAATTGGGTATTTGAGAGAGAAAAATAATGTCTCAACGCATGCTTCATTTCCCAAAGCAGGGGGCAGAGTCCAGATTCCTGATGAAAGCTTCAACCTTTTAATTCAGATGAAGTGAAGCTCAATTTATTTTGTTGGAAAGTTTGAACTGGTCTGTGAGGCAGTTCAACAGTTCAGGCTTACTGTAATTAACTGTCAAATAAGAGTCCGGGACTAAGCAGAGAAACGCAAGTGGGTCAGCATCAGAAGGGTTTAAATTCTGATGAAATTTTACAAGAAGAATGGCCTTTCGTGGAAACATTCATCCCAGTCAATAGTTCACTGTATAAGCAGCAGCAAGTGTAGGTGGTTATCAAAAACACAGCTTGAACTCCCATTAGGCTTCCAGTGCCCTCCCTTTCTGGTTATCACTGATGCTCCTTTACTAGAAACATTAATTCAGGGTTTCTGGTAACCTTGCCTCTGATAAACTCTTCTACTGGAGCTTGTCCGCATAAGGAGAGCGAGCCTTTGAGGCTGCGGAAGTTTGAGGGGAATACCTAGAAAACTCCTATTGCTATTATGCTAACCCACAGACTGCATTGAATGGCAAAATGCGTAAGAAAAATGTCCTTGGCCGAATGCAGTGGCTGACACCTGTAATCCCAGCACTTTGGGAGGCCTAGATAGACAGATCACTTGAGGACAGGAGTTCGAGACCAGCCTGGCCAACATGGTGAAACCCATCTCTACTAAAAATACAAAAAATTAGCCAGGCATGGTGGCACATGCCTGCAATGCTAGCTACTCGGGAGGCTGAGGCACAAGAATTGCTTGAACCAGCGGGGGTGGAGGTTGCATTGAGCCAAGATTGCACCACTGCACTCCAGCCTGGATGAAGGAGTGAGACTCTACCTCAAAAAAAAAAAAAAAAAAGAAAAGAAAAAGAAAAATGTCCTATATTGTTACCTATGTGGTTACCTTCCAGTGTCTTCATGTAAGTCCAGATTCCATTTAGTATTGCTTTCCTCCTGCTTGGAGGCCTTCCTTTCACATTTCTTGTACTGTAGGTCAGCTGGTGATAAATATTTTCAATTTTTGTATGTCTGAAAAACTTCAAACAGAATATGGAAATGACAGACCACCAACACTGAGCAGAAAATATTAGAATTTAATGTAGGCAAATTTAATCTGCAACGCTTTCCAAGACCAAAGCCTTTCATTTAGAACCTTCATATTAAAGGAAAGCCATTTTGGGAGAAAGTAAATGGCATGACCTTTGTGACAATTTTCATAAAAATCAATTTTTAAGGTCTCCATTGAGCTAACATAAAACAAATCTGCTTTTGACCCATATACTGCATTAATAACATCCAAAAAAGGCTCTATATCTGAAGTAGTTTTCTGGGGTAAAAGAATGTATAAACAAAAAGAGACAACCTTTCAAAGAAGAACTCTAGATATGAAACAGGAAAAAACTGATGTGTTTATCTGAAGCAGGCTTGTAATACTATGGCCCCAAGTCCACAGAAATCAACTCGGCCTCATGTCACCTTCCCAGTGAACCTTCAGGACTGAGCTTTCAGTTTTCTTAAACAAACTCACATGCACATGTACATATGTGTGCACACATGCTCACACACACACCCCACATAGGCAGAATAATGTTAATAGAGCTTTGCTTACAGATCCCCAGAAGAGAAAAATCAATTTCTATCTTATTTCTTACTTTTAAAAAGCTGACCTACATGGCTTTAACATTCCCTTCAGCTTGGCTAAACTTTAGACAGGTTTGTTCCTAACTATAGGTCCCTGACCTCTTTTTTTTTTCATAGAACATTTGCTTTAGAAAACATGCATTGTAAGTCCTTTCTCTGCCCGTTTGAGAAATAAATCTGATGTGGGAGCCATCCCTTTGAAATGTGATCATAAAGATAGTACCCCTATCTCCCAGTCTCTGTGGAAAGTTCAGAACCTAACTTCAATCAGTGACAATCAGCAAACACAGATGGCCTAATCACACTGACCAGCCTCTGCCTTACTATCCTGCAGTGCTTTCTCACTAGCTCACCTCAGGGATTACAAGCTCTCCTGCCTTTTGTTTCAGTGCAGTTGAGTTCCATCTCTCTCCTTCATTGCAATAGTCCTGAATAAGTCGAATAAGTCTTCCTTGCCATTTTTCACAAGTATCCAGTGCAATTTCTCTTTGGCAAAGCCCATACATGTATTTTCCAGTAAAAAGATAATGTGAACCCAAGTACCTGACAGTTTCTATAATTTCCATCCTATTTCTTAGAAATCACCGAATTAAATGAAAAAAATGTGGAAACAATTAAAGTTCTTTGCAAATCTATCAGGTACTTTATCTAGATTCTGCTTGTCTTGCAAACTCTGACTACTTCTGTAAGTACATAAGAAAGACTTAAATCACACACTAGTTCCCTAGAGTGATGGGTATAATTTTATGGAGTATATAGAAGCTAGAAGGGACCTAGATGTTCATTTAATCCAGAATTCAAGAGCCAAAGTCATCTCAGAGATGTTTTGTTTGCTCATTACAATGTTAGAAGATGAAAAGAAGAGGATTGAAATGCTTCTGGTGGGACACGCCGTCCGGTTTATCCCAGAAAATGCCCTATTTTCTTATACTTGGCTGCTCCCCAGACCATATTTACCGTCTTTCCTTATCCATGAAAACCTTTGGGGTTGTTATGCTTAAACCCTCATTTTACTTTTTAAATGAAGTTATATGCTCACGGAAGTAAAATAATTTTGCTCCCAGTCTTGATAAGTAGAAACTGAATTCAGTATTCCAGAAGTGCCAGTGCAATACTTCTCAACCTTGATTGGATATCAGAATCACCTGAAGAGCCTTTTAAAAATATCTACACCTGAGACTTACCCACAGCATTCTAAGTACACCGGTCTTGGATGGGGCCTTCGAATTGGCCATTTCCGGTGTGCAGCTAAGACGAAAACCCATTGACACAATATATTACCAGACTGTCTTGGAGATTCTGTTTCAGAATGTAGACTGGGAGAAAGTTGCTCTCAATAAATAAATTTTTCATTATTTTGATAAATTTTTCATTACTATAGGTACTAAAGAGATTAAAACATTCAATGATTTTATTAAGAATTCTATGCCAATAAGTTCAGTTAGATAAAATTGACAAATTCCTCCAAAAAACAATATCAAAACATCACACAAAATTGTGAATATGAATAATCCTCTCATTAATAAAGAAATGAAATTTTTCATTAAAGCCTTTATGTGTGTGTGCACAGACCATAAACACCCTACATGCTATAAAACTATACAATCTTGGAAAAATAATAAAATCCAATATTATTGATGGTTTTAAAAAATGATCTCCACTAACAATAGAAGGGAAGTACCTAAACGTGATAAAAAGTATCCTTAAAAAATATTGAAAGCTTTTTCTCTGTTACTGGGTGCAAAAAAACCAAAATGTTTACCTACATGCATCACTGAGGTTCAATAAGCACTGGAGATTCTATTCGGTTGGTACAAAACTAATTGCAGTTTTTGCCTTTTTATTTTATGGCAAAAATCACAATTACTTTTGCATCAACCTAGTAAGTAACCCAGTAAGGCAAAATAAAACTGCATCAATAGCTATATATAAAACAAAAGTTTTAAAGACTTTTTTTTTTTTTTTGAGACAGAGTCTCGCTCTGTCGCCCAGGCTGGAGTGCAGTGGCACAATCTCCGCTCACTGCAAGCTCCGTCTCCCAGGTTCACGCCATTCTCCTGCCTCAGCCTCCTGAGCAGCTGGGACTACAGGCGCCCACCACCACGCCTGGCTAATTTTTTGTATTTTTAGTAGAGACGGGGTTTCACCGTGTTAGCCAGGATGGTCCGGATCTCCTGACCTCGTGATCCGCCCACCTCGGCCTCCCAAAGGGCTGGGATTACAGACGTGAGCCATCGCGCCCAGCCCAAAAGCTATAAAGATTTTCAAAGAAAATATTGAAATGAATTGTAGTTGTATATACCAGCAAGAAACAAAATGAAATTTTAGAACCACTTTCAAAAGTATTAAAAATACTAAATGTAAAGGAATAAACCTAAAAAAAATGCAAGGCCTTTATGTAGGAACCTATGAAATGTTGCTAAGATAAATGAAAGAATATTTGAATAGAGATATTTATCAAGCCTATGCATTAAAAACTCAATATGTAATATGTCAATTGTAATACGTCAGTTCTCTACAAACTGAGCTATAGGGTCAAGGAATTCTAACCACAATCCCAATTAGAGAGTGAATTTGACAAGTGGATTATACAATTTATATGAATATTCAAAGGGCCAAGAATATTCATGACACCTTTGAAAAGGACAAGATGTCAAGATTTTATCTAGGTTATGACATCTTATAATAAAACTACAGTAATGAAGATATTGCAATATTAGCATAAGGATAGAGAATATGCCCATGGAGGAAGATAAGAGTGTGAAAATATATGATGCATATATAAACATTTAATTTTTTAATAGGTGGCATTGCACACGCATGGGATAATAGTGGTCTTTATTAATAGTTCTGGGACATTTTTGGTATGCATCAGGAAAAAATAATGAAGCTAAACTCCTATATCACACTATTCATAAAAACTCCAATTAGATTATGGAAATATATGTGAAAAGCAAATCAAAATGTTTTCTTAGAAAATAATGCCAGAGAATATTCTCATGAATTTAGGATAAGGGCAGTTTATTTATAATTGAAATGCACAGAGCAATCATCATGAGCACATTAAAATTAAGAAATCATGCTTATCAAATAAATAGCATCAAGAACGTGAAAAGGCAAGCCATACAAAGATAAAAGATGTTTGCTAAATATATGTCCAGCAAAAGATTAGTGGGTGCCAGAGGTCAGAAAACCTTTTCTGTAAAAGGCCAGATAGTAAATAATTCAGACTTTGCAAGCCATACAGCTTCTGTCTCAACTACTAAACTCTGCCCTTGTAGCATGGAAGTAAGTGTGGCTGAGTTTTAATAACACTGCATTCACCAAAATATGGCAAATCAGATTTGGCCCATAGTCCAGAGTTTACCCATTATTGGTGTATAGAATATATAAAAGGTTGCTTCAAAACAATTAAAAAACAATTAAAAGACTGGCAACCCAAAATAAAGAAGAAAGACAGGAAGGAAGGCTCTTAAACAGTGTTAATCACCAGATAAATGTTAACTAAAATCATAGGAAATATTATTTTATACCCTCCCCATAACTAAAATTAGAATGAAAATACCAAGTGTTGCCAAGGATTTAGAGTAAGCAAGCAGAACTGAGGAGTAACGTACTGATGTTGAGAGTGTAAATTAGTACCACTACTTTAGAAAGTTCATTGGCATTATTGACTAAGATACATAAACCTCACAACCCTTCAACTCCACACCAAGATATACCACAAAGAAATGAATGCATGCATGTTCCCAGGACATGGGTTCACAGCATCCTTGTTCATAGGAGCCCAAAGCAAAAGCAGCCCAAATGTCCATCAGTCGTGTAGATAAACAAACACTGGCATATCATTTAATGGAATGCTTCATCGTAATTAACACATTACAGCTATTTTGCAACAATGTACACTGATCTCACAAACATGATATTGGATAAAAGAAGCCAGTCAAAAATAATATTTGCTTTATGTTTCCATTTAAATACATTTCAAAACTAAATCAAATTTCAATCGTGTTTGGGAAGGCACACTTAGTAAAGGTAGGAAGAAAACGTATGAAGACAAGCAAGGAAATGATTAGCATGGAAGTCAAGATAATGGTTAACTTTGAAGGGAAGGGAGGAATTTGGATTGGAAAGGGTGCACGGGGGTTCTGGATACTGTCAACTCTATACTTCCTCATCTGCATGATACATACATGAGTGTCAGCTTTATAAGTCATTTATCTGTGACCTTACATTTTACACAGTTTCCTGTATACACTAAAAAGACAGTTTAGAATAAAGTTCATGTAGTATAATTTCTAATCGTGTAAATATATAAAGATAGAATGGTATTTATGGAGCATTAAAATGTCTATTAAAAAGAAGTGCCAAAATATATTAACAGGGAGATTATTCATCAATAATAGGATTTGATGTAATTAAAAATAACTTATATTTGCTTATGTTTTTATGTTTTCTACTCTGATCTTGGATTGCTTAGATTATATAAAACAATAATAATGAGAAAAATATTTCCCCAAGTGAAATGCACATATCTACCTTCTGCTTGAATAAAAGCTAGGTGGTATTGTAATTAACAGTATTTAAATATAATTTCACCCAAAGGAGTCTTAAGTTCTGATCTTGTTTGCTTAGAAATCAAAATGTGAGGAAATGTGGGTAACCGTACTTATCCTTCCTCTACCTTCTCTAGGTCTTTCTTTTCTCTACAACAAGCATAAACATGCATATGTGGGTTGAACAAAATAAACTGGGTTTTCCCAGAGTGTGGCCCACTATATGTGAATATTTTAAGTCCTGTGCATATCACACACACCCACGCGTGCGTGCACGCACGCACACGCACACACAGAGTATGGTGCTTCAAAGAGTTAATGCACACATATTTCGTGTAGAATTTGCAGACGTGTGATCTGAAGTGCACCCTCATGAATCCAATGCCCTCCTGAGGAATAATTTGAACAGAGGAAGAGTTCCTCTATACAGTAAGGTACTTGGACTTCCTATGAATTCAAATACACTGAGGTCGAAGTGACTTTGTAAAAAGTATCTGAGGCAGCTCTTAGTGCCTCTGGGAAAACTCAGTCTAATAATACGTGTTGAATATTTTTACATCTTTATACAGTTTATAATATCTTTGTTTTCCCCAGCCTTTATTATTACTTAGTATACTTCTCTATTCAATACTTACCAAACCCTGAGGCTACCCAATAATAGTGTAATGTTCTTCACTTCAGTCAATGAACTTTAACAGAAACCAATGCATTTTAACTGAATTTTTGTTTATCTCAAGGAGCACATTTTAATGAAATCAATACATTCTTGCTGAAAGCCACATGAATCCATTGGAAAGAATACATTGTTACCGAAACCAATATACACTTTTATAATGTCTGTATGTTTTAGCGTAAGCATAGCCATACATTTTAGCTGTAACCAATATATTTCTGCAGGACTGATACCGAGAAAGCCTTATTTCATAGTGAAGTCAATTCAGTCTTACAGAAACTAATACTGTATTCCATATTCCTGAGCCAGCAGTGTCAGGCTAAATGAAGACTATGATTTATATTGCTGAAAAATGTAAATATTTCCAGAAATGACTTTAAAATAAAAGTGGTTTTGAAAGTATATAAAGTATTTTAATATCTTGATTAGAGTTACAAAAGCAGATGGAGAAAAGTTTTTGAATGGAAAAGTTAAGAGCCTTGTGTACAATGTGTGTTTCAGTTAAATATGCATAAATATATACACTAAAATATATTTATTATTATATTTAGGTGTTAGTTGCTGAATTTTCAAAAACTCCTGTTTATTTCATTGAATGCCCAGAAAAAGGATATCCTTCAAGAAAAATCAGATGTTAAAATATTTAGAGATTTCCTGTCCTAGAAATACCACGTCTTCATCCAACCTAAAAATGACACAAACTCTTAATAGTCTTCCTCTAATTCCCCTCATCCTTCAAAAATGTGAATAATAATAGAATTATTACTAGTCAAAAACTAATAGAGGAACACCGAAGGAAAAACATTCAAGCGATGACTCAACAATAAAATGGTCAAAGAAAAATGTTTAAAACAAGTCATACAGATTTGTGTATATGTGTGCATGTACGTATGCATGTTTGGTGAATTTGTACTTACCACTGCAAAAGTCTCTTGGCCTGAATTATGTAATACCATTTTCTACACTGAGATTGGCCTGCTATACTTTGTACTTAGCCCAGACAGAAATTCTAAAAGCATTACCTGTTAGAAAACTAACATTTTAAAATTCAAATGTGCTTGTATTTAGAAGTGACTGGTTATATCCCAAGACATTATCTAATTGGGAGAGTAACCTTGTTGTATAATTTATCCAGAGTTGGAAAAGCGAGGGCAGTCTGCTTCCCTAGACATCTTTATTTGCCTTTTTAGTTTGCTCTGCTAATGACATTTCCAGAGGATGAAGAAAATGAAGAAAAAAGTCATACAAGAGAAAGTATAATAAACCCAAAAATATTTTTAAAAGCATCTCTCAGGAAAGCATGAATCCTAGTTAAAATTAAAACATTTCTAATATATTTACTTGACATTCATATAAGCAATATAAAAACACACAAGCCATCTGCTTGACGTTTTTGATTAGGAAAAGTAGATAAAACACCAAAATTTAAAAGTAACAACATTATTCTTGCTAAATAAATAAATTAGTAAAGGAAAGGAAAAAATATTACACAGAGCAGATACTAAAGCAAAAAAAATAGGACAGGAAACTTTTTTCTCTTACAAAAGCAATTATTTAAATCACTCAAAGTTCCTTGGCTTCAAGGCTTCTGTGTAAACTTGCATCCTCTAGCTGTGTCTCTGTCACTGCAAAGATCCCAACTCCTAAGTAGCTCTTACTTTTCCCCGGGGTTTATTTTTCTTAAAGGGGTACAATTCAAATGCAGCATTCTGCTTTAAAGATCAGCCTTGACAATAAATACTTATAACTTTCTAAATTGGGTGTGTGGACTCCAGAAATGAAGGCAGGCAGTGAGTCTCAAAAGCACTTCTAATACAAGAAACATCACAAAAATAAGTGCTATATTCTCTTACTTCCCTTTTACAGATCCCTAGTTTTTGTTCAACTGAACAATATTCTGGCTGGGCATGATGGCTCACGCCTGTAATCCTAGCACTTTGGGAGGCTAAGGCGAGTGGATCACCTGAGGTCAGGAGTTCGAGACCAGCCTGACCAACATGGTGAAGCCCTGTCTATACTAAATACAAAAAATTAGCTTGGCATGGTGGCACATGATTGTAATCCCAACTACTTGGGAGGCTGAGGCAGGAGAATTGCTTGAACCCAGAAGGTGGAGGTTGCAGTGAGCTGAGACTGCACCATTGCACTCCAGCCTGGGCAACAAGAGTGAAACTCTATGTCAAAAAAAAATTAATATTCTGAAGTTTAATCATTTTAGCCTTTGATTCATGCACTTTGCTGTCAAGCTTGTCTGCTACTTGGATGCTGGCCTCACTGAAGCCATTTCTAGCATCATTTCATCGGGCCTCGTAACTGTTAAACTGGGCAACTCTGCCCTCTCCATGTGCCCCGAGCTATTCCACTCAAGCTTGGTCTCTTACCTTCTAGCTTTCAACTTCTGCATCTGCTGTTTATTCACCCACATTGAAGAAACTCCCATCATTCTTAATCATTGAGCACCACAACATTCCAATCATCAAAGAATGGCTTGAAATAGAACCTCCTTCACAAACCCTTCCCAAGGCATGTTACCTTTTTGGGGGGAATAAGCTGTAGGCACTTATTATATCCTGTCTTGCACTCACACATTGCTCTTCACATCCATCAAAGTCTCCTTTCTTTTCATTTCACACCCACTCTGTAACTGGCCTCCTCTGTCCTCACTTCACTGTGTCAAGCAGTCAAGCAGTCCCTAAGCAGTAGCAACAAACTGCTATAGCTGGTAGGTTGGTGCCCACACTTTCATAAGTTCAAGCAGAAAGGATGTAATGATTCCAAATGAATTTCAACAGTTTACTGCTCACAGCACAGAAGGCCTGGGTTTCTTGTTCACATGAGTTCCCCTAACTAGCTTTGCAAGTACCACAGGGGTGAGGTCAGTGCTGCACACACATGGATCTGTGTCACAGCTGAGGACTCCAAAATAAGGAGACCTGGATCTTATCTATGGGTCACTGGCCAACCTGCTAGTCCTCCCCTCCAGGGAGAAACAATTACCTTTATTATCTAGAATGCTCTAGTGATGGGAAGGAGACATTATTACGCTGGAATGATTCCAGGAAGAAAAAGATCTGAATCTCTCTGGACGGAAACATTGTCTACAACTTCCCAAGGTTGTCCAATATGCAAATAACCTTGAGCAAACATCCTTTGCTCAGAAGACACGTGCAAATGCCAGACCATGGCGAATAATCTCCCTGCATACTCCCATACCCAGCCCAGATCTCACGGCTTATCATGTCAACACTTTTCTTGCCAATAGCTGCAGCTCCCTCTACACCCTGCCCTGCCACACACACCTTGCCAACACTGATTATCTAGCAGTTTTCCTAGTCACTTTTTCATGGATTTCCTGAGGCAAGGTTAGGAGAAAAACCTTCCCATAGCAAAGATTGATGGCATCTCAATTTAGTTATCTCCAATTTCAGGTAGACCCTCAAAACTTCTCCACAAGCCTTTTCTGGTCTTTGATCAGGTTGTTTTCCCCTCCCCACATTGGCTATTTCAAACCCTCATATCTCCTACAGGCCTTCACAACTCCCTCTAAATCGATGTGCCTCCAACCAAACAAAATTATCTACACCATAGACCCAACCTAAATGCTCAATCCCTATGTTATCAGGCAGACTTGCTTCTTGTTTTGCCCTAGGTTTATGCTTTAATCTCCTACGTCCTATTGTGTCCGGAATTGGTGGGTTCTTGGTCTCACTGACTTCAAGAATTAAGCTGTGGACCCTCACGGTGAGTGTTACAGTTCTTAAAGGCGGCGTGTCCTGAGTTTGTTCCTTCTCATGTTTGGATGTGTTCCGAGCTTCTTCCTTCTGGTGGGTGCATGGTCTCACTGGCCTCAGGAGTGAAGCTGCAGACCTTTGAGGTGAGTGTTACAGTTCATAAAGGCAGCGTGGACCCAAAGAGTGAGCAGCAGCAAGATTTATTGCAAACAGTGAAAGAACAAACCTTCCACAGTGTGAAATGTGACCCGGTTGCCACTGCTGCCTTGGGCAGCCTGCTTTTACTTCCTTATCTGGCCCCACCCACATCCTGCTGATTGGCCCATTTTACAGAGAGCTGATTGGTCTGTTTTGCAGAGAGCTGATTGGTCTGTTTTACAGAGAGCTGATTGGTCCGTTTTGACAGGGTGCTGACTGGTGCATTTACAATCCCTGAGCTAGACACCAAAGTTCTCTAAGTCCCCACTAGATTAGCTAGACACAGAGCAGATTGGTGCATTTACAAACCTTGAGCTAGACACAGGGTGCTGATTGGTGTGTTTACAATCCTTTAGCTAGACATAAAGGTTGTCCAAGTCCCCACCAGATTAGCCAGATACAGAGTGCTGATTGGTGTGTTTACAAACCTTGAGCTAGACACAGAGTGCTGATTGGTGTATTTACAATCCCTTAGCTATAGGTAAAGGTTCTCCAAGTCCCCACCCTATTAGCCAGATACAGAGTGCTGATTGGTGCATTCACAAACATTAAGCTAGACACAGAGGGCTGATTGGTGCATTTACAAACCTTGAGGTAGACACAGAGTGCTGATTGGTGTATATACAATCCCTTAGCTAGACATAAAGTTTCTCCAAGTCCCCACTAGACTCAGGATCCCAGCTGGCTTCACCTAGTGGATCCTGCACCGGGCTGCAGGTGCAGGCAGAGCTGCCTGCCAGTCCCGTGCCGTGCGCCCTCACTCCTCAGCCCTTGGGCAGTCTATGGGACAAGGCGCCGCCGAGTGTGCTCCACGGCACTCGTCGGGGAGGCTTGGGCCGTGCGGTAGCCCACGGGGAGGGGAGGGGGTGGGGGAGGCTTGGGCATGGCGAGCTGCAGGTCCTGAGCCCTGCCCCACGGGGAGGCAGCTGAGGCCTGGTGAGAATTTGAGCACAGTGCCAGCACTGCTGGGGGACCCAGCGCACCCTCCACAGCTGCTGGCCCAGGTGCTAAGCCCCTCACTGCCCCAGGCTGGCAGCTCCGGCTGGCAGCTCCAAGTGCAGGGCCTGCTGAGCCCATGCCCACAGTGCCCACAAGCCTGTGCAGCCCCAGTTCCCACCCGCACCCCTCCCTCCACACCTCCCCACAAGCAGAGGAAGCCAGCTCTGGCCTCGGCCAGCCCAGAGAGGGGCTCCCACAGTGCAGCGGTGGGCTGAAGGGCTCTTCAAGCGCGGCCAGAGTGGTCGCCGAGGCTGAGGAGGCACCGAGAGTGAGCGAGGGCTGCCAGCACGCCGTCACCTCTCACTATGGCTGTGTCTCCACCCAAATCTCATCTTGAAGTATAGCTCCCATCATCCCCACATGTGGTGGGAGGGACCCAATGGGAGGTAATTGAATCATGGGGGCAGGTTTTTCTTATGCTGTTCTCATGATACTAAATAAGTCCCATAAGATCTGGTGGTTTTATGAAGGGCAGCTCCCCTGCACGTGCTGTTTTGCCTGCCGTCATGTAAGACGTGGCTTTGCTTCTCCTTTGCCTTCCACCATGACTGTGAGGTCTCCCCAGCCATGTGGAATTATGAATTCACTAAAACTCTTTTCTTTATAAATTACCCAGTCTCAGGTATGTCTTTATTAGCAGCATGAGAACAGACTAATACAATGTCATTCCTTTCCAAGACTTGCTCCATCAAATTTTCCTCTCCATCCTGCCTCTCCATCTTCTTTATTTCATATTTTCCCTGAAATTCAAGCTGGCTAAATTTCTTTTTATCTTAAAAATAATCAGTCTTAATTATGTCTCCTGTGCTCTTTATTGATCATCCCACCATCTATCTTTCTTTCATAGCTAAATTCCTTGGCAAAAATAATATAAACTAACACTTACCTCTCTGCCCGCTGCTTTCACACCATACCAACCTGCTTTCCTACAGAAAAATGGCCATCCACTTAGTGGCTGCAATGGACAAAATGTTTTTGTCCCCCCACCAATTTCATATGTTAAAACCTTAATCCTAAGTGATGATTTTAGGACATGGGGCATTTGGGAGGTAATTCGTTTATGAAAACTGAACCCTCATGAATGGGATTAGTGCACTTATAAGAGGCCTGGCCAGATCCAGTAGCTCACGCCTGTAGTCCCAGCACTTTGGGAGGCTGAGGCAGGTGGATCACTTGAGGTCAGGAGATCGAGGCCAACCTGGCCAACATGGGGAAATCCCGTCTCTACTAAAAATACAAAAATTAGTTGGGCGTAGTGGTGAGCTCCTGTAATCCTAGCTACTCAGGAGGCTGAGGAAGAAGAATGACTTGAACCCAGGAGGCAGAGCTTGCAGTGAGCTAAGATTGCACCACTGCACTTCAACCTGGGCAACAGAGTGAGATTCCATCTCAAAAAGAAGAGGCCAGAGGACTAGCTAGTGCTCTTTTTACTGTGTGAGGATACAGGGAGGAGCCAGCATTCTGCAAACTGGAAGAAAGCTCCCACCAGAACCCAACTATACTGGCATCCTAATCTCAGGCTTCCAGCTTCAAGAACCATGAGAAATAAATGTCTGTTTCTAAGCAACCCAGTCCGTAGTAATTTGTTATAGAATTCTGAGCTAAGACAATGGCCAAATCAAACATACTTTTCAGTCCATTTCCTACATTTCCCTTCTGTGGTATGACATGCTGTTGATCTCCACGTCTTTGAAATCACTTCTCCACCACTACACTATAAGCTCCTTAAGAGAGAAACCATGTCTTCTTCATCTTTATGTACTCAGTCCCCCACAGAGTCAACGCACATAAAAATGGCTAAATAAATGATTTTTTTTGCACCGATTATCTCCCTTCGTATTGGCGCTTTCTCTTTTACTCCATTAGTTTACCATCCTTTACCTTCCCTTTAAAAGCTGGAGTTCACCCATGACCTCTCCTCTTCCTTGCTCTGAAGCCGGAAGACTGACTCCCTAACTAAATTGCTTATTATGCCACAAAACTTTTTCTCTTTTGCAGGCATCCATGGATTTCTGATCATTACTGGACTTACCAATCTATATGTAACATAACCCCTGACATTCAACATGTTTAAAATTCAACTCATTATTCCTACCCACCTTAAAACCTCCTCAATTCTTAGTGTTCCCAAACGTAGTAGTACCACCCTATGCTCAGTCATTCGAGCCAGAATTATGAGACACATGCGCCATATATGTACTTTCAGGGGGTCTCTTTTGATTTAATCTAGCCAGCAACCCTCCAGCCAGTCCCATTTCTACTGCATGTGACTGTCTTAGTTGAATCCCTTGTAATTTCTCACCTAAAATATTGCAACTGCTCTTCCTGTTCTTACCTGTTCTCCCCTGTTCTCCACACGGCTACTAAAGTGATTATTTGGCAAGTCAAACCTAACTGGGTCAACACTCAGCTTTAACTTCTCCCCATTGCTTAGAGAATAAAGTGTAAGCTCCTTAGCAAGGCATACCCAGTCCTATTCATGGCCTCAGTCTGCCTATTCTTCTAGCATTGTTCCCTGTTCATTCTACAAAGTCGTTCTGTGCAAAGGCTCATTAAAGCATGTGCTTGTTCTCTCATGCAAGGAACTTTTGCTCTCCTATTCGCTTCATTTGCAAGTCTCCCTACCCTTGACTGTACAGTGAACTCCTACTCATACGCCACCTCAAAATGAGCATCATCCTCTCCTCTGTGAATGGACCACAAGGCATTTAGAAGCTCCCTTCACCCTGATGGATATTATGGTGTAGATATCCCTACATCACAGCAATCATTACATTGTTTTATAGCTATTAATATTTCTTCACATCCTTCATGATCTATGATCTTTGAAGGAAAGTGTATTTGTCTTTTATATCTTTGTATGAGAAGTAGTACCATACAGTGTAACATCTTTTGAGCCAAACACATCAGACATTGGCTGAATGTTCTGCAAATATATCTGAACGTTTGTATTAGAGATTTAATTTCTCTAGTCCTTTGTTTTTTAACTTAAAATGGAGGTAAAACAAAATGGAGAATGCTTGATACAGTACCAGGCACATAAAGGCTCTCAATAAATGATAGATGCTGTCATTAGTGGCATCACCATTACCATTATTATCATTATTATTATTACTAATGATTTCCACTGTTCTTCTCAAAGCCTGGTACTCCTCAGGTAATCATTAAGTGTTTTCTGAATAAATAATTTATAATTATTAAATATATATATATGATTACCTTAAATGGTTATCTTGTTGACATTGACTCAGTTATTTGCTATTGTTCCTCCAATAACTTCTAAAGTGATCTTTTCAAGTAGATATTTATTAAATATTTATTGACTGAATTTCTCAGTGATCTTTTGCTTCTGTGGACAAAGAAAGAATAATTATTTCATTTCTTTTTTTTGGGTATATATATATATATATATATATGCTTTATGTACTACCGTCATTTACAATTTTATAGAAAATAATGAATGTATAGAGTTTATATTTGGATTCAACTAAAATTTGCTTGCTATTTAAAAGACTGTCAATAGAAATTAAAGTTAGGGCTTTTGAAAATAAGCCTGATTTAATATACTTAAGCCTCATGACCAGTTTTTAAAACTCTTGAGAAACAACTTGGAAATATCATATATTATGCACAGCCTAAGATTAAAGCACCCATGTTTCTCTCTCGAACTCTTCTGGAATGTAAAGCATTCAAGATTTATTGATAAAAAAGTAAGTGGGGCCAGGTGTGGTGGCTCACATCTGTAATCCCAGTACTTTGGGAGACTGAGGAGGCTGGATCACTTGAGGTCAGGTGTTCGAGACCAACTGGCCAACATGGTGAAACCCCATCTCCACTAAAAATACAAAAACTTAGCTGGGTGTGGTGGTGCACAACTGTAATCCCAGTTACTTGGGAGATTGAGGCAGGAAAATCACTTAATCCCGGGAGGCAGAGGTTGCACTGAGCTGAGATTGCATCACTGCACTCCAACCTAGGTAACACAGTGAGACACCATCTCAAAAAAAAAAAAAAAAAAAAAAAAAAAAAAAGGAAGTGGCATGTTTGTAGATTTAGTTAATTAATGTTAATTAAGCAAAAGATTGTAAGAAACCCTAGTGTGGTAACATAGCTTTGCTTTTTGTAGATATCCTGATGTGACTATAATGCTGTCTAGGACGCTGGAGAAACATCCTCCAAGTCAACATCCTCCTGTGGTCCTGTTGGCACCCTCCAGTGATGCTGGGTAGCCAGTGTTGTGTTGGCACTTGGTATGGCTGCTCTGGGTAATGATGATGATGACTTCATATATGAGTGTCAATTGCCTCATACTCCATATTGTCAGACATTTTGCAAAATGTTCTTTGTTAAACACATTACAAATGCCTATTTTGACCACAGAGTTTCTGAGTAAAGCCAATCAAAAAACTACCAAAAGACTGCTAACTTCAACAAAACTATTACAAACTTCAATGGCTGGAAAGACATTGAGACCAACAGTTTCAATCCCACCCTTTCCAAGGGAAACTTTTAAAGCCTTCATATCCTTCTAACTCACGAGACATCATCCCAGTAATGGACAAGAGTTAGAAACACAAACTTGACTGACTGCCTTTCACCAGAAAGAATATTCAAAAATTAGAGGAATATGACTATCAAAAACATTTACAAAGTATATAGCTATTACTTGAAAGCTATATCTATATATTTTTTTTCCTTATTTTACTATACATAAGAAAAAGACCCTTTATCTCTGTGGCTACTTTCTGACATATTTCTCACCGAACTATAACCTAAAAGACTCCTGAAAAGGAGATTTTTGCATGTGGCAGTAACACCAGTCCTGTGACAGGGAAAGAGCAACCCAGGCTTCTATTCCCTTGTCAGTCATCAGACCACTGTCCATTTCCATACCACATGGCCCATACTCTCATCTTTTCACCAAAATGAGCAGCATTCATAATTTCTAAATTTCAAAGATGTATTTTGTGAACTTTTACTGGAGTTGAGTGCTTTAGAAATAAGGCAAAAGAGTGCTATCGTCAGGGAATTCATCTCACCCTATTGATAAAGCTCAGATCCCACCTGTAGTGGGGGTTCTTGAGTTTAAACCATGGTGAAAATGTGTACACTGCTGACCTCTGGTGGAGATTTTTATTTTACTCTTTTTTGGTTAACTTGTCTTTGTGAAACAAGGGAATTTTACACCAATTACCTTCATAATAGCAAACACAAAAAATATTTTTGAAGTCAATTTAAATACTGTGTGGGACCTGTCAGATGCACAGATGAAATTGGGACAGATAACCTATCAATTTGCTCGTTGCTTACCTGCTAGTCACTCATTAACTTAAAAGTACTTTTAGTGTCTCTTAACTCTGCTACAAAAAAGATTGGAAGATTGGATATTGATGTATGTCCAGTGTGGCCCATTTAAAACATCTGCCATAACCATTTAAAAGCTGTTAATTCATGTCCATTTACCTATCCACACGTCAATTACAGCTAGTGAAATGCATTTGTCAGTTTTTTTCCCCCTTCCCTTCATCTCTGAAACATTCTAACACAAAACTGTGCTTGCTGGAAAAATCTGGTGATTACTAAATTAATGTTTTATTTTTGTCTTAGCATGTCTTTTGGAAAAAACACAGTCCTGATTGTCATATTCTTCTTATGCTTAAGTGCAACAATTGGAACTCAAGAATAGCCCCATGCTTTGCAGGATATGAAAAATAGTTTGAAGTCCAAAGTTCCACCCTCCATATCTAATGATGATCAGTGACTCCGTTACAGAAAGTTTTCCCTCAGTAAACCCGGAGGAAGTGGGTACTTCTTATATTACAAAGATACAATGGCAATCTGTCTGCATGTGATTTTTTTAAAAAACATGGGACCTCTGGATTCTAATTTCTAAAGTTTGAGTAACTTTGGACAAGTCACTATCAGTCACTAAATGTCTGCAAATCTTAGCATAAGAGACACAAAGTTCTTGGAAGTAAAGAGAGGTATTGTGTAGACAGGGACTATCTCTCTGATATATGGCCAGAGACAAAAAATGATGAAAAGCCCAGCCCTGGGAAGGTCTGAGGGAAAAACCAAGCAGAAAGAACAATACAGAACAAGCTCATTTCTTGGAAGATCAGCAGGTTAGTGGGCCCCAGAATAGAGGGATGGAAATGATCAGATGGGACACTGAAGAAGTAAGCAGCTCAGACCACACAGTTCTTATAGACCATACAAAGAATTGGAATTTGATTCTAAGTTTAAAATGGGAGCCATTGGAAGGTTGGAAGCAGGAGAATCATGTGATTTGATTTCAGCTTTTAAATTTTCACTCTGGAGGCAGGGAAGCTGGTCAGGAGACTATTGCAGTAGGACAATATTGCAGAACATGAAAGTGGCTTGGTCTTAGCTGCCGTGGCATAATGAATAACCAAGTATGAGGTGCACAGTTAAAAACAAATTTGAAATGTGTTTTGAAATGAAATGTGTTTTGAATTAAGTTGCATGCTATGACAAATATTATCATTTAATTCTCATTTTTTAGATTACAGAAGCTTAGCATTTTTTTTTTTTTTTAGACGGAGTCTCGCTCTGTCACCCAAGCTGGAGTGCAGTGGTGTGATCTCGGGTCACTGCAACCTCTGTCTTCCAGGTTCAAGTGATTCTCCTGCCTCAGCCTCTCAAGTAGCTGAGACTACAGGTGCGAGCCCCCACACGCGGCTAATTTTTGTATTTTTATTAGAGACGGGGTTTCATCATGTTGGCCAGGCTGGTCTTGAACTCCTGACCTCAGGTGATCTGCTTGCCTCAGTCTCCCAAAGTGTTGGGATTACAGGCGTGAGCCACTGCACCCAGCCTGAAGCTTAGATATTAAGTGATTTGTCCAATGTCACACAACCATTTGGTTGCAGATTTAGAATACAAACCTAGTTGCCGTGGCTTCATATCTGTTATACCTGTTACTCTAGAATAACACTTAATAGCACCAACTTAACATTATTATGAGACCATGGGCCACTTTTAAGAGTTACAGAATTTTTGAGTTGGTAGGAACTTCAAAGATTATCTCCTTCCACACTCTCGCTTTACAGATAAGGAAACCAAGGGAAGTTTTGTATGTTTGTTTTTTGTTTTGTTTTTGTTTTTTCCAAGTTAACTGACTTTCTAAAGCTTGCTCAACAAGTAACGGACAGGGATGGCAACAAGTTCAAGTATCTTGATTCTTAGAGGGATGTTATTTCCACAACAGCATAGCAAGTCCATTATTTGGTGCTTTCTATGACAGGAAATAAAGACATATTTTGAAAGTATGGAGAGAATTTTGCCTACTTCACAGTTATATCCAAATTTATCTTGTTCTTCAAAATAATGGCATTTGCGGCAACCTGAATGGAATTGGAGACTATCATTCTAAGTGAAGTAACTCAGTAATGGAAATCCAAACATATGTTCTCACTCATAAGCAGATGCTAATCCATAAAGACGCAAAGACATAAAAATGATACAATGGGCTTTGGGGACTCGGGGGAAAGGGTGAGATGGGGGTAAGGGATAAAAGCCTACAAACTGGGTTACAGTGTATCCTGCTCGGGCGATGACTGCACCAAAATCTCACAAATTACCACTGAAGAACTTACTCATGTAACCAAACACCACCTGTTCCCCAAAAACCTATGGAAATAAATAATAAAATAAAATAAAATAAAATAAAATAGAGAAGTTGATTTGGCTCACAGAAAAAAATGGATATTTTACATGGTTTCTATGTATATAATTAGACATTTGTTCCTTAAAAAATAAAGATATTTAAGACACTAAAACAAATAAATAAATTTATCTGGTTCTTTATTAAATATCTATTGAACATCTATTTTCGGGCACTATAATAGATTATAAAGATTTCAAAATTAATGTTATAGCCCTCTAGGAGATTGTAATCAAGTGGGAAAGACAAAAATAATGCAAAAATATATTTCAATATAACATGGTAAAAGCCAAAACACAGAAATAAAGATAGTCATGAAAACACAGAGAATGGAGCGATAACTAATCGTATCTAGAAGAGTGAGGAAAGATCCAAAAGTGAAATTTTTTCCAAACCTTGGCCAATAAGCTAGGTGATGATTGGCTTTGATTTTACCCCACGAGTAATGGATGCTAGGCAGACAAGAATGAGATTTTCCCTCTTCTTGATATTTTCAAGATATAAAAAAGGGAGAAAGTATTTCCCAAAAATTAAGGAAGTAGAAGAACTGAGCTTGTCCGTGAAGGCTCTCCTCTCTGATCATATTGGAAGAAGGTCATAACAACATTCTCAGGTTATGTGATGGTAGCTCATTCTAAATCTTTATCAAAAAATGCATTACATTTGTGGTTCGCATCTCCAAAGCTGTGTCATTTCACAGCCGCTACATGCTTTCATGCTATGCATGGAAAAGAAACTCAAGGGTATCCATGGAGCAGTGCTACTATTACTGTTTGGTTTCTTTTCTCCATCTACCTCCTCTCCCAGGATAAGCTCACCCTCCTCTCATTACTCCAACCACTATCTACATGGCTAAATCTCAAATTCATGTCTTCAGGCTAGACCTACCAGAGCAAGAAGGACAATTTCCATGTGGATGGTGTTGAGGGATGTCTCTTTTTCTTGATTGCAATTTACAAAGCAGATATCCAGAGCTGGTTCAGAAGAAAAACCTAGCGGCTGAGTCAGAATGTTCAAAATTAAGAGATTAGATCAAAATAACAAAAAAAAAGTACTAAATGTAAAATAAAGAGCACTGATGACCTCTGCTTTGTGGATCCCATTATACCACATACAGTCTTCTAATATAACACCAGCCATATTTTACTGGGTTTTCTATTTCACATATGTCTCTTTCTTGTTAGAAAATTAGCTCATTAAGAGGAAGGAATATCTCTTGCTCATTTTACATTTCTGGTGCTTAGACCAGGGCCTGGTACAGAAGCACTCAACAACAACAAAAAAACTACATGAATGAGTAAATAAATTAAAAACCATCCTGAGGTATTTGGGGCCTTCATGGTATCTATTACATCTTAGCAGAATAATAGAATCTCTGAAGCATAGCAAGAGAGGGTTGTTAAAGCCCTCCAGGTGTAACCCCACTCATCAAACAACCCTCTTCTTATCTGTGTCATCTGAAGACTTAGGGTGATAGAAGACTCACTGTCTTCTAAGGCCATTTACTAATCTTTGAAAGGCTTAAATGAGAAAGTTGTTTGTTTTAACAAGCTGACAACTCTGGCTTCCTCCCATACATTCTAGCTGCATCCTTAGGGCTTTCAGTGAGTAAATACAATCCCTCAGAAGATGCTTTGCTATCGATTTGAGAGCCTTGTCTAGGCCATATTTGATTTCAGACTGAACTTGTTACAAGCTTTAAGTCTTTTCATTCACAAATCCTAATAAAAGATTATTAAAAAACCAATTGAAATTGCTCAGCACAGCAATATCGAAGTGATGGGTTCTTTCTTGAGGTCTTACCTTCTTTTAATCAAGAAGAAAGAAAAGAACTATAGACTGTTGACAGTAACCATGTGTTATCTACTTTCCGCACACTTCTTTTCTTCATCTAATTTAATTCTTCTAATCAAATCATGGTATTATCATTTTCCCTTTACAGGGAAGCTAATAGGCATTGTTTAAAAGCCAACTGTTCCTGGTTCAAAGATATAATGACCTACATTTGATGTTATGTTGACTCAACTGAAGGACTGTCATAAATTAATGTATGAATTTTAAAACTAAATACATTCTTTAAATTGCAGAGAAATTACCTCCCTCTAGGTAGGTACCATAGATTTTGGAATTAAAGGAATCATGGCTTTATTTCCTGGCTTTACTTCTTCATAGCTAGGTAACCTAAAGCAGGCCTCGTAACTTCTCTGGGATTCAGTGTTCTAATTTGTGAAATTATAGTAGTAACATAGACTATGTAAGGCTAAAGTGAGGATAAAATGGAATCACATATGTCAAGGTGGCAGCACTATGCCCAGCACATGACAGTGGTGATGATGATGAAGAGAACATTGAGATTCAATTAAATTGAAAATATTGCTGCTGGGAGGACCTTTAACAGTTCCCTAATCAAACTCAAACTGACATCAGATCCAGAGGGAGCAAGGGTTTTATTCAAGATCATAGAGCAAGTTAGCTTCCTGCCACCATTCCTAGGTCTACTCTCCTCTCTGCAGTCCAGACAAAGCCCTCCAGGTCTAGCATTTCCTCGACAGGATAGGACAGAAATGAGCAGCCCAGGCATCCTTGGTGTTCAGCTTTCCTCTAGCCCGTGTGAGGGGTGCAGGAGAGAGAGAGAGCACAGTCTAGTTCTCTGCACAGGCTCTTTCTCTGGGGTTTCTTCCCTTCACATTTAATTGCTAAGGACAGTCACATAAAAAATAAATAAATCTTCATTTCTGTGGGGTCCATCTGCTCCCACCACTCACCTGCACATGAAAGATGCCTGCTCGTGAATGCATCTCAATTTCAAATGAACAGTCAAAAAAAATGCTCCCGTCAAGGCTGCCTCACAGTGGGTACAAACCTCTGCAACAGCGCTCCTCCTGAGGCAGCAAGTTCATCCTGTCCATTAGTGAGGAGGATAAGAAGGGCCTGTCAGGGCTGCCTCCCCAGGACACAGGGCCCTCGGGCAGACAGATGCGCTGAGTGTGAAAAGAAATTTTCAAAAGCCTTCCTCGCTCCCAGCCTGGGGCAGAGCAAACAGGGCTGGGACCATCAAAGCCAGCTGCTTGCCTACAGGCTGACACCCCAGCTACTGGGGTTTAATTTCACATTCTTACTCTCTCCCGCTCCAGTTACTTTTGGTGATTATTTTTATCGTGGTATATTTGTAAAATTATTTTTCTTGGATCTTCCCTCTAACACCCATGTGCTGTGGTGATACAGGATCAAAAAGATAGGTTCCTATCTAATCAGGAAAGAGTAAGGAATTATTAAAATTGTCAGGGGAGGGCTAGGGACACTGAATTCTATTTCTTAGATGTTTCCACTTTTCATGATCCCTCTGTCCAATTTTTCCAATCTAAAGAGCAGAGTGATGGGTGCAAATCATTTCTCTATCCTCCCCTCTTTCTTCCCTCAGAAGTGGAGGACAATAATAAGAGGTGGAGAGGGTGATGTAATTTTAGATTCAAAAGAGGGTGGTTTTTAAGTCTTCATAGCCAGTACTACACAGATTGCTGCCATATAATGGAATTCTTCCAAGTATTTTGGGAGGAATCAGCCTTCTGTTCACACGTCAACACATATTTGATATTATCAAATTATTTTATAACTTTCAATGTGCTTCCATGTTTATCTCATTTTAAATCTTACAATGACAGCATCAGATGGGTGTAATTATTCGTTACTTGTTAACAACAGATAAGCCAGAGTATTCAGGGAAAAGGAAGGAGAACAGTTTGCATCGCTCCATTAAGCCTTGGGACATTGTCAGAATAATTGTCAAATAATTCTTTTCAACTAGATTCTCTGTCAAACTGCCTGATACCTGAGCCCAAGGATGGGAGTGAGGGAGGGGAGTGCAGAGAAGGGAGGAGGAACAAGAACCTGCTTGTGGCCCCCAGCTCACAAAAATGAACTCAACTCCAGAGGAAGCTAAATGACTAAATGTGATCCTCCTTAGAGCAATTATCACTCAGACCAAGGAGAGACCAGAAATGGGGAACCGGGGCTTCCAGAGAGTTGATGTCCCCAAGATCATGGCATAAACACTTATGTCGCCATCAAGATCCGATCTCATCAGCAACCCTAGCAGGCCTCCCTGTGAGCCAAATCTCCTCAGCCTTTCTAGGAATCAGTTTTCTCATCTATAATATGAGATGCTTAGACCTCACTGTCTTTCAAATCCTTTTTGACACCAATGTTAAGTGGTTCTAGGACAAATCACAGCATCTACTCAGAATGTATTATTTTAGAGATTTAAATGGACACATAAGCCGTAAAGGGAGTTCTTCATGTTGCTTTTCACTAGTCACATTTTTGACTAGCACTGGGGTTAATATCTCAGTTTTAACCTTTTTTGCACTCCAAGCAGAAAATGCCTTAGATTGGAGGAATGGGTATTATGAGGGGGACTGTCACTTTCCACCATCAGCAGCAGATCTGGGGAAGGAGTCACGCATTATTTGCAGAATAATGGACCTTTCTGATTCACACACCCTCTAGTCAGCTGGTCTGCTCACCAGGGAAAGCAGATCAATGCAGATTTGGGAAATCAAGGAAAAACAAGATGGTGACACTGGAAAGAAAATGAATAAATGACAAGTAAAAAGAGAAAAGAAAGGATATTCCAATATTGGCACCATGCTTCTCCGCATATGTAATGCCTTCAGTGCACCCTCCAAGAAAGGTATGGATATCTCTCCTTTACACATAAAAGAACTAAAGTTCAGAGAGTTTATGTCACCTGCCTAAGGCCATTCAGTGAGCAAATGGGTGAAGTAGAACTTAAAACCAATCTGTCTGACTAAATCCAAAACATCACACTGTGTTCCTGTCAGTCATAGTCAGCTTTGTAAATTTGTGTTGTGTTGGATAAAATATATGTTAATGGTTATGCTTTGTTTTACACTGTAATTCATTAAAATACTTTGCAATTGAAATAAGCTAAAGACCTTGAAGTTTCAAAGTCTACTAAGTAACATCATTAACATGGAGGTAGGTGATAAAAATCTTTCCCAAGTTCCATTATAAAATAGACTTCCCTCCTAATCACAGGTAGCAAAAATGATCTTAAATCATGTTATACTTTATATTTGGGAGAGTTTTATTATTTTGTATTGAATATTTATGGGGTTTTTTAAATTTTCACTTGGGGAGGTGGGCAGTTCCCAGCATCCATTTCTCTTTATTTTTCTTATTACACCTATGCCATTTCCAATCTTTAGTGTTACGGTGGACATGTGACCCATGGCCCACCTATCAGGACAGAGGATTCACCCATCTATATAGATAGGTTTAGGGATTGGTGTTTGATTCAGTCACGAACAATTGGCTGCATACGGCTTTTTCTGAGACTATTGGAAAAGAAGCATGTTCTCAAATCTGTAGACTTTAACCTGTAAATACATGAGCCCAGAACGGTTAGGGGCCACCAGATAATATCTGAGAATAAAGCTACTCAATGTAAGGCAGAGCGAAAAAATGGAGAAGCACCCAACTCTGAAAAAATCAATAGCAACGACTGAAACTATCAATTTTCCTTTTTGCCAGTGTCTGTTTTCTGTTATTAGTGAGTAAAAGAGAACTCACTGGTCCAATTTCATTGTATAGTCCAGATTAATAAAGATTTTTAGCAAAGCAGATTTAGTGTGAAGATAAATGAATGTTTTAGCACAAAACATCACAATTAAAACCTCATGGATTTTACTTCATCACATAATTTCGTCTCTTTGGTAAGCATCACACAAGAAAGAAAATGTCAGGAACAACATTATTTTCATTATTTTGCCACTGATAAGTCTTAAGTAATACCAAGGTAGGAGACTGGCAGGACTTGTTTTCTGGTCACAACCCTGCTGACCAAAACAGGATCTGGTCCACCCAGGATGATGTGAAGAAACTGGCAGGAACCAGCAGATCGTGACAAAAGCCATCCCTAGCTGCCCTCACAGCTCATTAGTGTAAGATACTCTCACCAGCACCATAAGAGTTTACAAATGCCATGACAATGCCCCGAAAGTTACCACCCCTTTCCATGGCAATGGCCCAGAAGTTACTGACTGCTTTCCCTGAAAGTTCTACATAACCCACTCCTCAATTTGCATTAACCCACTCCTTAATTTGCATGTAATTATAAGAGGGTATAAATGAGTATAAACACAGTTGCCAAGAGCCCATACATTGCCAACTCTGGGTGCACTGACTGTGAGTTAGCCCTGCCCTGCAAGAAGCAGTACCATTCCAAAGAAGATTAGGCTTGCCCTTGAATTCTTTCCTGGGTGAAAATAAGAACCCTTCCAGGGTAATCCCCAATTTTGGGGCTCACCTGTCTTACACCAGTACCACAAAGTGCCAACCTTTTTTACCAATCAGATTAAATTTTTCCTCAATTCCCTCTTTGTGAGAATGCCTTTCTTCACTAGGAAATGGGGACCTTCTCTACATTTCTTCAAATCCAAAGCATCAGTTTGGCTGGTATCCGTCCAAGAAGGGAAAATGAAAAGCGTGTTCAGTGCCTGAGGATCCTGTGCTCATTGAAGCACATGCTGCTAGCAGTTTTTTCAGGTGTTAGAGTGACTGAAGACCTCACTATAATTTCTGGACTGAAAATGGTTTCTCTAGATGCTAGAGAGAAAGAGTGGCCTTTCTTCCTCAGTATGATGCTCAAATATTGTCACTCCATGCCCAGATAGGCAGAGCTTCAAATGCCAAAGCATTCTGGAAGCTCAGTGTCCTTCACTTAGGCACACACAGCCATTCCTTGAGGCATGCCCAAGCTGCCAGGGTGACTGGGCTAGGGGGAATCTGACCATGAGCCACAGATTGTGTCCAGAGCTAAGCCTTCCCTATGACCATGGAAAGCCAGAGAGTGCAAGAGAGGGGGAGTTATTAAGGTAAAGAGGTCAGTTCCAGTTACCATCATTGATCAAAGACACAGCTGGGATTTTCCAGCGACCTGAGGCTGTGAGTGTGTGGGTGGGGGAAGGCTCAGAGGTGCTGAACAATCAAAAGACCCTCCTTCCCAGTAGTCCCTGATAGACTACCACACATTCTCGTACTAGTCTAACATATATATTTTTCTAAAGTAATAGGTTTTAGGACTAATTCAAGTTTTTCTTATAACATCCAGAGCAGGATCTATTTTCTGTGTAGAGTTTGCTTTCTATTTCATTCTACTTTGGTTCTCCCCAGCATTAACCTCTGCATCTTGTACTACTTTGTTCTTGTCACCAATCACACTTCCCTGTTTTAGAACAGCATTGACATTTTGTGTGTGCACGGTGCATAAAAGAGTACCTAACCCACTTTCTGCCCTGTGGTATCTCCAGAAATAATACATCTGCCAACCACTCTAAGATATTAATAGCACTCAAAAATGTTTCCCTGTATGCAACTCCAGCCTTGCTATTTATTGTCAGATAGGTATTCAAAATTTCACAGGCCACACAGTCTTTCCTCACTGTCAGGGAAGGACTGGCCCGCCATGAATTGCTCCGATTCTGAATGAGAAGCAGTGAGACCCAAAGCAGCAAGCCCCAGGAACAGGTGACCTTGATCAGAATAATAGAAAATCCACATGCTATAGAATAGGGCAGGGAAAGCAACTCCTCCACACCAAGGTTCTATTGGGCCCCGAGACAAATGCCTCTGCTGTGACATAAACAGTTGTAAAATATCATGCAGAACTTCTAGTTCCACATTTTGGGAGCACACTGAGAAAGAAGGACATGACAGCCGGGTAGTACCCACCAGTCGGAGGCAATCAGACACCCCGGAGCGTCAGGAGGAACTGTAGGGCACTGAAAACGGGAAGAAAATGAAAACTTGGGAGGGCTGGGCACACACACGAGAAAGCGAGGAAGGAAAATGGGTTTCACAAGGAAACCTAGGAGGAGAACTGGCTATCACCCTGGACCCCATTTCTCCAGCTGCTGCACGGAAGTGACAGAATGGCAAGAGTGACCTGGGTGACATGCAGGGATGGGTGCAAAAGCCACCCTCGGTTCAGATGAATGGATCTCGGGTCCCACATGCTGTCAGGACTCTGTGACTCAGTGACGAGTGCCCTCAGGATGATGCCTCCCCAAGCAGCTGGCACTGAGGGGTGACTGTGGTGACATGAAAAGGGGGAGGGAGGGGGGCATGTTTAAGTCACATCAAAAGTTGAGCCTGGGGCTGGGCGCGTGGCTCACGCCTGTAATCCCAGAATTTCGGGAGGCGGAGGTGGGCGGATCACTTGAGGTCAGGAGTTCAAAACCAGTCTGGCCAACATGGTGAGACCCCCGCCCCTCCATCTCCACTAAAAAAAAAAAAAAAATAGCTGTGTGTGTGTGTGTGGTGGTGCAGGCCTGTAATCTTAGCTACTCGGGAGGCTAAGTGGGGCAGGAGACTCGCTTGAACCCAGGAGGCGGAGGTTGCAGTGAGCCGAGATCGTGCCATTGCACTCCAGCCTGGGTGACTCTGTCAAAAAAAAAAAAAAAAAAAAAAAAAAGTTGGGCCTGGAAGAGCTGTTGAGTGAATGTGTTGGGAGAATGAGAAGGAAATGAGGTGTGGCAGGCCTGGCTGACGCCAGGTGGTGGGACACGCCAGTGCCTCCCGTGCTGCCTGAGGGAGAGGCTCTGGCCCCTGGGAGAAGCGCTAGGCCCGGCTGGGATGTCTGGGGCTGTCCCTGAAAGGAGATAGTAACTGTTTGGTTTGTTTGTTTGTTTTGTTTTTAGTGTGGGGCGTTTTTTGTTTGTTTTTAGTGAAACTGTCAATTCTGAGAGAAGCCGTGAGGGAAGCGGAATCTGCTCCTCCAGATGGAAGCGGAGCCGGAGGGACCGCGCGGTGGGAAGCCAGGGTGGGCACCGCGGGCAGAGGCGGGGGTGAGCTGAACCACCGCAAAAGCGGGAGGAGACCCGGGCACCTCGTCTGCCGGCCGGTGCACCGGGGGTCTGCCTTTGACTTGAAGCCTAAAAGGGGGTGAATTTGGGACTCCAAGAGCGGAGATATTTTGTCCAGTCATGCAGGGCGGTCAGCTTAGGCTTGAAATTGGAAGACTGGGGCAGGAGGGAGAGTGGCCCCAAACTCCTTACTCATAAGGGATGAGAGTTAAAAATGGACACGGCGTCAGGATCCCCGTGGCTTAATGCTCATATCCTAGTGAGCCGTCTGTAATGACATTTTTGACGTGGATTATGGCAGTGTTACAACCCTGCTCAGAGGCCGCTTACTGAGTACACCTGGGCTTAACGGGCTCTTCCGGAGACATTAATTCAGACGTGAGAATTAGACTCACGTGTTCATCGCTTCCCCGCTTTTCTGCTAACATCAAATGCAGACTCATGTATTCAGACCCTGCCTTCTACAGCACTCAGACTTAGAAAGTAAACGCATACTTCTGCAGATATATAACAATTTAAAATATCTTATTTTACATTTTTTATATTAAAATTCATTTGGATGCAAACATTAAAATTAACAAATAGAGACAGAAGTGACATGGAACAGCTTAAAATACAAAGATATAAACACTTTTCATCAAGATAAACATTGCCTTAGTGAAACTGGCCCGATTGTCCGTCAGAACTAATGTTTACCGGGTTTTTTTTTGAATAAACATAAAAATTAAACGTCCCATTCTTAAAACTTGAGAAAGCTGTATCTCCATCTGTCTTACCTAAGTTTCTTTCTCGGGAAAACAAACATCAGGCCTCCCAGATAGTATCAAGGAGCTGAAACTCACCAGATCTCTGAACAATGAGAGGCCAGACCCTTCACCCACCGTGACTCTGAAACAGACCACCTGTTTCCTGTTGAGCAGCCCCTCTTCCTTATCCCTTCCCAATTTCTTTTCCTACACATAGGTACATTTCTTCCCTACTATATAAAACCCTGATTTTCGTTGGTCAGGTGGATGGATTTAAGACTGATCTTCCATCCTCTAGGTCGCAGCACCCAAAGCCTTTTTCCCTAACAATACTCATTGTCTCAGTGATTGGCTTTTGGTGCAGAAAGCAATGAGACCTCTACCGACGGGATCTGTACTGAGCCCCTAGCGTCTGGGTAATATATAATAAGTAACTTCCAAGGAATTAAAATGTCATTGCTTAGTACCTGATTTTGGAGGGTTGGGGGTCAGTGGCAAGGGAGATTTCTAGTGAGGATACCAGAGTAAACCATGTTGGTTTGATTGGCAGTAACATACGTTTAAAATGAGAGCTGAGTGAGCTACAAGCTTCAGCAGCATGTTTAACGCATTCTTTATTTACATGTTGTAAATGAAAAGTTACTGCATAACACTTTTTAAAAAGAAAAAAAAAACTTTTATTCTTGAAATGCCCAATTTTAGTTATGGATCATACTAAGTACAAGCAAAGGCTATTTTAGCTGTTCTTAAAACCAAATGCAAAATATACTGGAATAATTTAAATCCTGTTATAAACAAAAGAGATAAGATATAATGACAACTCTAAAATAGCAGGAAAAATTAACTCATTTTAAAATTAGTTGTTAGCAGGTATAATGAAAGAAGATAAATTTAAACAATTAGGAACTGATGAAGACTGTAAAAATTGCTATTTAGAAAGAATAAGTGAGAAAATGCTTGGGAAACATGGATATATATCAAGCAATAGATCTGAATGACAAATACCCTAGGCTATTAAGGAAATTAGTCAAGCAACTTAATTAACTTACAATGATTTTTTCAAAGCTCATGGTAGTTTGGATACTGGCAACATGGTACCCACCTTCAGTAAAAGGTTAGGAGAAATTAACTCAAATATTACCAGTGGTAATTTTCCCACTAATCATAGTCATCATTAGTAAAATTATAAGGTTAGAAACTCAGCACAAGATAAAAAGATTATGGCACCAGAGCCGTAATAACCCTGAGCATGTTAAAATGAAATAAAGCACTCAGTGTGGTGATTCCTCAGGGATCTAGAACTAGAAATACCATTTGACCCAGCCGTCCCATTACTGGGTATATACCCAAAGGACTATAAATCATGCTGCTATAAAGACACATGCACACGTATGTTTACTGCAGCACTATTCACAATAGCAAAGACTTGGAACCAACCCAAATGTCCAACAATGATAGACTGGATTAAGAAAATGTGACACATATACACCATGGAATACTATACAGCCATAAAAAATGATGAGTTCATGTCCTTTGTAGGGACGTGGATGAAATTGGAAATCATCATTCTCAGTAAACTATCGCAAGGACAAAAAACCAAACACCGCATATTCTCACTCATAGGTGGGAATTGAACAATGAGAACACATGGACACAGGAAGGGGAACATCACACTCTGGGGACTGTTGTGGGGTGGGGGGAGGGGGGAGGGATAGCATTAGGTTATATACCTAATGCTAAATGACGAGTTAATGGGTGCAGCACACCAGCATGACACATGTATACATATGTAACTAACCTGCACATTGTGCACATGTACCCTAAAACTTAAAGTATAATAATAATAAAATTTAAAAAAAAGCACACATAACAAAACAATATTCAATATTCCCTCAACATCATTAAGATAGAGGGAAGGAAAATAAAATTTACACTGGCTAGTGAATATGTATTTTTTATAATTTTAGAATGTAAGCACTCAAACATTTACTTACCAAATCACTCTTAATTTGTTTAGAAGTTCAGCTATGTAAATTGAAATGTGTCCTTGGCAAGGGAAGACTAATCATTACCTTCATGTAAAAGAAGTCTCTAGTGAAGGGTCACAATAGTTGACCAGAGAGCTAATTTCCATTAGTGTATACCATTCACTAATGATATCAAGACTGAACATTGTGACATTTGGTTATACCTCAATAGTGAGAGCAATTTTAGGATTTAAAGTTTCATTGCACTGGGAATTTGTGGTTAACATTGGTATGAGTACAAAAAGGGTGTATCTAAAACCTCACAGCCAGGGAAAAACAGCTTTAAATAGGAAAATTGGAAACAAGTATTTGAAAGGAAATAAAATCTTTAATGAAGATAAATGGGTAGATAAAAGCAAGTAATCAGTGGAAGGATATTCCTGAGCAATGCTAATGAATTATTCACTAGAATGGAGCCCACGGGCTGCTGGGAGCTGTCCTCTCCCCACTCCACGGTTCCCGGCAAAGGCAATGACTATACCAGAACTGTCTTCATGCACACTGGGCCAGGCCTTGAGGGGACTCTGACTGTGGCGGATTTGGGATAACTACCTTAATATTGTTGAAAACGACAGCAGCTAGTATTAACATTCTTGGGCAGAATATAAAATAGACACAGACGCCATGGAGGAATAAAGACAGAGCCACCTTGTATAATAGTAAATCACATTCTTGTGAGGTTTTTGTCAGATTCAAGACTAAGAGTAGCTTTCTTCTCACTTCCAAACAATTAAAGGAAAAAGACCATTTCTCTATCAAAAAAAAAAAATCTAAATGTATCGATACCTCTAATATCAGACAAACATTTTAGTTTCATTGAGTTTCTGTTTTGTTTTTCAGTTGTAAAATACATATGGTTTCCTAAAAGATCTACTTATCAAGATGAGTGTAAAGGTTAAATTACCTGAGCTATCCCATGGTAAAGTTGTTCACAGACTTTGAAGTTATATGCACCAGTTATCATCCCCATCATTCTCATTAGATCATGTTTGTACAACTCTCCCCCAAAGTATTAACATATACATGGACCATTTAAGAAACATTTACCTCCCAATAGTGTACTACTGTAGTGAGTCAGGAATACGGTGATAAATAAAACAGTTCTCTGCCCTGAGAATTTATACTCTTGGGTAGAAGGTGATATTTTAGTGCAATGTGACAATGATTCTGATTTTTTTAAAATATGGTTGTACATGGGAAATACACTTATTCCATTCCTGGGTCAAAGAAGTCTTCCTGGAGGAGGTGATATCTAGGACAAGAACTAAAGGATGTGTAAAACTTAGGAAAGTAAGAGAAGGTTTTGATGGGCGAGGACAACTAGGCAGAATAAATGACATGTTCAAACACCTGGAAGAGACATTTATACCAGATTTTTGGAACTCAGCACAGTTCAGTTTAGGTAAAATTTTAAAATGTCATCCTGTGTTTACAGAGAGATGAAACTGGAGGGCTTGATAGAAACCACGTTTTCAATGACTTTATACAACCTGCAACAGAATTTGGACTTTTGCTGGTGGTCAACAGCAGCTGTTAAGGATTTTAAGCAGACCATACTATGATCATATTAGCATTATTAAGGCTTGTATTGAGGATTTAGAATAAGATTATTGATTACTATAGTAATCAATATTGACCACTGCAGCAATCCAGATGAAATATACTAGTAAAATGATCTAAGGGAGAAGGAGTCTGCAAACTTTCACTGCCCATGAAGTTTTACTATAACACAGACACATCCATTTCTGTATTATCTGTGGCTGTTTTAGTGAGACAATGACAGAGCCAAGGAGTCACAGCAGAGACTGGCCTGCAAAGCCTTAAACATTTACTATATGGCACTGACCAGAAACATTGCCACCCCTTGATCTAAAAAAAAAAATTATAGAGAAGGAGAAAGTATTTCAGAAATATCAAGCAGTTAAAATGAATCATTTGTGGCTGGTTAAATGTGGAGTAGGAAGAAAGATAAGTCTAAGATGTCTACTATGGATTGAATGAACAGGTGATTAATAAGCTAGATCTGATATGCCTTCTTTAAAAATGCTCAACTAATATGAAATAATCATGCTACTTGTGATCGCAGCTTAGTGGAATACAAGTAACAACATACTGCAATGTATTAAACCTACAAAATTGTCAGTCTATATGGTTCAACACGTAGATGAAATAGGCCACATTTTATCTGGAATCAAAATTGAAATGAAGATTATCTTCCAAGTAAAGTTAAACTTGCCCCTTCAAATCTGATTTTTTTTTCTTGAATGACTTCCATACTTGTTTCTCTGTGCCATTAACTATGCATGTTGGACAAACTCAAGTCTCACTTTTCTCATTTGCAAAATAACTGCTTTTATTATATCTAATATCTAAAAGTTCAAACATTAATAAATCCAGATAGTATGATTTTCAATTAATTTACAACAAAGTAAAAATATAGTTGAGGTGGCTGTAAATTTGAGTAATAAAACGTCAAGAGACAGAACCCTCTTGTTAGGGAATTATTACTGGGCTTAAAAGGAAGGTTCCAGACTAGATGCTTGGGAGGCATGTATCCAGTCAAGTCCAAAACTGGACTAGATACACACTATGTTTAGTTAGTTATAACTTTTAAAAGTCAACAAGGTAAAAATCTCCTTAATGGCCAACTTTCTGTAATTTCTAATACTTCTGATGCCGTGATGATTCACCTCTATTGAGAAACTCAGTGCAATTACTGATTTGTTTGTCTTTCTTTAATATATAGAACCAATCAGTCTGGTTGGCCTGTCAGTTGACTAATGAGTATATTGGAAAGATTGAGATGGGTCAACTGAAATATATGCCTAAGTCAGCTGCTTTGATTTTTGGTGTCTAGAGATACAGCTTTCTGAACGTTCCTTTTGTCCTGCCTTTTTCTTCTCATATCCTGGTATAATGAGGGGGAAAGAGAGGATCTTTTGTGGTATCACACATTTGGTTGATTATAAGAACACTATACGTCATATAAAAGAAGAAATCGGGAGAACGAAAGTTGTATATATAGTATGTAGTATCAGTGTTGCATTGTCTATTACTTCAGTATTTAGGCATTTGTATTTAAGATCGAAAGTATAAATATTGTGAGTCACGATCAATTTTGCTTTAAATCATTTGGGCAGGTCCAGGGCCCAGGCACATTGGCAGCTAAGGCACCTGTTAAGGGAGATGATAAATTGAGTCCTTAAGTCCTTGGCAGAGGAGCTGACTTAGAGATAAGAGATAAGAAAATTAGTTTGCAATAGAATCTCTAATGATTAGTTGGGATGGAAATCAGAAGGTCTTCTCACAGTCTGATTACATTGTTTTTTATTATCTTGGCAACTTATTTGGAACAGCAGCATATTTTGCAACTTTCTCCCCTCAGTCCCTTCAGTAACATATTTTGGTTGAGTGAACAGTAAATAACAAGAAGAACTAGGGACAATTAACTATTATTGTAGCCCTATGACTAATGAAAATCCGTACATTGCACTTTGGGGAAGAATGTACTTATTAACATGCCTGTGGGGGGTAGGTTAATGTTGCTATTTTAACTTTGCTTGAAAGAAACTAGAGTAACTTACCCAAGGTTATCCAGCTGTCAGAATTACAAAAGCAGAGTTCTTCCCAGCAAAGGCCCCAAGCCACCTTGTGAAGCAAGTCAGGAATACCTGCAGCACCCTCTGGCCATGCCCCAGATTCTAAACACAGAATCCATCTCTGCACAATGAAGATCCTTAGTTAGCTAACTGTTGTACATAGTTACTAGGAAAGCTGAATACTCCCAAAGCTTTTCACATTTTCTTTCTTTCTTTCTTTCTTTCTTTCTTTCCTTTTCTTTCTTGCTTTCTTTTTTCCTTCCTTCCTTCCTTCCTTTCTTTCTTTCTTTATTTATTTATTTCTTCTTTCTTTCTTTCTTTCTTTCTTTCTTTCTTTCTTTCTTTCTTTCTTACTTTTTTAGGAATTTTGAACCCAATAAAACCTTCAGGACTGGAAGGAGATAGTTTTAATGGTGAGGTGACAATTGATGAGGTTGATACGGGAGTTCATGGGCCATCAAATCACACTGTCACTTATCTTTATTAATTCAACTAAAATGTACTGACCACTTACTGGGTAGATCAGTGTTGCTGTGGCATAAATCTTAACAGCGTAGTGTAGTATTAAACATGGGGTAGATACTGAAGGCTTTTCTTATATAACGTGAAAGAGAGTGGTTTATCCTATAGCTACTGGTTAGCTACTGGAAAGTTGTGAACAGATGTATTGTTCAATTAGATTTCTGTGATTGGTTCTGGCAATAATCTGGAGGATGGAGTCGAGGAGAAGTGGGAGCAAGAATGAAGAAGTAACAGCCTTTTTCCAGGAGAGAAATGATGAGGACTTGAATTAGAGCACTGGCCCTAGGTACAGAGAGATGAAGACAGATTATGAGATGTATCAGTACACACAGTACAAGTAGGCAAGGAAGACAGAAGTGACTGGATGCAGGAGGCAAGAGTAAGGAGAAGTCTAAGATGACTGCTGGGCTTCTGGCTTGGAGAACTGACTGGATGATGGTGCTGTTCAGACAGACTGGAATCACAGGAGGTAAATCAGATGAAGGCTGTATGGGGTGCAGCAGATGCAGGAATGGAAAATGTCTTTATTTTGAAAGAAAGTTAAGTGTGAAATGCCTGCAGACATCTGAAGGACAATTTCCAGTAGGCAGTTTTCTATACAGCTCCAGACCTGAAGATGAAATCTGTACCAGCACAAAGATTGTGACAGTCATGATGTAGTTGGCACTCATGCATCTGGGCCGCCCTTGATCTTCACCCAGCTGGTGTTTGATCATAAATGGAGGTTAGAATCCTTAGAACTAAAAAAAAATGAGAGACATTCATTTTCTCTTTGACTTTGTTTGTTTTTAATATTTTTCTTAAAGCCCTGAAGTATTCTGATGATCTTAGCAAGAACCAGGAAAATATGCACTTCAATATCAAGGTGTGTCTAATAAACGTTGGAACGCTTTCATAAAACCAGAAAAATAGGAAGTGTAATTCATAGATGTTTTCCCTGTATTCCCTTTGTTTCCAATGGTTTCTCTGAGTATTTTTAATATTTGCCCTCTGCCTCATAAGAGTCGTTAAAATTTATCTGCAAAACAGTAAACAAAAGTAAAGAATTAAAATGGTCATAATGATGATGAGACTTTATATGTGTAAATCACTAAACACAATGTCTTTAGCTCATAATTATTCAATAAATATTTTTTCTACCCACTTTAATAGATCTACATGTTTACAAAATCTTCTGCAGAATAAAACTAGATGAGTAATATTAATCAAATTACTAGTTGTAAAAAATCAATTCTAAGCATTCCAATTCACTTTGCATTGATTTGCTCTTGAAAACACTTTTAAGGGTTTCCTTCTGGTTCTTTTGTTTCCATTCAAAGCACCAAGAGACTTGCATGCAATAACTGAGGCTTTTTATTTTTAATTACAGAAGATTTGTTTGTTCAGGAATGTGTCTTCTGAAATAAACCTAAAGTTGATCATTGTTACATTGTGAAAAAATAAAATTAAAAACCAAGAATGTTAGCTGAATTCTGATAGATCCATTCCAAGTTAACCTGAAAGTACTTCTTTAAAATAAAAAAGTTGTCATTTGTCTAGAATATATGAGAAGGAAAGCTCACTCATTCAATTCATACAGGCTAATGGCGACACCAAGTGGTATCATATTGGAAATGTTTTTAGTCTGTTTTTGAACTTCTGAAAGAAATTCTAACCTGGGACAATTGTGATTGTGACCAGCATGGTTTGTAATGTAGCTCTAAATAGGGTGGAGTTTTAAAATTATTATTATAACTAGTATTTCTCTAATAAAATTTTTGTCTCCAGCCAAAATAAGAGTCAAAAAAATTCCATATGCACAGTCATGATTAGTAGATAAATGAGCAAAAGTCATTTTACTTATCCTTTTTGGAAAGAAGGTAGGAGGCTGATGGTGTGCAATGTGATTCAGCACTCTGCAGAGGCTGCTGCTATCTCTAATGATCAGGGTTTCCATAGGGAAGTTCAATCCAGTGAGTTCAAATCTTTCTTTGCTCCTTATTAGGTGTTTGATTTGGGGTCCATTATCTCAAATCTCTCAGTAATAAGTTTTTTTCCATATATAAAATGGAGGGTGATATTAACACATTGGGGCTTTGTGAAGATTCAACTAGTTCATGTACAGGAAGTATTAATACAGTGCCTAGCATTGTAGAACATACTGAAAAATTGTGCTTCTTTTTGTTAACTTCATCATCATCATCAAGTCAATCAGATTGACCTATGGATCTCTATACACAAAGTTTGTCTCTCTTCCTTGATGGAATACAATAAAATTTATACCTGATTCCTACCCTCATAGGAAACGCTTGTTTTAGAATCAGTATTTTTGTACCTGAGTATTTTTAAAGCAGTTTTAAAATTACACTAGAATTCATATAGAAAGAAATCATCCTTGGCCTAATCCTGACTCTATTCCTGGAGGTCTATTTGTAACCAAGTCAAGAGAAGAGCAGGGGAACAGGAAGCTTCTGCTCAAATGTCCTCACGTCACCGAAAAATGGAGTGTGATATAACTGTATTTACTTTGTAAAATGATGAGCCTAATATCAATTTAAAGAATAGGTTCAGGAAGGGACAGTCTAGTCTTCAGACTAAAGCAGTAGAGCTAGTTAGGCCTTGGGAAGAGGGAAAATGTGTGTGGAGCTGTGAACAGACAGGTTTTTTATTGGCTATGGGAACACCAGAGAGGTGGAAATCAAGGATGATGCTGCTATTTCTCTTTTCATACCTTGGCAGAAGAAGATCTACAAATCTAGAAGGAAGTGCAAAAACAATTCTCTGTTACTACTTCTAATAATGCAAATCTTAGGGCTTAGAGCAAGGTTTAGAACATATCATGGAAAATGAGGGATTTGAAACTTCAGCAGCTCTTCAACAGTGGTCTCACAGTTCCCATTTGTCTTCCATACCCATAATTCAGGACTTCCACCAACAAGATGTATGCTCCTGGATGAAATCTGAAAATATTAACTGCTGTCATGTTTAAGGACCTGTGCTTAGTGTTGAGCAAGCCATATAAACTCTCTGAGTTTCGATTCCATAAAATAAGGGAGGCATTTAGCATATTCCTAAACTGTCTCCCTATTCAAATATTGAATCTTTGTGACTTTCCCATAAACCGCTTTTTAATCACTGACTTCCCTTAGAATAAAAAAGTTTATCTCTTCCTCCCATGTTGATTTTTCTCTCTACCTAAACAAAAACAAAAATAAACAAATAAAAAACAAACAAAAAACAAAAATGAAAAACCTTACTGCAATCTACCCTGCATTGAAGAATTATATCATAGGTAGGTCCTGGGTTTTATGGAATAAACATAATTTTAAACCTGTTGTCTCCCAAAACACACTTGTGTTGTGCCCTAATTTGGGATTTGGGAAAAACGGTCTCAGTAGAGATAGCTAGAAAGCTTTCTTTCTGCACCTGCTGAAAACCATGTGAACCATTGGATAAGCAAAGCCTTTCCCAGATGAAGGACTTGACTGAGCACTTCAGTCACCAGTGTGCTTCTCAGAAAGGGATACTGGGTCAGCTCTCCCCTCAGCCCTCAGGCCCAGACTCCCAGCCCTCTTTCTGGGAAGGAATTGTCAGGTCATGGACACTTTCCAGGGGGGAAAAGTGTCTAGGGTCTGTCTAGTATAAATAAGCTTTCTAACATACAGTAGCAGCAAAGCAACTTGAGCCACTGAGCCCTGTGGCAGGCGTTTCCTCCAAGCCTTGGTTCTCTAATTGAATGTCACTCTTTTTATTAGGAGGAGAAGGAGATTGCCTAGAGACATTGCTTAACACTTAAGTAGGCTCGCCTAAACCCCTTTCTCTGACACAAGCAGCAGCCCTGGAGAACTGTTAGCAAAGGGCTTCATTCTAATGAGAGAAACTTCAAAGGCCCCAAATGAGGAAAGAAGTGTCGCTGGAAAATGTTGAAATGACAAATAGCGGTATTTCCACTGACAAAAGATGAAGATGAAACAAATGTTAGAACAGAAAACATGATTTTATTTTGCCATGCTCTCACTGGAAACTATCATCAAAGCCCTTAACTGAAATGAAAAAGGTATCGACATAACAAGCACACCAGAGTGAAGTTAGATTTCTAACAACGAAAGTCATCTTTGAAATAAGAAAAGCTTACAAAGTAATGAAAAATCTCAATGCAGAAAGGAAAGCATATGGCCCAAAATAGTGTTGTGCTGCGGATTTGTTAGGAACGTCAAGCTGGAAGCCACTTAGGGATCATCTAGGCAAACCCTTTTATGTTTCAAAGGAGAATTTGAGCCCAAAGGATTTTAAGTAACTTGCTCAAGGTCATATAACTAGTTAGTGACTTCGGAATTGTTAGCAACTGCCTTCCCTACCTCCGTGGAGCCAGTTCCTGAAGTCTATCTACAAATCCACCCTTGCCCGGTTACTGAGACAGCCCTGGTCAGGGCTGAAGTTGAAGTTCACCAAATGCTGGACCCTGGTATTTGTCCACCCCCACAACTGGGCAGGCCGATGCTCTCTGAAGTTAGGTCTGTCTGACACATGACAACAGCCACAGGGACAAAAACTTTTTGCCCATTATGCTTCTAGAATATGGTATGTTCTGGAAGAATAATGGGCAAAAAGAATGGAGGGCTGGCGAAGGCATGGTGCATCCTAAAACCTGGAGCCTACAGAATTAAACATTATAGATAGGAGAAAAGATAAAAAGGCCCAAAAGGTAAAATTTATTATTTTAAAAAAATGTGCTTAATAGGAGAGGGCCTGAGGCTGACTCAAGAGGCGAGATATTCAGATTGCTAGCCTTTCAGAAACTGGCTAAAGGATTTGAATCTGGGTAGCTCAATTTGCCTTCCAGATATACAGGTCTCACATTTTTTCAAGAATAAGTAGGAATTTTTAAAAACGGCATGGAGCCTGAAGAGATGAACAATCTTCGATCAAAGGAAAAGAAGCAGCATGCAAAATACTCAGAAAAAAGATAATCTGAAAATGATGTCCCGTAGAATCCAAAGATAATGTGTGGAAACTGTTTGGAATATGCAACAAAAACAAGATATATTATTTATGAAACAGGATGATCACAGTGAAAGGAGTCTGGCATGAAAAGACTGAGAGAGTTGGCATGAGGAAGGATTGCTGATAGGATGCTCAGCCCACACTCTCTCTTCTGAGGTCTTCAGCGTTCCCAGCCATTCCCAGGGCCCTTTCATCCATCTAGAATTCTCTCCCAAGCTTCATACCCAGCTATGAGGCTACCTTTGTGAAATTTAAATGTATACATTGCAGGAACCTCAATTGTAACAGGTTCAAAATGGAACCCTTGGTCCCCATCTCACCCAAAGCCTTCAGCAAGAAAGGCACCTCTTTTCAGTCCTTTGCTTATCCCAAATCCTTGTATAATTTATCTGCCCTCACTATTCCCATACCTATCCTGGTACATTCTGTCCAACATGAGAACCTATGATTCCTCCTTGAAATATGTCTCTAACAATTTCCTTTTCTGCATACACTACTCCACTACTTTCAATTAATATCCCTCATCTCTTGCCAAGAACTATTAAAATGATATTCTCACTGGGCTTCTTGTTTCTATTTTTGCCTCCTTTTATTTTATTCTCCATATAGTAGTCCAAATTACCTTTAGACACTGCAAATTTAAGTGTTTCTCTCCTGAACTCAAAACTCTTTAAAAGGTGCCAATAGCATGAATTATGAATATAAGTCTTTTTCCTGGCCTAACTTAACAACTTTGATGTTCCAAATCTACCGGCCTCATTAGTTTCTTTTGCTACCATTCCCCTTCTGTTTCATAACTCTGCTTCCACATAGACACTGTTTCTGTTCTCCTTCAATAAGCATCATCTTTCACCATCAGGATTTTGCACATGCTCTTCCTTCTTTCCGGAACACCTTTCCCCATTAACATAGCCTTACCCAAAATTTAGATCTTAAATGGTACTTTCTCAAAGAGGGTTTCCCTCACTGCCAATCTAAATATGTCTCCCAGGTTACCTTTTCATGGCATTCTTTGCTTCCTTTCTTAACACTTAGTTAGGACAGTTAATAATTATATTGTTTTGCATCTCTTTTGCTTATTATTATAACCTACACTACCACAATAGGAAATGGCACAAGGAGACAATCCATAAATAGCAATCTGTTGGCATGTGAAATTAGATAAAGAACATAAGCTTGCCTCCTTTACCTCTAAATATCCTATTGTAATGACTGTAAGAATGGAAAAGGAAACATACCAAAGAAAATTGGAGAGATAGGAGGGTATTCCATGGTAGCTGGAAGGTTTGGAGATAGGAGGGTATTCCATGGTAGCTGGAAGGTTTTGGGTTGATTTCCGAAAGTAATAATGTATATGGCTATTGATGGATAAATCAGGGTGGAGGAACTTGCTCAGTACACATAAAGAAGAATGCCAGGCACTGGGGGGAATCAGAATTCTCAGAGAGGCTCATGAGCCAGTGGACACTGACTGGAGCGGGGGGAAGAAAGAGACAGAACCACAATGGATCCATGGCTCCCATCTTTCTGTTGGCAGAGTAATCGGCAACCCAGAATTACTCCCTAAAGAAAAAAAAAATTGTGAACTTCTTTGGAAAGTAATTCTTAAAAGCTGCCCTGAGAGAAAAGGAGATTTGAATGTGGCTGATAGAGCCCAATAGTAGAACTCTTCTAATTCTGAAATTCAAGGGAGTGAAGGCAGAGGAAGGGGAGTGGAAGTAGCTAGAAGGGGCCACCCCTCCGGGCTTCTTTGCCTGCGCAACATGCAGGTCGACATATTTGTCCATAAAAAGCAGGCTGCCCAATTAGTCACACTTTCTGAGACACGTGTCCCATGTATTCAGCAGTAGAGATTACGTAAACCAGCTACCTACCTCAATAATCAAAATTATCATTACTAGATATGAATGGACAATCAAAATTTACAAGGAGCTGTGGAGAACATCATTAGTTTGCAATGCAAGAACCAAGATTGACACTCAGAAGAGCTGACTCCGAAAGAAACATTTCAGACAGGAATATTAAAAATTTTGATAGGATTTTTAGCTAACTCAAGAAGTCATTACACACACACGCACACACACACACACACACATACATACACAGATATTAAAAAGGAATAACCAAAAGGCAAGATAGTGTTCGTGAAGTTTAGAACATTGTTGAAAAAAATAAACCAGAAGAGCTACGAGAAAAAGTTCAGAAAATATCTCAGGATTTAAGAATGGAAAACAGAAAAGTTGAGATGTAAAAGATCAATTCAGAGGGCCCAGCATTTGATGTGTATACTTTCTAGACAGTAAGATGGGAAGGAAATAAATAATTAAATAAATTGTACCATATTTCATAAATGCTAAAATGACCTCATCTCTAAAATGCATTATTATTTCACATATTACTAAGGAAATAAAAGCTCTGGCAATTGAATTATGATGCCACATTTTCATCCACTTGAATTGTTATTTTAAAATATGTAAAGAGTTCTTTTAGATATGTTCAGACATATATTTTATTATATATTAGTCTTGATCATATATAAAATTAAATATTTGTAAAATAATTTCAAAACATATTCAGTCTGACTCTTTTAAATAGTTACGGGTCTTAAGGTCATATATGCTCATTTTTCACCCCAATATTGCTTATTGTACCATCAGGAACTTTAGGACATGGGCATTATGAAACACTTCTAACTGTCACCAAACATAATACTATTAACTCAGATTTTCTTCCAAGCTTCTGAAACCATTTCTGCAAGTTTTGATGTTGGCATTATTTCATATGGTATGTATAGTTAATACAATAGCCCAGCTTCCACTTGTAAGGAGGGTGGCTGCCTTTCTTAGTCCCTATAAAGCATGGGCATTGCTTTGCAAGAAAACAGTAAATTTCACTCATTCATCCAAATATAAGTATTTGCTTCCCTAATATCAACTATTGCATCACCATTCCATTTCAGTAATTTTCAGCATTCACAATAAATTTTCGACTTCAAATAACAATACATTGTTTCAAAATTAATGGCAGCTCTACTCAACAAATACAGCACCAACATGAACTTGCGGTGACAACAATATAGGCACCAATGATGAAATACACACTTGTATGGACACTGATAATTACATCAAGATCTTAATTTCAGAAGCATGAAGATATACAAAAATAGATCTTAATATGGGCCTTAAGCACAGTGGAATATTCAGCTTTTTATTAAATTTCTATTTTTTATGTTCATCTGTCCAACATTGAAAGAGGCATATTAAAGTTTGAATTTTATCTTCACTATGAATCATACCCTTTTCTATACCAAATGACAGCATTTCTGCTTTTTTATTTATTTCATTGAAGTCTACTTTTTTATATTAATAGCTTGACACCTGATGTCTTTTTGTTTAAATTTACTTGATACATCTTTGCCTATCATTTCACATTTATATTTCTTGTCACTTTATTTGAGATAAGCTAACTGAAAACCACATTTGGCAAAACACTGCTGTTCATTTCCAATCTAAAAGATTTTTGTCTTTTAGTAGGGAAATTACACTTAGTTTGATTATAAAATTTACATAATTTAGATTCATCTCCCTTAGCTGATTTTAGTTCTTGTCACATCATTTTATACCATGATTTCTTCATTCTTTTGTTAAATTTCTTTTTATTGTGAAATATATCATGCTCATAAAACAATGTGTGTGTGTATATATACATATATATATATATATGTTAATAGTAAGTTGAATAAACATCTAATACCCACTACCCAGCTTAAGAAACAGAAGATCATAAATGACTTTGAAGTTCTTATTGATCTAATGGATCACATTCATTCCTTCCCCCAGATTTAATACTATCTTGTATTTTGTGTTAATAATTATTTTTTATGCCTTTGCCATATATATGCACCTTAAAAAAACATAATGATCAGTTTACCTATTCCTGGATTTTATACAAAGGGAATTGACACCTGCTATTTTTGCTCTGCATGATGTTTTGTGTTGGTAGCTGTTATTAATTAATTTTCCATAATGTGTGGTATTCCATCCAAAGCTGTACAACCTCCCAACAGTATTAGTAACATTGTGTTCTATATGAATAGTGCTGACCATGGGAACAGCGCACCAGAACTGAGCAAGATGATGACTGTGATTCTACTGTATGAGTGCAATATCATTTGTTCCTTTGAATAATTCATTATTTATTATTTCTATTTATTTTTCTTGCTATGAGTATGATTTTGCATGTCTTCTGAACATATATGCAAGAGCTTCTTTAGGGTTTCTAACTAGGAGTAGAATATCTTAGCTTTACTAAGTAATGCGAGATCATTTTCCTAAGTGGTTTTACCAATGCCTGTTCCCACCAGCCATGTGCAAGGACTGTTATTGATGTTTGCCAAGATTTGGTATCAACAGACTTTTAAAATTTAGAGTCCGTTCTCTAATTTCTATTTTAGTTTGTTTTCTCTTATTAATGAGATTGAACATCTTTTCATATGTTTATTGGCCTTTTATTATTTTATCTTTTGTGAAGTAGCTGTTCAGATCTTTGTCTATTTTTCAATGTGGTTGTTTGCCTTTTTCTCACAGATTCTTTCATGGAAATACTTCATATTTAAGATAATTATCTTTTTATGGTTAAATGTGCTAAACTATCATCTCTTAGTTTCTGTTTGTATTTTTATAATTTTTATGATATATTTTTAAAGTAATTTAAATACATGTATTTTAATGTTGATTTTTTCAATTGTTTCCTCTTATTGTTTTGTCACAAATATATGACAAAAATCCTTCACTTCACTAAGGTTATAAATTATTTTGCCATACTTTCTGGTAGAACTTTAATTTTTTCAACAGTTAACTTATTAGCCCATTTATACCTAGTGTCCCATTATCGGAATGCTAAGCTTGTGGGCATTATTGATATCCAACTGCTCAAGGTCATCATCAAGGTCTGATTCTTCACAAAAAAACTTTTGCAGCTTCCGGCATAAATGGGTTGTCAGCAATTCTTTGGTTTTCATCTTTTACATAAGAAAAATCAGTTTTCCCAGCACACTACACTGGGCGATCATTTCCCTGCGGATCTCTAATGCCAGTTCTTTATCATCTCACATTTCCACATATGAAGAGAACTATGCTTCTGAGCTCAGCTCTCTATTCTGTGCCATTGATCTGTTTGTCTATCCCTGTGTACACACCATGCTACATCACTAGAGTTTTATAATAAGTTTTAATGTCTGCTAAAGCAAATCTTCTCAACTTGATCTTTTTCTTTAGAAGTGTCTTGGTTATTTTGGCCCTTTGCTTATTTATGTAAATTTTTAAATACATTTTTCAAGTTCCACAGAACACATTGCTAGGATTTGGACTAGAATTACATTGCATCAATAAGACAAGTGAGGGAGAACTGACAACTTTTCAACTCAAGGTCTTTCTATGAATGACATGAAATAGCTCCATTTATTTTGGTCATCTTTAATGACATTCTATAGCATTTGATAATTTTCAACATAACAATCTTGCTTATTTTTTGTTAATTATCATTCCTAAGAATCTTAAGGTTTTTGAGCTAGTGCAAATTTAATGACATTCTCTAACTATTGCTATTTAGATGCATAAAAATGCAAATTGCTCTTGTATAATAATGATAGTTACTAACTGTATGCTGCGTTCTACTGTACCAGGTCCTGAGCTAACCTCTTTATATACTGATTAAATCCTCTCGACAACTCTATGAGCTAGGTCCTGTTATTATAACCACGTCTCAGATTAGGAGACTGAAGCACTGAGAGGGTTCGTTAATTCACCCTTCTACGAGCTCTAGCAAGTGCAAGACTGGAGTTTGAACCCCAGAATCTGACCAGTGTTTAGGCTCTAGTGTATGGCCTATCGTGATTTGCATCTGCTATGCTCAAATTGTTTTTGAATTATATTTGAATAACTTAAATTTTAAATAATTATATTTGAATAATAGAGAATTTAATAATTCTCTATTATTTGTGATGCAGTCCTATAATCATATAATCTAGGAATACGGTTTTGTTTTGTTATTCAAATTATTATGCTTTTGTATATTGTTCTGGCCAAAACCTAGGGTTCACTACTGAATAAGAGTAATGGGCCAGGCATGGTGGCTCACATCTGCAATCCTAGCACTTTGGGAGGCCAAGGCAGACAGATCACCTGAGCTCAGGAGTTCGAGACCAGCCTGGCCAACATAGTAAAACCCTGTCTCTAGTAAAAATTAAAAAAAAAAAAATTAGCCCGCGTGGTGGCAGGGGCCTGTAATCCCAGCTACTCAAGAGGTTGAGGCAGGAGAATCACTTGAACCTGGGAGGTGGAAGTTGCAGTGAGCCGAGATCATGCCATTGCACTCCAGCCTGAGTGACAGAGCGAGACTCTGTGTCAAAAAAATAAAAAGGTACTGGAAATCCCCTCTCTCCTTTGTTTATTAAGAATTTTTCTCCTGAATACGTGTTAAAGCTTAATGAATGTTTTTTCCACACCTCTTGAAGTAATTGAGCAATTCTTTCATTTTGTTTAACCTGTCAACTTGGTAAAGCATAAAAATTCATTTTTAAATGTTGCACCAACCTTACATTTTATGATACAAAATACTTTTCATATAATAGTCTTATAATAACTTTGGGTTTGATTTGTCATAATTAATTAATTAATTAAAAATTAAGTAACAAAATATTAAGAACATACCTATTATCCAACAGTTTAGACTGGCTTTTGATGTTCTGTTCTTGTACAGTTCATATCTGATTTTGGTATTGATATGGGTTGGGTCTGTGTTCCCGCCCAAATCTCATGTCAACTTGTAATCCCCAGTGTTGGAGGTGGGGCCTGGTGGGAGGTGATTGGATCACAAGGACAGATTTCCTTCTTGGTGCTGTTCTCATGAGAGTGAGTGACTTACCATGAGATCTGATTGTATAAAAGGGCATAGCACCTCTCCCTTTCTCTCTTCCTCCTGCTCCAACCATGTAAGACATGCCTGCTTCCTCTTCACCTTTCGCCATGATTTTAAGTTTCTGGAAGCCTCCCCAGAAGCAGAATCCTGTACAACCTGTAGAACCATGAGCCAATTAAGCCTCTTTTCTTTATAAATTGCCAGTCTCAGGTATTTATAATACCAGTGAGAGAACGGACTAATACAGGTATCAAAGTTATATTAGCTTTATAAAATTAGTTGAAGAGTACGCTTTTATTTTTAAAATAATGGCAAGATATTCTTTTTGTAAATGTAGATCATCTCTTTCTTTTCGTTTGCTGAAATTTACTTGTAAAATCATCTGAAACTGGTGTTTTCTCTATGGGAGAACGTTAAATTTTTGATTTAATTTTTTAAATGTTTATAGGCTCATTCAGGTTGTTTTTTTCCTTACAAATTTGGTTTTGTAAATTATACATCTTCTTGAAGACTTTTCTGTTTCTCTTAGGTTTTCAAATATATTGACATAAAGTTGTTTATGGTATTATTTTATTATATTGTAATCTCTGCTGCATCTATAATTATGTCTCCTTTTTCATTTTTACTCTTTTTTATCTGTGCCATCTTGTATTTTTTTCATTGCAGTTAATCTTTCTGGAGGTTATTTTACTTTTTCAAAGAATCAAGTTTTCATTTTTTAGATCCTCTCTATTATATTGTTTGTCTGCTGTTTCATAAGTATCTTCTTTTATTTTTAGTATTTTCTTTCCTCTGAGTCATTTGGGTTTATTCTACTTACACATTTCTAATTAAGTTGGATGCATAGGTTTTTTTCAGCCTTGTTTTTTCTAATACAGACATCAAAATCTACAAATTCCCATGAAGTTCCATTTTAGCTGTACCCCAAAAGTTTTTATTTTACTTTATTTTGTCATTGAATTAGAACTTATACAAAGTACTCTAGTCATAAGTATATACCTAGTGATTTTCAAAATAATAGCTAATAATTTTAATCCATGTAACTATCACCAGATCAAGACATAGAGTATTTCCAGACTCCTAGTCAATTACCCCACGCTACTTCCATCGTCTCTGACTGCCATAATACAATACCACAGACTGGGTGGCTTAAATAAGAGAAATTTGGTTTGCATTCTTGAGGCTGGCAGTTTGCAATTAGGGTGCCAGCATGTCTGGGTTCTAGAGAGGACCCTCTTCCTGGGTTGTGGACAGCTGCCATCTCTGTGTCCTCATGTGGCATTTCCTCGGTGTGTTAGTCTCTCTTCTTTTAAGGGCATTAATCCCACATGAGGGTTCCCATTCTCAAGACCTCATATAACTCAAATTACCTCCCAAAGGCCCCATCTCTGAAAAACATCAAATTGGGGGTTAGAGCTTCAACATATGAATTTGAAACAAAAACATTCAATCCATAACACTTGGCCACAGAATATACCTATGTACTAAGGCAGCCTTAACTTTCCCTCAGCTTGACTATCTTTAAATAGGTTTCTTCTTGCCTCTAGGTGCCTGATCTCCCTCTCATCCCAGCACTCACGGAATCCAGATGACATAACCACATGGCCATTTTATCAGAGCACTGACTTTAGAAAACTTGTCATTGTCGATGATTTCTCTGTTCCTTGGACATGTAAATCTTTTTAAAAGCCTCTTGACAATTTTTCAATGCAGGACTCTTTCCTAAGGACCTGGGAGCTGTTTCAAAAATCATCAAGGAAGATAGCATCTTATTTCCCTGTTTCTGTGGGAGGGTGGGAGAATAATATCAGCGGGCACCTTGCTTGAAGTTGTAAAATTACCTCCTGCCATGAAGATATGAGAAAATTTATTTTTCCTTTAGGTAAGGCCAAGTAGAAAACCCACATGTCCTAATACCTCTCCCCACCCCAGTTCTCAAAAACTCTCCAGCCCTTTGTTTTAGTGAAGTTGAGCACAGACTGAGATCTGATCTCTCTCCCCTATAGTAATAGCATTGAATAAACACTTCCTTACAGGCTATCTTAGTCTGTTCAGGCTGCTAAACAAAAGACCATAAATTTGGTGGCTTATAAACAACATAAATTTATTTCGTACAATTTTAGAGGCTGGGAAGTCCAAAATCAAAGTACCATTATATTTGATGTCTGGTAAGGGCTTATTCTCTGCTTTATAGATGGCACCTTCTCACTGTGTACTCACATGGCAGAGGGGCAAGGTAGTTCTCTGGGGCCCCTTTTATGAGGACATCAATCCCATTTATGAGGGCTTTTTCCTCAGGACCTAATCACCTCCCAAAGGTCCCACCTCTTAATACTGATACATTGGATGTTGGGTTTCAACATATAAATTTTGGTGGAAGACGGCATTCAGGTTATAGGACATGCTTAACTTTGCTTAGTGCAACGTTTGCTTCAACACTATTAGGCTTTTGTAGATATGGCCAATTTTTTGAGTGTCTTTACTAATTTATTCCCAAGAAAAATGTAGGAGAATTCCAGTTGTTCTACATCGTTGCCCACTCTTGATGTTGTCAGTGGTTTTAATTTTACCTACTTTGGTAGAGTTGTGGTGGTATTTCACTGTGCATTTCATATGAATGTCTTGATAACTACCATAACCAAATCCTTTTATATTTCCTTCTTGGACATTTGAATGTCTTCTTTTGTATTTATTCAGGTGTTTTGTGGGACCCAAAGAAGCTCGCAGGTTGCAATTAGTTATCACACATCCTCCTGTGGCACTTCCACAGTGCTTGTCTTTTATGACATTGCCTCTTTTAGAGAGTTTCAGCCAATTATTTGGTAGAATATCCCTCAATTCAATGCCGTCTGATGTTTCTGTACTTACACTCAGGTGCTGATAATGTTGGCAAGAATGTCACAGAAGAAGCTTGTGCTTCTCAGTGTATCCTGTTAGGAGGCACAAGATGAGAGTTTGTTACATTCTTGGAGATAATGACACTAAACAACAGAAGCATTCCTTTAAAGTTTCTGTAGAGAAAAATGTTCAGTGTGGCACCATTGCTAGATAAAATGAATGTAAATAAATAAGTGAAGTAAAAATAAATAAAAATCAGCAAGCTTTCAAATTTCCAAATATTCTGAAATATTAAAATATACTTTTTATTTAAAATAATATACATAGCTCTTAAAAGTGATCTTATCATAATCTTTTAAATGTTAAAATATCACAGTTTATAAATAGGTATATGCCAAACCATGAATAACCACAGATTAGTAAGTGAATTTTAGAAGTAGCCAATTTGGAAATAATTCAAAATATAGTTATTGTAATTATTTAATTGCCATAAATTTCTCAAGTTCTCTAGGGCTTTTTTCCTCTTCTCTATACCGCTTTTATTTTATATCAATTCAACTTACTGAGAGGAATTTTCAAGGCTTTTTTTCTTTTCAGCAAGCCTGTTAGCCATGCTAAGCAAATACTGAGTGCCAGGTTTTTTAACTTAATGACAAGTGGCTGGAAACTCTGGTGAATGTCTTCCTCTATATTTAAGAAAATTTATCTGTTGAGAAAAACACTTTAAAATTACCACTATTGTCTTCCGGTCTCCAAAAAAGATATAGGCAAAACAGTTTTCTCAAATACTCCATAAAATTTTTCCTTTAAAAAGAGATTATTTTATTTTAAACAAGAAATCAATACCCACTAGGAAAGCAATACCATGTCAGAGTGAGAAAGAGAGTGTGTATATCCTCCAGAGGCCAAATAGAATGTAATTTTAAAATGTGCAATGGTTAATTCTGTTTATCAATTTTTCTGGGCCACAGGATGCCCAGACATTTGGAACATCATTATGCTAGGTATGTCTGTGAGGGTGTTTCTGGGTGAGACTGACATTTTGCAATGGTACACCAAGTAAAGCTGACTGCCCTCCTTAATGTGGGTGGCCCCCCTCCAGTCAACCAAAGGCCTGCATACAACAAAATGTCTGAGTAAGAGGAAATTTCACCTGCCTGACACTGGAATTGGAGCATCAGTCTCCTCCTGCCCTCTGACTGGAACTTACACCACCAGCTCTCCAGGTTCTCAGGCCTTCACATTCAGGCTGGAACTACTCCACCAGCTTTCTTGAATCTCCAGCTTGCTTACTGCAGATCTTAGCACTTCTCAGTTTCCGTAATTGCATGAGCCAATTTCTCATAACAAATACACACACACACACACACACACACACACACACACACACATTTGTCCCTCAATATCCAATGGAGTTTGGTTCTAGGACCTCCCACAGATACTAATACCCCCCGGTGCTCAAGTCTCTGATATAAAATGCCATGGAATTTGCACATAATCTATGCCTTTACTTCAACATCACTGCCTCAGCGGCTTCCCCAGTCCCTACCCTGGAGATGGTCCCCACTTCACTCTTTCCCACCTGCACTTCCTCAGACTAACCCATCAATCACTGCATTGTCATTACTCCTGTGATTGGCAGCTCCTCTACCAGGCAAACTCTCTAAAATCAGTCCCGGTGGCCCCAACTCAGCATCAGGAACAGTGCTGGGTAAAAGGGGGCTCGACAACGTGGAACTGAATAAAAGAATTAGGAGGGACAAGAAGTGCTTGCACTTAGAAGTGGATTTGGAGCGCTAGTTTTAGCAGGACCTTTCCTGAGAAGACTGAGGCCAGGTGTCAGTAGGCAGGTGCCTGAGAAGAGAATGCGAGGAGAGGAGATGGAAATGCGGTCAGACGGCCAAGAACGCAGGACTCCCGGGCACTGGTGGCTGAGCGTGCCGGGGGCTTCCATTCGGGCCTGCAGACACCCACAGACCTTATTATCCCGGCCCCGCCGGCTTGGGGGCCTTCTGCCTTCCTTCTCAAAGGGCACGACCGCAGGCGGCGGCGACCACAGACGGCGGCGACTGCAGGCGGCGGTGGGGCACGAGTCGGCACCGAGGGCGGACCCGCGGTCGGGGTGAGTCCCTACCTCCTGGGAGAGGCTGGGGCCGCGTGGGGGACCCGGGGCGGGGTCGGCCGACGCCCCTTCCCCAGCACCCGCCCTCCCCGGCTTCTCCAAGGCCTCACCCCGCCGCGGGAAGAGCAGGTGACCGCACGCGAGGGCCCCGCGGGGGACCCAGGGCTGGCTTGAGCGCACTGGCCTCCTGCTCTTGCAAGGAGGACTCCAAAACGATTCTGAAAGGGAAAGTGTCTTGAAATTAACTGGAGGCCGAAACCCAGGGGAAGCTGGTGGTGCAAAGGACTCATCCACGCTTTGGGCTGTTACATAGAGAGGATTTTGGAGGAGGGGCAAGAGAAGTTGGGACCCTGGGCTTTTCTGTTTCAAGCAAGCAAAGGGAGGGTGGCGGACTCCTATTTCAGAGTAGGGAGGAGCCTTGGGTCTTTATTTCTTACATGTATCAGGGACTCACCTGAAAAGAAAATGATGTGTGCCACAAGTAATTAGTAGCATTCCTGACCCCATATACAGAGCCAGGCGTCCTAACTCCTGACACCTAAGCTCTTTTCCACCCCTGGCGCTGGAGCCACGGTGCTAAGTGTGAGTGGTTCTGTCCCTGGGCTGCACATGACAGAAACACGTGCAGACTGCGTGGCTCAGACACAGAGTGGCTGGGGACACTGCTACGTCCTCTATCGGGGGGTTCAGAGGCAGGGCGGGCTTCAGGCTGACTCAGCAGCCCGTGATGTCATCAGAGACTCACATTCTCCCTCACTCACTGCCCCAACTTCATCCTCAGGTTGGTCACAAGGGGCCTCCGCAACTGGAAGCATTTCACGTCCAGGACAAGATGTCCAGAGGAAGAGAACAGAACAAATGACTTACTGAAGTAGAAAGCGTTTCCCAGACCTGTCCCCCAGTAGATGCCCTTCAAAGTAGCCAGAATCCGTGCATTCTAACTTGAGCCTGGATTAGGGTGGGGCAAGCAGGTGTCTAGGGTACAAAAGTTGAGAAAGCACGGGTCGGGCGCGGTGGCTCACGCCTGTAACCCCAGCACTTTCGGAGGCTGAGGCAGGCGGATCACCTGAGGTCAGGGGTTCGAGACCAGCCTGGACAACGTGATTAAACCCTGTCTCTACTAAAAATACAAAAATTAGCGACTGTGGTGGGCGCCTATAATCGCAGCTACTTGGGAGGCTGAGGCATGAGAATTGCTTGAACCCAGGAGGCGGAGGTTGCAGTGAGCAGAGATTGCTCCATTGCACTCCAGCCTGGGCAACAAGAGCAGAACTCTGTCTCTAAGTAAATAAATAAATAAATAAATAAATAAACAAACAAACAAACAGAAAAGAAAAGAAAGCAGAATCCTTAAATCGAGTGCCTCCTTACAGTAGTGCCTTAGGTCCCCACTCTGATTTTTTAAATGATGGTTTCATTGAGATATAATTCACATACTAAAAAGCACCCTTTTAATACGTGCAATGCAGTGATTTTTAGTATATTCACAGACTCGTGACACTATCACCACTAATTCTAGGACATTATAAAAAAATTCACTTCCTTAGTACTCATTCTTGATTCCGTTAAAAAACAGAGATTGTCAGACTGGTTAAAAGTAAGACCCAAACATATACTGTCTACAAGAAATTCACCTTGCATTTACACAAATAGGTTAAAAGTAAATGAAGGTAAAATGTGCAACATACTATTCTAATCAAAAGAAAGCTGGGGTGACTATAATAACATCTAACAAAGTATATCTCAGAGTGGAGAATATTACTGGAGATGAAGAAGGTTATTTCATCATGATAAAGGAGGTCAAATCCTACATAGCAATCCTACATTTTTATTCCTCTGCTAGTAAGAGAGATTCGAAATACATGAAGTAAAACCAAATGTAACCATGAAGATAAAAAGTCCACAATTGTTAGAGAGAGCTGCCAGGTGTTGAGGTGGTCCATTAAGACACTGAGCCAAATGGGAGAGTGACAGTCAGGCTTTTATTCATTTGTGGGGGCAGGGGAGAGAGGGAGATTGGAGCTGGAGTCTGGAGGAAGGGGAAGAGCTAGTAATGGAAAAGCACCGAGTATTGAGTCAGAGTGGAGAAAAGTATCTCCAGGCCCCCTAATAAGGAGGTCTTGGCAGTGTCCCAACAGAGCCCCTGCCCCATAAGGAGGCCTCTGAATGGAGGGGCCAGAGCTAGAAATGCAGGTAGGCACAGGGCATGGCTGGCCCAGGGGGTCCTAAGCCTTTGATGGTGCCTCCCTCCCGAGATCACAAAGCACTAGCTATGAAGTCTGGTGGGAGAAGGGCAGATTTCACCCAAGAGTAGAATATCTGTAATTGCATATGGTTGGGCCTGAAAGATTCCATTTAGGATTTTGTCCTGAAGTTGTACTCTTCAACTTCACCTCTTAATTTTTCAGGATCCTTGAAAGAAGCAAAGACTACCCTATCATGGTCCTAAATAAATGGAATTTGCGGGATTATGACAATAACCCGGTAATTAGTCTGAGCCAGCAATGGACCAAGTTCATCATTGAAATGTTTCCAAATAGGATGATAAGGACTTCTTGGAAGATTAAACATAGCCATGAGCCCCCAACAATGCCAATCCAGGATAAGATGTTTCAAAGGTCAGCAGAGTCTGCTTTAGAGAGCCGGACTCTTCCACTTTGTCAGATTCATTGATCCAGGTGCACCACGAGGTGTTGACAGTGGCACAGACTCTCCTTGGCTGGCCAGCTGGAAGTCCAGGGCTATGCAGCTGCTCAAATACTCAAACCAAAGAGCTGAGGCTGATCTGTTGTGTCTCCAAAACTAAGGTAGTGTTGTTAATGACCTCAGTGATGGTAAGAGACAGGTGCACAACCTTTTCTCACTGAGGGACCTGAGCAGTGGGAAAAACCACCCAGAGCATACACATGAGCAAAGAGGGTCAGCAGTGCTTCTCACCCGGTAAGCCCTCCAAGTAACCAGGGTAGGCTTGGTTCTGGAGCTCATGCCTTACTCAGCCTGGTGCAACATGCTCCTTGGGAGAGGTTGCTTGGAATATTTGAAAAACTCTTATTAATGCCCCATTCGTGCAGATTACAAGGCTATCAAAAAGGAAGGTAAAGGCCTGGTGTTTAGAAAAGAAAGAATACTCTAAAGGTATACATCGGGTTGGGAGTGTAAGAGTCATTGACTACCATAAGGTTCAACCCCCTAGAAGTCCTTCTTGGTAGGCAGTAGGCAGAGTCCCTGAGTGGAACTGAAGAGTCTGTACAAGGAGGGGACAAGTGGAGGAGAGGAGAAGGTCACCACCATCAAGGCCAAAATAGCCCAGTAACAGACCCAGGCTCCTCTTCCCAGTTGCTCCCATGTGGAACAGCATTGAGTTGACAACTAGGAAGTCATTTCGTTCCTACAGTACCAGGGTCCACATATCAGGTAACACATTGGGTCCGGGTGTGTTAGGGCACCTGAGATGCCAGAAAGCTCCATAGTTGAAGAAATGTCCACTCATGCTATTCAGTGGCATGGCAGCCAAAGATTTACATATGGGGTCAAGGAGTGAGTGGCATATCCAACTACTAGTCAAGTTCAGCATGATGGCAGCTGCCTGAGTCAGGCCTACGAATGAATTTTGTAAGGCCAGAGTCACACAGACTACCCATGAGAGAGAGGAGAGAGGTTAGATCCCACTTCTTGCCCCGTATCTGAGTTCACAGGACCAAAGGTTCTCATGTCTTATTAGTTCAGGAGACTCCTCATTGACTGTGACATGGGCAGTCTGTCCCGTGCCATGAGCAAGAATAGTGCTCTTAATTCATTCTTAGAATGGTGAACCTAAATATTCTGGCTTGGCTTCTCCTGGGGTTCCATCAAAGTTTCTATTTGATATTTGATATGTATCCCATGGGGCTACACGGAGTAAAGCAGCAGGGCCACCTTAGGGAAAATGTTGAGACATTGAATTGATGGTTATTATCTTTGAAGTCCTTGTAGGCAAAATTCAGGCACTGCAACCAGGGAGTAAATGGAGAAGCAAGTTCATGCCTCCCAATCTGTGCTGTTTAGTAGCCTTCCTGATCTCCCACTGATTTTGGTCTTCAGGAAGGGCTCAAAAAGGATGGAGGGAACTTGCATGATCCACCATGGAAACTGATTTGCCAATAATTTTAAAAGAGGGGTGTGCAACTGAGGGAAAGAGACAGATAGCCCAATCAATCACACAGCACAAATGAGAAGTGCACTTAGAGAATTGCCGCAGTGAGACCCCAAATTGCACACCTGAGACATGTAGCCAGGCTGGGATTATATTGTCCATTTCCATCAGCCACTTCAACCTGTTCTTTTCCTGTTAAAATATGCGATCATTGCTGTGGCTTGTAGATGATACAGAGCATGGAGAATCCATCATGCCTCATAATTTGACCCATGTATAGTTTGGGCTGCAAATGTATCGTTTGGGCCATTATTAGATACAATGTATTCAGGAAGCCAGAGAAATAAACAAATATGGTTTTGGAGGGACTGAAGAGTGTTGCCTGAGTCAGGGAAACACATGGGGATGACTAGTCCAAATACAGAGAACTCATCAACTACATTTAGGATCCAGCAGAATGCTCTGGATGGGATGAGGGGACTAGTGTGATCAACCTGCAAAGAACATCCTGGCCTTTTTGACCAGAAGGATCTGTCCCTGAGCAGAATGTTTAGCCTTGCTCAGGGTCTGGCGGGTGGATTATCTTTTTCATGCTGTGTTGGCATCTTTTGAAGATAATAGTTCATGCATACAGATCCAGGCTAGGATGGCATCTTGATTCCCAGGGCCCTTCCTCTCATGGATCAGAGGCAATGAGTTGAATATCTGTTATCTCTGGGGCAGATGACAAATCATTCTCCATGTTTAGCTGACATGCACGGTCTGCTCATTGCCTTGATTGGCTCATTGCCTTTGTCAGCATAGGGAGCTCTCTGGTGAGCACCCACAAGGATAACAAAGAGCTTATTAGGAGTAGAATTGAATTTTATCCGAATGTCTCATCCCAAGAGAGGGATGTGTTTTACATGTCAGCACAATTTTGCCAGTAGCTCAATCAAATGTTCAGACCATTAACTACAGCCCATGAGTCAGTGAAAATATAGCAGGGCTCCTTTGTTGAGGGAGCCTGGGTAGCCAACCATACTTTATAAAGCTTTGCACATTTATGCTGAACTTGCCAAGGGATAGATCTATCTCAGGTTGTATGACAGCTGCACCTCATTCCAGCATAGTAAATGTTAATCAAGAGACACCGTCAGTGAACCAGGCTTATGTGTGGCCCAGAAGGTCCTTGTATCTGAGTTCCCATTGGCCAAGTGAAGGCAGTGGCTCATTGGACGACATGCCTGGGAGGGGGACAACACTCCTGAGTCCTTGCCATTGAGTTGAAGGCCCCAGCTGGGCTGGGTTTTACCTGCTTCTGTGTAGAACATTTTCATTCACTAGAGAATACTCTTAAGCCACACCCACCTGGATATTTGAGGCCTCTGCTCACTCATAACATGATTGGAATTTGGGATCATAAAACTATGTCACAGCCGTGAGTCACGTACTCATGCATATCTACCTAGGCCCAATAACAGGACAATAATTGTTTCTCAAAGTGTATGTGCCTTTTGGCTGACTCCCTTTCAGCTGACTCCAGGATCTTATAAGTTGAAAAACCCAACAAGTGTCTGATGTTATTTTTCTACTATGAGCGATAGTAAAGGAACTGAAATGTTGTTGAGACCTGTAAGTCGAATGGCAAATGTGGATCCATGGGGTCCAGGGGAAGGGAGGGTACTTGGATGGCTGTGGTAGCCTGTTGAATGGGCCCCATTGAAACATAGCAGCCTTTTCTAGTAACCTCTTAGTTGGGTCCCATCAAAATCCCCACAAGGGAAATGTGACAGTAACAGTAGATGAATAAGCCCACAAATCACTGGGCATCCTTTTTATTTGCTGGGGCAGAGACAGCCAAAAGCTTGGCAGTCATCTCCTCTAAACGAGATGTTGTGCCACTTGCCCAGATTACAACCAGGAAATTCACTTGGGGTCTCTGTCTGTTAATGGTGTAGTTGGGTTGCTGCGTGAAAGTCATCAGTCCTCAAGCACCTAGTCCTTATTTGGCAATGTCTTTGTTTGGGTTCACAAGGAGGATGTCATCAATAGAGTGCAAGGCTAGTGCTTCCTCCAGGCAAGCAACTCTCCCCAGAGCATAACCTATTCATTGATGGCAGCTATGTGGGGAATTTAGGTCACTTTGTGAAAGGACATTAAAGGTGGATTGCAACCCATTCCACATAAAGGCAAGTTGATCCTGGACTTCTCCGTGTGGGAGGATGCTGAAAAAGGCATTGATGATATCAACTGTCCCATACCAAGTTCCCTCCAGTAGCCTCTGTAAGAATCAAAATGTCAGATACTGCCAATGCAAAGAATGGCACCACAGGCTTGAGCCACCTGTAATAGACAGAGGATCACCAGGTACCTGAGGCCATGTGCGCAGGCCAGACAGAGCTACTGTATGGAGGAACAGTTTCTCAGGAACTTTGCCTCAAGCTTAGCAATTGAAACCAGCCCAATTGTCCCATAAAACTAATATTTATGGTTTATTTTGAAAAAGCATATAAATTAACCCTCATAGTCTTAAAACTCAAGAAAATTACAGTTATCTGAGTTCCTTTCTCAGGAAGCCAACCATCAGTGCTTGCAGATATTATCAAGCAGCTAAAACCCACCAGGTCTACACATCTGGACAATGAGAAACCCGACCCCTCACCCATCATGATGGCCTACGCAACCACCTGCTTCCTGTTGACCAATTCCTCTTCCTTACTTCTCCCTAATTCCTGTTTCCCCACACATGGTTACATTTCTTCCCTGCTATATAAATTCCTAATTTTAGCTGGTCAGGGAGATGGATTTGAGACTTATCTCCCATCTCCTCAGCTGTAGCACCCAATTAAAGTTTTCATTCGTCTTTGCAATACTCATTGTCTCACTGATTGGCTTTCTGTGCAGTGAACAGAAGGACCTAGATGGAATTCCTGATGTTTTAGTGACATAATGACAGCAGTTATTTTTTTCCTCTCTAAAGCAGGTGGGGATACAATGGCCTAGGCGACAGTAATTGGGTACACTCACAGCCTTTCCCATGTCCCACTAAGATGACCCTAAGTGCAGCAATTTCCATCAGGGATTGAGGGTGAAGGCCAGTAGGGGCACATATAGACAATACATCTATACCAAGAACACATGCAGTCATGGGAGCCATAACGTAAAGGCCTCTAGGGGCCCAAAGGTCCCTTCCCAGAGACAGAGCAGGTGGTGGTGGTCTCAGACCCTAAACCAGAGAACATTATCTGTTTCCCCCTCATCCTGGTGCCAGGGATTGTGGGGATCAGAGGTAGCAGTGCACAGATGTTCAGCATGGCCAAGAAGGACATTTCCTCCCACCTCCTCACTGAACTCTGACATTGGCTAGGGCTTCTAGTCATCCCTGGGGACAGAGGGACCTCAGCCTAACCCCTAGTCTTGTTAATTTGTAAAAGTCTAGCTGTCTGGGGAGAGGATCGTGAGGCTCTTCAAGTCATCTCCAGAGTCACTGGGAGGGATGACAACAAGCATAATGCTTGAATCAGTCATAGGGGCTATCACCATGCAAACCCTCGTGAGCTGCCTGCTGGGCCCCCCATGGTCTGGTATCTTGGTGAGGAACTCTTCAGTCTCCTCCTTTGAGAGCCCCTTTATTGAATCATCAGGCTCAGAGAGCAATTTGGGAATGTCATTGCCTAGATCGTCCAGTAGAGGGCGCCGGATAGTCATCTTTGCCTCCCTGCTTCTGCAATCTGTTTTCTTGGAAGCAGCCACTCTTTCCATGCCTTAGGCATTTGTTAAAATAGCTGGATTGTGTCTGGGACGGACTGAGCTGGCCTTATGAGGTTTACCTGGGCTTGATAACCAGCAGTAGTGGCATAAAAATTCTTGAAATCTGAGTCTGGTGAACAGTCTTATCCTCTGCTTCCCCCAGCCCCTCATTGTAGACCCAGAGGACCCCCAGGGTGACTTGCGGGGCTACTATAGCCTCTGCGAAGGGCATCCAGAAGTGTTTTTCAATGGCATGGGTCTTGTTACAGTGTACCAAACCTGCCAGATCTGTCGGAGCCCAAGTAGTACCCAGCTGAGGACCAATGATCCCCCTCGGAACCGAAAAGCTTCTGTAAACAACACATTAGCACACTCTAAGGGTGCCCTGCGGGGTCCACTGGCACCTCCCAGACACCCCGTGGCATGGCTGGCAAGTGTTCTGCGGTACCCTCAGACTCTTGCAGATGAACCACCAGCACCTCTACTGTGCCCTGAAGGACTTTTAGGCTTTTTGTTTTTCCAAAAAGGCATTGTGCTTAATTGACCACTCAGCTCCTTTGTCAAATTGAGAGAGAGAGAGAGAGAGAAAGAGAGAGGGGGCATGTATGTGAGTACTTTCAGGTGTTAAGGTGTTGAATTAGGACAACTAGCCCCACTGAAAGTAACAGTCAAGCTTTTATTTGCTTACTGTGATAAGAAGAGGCTACCCAGGACATGGTGCCATTATTTTCCCCATGGAACAGCACCAGGAAGGGTCAGATGACAAGCAGCAGAGGTGGGAGAATTGTCTCATTGCCTAGAAGTCCCAAACGCAAGGTTCCTGCCATTTTGTGGACCCAGGAGCCAAGGGGAGGGACAGGAGGGATGGGATGGGGGAAGGATGGACTAGAAGTGGAAAAGTACTGAGTGCTGAGCTTGAGTGCAAGAGAGTGTCTTCAAGGCTCCTGATAAGAAAGTCTCTTCAGAGGCTCCTGAACAGTGTCTCAGCGAAGGCCTCTGCTCCCCTCATAAGGAGGGCTCTGAGTGAAGCTGTCTGAGCTCGGAATGTAGAGATGCATAAAGGCATGGCCTGGCTCAAGGGCCTGAGTCCTTGACTGCAGCTCCCACTGGACACTTCAATGCCCTGGCTGTGCACCAAATCTGTGAGCAGGGCAGCTTCCCCCCACCTCCCCCATGCAGCCTGCCTTGTAGTTGCCTATGGTCAGGCCTATGGGATCACATATGGGATTTTGACCTAGAGCTGGACCTGTCAACAATTATAGTTGGACATGTCAACACTCATCTCTCAACAATTGCTAGAACAGGCAGACACAACATTGGTAATTATATAGAAGACCTGAACAACACTATCACCAACTTCATGGAATTCACATTTACAGAGCACTACACCCCAAAACAGCAGAATATACATTCTTTTCAAGTGATCATGGAGCATTTCCTGAGATAGACCATATTTAGGGGCATAAAATAAATCTCAATATCTTAAAAGAATACAAGTCATTAAAAACATGTTATCTGACTATGGTGAGATTCAATTAGAAGTCAATAACATAAAATCTTTGGAAATCATCAAAACTGGAAACTAAAAATTACACTTTCAAATAATTCATGAGTCAAAAAAGAAATCAAAAGGAAAATCAGAATGTATTTTGAACTGAATAAAAATGCAAAGGATATCAAAATTTATTGATGCCACTAAATCAATACTTAGGGAAATTTTTTATGGTGGTAAACACCTATATTAAAAACCAAGAAAAGTTTCAAGTCAATTACCTGTTTCACCTTAAAAAAACTAAAAAAATACCCAAAATGTAGAGAGCCAGCAAAGGGATCATGACCAACTCAGCATTCCACTGGAGGCTATATGATCAAACAGCAAACTGTTTATCATGAATGCAGGATGTGGGTAAACTCACACTGCACCTGCCGCCAAGAGGTTTGCTGAGGGTCATCACTCCCTGGCACCAGGCTCCTTGAAGTTATCTACTGGAAAATCTAGCGCCTATTGTTCAAAGGATGCAGTGTCACAAGCCTGCTGTGAACCAAACGGCCGACTGACAATTACCCGACAATCACCCCCACTTTTTTTGCTATCTCTTTTACCTAATAAATACGGAGGACTGAAAAAGTTTAGGGCCCTTGCCTACTAGAGGCAAGGTGCCCCCGACCCCTTCTTCCAAATATACTCTTTTGTCTTTGTCTTTTATTCCCGCGTTCATCCTACTTTGTTCAGTGCATCAGGGATCGTGGTCGGTTACATCAAAAAGTGAAAAAATTAAATGTGAAGTAATCAGAAAAAGGAAATAATAAAGATCAGAGCAGAAATCAATGTTGTGGACAGAAAAACAATAGTGAAAATCAATGAAACCAAAAGCTGGTTCTGAGAAACAGCAATAAAATTTATCAACACCTAGTCATACTGATCAGAAAAGAGAAAAAGGCACAAGCTACTAATCTCAGAAATGAGAGCGATGGTATTACTACAGATTTTACAGCTATTAAAAGAAAAATAAGAGACTATTATAAACAACTTTACAACAGTAAATTTGATGACTAGAAAATGAACAAATTCCTTGAAAGACACAAGCTACCAAAGCTAACTCAAGAAGAAATATGTAATTTGAATAGTTCACTATCTATTAATGAAAATAGAGTTGCAATATAAAGCCACTCCAGTCTCGGATGGTTTCACCAAACATTAAAGGAAGAAATAATACCAATTATACAACATCTGTTCCAGAAAATTGCAAAGGTAGGTATGTTTCTCAACTCATTCTTTGAGACCAGAATTACCTAAAACCAAAGTGAGACAAAGATATTACAAAATAGGAATAGTACAGACTAATGTCTCTCATGAATGGAGATGAGCAATTCTAAAAATATTTTAACAAATTGCATCCAATACTAGACAAAATAGGAAATACATCATGACCAAGTGGAGTTTCTCCCAGTAACGCAAGATTGTTTCAACATTCAAAAATTAATCCCAATATTAACAAAACCATATGATCATCTAAAAGAAACAAAAAAGCATTTGACAGAATCCAACATCTATTCCTGATATAAACACAACAAACTACGAATAAAAGAGACCTTCTTCACCTGTTAAAGGGCACCTATGAAAAGCCTACAGCTAATATCACGTTTAATGATGGGAGCCTTCGTGCTTTCCCCTAAGATCAGGAACCAGACAAGGATGTCTGTTTTCACTACTTCTAATCAAGTCAGTGCAATAAGGCAAAGAAAAAAAAAAAGCTATCTAAATGTGAAAGAAAGAGGAAATTTTGTCTTTATTAGCAGACATGGAACTAGAAACACAGCTACTAGAACTAAGTGATTTTAGCAAGTTTGCAAGATATAAGGCTGAGATACAAAAAAAAACCTGTATTATATTTCCATATACTAGCAACAATTAATCAGAAATTGAAATTAAAAAGCAACACCACTTATAATAGCACAAAATAGAATATACTTAAGGATAAATCTGACAAAATTTGTGCCAGACTTGTATACTGAAAACTACAAAACTATGCTGAGATTAATCAATAAAAACCTAAAAGAATGAGAAACATGCCTTGTTCACGGGTTGGAAGACTCAATATTGCTAGTATGTCTATTCTCTCCAAATTGATATTTAGAATTCACACAGTCCTAATCAAAATTGCAGCAGGCTTTGTACAAGTCAACAAGCAAATTATAAAATTCACAGGGAAAGATAGAGGACTGAAAGCAGATAAAACAACTTTGAAAAATAAAGTTGGAAAACTTATGTCACTTAAGTGTTTTCAAAACTTATTATTAAGCTACAGTAATTCAGACAATGTGGAATTGACATCAAGATAGACAAGCAGATCAATGGAATCCAATAGAATCCAGAAATAGAACCACATATCCATGATCAACTGATTTTTGACAAAGATGCAAAGGCAATTCAGTGGAAAATGGATAGCATTTTCATCATATGCAAAACATGAACTCAAAATTGATCATAGGCCAAAAAGGAAAATTAAATCCGGTAACACTTCTGGAAGAAACATAGGAGATCCTTGTGACTTTGGATTAGGCAAAGCATTCCTTCAATATGACAACAAAAGCATTAAGCATAAACAAAGAAACAAAATGATAAAATGGACTTCATCAAAATTAAGAACTGCTTTTTAAAGGCACTGTTATAGAAATGGTGGGAATTGAACAATGAGAACACATGGACACAGGAAGGGGAACATCACACCCGGGGCCTGTTGTGGGGTGGGGGGGAGGGATGAGGGATAGCATTAGGAGATACACCTAAAGTTAAATGACGAGTTAATGGGTGCAGCACACCAACATGGCACATGTATACATATGTAACAAACCTGCACATTGTGCACATGTACCCTAAAACTTAAAGTATAGTAAAAAAATAAAGTGTGCAAAATAAAGATTGAAAAAAAAAAGAAATGAAAATTGAAGCCATGAGCTGGGAGAAAAATGTTTTCAGATCACATATATGATAAAAGATTTGGTAGCCATATCACGAGATTTCTCAAAATACAATAAGAAAACAAAAGGCCAGGTGCGGTGGCTCATACCTGTAATCCCAGAATTTTGGGAGGCCAAGGAGGGCAGATGACCTGAGGTCAGGAGTTCAAAACCAGCCTGGCCAACATGGGGAAACCCTGTATCTACTAAAAATACAAAAATTAGCCGGCTGTGGTGGCACACGCCTGTAGTCCCAGCTACTCAGGGGTCTGAGGCACGAGAATTGCTTGAACCCAGGAGGCGGAGGTTGCAGTGAGCCGAGATCGTGCCCCTGCCCTGCAGCCTGGCAACAGAGAAATACTCTGTCTCAAAAAGAAAAAAAAAAAAAAAAACACGAAAACAAAATAAAGCAAGAAGCAATAAAATATCGATGAGACATTTAAAAAGACATTTCATCAAAGAACATATATGGATAGCAAATAAGCACATTTTGGTTTTTTTTTTTTTTTTTTTTTTTTTTTGAGACAGAGTCTCGCTCTGTCGCCCAGGCTGGAGTGCAGTGGCGGGATCTCGGCTCACTGCAAGCTCCGCCTCCCGGGTTCACGCCATTCTCCTGCCTCAGCCTCCCGAGTAGCTGGGACTACAGGCGCCCACCACTACGCCCAGCTAATTTTTTGTATTTTTAGTAGAGACGGGGTTTCACCGTTTTAGCCGGGATGGTCTCGATCTCCTTACCTCGTGATCCGCCCGCCTCGGCCTCCCAAAGTGCTGGGATTACAGGCGTGAGCCACCGCGCCCGGCCTAAGCACATTTTTTTAAATGCTGAACATAATTAGGCATTAGGGAAATGCAACCAAAAGCCGGTACACGCTGAAAGTAACAACACTGGTAGTACCAAGTATTGGTGAGAAGAGAGAAAAACCAGAACTCTCCTAGGCTTTACTGGGAATGTTAAATGATACAACCACTTTCAAAGGCAATTTGGCAGATCCTTAAAAAGTTAAACTTACACCTTCCATATGACCCAGCCATTCTACTTCTATGTATCTATATACAAAAGAAATGAAGACATATGTCCATACAAAGATGTATATATATAAATATTCATAAAAACTTTATTTTCAATAGCAAAAATCTTGGTAACAACGTAAATGTTCATCAACAGGTAAATTTGTTCATCAACAAATCATGGTATACCTATACAAAAAAATGTTACTTACCAATAAAAGGGATGAACTATTGATACATACAATAACATAAATGAATCTCAAAATAATTGTACTGAGTGACAGGAGTCATACTACAAAGCATAGATGATGTATGGTTCCATGTATGTAAATTTCTTTAAAAATGCAAATTAATCTATAGTGACAGAAAGAAGATTGGTAGTTGCCTGAGCAGATCAGTGGTTGGGATGGGACGGGGAGAGGGAGAAGGAAGAGTGAGAAATTACAAAGATGCAAGAAGGAATTTGGGAGTATGATAGATAGGTTCATTATCTTGAATATAGCGATGGTTTGTTTCATGGAAAATGTGTCAGAACTTATTGTAGAGGTTAAATATGTGAAATGTATTCTGTGTCAATTAAAGTGTTCTTCAAATTAGAGGTGGAAGTGAGAACAAAACTCACAGATGTATACCTTTCAGTCCTGTGGATTAATTTTGCCCAAACCTGCTTTGGAAAACATGATCCCTAAATGAATGTGGCCTAACAGATATATCCTGGCTTGGTCAAATTTAAGTAAGAGCTGTAATATGAATGGTTCATGTAACTGTTAACTGTCAGTCAAAAACAGAGTCAGGATTAACCACTGTTCAGTCCAACTCATTAAAGAAATAATAAAGCAGGCAGCAGTCAGTGGTGGTATAAACAGTGACATAAGTGAGAGTACAAACCAGTGTAACTTTCTAGGGACCAATTTGGAAGAAGTCTCAAAATGTGCTCAACTTTTATCTCAACAGTACTATTGTTAGGAATTTTAAAAAATATATTAAGGATGTGAGCAAATATTTAGTATATCCAAAACAGCATAATATATATTATTAGCAATCTATTATTTGTTAATAGAAATAATTTTAATTACTCAAACTGTCTAAAATTAGATTCAATTATAGAAATCCAGCCACACAGTGGAATACTATGCACATCAAATTGATGACCTGGAAAGATCTTAAGGGAGGTTTTTCATAAGGGAAGAAATAAGCTACTGAAGGATATGATTAACTTGTAGTAAAATGCTTATAAATTTCTATTTGCATACACATAATAGGGAAGGATGTATATCACTATTAACAGCAGTGATTGCTGTGTGTTGGAATTGTGGGTGACTTCAATTTTTTTGGAGACTTTGCTGTAGTTTCCAAATTGCTGCCACAACGCAATTTTATTTTTAGGCAGAAAAAAATTAATGTATATGGAGGTTCTTTCTTAACTAAGGGGTGTGCTTGAGCTGTGTCTGAGCACATATGATTAGTTAGAGGACTCAGTGGTGTGTTGCGTAAGTTCCTTTGGTATTTTGTGTGTTTCAGAGGGAAAAGGAATGGAAAGAACAGCATAGCAAGCTTCAGATATTTGCCTCCTAGCTCAGTCCTAAAGTGCATTGCTGAGTCCCTGAACTTGTATCTCAGGCTTATGGAAAGATGAGAAGGAGCTGTCTTCATTACAAACTGTGTGAGACAGGGGGCATGCAGGGCTGTCTATGTGACAGTGACAGAAGCAGATCACTATTTCAGCTGCACATGAGACACAGGGTGGCTGCAGCTTTACTCTATAGGGTTTGCCCTTGGCTTTGTGTGCAGTGTCACCTGGGCACTAGTCCCCTGTTCAGCCTGGCAGTGGTGGTGGGCAGAGCCGGGCGGATGGAAGAGGGCTGGCTCCTGAAGCCCTGAGATGCTCCATAAGATCCCCTGAAACAATGGGCACAGACTTAGGTGAAGGCAGAGGCAATGGCAGGCACCCCAAACACTCCAAAACCAGCATAGCCTTCCCAGGCCCAAATTTCATGCATCTGCGGCCTCAGTTATTCTCAATGGCTCTGGAACTTTCAGCAAAGACTTTCACACACTATCCAGTGCACACGCTTTATTTTGGCATTCAAGCCACTGCACCAACTAGGTCACAGGGAATGTTAATTAAGGCAAGATAGGTAGAAGGAAAGGAGGGTATGTACAGCAATTGCTCCTCTTTACGGAGAAGAGAACCTGCCACAGAACAAGATGCAGTTGGTTTTGTGGTGCCTGATGAAGAAAAGAAAAGGGTGGTCTGCACAGAATCTTGGCTCCATTCTGCTGCACCGGGAATTCCTGACCACAGCAGTGGCTGCGGCAGCCTCTGTGCCTTCCTCATTGACCTCCACGAAGCACTTGTGGGCAACCTTGGACAGAGGCACATTCTTCTCAGTTGACATTCCAGAAAAGTCTGCCTTGGCTTCGTCAAAAGCATCGATCATTCCTAATCTTCGAAGGAAAGGCTCCAAGTCATAACTCTCCTCCAGCTTTAATCTGGGAAGGAAAACTTGAACCTTACTTTTTGTCAACTTTTCTGAATTTGTCCAGGCTTTGAATTTCTCATATGTAAGTGCTTTTTCCACCTAGGATAAGAAAGACTCAAACCTTAAAATTTAGATGACAATAGCCTGATACCCACACACCCATTTATTACCCCTCCCCCAATGACATGCAATTAGATGGTGAGTTCTGGTCCAAGAAAATCTACAGATATTTTCTTTTATAAACACACCAAGATTTTCTCCCAAATTTTCATCTTTTCACAGTTTTATGGAGACAAGTGTAAAAGAGCTAGTAAACACCTGAGACAGGCAGAAATTTTTAATAAAAACAATTTGTACCTAACTCCTTTCAAATGTTAAAAACATTTTTTAACAGTTTAGAAAATTCTAACCAATTCATTACATTAATCTTCATGCAATACATACTACTGTGAGTGGGAGAGATTGTTTGACAAAAGACAAAGAGCATGGCTCAGAACTCTGCTTCTGAGTCTAATGAGGGGACTATTCAGGGTTAAATCAGAGGGCAACTCAGAGTAAAAGAGAGGGAATTGTGTTTCATCTGAAGATGAAGGGAGGCATGAGAAGGGAGCATGAGACGAGAAATGGGGAATGCAAGAAGACTTCATCAGCATCCTTGTTTGTCCTCTGCCTGTCCTGGAGTTAGCTTCAAATTCTTCAAGATCCATCACTCTTTCTATTTATCAATAAGGTAGAAAGAAAAAAGGGAGAAAGGCCTTCCACTAGCATCTCCCCTTCCCTTTAACAACTGGAGCCCAGGTGGGTACTCCTCTCCAACGAGCATTGTTTTGATTTTGACTCTATTTCTAGACTCTCCTAATTTTCTCATAAGTGGCCACAACAGATGTCATCCCTGACTTAGGGCAGTAGCTTTCTGATTCCAAAGGGAAGCCAGGAAAATCAAGCAGCCCACCCTCAACATCCTGTGCATTGGTGTGCCAGAGCTGACCCCTATCAATTGTTAAACCCTCAGTAGACTAAAGTCGGCCATGGTGGGAGTATTTACCATGTCATGAGAATCAGCAAACTTTATAAATGAAGGCTTCTCCCACCTCCCAGAGCTGGTTTACAAGTGCACTATTAGTCTTGCACCTCCTACCTTGCAAGTTTACCACTTCCCTTCCTGGACTCTGTTCCTTTTCTGTCACAGTAAGACTTTTCTCTCCTCTTGTATAAGGTAAATTTCCCACCTGTACTTTAGACTTTTGCTATTCATAGTGTGGTTCCAAGCATCTGTATCACTTGGAATCTTGTTACAAATGCAACATCTCAGGCCACACTCCATTGAATCAAAATCTGCACTTTAACAAGATCACTAGAATCATATATGTGCATTAGTGTTTGAGAATCACTGCCAAGATTGATCCCTACCCTTCTTCCAGGACTTTTGTGCAATAATCATTGGGCTTTCAAATAGACCTTCCATGCAGAATAAAGAATAATATTCCAAATAATAATATATTTAGAACTCTCTCTTCTTAGCTTCATCAAAACTTGTCCACTCATATATGTATACACTCAACAGAAATGCATGAACATGTTCATCAAAAGACACACAATGATGTTCACCCAGCACTGCCTGTAATAACCCCAACTGGAAACTCCTCAAATGCCAATTGGTAGATGAACATAAAGAAATGAGCTCAGCTGGACTCCACAGATACTCAGGCTCATTGCCTGGAGCTTACCACGGCGAGGTCCGTGTTGTCATCGGGAAGCAGAATGACCATGCTCAGCTCCTCTTCCACATAGGGCAGCTCCAGGACCTGGGTGTGTACCTCATCCGCATACCCCATTTTAAACTTAGCTTCCTTAAACATCATCTGCACTGTCTTTTTTTCCTAACGGAAAAATTAAAGTTCGATTACTGAAAAGTGGGTATAATTTACTAAAAATAGGATATATCTAACTCACAGAAACTCTAGGTGTGTATAATTACTGTTTCTGCACATTTATGCTGATAGATATAAAATCTTCATTAGTACATCTTAGTATTGAATAGAACAAGCTATTGTTCCAGCAGATCAAATATTACCAGGTGAGAAAAAAAAAACAGTTTGGTAAATGGAGAAGGACACAAAAATTGACATTATCCTTGGAAGAAGCTGTGTTTGCTTTTTTGAGAACATTCACAGAGAAGCTTTCTCATGGAAGCTTCCAACTAAAAATTCTTTATCGAAGTTAAGATAAATATTCAGGCCCTTGGGCTGAAGGATCTGGTTAGAAAAGATGTACGGTCCAAACTCTGGAAAGTTGCCTTGTTGTAGAATTGGTTTTATGGCCTTGGCTTTCTTAGGAAGGGGACCTTGAAGAGATGTGTAAGGTCTGCTGTTTTTAAAGCCTGCATCAAATATATTTTTAACTTTCATATCTTTGTGCAATATGAGAGTATCATATTTGATGGATGTCAAATCCCAAGCTAACAACTATTGATACCAGCCATTTTAATATTCAAAAGGGAAGGTAAAGTTAGGCTTTACATCTGCTAACTTTTTTTTCTTGTGCTCAGGATTGTATAACTTTGACTTTTAAGGCAATAAATAGGCATAGTTGCCACTGATATTGCAAAAAGGTATCTAACTAAATACAGAGAGTAATAGCATCATGCAAACATAATTCCAAGGCTTAGAAGAAATTCTCCTCCAATCCAAATCATATGACCAGAGATGGAAGGTAGATTTGATCAAAGATGGAAAAACAAAACTATCAATACCAAAATTATTTTTGTTTCTCTCTTCCTTCCGCCATTAAAGATACACAGGAGGCATTAAATTCATTCAGAAAAGAAGCCAGGCACAGTGGCTCCTGCCTGTAATTCCAGAACTTTGGGAGGATAAGGCAGGTGTATCACTTGAGGCCAGGAGTTTGAGACCAACCTGGGCAATATGACAAAACCTTATCTCTACAAAAAATACAAAAATTAGCCAGGCCTGGTGGTGTGCACCTGTAGTCACAGCTACTTGGGAAGCTAAGGTTGGGGAATCATTTGAGCCTGGGAGGTCGAGGCTGCAGTGAGCTGAGATTACACCACTGCACTCCAGCCTGGGTGACAAAAAGAGACCCTGTCTCAAAGAAAATAAAATAATATAATATAATTCAGAAATAGATTAAAATCAAGATCATGTCAAATAAATTATTCATTTTTCCAAGAGAATATTTCCTGTAATATTACTTTAAGAAAGTAGCAGTATATCTGAAAAATCTTTCCCTACCTCGTTGGTTTTAAAGAGCATTCCCCTTGTGTACTTTCTGTCAAATTGCTCATTCCACTTTCCCTTGAAATAAATGGCATTCACAAGGACCAGCTTTGTCAGGGGATCGACTGTCCCAGCATCCAGTACCTCTGAAATCTTACCTATAAAGAATATGAGAGTTTATTGCAATTTGTGGGGAAATAAGCATTCTTTTACAAAAATCCCTTTGACACATAAGGCAGAGGCTTGGTTGAGAGACAGGCTGGAGTTCTGTCTTTCTGGGCCCCTGATGAATTAGGCGATGGTGTTTAGCAGTGTGGCATACACAGTGTAACATTTGTGCTTAAGAAAAAAATCTTGAAGTAGGAAGGGCAACTATCATTTTGCCCTCAATTTATGGATGTAGAAATTCAGGACCAGAGCATTTGCCAGACTTTTGCTGAGTGCACACAGGTGACAAGTGGCTGAGTTGAGAACATCACCCCAGAGTCTTGATTCTGACTATGGGGCAGTCAACCTTGGCACTATCATATCCAAGCCTCACCGCTATTGTCATTTTAAGCCAGATAATTCTTTGTTATGGGGGCTGTCTTGTGCATTGTAGGATGTTTAGCCAGCAGCATTTCTTCCCATTTTGACAACCAAGATTGTCTTCAGCCATTATCCAATGGCACCTGGAGGGCAAAGCTACCCCTGGTTGAGGATCATTGCTCTATGCATATATTCAAACCTCATCAGACAAGGAAAGCTTTCCAAAGGATGAGAGAACACAGATCTGTCAATGGGAGAAGGCAGCCTCTCTGAAGGGGGTGAATGGGGCAAAGGAATTAGGGGGGTAGAATAGAGGGGCCCAAATTGAGTTGTCCAATGAGAGGGTAACAAGGTCATCTCCAAGGTCCCCTTCAGCTCTAATATTCTGGGGGAAATGTGGGTGGTCAGCCTAAGGGAAGGAAGGGCATAAGCAGCCCTGGAAGAGCAGTGACAGGTATAGGGCAGTGGGGGGAAGGTGTGGAGAAACTTCTAGGTTCCTCAGGTGACAGTACTGTTGAACAACTGGAAAGACCACTAGGCAGATGATGTATGAAAACACAAAAGGCTCTTCCCTTCCCATGGTAATTATTGTATTGGCTTTCAGTAGAATCAGGGGCATTACTTCTGCTGGACACACAGTGGTTGCGACATAGGATGGAATGGATGCAATAATGAGTGCTAGGTTGGCCCTTGAAATAAGTGACTTAATTCCTCCACCGTTTACAAGTATCGAAATTACTTGTTAGGTATTTAGGATGCTTTAAAGTATGACTCCCCCTTTTTCCTACTGAAGTAAAGAACTGGCAGAAATATTTCTGGTGGGATGGAATGTGGTCTGGGCAGGGAACACTGCAGGCTCCATGTCGCTGCACCTCCAGAATAGGGAACAAATTCAGAAAAGGCCACACTCTGAGAGCAAATGTAGCCATGGCCAAGTTAAAAAGGAAGGAGAAGGCTGCAGATCAAACTACTGAGCTGTCCCATTACCACGCGGAGGAGATAACATGAGAGCATGAAATGTTGCCCTCTCTAAGCCGCAACTTAATTGAATGCCATTCTGTCTCCGAGCATGGAAGGGCCTCTCAGATAGAAGATTAACAGAATTCCAAGGAGGAGCCATTTTCCAGGGATTTTCCAGCACGGTCCACAGGGGAGGAGGTCAGAGATTCAACATTAGTTTTAGAAATCAGTACTTCATGATCTGATAAGAAATGACAGAGTTGCATTGCTGGCCTGTAAACTCAGCAAACACATACAAACAGGCCTGTGGTATGCAGGTCACAGTGGCAACACCCTGGGAAGTCCCATCCCAGTCAATCTAAGCCTCGTTGTATAGTAATTCCAAATCAACAGAAATGAAACTGTCTCACCTTCAGTCTTCTCTGCCACCCAGTCATTTATATGCTTCCTGCACTCTTCAGTGTCTTCAGCAAAGGACAACTCCTCCAGCTCTGCCTGATAGAACTTCTGACAGTATTCTTTAAAGTCCTGCAAACACAAAACACTGAGTTTAGTCTCATTTGGTAAAGGTTCCCACAAATGCAAAAGCATTTTGTTTTCTCTTACTGCATTTCTACAATAAGTGCTTGGACAGGTCACACTCCACTTCAAGGTGCATGCGTGCAATTAACAAAAATGTATGGGCCACCTATTCTTGCCTGGTACTGGGCAAGGTGCTTGGCTTGAGGAGGTCCACAGCCTGAGAAGAGGCAGCTGAGACACCCAGACACTTACAGGACATCATGAGCTGCCACTATCCACAAAACATCACAGGAGCATCCTTGTCAAACGCTCTCCACTGACTTTAATATTGCTTCCCTCACTAGGCAGTCTAACACACTTTTACTCATTTTGCATCACCAGCACCAACTACAGTATTGTGGTTTTGGTTAAACGAGAGGCTTTATAAGGGAACTAGATTGTTAAGAAATCGTGTTGAACTGCAAAGAAGGAAATAGCATTTTAGATCTGGGTCATATGGTTGGTTGGAAGAATACAGAGCAAGGAAGGCCCCATGGGAATGGAGCGTGATAGGCCTGGATCATAGGGTGTGTGTGCAACTGGGTTCATACGTGTGCATGCGTGTGAACATCTGTGTGCATGAGTGCACATGTGTACATGTGAGTGCTTGGGCACCTGCATGTGTGTGGATTGCATGCATGTTTGTGTGTGTGTGTACATGTGTATGTGTGTTTGTGTGTATCAGGGAGGGGATTAAGGGAAACAGTGGCAGGGGAAGAGCCTTGAAATGTAAGTTGGGGTCCAATCAGAAAAGTCCTGTACCCAACACATTAAAACCCAGATAACTTACCTCACAAAAACCTGGCTTTGGATATAATAGGCCTGGAAACTGGCTCCCAGCCTCTGTCCATTCCCTGTTCTCAAATATTTTAATTTCAGCCAAAGAAAGAGGATATAGAGGGAAGGAGGAGCCAAGCCACCAGGAAAAGTAGAGGTTGGCTCCCTGTGTCCCAAGTATTACAACAGTAGTAGATCAGGCTGATGTTCAAAAATGAAATGGATTCATCAGGAGATTCCTGGGATCCAGAGTCACCTTCTGAGGTAGATAAACCCAGAGCAGGCAAATTCCGGGAACAGCACCCAGCAGCTACCAGGACAGGGATGTATTTGAGCCTTAGAGGAGTCCTCTCAGAACCTCCAGCCAATAGGATGGCCAAGCTTGCTGCAATCAGTTCACTAATTTTAAGACAACATCACCCTGCATATCAGGTGGCATGATTTTTGAACCTCACTGATTGCATTATGCCAGGCTGGACTAGGGAACCTTGGAATTATATGCTGAAGTAAATAGAAACTGCTTAGATTTAAAACCTCAATTTTATGAACAGATTTTCATTTTAGAAAGACGATTGTGTCAGTTGTAGGTGCAATTCAGAAGAGGGCGGGCAAATTTAAGAGAATTTGAGAGGCTACCTCAGCAGGAGGCAGCCGAATAACCACACTTGGGACTGGGGAGGAGCTCTGTACAGCGTGTTGAATGATGTGGTCACTCAGGGACAGGGAATTAAGGGGGAGAAGCAGGGCTGCGTGCAGGAGAATTGACATATTGGGATTGATAACAGGGATGGGTGTATCAGTAACAATTTACAAAGGACGTAATTCAGAAGTCATCATAAAATCTAAAATTGTAATTTCAGAAGTGTAATTCCAAGCACGTTTTAAGTCAGTACAGTTATACTTTATTATCTGCTCTTCTGTAGTCTAACTTACTTTCAATTTCTTTGTCATCAATATGTGAATACTACTTACTGGAAGGAAATCACACGTCTTTTCTCCAAAGAGTCTGTTGGCAGTTCTAAGCAAGTACTGAGTGCCAGTTCTGTTAACTTCACTGAGAAGTGACTGGAAACCTCGGTGAATATCTCCGTCTTTGTATAAACAAAGTGCCTGGGAACAGAAACCAACACTGACTTTTAACGCTGCCATTATACTCTCCCAAAGAGCTTTCTCCAAACAAACCTCTGTACTAAAAAAACCACACAGGATCCTACTTTAAAAAGGTTTGGCCTAATTGTCTAGCACAGGGTTTCTCAACGTGGGCAATGCAGCATTGACATTTGGGGCCAGGACACTTCCTTGTCTCATATAAGCATTGTAGGATTTTTGCAGCACTTCTGGCTTCCATCCACTAGATGTCAGTAGCACCTCTCAGTTATGGGATCTAAAACTCCAGGTCTTCGCAAGGGTCCCCAGGAAGGAAAAATTCACCCACCGACCCCTACCTCCCACCCACCAGGTGAGAACCACTAGTCTAGCAAATTTATTCATGCCAGCAAGGCAGTGTGCGATAATTCAGGGGGAAGGCAGAACAGAAAAAAGTAAGTAACTGGGATGAATTACAACTCGGGTAATACAAACAAAAGCAGCAATAAAACTAAAAATGTTTCATCTGCAATTTTACAGAAGTTCTCCAGACCATATTATAAATTAAATGTCAAGTCAGAGTGAGAATTAAGGTTATTCCTATATCTCTCGATCACCCCCAGTCCAAAGCCTCACTCCTCCAATCAGTTGAAAGAAACAACCACAGAAGGATGTCAACTGGGGTCCCTGGGTGCATTTTAGGAGACTGTCTATACACTCCTGATATTGGTGGCAAAATGATATCCATTTGGCAATTATCTGGGACATCTTCACCAATAGTCAGAGAACTGTTCCTAAAGCATTATCCCACACCTCGTTTGTAGATAAGGTCATACATCACCATTTTGAATCAAACAGATTATATATTCCTCAAATCACTCCAGAAGATATAAGTCCACACTTGTGTTACATTCCTCTTCTAGGATGCATAATCATGCACTAAAATAACCCACTTAACAAAAAGTTAATCTACGCACCCACATGTCTATTAAAAATATAATGTTAGCAAAAGTTTAAAATGTAACAAAATTGGAATATTTTGCTTTCTTGTGGGACAGAATTATACTTTATCCTACTTATCAAAGATGTGAATTTGCCAGACTGTATTGATGATCTGATCTAGAGAAAATAACTCTATGGCTTGACTTCTCCCATAAACATCAGAGGAGATGATCTGTCCAACACATTTCACCTTTCTACCCCTTTCTGCTCTTCTCCACTGCCGAGCTGCTCCTCCTTCTACCTCCAGCTCCACAGGCCTCAGCTAGAGCAAAAGTACAGAAAGACAGCTGTATGGAAGCACAAGGGAAACACACTGTTCTCCTTCCTTTGTGACAAGCACACATACCTGGGACATCTGGGCTGCAGTGCTTCCCTTTGCCCCCATGAAGACCATGGCCAGGGCAGAGGAGATGCTCATGGGAGAGAAGAATACGTTTCTTGAGTTGTCCTCTTCCCCCAATATTTTAAATAAGCTGATGGCAAAAGTGCCATTTGCTTCACAGAGGTCATCCATCAGAGAAGGTCTGCATCAAAGGCACAGCAGGGAAAAGCACATAAGCCAATGACTCCGGTAGCCACGCAGTCATTCATCCCCCAGTCAGTGGACGCTGAGGTGGTAGGTGGAAGAACCACCCTCCAAAGACTTCCACTCCTAATTCCCAAAACCTGTGACTACATGATCTGCCCTGGCAATAAGGACTTTGCAAATGGTATTCAGTTAAGTATTTTGAGATCTGAGATTATCCTGAGTTATCCCAGTGGGCTTAATGGAATCACGAGCGTCCTTAAAAGAGAGAGGCAGGAGGGGCAGAGTCAGAGACAGAGACATGAGGACGGAAGCAGAGGTCAGAGGGATAGGGGCCACTGATGAAGGAATGCAACCTCCTCGAGAAGCCAGAAAAGGCAAGGAACAGATTTTCTTCTAGAGACTCCAGAAAATAACATTGCTATGCTGTACCATTTTGGACTTAGGACTTCCAGAACCATAAGATAATAAATGTGTGTCATTTTTCAGCCACTAAATTTGTGGTAAAGTGTTATCACACCAATAGGAAACAAAAACACTGGTTTATTCATAAAATAGCCAATCTCAGGGCCTATGACTTGTATCCCTCTTAGCAACAGGGGCACAGACACCCTGCAACACCTGCTTACTTCCTCCCTTGGTATAGCAGCAGCCAAAAGGTCTTTGTGCGGACGGGTGTGGTGCCTCACACCTGTAATCCCAGCACTTTGGAAAGCCAAGGCAGGCAGATCACTTGAGGTCAGCAGTTCGAGACCAGCCTGGCCAACAAGGTGAAACCCCATCTCTATTGAAAATTCAAAAATTATCCAGGCATGGTGGCGGGCACCTGTAATCCCAGCTACTTGGAAGGCTGAGGCAGGAGAATCACTTGAGCCCCAGGAGGTGGAGGCTGCAGAGAGCCGAGATCACGCCACTGCACTCCAGCCTGGGCAACAGAGTGAGACTCCATCTCAGGAAAAAAAAAAAAAGATCTTGGTGCCAGGCACTGTTTTCAGCACTTTCCATTATCACCCAATAACACATTGAGGTCAGTATAGTTATTGCCCCACTTTAGAGATGAGAAGACTGAGTGAGGTTTAGTAACTCATTCCAGAACCCTCAGGTAGTCATAAACGCCTGGCACCCACAGTTTGATTCCAGAGCCTGAATTCTTAATCATTACACAAAATCCCCCTATTGCTGCTAATTATCTTTCAGTTTAATGTCTCCAATATAATCTATAAAGAATGTTCTAAAACTTATATATGTAATTCTTTATCAATAAAAACTGTATTTCTGTCATCACTTCCTGTGAAAACAGCTAGATACATTTCACCAAATTTGGAGGGTTTGTTTGAGATAGGCTGGCCTGAAATATGAGGCTACTGGAAAGACAAAAAAAAAAAAAATTACTTTTTAAAGTGACTCCAAAAAGATGCCCCATTTTCCCCAAGAGTTGCTGAAACTGGGTTACGGAGTTGCAAAGAAAGTCCATAGGCATGGATATAAAATATGAAGCCCTAATCTTGTCATCGAGGGAGCACTTTTAATTAGATGCATTGATTTTTGGATCCTCCTGGCTAAGAGGGTCTTAACATTCCCCTCAGCTTGAATTAACTTTAGACAACCTAAACTTGACTAAATAAACAAACTAAACAGGCTTCCTCCTGCCTCTAGGCCCTTTCTTCCTTTTTCTTAAAGCATTTTATTTAGAGAACTTGTCATTGTAAATTCTTTATCAGCCCCTTTGAGATGTAAATCTTTTAAAAAAGCTTCTTGCTAGTTTTACATCCCAGGACAGTCTCTCAAAGACCTGGAAGCCATCCTTTTGAAATGTAATCATCAAGAAAGATAGCATCCCTATCAACCAGTTCTGTGGAAGGTAGGAGCCTAATCTAGGGGGGCACCTTGCTTAAAGTGCTAAAAAGCTATTACAGTTTACTATTATTATAATTTTAGTGCATTATTATAAGTCCTACATTGTTGTTTATATCTATTAAACCCTATAAAAACGTGGGCTATTTCATAAAATATTGCAGTTCACCAACTCATCTCAATTTCCCTCAGCCTTTTTGTTCTTACAATTGAGAACATTTGGGAAAATAAAAGGACAAATCATTATCTATAATCTCATGATCCTACAGATATTTTTTCTATTATATTATCCTTTTTTTCATAAACATGTATAATTTTAACTGAAAAATGTAGTCAAACAAGAAAAATATGCTCCAGTTTGGAAAATTAGCAAATGAGCAAAATGAAAAGTCCTGGAAACTCTATCTAGAGATATAAATTATCGTGCATGTGTTCATTTCTATAAACAGATGGAGCCTCATCCAGTTTCCCAGCGGCCTACAAAGTGCCTGTTGCAGCAGCTCTGAAACTGTATGCCCTTAGTGGGGGTCTTGGACAGGTCTTCTGGGTCTCTTAGAGCACAGGAGGAAAGGGGAATTGAGTGGCTGAGACAAGGAAGTGGGGAACAACTGTATTAACCAAAGTATCTTCACTGTTGGATGTTTTGCTTCCTCCTAAGATATTTCGCTTCCTCCTAAGATATTTTTCAACAGAAGGGTGTCTCTTACTTAAACAAAAAAGTGAGCTTATATATTTTTTTAAAGTGTAAAGGCAACACTCTAAATATAGAACAACAGTCTAAAGCAGTGCAAATTCTTTAAAGTTTAAAATAAATGTTAGTGCAGTTCAGAAAAAAACAAGTAGGGTTAGGGTTATGGTTAGGGTTCAGAAAACTAAGTAAAATAAATGTGAACCAAGAAAACACAATCATGACATAATTTGCACAACAGTACTCTATACTTAAGAGGTTGTTTATTATGGAACAAAATATTCCTGTTTCTCACTATCCTCACATCATAAGACCTCTCCAGAGCTTATACTAGGGTCTGCAGATGTTGGAAGGCAGAGTAGTATGTGCAGGCAAGTCCCGGGGTCCTCCACAACCTCATCTTTCACTCGAGGACATTTCAGAGACTGGGAGGCAGGAAGGAATATTCAGACTTCATAGAACTGGGCCAACCAGAAGGTGGCACCAAAGAAACTTAAAGATGGAGAGAATTGGGTAAACTGGGTAAGACAGAGACACAAATAAATTTGGATTTGATCCAACCTTAGCATAAGAGCTTTGGACTCAGGGTGAAGCAAGCATGAACTTAGGTTGGGGTGTGTGTGTGTGTGTGTGTGTGTGTGTAGGTGTGTTTAATCATCCTGTCTGAACTATTGAATCAATAGTTTCAATAGTTCTGAATGAACTGAACTATTGCATCAATCTCATCTTTACATTTTAACTGCTCTTAGTTGCAAACTGCTACTTCTGATTTCTTCCATCTTTCCTCTTCCTTCATCTCATGTCCCCACTTCCATTCCTTTTCAACACTCAGGTGCTGGTCAGTATGTGGTATTTCCCATCAATATCTACCCTGCAGCCACAATACATGTGCACACACTCACACACAAGTGCACCCCCTTGGCCTCTGCTCAGGTCAGAAGTCAGGCAGGGGAGAAAACCAGGTAACAGAATGACTCTTCCCCCTGTCTTCCTGGTGTTCCAATCTCATTTGGACTTTATAGCTTTTGAAAGGGTTGGAACTTTAAACAAAATGGACTTTACCCAATATTTCTAAAAAGCAATTAATTTTAATACAAAATAATACTTTAGGTGCCAATGCCACAATTAGATTGTGTTATAAAAACACAGGAATCAGAAGTTTTTATTTCCAGCCAACCAAATAAATTGGCATTAAACTAGTTTTTCCTTTTCAGGCAAACAAACAAAGACAGAGGCAATTAAATACTGTCCACAGGACTCACAGAAAAAGTGAGAGTCAGCCTCAAAAGCAAGCCTTACGTTTCCAAGTATATGATATTGTCCTCCTCCTGGGAGCCCCAAATACCTACGAACTACCTCCTCCACTCCCCCATCCCCATACAACATCCAAAAGTGAGTTTATTCAAAGAGCATTTATGTAGAATGTTCACTACCTGTTTTGGGAGGAGAAAATGAAAAATAAATGCGTTAATCACTGCCCAGAAGCTTACACCCTAAAGAAGACACACATATGGAAATGCGTAGTTTCAAGCCAGTCAGGTGCTCTATAACAGGATAATTTTGAAAGTGCTATGGAAATCCTCAGAAAAAAACAAGTAAATAAATAAATAATAAGAAGAAAACCTCTACAGAATCCTGGAAAGACTTTCCAGAGAAGCTGGCTTTAAAAGCTGGGCAGGCCAAGGTAATTTATAGATTCAATGCCATCCCCATCAAGCTACCAATGACTTTCTTCACAGAATTGGAAAAAACTACTTTAAAGTTCATATGGAACCAAAAAAGAGCCCACATTGCCAAGACAATCCTAAGCAAAAAGAACAAAGCTGGAGGCATCACATTACCTGACTTCAAACTACACTACAAGGCTTCAGTAACCAAAACAGCATGGTACTGGTACCAAAACAGAGATATAGACCAATGGAGCAGAACAGAGGCCTCAGAAATAATACCACACATCTACAACCATCTGATCTTTGACAAACCGGACAAAAACAAGAAATGGAGAACGGATTCCCTATTTAATAAATGGTGCTGGGAAAACTGGCATATGTAGAAAGCTGAAACTGGATCCCTTCCTTACACCTTATACAAAAATTAATTCAAGATGGATTGAAGACTTAAATGTTAGACCTAAAACCATAAAAACCCTAGAAGAAAACCTAGGCAATACCATTCAGGACATAGCCATGGGCAAGGACTTCATGACTAAAACACCAAAAGCAATGGCAACAAAAGCCAAAGTAGACAAATGGGATCTAATTAAACTAAAGAGCTTCTGCACAGCAAAAGAAACTACCATCAGAGTAAACAGGCAACCTACAGAATGGGAGAAAATTTTTGCAATCTACCCATCTGACAAAGGGCTAATATCCAGAATCTACAAAGAACTCAAACAAATTTACAAGAAAAAAACAAACAACCCCATCAAAAAGTGGGCAATGGATATGAACAGACACTTCTCAAAGGAAGACATTTATGCAGGCAACAGACACGTGAAAAAACGTTCATCATCACTGGTCATCAGAGAAATGCAAATCAAAACCACAATGAGATACCATCTCACACCAGTTAGAATGGTGATCATTAAAAAGTCAGGAAACAACAGGTGCTGGAGAGGATGTGGAGAAAAAGGAACACTTTTAAACTCTTGGTAGGACTGTAAACTAGTTCAACCATTATGGAAGACAGTGTGGCGATTCCTCAAGGATCTAGAACTAGAAATACCATTTGACCCAGCCACCCCATTACTGGGTATACACCCAAAGGATTATAAATCATGCTACTACAAAGACACATGCACATGTATGTTTATTGCGGCACTATTCACAATAGCAAAGACTTGGAACCAACCCAAATGTCCATCAATGATAGACTGGATTAAGAAAATGTGGCATATATACACCATGGAATACTATGCAGCCATAAAAAAACGATGAGTTCATGTCCTTTGTAGGGACATGGATGAAGCTGGAAACCATCATTCTCAGCAAACTACCACAAAGACAGAAACCCAAACACCACATGTTCTCACTCATAGGTGGGAACTGAACAATGAAAACACTTGGACATAGGGTGGGGAAAATCACACACCGGGGCCTGTGGGGTGGGCGGGGGGGATGTGAGAGGAATAGCATTAGGAGAAATACCTAATGTAAATGACTAGTTGATGGGTGCGGCAAACCAACATGGCTCATGTATACCTATGTATCAAACTTGCATATTGTGCACTTTTACCCTAGAGCTTAAAGTATAATAATAAAAAAGAAACAACCCAAATGTCCATCAAAAACAGAATGGATAAATGGATTGTAGTATATTAGTATAATGGAATACAGAACAATAAAAACTGAAAGAACCATATCTATAAGTTCTTTAGTTTTTGACATGGACAATTCCCACAAATAATGTATTAAAGGATTAAGCCACAGAGTAATACAGTATTATTCCATATACGTAAAGTTCAAAACCAGGCTAAACTAAATCATTCTGGATGCATGTGTAGACAGTAAAACTATGTCGTTATTATCATGAAACTCAGGAAGGTGGTGATACAGAGGGGAGGGAAGCGGATGTGATGAGGGAGGAGGGTGTGATCAGTAGGGAAACACGGCCTCCAGCGATGACAATATTCCAGTTATTAAACTGGGTGATGGGTTGTACTGCTGTTCTTTATAATTCAATACACATTTTAAATGTTCTTTTGTATTTATTCAATAGGTAATGAAACTTATTAAAACCACATATCAAAAAAAAAAAGAAAAAAGAAAAGCCGGGCAGGCATTCCGTAGGTGGTGAAATGGGGGATGCAAATAATAGGCTGAGGAATTAGCAGGTGCCAAGAATGTGGCAGGAAGACAAAGGGCATGGTTTGTGTGGTGCCCCTGGGGTGGGTTTCTATGGTTTCCTGTGAGCCACGTGGTAGTGAGATAGGACGGACCCTTATGCCACATTTAGGAGTTTGAACTTGAGATTATGGTCTGGAAAGCCATGCATGGTTTTTAAACAAACGTCTCATATGAGTGCATTGGGGCTTTAGAAAGATAACCCGGCTCAGTATTTGGTATGAAAAGAGGCTGGGGAGCTGGCGCGTAGGCCACCACCATGGGCCAGGGACTGCTGAAAGCAGAGGGATTGTCTGCAATAGAGAAGTGGGGGCTGGAATTGCCAGGCAGTGACTGCTCACATAGGGACAGAGCACAGGAGGGCCCAGTCCCGAGGCGCCTAGCTGTTATAAATTCATACTCAGGGTGGGTCGTGAACCACTGGAATTTTAAATGAGGAGTCAGGCTGGAATGGGGAATATGACTTGTTCCATTTGAGATGCGTGGAACACACCATACCAGGTGAACCTGTAACAAAGACAGCCAAGGATGTTTGTAAACAGTTAGGGACGGGGATGAGTAGACTGTCTAGAGCCAGAGACCTGGAGCCATCAGCATCCCGATTCCGAGAGGTTCCATGAGAATGGATGAAACTACACAGAACATCTAGTGGAGGCACAAGGGAAGAAATCCACCTATTTCTGTGGAATTTCCAATATCTGGAGGTAGTAAAAGGAAGAGACAGAGGAGGGCGAGGGGAGAGCGCGCGCGCGAAACGGAGACTGAGACCCAGCCATCAGGGTGTGCTGGGAGAACTGGGGAGACGAGTCTGCCCCTGCGAGTGGACCCAGGGAAGAGGGCGCGGTCTACGCAGAGCCCGAGGCAGGGAAGCGGGAGGGGCCCGGAGAGCAGCCCTGGGTGAGGCCCTTTGGAATGGAGAGGTCTCAGGAGTGAAGCAGCAGCCAGAGGACTGAGAGTGTCTGGAAAGTGAGGAATTGGTTAAAGTAACGCCGGTGGCTGCAACAGAGAGGGGCGTAGGTGAAGAAGCACCCCCAACCCCATCCCATTTGAGAGGAAGCAGACAATGAAGAAGAGAATATGAAAGATACAGAAAGATGAAGGCAGGGGTGGAAAGAACGGAGGGGGGGGACAGGAAGGGAAGGAGAAGGTGCAACCAATAGGCTGTAAGCACAGGGGCAAGCTTGGGCGCCAGGGGAGCAGGGACTCGGCGCCTCCCCGATCTGCCCCAGGCGCCACGGAAATTCCAGGCCCCGCCACCCGCACTCCCGGAGCCTCCTCCGCAGCGGCGGCTCCTCCCACTCGCCCTCCCGGGGCTCCCGCCCAAGCTTCCGGCGCTTCCAAACTCACTGCTCGCGTCACCCCCCGCTCCCATCCGGCAGCAAATCACAGCGCAGCAAATCGCAAGCCTAGAAACAGACGCTCCCTCTCCAGGGGCAGCTTCCTATTCAGGGCGGGTCTGGGCGCACCTGTTCTCGGGACCCGGCCCTCGGCCTTCGCCGGGTCTCGCGGTGGGGCTTGGGACCCCGGCTGGTGCCAGGGCGACCCCCACAGCCCCGCGACTCTCTTTCCCGGCCGCCTCCCGCCGTCATTCTCCTAGTTCCTGCCCGCCTTTGCCTCGCTCTGATTCCTGCTCTGGCCTTCCTCCCTTCCCCTCTCTCACGCACTCCAGGGAAGAGGTGGCCTCCGCGGGAACCTGGGCACCTCCGTGCCTGCCCCGCCCGGTACCTGGCAGAGGCCCCCACCTCCTGCTGCTGCTGCTGCTGCCGCCGCCGCCGCCGCCGCTGCTGCTTTGACTATTCCTCCTTTGTAGATGCTTCACGTCCGCCTTGATTGAGGGCAAGGCTTCCGGCAGATGACTCAGAACCGTTCGATTGCTCTGGCTTGTGCAATCCCTGATTCTTTGGGCCTGTGTGGATGTCTGTGGGCACCGGAGAGAGGGCCAGTGCCTGGTCCTTGGAGGGTGGTTTTTATAAAAAGTGTACACATTGGCTATTGTCCTTTTTTCACCGTTGATTCACGTTTGACTCCACTGTAGTTAGACGTCCACCCAAACATTCTCTGAAATTGCTCCTGATAAGGATACTAATCATTTTCTAATTGCCTTGGCCAAAAAATACATCCCAGGTCTTATTTCATTTTGTTTGTTGGCGACATTTAGCCCTTTCTTCTTTGACCTTCCCAGGATTTCCAGAGCACCCTTCCCTTCTTTCCTGACTCCTTTGCTTGGTATCCTGATTCCTTTCCTACCATTCTAAGCCCTCTTCTTTTCATTATAATATGATCTTCTTGTATGACCTCCACTATATCCATAGGTTCATGTTTCAACTTTTAACTTATTTCTTCAAAATCTCTAACCTGTCTCGAGCCGTAGATGTTACCTGTGTACTACTGGACATCTCTCAGAAACCTGGGTGTGTCCCTCCGCAGTTCTTTTAACTAAATGATCAACAGTCCTGTTACTTCTATCACTTTTGTGTTCCTCCTGTCCATACTCTGTCACCTCTATCATGTCTCATGTCTCTCCTAAACAATTAATTTTCCTACCTACAGTTCTGATCCATGCCAACCTATTGCCTACTCTGAAGTTCAGGTAAACATTCCAATTCTAATTATTTTATACCTCAGTTTAAAATCCTTTATAACATCCTCTTATCCAAAAAGATAAATTAGAAACTATTGAGCAAGGAGTGTAAGCCTCTTCACGTCTTGATTTCTCCCTTCTTTTCTTTAGAGCCATAGCAAATTATTTACATTCCTTCATATCCTCTGTTCATATACATGGGGTTCCTGGCATGCAAGCTTGTCTTTCAAAATTCAGTTCAAATAATGTCTCCTGCAGGAAGCTCTCACAGAGCTCTCCAGTTTGGGAATTCTGCTTTTAAAGATGCACATTCCCACTCTGCACCCCAAACCAATTAAGTAAAGATCTCTTGGAGGAGGGAACCCAGCAGCAGTATTTTGTAAAACTCGCTCAGTGATTTCCCTGTGGAATCCTAAAAGTAACTGTTCCCAAGAACTCTCCTCAATAAGTCTTGGTGCAGGATTCACCCCCATCTTTTCTCCATGACTTTGAAACCCCTCTCTCTAGTGGCTACAGACTCACATTTGAACTGTGCCCAAACTTACCGGCTCTGCCAGTTGAAAATGCCAAGGTCACTTCCCCATTGTGCATCAATTTCTCCTTGTTGGTCAGAACTAGATCCAGACTTTGGGCCCCACTTTGTCCATCCACTCCTTTTCCTCTTTGACCAGCAAAACAGATTAAAAGATGAAAAATGCTTGTTTTCCTCCGTGAAACTTCCAGCAAATGCCTGGTGGTTTGAAGTCCTTTACAAAGGATATAATTTGGCCCCTGGGAGTTTGGTTGTAAACACAGATATCCCATGTAGGAAACACAGTGCGTGCAGGTGCAAAGAGGCACAAGATAGCACCATGAAAACCATGACGTATCCAGGCCTGCAGTGGTACAGATAGTGTGGATGAGGCACTGCAAGACAACGTCTGATGTGTCCACAGGGCCATGTCGTGAAGGCCATGTGGACGCTGTTGGTGGTGTTTCTTCGTTCCCTTGTGGACTATGGGGAAACACAAAAGGATTTTAAGCTGGGGAGAAACATAATCATATTTGTATTTACGAAGGTCCCTCTGGCTGCAACATGGAGTATATTGTAGGAGGGTACCATTGCCTGCAGTGAGGCGTTAAGGACGCAGCATGGATGAGAGATGAGGAAAGCTGAAATGAAACAGAGGCAGGAGAAATGGAGAGGAGGACATGGCCTTGAGGAATTTCCAGGACATAAATTTGGCATCACTTCTTGGACCATGAGAGGAAGAGGGAGCAGGAAGAATCAAAGATGAATCCAAGAATGAACAAATCTAATTTTTGAAATAATGCAATGAAAAGTAGAACTGGTCTGTTTTCCTAGGTAAGGAATTTGTCTGCAAGTCGATATTCACGAGGATTAATTGTATTTATTTTCTGAGTATGGACAATTTAAATGCTGGGCCCTGAAGGGAAACCCATCTCTCAGAATAACTAAAGCCCAATTTCAGAGTGAGCCTGAACAGGCTCCCCACTCCACCCTGGCCCACTGGGGACACAACAGGTAACTGATAAGGTTCCAGAGTATATAATTCAGTGCCTCAGAAACTGTCCTCAGCCTCATCTTCTGTCTTCTTGCCTCATACCTAACTTCACATCTCTTCAGTCAGTACTAGGGAGTATCTGCTGGTTCTCAACTCCCGACTCAACCTTGACCTAGTTTTGTCTGACTCCCTCGGCTCCTGACTTTGTGGACCTCAGGAAGGGCACACTCCTAGGCTAGTCTCAGGTTGAGCTACCACCGTCTCCAAATTAGACTTCCACTTGTCAAGAAGGAAGTAGAGTCCAGGCATAATTGGAGCTTCCTGGGGTGATTCGAGGTCTCTGTACTCCTTGCTGTAAAATGCACAAATACTCCACCTTAAAGAATCTCACGGGGCAGGGCACAGTGGCTCATGCCTGTAATCCCAGCACTTTTGGAGGCCGAGGCGGGCGGATCACCTGAGGTCAGGAGTTCCAGACCAGCCTGGCCAACGTGGTGAAACCCCGTCTCTGCTAAAAATACAAAAATGAGCCAGGCGTGGTGGCAGGTGCCTGTAACCCCAGCTACTAGGGGGCACTGAAGCAGGAGAACTGCTTGAACCTCGGGAGGTTGCAGTGAGTTGAGATTGTGCCACTGCACTCCAGCCTGGGCAACAGAGCGAGACTGTCTCAAACAAACAAACAAAAAACAAAGAGTCTCACCGGAGTTCCAAAATATCCTTCAGTGACTGACCATATACTCTAGCAAAAGTTACTTCATATATGCCCGGCCACAGCTCTCAATCTCCCATGAGATTCCCAGCAATCTTCCCTGGTTTTGAGAAAGTGTAAAAAAACACAAAAAGCAAAAACAAAACACACTTGCTTCAGCTAATTAATGCTAGAGAAACAAACATAGCATCATAAAATGTAAGCATTTGAAAGAACCATATTGTTGACGCTGTTCCTTATATTTTGCAGGAGAGGATGGTGAAATAGAGGTAGTTTGTGTGATTTGCCCAGAGTCCCATGAAGAATTCACAGAAGAATTGAGACTACAGTCAGTATGGCCACATTCCCAGAGAACTGCTTTTTCTGCCATACCCTGTGGTAATAATATTGTCACAAGACAATTGGACAGTGTTTCACATATTCAGTGATGGAAGAAGAGTTTAATTGAAATAAATAAATGTCAGGAAAAATTAATTCGATTGTGATAACACTTAAGGAATGGAGTGTTCACTCTCTAGGAGAAGTTGGGCTAAATGATGAAATGGAGTGTCCGTGTATGTGATCTGTGGTGCTGTTTTGCTGTAGTTAATTCCTATTTTTAACTTGAAATGTGTTCTGACTGCGTTAGTGCCAATTTTTTTGAGACCGGTGTACCTATCCTATCAGGTACATTCGATTTACACAAGTACATTCTCTTTTCAGTTCTCCCACCACTTCTCTTTATTCAAACAATTAAAACCTTCTTGAATATTATTTGGTTAGTCCTTTGAGTTAATGAATCAATTTTACAGGATCTGCTTCTGTCATTTTTCATTAACATTCCCCAGACAAATTTGTACTGCTTACTAACAGCACAATCCTAAATTCAAAAGATTACTGAGTTATAAAGTGGATGTCTGGACAATCCAAAACATAATGGCTGTGGTTTGGGTGTGGATTTTTGTCTCCACGAAAACCCACACTGCGATTCAGTCCCTGCTGTGCCAGTGTTCCACTTAGGGAGAGGTGTCTGCGTCATGTGGGTGGATCCCTTGTGAAAGCCTTGGTCCTGTTCTCCTGGTAGTCAGTGAGGTACAATTAGCTCTCATGGAATGGATTAATTCCTCCAAGAGTGGGTTGTTATAAAGTAAGGTTTCTCCCCATGTTTGGTCCCTCTTCGCATGTGCCTGCATCCCCTTTGACCTTTCCCTCATTGAACCTGCAGGTTCAATGAAGGTTCACTGCAACCTCCGCCTCCTGAGGTTCAATGTCTTTTGACATAGCACAAAAGCCCTCTCCAGAAGCCTGGGGATGCCAGTGCCATACCTCTTGTATATTCTGCAGAATATGAGCCAAATAAGCCTTCTTTCTTTATAAACTACCCAGCCTCAGGTATTCCTATATAGCAACACAAAACAGACTAAGACAATGCTTATATGAAAATGTCTAGATTGTTACCAAGACAAATGTAAGCAATGAAACATACATGTTGTAGAGCCTCTGCTGATCAAGGGTATGGAGAACCCAGTGGACCTTAATGTGAAAAGCATTACATTAATATGCCTGGTATTGTATTTCAAGGAACTTATAAAAGAAAAAAAGGCTCCTGATATGGCATTGCCTGGAAACTGCCATTAGTCCCTCATTAGTGAATCGTCAGTCTCTCCATTAATTTGAAGGGGGTTAAGGGGAAGTATTAAGTGACAAAGAATTTGGAGGGAATTAGAAAGATCTCTTTGGTTTCTAAACGTATCTTTTCGTGCTTTGATTGAATGTGTTGCAGATAGGAAAGTTGAATAGGAGATCCCTGATAGCCTCTCAGATTTTAGCTTATCAATAGAGTTACCATTGATTGTTGAAACAGTGTGAGTTCCTGCCACTTGTTCTAGTGTCCTGTCTGGTTCAGCATTAATCTCAGAATTTTCAGTTTTTAATGGAGTAGTTTTTCTAATAGCTGCACACCCTCAAGCCAGAATGTGTTTGCTAGATCCACACTGTGGACTTCAGTCTCCTGCCACACTCTTTCATAATAGTGGGAGAGATGCTTATTCAGTTACATCAGGCAGTGTTCACTTTGCAAACAAACTACATCAGAGATTTGAAGAGAAGAGAATTAATACAAAGAATTATTAAGTAATAGATTTTTTAAAAATACTGTAATGGCAGCAGATGTAGAAGGTACAAAAGAGAAATTGTCACTTCATGTCTTGGGGTAAGTGGAAAAAAAAAGAACTAAGGACTTAGGAAAAGACATAGGTCATAGACTGTATTATGTCCTCACAAAATTTTTATGTAAAAGCCCTAACCCCTAAGATGATAGTTTCTGGAGATAGGGCCTTTGGGAGTTGATTGGGGTAAAATAAAGTCAGGAGGGTTGGGCCCTCTTGAAGAAATTAGTGGCATTAAAAGAAGAAGAGATAAATTGCTCTCCCTGCCATGTGAACATAGCTAAAAGGTGGCCTTCTGCAAACCAGGAATAGAGCCCTCTTCAGAAACCAAATCTCCTGGCAGCCTGATCTTGGACTTCCCAGCCTCTAAAACTCTGAGAAATGTCAGTTGCTTAAACTGCCCAGTCTATGGTATTTTATTTTTATTTTTTGAATCAGTGTCTCACTCTGTTGCCCAAGCTGAAGTGCAGTGGCATGATCTTGGTTCACTGCAGCCTCTGCCTCCTGGGTTCAAGCGATTCTCCTGGCTCAGCCTCCTGAGTAGCTGGGACTATAGGCAGGTGCCACCATGCCCAGTTAATTTTTTTGTTTTTGTTTTCAGTTTTGTATTTTCAGTAGAGATGGGGTTTCACCATGTTGGCCAGGATGGTCTCTAACTCCTGACCTCCGGTGATCTGCCCACCTTGGCTTCCCAAAGTGCTGGGATTATAGGCATGAGCCACCACACCCAGCCTATGGTATTTTATTATACCCACCTGAGCAAACTAACATGACTGAATGTCCCAAGGCTGATATTCAGAGCTCTTTGAAGGTGTGGCTGCCACAGGAACATGCAGTCTGCAGTGGCTATGAAACTTGTCAGATGGCCAAAGCTGGCTTACGAGAAGCCATATGTCCTTGCTGGAGGGTGTGGGCAGGCTGGGGCTGGACCATAGAAGCAAATGCCTGGTAGGGATATAGTTGCCAGAGGTTGCATCTTGACCAAATGCAGAAATGGCCATTGTGTGGAGAAAGCATTCCCTGAGAATGTGGCTACAGATGACCAAGTGAGCTGCTGGGTGCCTACACTGAATAATCCTAAGAAGATCAGAATCCAGAAAGTGCATTTCTACTTCTATCTTCTTACAGTGTCTCTCCAGCTCCCTCTATTGGCAAAGCTGAACACTGGGCCAGTCAGTCAAGTTCTTGTTACAGGATCCAGGTTTACTATCACAAAGTCCACAAAGGTAGATTTAGAGCTGATAGACAATAAATTGATATCTGGCACAGCAATGAATGGAGTTCTCAGGCAAGCCTGTCATTAAATCTGGATGATAACTACTGAATCTGTCTCTTTTCCTGATCCTCTCCAGAATCCTTCATCTCAAGGACAATATCTAAGGAATTCACTGGTAAAACATTTTATGCTTGGTCACAAGCAGCTAGAGAAAGCAAACTACTTCCGGCCTGGTGCGGTGGCTCATGTCTGTAATCTCAGCACTTTGGGAGGCCGAGGTGGTGGATCACGAGGACAGGAGTTCAAGACCAGCCTGGCCAACATGGTGAAACCCCGTCTCTACTAAAAATACAAAAATTGGTCGGGAGGCTGGGGCAGGAGACATGCTTGAACCCAGGAGGTGGAGGTTGCAATGAGCTGAGATTGCACCACTGCACTCCAGCCTGGGTGACAGAGCGATACTCTGTCTTGGAAGGAAGGAAGCAAGGAAAGAAGGAAGGAAGGAAGCAAGGAAGGAAGGAAGGAAGCAAGGAAGGAAGGAAGGAAGGAAGCAAGGAAGGAAGCAATGAAGGAAGGAAGGGAGAGAGAGAGAAAGAAAGAAGAGAGAGAGAAGAAAGAAAGGAAAGAAAGAAAGAAAGAAAGAAAGAAAGAAAGAAAGAAAGAAAGAAAGAAAGAAAGAAAGAGAAAGAAAAGAAAGAAAGAAAGAAAACTACATCTGAAGTCAACACTAGTATTGGTGGGAGAGGAATTTTATGCTGCATTCCCCAACAGCCACTAGATACGCCAATCAGGTGTGCATGGTCCATGCTATGATCTGTGAGTATCAGATCAACGTCAGCTTGTTCAGCAAGCCCTCAGGACTGGAAACCTCCCTCAAGTCCTCTGCCCCCTCCATCTCCTTCAACACAGAAGCTTCAGCTCAGGAAAGGAAAGGCCACCTTTCACATGCAGAAGCGCATCAGCTTCTGGAGGGGTACTTCATGAAGGTACTGCCTCCATCTTCTCAGTCTCCAAACCATCCCTTGCTTTGGACCTCTCCTTTTCAACTGTGGCCCTGCAGCCCTCTTTGAGAAGAGGGATGCAAGAGCCTTAGAGTTCCCACTTATTGAAGCATAGGAGGAGTGAAGGCTCTCAGGACCTCCATTCAGGACTCCTGGAGGGGGTAGCAATGCTTGCAGAGTTCATAGCGCCCAGATGCACCTGACCTTAGCTCCATATCCCAGGATGCTCATCCCTGGATCCAGGATGATGTGCTTTTGGTGCCAGAAGTTTCTGAGTTCCACTTTTCAGATGGGATAACACAGCCAAAGAAATCAGACTTCATCTTAAAGGGAGACAGGTTTCTGGTCCCTACTCTTCCTGCACTGTGCTGACAGCTGCCCTTCTGGTAGGAGCTGATATAGGTAAGTTTCACAATAACAAGAGGAAGAGATTACTCATGGCTTTTCTGGATGTACCAGGCTTGTTTGAGTAATTTTCCAGTGTTTGGCATTACCAGACATTGGATCCACATTCTACCTCGTTGCTAGCTACAAGAACTTGTTCAAGCTACTTAACTTCTGAGTCTCAGATTCCTCATGGGTTTATTATCACTAAGGATTAAATAATCTATGCAAAATGTCCAATGCAAAGAAGGTATTCAGTAAACATATCTGAGGAGGTCAGATCAACTTTTTTTCCTAGAATTCAATTCTAAATGGAACTCACTTTGTGGATACTTACAAGAAACACTACATAGTGTAAGGGAAATGTCTTAGTGCAATTTCACAAAACACATGGAATTATTATTTGGGAGGCTGGACCTTTCACGGAATTGTAGCTGTTTTGATTGTCTCATATTCACCTTGTTGGTGAAGGAGGGATCTCCCCCATTAAATAGTAGGAGATAACTAGACACATGGCATGACACACTGGACAGATGAAATTGGCGGCAGTTTATTAGTCACAACTGCTCACAGGGAGGGAGGTCACCACATGCCATGCGGGGTCACAGGAGAGTTGCATTTGGGAATAGAGTGAACCAGTAGGGGCTGTGGAAGGCAGGCTTTGCAGTAACAAGAGGAAGAGGCGATTCCTGGCTCCTCCAGATGTGACAGGCTTGTTTGAATAATTTTCCAGGCTGGAGGGAAGTGAGCCACGTTGAGACCCAGGGAGGGTACAGCTGACTGCCTGGTAAGGGAACTTAGAAGGGGGAAGAGCCTTCCTGCTCAGTGGGTGAATAGGGTGCACATATCTGACAAGAGCAGGGGACTTCATGGCCAGGCCTCTGAGGCCCTGAGAAGCCCATAGATGTCAAGGCAGCACATGAGCTTTCAGGCTTTACAAGACAGAAATAAAATAGTGAATGATAACTCTTCAAAGAGAATATGACAAACAAAATTTCACAAGACCCTCTAGGAACAATATGCATATTGTTATCTCTATGTTTTATGATTTACATGGCTAAAGTCTGATTATATTATATTTCTATAACAGATAAAACCATTATCATTCATTTTCATAATTCATATTGAAATGATTTGATTATCCTCATTCCAGGAAAGAAAAAAAAAAAACACCCTCCTGCTTGGATACTTAGAGGTTACTCCATTTACACTCCCCACTCCCACCTCTTACTCCACTTGACTGGACTATCCACAAGGCAGTGCAAAGAGGTGTGTGTTTCCCTGAAGAAGAGGGTGCCACCCTGTTGCTCCTGGCTGTAACACTCAGAGGCTCTCTCTGCAGTGGAAGAATCATATGGGCTGATTATTCCCCACCTTTCAGACTTCTTTCCAAGTCCAAGTGTTGGGCAGAGGAGGAAGAGGAATGAGAGTAGCAAACCCGGCAACCTCTGATACTCCCTCTTTCCTCTCTCAGCCCACATATAATGTGGATGTCTCCTTGTAATCTTCAGTCTCATTCTCTCCCTGAAGCTAAGTAGCTGGCTTTGGTACAAAGGGAAAAGTTGGCCAGTTATGGAAAGAAAATATGGGTTGTGTCAGTGAAGTTCTGAGGGCTCAGGGTCTTTCTGGCTGCAAGGGGGTTGATGGAATGTCTTTTTAGCTGTGCCCTAGAAAACAATATAACTCTCCCTGTTCAATCTAAATCATCAGTGTGTTCCCTTATCACTGATCACAGCAGTTGCATTTCAAGCCTGTAAACCATACAGTATGGCAATACCAGTGAGGGAGACAGCTAGAAATTTTTAAATTCAAATTTTAACGCTATTTGTGAAAAGAAAAACTACCTAATATTAACAAGCAAAAAAACCTGGAAGAGATTATTTCATCTAGAGAGACATCACAGATACTTGATAAGGGAAAAGCTAAAGCTAGAGAAAAGGTCTACGAGTTGGCAATATTTCCAAAGAAAGGTTTTAATGTTTGCATAGTTGTTTAGAGAAAAAAGGACTCCTTTTTATATTTGACAGTTTTGTAAAGAACTGACTATAAAACTGTTTAAAATATTATCGAAATAGAATAACAATATATTTTCACCTTTAGTTTTATCAGCAACCCAGGAGTTTACACGTGTTGTGGACTTCTCTGTATCATTCACAAAGTCTAGCTGTTTTATCGTTGCTTGGTAGAATTTGCCACAGGAATCTGTAAAACCCTAGGAAAAACCAAAAACATAATTTCACAGCTACAGAAACAACTAATATCACTGGCTTACTTCTTCATTGTGCCACATCAGAAAATCAATAATTTTATGATTTACCATATATAATTTGCAAATAAAGATGAGGAATTAACCTAAAGTCCAAATTCTTTTCAGCTATTCCTAATCTTAGCTTATAAACTAAGCAACGCGGTGGGCTGCATATCAAGTGATTTTCATCAACTGCTGGATCCTTCATGAGAGTGGCAGTACACCCATCAATGAGATAATTTAAAACACTGAGAAATCTCCAAGAAGACATAGAAATCCTTAATAGGTAAGTACCTAATAGTGGACCATCAAGACACATAAGGCAACAACTAATAGAACTGAAAGGAGAAATAGATGAATCCACTATTATAACTGGAGACTTCAATATCCCTCTATCAGGAATGAACAGATCCAGCAAGCAGAAAATTAGTAAAGAACATAGTTGAACTCAAAAACAACATCAAGTAACTAGATATAATTGATATCTATTGACTACTTCATCCAACAAGAGTAGAATCTATATTCTTCTCAAGCTTACATGAAACATTTACCAAAAGAGACCACATTCTGGGCCACAAAGCACAACTTAGCATATTTAAAATAATAGAAATCATGCAACGTCTGCTCTCAGACAATAACGAATTAAACTAGAAATCAATAAGAGAAAGATGGCTGAAAATTCCAAAAGTACTCGGAGATTCAATAACACACGAATCACAGAAGAAATCTCAAGTGATATTAAAAACAGTTTGAACTAAATGAAAGTGAAAACACACTGACAACACTAAATGCTGGTGAAAACGTGGAGCAACAGGAACTCTCATTCATTGCTGGTGGGAATACAATATTGTATAGTCACTTTGGAAGACAGTGTGGAAGTTTTTTATAAAACTAAAAATATGATCCAGCAATCATGACCCTTACCATTTACCCAAAGGAGCTGATAAAACCTGCACACAAATATTCATAACAGCTTTATTCCTAACCGGCCAAGGTAGAAACAAGAAAGCTGTCCCCCATGACTGTACTAGGGGATGTTAATCACAGGAGGGACTATGCATGTACCTTTTGCTCAATTTTTCTGTGAACCTAAAATTGCTTTAGAAAATAAATTCTTTTTTTTTCTTTTTTACAAATGGTGACTATAGAAGCTGTCACTCCTGTAAATTATTAAATTTGTTGAGTGAGGATTAACACAGCAAGTGCTATATTTGCCTCTACATTTTAGAACAACAGACTATAAATATGAGTCTGTTGTTCCATAAATTACATGGGAAACATATACAATCCTAGACCAGCAGTGTCCATCGGAACTTTCTGGGATGATGAAAATGTTGTAAATCTGCAATGTCCAGAGCGGTGCCACATAGGCTATTGAGCACTTGAAATATATTAATAGCTAGTTGGACTGAGGAACTGAATAATTAATTTCATGGAAACCTTATACTCATGTACATAATGCATAGCATTATGGGTGTTTCAAACTATGATCAACTTTCCAAAAAAGTTCAAACTATATTTAGTTAATATATTCTGTAGAATTATAATGATCTTAACAGAAACCTACACTATGCCACATAAAAGCAGAACATTTGGTGGAAATTAAATGAGCTGAAACAACTAATTTATGAACCATGCATTATAGAATTGTTTCCCAATCTTTCTCTCAAACTGCTCACAGCTAAATATTTAATTTCCCTTTCCATAATTTTGCTTTTACTTTGGAATTTTATACTTCTGTATCAGTATGGCATGGAGAGGAAATGTGACTGTAGTTAGGAACACAAGTTCTGCAACTTACTAGTTGTGTGACCTTCAAATATTTGCTTCCTCTGTTTATGCCTCCATGTTCTCTCCTGTAGAACAAGGAAGCAGTAATAGCTACACCTCACAAGATAACTGTGAAGTCCTGATGAAATATCACCTTTTCATGTAACGTTTTTGAATTCTCAGTACCACGTAACTGATCGATGTACACTATTTCACTTAATCCTCCCATAATTCATGCTTTTCCAAAATTGCTGCCTCTGCCTATTTTTCAGTGGTTTGGAAATTATTTAAATCTCTCAGTGTAAGAAAATAATCTGAAGGCAAACTGATGAATCACATATTGATGACTTCTTGCACGCCTAGGTGATCTTTCCATCTGTTAAACGTGTTTTTAAATAACTGTCTGCTATTTTAAGTTACTATTTGACAAAGTGTGGCAAATCAAACAAAAAGAACATGTAATTATATATTGCTATTGGTATGGGATTCTTGAAAATAAGAATAAATAATAAATTAATCTGAAATGGTTTACAAATATTTCTCATCTTTTTAATTTATATTCCAATATCAAAATAACATTTTAAATATCAATGCTTTTCTTTCAAAATATCCACCACGAATTGATATTTGGTTGTTAACATTTTGGTTGTCTTTATATAGAAAACTAGTAAGCTAGTAAAAAGATGGCAATAAACTAAATAGTGCTAAGACTAGTAAAATAAGTGAAGTTGTAAAATCACAATATCATATACAAATCTTATAAATATTTCACTTTTATGTCTTACCACCTTCACTTTATACCAATCTGTTTGCAAACAATTAATTTAGAGTCGAAAGCAAGTTTGAAAAAATACATATCACAGTAAGAGAGATATCCTCTACAAAAATAATTCTTATAAGTCAATAAGAAAAAGACATACAACCCCATAGAAAAATGTGTAAGAGGATATGTAAATAGGCAATTCACAGAAGAGATAGAAATTCTCAATACACATAAAAGTGTTTAATCCCATTTATAATCAAAAGTTTTTATTTTTTTTTTTTGTTGCTTCTCTTGTTTTGTATTAACCCTTCCCTATCGCATATGTTGTAAATATTCCATCTCAGATTCTTTTTTAAAAACTTTATTTTAGGTTCACGGATACCTAAGCAAGTTTGTTATATAGGCAAATTTCATGTTTCAGGGGTTTAGTATACAGATTATTTCATCAACCATGTAATAAGCCTAGTACCCGATAGGTAGTTGTTCAATCCTCACCCTCCCCACACCCTTCTCCCTCAAGTAAGCCCCCATATCTGTTATTCCTTTCCTTGTGACCATATGTACTGGATGTTTACCTCCAACTTATAAGTGAGAACATGTGGTATTTGGTTTCCTACTCCCGTATTAGTTTGCTTATGATTAATAGCCTCCAGTTCCATCTCTGTGGCTGCAAAGGACATGATCTCATTCTGTTTTATGGCTGCATCGTATTTCGTGGTGTATATGTACCACATTTTTTTAATCCAGTCTACTATTGATGGGCATTTAGGTTGATTCCATGTTTTTGCCATTGTGAATAGTGCTGCAATGAACATATGTGTCTTTATGGTAGAATGATTTCTATTCCTTCAGGTATGTACTCAATAATGGGATTGCTGGGTCAAATGGCAATTCTCTTTTAATTTTCTTGAGAAATCACCAAAGTCCTTTCCACAGTGGCTGAACTAATTTACATTCCCACCAGCCGCATGGAAGTGTTCTCTTTTCTGTGCAGCTTCACCAGCATCTGTTTTTTGACATTTTAATAACAGCCATTCTGAATGGTGTGAGATGGTATCTCATCATGGTTTTGATTTGAATTTCTCTAATGATTAGTGATGTTGGCAATGTTTTCCTAGGCTTGTTGGCCACGCATATGTCATCTTTTGAAAAGTGTCTGTCCATGTCCTTTGGCCACTTTTTAATGGAGTTGTGTTGTTTGGTTTTTGCTTGTAAATTTAAGTTTGTTTTTTTTTTAATAGATTCTGGATATTAGACCTCTATCAGAGGCATAGTTTGCAAATATTTTCTCCATTTCTATAGGTTGTCTGTTTACACTGTTGATAGTTTCTTTTGCCCTGCAGAACTTTTCAGTTTACTTATGTCCCATATCTCAATTTTTGTTTCCGTTGCAATTGCTTTTGGCATCTTTGTCATAAAATATTTGCCAAATCCTGTGTCCAGAATGTTATTTCCTAGGAGGGCGTAGAGCAATCTTACTTCTCCCAGGAACCACAACTGTGGCCTCTACTGGGGCTGTGGCTTTGGTGCTGGTCTGCTACAGGGCCCAAGGCTTGTAGAGGTCCCCCTGGACTCCAGAATTACCCCTGGAAAACGTCCAGGTGGCACTCTGCCCCAGTCTAAAAGCACAGTGGGGAAATGCGGTGGGGACAGGAGGATTCTCCCATTCCCAATCTTGCATAGGTCCCTGTGGACAGTGTGAATCCCACTAGGAACTCTCATTCACTCATCCTTCCCCATTTTGTAGGGGTCCTCCTGACCGCACTGATCCCAGACAGGCTGGTGCCCAGATTCATTCCTGTCTGCTCTGTGTGTTCCCCTGCTGCCTAGATGGATCTCGACATGGTTTCTCAGATGATCGGCTTTCAGGGTCAGTGTTCACTACCCCTTTTGTTTCCTCTCGGTGACGCCAGCATCAGGAGCTCCTTTTAGTCGGCCATCTTGGCCCCACCCTTCCAAAAGTTTTAAAGGTTAACATTATGCAGTTCTGCTGATGGTGGGTGGAACTGAGGATCCTATAAATACCCCCTGCAGAATGTAAATGGCTACAAAACTGTGGAGAGCAATTTGGCAATATTTATGAAAACCTCAAAGCTTCATTCCCTTCCTCCCTTCTACAAATCCATTTTAGATAGTAACTCATACACATATGCACAAAACTGTGTAAAGAAATACTCCTGTCTGTAATGGGCCAGAGTAAATAAGCTTAAATACTCGTCAATGCAAGAAAGGTCTATTATACCATGGTACAGCCATACTTAGGAATACCAGACAAGGGTTAAAAAGAGTAATACAGATCCACATATACTGAGATGGAAGGAATTTAGGACATATTTTTAAGGAAAAGCTAACAAAGTATAAAACAATATGCATAGTACAATAACATTACATAGGAGAAAAACTCATGAAGCAAAGTTTTTATATGTGAAGGAGGAAACATCAAATCTATGAAAGCTCTAACGTTAAAAAGGGGAGTTGTGGCATAAGAAAGAAGCTGATGACATCTCTTGGTTTATATGTGTTGTTTGTGTTTTTAAATAACAAGAAATTACTTCGGTACTTTTCTTTTCAAAAACTAGAAAAGTCATGAAAGCATTGTCAGCGAATGCAACCAGTGTAATTAGCCAAAATTAGTTTTAAAAGATTTTCATTGCTGAAACATCTAGTCAAACTATTTAATGCATACATTATAGTGTCATCATGCATAGAAAATTAAAAATATCTGCAAAGCAATTACGAGAAACAGTCATTTTCACCACATCTTTGTTTTGGCTGATTCATTTTCAACTGTGTTACGCTCTGTGTCAGTTCTTTTATGAAGATTATCTCATTAAAGCTTCACAAAATTCTGAACGGTATTTGCTATATAGCCTGTGCTACAGATGATCAAACTGAATCACAAGATGCGTGTGAGATTCGTGCGTGGAGTTCTGAGTTCAGGACCACCTGCAGGAATTCATAGCCCATATTCATTCTCCTACTTCCCACCACATTGCTATCTTTATTTTCCTAATAAACAAGTATGACTTACTGTGAGGAAATCATAAGACTTTTCTCCAAAGAGCCCGTTGGCAGTTCTAAGCACATATTCAGTGTCAGTTCTGTTAATTGCAACAAGAAGTGACTGAAAACCTCGATGAATATCTCCATCTTCACCTCCGATTTTACTAAAACAAAGTGCCTGAAAATAAAATAATAATAAACATACACATTCTCAGTATTCTGTGACTTCAAAATATAGGCACAACAGTAAACTCAGCAATATGAGATTTACAGATGCTTACTACAGCTTAAAAGATGATCAATCTAATAAAAGATAGAGAGTGTCTCAAAAGCAACCCTGTCTGCCTACCTATGCCTCTTCTCAGGCCTCCCTATAAGCACATCCTAAAAGAAACGAATGTTATCTAAGTATTGGTATAAGTGGATATGCCTTTTGCAAACCCTAACAAAATGACTCGGATTTCTTGTGCTATTTATGATACTTGGTCTAAAAACGCAGCTGCCAACCATGTGTCCTGTCTCTGCATACACATGGTGCTCCTGACACTAAAAGATGGAGTCTCTCTCCCCTTCTTCAGAATCTGGGCTGGCCATGTGACTTGCTCTAAACAGCAGAATGCAGAACTGGCTCTGTTCCAGGCTTAGCCCTTAAAAAGTCTGGCAGCTTCCACTTTCCCTCTCTTGTAACCCAGCTACCGTGGTCGAGAAGCCCAAGCTATCCTGAGGAAAGACCACATAAAAGGAGGAATGGAAAGACTTGCTTTTAGGGAACTGAGGGCCCATCCACTAGCCAGAACCAAGGCCCAGACATGGGAGTGGTATCTTCTTGGACCTTCTAGCCCAGTTGCCTGCAGAAGCACCCACATGAGTGACCCCAGGTCACCAAGAAGGTCAGGCCTTGAAAACATGCTCCATCCTGCCAATTCTCCATCCACATCCTGTGAGACTACCAGAGTTGTCTGTTAAAGGAGGAATTTCTTCAAGACTTGAAATGCAGAAGTCCAGCTCAACTGATAAATTGATAGCACTTATTGTTGTCTTGAAGTGGCTTTACGTACCTGAGACATCTGAGCTGCAGTGTTTCCCTTTGCCCCCATGAAAACCATGGCCAAGGCTGATGATATGCTCATGGGGAAAAAAATAAGTTGTTTGAGTTGTTTTCCCCTAGCTTTTTCAAAAGGTTTAATGCAAATGTGCCATTTGCTTCTGATAGAGCATCCATGACGGTGAGCCTGAAACAATGGATTTTTAAACAATATTACATTAATATAGGCTTACATGTGTATTTACTTTTCACTCTATTTATTACTAGTTAAATGGATACTTGTTTTCATTGAACAAATAGGTACACACACAAAAACTACACTAGGGCTTTTCTTACAAGATGTCATTTAATCCATACAAGCTGATGAGATAGGTGCTGTGAGTGAATGTCTGCACTTTACAAGCAAAGAAATTGAGCCTTCACTGTTTAAGTCTGTTGTGCCTGAGATCACTCAACTACAAACAGAAAAGTAGGCATTAGAAACCAGGTCTTTGTGGTTCCAGGGCTCCTCTTAATCACCATGGTATAAGGACTTATAACAAAAGCAGCAGCAGAAAGCAAGAAAGTTACTTGCTTAAAACATGAAATTTGTAAGAAGAAAAACTATTGATTTCCAATACTGGTAAAATAGGTATTCCCTCCTATATTCCATATGTGATTATGTAAATTGGGACACCAATATTTTCAGAATGTAACTTAGAATTATGTTTTTATAAATGGAGGAAGGAACACAGGGATGGTGGAAGGGTAGGAAAAAGAAAATGCCATGAAAATATTTATACCTTTAGGATGAAAAATTCCATTTCAAAGAATTTCACTAAAGATAAAGCTCACAAGTACTGATAAAAACAGTATGCAGAAAGATGACTACTGAAGCACTTTATATGCTACAGAGAAAATATTTAAATACCCAGCAACAGAGAACCAGTTAGATTCTGTCAAATCCATGATTGAATATAAATGGAGATATTAAAAATTACAGTCATGCCATGAGAAAATACAATATTAAGTATAAATTAAGAATAAAGTTACATGTAAGTATAATTCATAGATAAAAAGACTACAGGGAAACACTGAACATCACATATTTCTGGATAATGAGTAATTCTAATTTTATTTATATCCTTTGCTATTTTCCCTACAATGTGCCTATATTTGTTTCAGTGTCATTTGGTCATTGTGCTTTTATGAAATTAATGGACTTGCATGTAGTTGAAAAGTGAGATAACACTAGGCGAGATCTTTTTTTTTTATTATTATACTTTAAGTTTTAGGGTACATGTGCACATTGTGCAGGTTAGTTATGTATACATGTGCCATGCTGGTGCACTGCACCCACTAACTCGTCATCTAGCATTAGGTATATCTCCCAATGCTATCCCTCCCCCCTCCCCCCACCCCACCACAGTCCCCAGAGTGTGATATTCCCCTTCCTGTGTCCATGTGATCTCATTGTTCAATTCCCACCTATGAGTGAGAATATGCGGTGTTTGGTTTTTTGTTCTTGCGATAGTTTACTGAGAATGATGATTTCCAATTTCATCCATGTCCCTACAAAGGACATGAACTCATCATTTTTTATGGCTGCATAGTATTCCATGGTGTTACACAAATCAACCAGTGTCTTCCCACTACTCCCAACTCCCCAGAAACAATCAAACCTCAGTGCACCCTTTCTCTTGGTATTTACTTTCATATTTAGAAATAATTGTGTATATGACTATTTTTAACCCCACAATTTTTGACATTATAAATTGCCTTCCTAATTTAGGGCTGATGATTAATTTTCTTTTATCACTTACCGTACTTCACTTCCTCTCTCCAAGTGTTTGCCTTATTGCAACTAAATAGTATTCGCTGCTAAGCCAATTAATCAATAATGGATGCATTGCTTTTTTTACACGTCTGTTTTTCCTTATGTCACTATTGCCTTCCCCTCTTTTCTTGTTTTCACTTTTTAAAAATCTATGGCAAATTCCCCTCCCACCAAATATTCTACAGATCACTCAAGCTCTTTCAGTAATTTCTTCGTATGCTCAACCACATATGAGTAATCTATCACTCCCATTTCTCATCTCCCACAGTTTCCCCCCTGCTGGTGAGTGCAGGTTTATTTAGTCTGTAAGATTTTCATTCCCGAAGCAGAATTTTCATAAACAGAGACCAATTTTTTCTATTATTATACCTTATTTAGTCAATGATCAATTAATTTCTTGTTAATTTGGTAAACAAATTGTTTTCCTTAAACTTTAAAGCACACTGCTAACACAGCAAATACGTTATTTTAAACATTTAAGCATTGATGATAAAGCTTAATGTATCAGATGTTTTAAAGATGTAATCACTTTAAAGAACAAACTTACAAAATTAACAACTATATCATTAATATAAGCATTTGTACAATAATAAACTGAATAAATCAACACTTATAAATCTGTTAAACTAGATTCTCCTAAGACTTTCAAACATGTTTTAAAATACAACTGTACAACAGTGATTATAAAACTTATTTCTAGCACCCCACTAGTAATACTGTGGGTTTTATACACTTTATCTTCACTCTATCTTTTTATATTTCCTAGGGTGATGGTAATGCTTATTTTAATACTTTTCTGGGGTTAAATTAATAACAGACCATCTCCTATTCACAAAAACAATAGGATGGGGCTGCCAGATTGATGGTTGGGACATGGGCTCTGACTGACCTGACACTGCTACTTTTCAGGTCATACTGCTTTTTAAAGCCAAACAAATGTAAGGACCATTTTGCAGTTTGGTCCTACATTGGGATTTTGCAAAGACAACTATTAAATTTGCTTTTTTCTTTTTTTTGCCAAATGCCTTTCCTTGAAATGAAATACTATTTGAGGTTCTCGTGCATCTGATTTGCGTAACACAGAGTTCTATCCACAAGTTGGCTTTCAAAGTCTCCTGGTTTAATATTTAGGCCTTCAGGTTGGTTTTTGTAACCACTGTGCCTGTCAACCTAGGTGCCTATAGTCACTATTCCTACACAGCAGTCGTATATGAATCATCACACAGCATTTCTTGTAAACATTATTGAAATTATTTCCTGCCTCCTTTAAACTCATCTTACATTTTTTTTTTTTTTTTTTTTTTTTTTTGAGAGAGAGTCTCGCTTTGTCCCTCAGGCTGGAGTGCAGTGGTGCAATCTTGGCTCACTGCAACCTCTGCCTCCCAGGTTCAAGCGATTCTTCTGCCTCAGCCTCCTGAGTAGCTGGGACTACAGGCCCATGTCACGACACCCGGCTAATTTTTGTATTTTTAGTAGAGACTGGGTTTCACCATATTGGCCAGGCTGGGTCTCGAACTCCTGACCTCGTGATCCGCCCCCCTCAGCCTCCCAAAGTGCTGGGATTACAAGCGTGAGCCACCGCGCCTGGCCCATTTTACTTGTTTTATCTGAATTTACTAAAGGACTCTTTCTTGGCTTTGTTGTAACATGTATTTCAATTAACACATACTGGTTTTTGTTCTTGAGCAAATTCTCACAACTTGTCTACTGGGAATCTCTGTAAATTGGTTACTTTCTTTTTACACTATCCCAACACTTTTGCTTTCTGGCAACAGTATCGTCCTCATTTTGATTTTTTTCCAGTCCAAAAACATACTATCAACGCCTCTCCTGGTTTCTTTTAAAGGAGGAGGAATGTCAAGTACAAATTCTGAATACTGAGAGCATACGAGTTTCGGTACCGACAAATAAATACTGCTGCTGTTGTTTTTCCTGGAGGTCCCAGGCCTCACAGCCCCTTCCAGCGCCCAACATAAACTTCACCAGGGTGGGAGGCCTCATTGTACCTACTTCCAGCTCCTGCAGGATGAGTGGAGCCCAGGCAGGACTTTCACCCCCCAGCTCCGCGCCCATTCGCCCTGGCCTCCCCTCCCCGCGCCTGGACCCATAGGGCACACAGCCAAGTGCAGCCAAGTCCCTGCCCTTAGGGAGCCCCCGCCAGAGACCGAGTAAAGAAGGACAGCCCCAGGGAAAGGTCTGGAGCAACAGGTGCGCTGAGCACTTCACTGGGCTTCCCTTTCGTAGGTTCCCGCCCTTTTCCTGGGCTCAAGAGCAGGTAACGAGAATCCAGCGTGTGGGAACCACTCCCAAAGTCAAACACCTACCCCAGTTCTCCGCGCAGCTGCCCAGGAGCGAAGTGAGACCGGGTCGGAGAGGCGGGAATAGAGATGTCTGAGCGGCGCCGGGTGTTAGTTCCCAGTGAATGGGGAGGCGGGCGGAGTCGGGCCCAGCCAGGCACCACCTAGCGGGCGCCTGGGCAGGAGGGCGGGGCGGGTCCCGCAGGCCGCGGGGATCTCCTGATGTGCAGGAAGTGGCCAATCTCTGTGCAGGAAAAAGCCCCAACTGTCCGGGAGTTTTCAGTCAAGAAGCGATAATGCGCTTTGGCTATTTGGGGTTTTTCGTGGTTCCATACAAATTATAGGGTTTTTTTTTTTTTCTATTTCTGTGAAGAATGACATTGGTATTTTGACAGGGATTGCATTCAATCTGTAAATTGTTTGGGTAGCATTGTACTTTTAACATTAATTATTCCAACCTATGAGCATGAATATGTGTCCATTTTCTGTGTGTGTTCTTCACGTTTTTCTCATCAGTGTTTTATAGTTGTCCTTGTAGAAGTCTTTCACTTTTTTAATTAAATTGATTACTAGGTATTTTATACATCATATTTCTTATAGCTATTGTAAGTGGGATTTCTTTCTTGATTTCTTTTTCAGACTGTTCACTGTAGATGTATAGACATCTTACGGATATTTTATATCCATTTTGTATTCTGCAACTTTACTGATTCATTTATTAGTTCTAGTAGTTTTTGAGGGGAGTCTTTTGGTTTTTCCGATTATAAGATTATACCATTGGTGAGCAAAGCTAATTTTACATCTTTCTTTCCAGTTTGGGTGTCCTTTGTTTCTTTTTCTTGCCTAATTGCCCCGGCCAGGACTTCCAGTCAGATACTGAATAAAGGGGGTGAAACTGGGCATCCTTGTCTTGTTGCAGATCTTATAGGAAAGGTTTTCAATTTTTCCCTGTTCAGTATGATATTAGCAGTGGGTTTTTCATTTTGGTTTTTATTGTTTTGAGGTATATTCCTTCTATACCCAATGTGTTAAGGATTTTTATCATAAAGAGATGTAGGATTTTACTGAATACATTTTCGGCATCTATTGAAATGATCGTGCAGTTTTTGTTGTTGGTTCTTTTAATGCAATGTATCGCATTTATTGATTTGTGTATATTGAATCATACTTGCATACCCGGGTGAATCTCACTTGATCGTGGTGAGTGATCTGTTTAATGTGTTGTTGAATTGGAGTTGCTAGCAATTTTTTGAGGATTTTTTCTGTTTTTTACCTGTTGATATGACGGATTCCTTTGATTTTCAAATGTTGAATTAGTCTTGTACACCTGCAATCAATCTTACTTAGTCACAATGTATAATCCAACTATTTTACACATAGTTTGATTTCATTTGTGAATATGTTGTTCAGGATTTTGCATCTATACTAATGAAAGATATTGGTCTTTAAGTTTCTTTTCTTCTAATGTCTTTGTCTGGTTTTGTTATCAGAGTAATTCCAGCCCTATAGAATGAATTAGAAAGTAGTTCTTCTGCTTCTATCTTCTGAAAGAGATTTAGAGAATTGGAGTAAACGTTTTCTTAATTTGTTTTTAGAATTTACCAGTGAGCCCATCTGGGTCTGGTAATTATTTTAGATGGCTATTAATTATTGATTAATTTTTTTAGTAGATATAGGCCTATTCAAATGTTCTATTTCCTGTTGTGTGACTTTTGGCGGATTGTGTCTTTCAAGAAATTGATCCACGTCATGTAGTTTATCAAATTTGTGGGCACAGAGCTGTCCTGAGTATTCCTTTATGATTTTTTACTGTACATGGGATTTTTAGCATTTCACCACTTTCATTTCTGATATTAGTAATTTAGGCTTTTCTTTTTGCTTAGCCTGGGTACAGTCTCATCAATTCATTGGTCTTTTAAAAGAACTAGCTTTTGTTTTCATTGATTTTCTCTCTGGATTTCATTCATTTCTGCCCCCATTTTTATTATTTATTTTGTTTTGCTTAGTTGGGTTTAATTTACTCTTCTTTTTCTGATATTCTAAAGTAGAAGCTGTGGTGATTGATTTTAGAGTTTTTAAAACAAAGTTTCTACTTTTTTAACGTATCCATTCAATGCCATGAATTTTTCTGGAGAGGTGACTCACATTGTCCAGTAAGCCAAGAAATGTTAAGTGTCTAAATAGTAAACTCTAACCTTGGGTGAGTAAAATATGTAAACTAGTGGATTAAATCATCTGTGATTGAATCCATTACTTAACTCACTACATTAGTTAAGCAAATATTTACCTTCACTCCTTCATCTTTAACCTCTTCACTTTTTTGAAGTCTTATCTCATAATTATACTCAATATCTTATATATTTTTAAAAACACACTTTCTTTACTTTTGTATATGATTTTACTTACATAAATTTCAAGAAAATGCAAACTGATCTATAGTGACATACGGTAGATCAATAGTTGCATGGAACATGGAACTGAGGAGAGGGCAGAGAGAGGTGGGTGAGAGGCAGTATAAAGGAGAAGGGGATACTTTGGTGTGATGGATATGTTCACTATCTAGTTTGTTTTTACAGGTGTGTACGTGTATATATACATATATCCAAATGTATCAGATTATATATTTTATTTTTCATTAATTAATTTTTTATTACTGTTAATTATTATACTTTAAGTTCTGTGGTACATGTGCAGAACGTGCAGGTTTGTTACGTAGGTATACACATGCCATGGTGGTTTACTGTACCCATCAATCTGCCATCTACATTAGGTATTTCTCCTAATGCTACCCTCCCCTAGACCCCACCCCCATGACAGGCCCCAGTGTGTGATGTTCCCCTCCCTGTGTCCATGTGTTCTCATTGTTCAACTCCCACTTATGAGTGAGAACATGCGGTGTTTGGTTTTCTGTTCTTGTGTTAGTTTCCCGAGAAAGATGGTTTCCAGCTTCATCCATGTCCCTGCAAAGGACATGAACTGCATAGTATTCCATGGTGTATATGTGCCACATTTTCTTTATCCAGTCTATCATTGATGGGCATTTGAGTTGGTTCCAAGTCTTTGCTATTGTGAACAGTGCCACAATAATCATACGTGTGCTTGTGTCTTTATAGTAGAATGATTTATAATCCTTTGGGTATATACCCAGTAATGGGATTGCTGGATCATATGGTATTTCTGGTTCCAGATCCTTGAGAAATTACCACACCGTCTTCCACAATGGTTGAACTAATTTACACTCCCACCAACAGTGTAAAAGTATTCCTATTTCTCCACATCCTCTCTAGCACCTGTTGTTTCCTGACTTTTTAATGATCGTCATTCCAACTGGCGTGAGATGGTATCTCATTGTGGTTTTGATTTGCATTTCTCTAATGACCAGCGATGATGAGCTTTTTTCATATGTTTGTCGGCCGCATAAATGTCTTCTTTTAAGAAGTGTCTGTTCATATCCTTCGCCCACTTTTTTTATGGTGTTGTTTGTTTTTTTCTTGTAAATTTGTTTAAGTTCTTCTTACAGTCTGGATATTAGCCCTTTGTCAGATGGATAGATTGCCAAAATTTTTCTCCCATTCTGTAGGTTGCCTGTTCATTCTGATGATAGTTTCTTTTGCTGTGCTGAAGCTGGATCCCATTTGTCAATTTTGGCTTTTGTTGCCATTGCTTTTGGTGTTTTATTCATGACGTCTTTGCCCATGCCTATGTCCTGAATGGTATTGCCTAGGTTTTCTTCTAGGATTTTCATGGTTTTAGGTCTTACATTTAATACTTTATTACATCTTGAGTTAATTTTTGTATAAGATGTAAGGAAGGGGTCCAGTTGCGGTTTTCTGCATATGGCTAGCCAGTTTTCCCAACACCATTTATTAAATAGGGAATCCTTCCCCCATTGCTTGTTTTTGTCGGGTTTGTCAAAAATCAGATGGTTATAGATGTGTGGTGTTATTTCTGAGGCTTCTGTTCTGTTCCATTGGTCTATATACCTGTTTTGGCACCAGTACCATGCTGTTTTGGTTACTGTAGTCTTGTAGTATAGTTTGAGTCAGGTAGCGTAATGCCTCCAGCTTTGTTCTTTTTGCTTAGGATTCTCTTGGCTATGTGGGGTCTTTTTTGGTTCCATATGAAATTTAAAGTAGTTTTTTTTTTCTAATTATGTGAAGAAAGTCGCTGGTAGCTTGATAGGGGTAGCATTGAATCTATAAATTACTCTGGGCAGAATGGCCACTTTCACCATATTGATTCTTCCTATCCATAAGCATGGAATGTTTTTCCATTTGTTTGTGTCCTCTCTTATTTCCTTGAGCAGTGGTTTGTAGTTCTCCTTGAAGAGGTCCTTCACATTCCTTGTAAGTTGTATTCCTAGGTATTTTATTCTCTTTATAGCAATTGTGAATGGGAGTTCACTCATGATTTGGCTCCCTGTTTGTCTATTATTGGTGTATAGGAATGCTTGTGATTTTTGCACATTGATTTTGTATCCTGAGACTTTGCTGAAGTTGCTTATCAGCTTAAGGAGATTTGGGGCTGAGACAATGGGGTTTTCTAAATATACAATCATGTCATCTGCAAACAGGGACAATTTGACTTCCTCTCATCCTATTTGAATATGCTTTATTTCTTTCTCTTGCCTGATTGCCCTGGCCAGAACTTCCAATAATATGTTGAATAGGAGTGGTGAGAGAGGGCGTCTTTATCTTGTGCCGGTTTTCAAAGGGAATGCATCCAGCTTTTGCCCATTCAGTATGATATTGGCTGTGGGTTTGTCATAAATAGCTCTTATTATTTTGAGATACATTCCATCAATACCTAGTTTATTGGGAGTCTTCATTTTTTATACCTTGGAAATAAAACTCTGCCTTTTCATTTTTCCATTCTCCATCAAGCTTCTTTATAAAAAGTGTATACACAGAGTGTTGTCTTTTTTTCACGTTTGATTCTCTCCTGACCCCACTGCAGTTAGAAGTCCACCCCAACATTCTCTGAAATTCCTCCTGATAAGGTCACCACTCCTTTTTTAACTGCCATGGCCAAAAGATATGCCCCAGGTCTTATCTCATTTTGTTTGTTGGCGACTTTTAGCCCTTTCGTCTTCGGCCTTCCAAGGATGTCCAGAGCCCCCTTCCTTTCTTGCTCAACTCCTTTGCTTGGTATCCAGATTCCTTTCCTCCGATTCTAGGCCCTCTACTTTTCATTATAATATGATCTTGTCATGATCTTATCATATGACCTTAACTGTATCCATAGGTTCAAGTTTCAAATTTTACTTATTTCATCCATATCGCTAACCTGGCTCTTGAGCTGTAGACGTTACCTGTGTACAACTGGACATCTCTCAGAAACCTGGGTGCATCCCTTCCCAGTTCTCTTCACTAAATGATCAACAGCTCTGCCATTTCTATCACCTTCATGCTGCTTCAATCCGCTCTTTCTCACCTTCATCACATCTCATTTCTCTCCTAAACAATTAATTTCCTTACAGTTCTCCTGATCAATGCCAACTTATTCTCTCCTCTGAAGTCCATATAAACATTCCTGGACTTTTTTTGGTTGGTAGGCTGTTAATTATAGCCTCAATTTCAGAGCCTGTTATTGGTCTATTCAGGGATTCGTCTTCTTCCTGGTTTAGTCTTGGGAGGGTGTATGTGTCCAGGAATGTATCCATTTCTTCTAGATTTTCTAGTTTATTTGCGTAGAGGTGTTTATAATATTCTCTTATGGTGGTTTGTATTTCTGTGGGATCAGCGGTGATATCCCCTCTATCATTTTTTATTGCATCTATTTGATTCTTCTCTCTTTTCTTCTTTATTTGTCTTGCTAGTGGACTATCAGTTTTGTTGATCTTTTCAAAAAACCAGCTCCTGGATTCATTTATTTTTTGAAGGGTTTTTTGTGTCTCTATTTCCTTCAGTTCTGCTCTGATCTTAGTTATTTCTTGCCTTCTGCTAGCTTTTGAATGTGTTTGCTCTTGCTTCTCTAGTTCTTTTAATTGTGATTTTAGGGTGTCAATTTTAGATCTTTCCTGCTTTCTCTTGTGGGCATTTAGTGCTATAAATTTCCCTCTACACACTGCTTTAAATGTGTGCCAGAGATTCTGGTATGTTGTGTCTTTGCTCTCATTGGTTTGAAAGAACCTATTTATTTCTGCTTTCATTTCATTATGCACCCAGATGTCATTCAGGAGCAGGTTGTTCTGTTTCCATGTAGTTGAGCAGTTTTGAGTGAGTTTCTTAATCCTGAGTTCTAGTTTGATTGCACTGTGGTCTGAGAGACAGTTTGTTATAATTTCCGTTCTTTTACATTTGCTGAGGAGTGCTTTATTTCCAACTATGTGGTCAATTTTGGAATAATTGTGATGTGGTGCTGAGAAGAATGTATATTCTGTTGATTTGGGGTGGAGAGTTCTGTAGATGTGTATTAGGTCTGCTTGGTGCAGAGCTGAGTTCAATTCCTGGATATCCTTGTTAACTTTCTGTCTCGTTGATCTGTCTAATATTGACAGTGGGGTGTTAAATCTCTCATTATTATTGTGTGGGAGTCTAAGTCTCTTTGTAGGTCTCTAAGGACTTGCTTTATGAATCTGGTTGCTCCTGTATTGGGTGCATATATATTTAGGATAGGTAGCTCCTCTTGTTGAATTGATCCCTTTACCATTATGTAATGGCCTTCTTTGTCTCTTCTGATCTTTGTTGGTATAAAGTCTCTTTTATCAGAGACTAGGATTGCAACCCCTTCTTTTTTTGTTGTTTTGCATTTGCTTGGTAGATCTTCCTCCATCCCTTTATTTTGAGCCTATGTGTGTCTCTGCACATGAGATGGCTCTTCTGAATATAGCACACTGATGGGTCTTCACTCTTTATACAATTTGCTAGTCTGTGTCTTTTAATTGGAGCATTTAGCCCATTTACATTTAAGGTTAATACTGTTATGTGTTAATTTGATCCTGTCATTATAATATTAGCTGGTTATTTTGCTCGTTAGTTGATGCAGTTCCTTCCTAGCATCGATGGTCTTTACAATTTGGCATGTTTTTGCAGTGGCTGGTACTGGTTGTTCCTTTCCATGTTTAGTGCTTCCTTCAGGAGCTCTTGTAAGGCAGGCCTGGTGGTGACAAAATCGCTCAGCATTTGCTTGTCTGTAAAGGATTTTATTTCTCCTGCACTTATGAAGCTTAGTTTGGCTGGATATGAAATTCTGGGTTGAAAATTATTTTCTTTAAGAATGTTGACTATTGGCCCCTACTCTCTTCTGGCTTGTAGAGTTTCTGCCAAGAGATCCACTGTTAGTCTGATGGGCTTCCCTTTGTGGGTAACCCAACCTTTCTCTCTGGCTGCCCTTAACATGTTTTCCTTCATTTCTACTTTGGTGAATCTGACAATTATGTGTCTTGGAGTTGCTCTTCTCGAGGAGTATATTTGTGGCATTCTCTGTATTTCCTGAATTTGATTGTTGGCCTGCCTTACTAGGTTGGGGAAGTTCTCCTGGATAATATCCTGCAGAGTGTTTTCCAACTTGGTTCCATTTTCCCTGTCACTTTCAGGTACACCAATCAGATGTAGATTTGGTCTTTTCACATAGTCCTATATTTCTTGGAGGCTTTGTTTGTTTTTTCTTACTGTTTTTTTCTCTAAACTTCTCTTTTCGCTTCATTTCATTCATTCGATCTTCAATCACTTATACCCTTTCTTCCAGTTGATCAAATCAGCATGTCTCATGTGCATGTGTCATGTAGTTCTCGTGCCATGATTTTCAGCTCCATTAGGTCATTTAAGGTTTTCTCTACGCTGTTTATTCTAGTTAGCCATTCGTCTAATCTTTTTTCAAGGTTTTTAGCTTCTTTGCGATGGGTTTGAACATCCTCCTTTAGCTCGGAGAAGTTTGTTATTACCGATCATCTGAAGCCTTCTTCTCTCAACTTATCAAAGTCATTCTCCGTCCAGCTTTGTTCCCTTGCTGGCGAGGAGCTGCATTCCTTTGGAGGAGGAGAGGCACTCTAATTTTTAGAATTTTCAGCTTTTCTGCTCTGGTTTCTCCCTATCTTTGTGGTTTTAGCTACCTTTGGTCTTTGATGATGGTGACGTGCAGGTGGGGTTTTGGTATAGATGTCCTTTCTCTTTGTTAGTTTTCCTTCTAACAGTGAAGACCCTCAGCTGCAGGTCTGTTGGAGTTTGCTGGAGGTCCACTCCAGACCCTGTTTGCCTGGGTACCACCAGCAGAGGCTGCCAAACAGCAAATATTGCAGAATGGCAAATGCTGCTGCCTGATCTTGCCTCTGAAAGCTTTATCTCAGACGGGCACCAGGCCGTATGAGGTGTCAGTTGGCCTCTACTGGGAGGTGCCTCCCAGTTAGGCTATTTGGGGGTCAGGAATCCACTTGAGGAGGCAGTCTGTCCGTTCTCAGATCTCAAACTCCGTGTTGGGAGAACCACTACTCTCTTCAAAGCTGTCAGACAGGGATGTTTAAGTCTGCAGAAGTTTCTGCTGCCTTTGGTCATCTATGCCCTGCCCCTAGAGGTGGAGTCTACAGAGACAGTCAGGGCTCCTTGAGCTGTGGTGGGCTCTTCCCAGTTTGAGCCTCCTGGTGGCTTTGTTTACCTACTCAAGCCTCAGCAATGGCGGGCACCCCTCCCCCAGCCTCGCTACCACCTTGCAGTTCGATTTCAGACTGCTGTGCTAGCAGCGAGCGAGCCTCCGTGGGCGTGGGACCCTCCCAGCCAGTCGCGGGATATAATCTCCTAGTGTGCCATTTGCTAAGACCATTGGAAAAGTGCAGTATTAGGATGGGAGTGACCCGATTTTCCAGGTGCCGTCTGTCACGGCTTCCCTTCGCTAGGAAAGGGAATTCCCTGACCAATTGCGCTTCCCGGGTGAGGTGATGCCCCACCCTGCTTCAGCTTACACTCAGTGGGCTGCACCAACTGTCCTGCACCCACTGTCCAACAAGCCTCAGTGAGATAAACCCGGAACCTCAGTTGAAAATGCAGAAATCACCCATCTTCTGCGTTGCTCACACTAGGAGCTGTAGACTGGAGCTGTTCCTATTGGACCATCTTGGAACCTGATCTCTCCTAAGTTTTGTATTTTTAGTAGAGACAGGATTTCACCATGTTGGCCAGGATAGTCCCAGTCTCTTGACCTTATGATCCACCGGCCTCCGCCTCCCAAAGTGCTAGGATTACAGGCGTGAGCCACCACGCCCGGCCATATCTTCAAATATCTTAGTGGAGGGTCAAGCACTGAGGCTGGAACATATTTTTCCGGCACTCAGCAACCCGCGCCTCAGCTTACAGACTGGTAACAACCAAGTGGTGAAGAAGATTCCTTATCTCTAGTGGCTTCCATTCCCTGAACTGAAATAATAGATCTGGAATTGAAGAAAATTCACAGTCCATCAATATAAATGCAAATTGCTTTTTTCTCCCCCTTACTGGAATTTCATGGAAAAATTCTGAATAAATTTACCTCTCTTGTTCCCACAGTTAAGAATCAAAATAATTCATTTTTGAGGGAAAAGGACTCAGCGATGCAATGAGGCCATGCTCTCCTGCTCCACTCTAGATTTCTATTGTACTGTTTTAAAAAGAGAAAAAGTGATTGTATTTTTTAAACCACAGACCATCTTTTACATTTAGATGCTTAGATATTTTCTAAATCCTTCCCACATCAAATCTTTTCATCCCTTGAAATCCCTTCTTCACTAAATAACAGATTTGGGAAACAATATAAACAAACCATTTACTAGTTGTCCATAACTTCATTTATTAGACTTTTATTGTACTGAGCACTGCAACAGGCCATAAGGAAGTTAAGAAACAAAACTAAATAAAATATGTACCTTCTTTTTCTCTGTATCTCAGATGAATGGGAAAGACAGGTTGTATTTACAATAGAGTGGACAGCGGCTTTAATGGAGCAGGTACACAGCAGTATGAGAAGAGAATGATGGAAACAGTAGCTCTGGGGACTCGGGATGAATCCACAGTAGCATCAGTTGAGCTGAGTCTTATAGGATGAGTGACTTTACAGATGGAGAGTGGAGAAAGAATATGTTAGGCAGAGGGGACATATTTCTAAAATGTGGTTGTGAAAAGGTTTGTAGCAGGTGAAGAATGGGTATATTTTGAGGGTGGAATAGAAGGTGTATACTGGGGAGTGGCACATGGTGACATTGAATGAGGTTAAACCCAGTCAGTAGGTCAAGCCTAAACTGGGAAAGATTCTGTCTGCCATTCTAAGAAATTTGGGGCTTATTCTTTGAGCAATGGAAAACCATTATAGAATTAAAACCAGAGAAGTGGCATGATAGCATGATTTATTGATTTCTCTCTCTCTCTCTCTCTCTCTCTCTCTGTCTGATTTACTTTAATGTCAATACTTAGGATGCAGGAGGAGACCAGAACACAAGTATTTTGGGCCTAAGCCCAGACAGTAGCAATGCTGATGCCAAGAACTCATTAGAAGGCAGAAATCACAGGAGCTAATGACCAAGTTGATTTTGGGGGAGAGGGCAAGGAAAAGAGCAGATTACTATATGACTTAGTTTTTTAACATACATAATTGGATAAATGATGACCTTATTAACAGAGAGAGAGAACATGGGGGAAAGGAGTAGCAAGTAAAAATGCCTGGAGACAGAAGTAAAGACTAAGGTATGGTGTAGAGGCACCAAGTGAAGTTTCAGGAGACACAAATTGGCCCAGGCAGCTTGCATATAAATAAGACATTGGTCTGATGAAAGAAGCCTAGATGATGATGCCAATATTTATTTATTTAGAGATAAGGTCTTTACTCTGTCTTCCAGGCTGGAGTGCAGTGGCACAATCATGGCTCACTGCAGCTTTGGCCTCCTAGGCCTAAGTGATCCTCCCTCAGCCTCCCAAGTAGCTGGGATCACAGACATGCACCACCATGCCCGGCTAATTTTTTTTTCTCTTTTGTAGAAACAGGGTCTCACTATGTTGCCCAGGCTGATCTCGAACTCCTGAGCTCAAGTGACCCTCTCACCTTTGCCTCCCAAAGCGCTGTGATTACAGAAATGAGCCACCATGCCCAGCAATGCCAACATTTAAGATATGGCTTCAGAAAGAGGACATAGCAAAAAGGATGTAAAAAAGGAGAAGATACAGAAAAAGCTGGACAAAGAAAAAGAAGGAGGTGAATAGTATCAGCAGCTGCTACTAGAGGAAAAGGAACATTAAGATTGAAGAGAGCCCACTTCTCAGTATTCTAGTCACTACTTACCTTAGTGAGAGTGGTTGGGATAAAAATCAAATTGAATTGGATTGAGATATAAAAGGGAAAAGTGAAGACAGCCCTCTTCGACTACTCTTTCAAGAAACCTAGCCATGAGGAACTAGAGAGAGCATGCTGTCTACAGATAGAGGGAAGCTGGAACAAGGATAGTATGGTAAGGACAGATGGCATTTACCATGTCTTTTGCCTTCTGAATAGTGACAATCAGAAACAGCAGGTAAAATACTAGGAAATTAGGGAAATGTCTTTGATTTAATGAAAAACCTAAACTAAAAAATGTATGGAAGAGCTGTTTAAAAAGGAGGATGGACAGGACCTGGGGATTGTTGGGTAGGAGGGTGAGGAAGGAGAAAGCTGGCATGATTTGCAGACTTACTGACTTGGACAAGCCAGTGAATGGCAGTGACAATAAGCAAGATTGGGGAAAGAGGAAACTGAATGAATTTGGAAGAGAAAATGAATTTCGTTTTTGACATGCTAAGGTTATATGGAAAGTTCAGGGGAAGTTTGGGAGGCAAAGGTGGGAAGGTCACTTGAGCTCAGGAGTTCGAGACCAGCCTGGGCAACATAATGAGACCCTTTCTCTACAAAAAAAGAAAAACTTAGTGGTCCTCAACAAATCGATATAGTTGAAGTCACGGGAATGGAGTGATTTTCCAGAGGGTGTGTGAAGAGCACCAGAGCCCTAAGAACGCCAAAATATAAGCGGTCAATAGAGGAAAAAAGAGCCGGAAAAAGACACTTGGAGAGGCAAGAGAGGCACAGAAAGAACTAGATAAGAGAGTTACTGAAAACAACAAATAAAAGGAGGAGGACTTTTGAGGAGGAAGTTGAGCAGTTTGGGGAGATGACCAGGTTCATATGGGATCACAGAGTGCGTGGCCATAGTTAAGTGGCAGTAAAAGTGCCTAGATTCGAGCGGGTGTAGAATCTTGTGGGTTGGGGGTTAGCCGGGCATCTAGGAGGAACTGAAAGCTGCAGATGTGTGGACAGATGATGGTGCAGGTACCGATGACCAGGAAGCTGAGCCAGATGCTGAAATCCGGAGATGTCGGGAAAAGAGCAGAGGCTCCCGTGTGGTCTAGGAGCTGAGTCAGACGGAGAAATACAGGGCTCGGAGTCCCTGAAAGCAACAGGTAACTTCAGGCCCTAAAATTGGGGTAGCCCCGGCCTCGAGGTGATCCCTGCCCGAGCCTAGCGCCGGTTCTGGGCCAGGGCGCGTGGGGTGTAGGAGCGATGGGCGATGCTACCCGTAGCTCCGTGGAGAGATGGGGCCGGTGAGGCATCCCTAGGGCCACCCCCCCCAACTCCGGGGGGAGTTCCTTCCTCCGGGCTCTGAGCACCAGCTGATGGCGCCCTCCTGAGCCCCTGCCTCCCCACACCGTGTTCTTCCCTTCCGCGCTGGCCTTGCGGGAACTCGCCCGCCCCTGCTAGGGCTCCGCCCCACGGGCGGGCGTGGGTTTCACTCGGAAGCTCTTTCAAGGATTCTGCGCCGCTTGCATTCTGCGGGGCTGGACTGTGTCCGCGGAAGCTCCCCCATCCCCTCAGCCAACCCCGTGCTCCCCTCGAGGGCTCCTGGGAGGACTGGGCTGGCAGCGGGGGTGGGGGTCGCAGGATGCCACGGGTAGGAGGTCATGGGGGGAGGATCACCTTGATGTCCACTTCGGGGAGAGAAGGGTCAAGGGACACCTCATACACCCTAAGGAGACCATCTATTAGTTCCCGCCATAGCGCCCCGTTTATTTCCGTCACCTCACCGATCACCAGCTGTAATTAGAATTAGGTGTTGTTGAGGCTGTGGTTCGCTCTCCACGTCCACTAGAATTAGTCACCAGGAGGTGGCAGCCGAGGCACACCGCGTTCCCCCGCCCTGGACCAGTGTTAGAGGCGACGCGCTCAGGCCTTCTGTGCGGACCCGGAAGGAAGGTCAGGTCCCGGGGCCCGAAAGGAAGAGGCAGCAGCCGAGGATGGGCGCCCAGGAGGAGGAACGCGCGCTGCATTGCGCTCGCCGGGGCTAAGGCTACTGGGGGATGTTGGTATTGAGTATTTCAGCCATCCATAATGACTATTTTTAATAAAACTTTTATTTTGGAATAATTTTAGATTGGCAGAAGAGGTGCAGAGATAATACAGCTAATTCTCATATACTCCAGTACAGTTTCCCCAAGTGATAACATCTTACATGACCACGGTACATTTGTCAAAACTAGGGCACCAACATTGAGAGATTGCTACTAGCTAAACTTCAAATTTCATTTGGATTTCACTAGTTTTTTAAGCTAATGTCAATATAAGTATTTTTTAAATAGCAGAAAAAGGGGGTTTAGTTTTACAATCATAATTTATGAGCCACCAAAATGATTTTTTTGAGACAGGGTCTTGCTCTGTTGCCCAGGTTGGAGTGCACTGGTGTGATCTTGGCTCACTGCAGTCTCAACCTCCTGGGCTCAAGCAATCCTCCTACCTCAGCCTCCTGAGTAGCTGGGAACACAGGTGTGCACCACCATGCCGGGCTAAATTTTTGATCAAAACGATATTCTTGAGAAACTTCGTATTTATCAATATCATATCACCTTTATAAAGATTTTTTTTCATTTAATGATGTATATGAAATATATGATAACAAGTATCATGGATATTGCAAGTGATCAAGAATTGTAAGGCATTCAGTTGAATAGCATAGTACTTCTGAAATGTAAATGAAAGTCACATTAGACAAAATGTTAACGTGTTAAAAATAAAAATCGTCATTCTCTCCAGCTGTACAGATATGACAGGATCATTAGAATGCATTATTTCAAGATCTATTTACTTATATTCAAATGTGAAAAAGGTTTAGACTACAAACTCATTTTTGTGAAAATTGTGCTTTTCCATCTCATGGTACATTTTTCACACTGTAAGATGGTCTTGTTTGTTGAGAGATATGCAGGATTTAGGGGGAGCATAATCTTCCATAAAAAAGAATGGTGTTGGTTTTATTGTGCCTGATGAAGAAGAGGAATGGGTGATTTGCATTGAATTCAATGGATGGGACTCTAATTCGTATATCTATCTCACTCCCACTGCCAGCTGCAGCTTCAGTACCTTGTTCATTTATTTCCACAAAAGCCTTATGGAAAACATTGGACAAAAATAGGTTTCTTGCTGAAGACATTCCTGAGAAATCAGCTTTGCTTTGGCTGAAGGCATCACTCATCCCCATACTGCTCAGGGTTGACTTGAGATCATAACTGTCTTCCAGCTTGAACTTGGGAAGGTGTAGCTGCACTTCATACAACTCCATCATGTCTGCACTGGTCCACTCATTCAGCTTCTCATAGGTGATGGCCTTTTCCAGCTGCCCATTTGGAACCAAGAAAGAAAGAATCAGTAATTCCAAAGTGGAATGAAAAACAGTAGTAGAGAGAGCACCCTAGGAATTACATAGGTGAATTATGATCACTCCCGTTACTCAGGGTGACAACACACACACATCTGGAAATCCTTTGGTTGTATAATGTTGACCTTCAAAATCTTTTTTCTGCAGATTAATTGCTATCCGGATATAGGAGAATTAGAGTTTAATTCAAAATGGAAGTACTTCTGCTATAGTATGCAAGACATCAGCTATACACTCAAATACATAAATATAAATATACATTTAGATGTTAGCTATACAAAAGCATATACTCTAGTTCAAGTTGTAAGCCAAGGCACAAAAAATCTTGTTTATCGACATGGGAGACAGCTCTTTGAAAACAAAATTTGGAATAAAATAACACGTCTATACTCTAATCAAAACAACGTGAGATTAATAATTATAGACTAAGTCAAAAAAGAAAGAAAAGATAAGAAAATCCTCCAAATCTCAAAAGTAATTATTTTACAGTGAGTTTAAGGATGCTTTCCCTCTTCTTTATATTTTAAATTTTTAAAATGATAAATATGTGTGTACATACTATATATGTATGTATATATGTATACACAAAAATACACATGTATATATGTGTATGTTTGATTTTTTAAATGACATGTTTGTTTCAATGCACATGCATCTTCTAGACGGAAGTTTTGGCTGTCAATGGCATACCTGTAAACCACTTACATTAATAACATGACAGTATCTTCAGCTCAGGAAATTGCACTTCTAGGTTTTTATCTTACAAGGGCTTGACTCTGATGGTTATTTGTCCACACTGGTTTTATTTTCACTATCCTCTCCAGTTTCACAAATTTTATGACATAATTTGGAAATATTTTCTACATACTAGTAGGATCGTGGAAACTTATAAGTATTAAGAGTCTGACACATGTGAAAAATTAGACACTGTGCAAAGAAAGACAGGCCATCCGTTGCATGAGACTCATGTTCAGTTTAGGCATGCAAATTGCTCAGAAGCATGGTTTGACAAAAGTTGTGTCCAGATTAATAGAAATTTAGCTGGTAAACAGCTTAAATAATTCTTGAAGACAGTATTGATAGAGACTTTTTCTCCTGAAGGTTGCTTACTTGATAAAAATGTTCAACAAATAAGTTTTGGAAGACAGCTTGATGTCTGCGTACGTGTGTGTATACTAATGCAAATGGTTAAAATATTAATTTCAAATTACATAGGTCCTACCAGAGGGAAACCTAGACTGATTGAAAGATGGTTATGATCAATCCACACAGTTCTGTGACTGACAAGGTATATTTGTATCTGTTGTACATGTGGCTATGTGTGTGATGACCCCAGGCTGGAGCTGTCTATACATTGCCTAACCTTTCTGAGGAACAGTAATATTAATTTTATAGAGTGTTGTAAAGTTTAAATAATATTGTGAAGGTGAAGTGCCTAGAACTCAAGGTACATTGGTGACCTTTCTCTATAGGAATTAAATAATAGGGAGAACATTCTTCCTGAGGACAATTGGGAGAAACCTTGGCCAAGCAGTTCTTTTCTTAGTAAACACTGGAAACACCCTCACATCAGACACACTGATGTTATTTACCTGTTCCAGCCCATTAATGTCTTCTGGCAGTAGTATAAGCAGGCTGAGGTCACGGCTTTTGTAGTAGAGTTGAAGGCCCACTGCTTTTGGCTTTTCTATGTGAAAAATGTGAAGCTTTTTCTTCATAAACATCATTTGCACTGGTTTGCTTGTAGTCTAAAAAAAACAAAAAAACAAAAAAACAGGTAACAAGGTCATTGAAGAAGTATTCCACCAACTCCTTAATTCTCTACCATCATTGGCTCTCAGTTGGTGAAACTGCTGATTCTCTGCTAAATGCTGAATAAAGTTATCCAGACCTTCCTTTATGGAAATATCTGTTCCACTGAAAAGTATCAGCAATAGCAGATATGTGAGTTTCTGTTTCTAACACAACTGTGGTAACCTCTATAAATCACAGCAACATGTATTAAATCAAACTCTTAATATATGATCTTGTGTAAATTATGGAAATGCCAATAATCCAAAAACTAAGGCATATTTTACATGAAAATATTTGAGAAAGTATTTTAGTATTATAAAAATTGACATTCACTAAGAGAATGCAAAGACAAGCAATAGATGAGCAGAAAATATTTGCAAAACATATGAGACAATAATAAAAACTCAACAAATAATAAAAAACTCAACAATAATAAAACAAACAAGCCAGTTTTTTTAAATGGGCAAAAGATCTAAGAAACACCTCACAAAGAAGACATACAGCACATGAAAAATGCTCAATCATATGTCACTAGGAGATTGCAAATTACACACGGCTACTAGAATGGCTAAAATATGAAACACCAAATGCTGATGACGATATGAAGCAACAGGCACTGTCATTTACTGCTGGTGGGAACGCACAGTGGCACAGCCACTTTGGAAAACAGTTGGGCAGTTTCTTACTAAGTTAACCTAGTCTTACCATACGATGCAGCAATTTTGTTCCTAGGTATTTACTCAAATGTGTTAAAAACAGTGTCCACAGAAAAACTTGCACACAGTGTAGTATTTATAGAAAATTTATTTATTATTGCCAAAAAATTGGAAGGAACTAAGATGTGCTTCAATAGGTGAATGGATAACAAACTGTGGTACAATTGTACCCTAAAATATTATTCAGCAATAAAACAAAAAGATCTATGAAGCCCTGAAAAGACATGGAGGAACATTAAATTCATAGTGAATGGAGCCAGCCTCAAAAGGCTACGTGCTGTATGATTACAACTATGTGACATTCCAGAAAAGCCAAAACTGTACAAACAAAAAAAGATCAGTGGCTGTCAGGAATTTAGGGGGAATGGATGAACAGGTGAAGCACAGGGCACTTTTAGGGCAGTGAAACTATTCGGAATGCCATTGTAATGGTGGCTACGTGATATTGAACATTTTCAAAATCCATAGAACAGTACGACATCAAGAGTGGACCCAAATGTAAACTATAGATTTTAGTTAATAATGATGTATCAATATTAGATCATCAATTATAACAAATATGCCACACTAATGTAAGATGTTAATAATAAGGGAAACTGTGTGTGTGTTGAAGGGGGGACATATGAGAGCCCTATACTTCGTGCACAATTTTTTCTGTAAACCTAAAAATGCTCTAAAAATCAAGCTTATTTTAAAATAAGACCAATTGCCAAATGAAAGCAAAACAAACACCCCTGCAACTTAGATGTTGTAGACATATGTTACTTTTCCATTCTATGTCGAACTGTCCATCACAAAGCCCCACCGTATGCTAAGGTGGTGGCCATACGACAAGGGCTGTTTACTGCGAGTACTCTAGCATACTGTGGTTGTTTCCAGAGAGAGCCCATGAATGGCCCCAACCAGAGCCCTCCTAGAACTAATGGCAAACACTTTCTCTGTCTACTAGAGTTGTGAAGCTTGAAGACTGAATATGAGGCAACCATATTCCCTGATCATTATTAGAGAATGAGAGTAGCAACTAGAGAGAAAAAGAGAAAGAGACAGCATGAGAATGAACTGGGATTATGTGTTGAGACTCTAAATACCCCAATCACTCACTCCTGGACTTCCCAGTTTTTTGTCACCTCAGCTAATTCCAATACAATTCCCATTTTGCCAGAGCTAGTTTGGAATACTTTTCTATCACTTGCAACTGAAAATTTCCAGTGAATATATAAACCCAGGTAACTATCCAGCTCACTTCTCGTTAACCTACTCGATTATGTGTTCAGTTTCTTCCCCATCCTCACCCCACTGATTGAGAAATACCTATTGCACACATTCATTACAGCCATAGTTCCACAGCAGCACTGTTTGTGGCCTATCCCTAGACTAAACAACTGTAACAAACCTTGGTCAACTAGTTCCTTTCCTAGGAATTTGGAATGGGATTTTCCAACTGGTCTCTAGAATGGCGAAGGTCCTGTGAGTAGCTATGTTCTGTCATTGTGAACTGGGAAGCAGAGAAAGTTAGACCACAACCTGAGAGAAGAATGATGGTAGAAACAGAGTTGAAAAAATAGAGGAAAAAATCCTGACAACATTTAAGTCCTTGTTTCCAATCAGGTCCCAAGGCCCAGCCACACTCCAGCCCATTCACGAGAGTCAAATCTATAACCTTACTTTAGTCTCCGTTTTTATTGCTTTTACTTATGTAAGGGTAAGAATTTGGTAGAAGTTAGTACTGGTTTAGCAGGGCAGGTACAGAACTTGCAGTGAGGACTCTTAGGTTCTTGTTCTGGACTGCTTCTAACTCAGGCATGCCTCCAGTCACTTGGCCACACTATATTTCTCACCTAGGAAATAAATATGAAAACTACCCTACCCAGCTCACATGGGTGGCAAGGACTGAGTGATTGTATATTCAGAGAAAAACAAGGACAGGGGAATTTCAATGAATTCCCCATGGAACTGAAGGCTTTTAGCCCAGCCATCACTTCCCTGGTAAGAGCCATAGTTCACTAGAACATACAATCTAAAAGAAGAGTGAATTTATAAGAGAATCACTTGTACAATGCCATGTGAAAATCCAAACTGATCTTTAAAAATTTCCTACCTCGTTTATTCTAAAAGGCTTTTCTGTGGTGTTTTGCACTAAGAATTGATGTTCCCAGATTCCTTTAAAGTATAGGGCGTTCACCAGAATCATCCTGGTTGTGGAATCCACAGAGTCATCAGGCAGGAGATTCTGGATTTTACCTGTAAGAACAAAAGGCAGGTTGCAAATGACTTGTAGAAATATGTATATTTTAACTAAAGACAACCAGGCTTCTATTTTTTCTGGAACTATAAAAGTTTTCTTTAAAAGTCCTGGTTTTTGATTTTCTGGAAATGGACAAGTACTATTCCTGTCCAGAATAGCTGCTGTGAATAAATAGAGAAACCCTGAAGAAATAATATGCTGGACTGTCAGTAAGCATTATTCCACATAAAGTACAAATTTGCATTTTAATTATAAAAACTTCCCTGTAATATAAGTTGATTTGTAACCCTATTTCTTTTTTTTTTTCTTTTTTTTTTTTTTTTTTTTTGCACTTTAGCTAAAGATTTTTTATTTCCAGAAAATTACAACTACTTGACTAACAACTCTTTGCACCTACTGATTTAGGTTGGACAACTTGTGAAACATAGTGGTAAAAAAGGAAGTTACTTCTCTACTTCAAGGTTTCCAAGTTTGTGGTAGAAATCTAAAGAACATTTCTCTTAGCACTACCTCTGGGCAAGACACTTGTGCTAAAATGTCCTTCTTTTTCTCTGTACCTTTATGTCATTGTTAATATACTCTATTCATCATTTCCCCTCCTCTACTCTTAGAGTATAAATCAAGATCTGTAAAATTGCTCAATAACAGGACTTAACTGCCCTGGAGGAAGAAGGGATTTTTCTTTCCTTTTTGAAATTCAGAGGGGGAAATGGTGGCATTTAAACTCCTGCCAAAAATTTTAAATTTCTAACAAAAAAATAAAATAAATACTCTTGAAAATTAATTCATATGAACCTTTATTTTCCTTCAAAATTTACTGGCTAAAATGATGGAAAAAATATATACATATATGGAGATTAAGAGAAGGTGGAAAGCTGTAATTAGATAGGGTTTGAGTTTTGGCATTTCGTATTTGTAGCTGTTGGAAAGACTTTCTGTAGGACTCTCTGGTATTTGGTATCCAAGAGATACTATGGTTCATATGTTCATCCATAATCATACTAAAAAGAGCCAAGTATTGTCACAAAAGCAGGTTTAGCTGGGTTTCTCACCAAATTGATTTACATGTGAACATGGAAAGTTCACATAGGCCACCGAAATTGAAATCTCCTTAAGCTGATAAGCAACTTCAGCAAAGTCTCAGGATACAAAATCAATGTACAAAAATCACAAGCATTCTTATACACCAACAACAGACAGAGAGCCAAATCATGAGTGAACTCCCATTCACAATTGCTTCAAAGAGAATAAAATACCTAGGAATCCAACTTACAAGGGATGTCAAGGACCTCTTCAAGGAGAACTACAAACCACTGCTCAAGGAAATAAAAGAGGATACAAACAAATGGAAGAACATTCCATGTTCATGGGTAGGAAGAATCAATATCGTGAAAACGGCCATACTGCCCAAGGTCATTTACAGATTCAATGTACCCCTATTTCGAGGGGACTGAAATACTTCCTTCTTTTTCACTTCTGTTTGTAGCCACAAACCGTGAGCTGCTCTGATTAACATCTGAAAGGCTGTGCCAATGTTTTCCTGTTGCCCAAAATATTGCTGTGTGCAATTGCTTCTATCAGATTGTTATAGTTACAACTTAAACTGATATTTGGCTATCAACCCCGAATACATTCTCTCCAAACTCTCTAATAAAGCACCTTGAACGATTTATAAAAATACGTCAAATATATATCTCTCGAATCAGGTATTATAGGTTTGCTCTAGAGGCACATGTTTGATAACTGAGGTAGATAAAACTGGATTGAGAAGAACCTCTTGGCCAACCCAGCTTCACTCTGCAACAGACACTACTCAGAATAAAGGGCTGATCTTTTAAACTGCCAAAATACAGACATGGGAAAGCTGTTAAAATTATAAGAGACAGCTTGTGGCACTTAATTTAAAAAATAATTTTCCAGGAAAATATTAATAGAATCTCAAGAAATAGTAGAAAATCTGAAAAAAAAAATTAAACATGATTGAAATTGTACAACTCTCAAGTGATTACCTCCCGTGGAAACAGCATCAACCCCAGACATGTAGACAGGTAAATTCTTTTCAACCTTCAAGTAAATGATAAATCTCTACACTATTCACACAGTTTCAAAGCACAAAATAGAAAATTCTCTGATTACTTTTATCAAGCTGGCATATACCTAGTATAAAAATGACAAGAAAGCACAAAATTCCCATCCGTAAACCCATTTCTCTTGTGAATATAAACAAATAAACCCTAAATTACATTTTAGTAAATAAATCTAATTAATATACATTAGGAATGCAAGAAACATATATTAGGAAATCTATTAATGTAGCGTGTTGCTGATATGGCCTGAATATTTGTGTTCCTCCAAAATTCATATGTTGGAACCTAATGTTCAGTGTGATAGAATTAACAGGTGGGGCCTTTGGGAAAGGATTAGATCAGGAGGGCTCTGCCCTCATGAATAGGATTAGTGTCCTTATAAAGGGATTGAGGGAGCCTGTTTGCCCCCTCCACTATGCGATGACAATGAGAAGGTGTCACTTTGGAATTATAGAGCAAGCCCTAGCCACACGCTGAATCTCCTGGCACCTTGATTGCGGACTTCCCAGCTTCCAGAACTGTGAGCAATAAGTTTCTATTATTTATAAATTACCCAGTCTAAGATGTTTTGTTATAGCAGCTGTAATGGACTGAGACAATTGCTTTGATGACTGATAGGAGAAAAAAATCATAACATCATCTGCAAAAATACTTTTGATCTTCAACCTTCATTTCTAATTTTAAAATGATGACTTTGTAAATTAAAATGAAGAATACTTCTATAATATTAAAAATAATATTTTTCTTCAACAAACCCATAATAATGCTAACCCAGAAACATTAGTGGTATTTATGGCCTGCTATGACTACCGTTATTTAACATTTTTCTCAAAATACTAAGTAAAGCAAAAAAAATTAGATGAGATATTATATAAAAGGAAGAGACAAAATTATTATTTGCAAATAATAAGGAAAGCAAGGAGAATCAACTAAAAAACAATGAAAACTAATAAGAAGTTCTTTTAGGTGCTGTTACACTATTACGCTAAAAATTATCTTCTTATCTTCTAACAATAAACAATTAGAAAATGATATAATTACATCCTAGTGATACACCACATTTATAATAATTATGCTTATAAAATATCGTTAAATGATAACATCTTATATACACCACTGATCCAAACCAGGAAGTTAACATTAATAGAATATTATTGACAGGTCATATTTAAATTTCATCAGTTGTTTTAATAAAGTCCTTTTTTTCTGGGTTAGAAATCAATACAAGACCTTGCATTGCATTTAGTTGTAATTTCTTCTTATTCACCTTTAATCTGGAACAGTTTCTCACTCATTCATTGTCTTTCATGACCTTGACACCTTTAAGAAAGACTTCCCATTTGTTTTGTAGAATTCTCCTGAATTCCCAGTTTAGGTTTGTCTGATGTTTAATCAAGATAATATTCAAGTTATGCATTTTTGTGAGAGTATCACCGTGGTGGGTTGAATTGTGTCCCCCAAAAACACGTGTCCCACTTCTAACCCGTAGTACCTGTGAATGTGACCTTATTTAGAAATACAGTCTCTGCAGATGAAATAAAGTTAAGATGATGTCATATTGGATTAAGATGAGACCCAATCCAATGACTAGTCTCTCTGTAAGGAGGGGGGAATTTGGACATAGGCACACAGAGAGGAGAGTGCCATGAGAAGATGCAGAGACAAAAGAGAGATACAGATAACAAGAGGAAGCCATGTACCAATGCAGGCAAAGATTGGAGTGATGTATCAACCAGCAAATGAGTGCCAAGGATTGTCAACAACCACCAGAAGCTATGAGAAGCTCATGCAAGTTTCTTCTCTAGAGCCTTCAGAGAGAGCACAGCCTTGCTGACAGCCTGATTTTGACACCTAGCCCCCAAAACTGTGAGAGAATACATTTTTGTTGTTTTTAACCACTCTGTTTACCTTAATGTGTTATGACAGCCCTAGGAAACTAATACAACCACCAAAGTCATGCTGTGTTCTTCTCAATGAATCATGTAAGGAAGTGCATGATGCCCATATGTCCTATTACTGGTGCTATTAATTTGAACACTGATTTTTCCAATGTAAAAGGACTGGCTGGTTTTTTTATTTTTTGGTATCATGTGGGAAGATACTTTGAGAGCGTGTAATATACTGTTTCCCATCAGGCTTTTGTCCACTAATTTTAGTATCCATTTATAATTCCTATCTAAAACAATTACTACTGTGGTTACTATTGCAGATGGTGGTTTTCTATTTCCATCATTCTTCTGTATTCATTAACTAGAATTCTACTGTGAGAAAGAGCCTTCCCTTCTTCATTTATTTGGATCTTCAATTATTTGTTTATATCAGTATAGACTCATGGGTATTTGCTTTATTCTATGGGTTATAATCCATTACTATCATTATTTATTTTGTTGCACAAATTGCTCCAGATTTTGCCATTGGAAGCCTCCCCTGTTGGCTCCTGTGTCCTTCTGACATATTCCCAAGTATTTTGAGCATTTCCTTACATTCTGTCACCACAAAAAGTCCTTATCTTGTACTTCGCTTGTCCCAGCTCTGTTACCACCATTTTGTCCAGGAGCTCTGCTTTCTTTTTTTGAAAGAAGGAGTTTAGAAATCAAGATCTTGGTGTCAGATATGCTGATTACTATTGGGATGTCATTGCTTCCAGATCCTCTCAGCAAATGGGGCTAGGAAATGTATGCATTATACACACATCTGTATCTATTTCTACATTTATCTATTGAATTATCTTTCTGCATATATATTGAAGACTAGAAGGTCATATTGATACTTTCACTTCCAATCTAATAACACAGGGTTCATTGTAGCCTTTGTCTTTGCCTTATTTGTAATTTCTTTCCTGGCTCTCATGATTTCCAATATATTTCCTTATTTGCTTAATCCTAGAACAAACATAAAGTAGTTTCAGGATTGCAAATCCATTCTTCTATTAAAAACAAATTTAAAAACTAGGGTACAATATTTGTGTACTTTTTTTCAGCCTTAAAATATATAGTCGAAGTATACTTACTTTTTTTAACCTTTGAATTTATAGTCAAAAATGCTGTTTTACAAGGTTACTTAATGTTTTAGACCATATGTTTGTTTAAAAGAATGTATCTGAAACAGTGCTACAAGCCAAGATGCCATTAAAGGACTGGAAAATTTGAAGAATCCCGAAAGAGAAAATACAGATGGATTAGACTGATAGAGGAAACCACAGCATACACACACAAAAGGCATCACAGATGACTTCTTGGGAGGTTGGGGTGTTGCTCAGGGAGTTAGAAACTCAAAGGCCATGCATTCATGGAGCTTGTTGGGGGCAGGGAACATCAATGAGATTAATGAAATAATTCCATTTATTGCAGTGGCTCCTAACTTTGACTGCAAATTAGAATCTCCTAAAGACTTAAAAATACTGATGCTTGAACCTCACTCCAAGATATCTGAATTAGTTCATCTGGAGTTAGGCTTAGTAATCAGTAAATTCAACTTAATATGTTGCCACGATTGAGAGTCACTGGTTTACAGAAATTGTGTTTATTGACTTTCTATACCTCCCTGGGTACCAGCAATGGGCTACAAATACATTAGCTTACTGTCTAGAGTAATGAGTGAGGACACCGTATGTCACAGTGGAGTTAGAACAGTGTTCCCAAGGTACTAGGAATTCCCAAGAAAAACTGGAAGCTTCCCATGCCCAGAAGGCAAGTTATAAACACAGCACATCAATGTCAGCCCAACAGTGACCATAGACAAGTTATTGTGATCTGTATTATAAACTAAGACTGGTAAACTGGGGTTGCCAAACAAAAAGACACACAGAAAACCAAAAGGATTAAACAGGTAAGAAAATCCACCCTATGAGAGAGAAGCACCAACATCAACATGCACTAACAGGAAGCAGAATTAATACAGCAAAAAGACTTAACAATAAGCAAAATTTACATATTCAGATAAAGCTGACTGATCTCACTAATGAAAAAGAAATAACCAATAACCATAAGTCTTGAAGAGAAAAGAAATAATTGTCAAAGCAGAACATAAATAACTGTGGAAATAAAACTCTTGAATAGATTGAATAGTTGAATGAACACGGCTGGAGCAAAATCATGAGCTGGAAAAGGATAACAGAAGGGCAAAGCAATGAAAAGTAAATATAAATGGAAAATCAAAGCAGATAGGATAGATTGTGAAATTTCAAATTTGTTTATTGGAAGTACTGAAGGCAAGAAGGGACAGAATGAAAAGAAGAAAATCATGAAATAAATAATATACACAATTTTGTTTACCTAAAGGCCTTTATATTTAGATTTAAAATAATTGCCAGCAAAGTTATAAAGTAAATAAATAAAAATAAAAAGACCCCTGCCTAGAACATAATGTTGAAACCTCAGAACACCAAAAAAGAAAGAAAAGTATTCTAAAATCTTCTGGGGAAGGTTCAGGGTGCAGGTTTGTTGTTTTTATTAATGATGCTGGATGCTACTATCTAAAGGAAAAATGAAGACCTTGGAGAAGACCTGTTGAAAGCTCAAGGAAAGAAGTATCTTTGAGATGGTTCAGGTAGAACCTAGTCATGCCAAACACCCTAGCAACTTTCCCTTAAGGACATATGGAACTCTGCCTCGACAAAGTCTAAGTTCCTAAAGAACTAATTAATTCCTTATTTTATTTCATGTTGAATGCTTCCAAATAGCAGATATTTGTGTCCAAAATAGAAAATACAGAAGGATTACAGCTTTCTCCCTCTCTAGACAATTCTGCTTCTGAGGAATAGAGTGAGGAGGGTCAGCTGGAGGAATGAAATAATGGGATGTGGCAAACAAGGCTCAGTAAAAGATTCGAACTGTGTCCACCATGAGCTTATTTTTTGGTGCCTCTCATTTGACCAGTGGTATGATAACAGAGAATTTTTTAAAGTGTGGATGTCCCATACTGTGGCCATATAGTACTATAATCTGCAGTCTGCCCTTTCTTCCATAAAGTAAAAGATTATTTGCTCAGTTCTTCTTCAGAAATGAAACTTCTAGACTTATGCTGTCTAATATGGTGGCCACTAGATTCATGTGGCTACTTAAATTTAAATTAATTGAAATGAAATAAGTTGAAAATTCAGTTCCTCAGTCACATTAGCCACATTTCAAATCACCTGTGTTCACATGGGAATAGAAGCTACTCCACTGGACAGTGCAGATTTATGGCACGTCTCCATCATCATAGGAAGATCTTCTGGACAGCTCTGTAATTCAGACACCTGGATTTTGTTATGTACCTTCAGTGCATCAGTCTAAGCTGGGGAAGCAAGGCAAGGACCAACCCCTAAGAGCCATGCTTATGTGGCACCAGACAACAGCTGTCTTCTTGGCTCTAAAAGGCTTTGCTAGGATGCAAAGCTAGCAGATTAGTTGCCCCAGCCTTCCAATCTGTAGGATCCCTACCTGATTTCCAAACAACATAACAGTCACCAGGCTAGGAATCTAAAACATAACATTTTGCCCAACTCCAGCACCATTCTTACTCCTACTCCTGCTATGTTGAATTTGTGTTTAGGTCATAACATACTTTTGCCTGTACAATCAAATGTGGTCTCACACAAGCTACAAAAGTGCAAGTACCTAGTAACTGCTAGCTAATCTATAATTCTAAACAAAACAAACTTATTTTCAGATGAATGCAAATCAGGATGGAAGTTAAATATCATAGTCACTCTTGCTTCACCACGGCTTTTGAGTCATGGGCTCAATGTAAAAGGAACTGAGCACTTAGGGCTGCCAATGTTATCAATTCATTCCAATAAACATTAATGTTCTGAACAACTGCTATGAGCAGGCCTGTTATGTGTGATTTAAAGCTGAAGGCAGAGTTATCGCACATAGAGTCCTTGAGTCTAGCAGGGGACATAGATGTATAAGCAGTTAGTTTTGATAACAGTGTGGTAAGTGTCAAAGTAAAGGTTTGCATAAATGTCTGGGAGCAAAGAGGAGGATGTTTAGCCTGAATGAAGCCCTGAGAAGTTATTTGGGGGCAAAGGAGGGGTTGGGGGTGGCAGGGCAGGGAACGGTATTTCAGATAGAAGAAATGGCATGAGTACAGGGCCATTAAGTAGCACAGGGAGTTCGGGACATTCTATGACATGTAGAATCCCTGAAATATAAATTTTAATCCAGGGAGTGACAAGAGTTTAAGTGGAGAGACAAGCAAGGCTCCACAGTCATATTGGCCCTTATATGTCTGGTTAAGGGCTTTGTGTTGATCCCATAGGTCATGGGGCAGCATGAATCAGTTTTGAGTAGAGAAGTGACATGGCCTATCTGGTCTAATTTGTATTCTAGGCAGGTAATTTGGGTGGTAAATGGAGGTTAGATTTGAAGGGAACAAGATTAGAGGCAAATTATTGCATTTGTGCAGATAAAAGATAGCGAAGAAAGAAAGGCTGTGGAGGAAAGGAATTGAAAGGAAAAGTGAACTCTGAGAAACATTTAAGAGGAAGCAAAGGAAAGGGTAGAATTTAGAGTATGTCTCAGATTACTGTTCTGGGCAAGTGTGTGATTGGTGTACCCATTCACCAAGATGGAGAATACATGAGGAAGACAAGGTCTGGGAAAACCATTCTGAATGTGATTTCAGGTATGGTGAATTTGAAATGCATGGGACCCTTGGCAAATATGTCTAGCAGGTGTTTGTTATGAGCCCTGAAGTTCAGAGGAGAAGACAGCAAAACATTCCATGTGCTTAGACACAAAGCAAAGGCATCATCATTAATATTCATTAATGACAAATGATGAATTAATCTTCATTAAGTCATGAATGATTAATTAATCTTCATTAATGATGATGCCTTTGTATTTCTTCATAAGATATAATATAATATCAATTGAAATGTTGATTTAAAAGGCAGCATGGTGTGTAGAAATCAGTTCAGACTTTGGAACTAAGCTGACTTATATTCGAAATCCTATTGCTGAAGCTTTAAACTGTGTAATCATAGATAATTTCTCTAAAATCTCAGCTTCCTTATTTCTAAAATAAGGATAACAATAAAAGACTGTTAAATTGCCTGGGAGAATCCTTCTACTACTTCCTTTTAGAAATAAAACCCTGAAATTTAGGTGACAAATGGCAACCCAGCTGAAAACTCCATTTTGCAGGTCTTTCTTCTAGCAAGTATGGTGACTGGAATTGACTGGAATGTGGTTGGTCACTCTTGCCTGGAATTAGGGGCTTTTTGATCCTAAAACTAGGAAAGTCACAGGCAAACCAGAATGCACTGGTCACCCTAGCAGAAAGTGTGCTATGGACTAAGTTTAGACCAGTGGGAGATGAGTGGAATTAACATGTGAAACTTCCAGGGCATCCCCTTAAAGACAAATTAGCTTTTGCTGAAATTTCTTTTCCCCACTTCCTGCTGCTACTACAACTGGCTATTGTAAGAACCATCTTGCACCTAGAGATGGAAGCCATGTATTGAGGATGGCAGTGCTGAACACCAGCCTGGATCTCTGGATGGCCTTGGGAGGCAAAATGCTCTCTCTAAGCCAGGATGCCTAACTACCTTTGAACTATTATTTGAGAGAAAGACATACTTGTGTCTTATTAAGCCACTATATTTTGGGTCTCTTCTTTAGAGTAGTTTAATCCATACTCTAACTGATACTTGAACTTACTTTGAAAAGTATTTAAGATTCTATAGCACATTTAATGCCACATTTCTGTTATTAGTAGATATTTTTCCTTAAAAACCATGCATGTGGCAGTATTTTCAATTTCCTTTTTGCATTTTTCTGCTTTTTACCCTTGGGCTCTTCTTTGGAATTAGTGGGAGATGATAATTTTCTTGTCTATTTGGTAAAGTGATGGCCTGACTTACTTGTTTTAGATAAGACTTATTAGGAAGGCAGTGAATCTAAAAATTACGTACATGAATAGAAATAAATGTTCTGAATATTTACAATGTGTCCACACTTCTATTTAAGGAGTATACATACTTACATATGACACAAACTAAAATAAATACAAGGATGTTTGGGAAAAGCACGCTGCCAAACCCCTTGGTGAAAGCTTACCCTCGGTCTGTCTTTCAACCCAAGAGTTGATGTCCTTTCTGATTTGATCAGAAGCTTCCACAAAGTTAACAGGCTGAGGTTCTGCACCAAAATATGTTTTCATGTCTTCTAAATATTTCTGAAAGACATAGATAAAAATCCCCTTTTGTAGAGTTTGTTCAAAATTGAGAAATCAAATCTATTTAGATTATCAAAAGAACTAGGTAGGCGGGCAATTGCACACTCCCACACCATCACTCCATCCTCTCTTTCCTGACTCCCAGTTTTGGTCAAAAACTAAACACCTCACTCTTCAAACTTAGCAGGGCACTGGCTAGCTATGCAGAGCTCCAGCTGTGGAAGGAAGTACGGATGCCCACATTTTTGGGGCTTCCACATCCTCTTCCTTTCTATTTTTATCCATGCCTTGAAATGAGGCTAGAATGGAAAGGGACTACAAATAACAAGAGTGACCCCAGTGGCCAAGAGGTACTGGGCATTGTACTTGACTTTTTATGGTAGGTATGAAACCAAAGTGAGGCTTGTGATACTGGTAGCTTCCTTCTGTGGATTCTAAACAACAAGAATCTTGTGGAGGACCCTTGAAGAAAATGATATCCTGCCATGAAAATGGATTTCTAAGCAGAGTTGAATGTTATATTAGGCATTCTGAGGCAAAAAAAAAAAAAATGAGGCCTTCACCTCCTCCTGGTCCTCTGATGTTCACCCAGTGGCAGTCATCACATGTAGGCTATGACTGAGTTTGCTGTTATGGAGGCATCTGCCTTGGGAACACAATTTATTCTTCAAGACATTGTAGTATTCCTTCAATTTGCTTACTTTATGCAGGGCTTGTAGGAGAAAAAGTGATGAGTTAATTCTGTTGCCAGGAAGTGGCTTGAAGATTATGAAGTCTAAATTCTGTGGAATTTAAAATCTAATAAAAGGAAAACTTAAATATTTTTGAGGGACCACTGCCTGTCTTAATTCAGGGCTTGTGGACATATAAAAATATGTTTGTCTCTATCTCTGTGTCCCTCTTGTTTCTAAGTGCCCACTGAGTCAATCATGTCTCCTACTTCTGCATCAAACGAGAGTCCATGAGCCTACAAGAAAGGAAACTGTCTTTAAGATTCCATTTGGATGATTTTATGTCTTTAGTAATAACAAAGCTCAATTCCTGAACTCCCCAGAATTCACTAGATTTGAACAGAGATAGCATTGCTTGAAATCACAAGGTAGCTTTATTTTATCTTATTGCTATTCTTCTACCCTATCTAATTTCCTTGCTCTTTGCCCACTGGACACACGGGTCCTCCTGCCCAAAGAGATGTTGGACAATGAAGGAAATTATTGACCTGGGTTGTCATGTGACCCTCTTAACAGAGGACAGAGTCATCATGGTCTGCATTGGTGGGGTTTCAACCCTTAGTAAAGAGGAGAGGTTGATATTATTTCATGTTTCATGTTCCCAAAGTCTGTAAAGTCTTGATGTGAAAACTCCTCACTTCTCTCATCCCAAGGTCAGTTTTGCTCTCAAGTAGACAGTCTCCAGCCAAGTCTCCATATGTATTTGTAGGCCATTCTCAGGGGCTACCTCTTTATTCTAGACAGAAATATCTGATTCCTAGATCTGATTTGAGACCTGTTATTGGTTTCCTTTACCACTAGACACTCATTGGTTGGTCTAATTGATTGTTTGCAGGGAAGTACTGACCACATGAAGATTGTCCCTGGATCCCTAAAGAAATATACAGAGTTTACTGATTGGTCTCACATTGCTCTTTCTTTTCCATTAGCTTAAAATAAGACATTTGCACTTACATTGTGAAATGCATACGTTTTCTCTCCATATATCGCATTGGCTGTTTTAAGTAAGTAGTCATCGTTGGGCTTGAGGATTTCTGAGATAAGTGTTTGGAAATCAGAGTGTATTTCTTCCGAGTTGCTCAAGTTGAATTCCTTTAAAAGAGAAGGAACTAGTCAAATAAAATGTTGAACAAGAGTTACGTACATGTTAGCAAACTAAAGCTAAATAAAATTATTTGGGGAATTGCAAACAAAAGTTGAAAATGTTCCTAAAGTGGATAAAAATGTTTTCTTTAGTGTTAGTGCAAAAGAATGAAATGTTATTGAGGCCATAATTTTCTTCACATTTAGTTTGCAAAAGCAGGCAAGGAAAAGTTTGAAACTAGAGAAATTTTTAGAGAGATTAAAAGGGCGTGGGGACAAGAGATCTTTCAAAAGGTGTAGATATTTTGTATTCCAAAAAAAGTTTCTGTAACTTTAATATATGTTTCTAAGAAAAATTACCTGCTAAAAGTTGCTTCAGTTATCACTAAAATACATGTGCTAAAAGTACTTTTTCCTTAATTATGAAATATATATTAAAGGATAAGATATACCATTTTCCTTTTTTTTTCACTTTCAGGGTCACATTTGACTCCCTGGTCTCTGTTAAATTGAAGCACCTGTAATTTCAATAAAAATACAAATGAATAGACTGCAGAGAAGTAATTATATAAATCATACATCATCTGTAAATACAAGTCAGTCATTCCTATAATTGCAGAACATATAATTAGTTAAACAAAGGGGCTCTGACTTGACTTAATGTGTGTAATAAAATAAGTCAAGAACTGCTCTTAAATAAATTTTCTAAAGTCGAATTTAAGTTGCTAGTCTCTTTATTTTCCTATGTTTTGTAACTAGAATGATGTTAGGAAAACCTTGAGGTAAAATTCTCTTATTTTCCGTATTTCCTTTTTACTCATGGTTGTTTTAAGAAGAATGCTAGGTGTCCAACTGAGACCATCATTTAGACAGTTTAGGTAAAAGCCATAATTATGTGGAAAATTAAGGAATTTTAGTTGTTTTTTTTCTAGTTAAATGCTCAGTTCCTATTGTCTACCACCACTTGACATATTTAGGCGCAATGTTTGTGTTTACCCCAGCATTTCACTGGAAAGTTAACAGGAAAGATGTAGATACTCTTCTTTCCTTGGAATTGTACAACAATAGAACAGAAGGCAATACTTTTATCTGCCAAGTCCTGGACCCGGCTGACAATAAGAAATACGGTATACTGCTTCAACGGTTGCATTGACCCATGTTAACAGAACAAGGGCCACCTGCCATACATAAAGGGGTGCACAGTTAATTCATGAGGCCCATTTGCAACTAAAAGTGTTAACATCCGAAACAAGGACAAGCAACACCCAGCAATATATTTATATGAAATAGATTCACATTGGAATCCACTTAAGATTGTCTATCACATTAATGATTAAGACTTTTGAGCTAATGAACCTGTCATTAACAAGTTGTGAACAAGGATTTTGTTGTTGCTGTTGTTGTTTTTAAACCACCTGATATCTTGTGAACTACAAGAGTAAGGATGTTATCCCAAGTCCAGACTAATATAGCATGTGTTCTGCCCACTTCCCTCAGAATTACCAACCGTGTTCATATCCATACTTTCTGAGGAAGTCACCTTCTTGGGTGAAAATTCTGTCATTTGGCCTTTTGGTTTTGCAAGATTTAGGGCCGAGTTTACTCCTTCTGTTTTTTTTTTTTTTTATTTAAAATCACATTTATATATACATATTGTTGCATATATATATGTATTCATATATATTTTTACACACACATATGGCTATTTTGCTATCTATGACTACATATATATATTTACATACGCACAATGTTTTGAGGATGCTTATTGCAAAAATAGTTCTGTATATAATAGTATTATATTGTTATTGTAATGATCTTAATGGGCTCCTTAGATTCATTCAGATAACCAGGGACTAAACAAAGAGAGAATCAAACAAAGCATGAGAAACAGAATTCTTTTATTTTTCTTTTTTGTGTCTTCAAGAAAATCCTTATGTGATTATAAAGATGCTGAATAATTCTATTATTTAAAGTTTGACCAATTACTTTTTGAAATAATATCATCAAAATAAAATTGGTTTTGGTGTTGAACAAAAATTGATAACCTTATCCTTTCTCCATTTTATTTTGCTAAAGGACACAGGTTCTCAAATGGTTTTCCTAGCAACAGTTTGCAAATTGATTCTCTTTACCAAGATTTGTTTTATGGTATAGAATGTTTTAATGTATGTCTTGTTTTAGAGAATGTTATTGTGAAATGTAAATTATTGAGTTGTCAAGAGAAAACTGAAGTTAAAAGGCAATGAAAGCACTTAGCTTACAAGAAACAGAAGATAGTTGACCTTTTCCACTCACCTGGGCCATTTGGGCTGCAGTGGTACCTTTGGCGCCCAAATACACTATGGTCAAGGAAGTTGAGATGCTCCAGGAAGAAAAGAAGATATTTTTACCCTGAGCAGATTCAGCTAGCTTTTTGCTCAACTCCAGGGCAAACTGGTTGATTGATGTTGCTAGAGAGTCCATTGAGGAAACCTAAGAAAAATAAAGCAAAAATTAGAGAGCATATTAATATTTATTTCCACTTCACCTTTGAAAAAATATGTATTCATAGTTGCATACATATCCATATACATTGTCATATGAGCTGAATAGACTTTAGCAAAATTCTAGTCCAATAATAGTATTTTATATATTAAAACACTGAAGTTTAGAGAATTTACGGGAATTGCCTCAAATTTTAGTGCTAATGTGCATTAGAGAATAAATGGATGCTGGTCAGTTAAAAGCTGAGTCCCATAACATAGTTTTTGCCACTCTCTTGACATTTTTCACACCACCAGTTTTGTTTCCATGTGTTTGTATCTAGTTTTTCCAACTCCAGCATAAGCTTATTGAGAGCAAAATATTCTTTTTATGCTGCTTCGTGCACCCAACAGCACCTAGCTAAGGATTTTGCACAAAATGGGTGCTTGTAAATATTTATTACTCATTTACGATATTCACGGTTTGGGCTGTAACTACCATTTTTAATTTATGCAAACATGGAATCATGCACAACTAATTGGAAAATGCTTGTAGAGAAATTGAGAAGTTAAGACTGTTTGTCTTTATTCTCACTCATTTGAGACCCTCTGAAACTAGTCTTCTGGAACAAGAGTACTCAGTTTTCCTCATCTTTTTTGATATTATACTCAACATCTAAATGTCATCTCTAATGGAAGCAACCAAACAGCTGGCCAGCCTACCACACCTGCATGTACCTGGCCTGAAAATGACAGGTGCCCCAATCCACAGCAAATGTGCACCACCACCACTCCATCACAAACACTCACAGCTTGGACCACTGAGGCAACTGCAGACATTATTGATGAAGACTACAACTGAGGAAACTGCATGGATATTATGCTACCAAGTCCACCCTAAACCAAAGCCAATATACCATACCCAAGCAATACCATAATATTTTAATTTAAAAGCCTTTTAAAACTAGGTTTCTATAGTTAATTCCATCTATTTTGATTTTATGGCAAAATAATTTCTCGAATAAGTTAAACGATTTAACCAAGTGCTAAGGGAATCTGTTACTGCTAGACCAGCCTTACAAGAAATCCTTAAGGAAGTTTTAAAAATGGAAACAAAAGAATGATACCTGTTACTTAAGTACGTAGCACACACACTTTATAAAGCAACCACACAATAGAAACCACAAAGCAACCAGCTAATAACTTCGCAATAGGATCAACACCTCACATATCAATATTAACCTTGAATGTAAATGGGCTAAACACCATATTTAAAAAGCACAGAGTGGCAAGTTGGATTAAAAAACAAGACCCATTAATGTGCTGTCTTTAAGAGACCCATTTCACATGTAATAACACCCATAGGCTTAAACTAAGTGGTTGGAGGAAGGGCTATCACACAAATTGAAAACAAAATAGAGCAGTGGGTGCTATTCTTATATCAGATACAACAGGCTTTAAGCCAACAAAAGTAAAAAGTGACAAAGAAGGGTATTATATAATGGCAAAAGGTTCAATTCAACAAGAAGACTTAACTGACTTAACTATACTAAACGTATATGCACCCAACATTGGAGCACTCAGATTCATAAGACAAGTACTCTTCAACCTACAAAAAGACTTAGACAGACACACAACAATAGTGGGGGACTTTAACACCCCATTGACAGCATTAGACAGATCATTGAGGGAGAAAACTAACAAAGAAAAACTTGACCAATTGAACTTATTAATAAACATCTACAGAATACTCCAGCCATCAACCACAAAATATACATTCTTCTCATCTGCACGCGGAATATACTCCAAGATTGATTACATGCTCAGCCATAAAGCAAGTCTCAACAAATTTTTAAAAACTGAAATTGTACCAACTATACTCTCAGACCACAGTGCAATAAAAATAGAAATCAATGCCAAGAAGATTTCTCAAAACCACAGAATTACTTGGAAATTAAACAACGTGCTACTGAATGACTTTTTGGTAAACAATGAAATTACCGCAGAAATCAACGTCTTTGAAATAGACACAGAGACATAACATACCAAAGTCTCTAAGATGCAGCGAAAAGCAGTGTTAGGAGGAAAGTTTATAGCACTAAATGCCTACCTTAAAAAGTTAGAAATATTTCATATTAACTATCGAACATCAGACCTAGACGAACTAGAGAAACAAGAACAAACTAATGCTAAAACTTCCAAAAGAAAAAAACATAAGTAAAATCAGCAAAACTGAATGAAATCGAGACCCAAAAATCCATACAAAGAATCAACAAAACCAAAAGTTGGTTTTTTGAAAGTATAAACATGATTGATAGACTGCAGGCTAGATTAACAAAGAAAAAAAGAGGAGATATAAATAAGCACAATCAGAAATAACAAAAGTGACATTACAACTGATCCTGGAGAAATACAAATGATCCTCAGAGACTACTATGACTACCTCTATGCACACAAACTAGATAATCTAGAGAAAATGAATAAATTCCTGAAAACACACAACCTCTCAAGATTAAATTAGGAAAATATTGAGACCATGAACAGATCAATATCATGTTTCAAAATTGAATCAATTATAAAATCCTACCAACCAAAAAACGCCCTGGAACAAGTAGATTCACAGCTGAATTCTACCAGATGTACAAAGACAAGCTGGCATCAATGCTGATGAAATAATTTCAAAAAATTAAAGAGGAGGGACTCCTCTCTAACTCATTCTACAAAGCCAGCATCATCCTGATACCAAAACCTGGAAAAAACACAATAGAAGAAGAAACCTATAGGCAAATATCTCTGATGAGCATAGATGCAAAAATGCTCAATAAAATCCTAGCAAGCTGAATCCAGCAGCATATCAAAAAGTTAATTTACCACCATCAAGTAGGCTTTGTTCCTGGAGTACTATATTGGTTCAACATACAGAAGTCAGTAAATGTGATTTACCACACAATTAAAAACAAAAAACATCTGATCATCTCAATAGAGGTGGAGAAAGCTTTCAATAAAATCCAATATCCATTCATGATAAAAACCCTCAACAGACTAGGTGTTGAAGGAATATACCTCAAAATAATAAGAGCTATCTGTAACAAACCCACAGCCAATATCATACTGAATAGGCAAAAGCTGGAAGCATTCCCCTTGAGAACTGGAACAAGACAAGAATGCCTACTCTTTACCACTCCTATTCAACATAGTACTAGAAGTCCTGGCCAGAGCAATGAGACAAGAGAAAGACATAAAAGGCACCCAAATAGGAAAAGAAGAAGTCAAACTATCTCTCTTCATTGACTATATAATTCTATACTTACAAAACCCTAAAGACTCCACCAAAAGCCTCCTGGAACCGAAAAATGGCTTCAGTAAAGCTTCAGAACACAAAATCGACGTACAAAAATCAGTACCATTTCTATATACCAATAACATTCAAACAGGGAGCCAACTCAAGACTACAATTCCATTTATGATAGCCAAAAAATAAAATAAAATAAAATACCCAGGAATACACCTGATGAAGAAATTGAAAGATCTCTACAAAGTGAGGTAAAAAAAAACACTGCTAAAAATCATAAATAATACAAACAAATGGAAAAACATTCCATGCTCATGGACAGGAAACATCAGTATTGTTAAAATGGCCATACTGCCGAAGGCAAACCTCGGATGGAATGCTATTTCCATCAAACTACCAACGTCATTTTTCACAGAATTGGAAAAACTATTCTAAATTTCATATGGAACAAGAAAAGAGCCCCAATATCCAAAGCAACCCTAAGCAAAAAGAACAAACCTGGAAGCATCACTTTACCCAACTTCAAACTACACTATAAGCCTGCAGTAACCAAAACAGCCTGGTGCTGGCACAAAAACAGACACATAGGCCAATGGAACAGAATAGAGAACTTAGAAATAAAGCTGCACACCTACAGACATCTAACCTTTACCAAAGTAAACAAAAACAAGCAATTGGGAAAGGACTCTATTCAATAAATGATGCTGGGATAGCTGGTTAACCATATCCAGAAAAATGAAAGTAGACCCTACTTTTCAACATGTACAAAAATTAACTAAAGATAGACTAAAGACTTGAATGTAAGATCTCAGACTATCAGAATCCTAGAAAAAAAAAAATCCAGGAAACGCCATTCTGGATATCAGTGTTGGGGGAAGTATTCATGACTAAGTCTTCAAAAGCAATTGCAACAAAAAACAAAGTGAGACCTAATTAAACTGAAGAGCTTCTGCACAGCAAAAGAAACTATCAACAGAGTAAACAGACAACTACAGAATGGAAGAAAATATTTGCAAACTATTCCACTGACAAAAGTTTAATATCCATTATGTACAAGGAACTTAATTCAACAAGCAAAAAACAACCCCATTAAAAAATGCCAAAGGACATGAACAGACACTTCTCAAAAGAAGACATACAAGTGGGCAACAAACATGAAAAAATGCTCAACATCATTAATCATTAGAGAAATGCAAGTCCAAACCATAATGAATACTACCTTGTATATGTCAGAATGGCTATTATTAAGAAGTCAAAAAACAAGAGATGCTGATGACGCTGTGGAGAAAAGGGTACACTGTTGATGGAAATGTAAATTAGATCAGCTACTATGGAAAGCAGATTGGAGATTTCCCAAGGAAGTTAGAACTACCCTTCAACCCAGCAATCCCATTACTGGGTATACATTCAAAAGAAAATAAATCATTCTACCAAAGAGACACACACACACACACACACAAGTGTTCATCACAGCACTATTCACAATAGCAAAGACATGAAATCAACCTAGGTGCCTATCAGTGTTGGATTGGATAAGGAATACCTGGTACATACACACCATGGAATACTATGCAACCGAAAGAAGGAATTAAATCATGTCTCTTGCTGCAACATGGATGCACTAGAGGCTGTTATCCTAAGCAAATTATGACAGGAACAAAATACCACATGTTCTCATTTATAAGTGGGACATAAGCATTGGGTACTCATAGACTTAAAGATGGCAAAAATAGACACTGGGGACTACTAGAATGGGGAGGCAGAGAATGGAGAAAAGATTGAAAAACTAACTATTGGGTACTATGCTCACTACCTAGGTGATGGACTCAATCAAACCTCAACCTCAGCATCACACATTATACCCTTCTAACAAACCTGCATATGTACCCTCTGAGTCAAAAGTAAAAACTGAAATTATTTAAAAAATAAAATAATTCAAATTCTTATACCTAGGAAATCTCATTAATGCCAAAGTTGTGTAGAGTTAGGTCTTGCATGAACGTCACCTGGCCTTCTGAGAAACCTAGAATGAGAGCTTTGGAAAACGTCAGGAATTCTCTATACTCAAATAACTTAATCATGAGAGAGGCATGTGTAGACAAAGTTTTGGTTTCATCATAACTTGGAGTTAATAGTGATACTGTGGGAATCCCCCCTAGCCATAAACTTACACTTAACCAAACAGCTTCCCCACCTCTAAATCATGCCCTAGGTGTGGCTCCTGTCTACTCCAAAAGCTTATGATAATCCCAGGCTGACATTATTTGATTAAATAGAAAACAAAAAAGACTGTAGATCTGTAGTAATTCTACACTCTCATAAAATATTGAATATTTGCCTGTGACTTTCTTCCTCAACAGATCAAATGCCATCTTCAAAATAACTCTGTATTTCCTTTAAGGCTCTTACTCATTCAAATAACATTTTGTTACCTGCATACAGTATATATCAAGCTTTGTATTTTTAAAACTCATGAATTAAATTTACACGGAAAATGTTTGGTTTTTGGCCAAACCACACTCTTCATGAAATGGGGAGAAAGTACCATTTCAGAGGCTGGGGTTTTTCTACCTCAGTGTATGGTTATTCCAGTGTTTATTTACTTGTAACATGTTCCTGAAAACAATAATTCTCTATTATAAAAGCTAATTTCTCATGTAAGCTTAATATTTAGTTGTACTCATCTTCATTAATTCCCTTATTAATATCATTATTTGTATATCAGATGTTACCCAGAACATACAAGAGAAACAATTCTTTATTTTCTTTTTTTAAAGAAATCTAATGAAGTACTAAGCCATCCATTAGTGATATTTAACCCAACAATGAAAAATACTTTCTGAAGGGTGTAGAATTGTGAGGTGAAATTTTACAGGAAATAATTATTCCATACAAATGTTGGACAATTATATTTTCAGAGAAGACTGCAAATGTGTAGGTCAGAAGTCTACCAGGTTATTTTCAAAATTAATTGCTCTTTTGCAGTTTTCAAGAGCTATAAACTGATCATCTATGAGCTTAACCTGTAGACAGGCTCAGAGGAGAAGCCAAAGAGAATTAAGAAAGCAAGAAAAGGATAGTGTCATTCATCAAAATGTCTCATCATAGACATTTCATCATCGCATGCCCCTAGCACATCAGTGTTGGAAAGACCCTTAGAATCTCCCTAACCCAGCTCCCCCATTTTGTCTGCTAAGAAACTGAAGCTGAGAGAGGTTGATTGAGCAAAGGATGCACAGCAGAGTCAAAACTGCAACTGTGTTATCTTGACTGTGAATACAGTTGCTCTTGCCATTGTATCTCATTGTGTTTAAGATTTTAGTGGCTAAAGAGAGAGATTACATGATGGAGAACCATCAGGAGGAGAAAGAAGATCTGGAGAGTGGGGAGGATTCTTGTCCCGTTTTCCATGAGACACTCCCAAGGGCCTCTTGCCTTTCTGATGATACTGATAATATTACCTCCTCATGGAGTTGTGCATATCAGAGAATGACAGCTTCCCCAATCCCCAGCACCTCTCTATTCACCTAAGGCCTTTTTTAGAAACAGGTAATAGTTTGGGGTGGTTTATGAAGAGCACCTAGTATGATGTGGGGGATTAGGAACATTTATTATTCCACAGAAGAGAAGAAAGCTAATGGCCCATGAAATGGTGGCCAGGAGAGGAGAGTGGGGTTTTGGGTTTGTGGGGGTAACAGTTAAAGAGTCAAACCATGAATTCCATATATTAATGAATAGGATCCAAATTCAGGGTGCCAAGCTCACATTTCCTAAAGAGTTGAAGGGTTTTGGCTCAACCGTCCTGAGAGAATATTTTATTTATCTCTGCCTATGTTGACAGATACATAAATGTGACTGGAGGAAACTCCACTGATGATTTCACAATTCCCAGTAAAACAAGGAGCAAATTCCACTCCACAATTCCTAGAAAAACAATTTCTCTAACTTTTTTTGGGAATGAATGTTCTTTCTCCCATATCCCTTTTTCTAGTACAAACTTCAAACCAGCTCAGGTTACTCTCTGACTTATACAGACAAATTCTTAAGGGATTGGGCCTTATCTATTATTTCTGGACTTTTTTGGGGGAAGGGGTCTTCATTATTTGTTACCTAGCTGGGCACTTCAACCAAGAAGAAAAACATAAATAAAATCATTAACCAAAGAAATATTTACAATACCTTGTTTTCTCCCACTGGAGCAGAATTGGCAATTTGCTCCTGTAGTAAGAGATTGTGGCTGAAGAGTTGAGAAACTTTCAACTGAAGAAATTAAAAAAAAAAAAAAAATTTTAGCACCTCCCTGTTCTTAGCTCCACCCTTTGATTCAGTTTCACAAGCATGTATACTCTTTCTTTCAGGCTTATTTTTGTCAGAAGTCTCAATAAAAAGACAGAAAGAGACAGTTAAGGGTTTGCCTGAGTTGTTTAGTTACTCACATTTTCCATCTCTGTACACATGAGAGACCTGGATTCTGACAAATTGTAACTCATCCTTTTTTTGCTTAATCCTTTCTCTAGTCTGCCAACAGAGAATATTTGGCATGGTTTTCCCAGGTAGTATTTTTTTTATAAAACACAAATAGAAAGCTTCAAATTAGTGGAATAATAATGATCAATGAAACTGAAAATATTACTGAATTATTAATTTGTGTTGTGTCTGTTTTGTTTTTTCTAGAAATAGGGTCTCACTCTGTCACCCAGACTGAAGGGCAGTGGTGCAATAATATTTCCCAGCAGCTTCTAGCTCCTGGGCTCAAGTGATCCTCCCACCTCTGGCCTCTCAAAGTGCTGGGATTTCAGGCACAACCCATCATGCCTGGCCTTTATTGTAAGCCTGTTAAAAATGGCTCTCAGATACTATGTGAAAGGCACCCCGGAAGATTTTCTGTTCTCATTTAGAGCATTGGTGTAGAACCCAGAGCATCACTTGAATGACTGGGATGTCTGTTTTCCCCACTAGCAGGGACAAGGGTTTTGGATCAAAATTTTAGACACCATTATTGGGTCGGATGTTAGTTCATCATTTTCTGGTTCTCTTTTATTTTTCCCAAGGAATGCTTTTTCACTCCTTATTTATTACAAAAGAAAAATAACAGGCCATTTGTTTCATTTGCATGTGTATGGAGGAAGGCGGGGAGGGTCATGGGGAGAGGGATTGGAACAGGAAGACATCTCCAGGAGGGATTAAGACAAAGAAGGAGCCTCTCTATTTATAAACTATTTTATATATTTTTCTCACGTAGTTCCTGTTTTTCTCTTCACAGAGGCATACTTATTTTCTGGCAAGATGGCTCAGACTTTAATATTTGAATGTTGATATGGAACCCAGAGCAAAGTGGTACTCTGGATTTCACTAGGGAATGAGATGTGTGCTAGAAAGTTCCATGATGCCTGCCCAACTTTGCACTGAGCAGATATGATTATCCAAGGATGCCTCCAGGACTGCTATTAGAAAAAGCATCATATGGAGCCTCCAGATAGAAGGACTGCTCGCCTTGACTGACAGCAGTCCACCACAGTGACTTGGGCTGCAACACCACCCAGCATGAAAACTTGCTTGTGTTGCTTATGTTATAGTAAAGGCATCAATGTAGATTTTGCGGATTTATGCAACAAATGGTTTCATCTTCCCTAAAGTCAAAGATTAAGTTTTATTCATTTTTTCCCTCAAAACCTTCTCCAGATTTCTTCCTCACTTCTTGATTAAACCCCCTATGTATTAGGCCATTCTTGCATTGCTGTAAGGAAATGCCCAAGACTGGGTAATTTGTAAAGAAAAGAGGTTTAACTGGCTCACAGTTCTGCAGGCTGTATAGGAAGCATAGTGATGGCATCTGCTCAGCTTCTGGGGAGGCCTCAGGAAGCTTATAATCATGGCAGAAGGCAAAGGGGGGGGCAGGCATACCATATGATAGAAGCAGGAACAAGAGAGAGAGAGGGTTGGGGGAGTTGCCACACACCTTTAAGTGACCAGATCTCATGAGAACTCACTATCATGAAGGCAGCACCAAGCCATAAGGGATCAGCCTCTAGGATCCAAACACCTCCCACCAAGCCCTACTTCCAGTATTGGGGATTACAGTTCAACATGAGATTTGGTCAGGGACAAATATCCAAACTATATCACCCTACGTATAGGTATACTGCCTACAATAGTAAAATCATAGCTGTACATTATTTTGTTGCCTGTTGGGGGACTAGGAAAGAGAAAGGGGTAATCATGTACAAAGTTAATAATACAGTATTATTAGAACAATTTTGTTTGTTTGTTGTTTTTATTTATGACCCTGTGTGTATACTGCAATATGCACATATATTACTAGTAAAGACAGAGAAATAGGAGCTAAATGAATAGGGAACAGGAGTGGAAGGAAGACTTTTCACTCTAGTCTTTTTTATGATATTTGATGTTTGGGCCATGTGAATTTATTAGGTACTCAAAAAATTTGGAAACAGAGAGAGGAGCATCAGATGCATCAATATTATCTTAGTAGGAATCCAGAAGAAGAGAGTAGATCAACTGGCGCCAAGCAATTGAGTAGATAATTGCTGTCTTAGTCGGTTCAGGTTGCTATGACAGAATACCATAGATTGTGTGGCATAAACTACAAACATGTATTTCTCATGGTTCTGGAGACTGGTAATCTGAGAGGGGTGTTTCCACATGGTTAGGTTCTAGTGAGGGCCTCTTCCTGATTCACAGATGACTGCTTTCTTGTTATATCCTCACATGACAGATAGAAAAAGATCTGGTGCCTAGAGCTCCTTATGAGGGCAGTAATTCCATCATGGATTCTGCCCTCATGACCTCATCTAACCCTAATTATCTTCCAAAGGAACCACCTCCAAGTACCATCACACTTGGGATTAAAGTTTCAACATATTAATTTTGGGAAGATATATTGAGCCCATAGTGAGGGCTGAGGTTTCCCAGAACTGAAATGAGATATAAGTTTCCAGATAGAAAATTCTTCTGCTGAACAGGATAAGCTTTTTAAAATATGATTTAAAAAATATCCTTAATGTAATGAAATATCAAAAAAATCAAAAACAAAAAAATGAAAATTATAAGGGGCAAGAATTATCTTAACATCAACTTTCCTATCAACAATTTTGGGTACCAAAAAGACAATAAAATCATACCCTCAAAGTGCTGAAAAGCACTTGGAACCCAGAATTGTATATCTATACTCTAACTCAATAATGAGAGTGAAATATGGATATTTTAAGACTCATGATAATTCACAAAGTTACCACCTACCACCTTGCAGAGTTATTAAAGCACATAGAGAAATGAAATTAAAAGTAAGTAGAAGAATGCAAGAAACAGCAACTCTTAATTTTCAGGAATGTCTGATTAGAAGAAATACACCATTATTCAAGCCTTAAAAAGTTAACTGAGTAATTTTCTGGGATTCGTGTTTGACCAGCTTAGAGTGAGACAGTTTTATTACTGACAAAGATAAGATAGATCATAATCACTAATATTTATTAAATATTATATATGCCAAGTATTCTTTTAATTGCTGGATATATATGAACTCATTTAGTCATTATAGCAATATGATAAAAACAGTTTTTTCTTTAGTTTTCACTGAGAGAAAACTGAAGCACAAAGAAGCACCATGGTTGGCCTGTGTTGAAGCTACTTGTAAGTGTTACAACTGGGATTTGGAGGCAGAGAGTCTAAGTCTTGAGGCCACTTTTTTAGCTACCATGTTCTAGTGCATCAAGCATCCCTGCCTGCCATCAAAGGGAGTGTGCTGCATTTCCAGGATCCAGCCGCACTTCTGCAGCCAGACTCTGTTGTTCAGGCCCCCAACCTACAATTTGCCTTATTTCTCAGGTCTTCAATTATGTTCTCCTCTGCCTCTGACTCATTCAAAAGCATTACTGCTATTAGAAACAAACACACTTAGAAAGAGCCATCTTATGTTTCCCCTCCTGCTCTTGCACCCAACCCATCTCCCATCTTCACTGCTTGCAACTCTGAGCTCAATGACTGAGGCCTTCTTCTGTGTCTGGACCACTGGACTTGGTCATTAATCCTGGTGTCCTTAATGTTTAGACAGTGGTTTCCCCAAAGGACTCTAACCTAGACTATTCTGAATTGCTATGTCTTTGCTGCTGTGAGAAAGCAGCTCTAACCCATTTTTCATACAACCCCATCCCACTGACCCTCAACATTGGGTCTTTTTGAATGAAGGTTGTTATGTCCTTGGCTCCTTCATCCTGTCTATTTTTTCTGAGTTCTCACAAGTGAGTCATAATGCTCAACTCCTAGGAGTCAAGGTCTATGATCTGCAGACCTAATGAAATGACAACAAATGTATTGTTGTTTGGAAGCAGGTTTATTTATTATATACTTGCAATTGAATATAAGATACAGACATATATATGTGTTATGTATTTCTAGAAATGCACATAACATATATTTGCCTATTGTTTAATGTTTTTTCCAGATATTTATTACAGAAGGGCATGGAGGGATACCTACTTATTCTTCATTATGAGAACAATTAAAGGCATTTATTAGATAGGAAATTAACAGATCATCTGCTTCTATAACTTTATTAGCTACATTAAATAGGCAGTGAGCAATAATTTAAAAACTCACCATTATATAAAATAATAAATAACAAAGTAAAAGTTAATGTTATAAAAATAAACTGATAGTAAGGAAAATCTAAATGGGCATGATCCCATTTTAGAAGACCAAATGATTAATAGGGTTGTCATGTTATAATAGACAATTGTCTAATTATTTCTGTGTTTTTATTTAGTGGGTAGCAGAAGTTGTTCAGAAGAGCAGAAATATGTAGAAAACATCTCTAAATTTTTGGCAATTTGAAATAGCAATTCTGAGGCACACAGCTCATCTACAAAAATCTTTTGCAGAAGCAGCACGCTTAGTTTTAGGGTGAGGAAAATCTGCCGAAAAATAAAATGCAGTTGGTTATCTTATGCATAATAAGAAAAAGAAAAGGATGATCTGCCACAAACTGTGGGCCTCCATGTCCAGTTCTCCCTGTCATAACACCTCCTGTGCCAGCGGCTGCTTCAGTGCCCTCCTCATTCACATCCACCATGGCTTGGTGGAACACTTCAGAAAGAAACAGGTCATTCCTCTCCGACATCCCTGAGAAATTGGCCCGTCCCTTGTTGAAGGCGTCCTCCATGCCCATGCTTCTCAGAATGGATCTGAGTTCATAATGCTCTTCTAATTTGAACTGGGGTATGTATACCTCAACTTCATCTTCAGCCATTTTGTCTTTGCTGGTCCACTTGTTGAGTTTGTCATAGGTTATTTCACTTTCCAGCTGCAAAGCAAAACAAAACAAAACAAACAAAAGAAAATACAGCAAGTATTAGAAAGAAGGAAAACAACTTTAAGTCTAATATTAAAAATCAGTGACTTTACTATATTGTGGGTGATATAGAAAGTTAACAGATTGGTCAGATTTTTACAAGAAGGTAACACGTATGACATAGTTAAGGCTTTGAATGAAATGTAGAGGCATGCCATATTTACTATCAACTGTTTCATATATTTCCATGAGAAATTACCACACCATTTGTAAGGAGTATATATTCATCTCATCTCACGAAAGGTAGGTATAGCCCCAGAAACTTAAATATCTGAATGTCTTACCAGCTCCAAGCCAGTGGACACATCGGCAATTTCATCTGGAAGCAACAAGAACATGCTAACATCTCCAGCATATGGGAGTTCTAGAATCTGAGCCTTTAGGTCTTCTATGTATCCAATGTTTAGCTTTTCACGCAAGTACATCATCTGTACAGGTGTGCGCTGAGCCTAATATTATTAAAAGGTAAAATATGGAAGTCGATTATAAGATATCAAGAGATTTACAATTAGACATAAAGGAGGATTGGTTCTACTTTAGTGTAGGATAAATGTGATTTTTTTAAATCAACAAAATAAATTATTTGTACATCCTTACAGTGGGTACTCTGATGTTATTAGCTTGTTCAACTTTATACCCATTATTTAGTAAGATGGACAACAATGGTAATGACAACCATAATTCTAAAACACTTGTTTAGTTCTTACTATGGGCCAGGAACCGTGCCATGTCTCAATATTTACAGCCCTTTGAAATAAGTGGTAGAGCCAACGTTGGAGTCTGGGCATGTATAATTAAAAAGCCACAGTCTTCCCCTTTACCTATACTGTTTCTAAAGAGTCAATCAACTGTCCAACATGCATAACTTCTAACTAGCAAGTCTATAATGAGCGGTCTCTAATTTTTCTGTCTATATCTTGTCAAAAGCCCTAAAATATATGCTAGGAAGATGTATTTTGTTGTCTCATACCGAGTTTACACGGAAAGGATAAAGCCCATTTAGTTTCTTCTCAAATGGAGTTTTCCACTTTCCTTTGAAGTAGACAGCATTCACCAGGACCATCCTGGTATCCCCATCTACAGAACCTTCAGGTAACAAGTTTGGGATTTTGCCTACAGAAAACATAACATATATTTAGGTTTCATAATCAAGAACTGTGAAATTACTTACTGAATCTTCTGAGTAGCCATCAAACTAAATTCTTCAAATTGCAGAGTTGTTAATCTTCAAGCTAAAGTTTTTTAGGTTTATTTAAAGCAAAATTAAAATTGAAACAAATTTCCCAAAAGCTTGCAAAATCCAAGAAAAAATGAAGAAATAATGCATTTAAAATTTAGACCGCCTATCAAGTTTGGAATGGAGATTTTCACTCCCTTTTATATTCTTTTCTCAAAGCTTGGCAGTTGAAAGTTATTCAAATCAGAGGGAAGTGAAAGAGAGGTTCTTAGGGAATATAATAGTGCCTTTCCAAAATATATCATGTACTGCTAGATCTGGTCTAGATAGTCTGAGGATCTGACTTACTCATTTATTCAAAAACGTTTTGTAAAAAATATACTAGACCTAAATTAAGAGTAGTGCAGATACAAGAGATGAGAAAGGAAGAATTATCCTGGATGAGCCTAGAACACTGGGGGAGACATTCAAAATCAGTTGTGAAACCCTGTGTGATAACTTCTGTAATTGAGCTAAATAATATATTGAGTACTATGATCATACAGAGAAGGGAGTGAAGGAGTAAGCCCGAGAAGATTGACAGAAACAATGACAAATGAGTGTGGTCATTTAAAAAAATGAAATTGGTTTAAGAAGCAGTTTGTTTATAGTTAGTACTCGCTCTGCAGTATTCCAAGCATCAAAATATATTATTTTGATACTCTATTAGGTGGGTTTTATTAGTGTCATTTTATGCAAAAGGACACCACCAGGTTAGCAGTCTTCCCAACGTTACAATGCTGGTAAGCTTGTAAAAATTCTGCCTCCACAGTCAAAACTACTGACAAATACAAGACTCTTAACAAATTAATAGGTCAATGTGGTTTTGAAGTAGGAGGTGGGACCTGACTCTGGAGGCAGGTTTTAGACACCAGGCCAAATTGAGGGCTAGCTAAAATGGGGACCAGGGACAGGATGGAAGCAGTGTACCATGTCAGTTTACCATTGTGATGGCAACACCTTGGAGTTACCACCTCTTTCTGTGGCAATGACCTGATGACCCAAAAGTTATTCCCCGTTCCCTAGAAATTTCTGCGTAAACTGCCCCTTAATCTACATGTAATTAAAAGTAGGTATAAATATGACCCCCAAACTGCCCTGAGCTGTGCCTCTCAGCACAGTGCCTGGGGTAGCCCTTCTCTGCAGGAGGAATCATGGAGCTGTAATACTGCCACTTCAATAAAGCTGTTTTCTTCTACCCTACCTCCAGCTCACCCTTGAATACTTTCCTGGGTGAAGCCAAGAACCCTTGAAGGCTAAGCCCCACTTTGGAGCTTGCCTGCCTTGCATCAGTTTCATCTTCAATGTATTCATTTAATATATACATTCAATATATTTCCCAAGCTATTAAAATTTTTGGTTAGTATTGGGGTATAGTAATGTTGTGATGTATATGATAAAACTAGTATTTGATCATAGCATGATGAAACAGACAATTCTCTCCAATTCTTACAAAAGCTGGTAAAACAATCTGCCAAAATAGCTGCTTGGCATTTTGGCAAAATAACTGATTGACTTACAGCCATTTAGCACAATGTCTAAAGAGAAAAACAATTCATGCCATTCTTTAAAGAAGGCAAAACTTCCATGTGTCTCTTTAATTTTGCTCTCCATTTTTACTTGAACTTTTGATTTAAATCATCTTTCTCTGCTTCCTTTGTGTCAGTGGTCTGTCAATATTTTAGAACAGTATTTCACAAATCCACAATGAAAATGAAGAACTAAAAGGAAATCAATTATTTTCAGATAAACAAATAAATATATATTTTTTGAAATCCCATAGCACTTAGTTTATGTGCATTTTCCATTGTGGTAATTAATAAAGCAAGACACCAAACTATTTCTTGAAACAATGTCTTAAACATAAGAGTTAAATGAAAATCCTTAAAAAAATAAGTTATAAAATTTTTAAACATCCGATTGAGGAATTCTGGAGTTAGACTAAGGATCAGAAGAAGAAGCAACCCTGGCTTTACCGCTACCAGTGGGATCTTAGGGGAGCCGGCTAATCCCCTGGGAACAGGATGCTCCAACCACAAATTGGTAAGATGGATAGGAGCTCTCTTAGGACATTTTCAATCCTAACAGATCATAAATGAATGAAATACTTACACAATTCTGAATTCATAATCATCTCTGTTTCTTAGAAATACATTTATATGTTATTATTCAGCAATTGTTTACTTAAGGCCTACAACTCTACCTGGAAATTCAGAAGAATGAAGGATTTTCACTGTCAGCAAAAAACTGTGCAAATTTTTGTGGGGGCATAGGATAAGTGTGACATACTGGACCTACCCAAAAATAATTAGAGCCTGAGAGGAAAAGCAAAACAAACTAACAAAAATCAGTTCCATAATTGTTTAAGGCCATATATGGCTAACACTAATGTGACTTGTGAAGCTGAAAAAGCAGATGAGGAGATGAGAAGAAGAAAAGATCAGGAAGTAATTGGGAGTCACTTCCAGGAAAGAGTAAGACTTTGGCTGCAATTTAAACTGCAACTTAAATCCTGTAGTTGAGGCATCCTCAGAAACAAAGTCTAGAGGCAGCAATGAGTGTTTAAGGAGCTCCAAGGGCCAGTGGTAGCCAAGCACAGTCAACTGGATTACTGAGAACTCAGAAGTCAAGGTAAAGAATGAGACCTTCTCCTGAGGACAGTAGGAGGTCACTGACAGTTTTTAGTGTGGGAATAGCATAATAAGTGTACTGCATCACCTCTTTAATTTCACCTCCTTCCCTTGGCCCTCCACACTGCAGTCAGACCAGACTCTATTCTTCTCCTTAGGGTTACCTCTGGACCTTTGCATATTCTGTGCACTCTGTCTGGAAATCTCCCCCCAGGCATGCACCCTCCACCTGGCCAGCTCCAGCCTGTCTTCCCAATTACAATTTAATCATTTTTAAATCCAGTCAGATGCCTTTCCTGTGTACTCCCACATAGCACCTGTACTTCTCAATGAAAGCACTGACTACTACTCTATAGCAATTGCCAACATGACTGAATCCCTCCTCTATAGGCTCTATGGTGGCAGGATTTACCATTTTTATCTTTATCTCCACATATAGTTTCTGGAATATGGTGTGTGGTGGATAAATATTTGTTGACTAAGTGAATGAACTTAATAGAACTTAATGAATGAATGAATTCAATGAATAAATGACTTAATAAACTAAATTACAATGAATAAATGATTCAATTAAATAATTTATTCATTGTAAAATATACAGAGGGAGGCAGGAGCCTGTGAAACAATTAAAAGCATGAGTTAAAATGGTAGACGTGACTTAGATAATCAAGGAGGGATGAAGCAGAGACCAAAAAAACTTGACAATGGATTGGCTTTGAATGGTGAAAGAGAAGAAAGAGTGAAAATAATTTTATGATTCTTCCCTCCTCCACTGCCTGTATTCTTTATAGCTCACACCATTTACTAAGCTCAGGGTCAAGCCTTGTTTTCTTTTTGTCCACAGTGGGCATAGACTCACAATTATTTCAATGCTGATATTTCCTATTTTGAAAGCTTCTGCCTCCTTTCATATTCTATCCTCAAGCAATATCCAAAATCAAATATTTAAGTACTAAACATATGTCTTCTATTAGTAGGCCTCAATTATTTCTTCTCAGTTAAAACACCACTGAGCTAATCAGGAATAAATTCACATCCACCAAAGTAACTGCAGTTGGACAAATTGTAAAGGGGTGAGGGCTAACTAAGTTCATGGATGGAAAAAGATAGATCAGAGTTTTCTAACTGGAAAGAAGTAAATAAAATATTTTCTTGGATTTACCTTTGGTTTGAGTCTTGACCCAGGAATTAATCTTTTTTCTAGCTTCTTCTGCACATTCTAGGAAGTCTACTGCCTGGGGTTCTGAGGAGTAATATTTCTGACAGAGTCGAATATATTCCTTTAAAGCAAGAAAATGACAAAGGCTACATAAAATACATACCAAACAAGCCATGGCATAATGGTGAATTATGGTCTTCCCATTGAAATTAGGAGACCTGGGGTAGGGTGGGAGTGGAGGTTGGCTATGGAAGGCAGGTGCTGAAGGGGGAAAGAGTGCAGACCCCTTTGTCCACGCTTACTCCCCAACTCTATCCACCCTCTTGTACTCCTTGCATTATAGAGACAGAATAAAAGGAAAGAGGTTTGACTTGGGGGATAGTGTCTCTGGAAAACAGTTGCATTTGTTTTCCTGATTTATGACTCTGAGATTGGGACATTTGCAATGGGAAGAGGAGGAAGCCCCAGAGGGTACAGGAAGGGCAGCTGTTACGCAAGGCCAGCCCTAGGGAGCTGGTGTGGAATTCCAACTCTGCTTTTATGAACTGTTGAATTGTAGAGAACTGCTTTGAAAGTGACTTCATTACTTGTTTGGGATCCAGCCATTTCAATTACAGGTTTCACTTACTTCCCGGAAGCTCGCAGACTTCTCACCAAACAGCTTATTGACACTTTCCAGTAAATAATTCCCTGTGGATGCATTGATTGCAGAGCTGAGAGAGCGGAAGGATGAATGGATTTTATCTGCAGCTTGTGCCTTGAAAAGAAAGAAGGAATTCTTTATATATAACACAGAACTACTAAACAAGATAGTTCTTAAGCCATGGTAATAGTTTTTGAATACAATCATGAAATGCTATATTAATACATACTTTATTTTTGGTACATTAGAGGAATCTTTGAGAAAATCATTTCGATAAGGATGTGGTACATTAAAACTAATAAGGTGAATTTTAATTTCTTTCCAATTTTGCTCTGTCTATGGATTGGATTTAACCAGGTGACCAACAGCCTAGAAGAAAGGCCCCTTCTCAGTTTCCTAAACTTCAAAGTCTCTAAGGAATTTTTGTTGTATTTATAAGATGGATAAGTTCTGGGGATCTAATGTACAGTATAATGACTATAGTTAATAAGATTGTGTTCATTAATAGTTATAGTTAATAAAACTGTTTACTTGAAATTTGTGAAGAATATATTTTTTAAGTGTCCTCACTATACATACACACATACATACAAATGGTGGGTAATTGTAGTGATGGATGTGCTCATTAATTTGACTGTAATCATTTCACAATGTATAGGTATAGCAAGTCATCACACTGTACATCTTGAACATGTACAATTTTTATTTGTCCATTATACCTCAGTAAAGCTGGCAGGGAGGAAATGTTGCCTTAGTAATGATCTTACAAAGTTCATATAGCTTCTCTAGATACCTATTTTATGGGGCAAACTATGCAGTGGAAAACATGGGTTTTAGAAAACCACAAAAGTGAATGGTTATTTCAGTTCTCAAACTGAAGTTTGTAAGCACCATGTCAGACACAGGGCTTGGTCACAGCAGCAGCCTGTCCTAGGGCAGGGGACAGAGCCCTCCTGATGGACTGCCAGGTACCACAGAACACCTGGCGGAATCTCCACATGATCAGGATCCTGTCCACCTCCTCTAGCCCATAATTCCCTGGGCAATGGGTAGAAGGAGCTTCAGAGTGCCCAGGAAGAGAGCTTTGGGAGATACCTCTTCATAATCTACCTCATAAGCATGACTGTGGAAGTTGGTTGCCAACAGGAGCAGTCTATACTCAGTTTTTATAATTTAACTGGATAGCTGACATTTAAGGAAATGGAGTACTGAGGAAAGGTGTTACTCCCCGAGATAGCTGATTGATAAATAGATAAGATAGACAGATGACAGAGAAGATAGATGATAAATAGATGATTCATAAAATATATAGATAGATAGGATTGATAGATGTATGATAGGTAAGATAGATGAGAGAGATCAATGATAGATGATAGATTAGATAGATAGAAGGAAAGTTACCTGAAGGTCAGTGATTTCTCATGCAATCATTGGGCCCAGCCTTCTGCCATTTCTCAATCAATTGTCAGTCCCTACCCTCTCTCCTCTGGAAATCCTTATCCATACACGTGTATTCTAGGAGTCTCTACTGTGGATTTATGATAAATTACACATACCTCACCAATGACAGAGAGGCATGAGAGAATTTAGAAGTAAATAGGCTTGGCCTAAAACTCATGAAGTCTGGATTCTGTCCTGGCTCGTCTCTCGTTATGGGTATCATCTTAGGACATGTTTTTCTTAATGACTCTGAGTCTTAGTTTTCTTTCTGTGAATGGGGGAGGGTATATTCGCTTCCTTCCCAGTCTGACACTGTGGCTTTAAGACAGGAAGATTGCAAAAATAAACCACAAAAGAAATTTGGACCAGTAAGTCAGATACCTGCAAAATCGCATCAGGATAACTACCCTTCTGGATCTGCTGCATGAACCCACAGCTGGTAAAGTTCTCTGGAGTCATGGGGGTAACTGCATTGGCTCCCACTTCATTAAACTGAAGCACCTGCAATCAGAATTAGAGAAAACGGTTACACTTGCCCACGGATTTACTGAACTTTTAAAACAGATGGCTATCAGGTGGCTCTAAAATGGTCCTAGATCTTTTCCCTTCCCTTATACATGGGGAACAACCATAGATACTCAATACTCTTTCTGTGTAATATAAAAGTATCAGCCAACCTAAATTTCCCTTATAGAAAACAGCATGAGGTGTTTTAGATTAATTTATATCCTGGCCATTTTGGAAAACAAATTGTTATTATGAAATGATTTAAAACCTCTTCCCCAAATTATCTAAATTATATCCAACCAATAAATGGTCTTGAAAAAAAAATGCCAGTATTTTAAAGAAAGTCACAAGATTAACTCAGAACCTTGTGTGTCTCTCTCTTTTCAGTGGCCTTATACACAAAATACTTTCAATCTGTCAAAAACTACAAGCCAGAGTCAGCTAAGGCATAAAACAGGTCATGCAATATTAACAGGGTTCACCTAAAATATTTACACATACCATATTCATACACAGAGAAATTTATGTCCATGTGAGGGACAAGTTGGTCTGATGACACTGTGAATCTCTTCGTATAGTAAGTAGGCAGTTTTGGCTGACACGGGGAAGCTGGCAGCAAGGACTGTCCCCTCTGAAGCTTCCTCAGATCCCCTTCCCACAACACTGCTGCCTGCCCGCCTTGGTCTGCCAGTCTTAATACCTGCAAGCTGGCCCTGCCTCCCAGCCACCCACCCCATCCCACCTCCTTGGGAACCCTTGGTCCTGCAGCACCTCCCTATGGGGTCCCTGAGGAGAAGCTGATCTGGTAAGTGGCTTGATGGTTGGGGTTCTGCTAATGAAGTTAATTAAGGCAGCCTTGTCCAGCAAGTTGGTGAATTTCTGGGCTAGAAGGAGAGGTGTTAGGGTTTGTGAGGTCTTTTTCTGCTCTTTGAGTCATACATCGTAAGTCCTGCCTAGTACTCTCTGAAAAGAAGTGGTGCAACTCCACCCTCACGTAAAAGAAGAAGATTTCCTACGACAGCTTGGCTGGTTTTCCTCTCTTCCAAGGAAATTGACCCTTAAATCAGGGTTCTTTGGGCTAGCACTAAAGCCTTCCTGAATCAGTGTTAAAGTCACTCAGGGAGATGTCCCTGCAAAAGTGGGACTGTGAGCTGCCCCTAGTCCACACAAAGGCCACAGAGAAAATAGTGAGGCAGTTTGGCCTGGATGGGTCTGTTGCCTCACTGTAAGGAAAAGAGCTTATATCCTAATTCCCACAGACCTATGCCATCCAGGAGCTTATATCTTTTATGTATTCTTTTCTTTCACTACAAATGTACCACTTCTAACAGCTACAGCAATTCTCAACTGTGTGGCCTCTTCTTGCCCTGATTCCCTCATCTGTAAAATGAGTACGGTAATCATCGTACCTACCTCATAATATTTTGTCTTATGTGAGTAAATTTATAAGAAGTTCTTAGAAAGATGCCTGGCTAAGGCACTAATAAGTATTGGTTGTTATTATAGCAACTGCTACTAAGTGCCTTACATAGTACCTCTAATCTTCACAACTTTCTTGCATGCTACACATTTTTATTCCCATTTTGTAGATGAGAAAACTGAGATGCAAATGGTTTCAATGTCCTCACACACATGTAGTAAGGAACAAAGCCATGACTCAAACACAGATACGTCTGTCCCCAAAGTCTGTGCTGCTTTCTCCAGCCAATAAATGTCTTTTTCTTTTTATCTGGGAAGCAATCATATTAACATTTGAATTTCAAAATCTACACATGCAACAGAGTTGTCAAAAGACGATATATATAGAGTCTCAAAAAAAAAAAGACTATATAGAATCCTCGCATAGTCCCAAAGGCTTAAAGCACTTCTTAGACACAGAAAAGCTGTCTTGTGTCCAGAGCAATCAGTTTATTTTCCTCTAGTACCAAAATCAAGATTTTTACTTTAACAACCCAGAGCACTTCATTTAGCATTTGCTCCCAAAATATATTGCTACTGATTCCTTTACATTTAAAAAACAAAAAAACCTAGGCCGGGTGCACTGGCTCACGCCTATAATCCCAGCACTTTGGGAGGCCGAGGCAGGTGGATCACAAGGTCAGGAGTTTGAGACCAGCCTGGCCAAAATGGTGAAACCCCATCTCTACTAATACAAAAATTAGATGGGCATCGTGGCAGGCGCCTGTAATCCCAGCTACTCGGGAGGCTGAGGCAGGAGAATGGCTTGAACCTGGGAGTTGGAGGTTGTAGTGAGCCAAGATCGCACCACTGCACTCCAGCCTGGGTGATAGGGCGAGACTCCATCTCAAAAAAAAGAAAGGAAAAAAGAAAAAAACCTAAGACCTGATGTTTCTAAAGCTTTTGTGCCAATTTACTATCTTTATTCTTTCAAGGCAAAAAATAAAAAATAATGGGGAAAGAATATTGCAAAAGACTACTTGTGTCAGGGAGTTGAGCAATTGAGTTTTGTTGTAAGTCTCAATGTTTAAACTGTCACAAACACAGAGATTGATTCACCCATCCCTTGTCTTCCTGCAGCAATATTGGCCAATGCTCTCTCTGTGAAACTTCAAACTTCAAATGAGGCCCACCTTACATGGGTCACCATGTGCATGGAAAGAATGTATTTACACTCAGGTACATTCTCGTGGGAAACTGGAAACCAGCCGGCGGCATCTTGGTGTGACTGCATGCACAATGCATGCGTGTCCTTAAAGCATTTAATGTTAATGTTTGTATGTGTGAATGCAAAGGAATTTTAATGATATCATGGCCACATCGAGGTCACTAACCTTGGAAGTAACATGATCACAAGAATTTTGTATGTGCTGAGTGACTATTACAGTAACGATTGCAGTGTATAATTGAAGTAGTCCGGCATAATTTCAAGGGCCCAGACTCCGTGGAAAGAGTTTCCTGACTGAGTCCACGTCCATTCACCAAGGAAGGCAGGCAGTGGCCTTGCAGAAATCCCTCACAATGATGTTGTGCATCCCATCTACCTTGGTTTTCAGGGCTGGCCATAATAATGCCAGGTCTCATTCTGCTACCGTGACCTCACAGGCATGATCTTCTGCAGCTACAACACTATCCATGCATCCTGTGGGTATAGTGAGCACCACCCTGGTATGTTTTTTTTTTTTTCCCTTTGTGATACTCTCTTAACATTATTAGAAGGAATTCTTCATAGGAATAGGGAACAAACACCACAGTGGCACAGTAATGGGAAGGAGCCCAGGCTAGGAGTTAGGAGACAGTGGGGGCTTCTCTGACACCACCAGGGCTCTCATCTGTAAAATGATATCTGTCTTAAAACTGAATGAGATAATGGGTACAAAACACTAACTTTGAAAAATAAGAATATTATATTATTAAAATATAAGATGTGGTCACTCATAACTGTGTCCAGCCTTGCAGGCTATTCAACTCCCATATGCCTTCAACAGCTACAGTTGAGGGATTCGGGGGCTTGGCTGTCTTATAGATTTGAATCTAAGGAATTTGTGTTGTAAGGATCAGTGCTTCATTACCTGTGATGATTGCTGACCTCCTGAGTTAAAATGTCTTTAGCATAAAACAAGAGCAGTTCTCCAATTCCATTCAGGAACTACTCGGCCCAAATGTGGAGCTTCAGCTCAAACTCACCTTGGCCATCTGGTCTTCGGTGCTGCCCCTGGAGCCCATGTAGACCATGGCCATGGTGGACGAGATGCTCCATGGGGAGAGGAAGAGGTTCTGGGTGGGGCTTGCTTTTGCCAGATGCTTGAATAAATTGAGGGCAAAGAGTGTGTTTGCCACACAAAGATCCTCCATTGTTTCAATCTAGAAGCAAAGAGAGGAAGAAAAAAACAGCTCTGAAACATAAGGTAACATTTTGGGTGAGGTCAGCAACAGTAGGACAGGCTGCATTCTGTGTAGGGACAGATTCCCTGTCTGTTCTTCCTCATGGAACAACATGAGGCAGGTCAGGGACAGCTTCATGGACATACCACCTGTGCAGCCGTAAAAAGCCCCTTGTTTAGCCAAATGCCCTCCTATCGCCATCTTGAAATTCTTGATAATTTTAAACAAAAGGCCCACATTTTCATTGTGCACCAGACGCTGTAAATTACATAGCCAGTCCTGAGATACATGAAGTGTTTTGTATGATGAGCAGCGACACTTTGTGGCATTCCATAGAATAACAATGACAATATATAGGGACAGGAGTAGGAATTGAAGCCAGATAGGCAGACCCTAGGATCATGCTCTCAACTTCTATGCTGCCCCCACAAGCACAACGCACACATCCACACCACACACACTGCCACACAGGAAGATATACACATATTGAAATATATGCCACCTGCATACATACCTTGTTGCATCTGGTAAGACGGTCAATCTTCTTTCTGCTTTCCTGCTTCTAAAGTGACTTTGACTCATTGTTTGAAGGTTTGGAGTTTCACCCAGCCCCTATCCCAGAACCCCTTCCCTATATGCACCACACATACCACAGCCTTACTAAAAAAGACTTCCTATACTGGGGTGTTCATTACTGGGAGGACTAGAAGACCCCCTTCTTCTGCCACCCCACCAGGTAGAAAGTCAATGCCAGGCAAGATTGCAGGGATAATCCTTAATCCCAGGCCTATGAAACTCATGTATACACCAAGGTATGAACCATCTGAGACCTTCCCTGACCTCAGGCTCTGCAGGCAACTGAATGCATGCTCACACCCAAGGTGTGTGTGTTTTTTGGTCCTGACCAATGATCGTCTTTCCAGCTGTATGTTTTGCTTTCATCATAGCTTGCAACATACCCGATAATTATCAAAATATGTAAATATACCAAACAATGCTGATACTGATCATCCCTCAGGAAACCTTCTTATGACAGTGCCTTCCCCGAACTGGGGAGGGGCTGGAAGTACCCAGGAGGAAGCATGTCCTCTGGCTCTGGTCTTGGCTGTGTACACCTGTGGTCTCACACAGCATTGCTCTCCAACAAGGACCATTGGTCGCTTCTTTCTTGCGTGAACCCTTGATTCATGAACTCTTTTTTTTTAAGAAAGTGATTGGAATTTATTTGTATTAAAATGTCTCATTTGGAATACAACCAGACTATTTTATCAAGACAAAAATAGTAAATTAAATAAAACGTATCCCTAAAACTCTCTCACCTCCTCTCCTCGTTTAATCTTTGCAGAATCTGTATGAGGTAGAGGTGATTCTCCCTATTTTATAGATTATATCCTGATGCTCAGAAACATTAAGTAACTTGTATAAGGTCACACAGCTGGTAGGTAGTGGAGCAGGGATTCAAGCCCAGGTCTGTCTAAGGAAGCCCACTCTTTCCAATGTTCCACATCGCTTCACTCGGTGGTGCATAGCTTCACTATGAAGTGTAAGAGCTTAAGCAAGTTGTAGTGCAAGAAATGCTAGAAAGAGGAAGTCAAAAGAAAAAAGTAGTAAACCTGTAATTCTACTAGAAGGCTTATTAGGAAGTAAAAACAAAAAGTCACTTTTTTTTTCTCTTGCTTCATCATAGATACTAGATTACATTGGATGGCTCAAAAATTTGTTCCTCTTCCTCTTAAAATTGTCTTCATAATTAAATAGATTTATTGTACAGATTTTTAAAATTAATTATCTCAATATCTTTTGGAAACAAACTGAGTATTAATAACACAAATAAAATATTTCTCGATCCCCATGTGAGAAATGTAAATAAGAGATCAGAGCCACAAACATAAATTTAGACTTCTCCCATACCTAAATACGTGATTCTTTGTAACAATTCATACCGGATTCTTTGTAACAATCCACATAGTAACTTTGATAGTAAAAATATTTAACTCTAAAGACAAACTAACAGAAAGTTCTGTTAATACTAAGTTAGAATTTAAGGTAACTTGATAAAGAAAAAAATTAATAAGAACAGAAGCAAATTTTCCTGGATGCATTTACTTCTTTCAAAAAAGATAGTTTCAATTATATTTTTAAATAAGGTGTAATTAATTACATTTAATGTAAAAATAATATTTGATGTCTGTATGGCAGTCACCAAATTCCTTCAGCTCCCTTTTCAATTTGCATAATTACCTGTCCAGTAAGGCTTAGTAATTTCTGTAATATGAATGAAAATATGAAAATAGAGATTGCACAGCTGGTCCATTTCAGAAGCCTAGACTGGATCACAGACTTCTGATTCCAAGTCTAATGCTTTCCTACAAACTTTTCAAATAAGGTCTGAGAGTTTCATAATTTTAGAAATCTATGAAGGCACCCATATGCAGTGTTTCCTGACTCTCAGATAAGGCCATACTTTATGTTTGAATGAAAATCTTTCAAAACAAGGCAAAATTGAAGTCATGGGGTATTGTGAAATACCACAGCCTCCTGGAACAGGTATACCTGTTGTGAATTTTTTAACATTATAGTAATTTATATGATCTCATTAACTTCCAAATAGTATGCTCTTAATTAAGGTTTAATAGTATTACTGGGATGAATTAATGGGAGTAATATGCAGGGTTGGGCTTCCTGGTGGTGTGTGTGTTGGTTCCTGCAACACAAGTTGACAAATGCACCACTGAAACTTGGCACAGGGAAGGAAGAATTTGGGAGGAGTCACCAGGCACACGGCCATTGTCTCTCACCCTGTTGGCCCTGGATGTTAGATTGGAGTTTGCTGTAGCATTTAAAACAAATTTTGTTTACAATTAGACAGTGGAAATATTTTGAAATTGACCACAAAAATTAATGAGAACTAAGAGAAAACAACAGTTTCAAGGGAATATCTCATCAAATACTGCTACATCTCCCCCAACAGAATTAAAAGCAATTTCTCCTAGTTGATGGCTTTCATAATGAATAAGTATCTTTTTATGGGATATTAAGTTATTTACTGAACCATACTTCAGTCAACCCTGCAACTACTTTGGCTGATTATTCTCTTTCACTAAATTGACCCATTATTGAACTAAACTCAATAAACATATTGTTGTACTAGATTGACCCAGCCCAAATTGCTACTTAATTTTTGCAGTTCCTGCTTTTTCATTTAAGGTGCAAATGAAGTCTTCTTTTCCTATTATTTATATACAATGTAGAGATTACATTCAATTGCTTAAATGAAAATATTTTAATGTATCTAGTTGTTTCCATCAAATTTAGTGTCAAAACAGTAGCTAGTAGAGAACATATATAATCTAATCTGTTCAATAAAATTGGCATCACAATCTGAATGTACATTTTGTTTTGGTTAATGCTACAAAGGTATTTGTTGGCTTCTGAGATTCAAAATTAAACCTTATAAATTTAATTCAAATCTTGAAATAAAATATTTTCAATTCAACAACTAAACAAGAAAACACCACTTAAATTTTACTCGCCCTCTACAAACACCCCACATCCAAATTTTCAATCTATTAATACCAGCATGAGGGAAGAGAAAACATGAAACCCTATTTCCCATAGACATGGCATGGAAATCATTGAAATACCTGGTTGTTCTCTGGTTATTCTCTGAGTTGCTGTCTGACGGGCAATGCTCCTCTGAGAGTTGTTACAGTTCAGACATGGTAATGACTGGTTTTATACAGCTTTGCCCCTCCCACATGGCATTTTTTTTTCTCCCTCTGTCTTTTGATCTGTGTCCTTTGAGTGATTCAACATTTTACTCAGGAAGACATCATTAGAATAGAAATACTTGTTTGTAAAGGCATGGTTTAAGAAATTTTGGGGGAGGATGAGGTCACTCTGAAACTTAAGAATTTGTCAATATCTACACATGCCTGTGAAAGTTAGCTAAAATCTGTCAGCCCCAGTTTCAAGATTTCCCCCACTATACTTGTGCTCAAGGATAGTATCAAATTCTACAATACTTCTTCTAGCTTTGGACAACCATGGCCTGTGGGCTTCTTCCAATATATAAATATAATGAGATTTACTCTCTCTTTTGAGCCTAGGGAGACCCAAGCGATGCTTAGGGCATGGGAGGGAAGAAAAAATCCATTTTCTGTCTTAGAAATTCTCTATTTTAATCTGTCTTACATTGTCTCAAGCTGTAATTTTCGAAATAACTCGGATTCTACCCTAATATCCTGACACAAGAAGAATTTTTCATCTTCTCTTGATTATAAAATAGATCTTATGGCCGGGTGTGGTGGCTCATGCATGTAATCCCAGCACTTTGGGAGGCCGAGGCGGGAGGATCACTTGAGGTCAGGAGTTTGAGACCAGCCTGGCCAGCATGGTGAAACCCTGTCACTACTAAAAATACAAAAATTAGCTGCACGTGGTGGCACACATCTCCAGTTCCAGCTACTTGAGAGGCTGAGGCAGAAGAATCACTTGAACCTGGGAGGTGGAGGTTGCATTGAGCTGAGACTGTGCCACTGCACTCCAGCCTGGGTGACAGAGTGAGACTCCATCTCAAAAACAAAAAATAAAATAAAAAGAAAACAGATCTTATCCTTTATTAGGAGCCATTGCCCTTTTACACGTGTTAAGTGCCCCTTTGTCCTTAGTGCTCTTCTCCCGTGAGTGCTGAGGAGTCTGGTGGTGAGCTAAGTCCCTTCTTTCTTTTCAGCCTCTGTCCAAGAAGACCCCTCTGGTAATGTCTATGTGACCAACCATCTGTTTAACTGTTTTTTGTTTTTGTTTTTGTTTTTTTGAGATCGAGTTTCACTCTTGTTGCCCAGGCTGGGGTGCAATGGCGTGATCTCTGCTCACTGCAACTCCCGCCTCTTGGGTTCAAGTGATCCTCCTGCCTCAGCCTCCTGAATAGCTGGGATTACAGGTGCCCACCACTACGACTGGCTAATTTTTGGTATTTTTAGTAGAGACGGGGTTTCACCATGTTGGCCAGGCTGGTCTCAAACTCCTGACCTCAGGCAATCCGCCCACCTCGGCCTCCCAAAGTGCTGGGATTACAGGTGTGAGCCACCGGGCCTGGCCTGTTTAACTGTTTTTTAACCACACATTGACAGCTCAACAAGTTGGGACAGATATCAATGTACCTAGAACTTCCACCACCCTTTCCTTCACTCACTTTTCAGGTGCTACTCTTTCTCACCGTATTATTTTCATTCCAGTTATTCTCAAGAGGAATGTCATGCTTCTTTCTCCCCACTGACTCACCTGTGAGGTTTGATTCACACCCCATAACTTCCATGGAGTCCATTCTGACTCTTACAACCCTCAGTGAACTTCTACGTAGAACTGCAACTTTCAGAGTTCAGGATGTGGTATAGGAATCTTATATATTCTGACAGTATCATCTGAGTTAGGATCTATCCACAAATATATACTTGGTTTCCCTTGAGCAGCAAGAACAGTGGTGAGCATCAAGCAAATTCTTACCAAATATTTTTAATGGGTGGAGTAACATGCTAAAACTCTCTAGAGAGGCCCTATACTGTGGTGAACAAGGATATGAATACTGAGAGACTCAGAAAAGTCTCAGACTCAGAATCTTCTTTTTGCCATTTACTAGTTGTATAATCTTGCACGTATTTCTCAACTACTCTAACTTCTAATTTTCTAATAATTCTATACAGCTGGTACTGTTGATTGCCTACCCCAATCAATGCCTTTCTGCTACCCTTCTTCCTAATTTTCTTCGGGTATTATTCAGAGAGCCCTTGATCTCAGGAAAGGAAAGCCTAGCTGCCAGTCTTGTAGGGGGTGTGTGTGTGTTGGGCAGGGTGGGGGTGGGTTGGAAATGGGTGGACATATAAACCCAATTCTGGACAAAGCGTTTTGGGAGAAATCCACTGGGGAATGTTTGGCAAAAGGTTTTCTTTCCTTAACAGAAGAAAGCATGAAGAAAGAACCTCCATATCTATACCATCCCTTCCTACCCAACTTTGAGCATGGTTGTGCGAGGATGTGATGCCAGAAGATGCCACAGTCACAGTCATATTTCAACCATATAGGAAGACTGAGAAATTTGCAGCGATCCCAAACAAGAGCTCTGACATTGGCCAGTGCTAGAAACCACCTACCTCTAGTTTTTGTTCTTGCTGTTGCTGAGATATTATAATAAACAAGTCTGTATTGTTTAAGCAGCATTCGACGCTATGGGTTCTCTGTCATTTGCAGCCAAAAGCATTCTAAATAATACAGGCTGCTGTGAATAATCAACGAGATGATGCCTGCCAAGTCCTTAGCAGATTCTCGTTGGTAGTGAGTGCCGCATAATATTAGCTGATATATAATAGGGTGACTCTTAGTGTCCGGTTTGGGAGCTGCCTTTCTGCCTAGATTAGAGCAATTTATGAGCTCTAGTATAAGAAGACTAGACTTTCACACCTCAAACAACTAGAGAGACTTGTAAAAGATAATATGTAACTTAAACCCAAATTGAGTGGTGCTAATAGTAAGTATCATAGAAAGAAGGGAAACGATTGATAATGTGTGTTAGGGTCTTGAGCAAAGAGCTGAGATAAATGAAAAATAGACAATAGAGAGAGGAAGGCACTAATATTATAGAAGTGGGAAGCAAAGATCATCGAATAGCTTCCTGAGGTCTGTCTGGATCCGAGTTGGTGTTATAGAGGAGGAAAGGAGAAAAGGAACAGATCTTATAGAGGAGGAAAGGAGAAAAGGAACAGATCTTATAGAGGAGCCTTTGATCTCAGGCTGAGTTGGGATCTAAGCTAAAGGCAGTCTACTGTAAACTCTGGAGAAGGGAAGTGACTTGTAAAAAGTGGTGTTTTATGAAGAAAAATCTGAAAATTCAGAAGAGAAAGAATCTAAAGGGTGAGAAATGTATTAGGAGACTATAGCAGTCACCCAGCCAGTAGGTCAACTAGAAAAAAAGCACAGTCACTAAAGAGTGTTCCTTACCAATAGAAAATACATCAGATTAAGCTTTCTCAAATAACCTGAAATAATACAGGCAACAATTGCAGAGCAGGTCACTCCTACGGAATATGAGATTAATGAAACAGAAAGTGTCTTATTTTCTAGGAAAATGTATACAAGATAATCATAAGGGGGAAATGAAAGGAAATAAAATTATATGGACAGTATGATATTAATTATATAAATACAATACATGCAGAAGAAATATTACTTAACATAATATTTCTTCAAAACATAAACAGGATTTATGTCTAAGTGGTAACTTTATAGATTTACCATTGTCTTTCTTTGTACCTTAAAAAAGTCCCACATTTTCCATAATAGGCATGCATTACTTTTAAAATCAGAAATAATTTACCAAAGTTTCTGTATTGAGGTGTTTTTTCTCTCCTGACTATCACTACAATGAATCATATATAAAGGAGAAATAATTTCCAAAAGAAGACAATAACTTTATAAGTAATAAAGTTCTAATATCTAATCTGAGACTTGCATACACTGTGCTTTTTCTTTGAAACATCTAACCAACTGTGATTGCATAACCTGTGTAGTTTACTCTTCAGTGCCTATCTTCCCTGCTGGATGGTAACAACCATGAACTCCAAGACTATAATGGTTTTCCCCAGTGGCTAGGACAGGCATTTGGCTCATATTAGGTGTTCACTTAGTGTTTGCTGAATGACTTACTCATGTTTGGCACATTGTAATGCATTTCTATCCTCTTCACTTTGAAGAGCAAACAGTGATACTTCCATAATTACCTATTTTACATGATTTGTGGATATATGGGGAATGTACAAATTAGGAAAATGCATCATTTCTGTATCAGCAGTAATATCACCACTGAAATTATCTCAAACATGATATGAATGTAGGTCAAAAGAAAGTCCTATTTTAATATAAAATTCTATATAATAACCTTATTTTTAATGACTTCCAGTTAGACATATTGAAACTATGTTAATTTATAGCAAAGATCATTAGTATTAATTAGCCTTAGTAGTTAGATAGCATGATTTATTCCAGAAATTTAAGTAGTTGTTGCTGTGAGCCGAACCAAATGGAGGTGAAGGCAGTCACCTCCATGGTGTGAATTTGGGACATCTTGGCTAAAACATTCTCCAATATACACTTTTTGAAATCTCTTTATCAGAGAATAAATTAGCAACAACACTTTGTTTGTTAACGGCTTTGGGAGAAATATTACATGTATCTAAATTCCTGTGAAGCGGGTTTTACAGAGAAAGGGGTGGTCCAGGAAGGAGTTTCGGGGTGTGTGACGAGGATAGGAGAATGAGAAGGCTTTGAATAAGCATAGGCTTAGGCCACCGGGAGGCAAGGTCCCGAGAGACAGGGCAAAGAAAACAAACCTCACCTATTTTAAGAAGTGGCCCTGGGCCAGCTATGAGTGTGAGAAAGTCTGCACATGAAGTCAGCTTTGTTAGGGAGTGTAACACCTCTGTCGAAGTACTTATCTTGTTACCAAGTGACAACCGCAACACAGATGCCAAGTTGATAGGCTATCTGAACAAAAATCCAGTGTTCTGTCATTCAGCTATTTGAGAAAGCTGATAAACTTCTTAAGACCTGTCATGACAAAAGCATGCAAGATTGCATGTCCAGAGCAGCCTCAGAACACTGTGAGTCATGAATTCACTCCTTGTACACACTGGTAAAACTCCGGGCTTACAATGGTGTGTTTCCTTGGAGGGCCTAATATATAATATTAGACTCATATAACCTTGATTCCATGCATCACTCACCTCTCCATTATCCTTGTGGATTAATTATGATTAAATGAATTATTCATATTACTTAACAAGTCTTAATTTAGTCTCTCTCTTATCTAGCATGTTCCTAGTGCATCTCAGCCAGTGTTCTAGGCCTAGGGGAAGTAGCCTATTCAGTGTTAATTGCCATAGCACGTATGTACTCAGATGACAAACAAATAACTAAATAACTAAATAAGATACATTCTAAATTCAGATGTCAATTATTTTTGTTTTATCTTCTTATGACTTTTTGTATCTTTTTTTTATTAAGGGTGGCTAAAAGAGCAGAAACAGATTGACACTTTCTACTAAAATACATATATGCATGCCCTGCAGGCAGATTTCATTTGATCCTATATAAAATAATGTGGGGAATCCCTTGATTTCTAGGAAGGAAATGGCAAGGAGAAACTAAAGGAACTTTGTGGTAGTCATGCATTTTATCTTAGGGTTGGACCAGATAATTTGCGTTGCTTTCTAATCATGACACCCTTATTTAGACTTGTAGAAAAATGAGGAGGAGGCAGAAAAAATTATTGCTCAGTTCTTCCCCTGTTGATTAGTCATAATACACTGAGTGTATGGGCAGGAAGATGAGAATGTGAATCGGATGTGAGTGGTGGGTGGGGGAAAAAGAAAGAGACAACAAAGACTCCCGCAACTCTATCTCCAGCCATGACCCCTCCCCTCATTATGGCTGCACCCATGTCCATGGTCCGAAGCTGGACACATCATGTTTCCATCATTTTCCCAGACCTGTTTGTCCTCATTCACTTCCCATTTGCCTGTTATTTATTCAAGCTAATATCGAAGCAACATCCTTGCATCTTTTGTCCTTATCAATTTCCACATCTACAATTTAACAATCATTTTAGCTTCAACATATTTTTTGAGTCAATGTGCTCCTCTTTTTTTCTAAAATTATCGCCCTGGCTCCGGTCTTCATCATCTTAGCCCTGGGTTCTGTGTTTCTGGTGTCTTGTCCCTTAATCCATAAATTTAATCTGATCCAGCAATGACTCTTCTTAAAATCTTTCAATGAGTCTCCATTAAATACAGGATATATCTTAGCTAGGTTCATATGTGTCCAAGGCCATCAGTTATCTGGCACCTCTCTAATCACGATAACCACTCTAGATGAAGTTTTTATCATAATATCTGGCACATAGGTACATAAAAATTGTTAGCATTAAGGATTACTATTTCTTTACCTTTATTAATATACTTAGAACATTGTGTCCAATTCATGCTTTTACTGTTTGTTTCCTCAATTCTCTTGAGAGCAGAAAATGTACATTTTATTTTTTATATACACAGCACTTAGTAGACTATGTGTTCACTTGGGGATGCCCGACTTAATATTTTTTGAACTCAACTGAAAACAAACTTTTGTACTTCAATTTTGATCTTCCCCAGCACTACTGAGACAGCCTCAAAGTATGGCCTTCCTGCTTTCCCCGCTTTGCTATGAGGATAGAAAACCATCTTCCAGGACAGGGAGCAGTTAAGGCTGAGTCTCATGAACTGGATTTTGGGTAAATGTTAGGATCCTGGGACTAGGAGCTTAGGGGACTTTAGGGGCAGGTGCTGGGGTGGATCCATAGGCAACGAAACAGAAACTTTGAACTTGACTGATTGCAATAGGCACAGAGTGCATCAGGCCAGCAGCAAGAGAACTCTGTCCCCACTCCTGGATTAGGGTAAGGCCTCACCAGAGATAGGATTACAAAAGTTCTAAACTGTGAGTACGTATTAAGTACTAAGGAAGAAGACAAAGAGAAAGAGAAGATGGTAAGGGTTAAAAGCAACAAAAGGAGAAGTCACAAGGGGGGAAGGCTACTCCACTTATCCTAATGTTCTAAGTTTTATATTAGATACTTGGCTATAAACAGAAGAAAATAAACCTTTTAATGACAAAAAAATTCCCAACTTTGGAAAGTGCTGCTAAACACTGTGCTCTAGCTCATAGATTGCATATGATTTGCAAGAACATTGGCTTCAGAGTGAGAGATAATTTAAATGATTTATTTGACATGTAAGTAACTAGGCTAATGAAATCAAATAAGGATAAGGAATATACTGGATTTCCTTCAGGTCAGGACTTGTGATGGCCTATTTTTTTTTTTCCTGACATTTGCTTCTAGATACTGAATCTAACCCTTCAAAGCTTTTGCTAAGATGAAGCCCGAGTCAAAGGAATTAGTACCTCCAAAAGCATGTTATTTCTCAGTGATGTTTTACTCTTATTCCCCTTCCAACACTATTTCAATCACATTTCTGGATAATTTCAATATCCAAACCCGTATGCTTGTTTCTTTTAGTATGAAAACATCGCTCACTATTCTATGGGCAAAGCTCAGAAGAGTATGATAATTTAACCTTTCTATAGCACTGCCTTCTTAGTGTCCAATGTCTCTTTGACTCAGAACTGACTACATATTATATTAGTCTCATGCCTCACCAAGCTCTGCTAAGAAACCCAAACACGTGGAGAGATAGGTAATAAATGCATCCCATTTACTCAAGAAAGGTGATAGACTTTCCCCAGCGCTCAAGTATGCATATCTTTGTGATCTTCTCCTAGAGTTATAAATGTTTGAACACTCTTAACTCCATGACAAATTCCTGTTTTCCTGGACTTGAGCACATAAAACCCATTTGAAACATTTTTTGGAAGACTTCAGCATCCATAAAGAACCTTTGGTCATCACATTTCCTAATGAAGAGTCATGACCCCTTGGGCCTTATCTCTGACTCATACTGAAATCACATTGCGTGATTTTTGATATGGCATCATAATGTTGAAGTAAGATCCTGTTTCTTCTTCTCAATGTGGAAAGATAAGCACAAATCCTGCAAGCCCAAAATTTCTTATATAGTTGTTTAAAATATAATCATGCTTATGAGTTCCAGTAGCTCTGATTAAAATAATGAAGTAGGAGAGATTTGAAAAAAGTCATACACCATATATATTTTATATATATATATAAAAAGTCATACACCATATATATTTTATATATATATATAAAACTAAAGCATTGTTATTATAAATGAAATAATGCAGGTGAAATGTTAGGCAGAATGTGTAATCAGAATAAGCCCTTGATATTATTATTATTATAGAGGTATTATTGATAATTACCTACACGTGAGTGTTAAACTGAAATCTGATAATAGCCATGTAATCTTAGGTAGGTCGCTTAACTTCTTCAGACTTCCCCTTCTTTACATTGTAATGCCCCCATTATAATGTCTTTCAATGTACATTATCTTATTTAATCATTTCAACAATTGTTTGAATGAGATAAATGTTGTACAGCTGAAGAAGCAGACATGTAGAGTGGTCAAGGGAGTTGCCTCATTATTAATGAATTGTGACAGAGTATATTCGACCCAGATGTTTTAGGCCAATGCTCTTTCCACTGATAATACCTTGCTTGCTCATTCCAATTTTACTATGTGTGATTCCATTTCTGTGATTGCTTAAGGAGCTGTTAGAACCTCAAAGACAGAGATAATCGCTCTTCCTGATTTTGATTTTGATCTTGATTTCCCCAGGGCCTAGCGTTGTCATTAGAAAATGGTAAGTCCTCAAGACATTTGCCAAATTGAATCTTCTCTTAGTCACGCTGCCTCTGATCAGACATTATCTGACATCCCACCCCTACTTGTGCCTGGGTTTTGCCTGAGATTGGGTGCTGCCAGAAAGTGGAGTTAAGTCTTTGATTGGTATCTCAGTAAATCTCATATACAGGAAGGAGGAACTAGAAAGAGGATAAGATTATAAATGTTAAAGAAGTAGTAGTCAATCATTTTGAGTGAGACAGTGGATATTTGGTAATATTTTATGGGTGGTGCAGTGATGTTTTGCACGTAGACAAAATTATTAAATGATCTCATTTTATCATGGTCCCAGAGTAACCTTGTCTGAGGTTTGCAATTTGTCTGAGGATGGTATTTTGTTTATGTGGTTTATGTCTTCTAGGTAAGTACCATGGTCTAACTGTGTCAGTCCAGCTTACAAATATCAGCAGATGCTGCTCTTTTTTTTTTTTTCTCTCAACTGACAAACAGCATTTTGTTTCTGGAGCAACGAACTTCACATGCATTCAAGAATTGCGTAATGTGCTCAAAAGATTACAAAAGATGATATCTCATCTTCTTGGGTTCAAGCAGACTTGTTTAATTAATTTCTATTAAGGAAAGGGTCAACTCCAAGTATTACTATATTTGGTTGGTTGGTTGGTTGGTTGGTTGGTTAGACGGGAGGAAGATGATCATATTTAATACATGAGTTTTGTTCTACACTGTTATTGTTGCAATTTGTCTTTAAATTTTAATTAAAACCAGACATGCATATTATTTTTCTTCTCATTTCTCACTCCTTTAAAAAGACAAATTTTAAAACTACTTCAGCTAATTTTTTTTTCTTTTTTGGTATTTAACTCTATATCTCTAAAGAACATGATTATATTGCTACTTCTTAAAGAGCTCTAGGCATTGACTATTTCTCATACACATGTGAACGTTTCCCATCCTGTCATATTTCAAATATACCTGTAGTAATGCCAAACTTCGATCAATATTTTCAGTTTACATTATCATGATTATGTGCATGGAATTCACTGCTGGGCCATATTCTATAATTTTACTTTCTGCACATTTTGTTTTCCTAGCATTATCTCAGATTTTTAAAAAATTTGTTTACTGTTATATATACTTATCACCAACTTGACCACAAAGCCTCTCCTAGCTGGACAAGCATTATTTTAATGCATTCAAACACTTGAAATATCTAATCAATTTCATTTTCTTAAAATAATCACACTCAGAGCCTCTGACGGGCTCCAGACTGAAGGGGGTTGCTCTTTAGGCCCCTGAAGATCTGACTGCTAAAGAAAACGCAGAATCCTGAGGTGGATCCCTTTACCTGTCTCTTGGGTCGGCTTCTCTTTTCCCTACATCTTTTTATCATCCTCTTCATGGTTCCCTGACTCATTTTTAAGCAGCACATGCTCCAGGAGCTACTTGAGAAAAAAAAAAAAAGGCATGGGGAGAAAGCTTTCTGAGATCATAAATGTCTGAAAATGCTTCATCTCTCTCTTTCACCAAATTGGTAATTTGGTGATGTATACAATCCTAGATTTAAAAATATTATTGCTCCAAATTTGAAGACCTTTACCATCATACTCTAGCCTCTAGTCTTGCTGTTAGAAGTCCAATGTCATCTTAATTTCTGATCTTTGATCTGTGACTTACTTTTGGTCTCTGAAAGCTTACAAACCCTCTGTCTCCAACGTCCTGAAATTTCACAGTGATGTGCCTTGGGGTGGGCTTACATTTATCCACTTTACTGGCACTTAGTAAGACCTTTTAGCCTGGAAGCTTGTGTCATTTAGTCTCAGGGAACTTTCTTGAATTATTTCCTTTTGTCTTTTTAATTTTTTTATGTTTCTAATATACTATTTAATGCATAGAAGGTACTATTTCTATTAACTTCCATTTACTATGGATTTCTCCCAAAGAAAGAAATCAGCTTTTCCATCCTTACCTGAAGTAAACACTCTTCTGAATTTATATTCATTATTCTCTAGTTTTATTTTTATATCTTTATCCATGAAAGTATGCCCAGATAGTATATTGTTTAGTATTGTTTGTGTGTAAACTTTATAAAAATTGACATTACCTTATAAATATTCTAGAGAGGGTGCCAGCCAACTTGTTTGGTAAAAGGGTCAGATAGTAAATATCTCAGTCTTTGTTGCCACCACTTATGCCTGCCTTGTGATAGGCAAGCAGACATGAACAAGTTGGTATAGCTGTGTTCTAACTCAATTTCACCTACAAAATACTTGTGGTGGGCCATATGCTATAGGATACGGACTCTTCTAGAGAAACTCTGAACATGCGCATGGGAAATGCAAGAGTTTCTCTAGTGTATATAGAAAAGAATGCCAAATTATTTACTAAAATGTTACAAGTCCTCTAGAGAATTCTACATTATATTTTCAAAATTCAGCCAGTTGTTTCTTGTAGGTATATTTCACTTTCTCTTTACTACTCCATTGAAATAATTAAAGTATCATAATTTATTCATTTTTTCCTGTCAATACATATTTAGGCTGTTTCTAGTTATTGTTTTCTGACATGCTTTTTAAAATATATATTCCCATCAACAATATACAAAGACATTTCTAATACACACCTCTCCAGCACTTAATTTTGTCAAATGTCTTAATTTTTGACAAGCCATTATAGTATGTATAAGGTGGCATGTCCTGATTTGCAATTTTCAGAATGTTGAAGAGATTGAACAGCTCTTAATATTTCATAATATCATGATGATGTATATTTCCTATTCTGTGAAATTTTTACTTAAAATTTTTGGAGAAGATTTGAAAGGCTTTTTTTGTTGTTATTTGTCTTTTTATTGACTTATGGGACTTCTTTATATGTACTGGATATTTAAGCTTTGCTAGCTATATAGGTTGCACAAATATTCTAATTTGCCATTTTTAACCTTCATTTAAGATGACTTTTGATGCTGTCACATTCATCTTACTTAGCATTTTTTTTTTTTTTTTTTTTTTTTTTTTGAGACGGAGTCTCGCTCTGTCGCCCAGGCTGGAGTGCAGTGGCGGGATCTCGGCTCACTGCAACCTCCGCCTCCCGGGTTCACGCCATTCTCCTGCCTCAGCCTCCCAAGTAGCTGGGACTACAGGCGCCCGCCACTACGCCCGGCTAATTTTTTGTATTTTTAGTAGAGACGGGGTTTCACCGTTTTAGCCGGGATGGTCTCGATCTCCTGACCTCGTGATCCGCCCGCCTCGGCCTCCCAAAGTGCTGGGATTACAGGCGTGAGCCACCGCGCCCGTCCGCTTAGCATTTTATGTCTTTAAAAAAATGTCTTCTTGGCCAGGTGTGGTGGCTCACGCCTGTAGCAAAATCCTAGCAATTTGGGAGATCAAGGCTGGTGGATCACTTGAGGTCACAGGATTCGAGACAAGCCTGGCCAACGTGGTGAAACCTTTTCTTTACTAAAAATACAAAAGTTAGAGCGTGGTGGCAGGCGTCTGTAATCCAAGCTACTTGGGAGGCTGAGGTGGAAGAATCACTCGAACCCGGCAGGCAGAGTTTGCAATGAGTTGACAATGGGCCACTGGACTCCAGCCTGGGCAACAGAGACAGACTCCATCTTAAAAAAAAAAAAAAAAAAAAAAAAACTTTTCTATCCCAAACTCAGAAAAATATTTTGTATTAAGTTACAAAACTTTTGCCTCTAAAGAGGACTAGGGATGCTTATCAATTATATACTGGGTAAAGAAAATTTGGTTTATATATATATACCATGGAATACAATGCAGCCATAAAAAAGAATGAGATCATGTCTTTTGCGGGGACATTGATGGAGCTGGAGGCCATTATCCTTAGCAAACTAACACAGAAACAGAAAACCAAATACTTCATATTCTCACTTATATGTGGGAGTTAAATGATGAGATCATATGGACACATAGAAGGGAACAACACGTTGGAGCCTCTCAGAGGGTGGAAGGTGGGAAGAGGTAGAGGGTCAGAAAAAATAACTAATAGGTACTAGGCTTCATACCTGGGTGATGAAATAATCTGTATGACAAACCCCCATGACACAAGTTTGCCTGTGTAACACACCTGCACTTGTATCCCTGAACTTAAAAGTTAAAACAATTAAAAAAATTAAATTTAAAATAGAGGATGAGGGATACTTGAAAAAATTATAAATTCTAGGTATGGGGTAAGCAATATAGAAGATGAGTTGGGATTATTCTGTCATACCAGAAAGCAAAGAGGCCATTGAAGGCAACTAAAATCTTGTCAAGAGGACCTAGGAGCCAATTGAAAAAGTTCCCAGTGGCCAAAATTGAGGAACTTTGAGCATGAAAGACAATAATAACGGTAGTGAATTTTAAAATTTTAAATATATTACAGTCCATGACTTAAAAATGATACTTACAGGGGAAAAAATATAAAACTCCATTAGTCAAATTCAGTTGATACTATAGACCAGATTATTATTCTGGAAACTGGTAAATGATATAAATTATTAAAATATTCATCACACTTTTCCTTGAGGAGGAAGAGTTTTTCTTCCTAGAAATATAACTAGTAAATGAAGAAGAACTGACAAAATTAAACCATCACTATTTTGCAATTTGTAATAAAGTAAAGGGTCTACATCATACCTTCAATTATTGCTAAGTCCATTAGGCTAAAAGGCTAAAAAGAAATTTCATAATGTCAGGTTGACCACACATGATTTCAATGTTGAATCTTAATATCACAAAAGGAAAGCCAACCAGATATTAATGTCTCAAATTGGACATGTATAATCCCCCTCCCCGATGAAGTATTTTTGACCAAAAAAAGAAAGAAAGAAAGGGAGGAAGGAATTTAAGAAAGGAAGGAAGGAGGGAAGGAGGAAAGGAGGGAGGGAAGAAGGGAGGGAGGGAGGGAGGGAGGGAGGGAGGAGATCTGAATCTAATTAAGTCTTTTTCTCACTGCTAGTTTATAGGAAATGCAAGGGAAGAGAGGAATATGTTAAATAACACCACAAGGATGGAATCAACAAAACAATGGAAATTTGTGGGAAAATATTTAGGACAAACTATTCATTTTCTTCAAAAAATTATATTGAGAGGACAAAAAGAAGGGGGAAATATCTAGATCAAAATAAATAAAACCTATATCAAAAATGCAATTTGTGGATCTTATTTGGATTCTGATTTGAATAAAGCAACTACAAAAAGACATAATTAAAAATCAAGTGGACAAATTTGAACAATGGCTTTTTGATACTATAGATTGTTTTTTAGTTACAATAAAGAATTTGTGTTATAATTTTAAAGAGTCCTTACATTTAGTGAGATGTATTGAAATATTTGTGGATAAAATGAAGTGATTCCTAGGATTTGCTTCAAAATAATCAAAGTTGAGGGAGAAAGAAAGCAGTTGTATAGGTAAAACAAGAGAGGTTATGGGGTAATAATTACTGAAGTTAGTTAAGGAGTACCTTGAGGTTAATTAAACTATTATCTCTTCTTTTGTCTCCATTTGGAAGTTTCCATAATAAAAAGTAAAAAATACCTATCCATTAATAAAATAAAATGTCATTTTCAATCACTCCATGGTCTAATGGGAGTCCGTTGGCAGAGGATGAGTGGTCTGCTCCATGCGTTCATTCAGGTCCCCAAGTATATTATTTTGTGTTACCCAACAAAAGAGCCCAAGACAAAGCTGTCATTCTAATGGTTATTTTAGATTCCAATTCCACAGTGTCAAGAGTGAAAGAAGATCAGAAGTGATGCCAAAGAAGGAAAACTGATATCAAGTGGTTCCTTACCTAGGTGACTACTGCTTGAAAAACCAGCCAAATGTTCACACACACAGGACATCTTAGAGAAGCAGCATGGGAATAGAGAACCCTGGAGGAGTCTTTTGCATAAAAAGAAGAGAAGACTTTATCTACAGGTTTATTCTAGTGTCCTGCCCCTCACTGGTCCATATTTGTTGTGTGGAACACTAACTCTTCCACCCTTCTAGGCTGTGTTTCCTAGCCCCTCTGGCAGCTCCTTGGAGAAACATCTTCAACCTAAAAAAATATTTTGATGTCATACTTCCATTTTATACATGCTCCTTAAATGCTTCTGCAGTCTACTCATTTTAGAATGGGACACCAAAAAGGCAAATTGGCAGTTCTGCTTGGAAGGGAACCTAGGAAGAAGGGAGAAAAGTGTTGAATGTAGAATGATCTAGCTGGGCTGTTTCTTTGGGAAATCCCCATTGTTCTTATTTTTGGATCTCTGAGAAGGTTATTCCAATCTTGTCCCTGGAGAATGATGGCTGCCAGATTTCTGGAGCCCAGTAAGGCCTATGTAAGAATTCAGAATTTAAACTTTTACTTACTCCTCCTTTTTCAGTATGCCAACCCTGATCCCATCTCTGTCTGTTGCACTGCAATCTGGAGTGTCACCCTCTATTTAACTCTCCCTGGAGAATCAAGCTCCATCACCTGCCTTCCTGCAGGGGAGGGTCGCTAAGCTGACTGTGTGGAGTGTGCGAGGGGATCTGACAGTCCAACTGCTTCTCCAAAAGAATGCCAATTTTTTGTTTTTAACTTGTTTTCAACCCTTCATTCCTGAGGTACTTGATACTGATTCTTCAGTTTTAAAAATATTCCATGGGTAAATTGAATTTATTTTCTACTTTCCAAATAGCTTCCTTTCTAGCATCAAACTTTTTTGGTTCTACCATTCATAATAACCAATCTACAGCATTCAAAAAGGGATGACTGTTGCATACTCTTCAATTCCCTTTATCTTCCTAGGTTAATGCTTTAAAACAACAGTAGCAACAATAAGAAAACTTTGCTAATTATTCTCTCGTTTTAGAAGGGACCTGAGGTTAAATGAGTGTCTTTAATTTGCCATCTTTAGCCAGATGTTTCCCTAAGTTCCTTGTAGTAGCCCTCCCATGACAATGATATCCCAGTTGACTGACCCCCATTGTGACTAATAGAAATTTCCAACATTGTAGAAGAGACATTGTAATATTTGGGGGGCCTTTTTGTGGCTACCATATTTTACCACAGTCCCTTCTTGTATGAGTTGTGTCATGACTCTTTAATGATGCATATCTAAGTCAAGTGATTTACTTGTGACTTTCCAAAATGTTTTTCAAGCTTAAATTGTAGGGTCAGCTCTAATTCTTGCCTTATTTTATATTTGCTCTTTCCTGCACCCACACCCAAACCCCTACTCCTCAGCCTCTCTCCACAAAGCCCCGCAACACTCACCACCTCCAAAAGATATCGGTTCCAAGTGAACAAAAGAAGACCGCAAAGTCTTGGAACCTGGGACCTGCAAACCTGGAACAATTGCACTGAGTAGGAAAGCGGGCACAACCCTGCTTTCAGCTGGGAATGCTTTCTCTTCCTCCTGGCTTCATCTGCTAGGCCAAGGAATCTTTGGACTGAGAACTTTCTCAGGCCACCACATTGCAACTCTGGCTTGGAAGCTTATTCTTCCTGCAGTGCAAAACGTCAGCAAATTGGCCGGGCGCGGTGGCTCGCGCCTGTAATCCCAGCACTTTTGGAGGCTGAGGTGGGCAAATCACCTGAGGTCGGGAGTTCGCGATCAGCCTGATCAACATGGAGAAACCCCATCTCTACTAAAAATACAAAACTTAGCCAGGTGTGGTGGTACATGCCTGTAATCCCAGCTACTTGGGAGGCTGAGGCAGGAGAATCGCTTGAACCCAGGAGGCGGAGGTTGTGGTGAGCTGAGATCGTGTCATTGCACTCAAGCCTGGGCACCAAGAGAGAAACTCTGTCTCAAAAAAAAAAAAAAAAATCAGCAAATTATGTTTTCTAATACTCTGGGGCTGAGCTTCTTAAAAATTAATGTGCATACAAATGTTGGGGAGATCTTATTAATATGAGATTCTGATGAACCAGGTCTTTCGTGAGACCTGAGATTCTGCATTTTTGTTGTTGTTGCTGTTGTTTTTGTTGTTTTGAGAGAGTCTTGTTCTGTCGCCCAGACGGGAGTGCAGTGGCATGATCTCAGCTCACTGCAACCTCCACCCCTCCAGGTTCAAACGATTCTCCTTCCTCAGCTTCCTGAGTAGCTGGGACTACAGGTGTGCACCCCCACGCCTGGCTAATTTTTGTATTTTTAGTAGAGATGAGGTTTCACAGTGTTGGCCAGGCTGATCTTGAACTCCTGACCTCAAGTGATCTGTCCTCCTCGGCTTCCCAAAGTGCTGGGATTACAAGCGTGAGCTACTGTGCCCAGCCAGATTCTGCGTTTCTAACAAGCTCCTGGAAGGTGATAGATCACCATTCGGCCAGATGCTGCTGGTCTGAGGATCACACTTTGAGTAGTAAGTCTCTACCGTGTGTGTGTGTGTGTGTGTGTGTGTGTGTGTGTGTGTGTGTGTGTATTCTTTCTCTTCATCCTATCTACAACTTTCCACACTGTCAGGGTATAGTGGACACTGTTGGTGCCTTGTCTATGTGCCTCTGTCTGCTTTGTTGCTGTCTTGCACCTGCAACATTCAGCATATTTCCATTGGGTGCTAGAGCCATGTCTCTGGTATGTGAGTTGGAAGTGCCGGGTGTATTACGTCTCCCATGGTAAGCCCATAGCCAATAGTTGACTGGTGTGGGAATTCACAACCCCAACTCTTTTATTCTGGTATGGTACAAAATCTCAAAGATATTACCCCCTAGAGCTCTCAGAGGGATCAGTCCAAGTCTGAGACTTCACCCAAAATCACCCTCATTCGGCTTCATTTCCTTTCCTGTGCTGCTTCCTTTACACCCTTTCTGGTTTCTTCTGGGGGCACTTCCTTCATTAAGAACTTCTACATGAATCCTGGGCTTAAGCTGGCTTTCAGGAGAATTCAACCTAAAACAGACAGCCTCCTCCTAAGTTGTTTTTGGATCTAAAGGAACCTAACGAGAGTGACTCTCGCAGAAAAATTCTAAATTAAGTGACTGCATACTGATGTTTCCCAGCACCCAGTGAGTGCCCTGACACACAGTAAGTGATTCATCAACTTAGGCTGAATCATTGATTGCATGATTGAATCAAATTTCTTGATAGAGTTGACTTAAAACCTTACCTGACTTTCTGATTATGGGGCTAGAGCAATACCTGAGCCCTCATCATACCTAAATACCAGGCTGGACAGGGCTGGCTCCTTTGCTCCCTTACCTCAAAACCACCCAAATGTATTTTCGGATCTCTAGGTGGAATAGAAGGTTCAGTAACAAATGTCCCCACTCCTCCTCCTTTAACCATAGGATCTGTGCTCAAGGCATCAACTGCTGGCCCCCCAACTCCTTCCCTTTGGCTTGCCCTCTACCTTCCGGGAAAGAGCAGCAGAGCGTCAATAATTGCCACATCAAAACAGAGCTGCTGACCCAGGACTCCTCTTTAATACTGTATCCTTCTAACCTTGGGGAAAGACCGGAAGCTCATTCCACACGCAAACCACATTTCCTGCCTATTTGTCATGACAGCACATCACGCGACTGCTGTGTCATGTGGCAAAATGGCAGTGCACGCATTCTTGCAACATTTTTGGAATGCAGGCCCAGCAAGTACACATGTAGGAAGCCTCATCATTCTAAGAACAATGCGTTTACACAGGGCATTTCGAAAAAAACATTTACAAAATCTTATTTTTTATGGTTTCCTCCAAATGATTGCAAAGTTTAAGAAGCAATGGAAGGGAAAGTGAATGTGCACTGTGGTGCATACGGACAATACAAAATAACAGAATTATAGATGCAGTTGATATTGGACACACACAAATATAAACTATAAAAAGGGAAAACAAAAGTTTTGCTCAAGTCGCAACTTCCAATCCCAAGGAGAGGTTTGAGGCATCTTATTTTGGCTTTCAAAGGAGTTAAATTAATGACAAAGTATGTTTGTCTAAAACTGTTTTCTATCCACTTGGGTGGCAAGGGAGTTTCTATTTTACACCTTGCGTTGCTGTCTGCCTCTGCTGATTCTGCAGTTTCCTTTTGTTTCCTAGTTTCTTGTAGCATTGGCCCATTCTAGTTCATTTCTGCTTATTGTTTCAGGCTTTATTTATTTATTTATTATTTATTTTGCTGGAGCCTGTCTCTGTCACCCAGGCTGGAGTGAGATGGTGCGATCTCATCTCACTGCAACCTCCGCCTCCCAGGTTCAAGCAATTCTCCTGCCTCAGACTCGTGAGCAGCTGGGACTACAGGTGCACTACAGCCCACAACAGCCCGGCTAATTTTTGTTTTTTTTTTTAGTAGAGACGGGGTTTCACCATGTTGGCTAGGCTGGTTTGAACTCCTGACCACAAGTGATCCGCCCGCTTTGGCATCCTAAAGGGCTGGGATTACAGGCGTGAGCCACCATACCCAGCCTGCTACAGGCTTTTATAATAGATTATGAAACCTTGTTGTGTAGAAGTGAAAACTAACGCTCTTCCTTGCTTCTAATATAACAAAGCACTTTGAGTATGGGAAAAAAATTGCATCTTGGGATCATTAATAACATGGTTATTACATCTGGCTATAGTTTCACTCTCAAATAATAAAAACCTCAAATAAACCTGGTCTCCCTAATTAGTCACATCCGAAGCTATGGCATGACCCTTATGAATACAACACAAGTACGTGAAAGTCATTGCTTTTTCCACTATCGATGGATTAATGTAAATTTGGAAATCTTGGTAATTTTGCACATAGTTTTCTTCTGAGGTTACCTGTTCTTTCCTTTTCTAAAGCTTTCTGTCTCTGGATCTTTCTTTGATATCTATTTCCCAAGAGATGAAGCTATCTGAGTTCTACTGCTAACCCCAACGGAAACATGCAGGTTACAATGCACCTTGTCTGGATAGTCCAGCAAACCAGAAATAATCGAAAAGCAATTCCAATCTTTGCTTCCATCTCTTGGAAGAAAGAGGGTTTCCAGTTGAGGCCTCCATGACACCACATCAAAAATCCCTTTGCAACTCTTTTCCAATTCTATCAACAACAGCCCTGTGCCTGGACCTTTGCCTCTCCCTCTTGCCTTTGCTCTTCGATGTCTCTCTCTGCTCCCTACTCTCACACGCCCTCTCAGACACCTAAACCCCTTGCTTTACAAAAATTCCTCAGGCCTCTTCCTTTTCCTCCTTTTTATTAGCTCTTAATTAGATCTGTTAACTTACCCTCTGGGTTATACACATTACTCAGTTTCTCCTGCCTAGAAACTAATCCATGAAGCAAGAAACCTCCCCCACATAATAGAAGCAAAGAGAATAGAGAGAGGCAGACCTGTGGTGGAGATTGTGAACACTAATTCATTAACTTAATTTAATGTGTTCATTTAACTTAATGAAAAGCCGTTCATAATTTTTAATTCAATTTAAAATGAAGATTTACATTATATTAATTAAAAAGTATTATGTTATTTTCATAAAACTCAAACATGAGCACAAACAGCTATGCAAAATATTTGCCTCTCCCAATTCCTTACCCCACCCAGTTACTCTCAGCTTGTTTCAACACATTTCTAGCTTTCTGACTCCCAGTTTCTGGTTTCATGTCCCAGGTTTAATGATTGCTTTTGAGACCCTTTGGCTATGACAATTCTAAAATTTCTCTTTCTGTTTCTTTTTTTCTCTTTTTGATAAAGACTTTTCCATCTAGCTTTTAGTTTGTCTTGCTTCTTTGTTTTGATGTTACCATTGCCTGGGATGAGAACTTCACAAAACCCCTCACCACATACACTTGCTTCCCTCACCCCAAATTTAAACAGATAGTGGTATACCTGTCTGACTTGTTCACTACACTATAATTCTACAGTGGAAGTTAAATCATGTTTCTCTCTGCTTTGAGCAATGTAAGTATTCTGCAGATGTTGGCTGAATTAAATGTAATGGAATTATCTTTCACAGTATGAAATTGACCTCCCCACCTACTCAATGCCATCCTCATCATTCTCCGCACCTTCGCTGTGAACTCTGCAGGATTCATTCCAGCTCTTCCTTCCTCCTCCCTCCCCTTCACAGCCCTCTTCTATCAATGCTGGGCTGAGGTAACCACCTACTTCGCACGCCCTTATTTTTGTACTTATATGTAGACAGTGTGTTTAATAGTGAAAAGAACACAAGCTTTGAGTCGATTCATAAAATCATAGTGATGAATAACATTCTACGTGCATAATGACAATTCTGAAATTGCACATTACTATATGCGTTCATGGTACTAAGCAATTTAGCTATATTATCTAATTTAATTTGTATGATAACCATATGTATTAGTACTATGATTGCCCCATTTCATAGAGGAGAAAAACAGAGCTTAAGGATAGTAGAGCACTTGCTCAAGGTTGCACAGCTAGTTAGTCAGGATGTCAAGGCCCCATTCTTATCAACTGTATCTTAACAAAATCCCAATCAACTTTTAACGTCTACTCCAACTTACCTGGATAACTTTGGACAATTTATTAAGCTCTCTCATATCTTTATATGTAAAATGGGCTTTAATATGATCTATCATTTAGTTTTTGTGTGAAATTAAATGCAATAATACATAAAGCATTTATTCATATTTAGTATTGGGCACATGGAAGTGGCTCCATAAATGCAGTCATATCCCTATTTTCCCCATCATCATCATAATTTATGACATTAATTAAACTTTTTTTTTTTATTATACTCTAAGTTTTAGGGTACATGTGCACATTGTGCAGGTTAGTTACATATGTATACATGTGCCATGCTGGTGCACTGCACCCACTAACGTGTCATCTAGCATTAGGTATATCTCCCAATGCTATCCCTCCCCCCTCCCCCGACCCCACCACAGTCCCCAGAGTGTGATATTCCCCTTCCTGTGTCCATGTGATCTCATTGTTCAATTCCCACCTATGAGTGAGAATATGCGGTGTTTGGTTTTTTGTTCTTGCGATAGTTTACTGAGAATGATGGTTTCCAATTTCATCCATGTCCCTACAAAGGACATGAACTCATCATTTTTTATGGCTGCATAGTATTCCATGGTGTATATGTGCCACATTTTCTTAATCCAGTCTATCATTGTTGGACATTTGGGTTGGTTCCAAGTCTTTGCTATTGTGAATAGTGCCGCAATAAACATACATGTGCATGTGTCTTTATAGCAGCATGATTTATAGTCCTTTGGGTATATACCCAGTAATGGGATGGCTGGGTCAAATGGTATTTCTAGTTCTAGATCCCTGAGGAATCGCCACACTGACTTCCACAATGGTTGAACTAGTTTACAGTCCCACCAACAGTGTAAAAGTGTTCCTATTTCTCCACATCCTCTCCAGCACCTGTTGTTTCCTGACTTTTTAATGATTGCCATTCTAACTGGTGTGAGATGATATCTCATAGTGGTTTTGATTTGCATTTCTCTGATGGCCAGTGATGATGAGCATTTCTTCATGTGTTTTTTGGCTGTATAAATGTCTTCTTTTGAGAAGTGTCTGTTCATGTCCTTTGCCCACTTTTTGATGGGGTTGTTTGTTTTTTTCTTGTAAATTTGTTTGAGTTCATTGTAGATTCTGGATATTAGCCCTTTGTCAGATGAGTAGGTTGCGAAAATTTTCTCCCATGTTGTAGGTTGCCTGTTCACTCTGATGGTAGTTTCTTTTGCTGTGCAGAAGCTCTTTAGTTTAATTAGATCCCATTTGTCAATTTTGGCTTTTGTTGCCATTGCTTTTGGTGTTTTGGACATGAAGTCCTTGCCCACGCCTATGTCCTGAATGGTAATGCCTAGGTTTTCTTCTAGGGTTTTTATGGTTTTAGGTCCAACGTTTAAATCTTTAATCCATCTTGAATTGATTTTTGTATAAGGTGTAAGGAAGGGATCCAGTTTCAGCTTTCTACATATGGCTAGCCAGTTTTCCCAGCACCATTTATTAAATAGGGAATCCTTTCCCCATTGCTTGTTTTTCTCAGGTTTGTCAAAGATCAGATAGTTGTAGATATGCGGCATTATTTCTGAGGGCTCTGTTCTGTTCCATTGATCTATATCTCTGTTTTGGTACCAGTACCATGCTGTTTTGGTTACTGTAGCCTTGTAGTATAGTTTGAAGTCAGGTAGTGTGATGCCTCCAGCTTTGTTCTTTTGGCTTAGGATTGACTTGGCTATGCGGGCTCTTTTTTGGTTCCATATGAACTTTAAAGTAGTTTTTTCCAATTCTGTGAAGAAAGTCATTGGTAGCTTGATGGGGATGGCATTGAATCTGTAAATTACCTTGGGCAGTATGGCCATTTGCACAATATTGATTCTTCCTACCCATGAGCATGGAATGTTCTTCCATTTGTTTGTGTCCTCTTTTATTTCCTTGAGCAGTGGTTTGTAGTTCTCCTTGAAGAGGTCCTTCACATCCCTTGTAAGTTGGATTCCTAGGTATTTTATTCTCTTTGAAGCAATTGTGAATGGGAGTTCACCCATGATTTGGCTCTCTGTTTGTCTGTTGTTGGTGTATAAGAATGCTTGTGATTTTTGTACATTGATTTTGTATCCTGAGACTTTGCTGAAGTTGCTTATCAGCTTAAGGAGATTTTGGGCTGAGACGATGGGGTTTTCTAGATAAACAATCATGTCGTCTGCAAACAGGGACAATTTGACTTCCTCTTTTCCTAATTGAATACCCTTTATTTCCTTCTCCTGCCTGATTGCCCTGGCCAGAACTTCCAACACTATGTTGAATAGGAGCGGTGAGAAAGGGCATCCCTGTCTTGTGCCAGTTTTCAAAGGGAATGCTTCCAGTTTTTGCCCATTCAGTATGATATTGGCTGTGGGTTTGTCATAGATAGCTCTTATTATTTTGAAATACGTCCCATCAATACCTAATTTATTGAGAGTTTTTAGCATGAAGGGTTGTTGAATTTTGTCAAAGGCTTTTTCTGCATCTATTGAGATAATCATGTGGTTTTTGTCTTTGGCTCTGTTTATATGCTGGATTACATTTATTGATTTGCGTATATTGAACCAGCCTTGCATCCCAGGGATGAAGCCCACTTGATCATGGTGGATAAGCTTTTTGATGTGCTGCTGGATTCGGTTTGCCAGTATTTTATTGAGGATTTTTGCATCAATGTTCATCAAGGACATTGGTCTAAAATTCTCTTTTTTGGTTGTGTCTCTGCCCGGCTTTGGTATCAGAATGATGCTGGCCTCATAAAATGAGTTAGGGAGGATTCCCTCTTTTTCTATTGATTGGAATAGTTTCAGAAGGAATGGTACCAGTTCCTCCTTGTACCTCTGGTAGAATTCGGCTGTGAATCCATCTGGTCCTGGACTCTTTTTGGTTGGTAAACTATTGATTATTGCCACAATTTCAGAGCCTGTTATTGGTCTATTCAGAGATTCAACTTCTTCTTGGTTTAGTCTTGGGAGAGTGTATGTGTCGAGGAATGTATCCATTTCTTCTAGCTTTTCTAGTTTATTTGCGTAGAGGTGTTTGTAGTATTCTCTGATGGTAGTTTGTATTTCTGTGGGATCGGTGGTGATATCCCCTTTATCATTTTTTATTGTGTCTATTTGATTCTTCTCTCTTTTTTTCTTTATTAGTCTTGCTAGCGGTCTATCAATTTTGTTGATCCTTTCAAAAAACCAGCTCCTGGATTCATTGATTTTTTGAAGGGTTTTTTGTGTCTCTATTTCCTTCAGTTCTGCTCTGATTTTAGTTATTTCTTGCCTTCTGCTAGCTTTTGAATGTGTTTGCTCTTGCTTTTCTAGTTCTTTTAATTGTGATGTTAGGGTGTCAATTTTGGATCTTTCCTGCTTTCTCTTGTAGACATTTAGTGCTATAAATTTCCCTCTACACACTGCTTTGAATGCTTCCCAGAGATTCTGGTATGTGGTGTCTTTGTTCTCGTTGGTTTCAAAGAACATCTTTATTTCTGCCTTCATTTCGTTATGTACCCAGTAGTCATTCAGGAGCAGGTTGTTCAGTTTCCATGTAGTTGAGCGGCTTTGAGTGAGATTCTTAATCCTGAGTTCTAGTTTGATTGCACTGTGGTCTGAGAGATAGTTTGTTATAATTTCTGTTCTTTTACATTTGCTGAGGAGAGCTTTACTTCCAACTATGTGGTCAATTTTGGATAAGGTGTGGTGTGGTGCTGAAAAAAATGTATATTCTGTTGATTTGGGGTGGAGAGTTCTGTAGATGTCTATTAGGTCTGCTTGGTGCAGAGCTGAGTTCAATTCCTGGGTATCCTTGTTGACTTTCTGTCTCGTTGATCTGTCTAATGTTGACAGTGGGGTGTTAAAGTCTCCCATTATTAGACATTAATTAAACTTTTAAGTGACCATCTGCCTGCTTATTTTAATCTCCTAAAAAGATTGTTAATTTTGTATTTATCTCTGTATTTTTAGTGTACTTGAAACATTGTAGGTACCCCAAAAATGGATTCCTGATTAAACAATTGACTAAGTTGCAATAGTCAGAACTAGTAAAGTTTTCAGTTTACAAGTGGTAGGATTATATATCCTATTGAAAGTGTATAGTAGTGGGAAAGCGTTTTCCTTCCTGCATTATATTCTGAAGAGTGGGTTTATTATGGTTTGCATAAAGTCACTTTTTAAAGTGGGCATCTCTGTGTATGTCTGTGTACACAAACTTACTATAATAATCAGGAGTGAACAATATATGTGTGTATTTGTCTACAAACTCCAATTTACATGATTTACACTAAAAAATAATTGAGGCATATGTTTTCTGCTAAAAGCTTCAACAGTTTTAGACATGTGAAAACAGAACAATAAAGCAACAGTGTCATAGATAGCCACCTTGTAATGAACAGGTTAATCCAAACTTACATATAATTATAACATTATAAATAGGCTTTATTATGTCCACTTAACTCTTCTGGTTAGTTTCTAGGTAATATTATCTCAAGTCACTACAATAGCAGATTCAAGAGATTTGTTGAAATCCAGGTACTGGTTCCTCTTGTAATACCTCTTAACGCCACAACTGTTTCATATGTTACCTGTTGTTGGGCATTTAGGTTATTTCCCAACATTCAAAATATTGCTTGGGTAAACATGTGGGAACATAGTCATTACATCTTTCACAGGAGATACATAGAAATGAAGATCCTGAATTAAAAGGTATAAATTTTTTAAATTTCCGCATACATATTTTCAAATTTCCTTTCAGAAATATTGTATGAACACGCATATTTATGGCCAGTATTGTTATAATTAAAAATTACTTAATAGTTAAAATATATCATCTCATTGTTTTAGCTACATTTATTGTGTTACTAAAGAATATAAAGATTTTTCACATTTATTAACCACTTGTTTGTCTTTGGTAAATTACTCGGTCATATCCATTGAACATTTCTTTCCTTTTTTCTACCAAATTTTTAAAAAATACTGATACGCAGGAACTCTTTTTAGGTAAAGAATATTAACCATTTGTGTGTTGTTTTTGGTGGTAAATATCATTCTCTCAGGTTTTAATTTTCCCTTAATTTTGTTCTTAAAAAAATATTCTCAAGGAGGAGACAGAGCAATATGGCCAAATAGAAGCTTTCACTATCATTCTTCCCACAAGAAACCAAATTCAACAACTATCCACACCAAAAAGCACCTTTATAAGAATCAAAAATCAGGCAAGCCATCACAGCATCTGGTTTCAACTCTATATCACTGAAAGTGGAAGGGAAGAGGGTAGGAAAAACAGTCTTGAATTACTGATGCCACCCTTCCCCATCCCCCAGCAGGGGCCACATGGCAGGAGAGACTCTGTGCTCTTGGAAGGGGAGAACATAGCAATTGTGAGGCTTTGCATTGGAATTCAGTGTTACCGACACTGAGCAGAACTTAGCTGATGCCCACAGAGGGAGCATTTAGACCAGCCTGAGCCAGGGAGGAATCACCCATCTCAGTGGTTGGAACCTGAGTTCTGGAAAGCCTCACCATTGCAGGCTAAAGTGCTGTGAAGTCCTAAATAAACTCGAAAAGCAGTCTCAGCCTCAAGGACTGCAATTCCTGGGAAAGTCCTGGAATTGTGCTGGGCTCAGAACCAGTGGATGTGGGGTGCCCATGACCTAGTGAGACACTGGCCAGGATGGCCAATGGAGTGCTTGCATCACCTCTTCCCCAATCCTAGGCAGTTAAGATTTAAGTTCTGGGAGAGCCTCCTTCCCTCTGCTTGAGGAGAAAACAGCAAAGAGTAAAGAGGACTTTGTTTTGCAACTTGGAAACCAGCTCAGCCACAACAGGGCACCATCCAGAGTTCTGAGGTCCCTATTCCAGACCCTAGTTCCTTGATGACATTTCTAGACACACCCTGAGCCAGAAGGGAACCGGCTTCCTTGAAGCGAAGGACCCAGTCCTGGCAGGACTTATCAGCTGCTGACTAAAGAGCCCTTGGGCCCTGAATAATCAGCAGAAATACCCAAGTGTTACTTGTCTTGAGCCTTGGGTGGGAACCTGGGCCTGTGCTGGCTTCAGGTGTGACCCAGCACATTCCCAGCTGTATATGGGAAGAGATTCCTTCTGCTGGAGAAAAGAAGAAGTAAAAGTTAAAAAGACTTTGTCTTGCACCTTAGGTACCAACTTGGCCACAGTGGGGTAAAGCACCATGCAGGCTTTTGGGGTCCCCAATTCTAGGCCTTGGACCTTCAATATCATTTCTGGACCTGCCCTAGGCCAGAGAGGAGCCCATTTCCCTGACAGGAAAGTCCCAGTCCTGAAAGCACTTACCACAAGCTGACTGAAAAGCTCTTGGGCTTGAATAAACATTAGTGATAGCCTGGCAGGACTTGCTGTGAGCCTAGGGCAGTGATGGCCATGGGGAGAGGCTCCTCTGCTTGTGGAAAGGGGAAGAAAGAGTGAGAAGGACTTTATCTTGTGGTTTGAGTGCCAGCTCAGCCACAGTAGACTAGAGCACCAGGTAGATTCCTAAGATTTCCGACTCCAGGCCCTGGTTCCCACATGGCATATCTGGACCCACCCAGAGCCAGGGGTAACTCACCACCCTGAAAGGAAGTATATAAGTCTATCTGGCTTTGCCACCTGCTGATTGTGGAGCCCTAGTGCCTTGAGCAAATGCAGATGGAAGCCAGGCAGTAGTTACTGCGGGCCTTGGGCAAGACACAGTCTTGTGTGAGCTTTAGGTCTGACTCAGCACAGTCCCAGTGGTAGTGGCAATAGGGGTGCTGGTGTCACTTCTCCCCCAGCTCCAGGCAGCTCAGCACAGAGAGTAAGACTCTGTTTGGGAGAAAGTAAGGGAAGAAAACAAGAGTCTCTGCCTGGTAACCCAGAGAATTCTTCCAGATCTTATTGAAGACCACCAAGATGGTACCTCTGTGAATCTGCAAGAGCCACAGTGTTACTGGACTTGAGGTTATGCCCTAATGCAGTTATAGCTGCAATGACCAAAAACTTAGGTTACAACACCCAAATCCCTTTGAATATCTGAAAAGCCTTCCCAAGAAGGACTAGTACAAACAAGCCCAAAACTGCAAAGTCTATAATAAATACTTAACTCTTCAATGCCTAGACACTGATGACCATTCACAAGCATCAAGATCATCCAGAAAAACATGAACTCACCAAGCAAACTAAATAAGGCACCAGGGAGCAATCCTGGAGAAACAGAGCTATGTGACCTTTCAGACAGAGAATCCGAAATAGCTGTTTGGGATAACTCAATGAGATTCAAGATAACACAGAGAAGGAATTCAGAATGCTATCAGATAAATTTAACAAAGAGATTGAAATAAGTTTTAAAAATCAACCAAAGATTCTGGAATTGAAGAATGCAATTGACATACTGAAAAATGCATCAGAGCTTCTTACAAGCAGAACTGGCCAAGAAGAAGAAAGAATTAGTGAGATTGAAGACAGGTTATTTGAAAACATGAAGTCAGAGGAGACAAAAGAAAAAGAATGAAAAAGAATGAAGTATACCTGCTAGATATAGAAAATAGCCTCAAAAGAGCAAATCTAAGAGTTATTGGCCTTAAAGAGGAGGTAGAGAGAGAGATTGGGGTAGAGAGTTCATTCAAAGTTATAATAACTTCCCAAAACTAGATAAAGATATCAATATTCAAGTGCAATAAGGTTACAGAACACCAAGCAGACAACCCAAATAAGACTGCCTCAAGATATTTAATAATCAAGCTCCTAAGAGTCAAGGACAAAGAAAGGATACTAAAAGCAGCAAGAGAAAGGAATCAGATAGTATACAATGGAGCTCCAACAAGTCTGACAGAAGACTTTTCAATGGAAACCTTACAGGCCAACAGAGAGTGGCATGACATATTTAAACTGCTAAAGGAAAAAATATATATATCCTAGAATAGTATATTAAGTGAAAATATCCTTCAAATATGAAGAATAAATAAAGTCTTTCCCAGACCAAAAAAAAAAAAAAAAAAAAAAAGAAGCAGCAGCAGCAGCTGAGGGATTTCATCATCACTAGCCCTACCCTACAAGAAATGCTAAGGGACGTTCTTCAATCTGAAAGAAAAGGATGGTAATGAACAATAAGAAATCACCTAAGGGTACAAAACTCACTAATAATAGTAAGTACACAGAAAAACACAGAGTATTGTAACACTGTAAGTGTGGTGTGTAAACTATTCATATTTTGAGTAGAAAGACTGAAAGACAAACCTATCTAAAATAATAGCTACAACAACTTTTAAGTCATAGAACATAAAATAAGATGCAAATAGAGGCAATAAAAAGTTAAAAAGTGGGGGGACAAAATTAAAGTGTAGATTTTTTGTTAGTTTTCTTCTTTACTTATTTGTTAATTAGGTTGTTCATGCAATCAGTATTAGGTTGTCATCACTTTAAAACAATGGGTTATAGATATTATTTGCAAGCCTTATGGTAACCTCAAATTTTAAAAAAACCTACAACAGGCACACAAAAAATCAAAGGCAATAAATTAAAACATATCACCAGAGAAAATCACCTTTGTTAAAAGGAAGACAGGATAGAAGGAAAGAGGGAAGAGAAGACCACAAAACAACCATAACACAAATAATGAAATGGCAAGAGTAAGTCCTTCCTTACTTATGAATAACATTTAATGTAAATGAACTAAGATCTCTAATCTGAAGACATAGATTGGCTGAATGGACCAAAAAAAAAATAAAGACTCAGCTATCTGTTGCCTACAAGAAACACTCTTCACATTTAAAGACACACATAGACTGAAAATAAAAGGATGGAAAAAGATATTCCATGCAAATGGAAACCAGAAAATAGGAGGAGTGGCTATACTTATATCAGACAAAATAGATGTAAAGACAAAAACTAATAAAAGAGACAAAGATGGTCATTATAGAATGATAAAGGGGTCGATTAAGCAAGAAGATAGTACAGCTATAAATATATGACACCCAACACTGGAGCACCCAGATACATACAGCAAATGTTATTAGAGCTAAAGAGAGAGAGATCCCAATATAATACCAATATAAGAATAGCTGGTGACTTCAATACCCCACTTTCAGCATTGCACAGATCATTCAGACAGAAAAACAAGAGATATTGGACTTAATCTGCATGATAGACCAAATGTACATAATAGATATTTACAGAACATTTCATCCAATGACTACAGAACACACATCCTTCTCAGCACTTGGATCATTCTCGAGGATAGATCATATGCTAGATCACAAAATGTCTTTTTAAAAAATTGAAATTATATCAAGTATTTACTCTGATCACAATGGAATAAAATTAGAAATTACTAACAAGAAATTTTGGAAATTATACAAATATATTGAAATTAAACAATAGGCTCTGAATGATCAGTGGGTCAATGAAGAAATTAAGAAGGAAATTAATAAATTTCTTGAACAAATGATTCTGGAAACACAGCATATGAAAAGCTATGGGATACAGCAAAAGCAGTACTACAAGGCAAGTTTATAGCAATAAGCACCTACATCAAAAAAGTAGAAAGAATTTCAAATAAATAACCTAATAATGCACCTTAAAGAACTAGAAAATCAAGAAAAAACCAAACCCCAAATTAGTAAAAGATAAATAATAAAAATCAGAGCATAAATAAATAAAATTGAAATAAAGAAAATAACACAAAAGATCAATGAAATAAAAAGTTGGTTTCTTTGAAAAGATAAACAAAGTAAACAAATCTTTAGCCAGGCTAACTACAAGAGACAAGACTCAAATAAATAAAATCAGAGACGAAAAAGGAGACATTATAACTGATACCACAGAAACTCAAAGGATTATCAGTGGCGACTATGAGCAACTATATGCCAATAAATTGTAAAACCTAGAAGAAAGGAATAAATTACTAGATAAATACAACCTACCAAGATTAAACCATGAAGAGATAAAAAACCTGACCAGACCAATAACAAGTAACAAGATTGAAGCCATAATAAAAAATCTCCCAGTAAAGTAAAGCCCGGGACCCGATGGCTTTACTGCTGAATTTTATCAATCCTTTAAAGAAGAAATAATACCAATTCTACTCAAAGTATTCCAAAAAATAGAGGAGGAGGAAATACTTCCAAACTCATTCTACGAGGCCAGTATTACCCTGATACCAAAACCAGACAAAGACATATCAAAAAAAGAAAACCACAGGCTAATATGCCTGAGGAGCACTGATGCAAAGTTCTCAACAAATTGCTAGCAAGCTGAATTCAACAACACATTAAAAAGATCATTCATCATGATCAAGTGGGATTTATCCCAAGGAAGCAAGGATAGTTCAGTATGTGCAAATCAATCAATGTGATACATAATATCAACATAATGAAGGACAAAAACCATATGATCATTTACATTGATGCTGGAAAAGCATTTGATAAAATTCGACATCACTTCATGATAAAAATCCTCAAAAACCTGGGTATAGAATAAAAGCCATATACAACAGACCCACAGCTAGTATCATACTGAATTAGGAAAAACTGAAACCTTTCCTCTAAGATCTACAACAAGACAAGGATGCCAACTTTCACCACTGTTATTCAACATATTACTGGCTATCCTTGCTAGAGCAATCAGACAAGAGAAAGAAATAAAGGGCATCCACATTGGAAAGGAAGAAGTCAAATTGTATTGCTATTGTTTGCAGATGCTATGATCTTACACTGGAAAAACCTAAAGGCCTCATCAACAATCTATTAGAACTGATAAACAAATAAAGTAAAGTTGCAGGATACAAAATCAACATACAAAAATAAGTAGCATTTCTATATGCCAACAGCAAACAATTTGAAAAATAAACCAAGAAAGTAGGCTGGGCACGGTGGCTCACATCTGTAATCCCAGCCCTTTGAGAGGCCGAGGCCGGCAGACCACCTCAGGTTAGGATTTCAAGACCAGCCTGGCCAACATGGTGAAACCCCGTTTCTAACAACAACAACAAAAAAAAAAGCCAGACATGTTGGTGCATGCCTGTAATCCCAGCTACTCGGGAGGCTGAGGCAGGAGAATCACTTGAACCCGGAAGGCGGAGGTTGCAGTGAGCCAAGCTTGCACCACTGCACTACAGCCTGAGTGACAGAGCAAGACTCAGCCTTGAAAAAAAAAAGAAAGCAATCCCATTTATAATAGCTCCCAATAAAATTAAGTACCTAAGAATTAACTACAGAAGTGAAAGATTTCTACATAAAAACTATAAAACATTGATTCAAGAAATTAAAGGGGACACACAAAATAATGGAAAGATATTCCATGTTTATGGATATAAAGAATTAATAAGAATTAATACCATTAAAATGTCCATACTACCCAAAACAATCTATAGATTCAATGCAATCTCTCTCAGACTACCAATAAAATCCTTCACAGAAATGGAGAAAACAATCCTAAAATTTATATGAAACCACAAAAGACCCGGAATACCCAAAGTTATCCTGAGCAAATAGAACAAAACTTGTAGGAGTCACATTATCTGATTTCAAATTATACGACAAAGCTATAGTAACCAAAACAGCATGATACTGGCATAAAAACAGACACATAGACCAATGGAACAGAATAGAGAGCCCAGAAACAAATCCGCACACTTACAGTGAACTCATTCTTGACAAAAGTGCCAAGAATACACACTGGGGGAAAGAGTCTCTTCAGTAAATGGTGGTGGAAAAACTGGATATCCATATGCAGAAGAATGAAACTAGGCCCCTCTCTCTTGCCATATACAAAAATTAGTTCAAAATGAATTAAAGATTGAAATATAAGACCTCTAACTATGGAACTACTGAAAGAAAGCTTTGGGGAAATTCTCTAGGACATTGGACTGGGTAATAACCAGATTTCTTGAGTAATAACCCCAAAGCACTGGCAACCAAAGCAAAGATTTCTTGATTAATAACCCCAAAGCACTGGCAACCAAAGCAAAAATGGACAAATAAGATGACATCAAATTTAAAAGCTTCTCCACAGCAAAGGGAACAATCAACAATGTCAGAATAGACATTTCTCAAAAGAAGACATACAAATGGCAAACAGGTATATGAAAAGGTACTCAACATAAATGATATCATAGAAATTCAAATCAAAAGTAAAATAATATATCCATCTCACCTCAGTTAAAATGGCTTTTATCCAAAAGACAGGGAATAGCAAATGCTGGTGAGGATGTGGACAAAAAGGAGCCCTTATATACTATTGGTGGGAGTGTAAAATAGTTCAACTACTATGGAGAACAGTTTGGAGTTTCCTTTAAAAATTAAACATAGAGCTACCCTATGATCCAGCAATCCCACTGCTGGTATATACCAAAAGAGAAGAAATTAATATATCAAAGAGATATCTGCACTCCCATGTTTATTGTAGCACTTTTCACAATAGCCAAGATTTGGAAACAACCTAAGTGTCCATCAACAGATAAATGAATAAAGAAAATGTGGCCAGGCACATAGGCTCATGCCTGTAATTGCAGCACTTTGGGAGGCCAAGGTGGGTGGATCACTTGAAACCAGGTGTTTGAGACTAGCCTGGGCAATGTGGCGTAACTCTGTCACTGCAAAAAAATACAAAAATTTGCCAGGCATAGTGGCGTCTGCCTGCAATCTTAGCTACCAGGGAGGCTGAGGTGGGAGGATCACTTAAGCCCAGGAGATGGAACTTGCAGTGAGTGGAGATCAGGCTGGAGACTCTTGGGCCAAGATCAGAGCTAGAGTCTGTCTCAAAAAAAAAAAAAAGAAAAAAGAAAAAAGAAAATGTGGTACATATATACAATGGAGTACTATTCAGTCATAAGAAATGAGAGTCTGTCATTTGCAACGACATGGGTGGAACTGGAGATCATTATGTTAAGTGAAATAAACCAGACACAGAAAGACAAACTTTACATGTTCTCATTTATTTGTGGGAGCCAACAATGAAAACAATTGAACTCATGAGAGAGGGAGAGAGTAGAAAGATGGTTACCAGAGGCTGGGAAGGTTAGTGAGGTTGGAAGAGTAAAGATGGTTAATCGGTACAAAAATATAGTTAGAATAAATAAGATTTAGTATTTGATAGCACAACAGGGTGACTACATTCAATAATAATTTATTGTACATTAAAAAATAACTAAAAGAGTATATTTGGATTGTTCGCAACACAAAGATGGATACCCATTTATGTTGATGTGGTTATTATGCATTTATGCCTTTATCAAAATATCTCATGTCCCCATAAATATATATACCTAGTACATACCCACAAAAAATTAAAAATTAAAAACATTTTAAAGTTTTCCCCTTATTTTTAGGTATGGGTTTTCTTCATTTTGTGAAAGGGTGGCCTGCCTTTCCACACCTGTGGGTATTTTTTGTCTGGTGGGACGAGAGACTGAGAAAAGAAATAAGACACAGAGACAAAGTATAGAGAAAGAACAGTGGGCCTAGGAGACCGGTGTTTAGTATACAGAGGACTTGTACCGGACTGGTCTCTGAGTTTTTTTAGTATTTATTGATTATCATTTTTACTATTTTAGTAAAGGGAATGTGGCAGGAGAACAGGGTGATAGTGGGGAGAAGTTTAGCAAGAAAACATGTGAGTAAAGGAATCTGTGTTACAAATAAGTTTAAGGGAAGGTACTATGTCTGGATGTGTATGTAGGCCAGATTTATGTTTCTCTTTATTTAAACATTTTAGTGTAGTAAAGAGTAACAGAGTAGTATTGTCGCCAGTATATTTTGCCTCTAGTCACAGGGCGGTTTTTTTTTTCTGTCTCAGAATAGAACGAATGTATGATCGGCTTTTATACCGAGACATTTTGTTCCTAGGGGCATGCAGGAGACAGAGGCCTTCCTCTTATCTCAACCGCAGGAGACCTTCCTCTTCTACTAATCCTCCTCAGTACAGACCCTTTACGGGTGTCAGGGTGGGGGACGGTCAGGTCTTTCCCTTCCTACGAGGCCATATCTCAGGCTGTCTCAGTGGGGAGAAACCTTGGACAATACCTAGGCTTGCTTGGGCAGAGGTCCTTGCGGCTTTCCACAGTGTATTGTGCCCCTGGTTAATCGAGAATGGAGAATGGCGATGACTTTTACCAAGCATACTGCCTGTAAACATATTGTTAACAAGGCACATCCCGCACAGCCCTAGATCCCTTAAACCTTGATTTCATACAACAAATGTTTCTGTGAGCACAGGGTTGGGGCTAAAGTTACAGATTAACAGCATCTCATGGCAAAACAATTGTTCAGGGTACAGACCAAAATGGAGTTTCTTATGTCTTCCTTTTCTACATAGACACAGTAACAGTCTGATCTCTGTTACAGCTTCTACAGAAAATCTAATTACGCTATTTCAAACAATAGGACAATTCTGCCCATGGTTTCCAGAACAGGGAACTTTAGATCGAAAAGATTGGGAAAAAATTGGCAAAGAATTAAAACAAGCAAATAGGGAAGGTAAAATCATCCCACTTACGGTATGGAATGATTGGGCCATTATTAAAGCAACTTTAGAACCGTTTCAAACAGAAGATAGTGTTTCAGTCTCTGATGCCCCTAAAAGCTGTGTAATACATTGTGAAGAAGAAGCAAGGACAGAGTTCAAGAAAGGAACGGAAAGTTCACATTTTAAAAATGTAGCAGAGTCTGTAATGGCTCGGTCAACGCAAAATGTTGACTACAATCAATTACAGGAGGTAATATATCCTGAATCATCAAAATTAAAGGAAGGAGGTCCAGAATTATTAGGGCCATCAGAGCTTAAACCACAAGGGCCATCAACTCCTCCTCCCGCAGTTCAAATGCCTGTAACATTACAACCTCAAATGCAGGTTAAACAAGTGCAAACCGTTGGGTCCCTTTCCTGGCCAGCATCAGTTTTAAAGTTACCGGGAACTGCTATGCCTCAAGATCTCCCTGTTTTCTGGTGTGATCTCAGCTCACTGCATCCTCTGCCTCTCAGTTCAAGTGATTCTCCCTGCCTCAGCCTCCTGAGTAGCTGGGATTACAGATGCCTGCCACCACATCTGGCTAATTTTTTTTTTTTTTTTTTTTAGTAGAGATGGGATTTCACCATGTGGGTGAGGCTGGTCTCAAACTCCTGACCTTAGGTGATCTGCCCGCCTCGGCCTCCCAAAGTGCTGAGATTATATGGGTGAGCCACCGTGCCCGGGCAAGACCTATTGTTTTCATAAAAAGAAGAAATATGTTATCAAATATCTCATTACTCCCAGCACAAGCCCTGTTTTATCACTCACAATCAACATATAGCAACCGTTTGCCTAATTCTTCCCTACCTTTGGATTCCTAGCTCACCCTTTGACCTTGTCTCCTATTGATGCTTCCCTGGTGCTAACAGTGGCTTCTCTCCATTAGATACAATAGTTTCTGACAATCTATATATGATTAGTGCATACCTTGCATTATTCTTGAAAGACAGCATTAGAAATGGATTCCACCTAAATATACTGTCAATAGGAATAATCTCCTATACTAGACTAGACGATGTCTAAAATCTTACCATCAATGCGGCCACAGTCTACTGTCTCTGCTAATCCACGTCTAAATCTAGGACATGACTGTGCGGGGCTTAGTATTACATTCTAAGAGAGTTATCCTGTTCAGCACACAGATTAAGGCCACACCACTGTAAGAGGGGAAGCAATTTCAATGAACATGTCAATCACTGGAAAGTGAAGGAGGTGCTAAAACAGAAAATACAGTTCAGAGGTAACTATGAGTGAGGGGGGAGGGAACTGTATTTCTCTCTAGGTCCAGCGTTGAAGACATTTAAATGCCTGGATTTTTGATTGTGTGTACTAGGTATTAAGAGTCACCCTGACTGTGGAGGAGGGCCCGAGATCAGGATGGGACATGTTCAAGCCCCAGAGTGCAAGCATATTTTGTAAGATATCATCCAGTTTTACATTGTTCTGTTTGGTTGACTCCACATCCTTTAGTTAAGTCTCCTTAAACAATTTCTATTTTGTCTCATCATACCTCAGAGAATTAAAAGGAAAATGAAGTTTGGCAAACAAGAATTATTTTCTATTATCAACCCTAAAGAAGCCGAATTTTATTTTTATTAAGGAAATACAGTACTTCCATACTTGATTCTCAAAGAGCATTTTCTGATTTTTTTCATTGTGTTATCCGACTACAGTCCCCTTGTTTAAAACCTTAAAATATTCTATTATTTTCTGTTGTAACATTTATTATAATAATAGTGGTAGAGTTCATGGTGTTATTTTCTTTATTTCCCTCATTGGCTTGGTAACTATACGCTATCAGAGACCAAGTCTTCTTTCATTTCCTGCAGCATTTCAGTATTCTCAACTGATGTCAATAAATAATTAAGTCCCGCATATTGTGTAAAGCAGGATTTCTCAACATCAGCACTGTTGACATTTTGGGCTGGGTAATTATTTGTTGTGGGGCTGTCCTTTACATTGTAGCATGTTCAGCCACATCTCTGGCTTCTAACCACCGGATGGCAGTAGCAGCCCTTCCCTACAATTCTGACCATCAAAGATGTCTCTAGACACAGAGCCAGATGTCGCCCAGGGGCAAAATCACCCTTAGTTGAGAACCATGATCAAGAATATTGCAGCATTCAAAATGCTTTCAGGTTAAAAAATAAAGAATACTGCATCATTCAAAATTCTTTCACAAAAAAAGATGATTGTTAAAAGTTGAATGATAGTAGTGATAAATAAAAATCTGGCTTAAATTGATTGAATCATGTAATTTTCAAACATTTATTTTGGCAATTTCCAAAAGCCTCAAAATAGATGGAAGAAAGGGAAGTAGCATTAATAGATCATACCTACTAGGCACTAGGCACTTACCTTACAGTGATTCATCTAATGATCCACAAAATGTAATGAAATAAGTTAATATCAGGACTCCAGAGAAGGGTCTGTTTTCTGAGGTATTCTCCACAAAATGTAATGAAATAAGTTAATATCAGGACTCCAGAGAAGGCTCTGTTTTCTGAGGCATTCTCCACTGACCATTCACCATTAGTGTAATAATTTTTAAAATAGCATAATAGTTAAGCCCATGGGCTATAGTGGTAGCTAGAGGGTTCCAGGCCTGGTGTTGCCATCTGTTAGCTGTGGGACTAGGGCAAGTTATAAGCACTCTGTGAGCTTCAATTTCCTCACCCATGAAGATGGATTTAATTATAGTACTCCCTTCATAGGTTTTGTGAGAATTAAGTGACATAATGCATACAAAGTGTTTAAAACATTGCCCAAACCTTAGTACCCAATAAATATTGCTTCTAAAAATAAAATTAACTTTACATCAAAAGGAGCACACCAATTGCAAGCACCTAAATAGTAAGACATAACCCGATTTCAGAGACTTTAAAAATACCTTAAGCATTTATCTGATAACTCATGTTGTTGTCCATCTTTTCATGTGCTTATTGGCCATCTGTATATTTTCTTATGTAAGGTGTCTGCTAGAATATTTTGCATGTGTTTTAACTGAATGTTTTTCTTTGAGTTTATTATTTTGAATATAAGACCTTTATCTGCTATATGTGTACAAATATTTTCTCCCAATTTCTGATTCACCTTTTTGTTTACTAGGAAGAGCAAATGTTTTTACTTTTGATAAACTCCAATTATCCTTTTTTTCATTTATTATCTGTGCAATTCATATTTTAAGGAATCCTTGCCCAGCCAGATCTCACAAAGATTTTCTCCCGTATTTTCTGCTAGCAGTTCTAACTTTTTACATTTAGGACTATGATCCCTTTCAAGTTAAACAAAATGTGGTGTATCCAGACAGTGGAATACTACTCAGCAGTAAAAAGGAGTAAGTTACTGATACACACAATTTAATCTCAAAATTATTAGTCTGAGTAAAAGCAGCCAGACACAACAGAGTAGATGCTGCATAATTCCATTCATAAAAACTTTTAGAAAATACAAACTCATGCATAGTGACAGAAAGCTGATTATTGGTTGTCTGTGGATGGGGATGGAGGCAGAGTGGACTTCAAAAGGGGATGAGGAAACTTTAGGAGGTGATGGAAGTGTGGCATCTTGATTGTACTGCTATGTTTACAACCGTCAAACTAATAAAATGGCTTACTATAAATATGTGCAGTTTATTTGATGTAACTTATACCTCAATAAAGTTTTTAAAACCCATTTAAGATCAAGGAGATAAAGAATTTTGCTCAAGCTAGTTGGTGCAGAATTAAGATCCTATATTCACATCATGCCAACCCCAGCACTTGTCTGACTTCACGGCACCTTAATGTTCCACAAACGGTATCTAATGTTGGCTCTCAGTGGGTAACAAGCAACTCCTGTCCTCTAGAGGTCAGGCTTGTCCAGGAAAATAATTCCAGAAACTGGTAAATACACTTGCTCACTTGAAAGTAGCCTTACACTATGTTGGAGGAAATACTTTGTGTGTGTGTGTGTGTGTGTGTGTGTGTGTAATTTGCATAAAAAAATTAGTGTGGTTTAGTATGAGACCCTATCCCCACATAAAAAAACCCCACATTTCCCTAGAGTAAGGATGATGAGAGTTAGCATTTTATGGAAAGATAACCTGTTCAAGGAGTCTGAAAAGGACCTTAAATCAGGAAAACCTGGTTCTATGCAGATTTTAAGCCAGAAGCACTGTAGCAAAACCCAGGTACCCTGAGCTATATCGGTTATTTTCTTCCAGAAGTGAAAGTTGGAACAATTTAATAAAGAGCAATAACTTATTACGGATCTATTAAATGCCTGGGCTTGTAGTAGGTGCCTTACACGTGTCAGCATACTAATCCTGACAACAACCGTCTGAGGCTAACGCTAGCCCTACTACTTTCACTGGGGAGGAAGCAGTTGTCAGAGAGGCAAATAACGTCTTCATGTTCCCAGTCAGTGGAGCCTTGTTGCCTCCAAAACCTAATTCACCACTGCGAGATATTACATTTTTATTTTAACAAGACTAAGCCCTAACTGAAATGTATAGTTCATTAATATAAGCAATTTTCAGCCATGGTTGAAGTTTTTGGCCAAAGACCTTCTTTCAATGGAACTGAAGAGATAATATTTTGTCATTGTTCTTATATGTTATACTTAAATCTAAGTGTCCAAATGTCATACTAGTTTACATTTTGTCACTCTTCAAAATGTTATCTCTTTTACTACTAATCATCTTGACAGCACTAATGATACATCTTAACCTGAATTTTACACTAAACTTTAGAAAAGAAGCATTTACCCATATTGATATAAATTCTTCTAAAATCGTTTCCATGGAATGATAATATTCCATCTTGTCAATTCATCATAATTCACTAACCCATATTCCTCTTTTTGTTTTGGATACTTTGCTTGTTTTCTTGGTCTTTGCTAGTAAAAATGAATAAATAAAACAAAAACGTAAAATGGCATGATTATTTCATGTAAAGCTGTTTTCAGTTGTAAATTCAGACGTGATAAAAACGAATAACATTTTAAGCCCCTTTACACTTCTTGACACAATTATTTCCAACATGTTTTACTTACAAAAATATTTATGATGCATCATTAAGAGATAGAAACAGTTCATAAAATATCATCTTTGTATTGGTCACAGGGTTTTTAAAGGCTACTCATATCACACTCGGGGTCAAACAGTCACTGGCTATGTTATTTAATGACTGCATTGGAGACAGTGATGACAAGTTGCTTGAATTTGTAAATGAAAACAATCTAAGAGGAAAAGTTTGGAATACACATTCAGGATATACCAAATCTGGAAATGTTAAATTTAATAGGTACAGATTTTTTTGAAGCCCTCAGAACTGTATAAGGATGATTTAGAGAGAGAATGCAAGCATATAAAAATAAGACAATAGACTTGAGGGTGTGAGTACACCCGAGGGGAACTTCTGGCCCAGACTAGAAAGGGATTATCCATGGCTCTAATTCAGGCTACTTAGAGAAAGGGGTGGGTGTAAGTGATAGCAAGAAATGTCTATGATTTCCATCCTAAAGATGTTAGGAAGCCTAAGGTAAGAGATGGAATTTGGAACCAGTTGAGACCCCAGTGTCACCCAGATAGACCCGAAGGGTAGGCTTATCAAGAACTACATCCCTGGACTTCGGGATGTCGGCTTCTTTGTTCTGCATGAAGCCAGAAGGATGCTGAATTGCTGATTTGCTTTATAAATCTGTAAGGACCTCAAGAATGTAAAAATGACATGCATATTCCACATAATTTAGGATCACAGTGCCCAGGGAATCTGATCATAATGTCTAATTCTTCCCTGGCCACTCTATAAACAGTATTTTCTAGTCAAGAAAAGCTCCTACCTGAGTCAGCCAAGCCTCCAAAATCCTGACTTCTGAGCTGAGGGTCTTGGCCTCAATGATCTTGATCTCCTTTTTTATTTCTTTTTTAAAAATCTCAAAAAAGAGATTTGTGTTGCTAGTTTCATTCCATCTTCTCTGAGGCAAAAATGATATCACAGTTAACTAAAAATTTAGGAACAAAGACCAAAAATATAACTCCAAGGACAGTGGTTGCCATAAAGCTTCCCTGATAACATGGTTTGGGGGACAACTCTTATATCTCAAAGCACCTAGGAAATGACTACCTAAATGAGTAAGATTCAGATTTAGGCATTTATTTGTCAATAACTGATTAATTATACCTCTAACTGTCTATCACCTCTGGGACTCATTGAATGCCCCTCTTAGGACTGGGCTGAGGGATTTCTTTTACTATGTAAGTACTCAGAGCTGAAATTCAGCTGGTTTGTACAGTACAGCAGACTCAAAGCAAAATTCTTACAATACTTTCATACCAGTAAATTGCTGATGCACCATTCTCCAAATCCCCCCCTGCTCCTGTCCCTGTCCCTTCCTTGGGAGGCCCAGTCACCTCTCCATCCAGTAATTTTACTGTGTGTCACAGGAAGGGGCCTCCATCATGCTCCAATGCTGCATCTGGAGTCGTTCTGATGGATTGACGCCCACTGGCAAAATAATTAAACAATTCAATTAAACAATTTGAATACCACCTCTCTTCACTTCTATTTTATTCAGTCACTTATTTTAAGCTCTTTAAAGGTATCATTACTTTGGCCTTTAACTCAAAATTAGAACTAAGTGTGGGAAGTCACTGGAAAATCTAAAATAGCTGTTTTAGTCATTTTTTCTGCCACAATACACAGGAGAGTTTGTGTGTTCATCACACACTGAGGGGCTACAGCATGGATAAAGTGGGCTGTGGTTCATGCCCAGCTGCAATTCAATCATTTTTTTGATTATTATTTTCAATTATTATTTCTTCTTGTTACTGATATCTGTTAACTGTAGGCATCACAATTCCTATTTACCTCCTTTGGTTCAGGTGAGTAGTTTGTGTCTTTCTGAAAAGTGATGTCATTCCGTTCTGGAGATAAGTAAAGAGGCAATTCTGTGAGTTGCTCCTGAATTTGTCCTTTACAGCATGACACATTTATATTTCCTGCAGTTTGGTCCCTTCCCATAATATCAGAATAGCCATAACAAAGTGCAATGAAAATATAACGAAGTATGATGTGCTTCCAAACCAAAAAGGAAATTTTTACACTTGCCTTTTGGAGATTAACCAAACTGACACTCACTGGGAACATAATCAGTGATAGATCATATTGACAGTGCAGCAGAAAAGAGCCATTCCTAGCTCACTTGTCTACTTGATGATTAAATGGTATTTTGAAGGCATATTCACAATCCACAATTGTTTTTATTTTAAAATTCTTCTGCTTGAAAACTGCCTAACAAATGACCAAATTCAACATTAACAAATTCCATAATCCTGAGCACCTTGGGAAACACCAATAAATTAATTGAACAAAAAATTCAGTAATGACTAATTTTCTTTACCAGAGATTTAAATATTCACATTTAGAAAGTATTTGTAATAGCATTTCTCTCTACTGCATGTCTGGGTAGAGCAGTGGTTCTCAACCAGGGATGATTTTGACCCCCAAGGTGTGGTAGCAATGTCTGGAAGCCTTTTTGATGGTCCCAGCTTGGAAGGGCAGAGGAGGGAGTGGTGTTGTTTTCATCTAGTGGATGGACACAATGGGCATTGCCAAATACCTTTCGGTTCACAGGACAGCCCACCACAACAAAGAATCATTGGCACAAAATGTCAGTCATACTGAGATTGAGAAAACCTGATACAGAACAGGCAACCTCTTTAAGGATAATCCCTTGAAAACTACAAAAGCAAAAAAGTAAACACTAGGGGTCAGTACGAAGTCATGAAATGTTGCTTCCGAAGCACTCTCCAACCTGTCAAAGAGTCCACATTGATTCTAAAACTTTTCTTGTATAGATTATAAGAAACAAGTAAATGTACTGATGTTAGGAATCAGGGCTTTTCACTATGGGGGAACAGAGATACACATAGGAAATGGGGCAAGGTGAGAATGAACCCTGTGGGATTGGATTTGATTTGTAGATAGTGTAGATACATTAATATATTATATTGTGTTATATATCACATCTTATCCTATCTTATCTTATTCTGGCATGTTGATTTCCTATATCTGTTCAAAGAAAAGCCTTAGAAATGAGGACTCTAATAAACAAGGAACAATTCTGGACCCCAAATCTTGTTTTTAGATGATACCATTCTCTATTTAAAGGAACTAGAGCTTCTCAGAGAACTGGCTGATTCCAGAATGAGACAGGATGAGCCTGGGATATCTCGTTGGGTAAGAGAGTAAGGAAGCACTCAAAGCATGATGGAGACCCCTCAAAAGAACACAGTCCTTTGAAGGGGCTTCCAAATTTGGGCAATTTGTGCATGATAAAAAAAATTAAAAAGCTAATAGACATAATATATTGAATTAATTTAAAAGGTACATATTAATGAGAGAGAAAAAAGCTATAAATTTATGAGAATGTTAGCTAAATAAAATAGAAGAAGGGATAGAATGTTAAGGTAGGATTTCTTTTTTTTTTTTTTCTTTGAGACGGAGTCTCACTCTGTCACCCAGCTGGAGTGCAGTAGCACGATCTCAGCTCACTGCAACCTCTGCCTCCCGGGCTCAAGCGATTCTCGTGCCTCAGCCTCCTGAGTAGCTGGGATTACAGGCACACACCACCGCGCCCAGCTAATTTTTGTATTTTTAGTAGAGATGGGGTTTCACCATGTTGCTCAGGCTAGTGTTGAACTCTTGACCTCAGGTGATCCACCTGCCTCAGCCTCGCAAAGTGCTGGGATTACAGGCGTCAGCCACTGCGCCCGGCCAAGATATGATTTTTAATCCCAAATAGATTTGCTGCTCCTTCGGCAAGGATTATCAACAGACGACAGAACCACTAGGTGGAATGTTGTTGGGGGAGAGTACTACACTGTCTCAAAACCCCATGGATTACTTATTAATGAAAAAGGGAAAATTTTTCTTTTAAAACAGAAAGATCGGCCAGTCATCCCTGCACTGGGTCGTCAAACAGCTCTATCAAGAACGGACGACCTGACATCATGTGTCCCTGATTTAATACACTGAGGATGACACATCACCCATGTAATCATCTTGCCAAAATGTTTAACCTGAATCTCATTATGAGGCAACAATCAGATAACTCTAGGATGTGGAGCTTTATACAAGACTGCTGTCCAAACGTTTCAAAAAAGATCAAGACCAGGAAAAACAAAAGAAAACCAAAAAGTCAGGGACAGAATCAGGTCAAAGTGATTAGTGAAATATATAACCAAATGCAATGTGAAAATCTTTGTTGGATCCCGAATTCTCCCAAAATAACTGCAAGTGGAGTTTTTAAAACAATATAGAAAATTTAAGTATGTACTATATTTTATATGAAACATTTAATTAAGGCTTATTTTCTCAAGCGTAATAAAGGTATTGTGGTATGAAGGAAATGTTCTTATTCTCAAGAGAGGCATATTACGGTATTTAGGGAAAGTATCATGGTGCATGCAACTTTCATTCAAATTGTTCAGGAGACAGATGACAGATAGATAATAGATATAAACCATATGTAACAAAATATTAACAATTGCTGAATCTGGATGAAGTTTGCGCAAGTGTTTACTATACAGTTCTTTCAACTACTCTGCAATTTTAAAACTTCCAAAATAAAGAAAATGTAAAGTTTTTACACCATTCAATGGCGATTTTTTAAAATGAAGAAAGATTTTAATTTTCATTACCACCATTACTAGAATGATATTTTTTTCTTAAGCTCTATAAGCTTTGGAAGAACTTTAGTGTCTACATAAATGCATTTTAACATAGAAGGCAGTGCTTTGCCTCCACCCTATTCTGCCAAAGATGAATGGCCTTAAGTTTTAAAATATAAAATAAGATTTTCAAACTCCTGACATTTAAGGAAGTTTCAAATGCTCCATTTGAGACACATGGCTTTTCCAGTCATTTTCATGGGTAGTTCATGGCTTGAACAATGACAATCTGCAGTGACTTACCCGAAGGAAGGAGACAGAATGTCCAAAGAAGCTCCAGAAGGGGTCCAGGCACACCTGCAGCCGCTGAGCCAGGATTTATGTTCAACTAAAGCTACCAACTCAGAGAACTTTCAAATTAGCTGATTAACAGGATCAACTGCTTGCTATGCATCAGTCCCTTTCCACATAGGGGAAGCAATTTTATGCTAATCTTCACACTGCACAAGGCAGAATTCTGATGTTCACCCAAATTAGGGTCCCATTTCTAATTCATTTATTTTTCTCAGGGAAGTTTCTCTGAGATTTCACTCTGAGAAGATTCCATCTTTGATTTATTTCCTAATACACTTTAATTTTCCTTCGTAATGCTTATGATTGTATAATATACATATAATTGTGTACACATTTCCGTATTTGCTATTAAAAATGTTTCTAAGTTCTCCAAGGGCAGGGGCCAGGTCTTTTTTGTTCTCACCATGTATTCAGTACCCAGCCCTGTGCTGGGACCTGTGCCTAGCACCCAAAAGGCATAAATAAATATCTGTTGACTGAATGACTTTGGGGGTTGGTCAGGCTGCTCCCAAAGGGGTGTGTTTGAGACCTCAGGTGAGCAGAGACATTAATTTAAAGGTGAAGGGGCTCTCAAACTCCCATATGTGGAAGCCACCTTCAGACATAGCCACAGGATGCAAGTGAAATTGCTGAAATGTAGGGATAGGCTCCAAAAGACAAAGGATCAATAATAAAATTCTATATGATTTTACTCAATATTCAAATGTACATCTCCGCTCTTCCTTAGGAATTCACTGCTTTCTATATTTGTTCATTGTTCCTCAGCCAGGTTTTCACAGAAGCTACAACTGCAAAGTAGACCAATGTGTTCTGCAGAAAACTGGCAGTCTTTAAAAATTATCAGAAAACAAACCAGCAAGCCAACATATATTAAATGCAGGAATAAAACTCTATCAATGTTAAGGTTTTTCTCCTAGAAATGTATACATAATTAACATTTTGGGGCTTACGACTGCCTAAAAAAGTAGCAGAGAACTATTAATAAAAGAACTGAGGCAGCCAATTGTATTTAATTCCACTGCTGTTTAGTAATGTAAATGATATCATACATTTTAGTATATATAATATTGTCATATACATATATATGTACTTATAGTATTCATTTTTTAGAGTATATGATGGAATACACAGAGATTATGTTCCACAAAAATTATCAAAATGTTCAGATGCACTGCCACCTGTATGGGCTTGAGAACTATGAACACAAATGTATATGTACGCCCTTCAAGACTTCTTAGCCTGGGATCCACGAACAATTTAAAGAGGTCTGGGAAACTATGTGAAAAGTTGTATGTGAATGTGTATGTGTGCCTTTTATAGGTGGAAAGGTTGGTAGCCTCCACAAGATTGTAAAAAGGAGTCTGTGAGTTTAAAAAGTCCATTGGAATCAAGAACATTCCTCTAATGCATAGCTACACGTATTTACGCTAAGTGTGTGTTTAAAGGTTTAAGCACTTTGCTACATCAATGTGTAGAAGCACTATTTAAGTCATGGAAACTCTTTGAACAAAATATATTGCTGCTCATTGAAATAAAATCATTGTGTCTTTTTGTTACCCTTGAAACAGAAACATTTTAAAATTTTATTATGTACTTGTATTTCAGTCCACCATTGTACAGAAGATGGCTGAGTTTTTTTATGATTTGGTAAATTTGAAGAATCCTCAGGTTCAGGTGCACTAAAGAATTCCCAGAGTAGGCCATTTTTGGGGTGAAAGGTCTCTGCCTGTTTATTCTTTGAGCCTAAGACCATTAAAAACAAACAAACAAACCCTGCTACATTTCTGGATCTGGCATTTTCAGGTATCAAATAAATAAAATCCATAGTTTATATTCAGTGGGACTACTATGATACACAGAAGGAAAATAAGTTAACAGCATAAAGTTTTTGTTTCGTTTTGTGAATGAAAATGAAAAGTGTATACACATTCTGGCTTAAAGCCCACAGGATTACTTTTGACACCCTTTCAATTCTCTGTGTGTATGATGTGAGCAGGGGGAAAAGAGTCCTAACAAGATATTTTGCACAGAAGCGGTTTCTCTTATTCTGACCTAGATGCTACAACAATACTTCATTAAAGAGAAATCCAGTCTTTAGCTAGTGTTGTCATTCATTTTTCCTAATCTTCCCTAATGTTGTCTGAGTCCAGATTGTGTTTATGGGCAAGGGTGACCACGCCCTACTACTAGGTGATAGACACCTGAAAGATATGATTAAAAACAGGACTACCCTCTGGGCATGGTGGCACATGCCTCTAGTCTTAGCTACTTGGGAGGCTAAGGCAGGAGGATCACTTGAGCCCAGAAGTGCAAGGCCACAGTGAGCTACGATCATGCCACTGCACCACAGAAGCCTGGTAACAGAGGGAGGTCCTGTCTTTAAAAAACAAAAACAAAGCAAAACAAAACCAGGACTACAGAGATTAGAGCCTGAATAAAAATAAATTGTGCGGCCAGGCGCGATGGCTCACACCTGTAATCCCAGCACTTTGGGAGGCCAAGGCGGGCAGATCACAAGGTCAGGAGTTGGAGACCAGCCTGAACAACAGAAACATCGTCTCTACTAAAAAAAAAAAAAAAAAAAAAAAATTAGCTGGGCATGGCGGTGCACACCTGTAATGCCAGCTACTCAGGAGGCTGAGGCAGGAGAATTGCTTGAACCTGGGAGGCAGAGGCTGCGGTGAGCCGAGATCGCACCACTGCACTCCAGACTGGGTGACAGAGTAAGATTCCATCTCAATAAAAGAAATAATAATAATAATAAATTGTGTGTTTGAAAATTCTCTCTCCTCGAATAGCTTGAACCCAGGAGGTGGAGGTTGCAGTGAGCCAAGATCGCGCCACTGCACTCCAGCCTGGGTGACAGAGTGAGACTCCGTCTCAAAAAAGAAAAAAAATTAAAAAAAAAAGAAAAAACAAAATTATCTCTCCTCTCAGTTCCTATATTTTCTAAAAATAGCATATAAGCTGTAACTGAAATGATTTTTCACACAGAAAAAGTATATCTCTTCAGCTAAAATGGAAGTGGTCATAATTACAAAGAAATAGACCACTTTAAGTATAGCCTTTGTGGATAAATGCTTTGAGAAAAGAAGTTTTTACTGGGTTTTCCCACTGATTCCTCTTGTCATACACCTGATTCCACTCAATTCGCTAACTTGGCAAAGGATATGACAATATTGTACTAATATAATATATATAATGTACACATTACACAATAATTTATATAATATACTATAGCAATAGGTAACATCACAAGACTGAATATATGGATTCTTACAGATTCTACTAGAGCATTTTATTAAAAAGAACCACACAAAAATTAAACCATTTATAAACCAGGAATTATCTCTGAAATCTGTATGCTAAAGGATTCATACTGTAGTTTCAAACCTCTTTCCTCACTTCATTAATTAGCATTTTATTAATTCACTGAGAGTTACAACATAATGAAAAGAACATTGTAACTTAAATAAAGGTCCCTAGTCAGTTTGGAAATTAAACGTAAATGCCTGGGTTCTCTCTAAAAGTGAAGATGACAGGCCACCAACCAAGTGCTTTCACCTCCTCAGCGGAGCTGTACAACCCCGGGGTATTTGCTTGTTTCACCCTTCTTATTTTACTTCCTCTGTGTCTCTTCAAAAGACTTACCCAGTTTTAGAAAACTGGTGCCAGCCTCTGATCTAAGCAAATCATGACACAGATGGAATTGTTAATTAAAATCAAAAGCTAATAAATACCATTCCTTTTATTTTTGGTTGATTTTATTATCATTACTGCTTATTCTTATATTCTTATTTATTACCTATACTAGAATTGGTCATTAGTATAATGGTAGAATATGTGGCATGGGTTGTTACGATTCCATATCACAGTTACAGGAGTGGAGGGATGATTTCTAGAAAATTCTATGCTTCATTAGGATAAATGTGAGGTTGTAATAAAAGCCCATCGCTTTTATGACTCTGTTTAAAAACAATCCTAAATAGACTACTTGTTTCTAGACAATGTACAGTTATTTATTTCTCAGATTGTATTATTCCCTCATACAGAAATATATGATTTTCTGCTTCGAATTTTTAATTATTCTCTAAAATTAACTACCAGGGTTTACTCTTGATCCTTCAGGAGTCTCTTGGTCTTTAATAGCACCAGGTGAAGCTTGTGTTAAGGGTTCAATTTAATGATCGGTTTATTATGTTGGCATCTGTTCTCCCCTCATTCCTTCTTCTCAGTCTTTAAATGTCAAGATCAAAGAGATTAATTCATAAAATATTTCATCTCAAATTTTATCTTTCATCTTATGCCAAAGTTTTCTTAAAACTGAGACACTCACAATGATTCAGCATACATCTGCCAGAACAGAGTTGCACCCAGAACTGCCCTCAGGCAGCCTCTGGGCGTTACCCCAGCAATAACAGCTGTTTCAGGGAGCTGAGTCTTTCCTTCAGGTGCGATGAAGTCTCCCGGTGCCATGTTGAAGGCTGAGATCCTTGGGTGGTGCCATGTTCCCTAGGAATACTCAAACTACAGGATGTGACTGACTGACTTCCCGACAAACTTCATTCATACTTTTATCTGTCATTGTACAGACCCAGGTACAGTTATACATTCAGAGAGTGAGTCGGGTGCATACAAGATGCAGCACCTATAAAGAGGTCAATGTTGATAAGGCATTTTTATCAAGTGCAACATAAGGAATTTCTTTGAACCACAGGCATGAACTAAAAACATCATGCTGTTATTCTACTTCATAGCTGCTTTTGCCTGGCTGTGTATTTTGTACACATTTTAAACTCTTTTGAAATGTATCTTTTTTTTTTTCTTTTTCTTTGAGAAGGAGTCTCGGTCTGTCGCCCAGGCTGGAGTGCAGTGGCGTGATCTCAGCTCACTGCAAGCTCCGCCTCCCGGGTTCCAGTCATTCTCCAGCCTCAGCCTCCCAAGTAGCTGGCTATGCAGGCGCCCACCACCACGTCCGGCTAATTTTTTGATTTTTTTAGTAGAGACGGGGTTTCACCATGTCAGCCAGGATGGTCTCGATCTCCTGACCTCGTTATTCGCCCGCCTCAGCCTCCCAAAGTGCTGGGATTACAGGAATGAACCACCGCGCCTGGCCAAAATATATCTTTTTTTATTTGAAGTAAAGACATTTTTCCTTAATCTATGCTATCTATCACACACCACTATTAGTTTTTAAAGAAGCATTTATGTTCAAAAAATCAGTGTTTGTTAGGAGTAATACTAAATAATATTTAGCTTTCTAAATTCTCTGTTTTGCTTTTTTAATGATTGATTTGGGGGTCTGTTCTTTTGCCTTTTACAGATTCTCTCTCTCTTTTAATAGCTGGATACGTTCCTTCTGTTTTACTTTACTTGCCCTCATTAGGCAAATTTAATTTACAGAATTCTATTTGCAATTTTAGTCTTTGGACATTAAGAAATTTGGTGTATTCATGTGTGGTGGTTAGCTTATGCGACTTTTGGCATGTCCTGTGTGCAACATTCTTATCTATGCCTGTTTTCAGGAAACAGAAACTGCAGTCTAAGTTTTGATTACATTGCATTTCCTTCTAGCAAATGGATTCCGTGCTGTTTAAAACAAAATATATTAATCAAAGATGTTAAACTACTTATATACTCAGCAATGATTTTGTGATTAAAGTTACACTCTACCAGGTTACAGTGAAAGAAAATTTTCTTATTCTTATGTAAAGCAAAATTTCAGTTTGGAAGATAGGTCTATAAGGGAATTAGTGATATTTGAGTAGACACAGAACAATTTCTTTTTCCTCCAAGGAGAAGCAGAAAAAAAAAACAAGGCAAAGCAAAGGAAAATGGAAGAGTGGAGGATGGCAGAAGGAGGATAAAAGATGAAGAGTATGAAAAGGTACTGAGAGGGGTGAAGTGAACCAGAGTTTAGAGGCAGAAGGCAGAGGAACTCGAGGAATAAAATAATGAATGTAAAGACAAAATTACAACCCACGCTGTCCAATTACCATTGAAAAGCAAGTCCAAGGCCAGGCGCAGTGGCTCATGTCTGTAATCCCAAAACTTTGGGAGGCCGAGGCAGGTGGATCACCTGAGGTCTGGAGTTCAAGACCAGCCTGGCCAACATGGTGAAGCACCATCTCTATTAAAAATACAAAAACTAGCCAGGCGTGGTGGCAGGCATCTGTAATTCCAGCTACTTGGGAGGCTGAGTCACAAGAATCACTTGAACCTTTGAGGCAGAGGTTGCAATAAGCTAAGATTGCACCACTGCACTCCAGCCTGGGCAACAGAGTGAGACTCTGTCTCAAAAAAAAGGAAAGAAAAGCAAGTCCAGGAAAAATGTCAGAATGGTTTGAATTTCAGAAGAGAAAAAACTTACTAATGGAATAAGACAGCTGATCAGTTAAGTGGTGGCATAGCCCATGTAGAATTCAGATAGAAGATAATCAGTGGATTCATTCAGGGACAAATCTATGCATTTAGGGAATTCATTTATGAATGAAGTACTAAAATTATTTCAAAATCTCTTCTTATTGACAACATTTATGTTTTTGTGACTAGAACCAAAGGCACCACATAAAAAGTCATGGCCAATTAACTTTCATGATTCTACTTGTTGGGAGTAGAAAGGACTGGCATCCTATGAACAACGACGTTCCTTTCAGCAGAACTGGCTGCTTCACCCTCTGGAAACATGAAGGGTGCCCTGGCAATGAAGAGCCTTTGGGAGGAGTATCTAATTTTTCACATCATTCAGTTCTTGGGAATCTGCTTATTCTTTTTCCTTGTTTATTTTGTTTATATTAGAGAAAGAAGGGCTTTGTGCTCAGTCTCTGTGTGTTCCATTTGAACTAACCATTAGGCTCCCAGAATTTTATTTTTGCAGGAAGTAGTTTCTATAATTATATGAGTCTCATTTCCCCCAATAACATTTTTCTTTTTTCCTTATTTTCCTACAGACTTGACCAGGGACATAAGTGTAAATTTTTTTAAAAAAAAAAGAAAGAAAGAAAAAATTTTATCAGCATTAAAATGAAAAAATCAAAAAGTTGCAATATTTCAACGTATTATATACTTTCCCCTTGCTCCCCACTCCTATTTTTTTTATTTTTATATTTTTGATTTCTTGGCTTGATCAGCATTAATTGTCGTCTTGTATCTCTTTGGCTGCTTCTGGAAGTACTTAATTTGGAAACTATGGTGACTCAGATATCAGCTTAAGCACTAGGGGGAATTTACAACAAATTCTGGGACTGTTTTATTAGAGTCTATCAAGTCACTTGTATAGCATGGGGCATGCAAAGTTACTCAATGAGAAATACTCTAGGCAACTAGTAAACGTTTAATAGTACAACATTACCAATACTTCCTAAGTAGTCACACAATACAGATTATTGTTTAGTTATGTCAAAATATAATTGCTATATCCCATCGAAAGCCATTAAAATCTAAATATGAGGTAGAGGAAATTGACAAACAATCTCATTGCATTGCACAGGCATCATCAGAATGATTCACCTGACCAAAGTGACCAATGAAATGGATTAAAGGAAGTGGTTAACATTAAATTTATTGTAGCAGTAAATTTAAAGCCAAATGGTAAAAAAAAAAAAAAAAAAACTTCTTTAAAGTTCTGATAGGAGCAAAGAGATTGAACTAGTTGTGCATTGAACTGTGACCACCTCCTGCCCCCACAACTCACTTAAAAGGAGAGATATAATTCGAATTTTTAAAATCTGGGGCAAATACTCAAAACTATTTCTCTGAATCAATCCCATCAGATAAAATCAGAAATGCAGAATGAAGCAAGATGATATCCCAAGGGTAAGTAAGTAATTGTCATTAGATAATTAAGCCTGAAAACAATATGACACAGGAATAAAATTCTTCCCATAGAGATAGAAAGCAAAGAGGAAAAAGAGGAGAGACACAGGAAAAGAAGGGATGACCCGAAGAAGATTCTCTGGACTCCTTGCACAGTGCTCCTAGACAGGTGCACATTTTGGCAGCGTATAATTATAAAGTTAACAACTTAGCCAGCATTTTCTTTTATGAGAAAGAAACTTTTGATTCTCCTAACAACCTTGTGAAGGAGGCAATGTTGAATGTCTGTTTTGCGGAGGAGGAAAATCACCTCTGGGAGGTCACTGCCTTCCTCAAGTTTGTCAATTACTAAATGCACCGATTCAGGATTTCAACTTGGATCTGCAGACACTAAATCCAGCGCTTTTCCCATCATGTTTTCAGTGGGATCCCCTGAGAGGAACCACGAGTACCTGGAGGCAAAGGGTAAACAGAGCTGGATGATAAGAAGGTAGGAATTGAGAAGAGGAGAGGAGCAAAAGCAAAAAAAGAATGAGCATAAAATAAAAACACATTTTGCCCCCTAAGTGATTTCAAGTATGGAACTTCTTTGTAAACTTGACAATGTTTCACAAATGTATTTGTAAATCGTGTCCAGTCTTATACAAGGAAAACAAGGGCAACCACTCCCCTGCCTTTTTTTTCTGTTTCATCTTCTGCTATAGGAGCCCTGGCTCTGGGCCTCAAAATGAAGATGGGGGAATTGGTGAATAGAACAGGGCAGGATTGTGGTTAAGAGTGGAGGTCTTTTATCCAAACTTCTGAGTTTGAAAATTCAGTCTGACCCTTTCTACTTGTGTGTTACATTATAAACCTAAGTCTCCGTTTCCTAGCTTTGAAATGAAAAAAAGTTAGTGCCTCTCAGGATTTGGGTGAGAATTAAATCGGGTCATTTGTGTGACCTTTGCAGAGTGCCTGGTAGACACCATACACCCGGTGAGGGCTAGCTTAGGTAAACAAGCTTTTGTGAACCAACTTGGTAATCTAATCACACAATAGTATTGTTTTATTGGAAAAGCCATTCTAAATTTTGACAACCTATAAATGAGGTTCTGAGTAAGTTGTAAACTGCCTAAGAAATTGTGTTGATCTTAATTTTTAAATAAATGCAATTATTAGTATGCTATAATTTTAACCCTTGGAAACTGAACCAAGGAAAAATGGGAGGGATACCTACATGAGACAGTGGAAAGAAAAACACTGCTGAGAAGCACAGTTTAGACCGAGAGTGGTCGCTCATGCCTGTAATCCAAGCACTTTGGGAGGCTGAGGCCAGAGGATCACTTGAGCCCAGGGGTTTGAGACCTGTCTGGGTAACATGGCAAATCCCCGTCTCTACGAAAAAATACAAAAATATCCAGGTATGGTGGCATGCCTGTGGTGCCAGCCACTTGGGAAAGAGATTGCCCTATTTCTCGTCCACTCTTCACATACTGTCTTTTCTGGCTTTTCTTCATTCCGTTTGTCCTTAGTGGAAGGAGGTTCATGTTTGCAGTGACTCATTTAGACTCTTTTGGGGATGGAATTTATTGGGAGATAGGCATTTAGACATTAACCAATGCAGCATCAAGCAAAAAAAAAAAAAACTATTTGCATGGAATTTACATTAACCATATACCAGTGAGTAACCACCTGCAACTCATACTCATTTCAGAAACCAGGGATGACTGTTTTCATTTAGAGTGGTGAATCAATGTTAGGCATTCTAACAGGAAAAAATTAGTTGGTCATAAAGATCTATACTCATCTCCCTGCCCTAATCTTCCCCCTTTAGGATCATTGTATCAAACTGTACTCACACTTGAGGATTTACCTACTTTTCAGAGATCTTAACATTGCTCTAAAGTGTTCCATTTTCATGACTCAACCCAAGGATATTTAAGTACACCCAGAGTGTTGAGAATATAATTATGTAGGTAGTATGAGTTTGTGGCAAAATTGTGCTCAGATTCCAATTCTGCCACCAACAAATTTAGTGTTCCTATAATAACCATGGGAAAGAAGCCTTCAATAGTAATAATCTAACATTAATAATCATTAATTACCAATAATAACTCAAATATCACTTTGTAAAAGAGGTTTTCCCTGATCGTCCTGTGTAAAATAGATGCTTTCCAACCCTGTCACTATCCCATGTCCATCTTTTATTTTCATAGCATCTAGCGATGATATTATTTCTACATTTGTTTATTTGCTCATATATAAATGTGTTTATTTACATATAAGAGCTGAGATTTTGATTTTTCAGCCATGGTCTTAGTGACTCTGGGCAGATGTTTTAACACCAAGTCTAGAGTGGGCTGAGAAGCCAGAAACAGGCCTCTAAGATGTCACAGACACTAACTTGCTATGAAAACTTGAGCAAATCATAGAGTTGCCAGGTCTGCAGGTTTCTTTCTCTGCCAAATGAGCTAGCAGTGCCGGCCCAGCCTGCCTCGCAGGATCAGCGAGGATCTTGCCACCAAAGATGGAGACAGGGTGGAGGGGAGAATGAGATGTTCCCAGCAGGAGAGAAACAGGTGTGAGCAATGCAGAACCCAGGAGAAGCACAAAAAGCGGAATAAATGAAAGGAAGGCAGGGATTTAAAGAAAGCTGCTGAGGAATGGTGAGGTTGGTCTAGATCACCACTTCCCAATGCAAGAACACACAATGTGGCACAGCTGGGGCTACATGAGACTCAGGAAAGTGTCAGAGAAGCAAGAAAGGAGCAAAGATGAGCATTGCATCTGCATGTTGCAGCCTTGAGTGTTGATGGAAATAGATTCAGTTGGTTGGCAACAGGTCCGAAGGAGATGCCAATACGTAACATGTCAAAAATGCATGTAGAACAACAACAAAAACCTGTGAGGACCAAAAGAGAAAAGCACATGACTATGTTTTGAACACCTAAACTTTAAAAAGTACAAGCAACAAATTCTAATATGTGGGCATTTACTTTATTTGGGGGTTCTGCTTATTTTTGTAAATGGACAGGACACCACAGGAAGTAGGAGTGTATGCGGTTACTTTAACCTCAAGCTTTCTGCATGTGTCATTCTCAAGCACAGAGCCTTTCTCTTGTAACTACAGCTGCGGAGGCTCAGTGGTTTATCTGTTCCAAGTGGATGTCTTTGCTGGGTAGGACAATGACCACACTCAGGTGATCCTCCACGTTGGGCATCTCAAGCACTTGTAAAGGAGGGTCCTTAATGGAGCCTCCTTTTAAAGCTAAATGGAGCATGTATCATCTCCACAGGTCTGCTCTGAGACTACAAAAGTAAAAACAGTGAAATAATAAAGCCAATCTCTTTCTTTTGCTATTTAGGACATAGAAAATTTATGTTTATTTTCATCCTCCAAAATTGCCTACAGTTGGTGGCAAAAGAAAACCATCCATCCGTCTTTAGAAATACCTACGATTGAACGTTATTTTGATGACATAAAGAGGGGAGGAACCTAAACAAAGCTGCTACTAAAGTCCAAAGTATTCAAGTTCCCCAATATATTAATTTCATTCAGGTGTACTTTTTTGACTTCCAGATGCAGTTAATTCACTTCAAAGGGCTGGGAAATACCCACACCATAAGATCTTACCAGGATAACCATTTTTAAAGGACAAATAGGTCCTTTCAAGAGCATAATTTAGAAGTCTCTCCAGCTCGAGTAAAATCTGACTAATCTTAACTAGTCAGCAGCATTGAGCTGATTCTGATAATTTCTGGAGTTACAAAATAGCTAAGAATGTGACAAAGCACTAGGTGAGCTCTCATAATTGGACTACTTTAAGGAAATTTTGTTATGACCATAATGATACTTTATGTTTTTATCTTTGAAATGCTAGTTAACAGGTATATACACCTGCATTGTGTATATAAGCCAAATGGATGAGATTTTTCTGTGAAATAAAATATTCTGTTTTGTTAGCTGCTTTCTCTAGCAAATCTATTTGCTGTGGGGTATGCTTACCCCTTTGAGCATCTCTTTATGAATCCTGCTAAAATAGCCCATTTTCTACATACTGTGATTCCCCAACCGGGCTGATCCTTGGAAGGACCTAAGGGGCTCTTTGAAAATATGTATACTCAAGTTCATCATGCAAATCAGAGTCCCCAGGAAGGTGGCCCTAGAATCTGTATTTTCAAAAATCACAGCCATAACATCTATATAATTTATTGTTCATTTTATAACCTCAAAATGTGAATGTGATGGTAATATTCTTTGTAAGGGCATTACTACATACTTCCAGATATGACTAATGTGTTTGGCTAGAGGTTTATGTTTCTCCTTAATTTACTACTTATTTTATATGAAAAGTATTTATTCAGAAATAGAAAGTCTATTCTTACAGTTGACAAGAACAAATTTTAAATTTACTTGTAATTTCAAGCATTCCTTGGTGGGCTGGAATAAATGCATTTGATAGCACAGTGGCTTAGTTATTATATACAGATCAATTCTTTCTTGTTAAATAACATGTCTTATTTTGGTTGTGGCCTGATATTTGGGACATTTTTGACACTTAGAAAAGTTGGGAAGGCTGAGGGTGCTAAGTAGAAGGGCAGTAAGCCTAGAACCTTCCACCTTGACTGTGCATTTTGTTCACCAGTTCAGCTTGGCTTTGTAGGGAGATCAAACTCATTTTAGAAGTGACCTGCCTGGTGCAGCAAACCACCATGGCACATGTATACCTAGGTAGCAAACCTGCACATTCTGCACATGTATCCCAGAACTTAAAGTATAATTTTAAAAGAAGTGATTTGCCTGTTAGTTCCTCAGTTGTCTCTTGCTGTTATTTTCTATTGCCTGACCTTATTTCCAGTTAGCAAGAGGTAAGTGGCTTGATAATAGTTTAAGTGGTCTTAACCAAGACTTATTTTAAATACTTTCAAAGTCTATATTTCATAGCATTTTTCAATTGTACAACTGCATTGCTAAAATAGAATTTCTATTTTTATACAGGGTAAAAAACAGTGGAAAATTTTAAAGAAAGGTTCAACAAAAAAATAAATATTTTATAAATCAAAATCTGCTTTTTATTGCAAATGTAGCTAGGATAGCCACTTGGAAATTAATTTGCTTCCCTAAGGCCAGAAATAATTTAGCAGTTCTTAAGGACAAAAATTTTGAGGATTACTTTTAAGAGATAAACAAATTAAGCCATGAGACTACATGAGACCACCTCATCCAACGTGAAAGCCATTGCTTTTGTTTGGTCTTTCTGAAGTGCATTTTTCTGGTTCTCTCTGAAGGAGATGGCATTAACCAACACCAGCTGATTGGGAGATATGAGGCTGTGGGGTGATAAGAGATCCTAGATTTCACCCGTGGGAAGTGAAACAAAGCAAGACCATACTTAATCAACAATTGAATATGAATTATTTTCACTGGTTTTGTTTTGACTTTAGATCTATTTTTAACTGGCATATATAATTAACACCAGATATCTTCATATGAACCAAAAACAAGACTTTTGAGCAAATATGTAAAGCATTCCCAATTATATAATGGACAAGGAATGTGGAAGATGCAGAAGAAAAGAAAGTGAGTGTATAGCCTATTTATCTATTTTATAGAAACATGCAAAATTGTGGATGAAATTTTCTTGTCATACTGTTAATAAATGTTATACTGTTAATGTGTCTTTGTTTTTCTACCTTCAGTAAAATCCTTGACTAATAATAATGACATGGAGCAAAAACTCAAATGTAAAATAAAAGACAAAATCTTCTGAGAAAATCTAGCATATTTTCTTACATGTACATTTGCATGTACCCTATGACCCAGCAATTCCACTAGTAGATATTTATTTAACAGGAGTGAAAGAATATGTACTCAAAAAGCCTTTTACAGGAATATTCACAGCAGCATTATTCATAATAGCTAAAGAAATACCTGAGACTGGGTAATTTATAAAGAAAAGAGATTAATTGGCTTACAGTTCTGAAGGCTGTACAGGAAGCACAGTGGCTTCTGCTTCTAGGGAGGCCTCAGGAATCTTCCAGTCATGGCAGAAGACAAAGAGGGAGTGAGGCGTCTCACATGGCAGGAGCAGAAGCAAGAGAGAGAGATGGGGGAGGTTCTACTCACTTTTAAATGATCAGATTTCATGAGAACTCACTATCGTGAGAATAGCACCAAGGAGATAGTGCTAAACCATTCATGAGAAACTGCCTCCATGATCCAATCACCTCCCCCCAGGCTGCACCTCCAACGCTGGGGATTACAATTCTACGTGACATTTGGTGGAGACACAGATCAAAACCATATCATAAACTCTGAAAAATTCATGCTTCAGCTGGGTCTGCCTAAAGTATGATTGAAGTTGTTACAAGCTAGCAACTGAAAGTTAGAATCCTAAACTCTTTTGTATTTTATATGAAACAAAATGCATGTATAAAATATATTTTATATTCTATATTAGCATGTATTTATCTATCTGTAATATCTTTTTTATTTTCCCATAGTTTTGCGTGCATTTATCTATCTGTAATATCTTTTTTATTTTGCCACAGTTTTGATAGCACAGACAATTCTAGAGTAGATTAAATAAAGACAGAAAGAAAAGGTTTCGACTTTATTTATGGAAACATGTTTTATTCTAACTTACCAAGAGAAGTGGATGAGCTGCTTCTGCAAAAATTCCACTTGCCATGTGGGCTTGATTGCAGCTGGACTTACTGATTTCAGAGAGGAAAGCTTGAATACGTGAATAGACTCTTCTATCTTGATCACATAAGATAGTGTTAGAAAATACTTGAAAATGGGAATTGTGGTATCTGGTACTTTAGTATTAACTGAAGTTGACAAAAAAGGAACCAAATACTATTAATTCCACTATTTGTACATATTTATTTTATATGAAAAGTATTTATTCAGAAATAGAAACTCTAATTTTACACTTGACAAGAACTCATTTTATATTTACCTATAATTTCAAGCACTTCTTGGTGAGCTAGAATGAACATGCTTGATAGCACAGTGACTTAGTTATTATATACAGATCCATTCTTTCTTATTAAGTAGCATGTCTTATTTTGGTTGTGGTCTGTTATTTGGTACAATTTCTGGACACTAAAAATAGAGGTTGGGAAGGCTGAGGGTGATGGAAGGGTGGTAAACCTGGAGTCTTTTGTCCTTACTGTGAATTTCATTGACCAGTTCTACTTTACTTCTGAAAGAGATAATGACCATTTTACAGGTGGCCTGACTGCTAGCTCCTCTCTATATTGTCTATTGCTGTTATTTCTCATTACCTGACTTTATTTCCAGTTTGCAATAAATAACTTAAATTCTTGCTTTTCACCAAAATGTGCAGCCTGACAATCTGAGTGAACGTGGAGAGCAGGCATCAGAGCAACATGTTACAATCATAAAGGAGTAAAGGGTGACTTGGCACATCCCTGCCCAAGTCAGAATTCATCCTATCTTCCCCACCAGCTGGCCCAGAGCAAACAATACTGACGTATTAATTTTAGTACAGTTGACATCAGGAAAATGTATTTGCTGTGTGTTTTAATACGTAAGAATTATGAGCCATAAAATCTGGTCTTAGCAGCCCCACCATGGATGATACTGGGGAAGCCCACATCTTTTATGAAGTGACAGATGGCTGTAGACAAATGAAGGTATACATTATACATTTCCCCCAGAAATGAACATATATCAATAAAACTCATAAAGTCAAACCATCTTCATATAGTTACAATTTCAAAATATGATATATTTATCTCTTTGTGGTTGACATTCCCATATTCATCTACATTTTTTGATCCTTGTATTTGTTGAAAACTCACTATCATCTAGGGACTGTTTGAAGCAATTCTACCCTCTGGGTGGCTTTTGGGATTGCGTTATGAAATGTCTGTGAGAATAATCTCCCTTTTGCACTTACTGCTCATGGGAGAGAATAGCTCTTTTTCTTCAAGACACATTGTGTCCAGCTTAACTATTTGAGTTTTTTAATTGTCACCTCTTATTTCCAAATCTTAACATGATTAATTCTTTCAAAGAAGCATGGTAGGAGTTTGTGTATGTATCTACATTCTAGATGCAAAGGATGTATGGAACAAATACTGTTTATCTCCATAAACATTTAATCCTCATGGACTGAAGATGGACTGCTGTAATAGAAGTAAAAATGAAAACAGAAACAATACCTCCTCATTGGAAGAACTTGAAGTTCTTGTTAATTCATCCAAGTGGAGCACCTGCAATGGAAAACAAAGAACGATTTTCAAAGGCTTTGCAAATGTTATGCCAAAAGACCAGATAGTGACACAGCAGGCCATTTTCTTGTCATAAATGATACACTTTTTACATTTTTATGAATTTTCTGTTATTCATTCCACCTGTCTTTTTTTCTGTTTCTTACTTTTGTTCCTCATCTTTAAAAAATCATATTATTTGAAAGAAGAAAGGTGAGTTTGAAAATAAAACCTTTCAAGTGCTCTTAGGCAGTGTTCTGAGTGTCGGAAAGTTAAGAATGGGGGGTAGGCATTAACTCTTATATATGTATATTCACCATTACAACCCTTGCGTTAGAAAGCAAACTAAAGGTTTAAAAAGACTTTAAAATAAATTCAGGCTTGCTTAATTGTATTTCACATTGACCTCAGAATTATATGCTGGGTATAAAAAAAACAGGACAGAAGAAAAAGTACTTGCTATATTATTCCATTTATTTGAAATTTTAGAATAGGCAACCCAATCTATGATGGTATAGAAAAAGCAAACTGAAGGTTTAAAAAGATGTTTTAAAACCAATTCAGGCTTGCTTATTTGTGTTTCACTTAAATTTGTTCATCTGTGCTTTGCTAGTTGTGAAACATAGTAGGAACCTCATAAATATTTGTTGAATGAAGGATGAATAAATAGTGAATGGATAAATGAATGCATTTTAATATCATTTGCAGGTAGTTAATATTATTTATTGTTCTCTGGCCATATACAAATAATGATTTGAATTCACATAATTGGTAATTATTTTCAGGTTGCCTTCACAAATATTATCTGATTTGCTCTGCACAGTATCCCTTTGAGACTCCAGGAGCTGGTACTATTTTTCTTCACTACTATTAACATGTTTCCTGTAGTACTGTAGTCACAAGGCAACTTGATATGGTTTGGATCTCTGTCGCCACCCAGATCTCACGTTAAATTGTAATCCCCAGTGTTGGAGATAGGGCCTGGGGAGAGGTGATTGGATCGACCATGGGAGTGGATTTTCCCCTTTGGTTTTGTTCTTGTGATGGAGTTCTAATGAGATCTGGTTGTTTAAAAGTGTGTTGCCCCTTCCCCTCCACCCTCTCTTCCTTCTGCTCTGGCCATGCGAAGTGCTGACTTCCCCTTTGCCTCCCACCATAATTGAAGCCATGCAGATGCTGCCATGCTTCCTGTACAGCCTGCAGAACTGTGAGCCAATTAAACCTTTTTTAAAAAATAAATTGCCCAGTCTCAGGTATTTCTTTTTCTTTTCTTTTTTTTTTTTTTTTTGAAATGGAGTCTTGCTCTGTCGCCCAGGCTGGAGTGCAGTGGCGCGATCTCAGCTCACTGCAACCTCCAACTCCTGGGTTCAAGTGATTCTCCTGCCTCAGCCTCCCGAGTACCTGGGATTACAGGTGCCCACCACCTCGCCAGGCTAAGTTTTGTATTTTTAGTAGGAGACGAGGTTTCCCCATGTTGGGCCAGGCTGGTCTCGAACTCCTCAGGTGATCCGCCAGCCTTGGCCTCCCAAAGTGCTAGGATTACAGGTGTGAGCTACCACGCCCGGCCCAGTCTCAGGTATTTCTTTACAGCAGTGTGAGAATGGACTAATACACAACTACTTGGCTTACTTGAGGTATAACCATAATTTCCTAAGGTCTCTATCAGATAACAGCTAAATCAAAAACCTGCAGATCTCTTCAGATATTTAAACGCTGAGTGCTTTTATTATGTTTTGTGTGGTTTTTAAAAGTAGAAATGAAATACACAGGCAGCAGATACAGAACAGATATAATAACCGATATTAAAACAAGGAAGAGAGCTTGCTGTGCATGTGCTTTGAAGAGCAAGAAAATTATAATGGAGCAATGATTATAGAGAGGTAGACTCCAGCTCAATGTGAGGAACAACTTTCTAACCTTTAGAGCTGTCTGAATGTTTTTGAAAGGCTCGTGTTAGAAGACACAACGCTGCTCCATAATCTAGGGAATGCATGAATGGCGCCCCCTGGTGTTGCTTCCATCATCATCCTCATTATCATCATTTCCATTACCGCCATCATCAAAAGAAAAGTGCAATTATTAAGCCTGCAATTCTAAGCATTTGGCTCAATCTCTGAATGTTTTGGGGGAAGAATCATTAAGAGGAAAAATATGAGAATTCTTCTTCATTTTTGTATGGGAAGAAGAGAAGGAAAAGTTTGATTTGATTCTGTTCTTACTCGGTCAGCTTGGCTGTCAGAGACAAATAATTATTTCCACTCCAGACTCTCTGTCTGACTTGTGCCCGCAGCACTGCAGCCCACACCATATCTCTGGTTGCAAAACCTGAGGCAGCACAAGTGCAGCCAAGGCGGCCAGCCAGTCTCTCACGTTGAAGAAAGCGGGTGAGGACAGAGGGATTCTACCCTATGCATCCACATCCCAAGATGATTGTAAAGATTCCCACAGCTTCCTCATTCTCAACTATGTCTCCATCTCCACATATATATACTTACCAAACACATATTATGGGTGAGTCACTCAGGAGCTATTCTTCTAATGCACGCAAAGAGAAAAAAATGGAACACAACAGCCTTAACATTTAATTTTTCTTTCTTTTCTTTTCTTTTTTTTTTTTTTGAGACGAAGTCTTGCTTTTGTCCCCCAGGCTGGAGTGCGATGGCACAATCTCGGCTCACTGCAACCTCTGCCTCCCAGATTCAAGCGACTCTCTTTCCTCAGCCTCCTGAGTAGCTGGGATTATAGGCGCCTGCCACCATGCCCGGCTAATTTTTGTATTTTTAGTAAAGACGGGGTTTCACCATGTTGGCCAGGCTGATCTCGAACTCCTGACCTCAAGTGATCCACCTGCCTCAGCCTCCCAAAGTGCTGGGATTATAGGCGTGAGCCACCAGGCCTGGCCAATTTTTCTTGTTTTTAAAAATAACATTAAATTCCGTGTTAGACTACAGCTTCTCAATTAACTTCCAGTTTAAAACCCAAATTGGGAGAAGGCTTGTTCCATTAGTTAATTATCCCCTCTAAAATAGAGAGATAATTAAGGCAAATGGAAAGATCCCTACTAAGAAATATTTTCTCCACTCACCTAAAATTCTCAATTGAGTTGCAGTACTATTTACCCTTAGAAGATTGTAAATTCTTTCATTAGATTATAAGCCTCTTGGGGACAGAAGCCTTATGAAATATTCTTTATGTGATCTATAGTCATTTGTTTATTCATCCAGCAATTATTGAGTCAATGGGCAAAAATAGTTTTGTAAAGCCTCCTTAGCGCTGGGTGCTAGAGGCACTGGTCATTTACTATGCACAGAGCACAATTCAGCACAATCCTGAATATTGTATACTTATCATCTGACTTGAGTTATCCACTTGTGTCTTAAAACACATTAATTTCAGTCCACCTGGCACCTAGATTGTGTTTTGAGAAAACAGATCACATAAGAGGAAGTAGAAGAAAGGAGGTTAAAGGGGCCCGAATTTTAGGAAGCATCTTGGGATGCTGACTTACACCAGGATGGCACTTGGTAGCTAAGAATGTACAGGAAGGGATGGAGGTGGGGACTCCCAATTTTCCATGGGCCTGGTTGGCATCATTGAGTGTGTCTCCTCCTTCCAGCCTCGGCTATCCCTTCTTCGACTGCTCCACAGAAGAGAGCTATGGACACTGTTTTTTTTTTTTTTTTCCTGAGACGGAGTCTCGCTGTGTTGCGCAGGCTGAGGTGTAGTGGCATGATCTCGGCTCACTGCAAGCTCCGCCTCCCGGGTTCACGCCATTCTCCTGCCTCAGTCTCCCGAGTAGCTGGAACTACAGGTGCCCACCACCACGCCTGGCTAATTTTTTTGTATTTTTAGTAGAGACGGGGTTTCACCATGTTAGCCAGGATGGTCCCAATCTTCTGACCTTGTGATCCACCCACCTCGGCCTCCCAAAGTGCTGGGATTACAGGCGTGAGCCGCCGCGCCCGGCCTATGGACACTCTTACCTTTTACACCCTTTTTTGAGGGAGGCAATTTCCTAGGAAACTTTAGGCGAGAGTGGACCTTCTCTTGTGTTTACAGAGTCCAGCATCTATAAAATCTCCATATCATGACAGTGTTTGAAATTGTAACCTGATTGTCCTCTAGACATGACTGAAAGTGTGTTGTGATGCACCTTCTCCATGTGAGATGCACTGTTGCCTCTGGCTCCAAAAAGCCCCACAGCCAAGGAGACAGGAGAGTCAAGGGACAAAAGAAGAGATTCTCAGTTGCGTGGCCATAGCTAATTTCTTTAAAGGCATCAAAGCAGAATTGTGCATTTGCTGCACTGAAAGAGCCTCTTTCTCTACCTGCATCTGGAATACAAAGGCAAACGTCAACAACAACCATAAAAATATAAATTGAAACACCACTATTTAACAGTTTATTTCAAATTAGGGCAAGACTTTTATTTTGTCAACATAAGTGCTCAGCGAGGGGCTTTGGGGAAGCAAAAATAATGCAGATTTTATAACCAAATACATTTCCTACTCTGCCATATTCTAATTTTATGGCCAGTTACCTAAGATCTTTTGGCTTCTATTTCCTTTTCTCGAAAAGTGCTTAAATAACAGCTTCCTTATAGGATTAGTGCAATGATTAAATCATGTGATGTTTATGGGGTTCCCAGGACAGTGCCTGCAAATGGTGGTCGAGTAATGCCATTTTGTTACTATTGCTGTTGTTATTGTTAGCTTAGTTTAGTTCCCTTTGTCAGGGTAATAACAAAAAAGACAATGTTATAATTTTGATCCCAATAGGCACATGACCTCACTGCATCTTGCAGAAGTACACAAAAGGGGCTGAAGGAGAGGGTAAGTATGCACCAGCCAAAGCCAATTCCCATCCCCATTTCCCATTGGAAAAACATCTCAAAGTACACATCCTTTCACAGTGGGTTGGCAGTGCCATCAACATAAATAAAGGAGTATACTATTTTATCTGTATTTTTAAGGTGGGGAAAAATATAACTAAGTGTATTATCATCCTATAGAATGAATATTCTACTTTCTTCTTTGGAGTCTTCTTCAAATATTTACTGAGAGACAGAGTTTCCTGTTCTAAGGTTTTTGGAACTGGCAGAGCTCACCTGGGCTTAATGCCTTCTCAAGTGGTTGCTCACAGCCACAATAGGGTTTTGGAACTCTGAGTCTCTTCAAAGGAGCTAACATAAAGCCATGTAAGAGAATTCCAGGAAGAACATTCCTTCATTCCTGCCTTCCTTCCTCCATTCACTAAACCCTCCCTTGCACTGGGAACTGTCTGGAGGAATAAGGCTGGAGAACAACTCGGGAAGTTCAGCATTGCTGCTGCTGCCTGGCACCTGCACTGAAGTCAGTTGCAGGTGGAATCAGGTAATGGGAGCCCATGCGCTGTGTTCTGCATCTCCCTTCCTTGCCTGAGGCTGCCGTGTTAAAAAACCATGGTGGGGTCTACAGCCTCTTGGGATTAGTGCTGGGACTAGGATGAAGGGACACCCTAGGGTGTCCTCGCTCCACTGTGTGGACTCTGTCCTTGCAGGACCCTGAGATGCTGAGAGTGAGCGTCTCTTTAAGAATGAGCCACATTTTGTGTAACATTTAAGGAGGCACTAACACTCAAGGCCATACGAGTACAGGGCTGGTACCTGAAAGTCAGCGTCTCCTTAACTTTTGCACCATAGCAGCCTCCTTTGCCTCACCCTATTCCTGCCCCTGCTTGAGACACCTGGTCAGGTCTTTGGATACAGCAGGTAGCAAGTCTTTTGGTGGCTGTATTGTTTGTTGTCTTATATCACATCACAGATGCTCCAGAGAGCTCCTAGAGTATCAGAATTAAAGTGATTCTGCCCTCTGCTATTGATGCAAATGGAGCACCTCAGTCAAGCAAAGTCAAAAAGTCTGAGGAAAACTGAGAAAAATGCCTTGTTCATCCTGCAGATTTTAAAAGGGGGAAGACTCATTATGAAAAGATTCCTTTAAAAAAACTTGAAAAGGAAAACTTGTGGTTGCTGGGTTTGGATGAGAATATTAATGGAAAAGTCATAATCCTTTCTTCTGAAAGATTTAATTTACGTTTGTCTTGCCAGCATCCGGAGGCCCTGCAGCAACTCTTTCAGCCTAGGGATGTGATTCCAATAAAACTGCCTTAAGAATTCCTACACAGACAAGAGTCAGCTTAAATAATTTGACTGGCTGGCTGGTTGACATTTCACAGAGACCAGAAATTTTACCACTTGTTTGGAAAGCTAACACTCTCATCATATCAACACAGAAATAAAAGCCTCTAAGACACCATGTATCTCTGTTGCCTAGTTGTCCCAGGACTAGAATGTCACACAACTGGGAAGAAATGGGAGAGGGGAAAAAGTGGGGGTCAGATGGGGATAAAGTCACAAGAAAATAGAAATAAAGGTAAAGGCGTGGCCCTGTTTCTAAGAGCTTGCAAGATACTGACTTATTGGTTTTTCCTCCTCACTCAACTGTTTGAGAAGCCTGCCCCCTGCTAAGTCATATGGATCATTATAATTAGATCCACAGAATCTAAGAAGCATGTTTGCTCTGCTGTAGGGATGATCAGTTGAAATGCCCAATCATAGATCCTTATAATGGAAAGCTTAAATCAGACAAATTTAAGTTCTAATACAAAATCTGTCTTTTGCTATGTATGTAGCAACTTACTTTTCTGCACCTGTACACATAAACTAGGGATAATAGAAGATACCTTACACTTTTACAAAGCTTGTTAAATGGTGACTAGAAAGCCTCTAAAGAGAAAAGTCACTCAATAATGTTATCTTCCTTTGCCCTTCTAAGAAATATAGATTTAACCCAAAGAGGAGTCATGGATTTGAAAAGAAAAGTGTCTACCCCCAAATCCTACAAATGGAGAAACTGAAGGGAGGGCTACCTGACTTGCTCAAGTCCACACATCCAGAAAACACCAAATTCAGAATAAAAAGCTAATTTTCCTCTAATTTTCCAGTACCTTTCCCTCTAATTTGACAGATAGAGACAAAATGGCCAGCTAAACACAGCCAGGAAACATTGCCCCCACTAAGAGAGAACAAAATAGTCGGTAAACCGACATACTTTGAGGAGACCTCTGGAGTGGCAACACCAACAGTTGATAGAGAAAAGATGCAGACACCAAGCCTGAAGAGGAGGAAGCTAGGAACCCTGCGTGGGGTTGCTGAATGCTAGGGCTAATTTCTAGGCCTGAGCAGTTTCTAGGGAAGGGGTGAGTGTAGGGTTGGAGGGGCTTCCCACTGTTGCCAAAGACCTCTGAGATATTAGCTACAAGAGATCTCATGCTCCTCATAAACATTTCAGCTGGCAGGAAGATCTCCCTGGAGAGTAGGCAGAGACCCAGCTCCAACCTGGGCAGAATCCAGGGACTTTGGCACATGTTGCAGCTGTAGCAGCATGCTGTCAGAGGTCCCCATCCCCAAGGGCACCCCATCTCCCTCTGAGTAGCTCTAGCCCCAGCAGACTGCAGGTCCAAGAGAGAGTGGGACCAGTTTCTCAGCAGGACTGGGGTGCTTCTGTTCTGCAGGCTCTCATGCCTGACAGGCCCTCCCAGGGACGCTGCCTGGCCACTCCCACAGAAGCCAGTGCACAACACAGCCTCCACTGCTCAGTATGAGTGCTCTACCAGAGGCTCTACCTGAGTACTTCCCTGTGGCCAGGAAGCACTTCACATCCCCCAGCATAACTGTTGCCTGATTCCAAGAGTCCAGAAGACAGAGCTTCAGTCCAGTCCTGGCACTCCAGGGCTGCAGTGTGCAGCTCAGGAGTGCCAAGCAGAGATCTATGGCTAACACTCAACTGGAGGAGGACACCCCCACTCTCAGAACACTGAGAGGGGTGAGACTCATGGGTTTGCAGACTGGCATGGGAACAGGATGTGCCTCCCTACATAAGACCAGACCAGGAAGGGTGTGGCCTGTCTCCTAGCCATGGCATCTACCTGAGGGAGCCCCACAGAGGGAGCCCTGTTAACCCAATAAAAGAAACACAGACAGTGCCAGTGTTTGGAGGGGGCTCTCCTGAGGCCCAGGAGTGAACCTAGTGAGGGGATCATCTCTCTGCATCCCCACCACAGAGCATGGCTACAAACGTGTGGAAATACAAAATAACCATGCAGCTGAGTAAGGGCCTATCTGCTAGCCATTACTCTTAAGCAACATCCACTGGATCACAGCCCAAATCACATAAAAAATTATTCTTCCAATAAACATTCCTATGACACTCAGGGCAAGAATCCAATCACAAATAAAGATCTTGTACAGAGACTTAGCCCTCTGAAAGCATCCAGAAATAAAGCCAATTGACTATACTCAACTTATGCCATAGTTAAAGATACATCAGCCCTTTCAGATGAAAAAGAATCAGTCCAAGATCTCTACAACTCAAAAATCCAAAGTATCCCCTTATCTACAAATGATTCCACTAGCTTCCCAACAGTGGTTCTTAGGCAGATTGGAATGACTGAAATGACAGACATAGAATTCAGAATATGGCTGCCAAGGCAGTTCATTGAGCTTCAGGAAAAAGTTGAAACCCAAACCAAGGAATCCAAAGAATCCAGTAAAACAATCCAAGAGCTGAAAGACAAAAATAGACATTTTAAGAAAGAACCAAACTGAACTTCTAGAATTGGACAATTCACTACAAGAATTTCATAATATAATTAGAAGTGTTAACAGCAGAATAGAATAGACCATGCCAAGAAAAGAATCTTAGAGCTCAAGGACTAGTTCTTTGAATCAATGGAGCCTTACAAAAATAAAGAAAAATAATTTAAAAAAATGAATAAAACCTCCAAGAAATATGGGATTTTGCAAAGAGATAGAATTTATGACTCACTGGCATTGCTGAAAGAGGGAAGAGGGTAAGCAACTTGGAAAACATATTTGAACATATAGTCCACAAAAATTTCCCCAATCTTGTTAGGTTGACATACAAATTCAAGAAATACAGAGAACCTTGGTGAGATACTATACAAGACCACCATCTCTGAGGCACATAGTCATCAGATTCATCAAGGAAAACATGAAAGAAAAAAATCTTAAAGGCAGCTAGAGAGAAGGGGCAGGTCATGTACAAAAAGAACTCCATCAGGCTAGAAGCAGAACTCTTAGCAGAAACCTTAATAAGTCAGAAGAGATTGGGGGCCTATTTTCAACATTCCTAAAGAAAAGAAATTCCAAGGCCGGGCATGGTGGCTCACGCCTGTAATTCCGGCACTTTGGGAGACAGAGGTGGGCAGATCATGAGGTCAGGAGATCGAGACCATCCTGGCTAACACAGTGAAACCCCGTCTCTACTAAAAATACAAAGAAATTAGCCAGGCTTGGTGGTGGTTGCCTGTAGTCCCAGCTACTCAGAAGGCTGAGGCAGGAAAATGGCATGAGCCCAGGAGGTGGAGCTTGCAGTGAGCCGAGATCGTGCCACTGCACTCTAGCCTGGGTGACAGAGCGAGACTCTTGTCTCAAAAAAGAAAGAACGAAAAAAGAAAAGAAAAGAAATTCCAAGCAAGAATTTCATATCCCACCAAACTAAACTTCCTAAGTGAAGGAGAAATAGAATCCTTTTCAGACAAGCAAATGCTGAGGGAATTCATTACAACTAGACCAGCCTTACAAGAGGTCCTAAGAGAGTGCTAAACATAGAAATGAAAGAATGACACCTGTTACCATAAAACTACACTTAAACACACAGCCCAGAGACACTATAATGCAACTACACAATCAAGTCTACAAAACAACCTGATATAAACACAATAACAAAATAAAACTCTCAGAAATCAATATTAACCCTGAATATAAATGGTCTAAATGCTGCACTTAAAAGGCATAGAATGGCAACTGGATAAAAAGGCAATACCAAACTGCCTGCTGTCTTCAAGAAACCCATCTTACATGTAAGGACACCCAAAGGCTCAGAGTAAGGGGATGGAGGAAGATCTACCATGCAAACAGAAAACAAAAAAAAAAAGGAGCAGGAGTCACTACTCTTATATCAGATGAAACAGATTTTAAATCAACAACATTCAGGAAGGACAAAGAAGGGCATTACATAATGATAAAGGGTTCAAGTCAACAAGAAGAGTTAGCTATCCTAAATATATATTCACCCAACACTGAAGCACCCAGATCTATAACCAGTCCTTCATGACCTATGAAAATATTTAGACAGCCACACAATAATGCTGGGAGACTTCAACATCCCATTGACTCTGTTAGACCAATCATTGACACAGAAATCTAACGACGAAATTCTGTACTTGAACTTGACACTCAACCAATTGGACCTAAAAGACATGCACAGAATGCTCTACCAATCAACCACAAACTATACATTCTTCTCATCTGCACACAGAACATATTCTAAGATCAACTACATGCTTGATCATAAAGCAAGTCTCAATAAATTCAAAAAATTGAAATTATAACAAGGACAATCTCAAACCACAGTGCATTAAAAACAGAAATCAATAGCAAGAAGATCTTTCAAACATACACATATACATGAAAATTAAACAACTTGCTTCTGAACAACTCTTTTAAGGCAGAAATAAAAAAAAATTGTTTGAAGTTAATGAAAATAGAGGCACAACTTAACCAACATCCTTGGAATGCAGCTAAAGCAGTGTTAATAGGAAAGTTTATAGCACTAAAATGCCTACATCAAACAGTTAGAAAGATCTCAAACTAACAAACTAAAATGGCACCTAGAGGACAAAGAGGAAAAAAAAAGAGAAAAAACCCCCCAAAGCTAGCCAAAGAAAAGAAGTATCTAAAACTATAGAGGAACTGAATGAAATTGAGATGCAAAAATCCATACAGAAGATCAATAAAACCAAGAGTTGGTTTTTTGAAAGAATACATAAGATTGCTAGACAACTAGCCAGATTAACACAATGAAGACTGAAGTAAGTACAACCAGCAATGACAAAGATGACATTACAACTGATCCTACAGAAATACAAAAGATCCTCAGGGGCTATTGTGAATGAGTCTATGCACACAAATTAGAAAATCTAGAGGAAACCAATAAATTCCTGGAAACACACAACCTTTCAAGACTGAATCAGAAAGAAAGTGAAAACTTGAACAGACCAATAACAAGTTCTGAAATTGAATCAGTAATAAAAAGCTACCAACTAAAAATAGTCGTGGGCCAGATAGATTCACAACCAAATTCTACCAGATGTACAAAGAATAACTGGTACCAATTTTATTGAAACTATTCCCAAAAATTGAGGAGGAGGGGCTCCTCCATAACTCATCCTATGAAGATAGCATCACCCTGACAGCAAAAGCTGGCAGAGACACAATGAAAAAAGAAAACTTCAGTTTAATATCTCTGCTGAACATAGACACAAAAATCCTCAACGAAACATTAGCAACCCAAATCCAGCAAAACATCAAGAAGTTAATACACCACAATCAAGTAGGCTTTATTCCTGGGATGCGAGGCTGTTTCGCATACACAAATCAATAAATATGATTCATCAGATAAACAAAATTATAGCAAAAACAGATAAATCTATCAAAAGTGGGCAAAAGACACGAACAGATTGCACAAAAGAAGACAAATGGCCAAAAAACATATGAAAAAATGTTAATCCTCACAAATCATCAGAGAAATGCAAATCAAAACAACAGGATACCATCTCACACCTGTCAGAATGGCTATTATTAAAAAGTCAAAAAATAGCAGATGCTGACAAGGCTGCAGAGAAAAGGAAACACTTATACACTGTTGGTGAGAATGTAAATTAGTTCAGCCACCGTAGAAAGCATGTTGGAGATTTCTCAAAGAGCTTAAAACACAGCTACCATTACCCAGCCATCCCATTATTGGATATATACTCAAAGGAAAATAAAGTGTTCTACCAAAAAGACACACACACTCAAATGTCCATCACAGTGCGATTCACAAAAGCAAAAACATGGAAGCAACCAAGATGACCAGCAACAGAGGACTGGATAAAGATTCCATGGTATATATACACCATGGAATCCTACACAGCCACAGAAATAAACAAAATCATGTCCTTTGCAGGAACATGGATTCAGCTGGAGGCCATTATCCTAAGTAAGTTAACCCAGAAACAGAAAACTAAATGTCATATGTTCTCACTTATAAGTGGGCACTAAACATTGAGTACACGTGGACATAGATGGGAACAATAGACCTTGGGGACTTCTGGGGGTAGTGGGGAGAAGGGGAGAATGAGTTGAAAAACGACCTGTTGAGTACTATGCTCACTACCTGAGTGATGGGATCCATACCCCAAACCTCAGCATCATGCAATATATCCATGTGATAAACATGTACACATACCCTCTGCATCTAAAATAAAACTTTAAGAGAAAAAAAACAGAATCTAAATTTTGGTACTGCATGGTACAATTTCTCCTTTGGGTATTCATAGGCATTTACAAAATTACTCATTCAGTCTTAGTTCTATCATCCTTTAAATCCTCACATTAACCTGAAAATGAAGATTGGCAACAGGAACAGCTCTCTACAGTATTGGAAACCATGACATCAACAAGCTCATTCAGTAACTTGAAAGTGAAGTATGCAGCATTCTTATAAATTTGTGTCTCCCTCTCCACACCTATAGCCCCCCACACCAGGTGCCTCACATTGCCCTTTTCCTTTGATTACAACTAAATATTTTATCCTGTATAAAATCATCACCAGTTACAAAAATCACCTCAAAGAAAGTACAATTTAGTGCTCACATTTTTACTTCATCTTCAAGTTTTCTCAAGTTCTGCTTGGTGAGCCCAGAGTTGAGTCTGAAATACACAGCTACACCAGCACTCAGCTGGCTCCTCCCTTGTCTTCTTAGAATTTGGTTCCACAAGTCTTTTTTCCTTGCATTGTGAAGCGATTTAAAGTATTTGTACAACGGGGTAGAGCATGAGCTAGCTGACGCATACATTGTGAGACACACAGTTTCCCTGGGTCAAAACAATGGCCCAAAAGATGTAGAAGAATATTAATGAAACATCTAATGTCATGCATTCTATACAACAAATCAAATGTTGTTTTATAATTATAAAATATATTAGGTGTTAAAAATTAAATGTGATACATACACACACAGAGACACACACATATTACATTATATACACCCTCTGACTATGACAATAAATTACTGGTGTTTAAAAGCCAGAGAGGAAGCACTTTGTCTTGGGAACTGGTAACAAATTGCTTTCCCTGAAATCTTTGTTGCATAAGGGTTTCAAACATATCTCACAACAAATGTAGGCAGGATTCCCACTTAAAGCAAACTACAAATCAGCTGCAGCCCCAACTCAGAGACCAATACTGTGTCTTCAAATATTAGAACTAAAGGCCTTAGAAAGCATTTCTTCAGGGATTTGGGATTCCAACTAAGAAATTCCAACAGTGATCCAGAATACATATTCAAGTGTTTTACAAAAAAACTTCTGCTAACTACTACTACTAATGCATTCTGATATTTCCTTTTCTACTGTATTATTTTATATTTTTAAAACACTGGTGGCAATTCTCTAAATTGTTTTTACAACCTACAGATAGGTTCCATCCCAACATTACAAAACACTGATATGGCCCAATTACCTCATGTTTTTTCGCTTATTATTATTATTTATTTATTTAAAGATGGTATCTTGCTCTGTCACCCAGGCTGGAGTACAGTGGCATAATCATAGCTCACTGCAGCCTTGAACTCCTGAAAGCAATCCTCCCTCCTCAGCCTCCTGTGTAGCTGGGACTACAGACATATGCCACCATACTCAGAGCACTTTTCAAAATGTTTTTTTTTTTTTTGTCAAGATGAGGTCTCTCTATGTTGCCCAGGCTAGTCTCCAACTCCTGGCCTCAAGCAATCCTCCTGCTTGGCCTCCCAAAGTGCTGGGATTATAAGCATGAGACACCATGAACAACTTCATTTTTCAAAAGAAGAATTAAGCACTAGGTAAGTCCTTTAACATAGTGCATGGATAGAAAGGATGGCCTGGTGTGGTGGCTCACATCTGTAATCCCAGCATTTTGGGAGTGGATGGATCAACTGAGGTCAGGAGTTCAAGACTAGCCTGGCCAGCATGGTGAAACCCCATCTCTAATAAAAATATAAAAATTAGCCAGGTGTGGTGGCACATGCCTGTAATCCCAGCTGAGGTAGGAGAATCACTTGAACCAGAGAGGCAGAGGTTGCAGTGAGCCGAGCTTGTGCCACTGCACTCCAGCCTGGATGACAGAGCAAGACTCTGTCTTAATAAAAAACCAAAAAAAGAAAAAAAGAAAAAAAAAGATTAGTCTTCTCAAATTGTTCAGTGCATAGCAGTTAACTTCTATAAGGGATAATTTTGTGTGTTTGTGTCCAATTGACCAACAGAAGATCCTATCTGTATGTTGATATTAGGCATCTTGATTGAGTTGTTTCATTTCATCTGTATTCCTTAAGAAGTTTTGTCTTTCATTTGACCCCTGTAAATTAAACAACTATATCCTGAACATATTTTTCTCTAAAATTAAAGATACATATTTTTGACTTTCTCATAAAGAATATCCCCAACAAATTATTAGCTAACACTAATTGGGTGTAATTAAAATCAAAGCCAGGCACTCATATTAACTCCTTTTAATCAAATTGCGCATGTATAAACATATACAGAAAGAAAAGCTTCTACTTTTTAAAAGGGAATCCAAACTATGGACATCTACAGAGGAAGAAGAGGTTAATTAATGGAAGAAAAAGATTCATGGAAATAAAAAGTAAAGAGAAAAGGCAAGATTTAGATATTTGTATTTTCATAAAATGAGCCTGATTTGTATAAATAATGTAAAAATAGGCACAAAGTATAGTTACAAAGGAAACTAACCCAATAGTTTCCTTTATAAAACTTTATGTAACTTGATAGTAAATATTACAAAATTATTGTACACACAAGAGTAAAAGCTTAAGTTATGGTTTTCAGAAAACAGAAATGACAAATGCCTTCCCTCTCAAACAATTAAGCACTGTTTGGCTTTACCCTAAGGAGTGTGAAAAGAAATGGCACAGAAGCCAGTAGAAAAATGCCTAATGGTTCGCTTGTTTCTGAAATTTTCAAAAGGGGAAGGGAAAAAAAAGGAAACAAACTAATCATTTACGACGTTAGTGAGAGACATCCAGGATGCATGGTCTATATTCTCAAGAAGACCTAGCTCTTTCAGAGAGCCAACTCACCTCACTGAAACACTCCAAATACCAGTACCCACTTCTAGCAAAGGAGCCATTTAAAACAGAGACAGGAGGCATGGGATCACTCGTTGAGGAGCTAAGGACTTGTGTGGAAACACTTGAGTAAGAAAAGGGGACAGTATTCATCTTGCTCTGGAGAGAGATGAACTATAAAACAACTATTAAAATCGTCTCTAGGCTCAAAGAAACACACCTTGAATCAGTCCAGCAGTTTGAAGAACCTGACTTCTCTCATCTACAGTCTTAAGGAGGATTTGGATTCAAGGACAAAGAGGGAAAAAAAAGGAATTCATAATGAAAGAATAAATGCTATCAACTTCTCAAAGACCCTGATGCCTCTAGAGACACTGTTCTCTGATAGACCCAAGGAACAGATACTTTTTAAAAGGTTAATATTCACTAAATGTCTAGTCACAGAACCAGAGGTTATTTGCAAAGAGGTGGCTGGGTGTGGTCAATGACATCTATGGTATTATCTTTAATGAAACATTTACCGGTTTCTCTTGCCTATAAAGTCTATTGTCTATAAAGACTCTAATTAATAGTTACGAGTGAGGTGGTGCATCCCTGCCTATTGTGCAGGATGTTTAAAGGCACAGATCATCCTAGAGCCCTAGTCCCATAGAAAGTGCATCTATCTAGTGGTCCATGGCTCTTACACTTCACTTTCTTTGTGCTACGATGGATGGTTCCCATCCGGTATGCCCTAATTTAGGTATAAGTGACAGGGATTTGTAACCTAGGGAATCTATGAATGGGATTCAGGAGCTCTTTGAACTTCTTAAAATTATATACCTAAATTCTTTCGTGTGCATTTTTGGATACCCCTAAATCTGATTTTCAAAAGGAGTGCTTAGTTCAAAAGTAAAGAACCGTTACAATAACAGCTCCAGTGGCCTTACAGGGATGCCCCTGCCATCCAGCTTCTCCCCTTCTTCTGTCTTCCCCTCCCCTCTGCTCTGGCTGGTGATGTTACAGTTGTTTAAAGATTGTGAAGTTGAATCTTGAGAAGTCCTCCCCTTTTACTGCCACATTCATCCAGTCGTTCACAGAGTCCTGACCAGTCAGGCTGCCTCCCAAATCTGTCACCTTCATTCACTATGCGCATTCCCAAGACCCATCTTCTAGGTTAGGCCACCATCGCTTCTCACCTGGACCACTGTCCATTTCTCCCTGTCAAGTCTCGTAACACTCTAGCCCCATGCCCACAAATCAGCAAACACAACCCTTCAGAAATTCAAAGCAGAGAGGTTCACTCCTCTCCTTAGAGCCCTTCAATGCCTTTGCAGTCATCTTAGAACCAAAGCAAACTCTTCATCCTACTGTCCAAGGCCCTCTGTGGCCTGCCTACTGCCCCTCCCCAACCCACCTTTCACTGCGCTTATGCCCTCTACATCCTTGCAGGAATCCGAGGAGACTGTATTCTCTCACTGTGGGCCCTGGATCATGCTGTTGCACCCACTGGAACCCTCTCTCCTTCTCCTCCCATTCCTCCTACTCCTACTCATTGTTCCACATCTGAGCCACAGCATCCCTTCCTCCAGGAAGTCTTCCCAAACTTCGGGAATAGTGTAGAAACCCCTGCTTCACATGTCCATAGCTCATCTGCCCTCACTCATCACATTTATTTCCCTGCTATGCCTGTGGAAATTGTGACCACTCCTTCTAGCCTAAGACTAAGACTCTTAGTCACACTGAAGAGTATTGTCTGAAGAGGCACAACCATGGGGTGGGAGAATGGTATAATGTAAAATAGATTGTTTTTAAAATATCTAGAAAGAATTTCTGCTCCATCCACACTTCCCTTTCCATTCGGATCACTTTTTCTTTCTTCTCAATGAACTGATAATATAGAGTTATGTTATTTTGCTTTGTTTAAATTATACAACATTCATTAAGAGTCAAACTATTTGTAAAGGTTTAGTCACTTTAGTTTCACTAAAGTATTCTTATATTTCAAGGACAGTGGTATTCTTGTTTTGGTTCACAATGCTATAGGCAAGGAACAAAGAGTAACAAGGAATGTCCAACTATGCAATTAAGTTTTGTTAACCAGGCTGTTACCTGTTTTATTAGGTAAGACTTCTGTGGCTTTCTCTTTTGAAGGTGCTGATGATATCTAACAGGAGGTTTAGGTTTATAAATACTATTCTAGCCATGGGTTTTCACACATTCTAGTTTTGTCTGCAGGAATAGAAATGAAACATTAGTGTCAAGAAATGTCCAAATGATTAAAGATACATATACTGCCTTTCCCTGGATAAGTAGCATCAATCAGTCAGTGAAGTTGTCTACAATGTGCCAGAGATTACAAAGGGAGCAGAAGCTGTCTCTTCTCTCAGTGAGTTTATACTTAAGAGTTTATTATTTGGAGAGTTTACAATATTATTCCTGTTATAGAAACTCTCAGGAAGATTATTATAAATAATATCAAGCCAAGGGAAATCACCTAAATGTCTAAACTACCCAAACACGAGAACACATAGCCATTATGGACTTGTCCAAATTTGTAAGAGGTGCGGTGTTCCAAGAAAATCTGAGGTCATCAACGATGCTTGATCAGTCAGTACGAATGCCAGGGAAGAAGTGAGCCATGTGACATTCTGGGGCATGAAATGAGAGGACTCTGAGCACAGCTGAGGCATAAGTAAGATTTGTAATGAAGTCCACAACAGCATGTTATGAGGGAAACAGCACACATGATCCTGGGAAATTGCCTCTCCTCTCTGAACATTATTTTTCTTATGAAATAGAAATAACAATAATAATCATAATAACTCCCACTTCACACAACTGTACTGACAATTGAGATGAAGCCTGGGAAATTGTTTTGTAAGTGATGAAGCAGGAATGGCAATGAAGAAAATGATTGTGAAGATGATGACAGTAATGCTTCGCCTGGGCATTGAGAGATGAATGAAACACACTTCCTCCTACCCCTCTAATAACAGAAGATCCAGTAGTGCTCCTTCGCCCACCTTAGAGATCAAGATTGTGCCTTCATATGGGCTTTGGCATATGACTAGCAGAACATAGAAAGTTCTCAGGAGCCCCTGGTGGAGGTGGGAATTAGGGCTGGATACAGTCTGCACTTGTACTCTGACTTTGTTCCTTTCTTAGGACTCTAAGGGAGTTTTTTCATTTGACATTTGAAAGGGATACCTACCATATGCCATTTTCTGTCCTTAAAGAGTTTGTTAGCTAGCGAGACACCACACAACATACATGCACATACATACGCATATAGACGTGCACACACACAAACAACACATAGCAAGAAATCTGAACACAGCTCTCATACAAGGATGCACAATGTGTTCTTTGAGTCCAGCTGAGTGAAAAGCTACACAGAGAACATGAACATGGCCAGTTTCTTGAACAATTAAATGAGTCTTATCAAACAAAGATAGAGAGAGCATCCCAGTCAGATGGGACAAGCTAAACAATGTGAGAGTAGTGGATTTGGTTTCCAAATAGTACAAGTTACCTCAGGTTAGAGTCTTTGGCAGAGAGTGGCAAAACAAATAGGAAAAGGAAGGTAGAGTAACCTTGTGGGAAGGCTTTGAATGTCGTATTAGAAAGTTTAGACTCTATCCTGAGAGGGTGAAGAGCTGTCAGTGTTTTATAAGAATATGAACTTGATCTGATCTGTGTTTTAGGTAGAAAACTGGCATTTATAGATGAAAACATAGAATATCTTCACAACTTTAAAAGTGAGAGAAAAGTAAGAGTCACAAGAGACAGGTAGAACAGATACGAGACGAATCCAGAGAAGAAATGCAGCCTAAACAAGGTCAGTGTTAATGAAAAAGAAGAAAACAGGATATATTCAAGAGTCATTTTCATGGTAACACCAATAAACAGTTCCATTGTGAAAAAGGAGGAAGATACAAGGATCATCTTGATGTTTCGTGTTTGAGTTTTAGTCAAAGGACCACAATGAGCACCGAAGACTGGATAACAAACTCAAGGAAAGGGGTATGTGTTTCCTCTTAGATGTGTTTAGTTTCACCCTAGGACATTCAGGTGGATTTATCAGGAGGCAATTGTGAATCAAGATGAAGTTAAGCATATAGATAGTTGTCACCAGCAATTATTGAAGCCATGTGACTGGATGGAATTATATATAGAAAGAATTTTGAAAAAGAGGAGAAGAACCCTGCAAATAACTGTGGTTAATAAACAGATTAAAGAATTATGAACCTGAAAGACGAAAAGTCATCTTTGTATAAAAAAGAATCCATTACAAGGTCAGTGACATGTCCTTATACTAAAGTGGTCCCTATGTTCTTCTTTCCAACTCAAATCATGTTCTTGAAACGAATGACTATATTTATTCTAAAGATATACTGAGTGCCTACCATATGTCAAGTATTGCTCTGGGATTGTGAGGATACAAAAACAAATCAGACACGAATCCTGTCCCAGGAAGCATGAACTTCAATGGTAAGAGAGGAGCTGAACAGATGTTACCTTTGCTGCTGTTGATCCTGATGTTTGACAACATTCAACAGAAAAGATCGATGATTCCACAGGCACCACAGTTTCAGAAGCTGTTTCAAGCTTATGAAAGTTCCACTAAACTAAAGCCTAGATCATGACTACACAATATAGCCATTCTCTGAATAAGTTGGGACCCTTAAACATGAGATGGACATATGGGCAGGACGAACCAACCAAAATTGCAGAGAAATTTTGTATTTAGTTTGTCTATAGTGCTACGTGTGAATGTTTGTGATCTCCCCAAGTCCGTATGTCGATACCTAACCCCCAACACAATATGGCCACCAGCCGAATGCATGTTCCCATCGCCTATTTCCTGAGGTCATGCTTTGAACGGTCATAGATTGGAATGGTGATCAGAAAAATCAATTCCTCTCTCAAAACATGCCACTGAAATTCACTCTCCATAAATGTCCTGAAAGCTGTAATAGTTCGGGTGCCACAGGTTAGTGGTTAAATTATTTTGGTCAAGAGATTTTCTACATATTTCAAGTCATGTCATATTTACTCATTTATATCATATTTTTAGATTCCACAATATTTGTTGAAAATTAGGTATCTGCCAGGTCTGGTATTAAGCACTGCAGAGACATGCAGTAGGCTATCATTGATTTATACAGTTCCTATTCAGGTAAAAGTGTTTTTTGATGAAAATATAATTCAATGGACTCATTGTTTACAAACTCATAAGTAAGTTCAGCATGATCTACTGATTCTCAATTTATTTTTCTTCTGTTTATAAAATTACAGATGGCTTATTATAAATATTCATATACACAAATCATTTCCCTCATGAATTTAAATACTACTGCTTAAAATTAGTTCATCAGTCTATATATCTGTATAAGCAATTTTATGTGTAATAAACGAGCCACATTGAATCAAATCAAACATATTATAAAAGAATTCTTGCTTGCTTGCTTGCTTGCTTGCTTTGCCTAGAAAACAAAGAAAGCCCTAGTTGTCCTACAATTGGTCAGAGGAAAACAATCACACTGTACAGGTATGTTGTATTTCTTTATTCTGATAAATAGAGAAAAAACTTATAAACTACACAGCATATGAGATATGATTCTGTAGATAACAACTGCCAACAGTTAAAAGATCTTTAATATTTGAAAAAACTATGTACATATTGTCTTATCAAAGAAAGACCAAAATTTGTCAATTGAAAGCATTAATGAAATATTTTGGTTGGTCCCTAATCCCAATTTCACATTTTTTACCATCTAGATTATACACTGATTTAAAATCAAACATATGAAGGTAAACTCTAAAATCTTCATAGGTCAACAAAGAAAATTTATCCTTCACACTTATTTCTAGAAAGCAGCAGGGCTTATTTCCTAGATTGCTTACAATGAAGCTAGAATATCTGCGATAACTGTAGAGTTTCAAAAAGGATCCCTAGGGCTACTTCTACGTTCTCCTTACCAGTTGAGCACTCTCCATAATTTCCAGACGGGTCATGGGGGAGAATGATAGAAATGAGCGTGGGAAGAAAGACAATGAAATTAGAAATGGGTGAGACACATGGTGGTAGAATGCTAAGAGCAGGGATCAGGACAATCAACCAGGTGTCTAGGAAGGGTCAAGTCACCAGTGTCATCTGCTGACCAATGTTAGGAAGAAATAAACTCAAAGGAAACACCACATTTTTCCAATTAAACTCAAATCTATTGACTTGTGGTGGTTCTTTGATGTTGTGGGGACTGCTATAACAGAAACCAATTGGATTTTCAAGGGCAAGAAACTTTGCCACTGAATAAGATGATGTCATCCTTCCTGATAACAAATAGGAATGGGTGGTCAGCTCTAAACAGCGTGGACTGAGGGAGTTGCTTTTCTACAATATTACTTCCTGTGGCAGCAGTAGCCTCGGTGCCCTCCTCAGTGACCTCTATGTAAGATTTGTGCATCATCCTTGATATATACAGACGACCCCCCGAAGCAATCCCAGAGAGATCTGCTTTGGATTCATCAAAGATATCTTTCAGCCCTAGGGCTCTCAAATATTGTTTCATTTCATAATTCTTCTCTATCTTGAACTGAGGAAAAAATACCTCAACATACTTAGAGGTCATTCGCCTTGGATTGGTCCATTCCATTAGATTCTGAAAGGTCAGTTTGTTTTCAATCTGTAAAAATAATTCAGAGATAATTTAGAATCATATGGTCAAGTGATAGATAAAACAATAGCTACAGAGATACATAGTTTTCTATAATTATCGCTTCCTGGATATTTGTGTTCAAGTACATGAATGTGTCTTGGGCAGTCTTGAAACAGAACATGAATAAAATGAATAGCTCAAGTACTTTTAAACAAATCCCATGTTTAATTTGCTCTACTATGAGAAGGCATGACTTATTTGCACCTTAGGGCAATTCCACTCTCTGCTCACCCATGAGCAGATACAGCCAACGTGGAGCAATAGACAGGTGAAGGAACCTGGGAATTTGAGACCATTAGAGGGAGAAAGGAGCCCAGTGGTCATTTAAATCAATATTTCCTAGCCATCTCCTCATCATGAAAGACAGATAAAATAATGTTTGCACAGCTTACTGGAGTAAACCAAAGGAACCCCACGTGGCCTGAGGCAAGGAGGCCAGAGCTCCAGCCTCAAAGGTTTGGGTGACCAATATCTCCCAGTGCAGTTACCCATACTGTCTGGGAAGCTTGAATTCAAATCAATTTCTTGTTCTCAACAGATGAGGCAACTGAAGTGCAGGAGGATGTAGCTGGATATGCCTGAATGCAAAGCAAGCAACCTTAGTTACACAGCTAGAAGAGTCCTTATCTCTCTCTCCAACAGCATCGCTGCCCACAAACAATTCACAAAGCCAATTCACCAGCTCTTGAATACTGAGAATTGATCATAAATTCTCAATTTAGAATAAGAAGATTTTTCATAAACATTGTTTAGAAATCTTACATAAGGACATTTCTTCCTAAATTCAGGCTCAACTTCAATCCTAAACAACTTTTTACTGATATTAAATTTAACTTGTATTCTTATCAAGGACCTAAATTTATACAATCAAATTTAGTCTAATTTGAATTTTTTGTTTTAGTTATCCAGTTTTGTGGTTAATCTGTAATATATTTTTACCCTGTTGGAATTTTTTTTTTCATTTAGTGCACTGAGATCCAACTTCCTCATCGTTATCTGGTTATGAAAGATTATGCAGGTATTTAAGATTGTATAGTATGTAGGTTTATAATAGTCAGATTCAAACATTATTAGGTAAATCTATTACTGAAAAGGAAAATTCAGACAGTAAGTGCAAGAATAAAACTATATTGTTAGCTTGCTTTATCTGGGCTACTTTTTCTGTTGCAGATTATTTCAAGTTAAACTAATTGCTGTATGCTAAAATCTGACTGTTATGAAGATTATCACGTGAATTATAGGTTTAATATGAGGACCAATATTTTATATGGTCATACTTTAGATTTAATAGTACCAATTTTATGACATTTCTCTTGCTTCTCATGTCAAAATAATTAAGATGAAAACGTAATGAAAGAAAGTTGTTGCTAAAATTCCGTAATCTTTGTCTATGCAGAAAGTGTCATTCCAAAGCTTTAAAGTCATGTTTTTAAATCATACTAATGCCCCTTGGATGGTAGGCATGTCTGTTTCTTTATATTCATTCCCCTGTCCTGTTATTCCACAGCAAATATTCATTATTTTCCAAGTCAAAACAAAACAAATACTTTTAAGTGTATGTAACTTTTCAGTATAGCTGACATACATATATGTGTGTGCACATACATACACACAAATATGCATATCTATACATATGTATCTATCAGAAAAATTGACCAAATTCTGTCAGCCTCCCTTCCCTATCTCACATGCTTGCTATAAACATCAAACAAGGTAATATAAATGAAGCTCAGAGCACATGGCCTGGGATGTAGTAGGTGCTCAATAAATGGCACCTATTATTCCTTTTTAATGAGAGAATAGAGAAGGGAGATGAGTCCAGGCCTCTGAGATTGCAGATCAAACTCAAAGAGCCAAGTTCAGGAGGAGGAAAAGCAGAAAAAGGGCTGAAAAAAGATCAGGCTCTGAGATTCAGTGGTGGTGTCTGGCTTGCACGGCCCCCACCGTCTCCCCATTGCACTGTGTTGGTCCATTTCTCCTGCCACATCAGTCACAGGGCAGTCCCTAAACTGTGCTTTTCACTTGAGACACAGCAGCATGGAGTGATGAAACTGCCTTTGCAAAATTATAACAGTAGGAAATCTGACATAGTTGACTTGATCTTGCTGCTAACCTCCAAGATGTTGTTGGTCATTATTTGGCATAGGCTAAGATAACTTTGGAAGAAATTTAGTTTATAGTTTGAATGTAAAGCAAGGATCATAGTAGCCCTTCCCAAAACTAAACCACCTTTGTAAAACTAATGAAAGACCACATGATTATGATTATGAGAGAGGCCTGAATTCCGCCACGATGTAGAGATAGTAAACATTAACCAATCATTGTTATGGAGGCCATAAAATTTGTAACCCCCTCAATGACTCTTGTAGATACTATCACTATTGTAGAACCTAAGACTGGCCTTTTGAGATGTCTTTTCAGACTTTTACATTTCTGACACTAACTCCACTTGGACTCATGACTCATGACTAAACCGGTCCTCTGGCCCCCACAGAGTCCAGAGGTGGACTCAGTGCATGAGGACAGTTTTACACACGCTTGTGACTGCATCCCCACCCAATCAACAGTGCTCATTCCCTAGACCGCTGCCCACCAAACTATCCTTGAAAACTCCTAACCTCCAAACCTTCAGGGAGATTGATTTGAGTAGTAGTGACTTCATCTCCCATGTGGCATGGTCGGCCTTGCATCAATTAAACTCTCTTTACTACAATGCTGTGCCCTCAGTGAATTGATTTTGTCTGTGCAGCAGGCAGGGAGACCCTCTTGTCCAATTACAGTGAGACCATACATTTTAATTCTAAAAGGCTCAGGACTCTATCATATCATACCTGCCTAAAGATGCTCAGTCTAGCAAAATTTCAATGACACGTAGAAGACTGTATTCATGGCCAAACACCAAAAAGGCCTAAACTCATGTCTTTTTAATTCCATAGCTGACATTTGAGAGAGTTCCAATTTGATCACTACTCAACTGAAATTATGCTAAACTGAGTTAAGTCAATCTCAGCAACTATAATGATGTCTGGCTCATACTAGGTACCCCTTAAATATTTGTCAAATAAATTAATAAGCAGGTAAGTCTCTAGTATCTCAATACCCTGAAATCTTACAGTTTATCAGTGAAAACTCAATCAACAGTATCCTAAAAGTCTTATTTCCCAATAGTGAAAATGACAGTCGTAACTTACTTCAGAGAGGTCATTCTCAGGCAGCAGAACGTACATGTTTATGCCACCATTGTATCTGAGCTCAAGAATCTTCATTGATGGGTCCTCAATAACAGACAAATTGAACTTCCGTTCCTGATGCATCATGGCGACTGCCTTCCCAGAGCACTGAAAGTCAAGTCACAAAAAATTATTTATGATCCCACCTCATTTTACTTTATTAACCAAATACATATAAGAATATTGTACTTGGTCAATAAATTTTTGCTCAGTTGACCCTGCAGATTTTTTCCTGACATGTTACCAATAGTGGTTGCATTGGTGCAAATCTTAGTGGTAAAGCCAAGACTTCAAATTTGATTCCTTGAGTTTAAAATTTCCTAACTATGTGACCTTGGGTGAGTTACTGTTCCTCTCTGTTCCTCCATTTCCTCATCTATAGAATGGGAATGACTATAATCCCTGCTGTACAGGATTGTTGTGAGGATTATGTGAATTAATATAGCTAGCACTTGGAACATTGCCTTGTACTTAGTATTTTAACTGAAAAGTCTCTATAATAAGTAATGAAAATTTACTAAATAACATTAAAATGAAAAATGAATGCTATAGGTTTTTTTTTCTTCTCAGAAGTAAAACACAGACTAGTACTAACAAAATTACATGATTTAAGACCAGGCGCTGTGGCTCATGCCTGTAATCCCAGCACTTTGGGAGGTCCAGGCAAGAGGACTACTTGAGCCCAAGAGCTCAAGACCAGGCTGAGCAACATGGCGAGACTGCATCTCTACTAAAAATAAAATAAAATAAAAAACAGCTGGGTGTGGTGGAACATGCCTGTACTCCCAGCTACTTGGGAGGCTGAGGTGGGAGGACCACCTGAGCCCAAGAGGTCAAGGCTAGAGTGAGCAGTGAGTTCACCACTACACTCCAGCCTGAGCAAGCTTAAGACCCTGTCTCAAAAAAAAAAAAAATACGCTATTTAAGCATGAGGTCTCAGAAAAATAGAGATTCCTGCAAGGTATTTGATAATGTCCCTCAAATTCACTAGGGCAAAAAATAAGTAGCTCTTATCTTGAGAATATCATTTATAGATTTAGAGACAACACTGAGGTGCAATAAATTTTCTCCTAGTAATATTACGATCTGCAAACTTGTCAACATTTCTGTAATATCCCCTTTTAGGAAAAAACATCCTACATGGGGAGGACAGATAATTCTCTGTCCTTGAACCAAAGGTCCTTCTCTGGAAAGGTTGCCTTTTTTGACTTAAAGTCCAATCCTCAGAAAGAACACACATGAAATCTACCTGCTTAGTGAGACAGGTCCCCAGAATTGAGCCTGATACACATGGGGACTGGGATGTGATAGACAGGATGTCTCACTGGGGCAGGGAAAGAATCACACATCTGGGTTATGCTGGAGAGATTATGTCACCAATTTTTAATATGATAGAACTAACATTGATATCAGAGATCTAGATTCAACAGCATATTACATTACAAGCTGTCTGCTATAGCTACATTACATAGGGTGTGTGGACTAGCAGGAAGAGTGTTTAAAACAATATTATGATATAGTAATGCTTTTTAAAATAAAAAGAAATTAGGAGAAAAAGAATAACACATGAAACAGGAATGCAGCTTCTGTGAAGCAAGGCAGGGGCCCCAATACAACATTCCTGACTGCAAGAGCTTTGTTGTTTCTGCTGTACTAAGATTACTGTGTACAAATTGATTTTAAAACCCAAGAATATATGTTTTATAAAGGTTGGCAATAAGATGTTTTAGATCAAAAACAGAACTAAATGAAGAAATACATATGGCTTGTACTTGGAAATGCATAACTTTACTAAATATAACTTTTCCCCTTGCAAAAGAGAACACATTCCCTGCTGTGACTCAGGAAAATCATTGATGGTAAATGATTTTAAGTATAGACCTCATGGTTAAAAAAATGAAAAATGAAAAATACACTTTTGTCATATATTTTCTTATAGGTCTCCAATTATAATATCTTAAGATACATTCATACCACTTCTTTCAATTTTGAATGTATTTTAAAGAATACCAATTTACAAGACACGTTTGGTGGTGTTTCATAGCCTGCATGACAGGGAAAATAGAAAGTTTGCTTTATAAAGCAACTGACCATATGATATTGGTAATGCAAAAGAAGAAATGGGTTTAAAACGGTGAACCTAGAGTTTACTATGTAACTATCACAGTCCTGCAAAGGAATACGATTGTGGAAAAGTTCTAAATTAAATAGGAGATTGACGACATACCTTGGGAGATTTGAAATGGCAATTTATGGTTTCGCTCTTGGTGAAGGCTGATTGCCACTTGCCTTTGAAGTACACAGCATTCACCAGCACCATTACAGCAGATGAGCTTATGCCACCTTCACCAATCACGTTCTTGATTTTGCCTTTTGAAAAAAAAATTGAGGGAAAAATGTTTATTTTAATATAATTTTAAAAATGATTTAAAAAGACCATTAATTGGTATGAAGTTTTTTTCTTAACACATAATAACACCAATAAGAATATTAAGAATAACCTATGAGCAATTAATGTGTCCAGCACTTTCTAGGCCCTTTAAAGGCAATCTTTGGTTTAATCCTTACATAATCCCTGTGAGGTAGGCACTATTATTGTTTCCATTTCCTGTTGAGGAAGCTAAGGCACAAAGAGATTAAGACACACAACAAGAAAGTGATAGCAATAGGATTCCAACCCAGGGAGACAACCCCAGGGTCCCTGCTCATAGGTACCAAAGTGCCTTTACTGCATTGACTAGGCCACCTTTTGCTACTACAGTACTTCAATCCATTGAAAGGTAATGCCCTCCTTCATTCCACATAAATGAAATTTTTGCTGGATGCTATGCACTATTCTGCATATTTGAATTACAAATATGAAAGACATAGCCTGTGCCATCATTGAGCTCCCAGTCCAGCACAGAAGAGTCAACATCCAAAGAGCAGTTGTAACCCACCAGTAACATAGAGGTCTGACCTCAGTGCACTGTGGGAGCACAGATTAAAGTCACCCAACTTTTTCTGTGGCTATCTGCTTTAGCTGAAGAACAGTGGGGAGCAGGAAGAGCTTCCATAAAGCAGAGACTATTTATTCAAAGGCACAGAAACCTGAAAGAGCAAGGTGTATTTGTCGGGGAGAATAAGGTTGGCAAGATTGGAAGCAAGGGCCTGATAATGAAGAGGCTTGAATGTCTGGTAAGAATTGTGGATTATTTTGAAGATGATGGGAAATAATTGCTCAGGATTCATTGAAAGACAAGAAAGGTCATGGTCATGATGGATCTGATTTGCCTTTCAAAAGGATGGCTCTGATATTGTGTAGAGGATGTGGGCTTCAAGACCTGGGTAGGGTTGTTTAGAATATTGGCAACATTTTAAAGTGCTTCCTCAAATAAATATTGAGTAGATATGCTTATGAAAAATTAGAGTAATTATGCATAGATTTACATGAGAAAGGAAGAGAAATAAATAACTAGTCTAAATAGAAAAAGTTGTTAGCAATCTGACACCCTTATGTTAAATATTAAATAGAATCCCACCTAGATTTTAGAAGAGTAATAATTACATAGTTTGTCTTGATTTATAAGTGCTATATATGAAACAGGTGATGGCTAAACATCAAAGTAACCCACTATGAATATAATGAGGAATGAATGAATAAAAAGAAAATTTATACACTGCATTCTTAGTCCCAGGACTAAGTGTATGCTGCTGAAAGTTTGCATTTAAAAGTGCAAGATATATTATATCATATTTCTGAGGCACAGCTAGGCTTAGTAAATACAGGTACAATATTTAGAGTACAAATCAAGGCCAACCCTTAGGTAATGAAACAACTACTAGCTTTGGAATTGGTTGATGAACAAAGCAAGGATTAATAAATTTCTTTATTTGCTTTGCACTAAACCAGAACATTAGCTGGAATTACGTTTTTAGTTGTGACAGAGACTTACCAATAAAGAGCTGTACTTTTTCTGGAAGGTACTACCTTTGTTACATAAATTATTTTGGTAAATAAAGAACATTTTTAAATGAGAGATATACTATACATCCTTGGAAAAAGCAATATCATGAAAATACATTTCTTTGACAGTAGAATGTTATAGCTTTAATAAGATTCAGTCCATAAAGCAATTATAAAGTATGAAAATCAGCCCTATCTTTAAAAAATAGGTTGATTATTAAATGAAATGTTATGCTGTGGTCATTGAAAATAATAATGTGGTCATTGAAAGTAATAAGAAAATAATAACTCTTAGTTTTTGTTCACTAACGAGGGTGAGATATTGAGGTTAATTTATCAAATTAACTCAGCTTGTTATTCATATATGAAGTGGTCACAATAATATGTTTGTCCTGCAGGGTTTTGCCAATTAAATGAGATAATGTAAAAGACTGAACTTCTGAAAAGTACAAAGCATTCAAATTATTAAGATTATTCCAAACCACATTGCAGACAAATACTAAAGCAATTTTAAGTAGCAGCAATCATTACTTTGAACTAGGAGGAGCTGTTCCTTGTATGTACAAAAGACTCCCAGCTTTTGTTCCCAGTATTCACATATAACTGACAAATCTTGTAGAAAAATAGGGTATTTCAATACTCACCATGTGTTTCATTTTCAACCCACTTATTAATATTACGTCTAGTGTCTTCTAAATGATTCGTAAAGTCAACTCGCTCCACTTTGGCATCGTATAATTTTTCGGCACACTCAATGTAGTCCTATAAAGAAGAATATAGTTCTCGTATTTACAAATCATCACCAACTAAGTATATAAGAAATGTATTTTTGAACTTTTAATTTCGACTGCTTTATTCAAAGGTTCAACTCTGCCTCAAAAATGAGTATGTAAATATAGGGATATATGGAAATGGGACTGGAAGGGGATCTGGTGTATCTGAAGTTGAATTTGTTCAGCAAATACTCTGTTTAAACTTAAGTTTATCTGAAATGGATTTGAGGAGGCTAATAGAGAATGGATAAAGCCCACCCTTTTACCACTGCGTTCTCATATTAAATAACTCAATAGCCTCCTAACCAGTCTCCCTTGCCTGTGTCATCCCTTCCTGCTGCAAATTTTTCAAGGCTACATTATTGCACTCAAGACAAAGCCCAAGCTCTTGAAACTTGCCGACAAGACTCTGCTGATCCCCACCCTGCTTACGTCATAGCCACTTTCTCCTTACTCTGCTGTCCCACGATACTACATTCCTGACAGTTGCTCAAAAATGCCATGTTTCCTCTCTCACTAGAGGTGTTTGAACAACATTCCTTCTGCCTGAAATGGCCCATATAGCTCATGATTATGTCTTACCCATTTTCTAGTTCCAAGTATGGCTGTCTCTCCTGGACAGATATCTTCTCTAGGTTCCACCCACACTTTCTTTTCTTTTCTTTTTTTTTTTTTTTTAATTCTTTTTTTGAGACGATGTCTCACTCTTGTCCCCTTGCAGGCTGGAGTGCAATGGCGTGATGTCAGCTCACTGCAACATCTGCCTCCTGGGTTCAAGTGATTCTCCTGCCTCAGCTTCCCAAGTAGCTGGGATTACAGGTGCCTGCCACCACGCTGGGCTAATTTTTGTATTTTTAGTAGAGATGGGGTTTCACCATGTTGGTCAGGCTGGTCTCAAACTCCTGACCTCAGGTGATCCTCCCGCCTCAGCCTCCCAAAGTGCTGGGATTACAGGCATGAGCTACCACGCCTGGTCCCACCTACATTTCCTAACAGTCTGTTTATCTTGATTTCTTTTCTTAACAGCTGTTATCATAATGCATCCTTTTTACCTTTGAGATTGTCTGAGTCCTTCACAAAACAGCAAATTCTGTGAAGTCAAGACTATATATGCCTTGCTTATTATTTTATTCCCAGTACCTAACACATTGCCTTGGACATAATAGTTGCCTAAGAAATACTTGCTGTTCTTAATACAAAAAAAGTCATAATGATCTAATTTATCAACACATTAGTAATTCAATGAATATACACAAATATATTTTTGTGGAAAGATGTTCAGAATTAGAAGAGAAAGATGTATTACAAACCATGTATTGTTAGTGGATTTCCTGTTAAAGTTTATAGGATTTTCATCCTAATAATGAAGATTCACTAGTTGTCCTTTGTCTATCTGCAGGATAAGACTAGCTCTCTAATGCAAGCTTTGTGTGTGATTTCCTTGGATACAGCTCTTTTCATCTACTGATTAATTCATTCTTCCATCCACACATCCATTCATCCATCCACTTTGACACAAAGAGTATTTTTTTTTTGTTTTTTTGTTTATTTGTTTTTTGTTTTTTGAGACAGAGTCTCGCTCTTTCGCCCAGGCCGGAGTGCAGTGGCGCTATCTTGGCTCACTGCAAGCTCCGCCTCCTGGGTTCATGCCATTCTCCTGCCTCAGCCTCCCGAGTAGCTGGGACTACAGGCGCCTGCCACCGCGCCCGGCTAATTTTTTGTATTTTTAGTAGAGACAGGGTTTCACCGTGTTAGCCAGGATGGTCTTGACCTCCTGACCTTGTGATCCGCCCGCCTCGGCCTCCCAAAGTGCTGGGATTACAGGCGTGAGCCACCGCACAAAGAGTAGTTTTAAGTAGTCCATGGCCTAGGAAGGTTGAAACATGCAAGAGATTGATACATGCAAGATGTCAGCAAGGAATAAAGATAGCAGTGGGGAGGGACAGGATAGTTATATAGATGTTGCTATTCTCTACCACTTCCAAGAAACTCAGGCCAGATGTAGTGGCTCATGCCTGTAATCCCAGCACTTTGGGCGGCTGATGTGGGCAGATCACCTGAGGTCAAGAGTTTGAGACCAGCCAGGCCAACATAGCAAATCCCCGTCTCTACTAAAAATACAAAAAAAAAAAAAAAAAAAAAAATTAGCAGGATGTGGTGGCACGTGCCTGTAATCCCAGCTACTTGGGAAGCTGAGGCAGGAGAATCGCTTGAACCCGAGACGCAGAGGTTGCAGTGAGCCGAGATTGCGCCAGTGCACTCCATCCCGGGCAACAGAGCTAGACTCTGTCTAAAAGAGAGAGAGAGAGAGAAGCTCTAGAAGAGCTAGAAGCCACTAAGCATTTATACTTTTTTAAAAAGTCCAACTAGTATGTCATGTTGATCTCCTTCTAAGACTTGTCTATGTCCTTAAAAAAAATACATAAAACTTAAGTGACATAAAAAATAAAATTTGGCCAGGCAAGATGGCTCATGCCTGTAGTTGCAGCAATTTGGGAGGCTGAAGAAAGAAGATCACTTGAGCCCAGGGGTTCAAGACCAATCTGGGCAACATAGAGAGACCCTTTCTCAACAACAAAAAAATTAGCTGGGCATAGTGGCATGCACCTGTGGTCACAGCGACTCAGGAAGCTGAGGTGGGATTATTGCTTGAACCCAGAATGTGTTTCCTGCCATGGACACCCCTAAATGGGCTGACTGCTCCTCCATTCCATTTACAGCTCAGCATCCCTACCAATAGACACGTTCTCTTCTGTTTTGAAGCCTATCAGTCTAATGAACCTGAATATGTGGATTAATTGGGTAAAAAGTTGAACTTTGGAAATGGTGATGATATATTCAAGACATCTGAGAACATAATAAGTAGCAATGAGAAACAAAACCATCTTTGTATTGCTCAGTAGAAAGACACAAGCCTTTGTTCAGATAATGGATTTAACAAGATTCAGGTCCTTCTAACAAAGGCAGTTTCACTTACCTTATGAAAGCCATACACTTTTTCAGCAAAAAGCCCATTCACAATGCTGAGATCATAATCCTTGTGGGATGCATTTATATCAGAAAAAACTCTTTTCAGTTGAGACTGGAGCCCTGACTGTTATTAAAAAGATGTATAAAAATTTATTTTTGGACTGCAAAGATATGCATAATCTCACTTACACATAAAACAAAACATGCAAATTATACCATAAAAGAATTTTTTTAAATACTATAAAAATGGCAAACAAGGCCACATACATCTATGTCTTACCCTTTCTCAAAATAGTGTCTGTGATCAAATGAAATAATTTACTAAATACTTGGACTTAAAATTGTTAACAGAAGGTAATGATTTTGCATAACATATATATTAATTAATTTTACCAATGTAAGTTGTCTATGAATATACAAAGAAAAAGGCAAAACATTTAACTTCATCCTTTCTTGCCCAAATATGGCCAATATGCAAATAAAATATTACTAAAGTAATAAATAACAAGTAAATTATCAAAAATTTTACTTGAAAAATTCACAATCTGGAAATCTGAATAAAGCATGTTTCTTTGCTTTGAAAGGATAGTTCCACATTCTCCAACTTCCATCTCTTGGGTTTAAGCTAACCTCCCACCATAGCCCCCCAAGTAGCTGGGATTATAAACTAATTTTTGTATATTTTGCAGAGATGGGGTTTTGCCATGTTGCCCAGGCTGGTCTTGAACTCCTGGGCTCCAGTCATCCACCCGCCTCAGCCTTCCAAAGTTCTGGTATTACAGGCTTGAGCCCCTGCACCTGGCTCACCTTCTCTTTTTCTAAAAGAACATATTGTCTTTACCTGACTATTAGAAGAGTTTCCATATCCTGAGGCAGTGTTAACATGAAGCAACTGTAAACAGGGCACAAGGAAAGCAATCATTAGAATCAGAGGTTACGAGAACAGTTTGCAAGAGGTTTTAAAAATAAAAATATTCTTTCCCAATAAATGTGTCTAATTGCCATTCCAAGTTCATTAGTATCTTAGAGCAGATTCTCCCCATGACTCTGAATGCACATCAACAGGCATACTTGGTTTTAATTTTTATTGCATTTTCTTTCTTTACCACAACTTGATTTTCTCTTAGGTTTACTAGGATTTTGGAATTTGTGCCAATTTACATAAATGCTATGGTGATATCGCTTCCAATTAAATCATGCTTGTCTGGTAGTCAGTCCACACACGGATATTAATGCCTCAGTGCACAGCTCTCCCAGTCTGACACTGAATGAAAAGCATATTTCAGCAGCGGAACTCTACAGTTTTCAATATAGTCAGTGAAATGTGACCACCTTCTTCACTATACAATGATGTAACTCAGAATACCTGTGGACTGGCCGGGTGCGGTGGCTCAGGCCTGTAATCTCAGCACTTTGGGAGGCCAAGGCGGGCAGATCACGAGGTCAGGAGATCGAGACCATCCTGGCTAACACGGTGAAAACCCGTCTCTACTAAAAATACAAAAAATTAGCTGGTTGTGGTGGTGGGCGCCTATAGTCCCAGCTACTCGGGAGGCTGAGGCAGGAGAATGGCGTGAACCCAGGAGGTAGAGCTTGCAGTGAGCCGAGATAGCACCACTGCACTCCAGCCTGGGCAACAGAGTGAGACGCCATCTCAAAAAAAAATAAAAATAAAAATACCTGTGGACTATTTTGTGATTTATGGAATGAATAAGCCTCTTTCTGAAGTGACTGGGCAGCTATAATTTTAACATTTGGGCCAATACAAATTAGGTCATCAATTCATGTGTTAATTTAATATTTGTTAAGTTTTACCTACCAGATTTTCCTGTTATTTTTTGTAATTTTGGAATCATGGAACCTATCAACATTTCCCACCAATGATTATTCCTAAATTTCTTGAAATGTCATTTTATGCAAAAAAGCACTGTTTTACTTAAATAGGCTCTAAAACTCTATGTCATCACCATTTTTAAAAAATATTTATTTATTTTTATTATTCTTTAAGTTCTGGGATACATATGTAGAATGTGCAGGTTTTTTACATAGGTATACACATGCCATGGTGGTTTGCTGCACCCATCAACCCATCATCTACATTAGGTATTTCTCCTAATGCTATCCCTTCCCTAGCCTCCCCAACCCACTGACAGGCCCTGGTTTATGATGTACCCCTCCCTGTGTCCATATGTTCTCATTGTTCAACTCCCACTTAAGAGTGAGAATATGCAGTGCTTGGTTTTCTGTTCCTGTGTTAGTTTGCTGAGAATGATGGTTTCCAGCTTCATCCATGTCCCTGCAAAGGACATGAACTCATCCTTTTTATGGCTGTATAGTATTCCATAGTGCATATGTGCCACATTTTCTTTATCCAGTCTATCATTGCTGGGCATTTGGGTTGGTTCCAAGTCTTTGCTATTGTGAATAGTGCTGCAATAAACATACGTGTGCATGCGTCTTTATAGTAGAATGATTTATAATCCTTTGGGTATATATCCAGTAATGGGATGGCTGGGTCAAATCCATATGAACACTTAAAACTCTTTCTTTCTCCCCTTCCCTCCCTACCCCATGTTTTACAGTGTTTTCAACATGTGGAGCTTCCCCTAACTTTCAGCTTATCGAGAATACAAACTCATAATTAGAATTTGTACTATCTCTAATATTCGATATTATCCCTTATATTTCTTTCTTATTGTTTATAACTACACATTGTCTCACACAAAGGAGGCACTATACAAATTGAGTTAAGGAAATCATTTGTACCAACCAAATTTAAAAACTATATTTTGTGTATCAGGCATAATTTTGACCATATTAGTCTGATAGAGGATTTTTCTCATAGCAGTGTATATACAGAATAACAGTGATTAAATGCTTCCTCCCCAAAGCTGACTGTTTTTAACTAATCCCACCATCATTGTTGTCATCAACCTCACCATGGTGGCTTCTGACAAAAGAAGAGAACTTTTCAGCACTTGCCCCCTCTGCTCCTTTAATTCAAAATTATTTTACGGAGGTTTATAAAATTTAAAATGTGTTTAATTTGGGGATTTTTATATTAAGTGGGCTTAGTTTAAAGAAAAATTTGTTAAATTCATAATATAATAAAACTGGAAAGCTTAATATTTTTCAGTTTAGAAACGTCCATACTTACAATAAAGCTCAAGAAGTCATTGCTGTTATTAAGTTGTAGTTTTTATCACCTAATTATTTGCAAGTGATTTTTATTTCAATAGTGACTATGCATGGCATGTTTTCACCTATGGAAAAATTCAAAATCCAAAATTTTGAACTAGAACCTGCAGTGACTGAGTGACAGAGACCCTTGAACAATTCTGGTTCAACAGCCTGGGAACATCAGCATTTGATTTATAGAAGAGCTTTCTTAGTCTTTAGATAAACTGTCACTGTGAGCATATGGTACTGAAGGACCTGTCATATCAGTCTATAAGAACATTTATGCATGTTATGATAAAGAAAAGATGATGAAAGCATAAGTCTTTTAATTTTCAACCTTTCACTATATTTTGAGAATCTTGCATCTTTGCAACATCTCTACTTGAAAATAGAATAAGCTCTTGGCCAATGTGGATTTTCAATACCTTTAAAAATATGGCAGTTATCTCTTCCCAATTGAGAGAAAGAATTCAGAGAGAGAATATACTGGGTACTCTGTATCCTTAATCCTCCCTCAGTTTTTTAGTCAATTTTATTGCAGCTGCGACTTCATTGGTGAGCAGTGGCGAACAGTGGAGTTGGTCACTTGTTACTAGGAAAGGGAGGTTCAACAGGGACCTTCCACTCCATGGAATTATTTATTTGGACTACTATAAGAAAGGAAATAAAAGCATGTATCTTTATACTTTGGACTACATCATTATAATTGTTTCATCCTATGTCAGAAAATAGATGAAGTTTGTCTCTCAGGGCTCCCAAAATGAAAAGTTTCAAATGAAAGTCATTACTGTCCATCATCTCAGTATAAGATGGAGAGAGAGATGAGCAGTGGCCAGCTTGAACTTAGGTGGTCCCTTTGTATCCTTCTTTCCTAAAATGAGGGGTCAGGAGTTGATGGGACCAGCTCGCTAATCTTTGAAACAGTTCAAGGAGGAAAGTTTAACCAGTAAAGGCTGAGAACATATTGGAAGTCATATTTGATTATGACATAATGTCTTGAGAAAAATATAAATGGCTATGTACATTTATATAAATATAAGTTATAAAATATAATTTGACTGATGTCTGCTCTTCAAAGTTTTAAACCTTCTACTTATTACAATCATGCATCACTTAACTACACGGATTCTTTCTGAGAAATGTATGGTTAGGTGATTTTGTCATTGTGTGAATGTTACAGTGTGTACTCATGCAAACCTAGATGGTATGGCCTACTATACAACTTGGCTACATGGTATAGCCTATTGCTCCCAAATACAAACCTGTATAGCATGTTACTGTACTGAAGACTGTAGGTAGTTGTAACACAATGGTAAATATCTGTGTATTAAATACATCTAAGAATAGAAAAGGTATAGTAAAAAACTGTATGAAAGATGAAAACTGGTAAAACAGTATAGGCACTTCCCATGAATGGCACTTGCAAGACAGGAAGTGGCACTGGGTGAGTCAGCGAGTGACTAATGAGTGTGAAGGCCTAGGATGTTACTGTACACCGCTGTAGACTTCACAAGCACTGTACACTTAGGCTACACTACATTTATAAAGAATATTTTTGTTTTCAGTAATAAGTTAACTTTGGCTTACTTTAACTTTTTTACTTTATAAACTTCTTATTTTTTAAAAACATTTTGATTCTTTTGTAACAACACTAGTCTTAAAACACAAAGACATCATACAACAGTACAATTATATTTTTTCTTTATATTCTTATCCTATGAGCTGTATTTATTTAATTTTTTAACTTTTTAAACTTTTTTGTGAATAAGTAAGACATAAACACTTTAGCCTAGGCCTACACAGAGTCAGGATTGTCAATATCACTGTCTTTTTCCTTCACGTCTTGTCCCACTGAAAGGTCTTCGGAGCATTACCACGCATGGCACCATCATATCCTATGATAACAATGCCTCCTTCTGGAATCACTCCTGAAGGGTCTGTCTGAGGCTGTTCCACAGCGAACTTTTATTTTTCGTAAGTAGAAGGAGTACACTTTAAAATAACTACTAAAAGTATACTGTTGTAAATGCATAAATCAGTAATAGTCACCATTATCAAGCATTACGTACTGTACATCATTGTATGTGTTGGGCTTTTCTACAACTGGCAGTCCAGTAGGTTGGCTTATGCCAGCATCACTACAAACACATGAGTAATGCATTTCGCTATGATATTATGATGGCTGCAACATCACTAGACAATAGTAATACCTCAGTTTCATTATAATTTGACGGTACTGCCCTCATATATGTGGTCCATCATAGACCAAAATGTCATTATGTGGACTGTGACTGTACCTCGTAAAAAGAATGTAGTAATTCATGTGAAGCCTTGCAGAGAAAGGAATCTCCCCTTCTCATTAGCCAAAATTTTTCTTAAGACAGACTGTAACTTTTTAACAACTCCCTGCAATTCTTTTTTGGTTTTTGTTTTGTTTTGTTTTGTTTTTAATAGTCCTAAAGCTACCATTGGAAAGAATTATTTAGGAATATGTGCATGGAACAAAAATATAAAATACCATGTTAAAGTGATTCAAACATACTAACATCTTTTCTGAGATAATGCTTGTGGCACCCAGGCAATAATTTTAAAATTATATAACTATCCAGAAGTCATTCTCCTTAACTTTTTGAATAAAGTTTTAATAAGTTTAAATATTTAACATCGTTCTTTGATCATTACTAATATTACTCTCTTTTGATATGAATTTGGTTGATTTTCTGATATTCCTAATTGAATCTTAGTAAACAGAAGTGTCAAATATTGAAATGATACATATCTGTTTTTATCTTTACAAAAATCCAAGAAATTGTAGATTCAACAGTAAAACTACCATGACTAAAGACACATAATGATGCTACAGGTGGAGCATCCTAATCCAAAATCCAAAATGCTCCAAATTCTGAAATTTTTGAGCATCAACATGACGCAAGTAGAAAATTCCATATGTGACCTCATGTGATGTGTCACGGTCAAAACTTTGTTTCATTAATAAAAAGATTTAAAATGTAGTATAAAATTACCTTCATGCTATATGTATAGGTTGTATATGAAACATAAATGAATTTCATGTTTATACCTGGGTCTTATCCCATCTCATGTATAAACAAACTTGCTGAAATCTAAAAAAATCCCAAATGGGAAAAAATCCAAAATCCAAAACACTTGGTCCCAGGCATTTTAGATAAGGGATATTCAACCTACAGTAAATATTTATGTGTGATAAATATTAGATAAAACTTCAAAGGGCTTGTTTATCACAATTCTTCCTCTTCTTACTTTTCTTATCTAATTCTTTGGTGTTTCTATCTGAAATACAAAGTGTGCTATACTTTCATGTTCCCTCATGTGCTTATGTAGGGAAATCAGAATTTTTCTTTCTGATAAATGGTTTATGAATTCAGATGATGGCAATGAGGAAAATCATGAGTCTATACAGTCTAAGAAATTTCAGGACATTTGGATTAAGGATTTTTTTTAAAAAAAAAGATACTATGAATCATCCTTGGGCTTCTACCTGCATATTCATGCCAAATTATGAAACTATTATTTCGTCTTAGAGAGTGGTAGAATACGTAATATATTATAGTGATTATTTTTAAATGCTTTTTGTAAAACTCAGTTGCATTTTAGAAAATACAAATTTGTACAACTTTTAAATAATATTGTAATCCAAACATAACTTTAGAAAAATATATATATGCGTGTGTGTATACGTATATATTTCATAATGTATTTCAATGGAAACGTTGAGAGAAGGAAGTCCAAACATATGGCTCTCATACATATATAATCCAAACGTGTAATCCAAACTATATATAATATATAAAATAATGCATTTCAAAGGAAATGTGTGGATGTGTGTGTGTGTATATATATATATATATATATATACACGTATGTGCCATGCTGGTGTGTGTGTGCCATGTGCCATGCTGGTGTGTGTGTGTGTGTGTGTGTGTATATATGTATATACGTATATATATACATATATACATATATATACTTATATTATATGTATATATGTATATATAAGTATATTATATATACATATATTATATATATGTGTATATATACGTATATTATATATGTGTATATATACGTATATTATATATGTGTATATATACGTATATTATATATGTGTATATATAAGTATATTATATATGTGTATATATACGTATATTATATATGTGTATATATACGTATATTATATATATATATAAAGCATTTCAATGGAAATGTCTTGTGAGAGAAGAGAGGAGTAAGTAGCTTACGAAATAGGAAAATCACTTTTTAATACTTTTATATTCAAACACTATAAGAAAGAACAGCATTATTAGATCTAAATGAAAATAAAAACACACACAAAAAAAACAAAACACAACAACAAAAAGAAACCATGAGTCTGAACCCATGACTTTGTCAGTAAATACGCTTTTCCAGCTCTTTCACTCAAATGGTGAGCAGCCTTCATGGCACTTCAACTGCATTGAACCTCAAGCACACTGATTCTTGACTTTAATCAAGTAAACATATATATTTACTCTATACTATATATTTAATAGAGTAAATGAGCCAGAGTTTCATGAGGAATAGCTGAGCTCCTTTTGGAGCTAAGATAACTCAAGACAAGCCCAGAACGTCTTGTCAGAAAGCAAAAATATTTTAAAGTTATTGGGAAGGATTGTTTAAAAAGATTGGGTTAAAGAGATATCTACTGGCGAAGCTATGACACTTTGAGCATCAAAAAGAAAAAGAAACACAGATCCATGGGAATGCTTAAAAGAGACACACAGATGGAAGCCATAAATTGAGCCGGGATTCATTTAAAATAGAAATGTGTGATTTATGGTGACAAGGGTCGAGTGTAGTAATGAGAAACCAACTGAAGCAGGGGAGAAGCTGAAAATTAATTTCCTAGAAGACATTTACAGAGGATTAAAAATGTGTGCAGATAAATTAGATGAATGTTTTTGTGTCTGTAGTTGCCTTTTCTCCTCTTACATGTTTCTTCATGCAAGATCATAATAGTAAGAGTTATAAAAAGTCACACATGAGAGTAATTGATGAGGCAGTAAAGAGTACAGAGCAAACTCCAGCAGAACAGCAGCTCTCTCAGTTCACCATGACTCATGAGCTGTTGACCCTGGCCCACCAGGCATGAGGTGCAGGGCAAGGAGACTTCAGAAGGTGTACCAGACAGGAGCTGAAAGATTGCTCCTGACATGAAAGCACACAGTAGGTAAGAGCCGTGTGTCTTCTGTTGCATTAAAATCAAGCTTTAGTCATAGGCATGGTGCCTGCACATCATTGTCTAACACATTGAACAGTGACAACTGTAAGGTTTTTTTCTTTATTTGTTTTATCATCAAATCAGCATCCTCCGTGCACAGGTGAGGACACTAGTGCCCACAGAGATGACATGATTTTCCCAAGGTCAGATCTTCGACCCAATCTTCTAACTCCCAGACCAAGGCTATGTTTCCATGATACCAAATCATCTCACTTGGTTCTGAAACATTATGCATTTTTATGAATGAATAAATTTTTATTTGTTGAATGTTTTTCAAGGGCTTTATATTTATTTATCAAAATACCCACTTTAAAATACTGAAGCTTCACAGTGATGTACTTTGAGCTATATTTCAGTTTGGTGGCTTCAGAGCAGTTCTCAACTGGAGACTGATTTTGCTTTTGAGGGCATTCTTTGGAAATATCTGGAAATGTTTTTGGTTGTCATGATGGGGGAGGGGTATGCTGCGGGTAGTTGTTGATGAGAGGCCAGGAATGCTGCTAAATGATGCATAGGACAGCCCCTCACAACAAAGATTTATCCAGCCAAAAATGTCAATAGTGCCAAAGTTGAGAAAACCAGTTGTAGAAGATCATCCTGAGTTTGAATCTCAGGTCCGCCATCTACCAGCACACAGTATGGTCACCCCTCCATAAAATCAGGGTAATATTCCCACTTCAGTGTGTCAATGTGAATATCAAATAAGATCATATTCTTAGGGCTTATCCCAGATCCTGAACACTGATTAAGTTCTCAGCAGATAGTTGTTACTATCATCTCATTAAAGTGTTGTATCCTATGTACTAGGTTGTAAACCGCTCTAGCGCTTGAAAAAAACAGCAGTCTAAGACTCTGTAGTTGTTCTCTAGCAATTAATATTTACTGAGCTATTCAGATAAAGGAAGGAATTATTCTAGCTTAAATTATCCCATAAATGGTTTTCCATATGACCTGAGGTATGACAGGTTACAACAGGCACCAGATTCCTCTGGCAAGCCCTTCAGAACTAAAATAATGGGAGGAATAGTGGGGCAAGAGGTGGGCACAGGGAGGTGGGGGCAGAAAGGGACGACATCAAGGCCTCTGCATGCAGCCTGGACCTGGCATCTCACCTGCTGTTGAGCTACTGAGTTTCAGTGGCAATTTTCTGAGAAGGGAGGGAAACGACCATTCCACTTCCCTATAAAGTGCTCCCAGAGCTGTGTGCACGGGTGTGTTAATAAGCACTCCCTGAAGGTGGCGGTGAAGGTGGTGATGATGACAATGTGAGGACTATTCAGGTAGGCTGCTATTATCTGGAATGTACTATGATGTTTTTGTGCCCCGGTAACCAGTGCTTAAACTGGGATGTCATTGGAATCTCCTTCTAACTCTCCTATCTCAACTGTATCTACTCAGGCAGTGGTTTTCAACCCTTCATGTGCACCTGGAGAGCTCATTAAAACCCAGAGTGCTGGGTCCAACACCCATAGTTTCTGATTCAGTACTTCTGGGGTAGAGCCCAAGCATTTGCATTTCTTTCTTTCTTTCTTTCTTTCTTTCTTTCTTTCTTTCTTTCTTTCTTTCTTTCTTTCTTTCTCTCTCTCTCTCTCTCTCTCTCTCTCTCTCTCTCTCTCTCTCTCTCTTTCTTTCTTTCTTTATTTTCTTTTTGTTTTGTTTGATCGTTTGTTTTCTGAGACGGAGTCTCGCTCTGTCGCCCAGGCTGGACTGCAGTAGCGCTATCTCGGCTCACTGCAAACTCCACCTCCCGGGTTCATGCCATTCTCCTGCCTCAGCCTCCCGAGTAGCTGGGACTACAGGCGCCCGCCACCATGCCCGGCTAATTTTTTGTATTTTTAGTAGAGACGGGGTTTCACCGTGTTAGCCAGGATGGTCTCGATCTCCTGACCTCGTGATCCGCCCGCCTCGGCCTCCCAAAGTGCTGGGATTACAGGCATGAGCCACCGCGCCCGGCCAGCATTTGCATTTCTAACAAGTTCTCCAGGCGGTGCTGATGATCCTGGTCTGGGAAACACACTTTGAGAACCACTGCACTGAGGGAAAACATCAAAGCTGCAGTACTTGGAATATTTCTGCTGCCTCTTGGCTCAAAAACAAGTACTGCAAGCTGTGTGCTTTCTTCACACCCAAAGAGGGCCTCGTGGAGATGTGTGAAGATGTGACACCTTGTGCCTCATGATGACCTCCATTAACATGGGGACCATTGCAACGAAATGTTCTCGTGGGAAAAACAATTTGTCCCAGTGATTAACTGCAAAAGCTGAGACTGACCTTATCAATCTGAGAGAGGGAGTCATCTTGAGCGCCCAAGCGGACCAGGGCCAGGGCAGCGAAGAGGCTCAGAGAGGAAAAGAACACATTTCCATTTCCTTGATTGTCATCCATCTCTCTGAACAGGTTGAAGCAAAACTCTGCATTTGCTGCAGCAAGGGAGGCCATTGCAAAATGGAGTGCAGCCTAGAGGACAATGAGAAAATGAAATTAGTTCCCGGTACATTTTCTAGGAATATTATATTTTTAGATTTATTTATTTTTTATAATTTAAAGCTTCATTTTTTTTCAGCCTTGGAGGTAATCATCAAATAACTCTAACAAAAAGGGAAAAGTTCCCTTGGCCCAGTATCCTTGTCACTAATACCCTAAAACTATCTCTTCTCGTTGGTGGACATTTCTGTCCTCAGTGGCCTGTGAGTGGCCTGTTTCCAACCCCCAAGCAGACACATTCATGGGGCTCACTATTTCTCAAATCACCCCAGATTTCTGAACTGAAATAGAGCAAAAGTAAATATTACAATATTAGACAGTCTATTTGAGGCACTACAGCCTTTGCTTTCTAAACCATCTGTAATTCAATACAATGTTAAATTTTTGAGGTTTAACACATCATTTTTAACCCATTCTTTCCATTAAGGCCTCTGTAAATTCTTAGAACAATCATACATTCTATTTTTTTTCAAAACTGTCCTAATTTTAAGTATTATGCATCATTGGTCCCATAAGTGCATTAATTTGTTTAAAACCATTTTCTGATTTTTTTGGAATGCAAAGTGTGATTATCAGAGTATGTATCAAGAACATGTACAAGACTTTTCAACACATAGGCCTATTTCTTCCTAGAGAACCCAGGGTGCAGTAACAAAGTGGAGATTATCTTCAAATTCATGATGTTGTTTCTGCAATACAGACGGTTGCTACCACCATGGAATTCTTCAGGGATCCACTTGGGTAATTTTTTTTGCAGAATTTCTCCTCAACTCAAATTGATCTCAAAATAGCAGTTGGGGTTGTCTCAGACTACATGAACTTACATGAATTCTCCAAATTATTCCTCATGAATGTCCAATGATATTACATCTGATGGTGTGGCAGGTGCCAGGTGTTGCAGATGCCAGGAGTCACAAACCCTTAGGGGACTTCATCCAAGTCTCAACCCTGTTGCTAATAGTTGTGTGAACTGGGTCAAGTCTTTAATTTCTCTGAACTTCTAAGTTTCATCTTGTTCAGTGAGATGATCTATGTACAGGATCTAGCATAGCGATTCTCAACAGAAAATCATGCTTCCTTGTACCTTTTGCTCCATAAGAAGAGCACACATAGGCATCTGGGGACTGGCATGTTGTGGGTGAGGAAGGGGGTCACAAGGAGGGAGAGCCATGCAGTCTGAAAGAAGAACATTCTAAAATTGCCATTGTGTTGGCTTTGTCACAGTTGCAAATACTTAAGGCCTTTTAAAATTGTAAATGAAATTAAAATAAGTTTTTTAACTTTTATTATGTCAAATGGGAGTTTGAGTTAAAAAATTAAAAAAAAACTTTTCTAGTACAATGCATGATCCAGAGTAGACGTTCAATGAGTTGAAGCTGCTGCATTTACTATTCTCTGTGAAGTGGTAATAGCCTGTTCTGTCCTAAAAGACAGCAAACATTTCCAGAAAGAATGTCCCTGAGGGACCCATACTCTGCTCTTTGGAATTCCAAGCACAGAGAACACCACTGAGGCATGACACCCTACATGATGCTGTTTTTCAGGGTCAAATTCAGCTATATAGAATTCGTTATAAGTCATACTCCTCAGTTACACCCTAGGCACATAAGGTGAGAAAATCATTCACACCCCACATATCTTTACTCTAAGAAAGAACACCTATGTTCTTTCAAAAGTTACCCAGAAAAAAATGTATGTTGATTTTATATCTAATCCAAGCAATCCCGGGTAAAAAGTTGTGGCAATTGTGATTAAAGCTACAGGAGAAACTCTTTGCAACAAAGGAGACGAGAAACAATGAAAGTTAGGACTAGGTATACAGGATGCGAGTTGGCAGGAAAAGGGCAGCTTTATACAGTGAGTGATACTAGCAGTGCTAAAGGCCCTCAAATGTTTAAGGGATTCAATTCATATTTTTGACCTAAAGATAAGTATTCCTTCTAAAATATGAAAAAATAAGATCAAAATTAACAAGTTTACAATTAAATATATGAAAATGAAATCTATGCTGATTTTTCTATTTAGTATTCATAAGAATTTCATTAATTTTAGAAGGAAATTGTGTGCTAGATTCTCTCCATCCTAAAGAATTTCCAAGGCTTCATGCTGGTTGCCGAAAATCAGACAGTAGTAAATGAAATGAATTGTTCTTGGGAAAGTAACTTCAAAAGCAAAGTCATATTAATCCTTTCAAAGTATTTACAGTGAAAAATATATTTAATAGAAGATTGGGTGTATTTTAATGTTTTCATAAAATGTGAGTTAGAGTTTTTAAAATAAGACCTGAAAGGTTTTTAAATGACCCTGTTTAGAAACCTGCTTGCACGGGCCAATGGGGGTCTGGAAGCTATCATTTCCCAAAGTGCAAAAATATACTTTAAGATACATTTTTCTTTGTTCAAGTTCCAATTCTTCTTGTTGTTTTACAAATTATGCCTTACTATTTTATCCTTTGGGGCAAAAAAAAATTATACTTTTGAATAGTATTCTTTAATTACTTTCTAAGCACCAATCACAAATTTTCATTTTCTAAAATTTCAGGCTTCCTATTTCCATGGTAAATTATTGATGAAATTATAATCTTATTGAACAAAAGAGAAGCTACACAAGAATGTATTCATTCAGGATACAGAGTACATAAATGTTTAGCTTAGGTAAGTTTTATGGCAGAGAAACCATACTAGAAAAAAAAAATCACGACAGAGAAACATGAGCCAAGACATTCCTAGATAATTATGAATTCTCAAGTCATAACTCTTAAAATGATAGGTGATACTAACTAGCATATACTTTAACATTCTTGTACAGACATGTTCATGTATGCTTAAAATAAATACCAAAAAGTATGTTCCATTTCACATAATTATTTTTATTATCTTTCTCTATGCAGGTGCACTGTTTAAGTTCCAGGAATAAAAGTAAGATTTGTTTCTCCTCTTCTGATATAAAGTCTGATTCTTATTGGCAAATAAACAATTATATTTAAGACTGAACTGATTGTTTTATACCTCCAAGTTTTCATCAGGTGACACATAAATAAAAATTAGCATGAGACCAAAACTGTGATTTTTCCTTTCCCTATAAATACTTTCAAAGCAACTTAAATAGATAAAACATTAACAAAAATAAACTAAGTTCAGGCAAGCCACCAACAGCCACCAACAGCTACCAATTGACTTGAGTCCCAGTTAAATAACTAAGGAAATTGAAAAGGAAAACAACCACATTAAAGCTACCTAAAGAAGATGTCAGTGTGACACCACCCAGTATTTCATTGTCTGGACATGGCAATGCAGGAAAGTTCTTTTCAAATCATAAAAGAACTTGGTTTTAAAGTCTGATTTTTCATTTTGCTAAAAATATACTATATTCTTATGTTTCTTGCATAAATATTTTAGCTTAACAAACAAGCATGCAATTAATTTATAATTTTAAAGTTAACACAAATTAGCACGTACTCATGGATGTTTTTACATCCCAAACTTCAGACTTGAGGGTCTAAAAGTCCATGGCAGCCTGAAGCCTATTTGATTCCTTATGGTCTATTTCAATCTGAGAACTTTTTTATCCCTTTCATCCTTTAGCTAATATATTATTAGCATCAAAACAACAATAAAAATAGATATTTTCTCACTAAACCTTCTTTTTAAAGTTTAATAAAAAGCAAAAAGTAGTTTTTAAATAAAGCATAAGAAAATTCAGGCACAAAACACATTCAATAAAACATAAAGTTATGATACTATTTTATGGACCTAAACTTATTACACCTAACTGATAAATTATGTGCCTTAAATGCTTGATAAAAGTATTATCTAGTCTTAGGATACTTTTGCCTGTATATAGAAAATTAATTATAGTTCATGACACATTATTTTTTAAAAAAGCTTTTATATTTACTGAATTAGGATATACATATAGGAAAGAAATGAATAATCCCTTGAATGTGATTAATTTTTATTCTTATCAATAAGTCAAATACGATGCTATACAGATACTCTTGGAAGAAATATTTTAAAATCTTTGTATTTCTTTTAAAAACATAGTTTCAAATTTTGATCAACCTCTAATCAAATTAGTATATTATGCACTTAAAAGAGTTCAATTCTAATCTCAAAATCTAGTATATTCCAACCTATAATGCCTTAAATAAGAACACAGGAAATATAGAATCTAGATTTGCACATAATCCCTACTTATCTCTTCAAAGATGGAACACAAATTTTTCAGCTGGCATCCGATTCCCATGCCATTCTCCCATGACACCACTTAAATCAGTCATAGACAAGCTGTAAGGTGGAGAAGCAGACAAGAGGACCATTATCCGATCTGGATGTTGTGTGATGAGTTTAATGTCTCAGACACAAAGTAACCAAGATTTATTTCTCTCTCTCTCTCTGTGTCTGTGTGTGTGTGTGTGTGTGTGTGTGTGTGTGTGTGTGTGTGTGTGTCTTTTTTCAAAGGATCTGGCCAGACTTTAAATTATGGACTTCAGAAGTATTTACCTTACTGTCTTCATAGAGGAAGTTGGCCGCTGGTTGGGTGAGTCTGAAAGAGTTCTTTGCATTACTCTGAAATATAAAGCCTCTGACTCAGACACTCCCTACTTTTTTTTTTATGATGGCCATGATAGTTTTAAATAATGTCATTAAAATAAATATATTCAGATGCTTTATAGAGCAATTTAAAAGAAGTCTGTAGAATATTAGCTATAGCTCTAATTCAAAGTAGTCAAATAGATATTTTTAATGAATCAAATTTTAGCATGAAATGTTATTTCATTTGATATTTAGTATCACATAGTATTTTTATGTAGTAAATTTAGATATCCTTACATTAAGGCACAACTGGCACTTCTTACATGTGGAAATGTAGTTACTGATTTTTGTTATTGTTTATTTGATTCCTCCCTGCTCTGATTTTGGTATTTGATGAATATGACCGAGCCCCACCTGGAATAATTCATATTCTGACATCTATAAATTCAACTGTCATAGAGGAGTAGCACTGCAGTCCCAGAGAGGTGAAGAAAGCAAAGTGCTATAGAATAGAGTGGGCCTTTTCTCATCCATAAAATAAAAATTCACACCAATTACATTTTCATTAGTACACACACACATATATATATGTGTGTGTTGCTATGTATGTGTATAATCACTAACATGGTATTTATGCTGTATTTGGGGAACATTGTATTTAAGGGAGGCAGGTGAGCTGTCCCTCTCAAGAGAAGTAGGGTTGTACCTCACATAGTGTTTCTGACTTTATCTTACACATTATTTCCCACAAGTGTTTGCCCATACTGCCTTTATTTTCGTTGTATGATTAATGCTAAAATTGAGTATGCTGACTGTTTGAAGCTCTCTAAGGTGAATATGCTATCAGAGAGAGAGATGCGTTAGAATATATTGAACACATGGAGAGGGATATCTACCCCCATCAGAAAAGAAATACATTAGTGATAGGAACTTAGAAACCAAATAAATATCCAAAAAATGAGCAAATTTGATAATTATTAACTCCAGAGAAAGCTTACATTGTGAAAAGTATATCATAGTACACTTTATAGATCAACTGTGGATAAAATTATCATAGTCTTAATGATTTAAACCCCCCAGTCCTTGTTAGACGTCCATTGGGACCCACTTCTTCCCTTTGTCTACCAGAGCTTCTCACAGACCTTGGTTTATCTAGTATACCCAAAAACTATGCTTCATACCAGGACATGGTCTTTCAATTCGCACTATCTTAAGGCACACAAGAAGGTTTCTGACCACAAAACTCTACCCTCATCTTCTCAAGACTGTCTGAAATCACCACAGCAGTAGCCATCAGCTCCCACGCCACTGATAGAAGTAAGGTTTAGAAGGCAAATAAATCAGGCACGAAAGAATACACACAGTAAGATGCCCTTCATGAAAAGATCAAACCAGACAAAACTGTTTTTTAATGGATGCTTACATGGGTGGATAGACTAAGCCACGGATATAACTGCTTTAGTTACCCCTAGTGGGTGGGGAGGTTTTGTTGGTGAAAGAATGGGGAGGGAGGTTTTAGAGGTTCTGGTGATGTTCTATTATTAAATTGTATGCATCTATTGAATTCATCTTTATGTAGCTACATTATATTTCATTATTTTAAAACTCAACAGCAACAACAAAAAAAACATGAAGCCAAATGACCTAATGCCTCTGGGATAGGGTCATGGCGCATTGTGTATAACTGATAATTGATCTATTCCTGATAGCAGGTTTTGATGGACAATGGGCTGGGACACCAAGCCAAGGATACACAGGCATCAGTGAGGTAAAGAATAGGATGCAAAATAAGTCCAAGACTGACTGACATGGCCCAAGGAAGAGACCACGGGTCACAGTGTTCTCTCCAGCAGAATCCAAACCCAAGCACATTTGTGTATGGTGATAAAAGCTGCCCCACCAGAAAAGCATCCCTCCAAGGAGGCGACCTGGAGAGATTTCAGGCCTCTGAGCATGATCATTGGCCATTTACATCTTCCTTGAGATTCGTTAGTGAACTTACCTCTTGCCTACAACAGAAGATAAGAGCAATAATGTAAATCAATAATTGGATAAGCAAATCAACAGTGTACTCACGCTAGCATCTGATACCCAGAAGCAGTGATGGGAATCTGGTCTCCTTTCTCTAGGTGATCTGTTCTCACTCACAAAGAAAATGTTTCCACACTTCTCAAGACTGTTGAGCCCTAGGTATTTTCCCCCATGCACTTAGGAAGGTGATGAAGGAGAGCTTCGAAGGGAGCCTGTTTTACCACTACCTAATGAACCAAAGTCAGCATTTCTAGACAAAAATTTGTTCTAAAATTCTGAGAATTCAGTTTTAAAGGCTGTCCAAAGGTGCAGCCTGCACTCTGCACAGGCAGCTGCTTATTGATGAGTAGACCTGGCTTCTGGGATGGCTTCCCTATGACTCAGAGCACAGCACTGTCTCTCAAGAATCTTATAAGCATTTAGGTTTTGAACCAGGTTTCAAAATAGTATCTGACTAAGGTGGTTGTTATGTAGTTCATTCAGTTTGTATGTGAATCAGATTTCAGGAGGCAATATTCCCATCTCTGTTTCTTATAATGACAATGGTTTTAACATAACCATAAAAACAAATTTCAGAATCAACAGTATCTGTCAGCCTGGGTCAAAACATACTCTTCTGTGAGAAACACACAAATAGACTAACTAGACATCAAATCAACTAAGGCAAGATAGCAGTGACAACAGTGACTTGGTGAGTTTAGGGTGCCATTTTATTGCAACTTGCCACTCATCTTATAGCCTAATTTCTTTCAACCCTATCCTGTGTAAATTTCCCTAGCATAATGACCTAAAATAGAATCTCACACAATGTTTTTTATCATTCTCCAATCTCAGATTTTCATCTGGACCTCTAACCTTTTGAGCTGGCTTCTCTTTGTACTGCTTTCCATCCTTCCCTCTTTTTCTCAATTTTCTCTGGCTTGGAATTTTCCAGAGAAACATTTGCCCTGTTAGTTATTGCAACTGGCTTCTCTAAATGCTTACCTGAACTGAGCAGCTTCAGATAGGAGCTGAAACTTGGTGTGTTCATTCATTCTTGTCATCCTGCCAGCCTCTCCTCCACCCTTCTGATCTGGCAATGGAAAGCCACGTCTGCACCACCCAGATCCTTCCTCCTATAATACAGGCTAGAGTTTGTTAAAGTGGGTTTGCACTTTGAAAAGTGACCAGGTGTAGGGAAAGGTAGGTTGGGCCCAGTTGGTTGCCTACACCTTTGCCATCAGAACATGCCACACAGGGGCAAAAACACATTTCAGTTTCTGGCCGTAGCATCATGAGGTTGAGCTGTATGTTGCACCTACCTTCACCTGCTATGCATGGAAATGACTGCAAGCCTGGTCCTTCTGCCTGAGTGTTTTCAAAAGTACAGCCAACATTTATCCAAGTAACTGGGTTCTCTATTGTAAAAAGCTATTGGAATTAGAAGGTACCATCATCTTACAGTTGCTCGCCTCTCAATTTTGTGCAATTTTGCCTCTTTCCCAGGAAGAAGGGGGTCCTGTTAACTTATCCAAAATCGAATAAAGTAGTTATTGCTCACCTCCATGATTGTTTATGAGTAGAATAATCATAGAGAAAAGTAAAGTTGCAGAAAATCCCTGAAATTTAATTTTGATTTAGCAGTTGTGGTGAACTTTCTGAAGGAGAAGGTTGTTGTTAATATAAAAAAAAAATGAGCCTACAAATGGATTCCCTGTTCTCCATATTCTAATTGCAGTGTTCATAGGCTGAATATTTTGAATCCCATATCCTTTCTATTTCTTACCTACTGAGGATATAAAGTACTTTCAAGTGGTGAAATGGTCAATAGGTAAAAGGCAAGGGACCCACGTGACACACATACTGGATAATCTTCTTGGAATTACCAAGAGTCATCCATAATTAAGGCTCTACTCACCATTGTTTTCTTCTTCACATTAACTCAGACATCCCTCCCACTACTGTGTTTGCAACAGTTGATTTACAATTAACCAATCCCAAAGTGACATAAGTATGAGAAGAAAGCAGTCATGTGGACTGGCGTGTTACATTAATTATTCTCCCTTGCCATACAATGATAATCCAAATTTCCATTGGCCTTGCCAGTTCATGCATATAGATGAGGAAACATGAACTGTAATAACCTACATTTTACTGTCTCTTGTCCTCACTTACCCAGGGCTGAAGAGGGATTTAAGGAAACTACTAGGGATTAATTCAGGATTACACGAGGTGTCAGTAGAGAAGGCTGTGAACTCTGGTTACATAGAGCTCTGTAGTTAGGCTGAAGATATAAGAATTCTTTGGTGACCGAATACTAATGGCGAGGGCATGGTAAGGGGTGCTAGATTTAGTGTAGTGCCCAGAAAATGGAAATGACCTGGGAATACTTAATGTTCCAAATTAGGGATATTCTTTGCACATCCTAAAAGATATAAACCTATTCCCTGGAAGCTGATGTCATTTGTGTTTTATTTGTTTGCTTGATATGGTTTTTGTTGGTCCAAATTCCAGACATTGAAATTTTTATATAAACTCTGTTTACCAAATCTAACCTTTCTAATCTATCTATTTGAAGAAAATCTTGTAGTGGCAAGTTCCATGGCTTAATTGCAGATTCTATCATGTGAATTCATTCTAAGTGATTGCATGTTAGGTCTATTTTTACTTCTTGATGTATTCTTTGTCGTTTTACTGTGGGCAGGACACAAAGGAATTCAGTTACTCTATGTCTCTTGTTTACATGTAAATATTTACCCTCTCTTCTCTTTTTGCTATAATTCCTCCTCCTTCTTCTGATTCTCTTTTACTTTTGACATGAATAATCGCAGCTTTCACTTGGCAATAAATAACATGATATAATATTGTCCTTATGCATTTAAATGAATGCAATCAGCGGAACTTCCTATCATCTCTCTGATCAGAATTCCAACTGCAGGAGGCCTTGTTGGTTTCCACTTATTTGTGCTACATCATTTCATCACGTTGTCGTGGCCCCAACCAACATAATAATAAATGGAAAATTCTTGAAGAATCACTATTGTTATCAGTGCTACCTTTTCTAGTTAAACCTTTTAGTTCTATGAGATTCATGAACAAACACAGGGAGGTTTTCTAAACAAAATCCAAATCTAATTTTAGAAGCAAATTAAAGTTCACTTTCTACCTCAGGATTTCAACTTCCCAAAGAAATGCAGTAATTGGTCCCATTTCACCTCCTAAATTATTTTATCATCACGTTTTGAATGTCATTATTTGTCATGAAAAAGTAAATATTCTAAACCTTTAAATTTATTAAGCTTTACCTTGACCAGTTTCAGTGGCAAAGTTAAATATAAATGATGTATCTAATTTTCCTACAAGCCTCTATTTTCTTATCCTTTAAAATTATTGTTGGGTTTGTAAATGGGAGCTTTAAAACCTCTACCTATATTCTTCCATTTGCAGAGTGATGCTTAAATCCTCACTTTAATTTTAATTAAATATGCAAATTCAGTGGCCTTGAAAGTAAATATATATCCAATTTTTTCCTTTATTAATAGATAGATAGATAGTAAGCTAAAGGAAACTTTAGACATTATTTAAGTTGAAGTCTCCCATTTTACAAATGAGAAAAGTAGGACTCAGAAAGTTTGTGTTGTGTCTTTCTCAAATAAGAAGCAGTTGATCCTCTCCCTTCTCCCGCCCTCCAGCCTCAAGTGTACGCTTATTACCTAAGAGAGGAAATAATCTCTATACAACGTCCCTGCCGACATGCAGTTTACCTGTATAACAAACCTGCACATGTATTCCTGAACTTAAAATAAAAGTTAAAAAAAAAAAGAAGCAGCTGAAATAGATCCTAGGGTGCCTATGATTTTTTTTTTCCTTTTTGAACCATGAAGCCTTCCTGATCATTTCTGGGCTTGTCTCCCACTACATCCTTTTAAACTTATCCTTAGAAGTCAGAAGACAATATGGCTACTATCTTGACTTATTCATAAATATCCCCACAAAATCTGCTTAAAAAAATCACAGTCCATCTGTTCTCATAAGGGTCTATGAGAAACAGAGAATCCCATATATAACCTTATCAAAAACAAAAGTAAACCCTTTCAACTCAGAGTAGTTTCCTGACTATTTTTGGAGTAATAAATTTCCAACCCGTGCGAACCCTTAGAAGGATGCCTTTAATTTACGGGCAGAGGTTGCAATAGCATGTATCAATTCTGTCTTTAAGAAAAAAACAATATGTTCTGTGTATGTGAAACATATAAGAACACATGAAATAAGTATAAGCTAATGGGAAGTCTAATAAGATTAGGAAACTATTAAAAGTTTATCTTATTGTGGTCATTTCATTTACAATTCTATCAATCATTATAAATAAGATATAAAATAAAAGTAAAACCTGAGAATAAAAACTGGGAGCCACCAGGATCCAGTCTATGCAGGAAACCATATTCAAAGAAAACACAAATCCCATTTCATTCACTTAGGCTTCCTTGAAGAGACCTCCCTAAGGATTTCACAAAGCATGCCAACATCGAAAGTACTTCCTACATTCTTTTAAAATATTTCTTCCCATCCCCGAACTTTCACTCACATCAGCAACTAAATACCTTTCGTCTCTCTTCAAATGCAGTTTCCTCACAACAATTATGCCTCCCTTTCCCTTTTGTCTCTTACTTTCTTGTACATGTTCACATTATCCCCATTCCTAAAGCACCCAGTGCCATGTGACCTACCCACCCCACCCCACCCCACCACGCAAACTGCATGCACATCTTTTGGAAGTTCAGTTTTTCTTCCACTCTGGCAACATCTCAGACTATCAGCCCCCTTTGTTCCAACGAAGATGAATAAAATTTTATGGAATCTCTCTGTGTGAGTGTGTGAGTGAGTGTGTGTGTGTGTGTGTGTGTGTGTGCATGTGCAGACTGGAAATAAAATAAAGTAAGGTTGTAAAAGATTTAAACAACATAATCATTATGTTAAATATGAATCTATTGAACTCTATACCCTAATAGTAGAGAACACATTCATCTCAAATGCCCATGGCTCATGCATAGAAATTCATCACATATAAGTCACAAATAAAATATCAGTAACTTTAATAAAGGAAAAATATTACAAACAATACTCTCTGATCACATTTAATAAAACTAGAGTTTACTATCAACAACAGCAGAAAAACTCACATGTTCCTTCACATGGACAGTAAAAATCCTGTCATTAATTCCTGAGTAAAAGTTAAATAGAAACTGAAATTACAAGAATTTAATAATAATAATAATGACAATAGCTTCCAGTTGGGGTCAAGATATGAAAAGCACACTCCACCATATTCTTTCCTGCTAATTACAACTAAAACTTCTGGACAAAAGCCATAGAGTAACTATGAGAAAACTCTAAAAGGGGAAGAAAAGAAGGAAGACTGGCCAGGAATCTCAGGACTTGAGGGGCCACTTAGTATTACATTTGTTGTTGTTGTTGTTGTTTTCCTTTACATTCCAGCCTAGGTGCTATTGCCAACCACACCCTGCAGCTATAATACTAATAGAGGCAGGGATAAAATCTCTCTAACCAGAGGTCCGGAAAGAAGAAGAATCCTTTGGATGATAATAACCCCACTACAAGCAGATGCCACAAGAGAAGCAACACCCTCTATCCTCCCCACTGGCCTGGTTGCTGTAAAAACTGTAGGGTAGAACCATAATGACAATCCCACTCTACACTAAGCAAACACAAGCAGAAGCGGCAATGTCCTGCCTCCATCCTTTGATGGTGACTGCAGACACAGATAACAAAGCCCTTCCCCTTCCACTCACACTGTGTGCACCAAGTCGTGAGGTGGGATCCTGTCAACTACCACCCTGAAGAAAGTAGACACTAGCAAAAGTGTAGCACCCCTTCCCCTCCCAGGTAGAGGGTTTGAGGACAATCATAAAGAAGTGAGAGATGGAGAAAAGAATGATTTAAATTTGTATATGAAGTCCTGAGTTCACCACTGTTCCATTAATCTGTGAAAATGAACAGAATCAATAGAGCAAAAGCTTTGTTGACTAAATTATGATACAGTTTCAGATTGACTGCTGGGTAGTGCAAAAACAGGGCAGATGAGAGTAGGACTACAAAGATTTTGACAATTAAATTGCCATTAAAACCAGAACTCACCAATTATCATTAAAACCATTGCTGTCTATTTAAAAAGTAGATTTAAACAGGAACCAGAGTCTCATTATATAATACTCAAAATGTCCAGGACATAATACAAAATACTTGTCAAACCAAAAACCAGGAAAGTCTCAATTCATATGGCAAAAGACAATCAGCAGATGTCAACACCAAGATGAGACAGATTTTAGAATTATCTGACAAGGATTTTAAAGCAGCTATTTTAAAAAGTCTCTAACAAGTGGTTTCAGACACTTTTATAATAAGTGGGAAAATAGAAAATAGATAGTAATAGCAAATAGAAATTTTAGAATAAAAAATACAATAATAAAAATCAAAATGTAGTAATGAAAATGATGGAAAAAATAAAGAAACTTTTAGAGAGATCAACAGAAATTTTTCAATCAATTTTTCTTTTTCATTTAATTTCAAATTTTCTGTTCATCTCTCTTTAAGAGCTTGTGAGACACCAATAAAACATCTAACATTATGTCATTGAGTTGTAACTCCAAGTTATTTACCCAAGGAAAAAGAAAGATTATTTGCACAAAAGTGCTTGTACATAAGTGTTACAGTACCTTCATTCATTCACGATAGCTAAAAACTTTAAACAAACCAAATATTCCTCAACAGGTGTTAAATAAAATAAAGATAAATTGTGGTATAGCCAAACAATGGAATACTAGTCCTTTTTTTAGAAGAGCAAATTATTGATACATTCAAAACTGTGGATGAATCTCAAAATCCCTAAAACAAAACCATAATCTGATTTATGGTAACAAAGAGCTTAGTAGTAGACTGGGGCCAGGGCTGGAGGGAGGACAGATGGCAAAGGGACCTTGGGGAGTTTTGGGGGTGATGGAAACATTCTATGAATTGATGGTGGCAGTGGTTTCCTGGGTGTGGCAATTTTTTTTGCATTTGTCAGAGCTCATTGAATTACATTTTAAATTGATGCAATTTATTATGCATAATTGTAGTTCAATAAAGCTGACTTTTCAAAACCTTAATAGGAAGAAAGACATGCAAAATGTAACAAAAATATCTAATTGTATCACAAATGTATGAAACAAACTCACTGAAAGGGAAAAGGCATGAACCTAAGTGACTTTGGAAATGAGTGGAGTTTGTAAGACTAAAGGCAAAAGAAACTGCACATAAGCACTGTGGTCCAGTAATAAAGGTGTTTCTCACAGGAGTATAGGTAAATAATTCTGATATCATTATACATGTATAGTGGAATGGAGTGATGAAATAAATGGATGAAAGATGGTGCGAGTCAAATTTTCTCACTATTGGAGCAGAAGGTTATAGATAAGCAAGAAAAAAAGGGTAGAATGATCTACAGAATAAAAAAAAATGAAGAACAGTCTCAAACCAATAATCTATACTTTCACTTAAAGAAACTAGGACAAGAGCAAAATAAACCAAAAACAAACAGAAACAAGAAAATCATAAAGAAAAGAGCAGTAATCAATAAAAACAATACAGAAAATCAATTAATCCAAAAGATAATTTCCTAAATTAATCAATAAGATTTAACCCCTAACGAGACTGTCACTAAAAAGAAAGAGAACATATAAATTCTCAATATCAGGAAGGGAAGAGACCTTCAGACTTCACAGACCTCACAGATATTAAAAGAATTTTTTTAAAAACACTAGGAATAACTTTAAGCACATAAATTTAACAACTTAGAAAAGCTAGACCAAAGCTGTGGAAAATCTCAAACTACCAAAACTCACCCCATATTAAACAAATCACCTGAATAGTTCTATACCTATCAAAATTAAATGTGTAGTTTTAAACTCCAAAAATAGAAATCTCAAGTCCCAGATGGTCTTCTTAGAGAATTCTACCAAATATTCAGAGAAGAGATAACACCAATATTACACAATCTTTTCCAGAAAATGAGAAATAACAGTTTCCAGCTCATTTATGAGCTGGAAAATCCAGAATAAAATATTAGTAAATCAAACCAGCAATATATAAAAATTATAATACATCACAACCAAGAAGGATTTATGTTAGTAATGCAAGGCTGGTTCAATATTAGAAAGCATGTTAGTATAATCTATTAACACTCCAAGGAAAAGGCGAGGGAGGAAACACAGTCTTTCTTTTATTTCCCACAGACTCAACTATAAGACCTGGACAGAATGTGTAGATGGATATTTGAAAACTCTAAAAAGCAAATATCAACAGATTGATCTGGGAAGAACAGAATTCTAAATACAATCAAGACAATGGTGAGCTTAACTTTTTTCCCCTCTATTATTCCCATCCTGAATAAATACATTTATTTATTTAACTTAGCCCACCCCAGAACTCTGAATTGAGTATTGTGAAGCAGACAGAGTGAAATCCAGGAGAAGCCCTCTGGTGCTGGCTTGAGTAGCAGAAAAGAGAGCTCTAAAAAGTTCGGCGAATGTGTGAGAAATCTCTGCATATTTTTTTTTCTCTCCATTGCCTCTATTCTTTCACATCACAGTCCCCAACTGGACCTGTGTAGGTCCATGGTTATCCAGCAAGAGTGGCCTGGAATGACAGCCTCTACTCTTACTCAGCATAGGACAGGAGAAGGCTAACCATGCTGTGAACAGAGATGTAGCAGTGGAGATGGAGAAAAGTAATGGATTTATGCAAAGTTGAAAGTGTATTTAGCAGAACTTGCTGATTGGATGTGGAAGGTAATGAAAGAAGTAGAAAAAAGAATCACTTCAAGTTTCTTTGGTTTATGTAACTAGTTGCCTTGCTTTTTACCAAAATGCAGATGACTAGAGGGAATTGAAAGTTGTTTTGATAATGGTTTGAGCAGCCTTTAGATGGTAATGTCAGACAGATAGTTTTATCCAGTTCAGGAAAGAAGTCAGGGCTGGGTTGGGAAGGTAGCAATCAGCATATAGATATATCTTTTTAAGTTGGGAGATCATAAGTCATCTTGTTTGCTTTGGGAATCATCTAGTGGAAGAATAATAGACGGTGAAGGAGAAAGAGAAAGACAATTTCAGAAGAACATTCCTGCAAAATGATCCCCAAGGGCATGAGCAAAAGTTTAGCCTTCAAGTGCAAACTAGACCACCTCAACATAGAACTGGAAAGTTCAGGAAGTGCTATGCCACGATTCTCAGTAAGTTTTATTTGTCGAACAATTTATTGAATGCTTACCCAAATGTAGGCCATGGGTATATACATTTTTGGAAAAAATAAAACATGATTTCTTCTTTTAAAAGTTAGGAAAAACAGGAATTTGGTAAACAAACATACACACTGTATCCAAGAATGTTAATACCCAAGATTCATTCTCCCTCTTTTTCTTTTAAAGGAAACTAAATTTTGTTTAGTTGAAAGAAAACTAATGGGAAACGGGAGAAGCCATTGTGCCCAGTTTAAAAACAAACGAAAGAATTCCCTCCTCCCTTGCAGATGGGGAGGAACATGTGTCTAGATTCTGACAAATAGTCATGCAAGTAGAAGCTTCTGTCTATGGCTTCCAGGAAACTTTTCCAAGAGAGGAGTTACACAGTTGTTAGGTGCCCATTTTATCCTATGCTCTTCACTGCTCTTCCCTGGAATGTAGGCTGCAGGAGGTAGAGCAGCATCCTTGTGATTGGGGACAGAGACACTGAAGGAAAGAACAAAGGTATTACAGAGACATCTGCCCTGATAGCCTTGAGCCACTAACGGCAAGACCAGCAACCCCTTACCTAACTCTAAACTTCTAATTACATGAAAAAATGCTGTTTTTCAGCTGCTTGAAACCTGTCAAATTAATCCTAATACATTAAACACACGCTATAAATAATAAGTGCTATGAAGGAAAAAAATCGGTTTCTAGAAAGAGAATAATAGGATGGGAATCACTTATTTAGATTGTAATGTCAATCGAGGCATTTCTAAGGAAATAAATCTAAGTCAGGATCTAAAATATAAGAATGGAGCTGCAGTATATGAGCAGGAGAGGAAGGGAGAGAGCATTCTAGAAATAAAGAACAGCAAGAAGAGTGGCATAGGATGAGGAAAACCAGGGACTGTGTAGAGGCTATAGGCCATCAGAAAGAATTTGAATTTTATCCTAAATGGGAAGGGAAGCTAGTGAAATATTTTAAGCAAGAGATGGCTTATTCTTATCTTACTTTTTAAAAAATAACACTCTAGCTGCTCTAGAAAACAAATCAGAGATGGACAAGAGTGGAAACAAAACAAACAAAAGACAGGTTATTTGAACAGACTAGGCCAGAAATAATAGTGATGTGGACCACGGAGTGCCATCAGAGATGGAGAAAATGTACTCCAGATAAATTTAGGAGGTAGAATCTTCAGGCTACACTGACGGATTTTATAAGGAAAGGGAAGAAAATGAAAAAAACAAGATAACATCTGGACTTATGGCTTTGGTAATTGAACAAGAGTTTGTAACATTTTTCTAAGATGTGGAATATTGCAGAGAATGAGATTTGGGGACTTAAGTTTGAGGTGCTTATGGCTATTCACACATAGTTGAATCTACAATTGTGGGAGGTGACTATGAAGGAAAAAACAAAGGAATCACAGAGAGCTCAGAAGATTTTATTTGTCATAAACAAATTCTGCAATTTGTTTATGGTCTTTTAAATTTCTGTTGATAATTTTAACATAGATGTAATTTATATGTTTACATAGTGAAAAATATATCATTTTTTCTGTGGTTTATGTTTAGAAACTCCTTTCCTACTCTGTGATCCAATGCCTAATTACTCACCTCTTCTGGTAGTTGATTTTGTTTTATTTTCTTGCCTTCTGTAGTCTTTAGATATGAGGTGATGATACACACATGTAATAATAATAATAGTGGTTAATCAAATATACCACTATTATTTCTTTAAGCTCTCTTTTCCCAAAAGATGTGTGATACCCATGCATCACAAGCTGTTTTAACTTTCTAACAGTCTATTTCTGAGTTACACTCTGCTCCATTCATATGTCCATTTTTTTTGCCAATTAAAATTGTTTAATAAGAGTATATTTCAGTGTTTATTTTTCGAGAGAAATACCTGACTGGAGAGTATAGTGGAATTATTAATTTCTATGATTTTAAAAACACATCGAGTCACCTGTTACCTAAGAATAGCCTTGGTGCTTGGGAACAGCCCCTCCTGAGAGATGAGTGAGAAGTTTCCTCTTGACTCTCCACTCAGCAGCCACATGGATAGGGACAGTCAGAGCTCAAATAAGCAGAAACCTGAGTTCCTTCAAGAAAGGGCCAAACCACTTTGTCACTCATATGTTTATTTGAATATGAATTAGTCAGAAAACAATTTGTTTTTGAAATCCCCAGACACAGTAATTGGGCTAAGGCCCACAGAACAGTAGAGTGGTAACACCTTCTTAGTTTAGCAAACCAAATCCCACTGCCCTCACATAATCCTACCCAAGATATTGGGAACCACGGCTGTAAGTGATAGAGAAAAATTCATCCAAGCCTATCAGGTTAACAATCACTTATAAGAATTCAACTCTTGGGAAAATTTGTTTCTTTACCCTGAAGGTTGAGTAAGCTTCACTCTAGGGCCTGCCTCTAATTTAGCTCATACCATAGAAATGGCATGCAGAGTTTCTGTTTTCATAACTTGGGAAATACTATACAATTGTATTGTAATGCAATTCTCTACAGTGACCCATTTAGTAACACAGGTCGAACTTGTTCTTTTCTGGGTTCATTGGCCTGAAATGCATTCCCAAGTCATGGAATTCTCAAAGAATAGCATGGTGAAATGTTAGGATTTAAGACATTAGAAATTTCCTTGATTTAGTAAAGTAATTAGTTCATGTTCACAGGACATGATTTTTAATAAAGAAAAGTAGCTACAATATTATTTACCCAATGGCCAATAATTTCTGCCTTATTAAACCCAAGTCAAAGGCACCAGTGAAAGCTGAAACTCATTCTTTAGCCTTTAACTTCATTCTCTGACTTTTTATTATTTAAGGTACTCTTTGTAAGTGCTTCATATTTCCATAACAGTTTAACATCAGATATTTAATTTTTGGATTAGTATCATCCTTTAGGCAGCACATGATGAATTTGACCACTACCAAATTTAGCTTCTGGCTGTGACTTCATCAGAATTATTTTAAAAGAAGACAAACCTATTTTTAGATTGTCTCATAAATGAAAGGTGGATTACTTACCAATTTTTTAAATATTACAATATTTAGACCAGCTCCAACATAAAACCATGTTAGATTGAAAATTATTAAATAGTTACATAATAACAGCAGAAATTCTAAGAACAGTTTATTCTAGTAACTAAATTACTTTCTGGACGATATATTAGTTGTTTCCATTGGTTAGCATAGTATTTCTGCTTGTTAAAAAAATAGTAGCAGGAAAGTTGAAGCACAAAACATGGTAGAGATATAGAATTTTCAACAATTTCCTGTAATAACTCAGAAAAATTATGTCAGCACTTTGATTACGAAAAGCAGAGGCTCATATGATATCAGCAATGGTGCCCAATCTCAGTCCAGAGCAAGATTTTCATCTACCTTGTAGTCTAACCCCAATTCACCCAAATCCACAGTTAAAGGAGTATGTTTTATGCTACACTATAGTAGCTGAAACCCCCCTTTTACTGAGGTAATCTAAAAATAGGAATATGACCTAACCTCAAGGCAAATGTCATCTACGTCTTAATCCACAATTATCTGCTAATATTAAGAACATGCAGGTAATTAAATTTAATGTTTACTTTAAAATATTATCTTGTTATATTTATATAACTCCTGTTTTATGATCAAATAGTGGTGATTGAGAAATAAAAATGAATCCAGAAGGCATTGCTGACTCTCATGAAAGATGTCATCACATTAAATGACTCTTCTCATAAACATTTGTACATGGAAAGTCAAAGATTAAAAAACTGCTCAAAACCACAGAACAAGTGAGTATCAAATGTGTCAGCAAAGATCAGGCCTTCTAACTCTTGTTAGTTTTCTGCTCTCGTCACTCCCCCAGAGCTATCATGGGGGGGAAATAAGGCAAATCAGATCCTTGGCATATGCAGTTCTCCTGACTGTGCCTGCAGCTAGAATCCTCAATACATATAATCTCTTCCCATTTCCTTTCATCTCATAAGCATATCCAGGAGGCCTCAGTGTCTTCAAGCACCTGATATGCATACCAATGCACGTAATCTGTAAATCAGACTCAATAATAGTGGAATGTTCTGGGCAAGTGAGTTCTGAATCAACCTACAAAGACTGTCTCTGCAGAGATAAGAAAAATATGACAATCTTATTTTAGAGACCAGCCTGCACATTAAACCAAAGAAGATAAGTGTAGTGGAATTAATTTTAATAAATTTGCCCTTTGAAATCCTTCATCCAGTGGCCTTTTCCCCCTCCAGTCAATAGATTCATTCATCCACTCATTGACTGAACGAATTTTCTTCACAGGCCTGGTGGGTGCTGGGCTTGGCACCACATTGCAGGGTTACTGTGGAGCAGAAGACCCAGTTCTTGCCCTCCATGGTCCCACAGTCCACTAAGGGAAACAACTCACAAGCAATTACGAGGTGGCATGAAAACTACCATAAGTGATGCTGTTTGGACAACATGGAAGTAGACGTCACTGAGTCCTAGAAGAATTAGAAACTGTTTTCCACAGAAATGTAGACCTGAAAGATAAGTTGGATCAGGTCAGACCTAGAAGACAGAGAGGTGGCCCCAGCAGGACACGCCAGGTGTATTAGTCTGTTTTTGCACGGCTGATAAAGACATACCTGAGATTGGGAAGAAAAAGAAAAAAAAGTTTAATTGAACTTACAGTTCCACATAGCTTGGGAGGCCTCATAATCATGGCAGGAGGTGAAAGGCACTTCTTACATGGCGGCAGCAAGAGAAAATGAGGAAGAAGCAAAAGCGGAAACCCCTGATAAATCCATCAGATCTTGTGAGACTTATTCACTATCACGAGAATAGCACAGGAAAGACTGGCCTCCATGATTCAATTGCCTCTCCCTGGGTCCCTCCCACAACATGTGGGAATTCTGGGAGATAAAATTTGAGTTGAGATTTGGATGGGGACACAGTCAAACCATATCATTTAGTCCCTGGCCCCTCCAAATCTCATGTCCTCACATTTTAAAACCAATCACGCCTTCCCAACAGTCCCCCAAAGTCTTAACTCATTTCAGCATTAACCCAAAAGTTCACAGTCCAAAGTCTCACTTGAGACAAGGCAAGTCCCTTCTGTCTATGAGCCTGTAAAATCAAAAGCAAGTTAGTTACTTCCTAGATACAATGGTGGCACAGGAATTGGGTAAATACAGCCATTCCAAATGGGAGAAATTGGACAAAACAAAGGGATTACAGGGCCCATGCAAGTTTGAAATCCAGCAGGGCAGTCAAATTTTAAAGCTCCAAAATAATCTCCTTTGCCTCCAGGTCTCACATCCAGGTCATGCTGATGCAAGAGGTGGGTTTCCATGGTCTTGGACAGCTCTGCCCCTGTGGCTTTGCAGGATACAGCCTGCCTCCCAGCTGCTTTCATGGCCTGGTGTTGAGTGTGTGTGGCTTTTCCAGGCGCAAAGTACAAGCTGTCAGTGGATCTTCCCATTCTGGGGTCTGAAGGACAGTGGCCCTCTTCTCACAGCCCCACTAGGCAGTAGCCCAGTAGGGACTCTATGTGGGGGCTTCAACCCCACATTTCCCTTCTGCACTGCCCTAGCAAAGGTTCTCCATGAGAGGACCACTCCTACAGCAAACTTTTGCCTGGGCATCCAGGAATTTCTATACATCTTCTGAAATCTAGGCAGAGGTTCCCAAACCTCAATTCTTGACTTCTGTGAACCTGCAGGCTCAACACCACATGGAAGCTGCCAAGGCTTGGGTCTTCCACCCTCTGAAGCCATAGCCCGAGCTGTACATTGGCCCCTTTCAGCCACTGCTGGAGCAGCTGGGACAGAGGGCACCAAGACCCTAGGCTGCACACAATACGAGGACCCTGGGCCCAGCCCACAAAACCACTTTTTCCTCCTGGGTCTCCAGGCCTGCAATGGGAGGGGCCACCATGAAGGTCTCTGACATGGTCTGGAGACATTTTCCCTATGATCTTGGGGATTAACATTAGGCTCCTTGCTACTTATGCAAATTTCTGCAGCCAGCTTGAATTTCTCCCCAGAAAATGGGTTTTTCTTTTCTATCACATAGTCAGGCTGCAAATTTTCCAAACTTTTTGCTCTGCTTCCCTTATAAAACAGAATGCCTTTAACAATACCCAAGTCACCTCTCGAATGCTTTGCTCCTTAGAAATTTCTTCCACCAGATATCCTAAATCATCATTTTCAAGTTCAAAGTTTCACAAATCTCTAGGGCAGGGGCAAAAAGCCACCAGTCTCTTTGCTAAAACATAACAAGAGTCACCTTTGCTCCAGTTCCCAACAAGTTCCTCATCTCCATCAGAGATCACCTCAGCCTGGACTTTATTGTCCATATTGCTATCAGCATTTTGGGCAAAGCCATTCATCAAGTCTCTAGGAAGTTCCAAACTTTCCCACATTTTCCTGTCTTCTGAGCCCTCCAAACTATTCCAACCTCTGCCTGTTACCCAGTTCCAAAGTCACTTCCACATTTTTGGGTATTTTTTCAGCAACACCCCACTCCTGGTACCAATTTACTGTATTAGTCTGTTTTCACGCTGCTGATAAAGACATACCTGAGACTGGGAAGAAAAAGAGGTTTCATTGGACTTACAGTTCCACATGGCTGTGGAGGCCTCAGAATCATGGGGGGAGGTGAGAAGCACTTCTTACATGGTAGTGACAAGAGAAAATGAGGAAGAAGCAAGAGCGGAAACCCCTGATAAACTCATACGATCTCATGAGACTTACTCACTATGACAAGAATAGCATGGGAAAGACCAACCACCTTGATTCAATTACCTCCCTCTGGGTCCTTCCACAACACATGGGAATTCTGGGAGATACAATTCAAGATGAGAATTTGGGTGGAGACACAGCCAAACCCCACTTCAGGGGTAGGAGAGAGCATGGGAGCCCTTCCAGTTACCAGATGAGCTACTGGTAAAAGGCAGAGAGGGAGAAAACAAATAGAAAGAAAAAAATAATAATGGAAGAGGAAAGCCTGGTACTACAATAAAAAAGAAAAGAAGGATTCTTAAAAATTGGTTTTGGAAGGAAAAAAACCTACATATGCACCCAGAGAGGCCTGTGTGCTCTCAGTTAAGCTCCTTTGTCATGTTCTTCTGTGAAGGAAAATAGACATTATTTTCCAATTGTCAATTTTAATTGGAAAATTTTTGAACAATTTTAATTCTTTAAACAGCAATGCTCCAGGTAATGGCATTACTGACCCTTGCCTACTCACTTTTTTTTTTTTAATTCAGATTACAAATCACTTGGAAAAACACAATACATTTAATAGTTAAACACCAGCTTTAAAAAACAAAAATGAGATGCATTAAAATATAAGATAGGATAGGATACATCAGAAGAGTAGAATAGAATAGGATAGACCATGAAGCCTACTCATAGCAGGAGCAAATATTCTTTTGTGTGTATGCACCCATGCATATGATCAAGTAGAAACGTATTAGGAGGTCATTATCAAAATTACTTGACAGCCACTCACCAAGAAGTGGGTCCACATTTAGTGATGATTCCACTCAAGGCTTGACATCCCTTTAAATTTCTTCTTAAACATTTAAGGCTTAATATGAAAACTCTTGGACCCCACCACTCAGCACAGTTCTTGCTCTTCACGCTTTAGTACACTTGGACTCTGTGAGGATGCTGTAGTGAGCTGGGCTTTCTGCCAAAGCAAAGAGTATAACTCTCAGAGTATTCATTCTTCTTGGTGAGGGGGTAGAGGGCTAGAAGGAGGTGGGACCATCACATGCTATCACCAAGATTGTCGTGAGGATTTCCTTTTTAAGCTTTATAGCAGAGACCCAGATAATATGACCTTCTGGTCATTGGAGGGAGCAGGGCCTAAAGAATTCTTTTCTTATTATAAAAAATATCCCTGAAATATCTTTCTACAGTCAACTGCTACCTCTCCAGGGGCCAGATACAGAGGATTTGAGACCAGCTGATAATAGACACATTATTCTTATTTAGAACCAGTTTCTACACGTGGGTAGATTTCCCAGTGCTTCAGCGAATCAGAGAGCATCTTTAAGAAAAGGGTTCATGAATTTTTGCTTCACTTTATATTACCTGATCTTTTCTAGACAGTAAAAAATTCAGTCACTATAAAATTGAAGTCCTATCAGGCAGAAAGTGAACAAGCATCTGAGGAAAAAGATATCTGTTCCATTGCTGTTGTTGATGTCTGCTTCTGGCCATAATTAGTTATTGGGATAAGTCATGGTAACAACGCTACTAAAAATTTCTGGGGGTTTATATCTTTTAACATTTTAAGATCACATTGATCATGCCTTTGTTATCTGCTATATAGGCCAAAGTTGGCAATGACAATGATACAGTATGTGTGTTTGTGCATGCATGCATGTACTTTAGAGAGAGAAAGAGGGAGAGCAGGAGTGATAGAGAGAGAGACACAGAGAGATACAGAGAAGCTACGCACCATGAGAATGTGGCAATGTGATAGTAACACAAAGTATGAAGAAATGCTTATTAAAATGGAAGGACAACACACCCTTCTGATCCTCCTGATGAAGCTACTTGTACTTGAGGGAGCAGATTAGGGATTCATAGGCAATCAAGAAAGGAACCCTTGGCAAAACCTAGGAAGGTAAACTAGATTCTGGACTTGAAGGGGTGCTCTGCTATTATTTTGTTTAGCATACTGCCAGTGCTTACAGTTAAATGAAAGATTAAGCAATGCATTGTAGAAGGTTACAGAATGTGTTTCATTAGGAACTCCCAAGAGCAGAGATTGGTCAACTTTTTCTGCAAGAAGCCAAATAGTAAATATGTCTGGCTTTGTGGGCCATGCATTCATCCAGCACAACTCAATTTTTCAGCAGTGACACTAAAGCAGACATAGGAAATATGTAAGCAAATAGACATGGCTGTGTTTCAATAAAATTTTATTTATAAAATCAGGTGTCCAGCCAGTTTTGGACCAATGACCAGAGTTTGCCAACCCCTACCCTAAAGTCCTTGGCAAACAACACAGTTAAATCTTGACAGATCTGTAACTGACCTTACAACTTTATTGCACCAGCTAAATCCAGCAACAGATAATAGCAAATTAGCATCTCTCTTGATTTTCACAAGCTTTGATATTATTAATACTACTTAGTTTTTGATTCCCATTTTGCAGCTGAGGATTGAGATTTCAAGTTATTCAATTGCTTTCCCAGGGCTATACATGTTATAATGGATGAGAGAGGATTTACACACCATTTTTTGGCTTTATAAGAATCAGAAAACCTGAGCTAAATTTTCATTTTGTGGCTGATTGAATTTCCTAGACAAAGAATGTGAAACTCAGAGTGAGAGAAAATTTTTGCAATCTATCCATCTTACAAAGGTCTCATATCCAGAAACCACAAGGGACTTTAACAAATTTACAAGAAAAAAAACAAACAACTCTATTAAACAGTGGGCTAAGCACATGAACAGATACTTCTCAAAAGAAGACATTCATGTACTACTAACTCTTAACATGGAATGGAAACTTTCAAAAATGGTGATAGCGATTGAAATAGGAAAAGGTATAGAATTTGAGTGAAAGAAGGCTTTTAATTCACTTTATTGCCAACTACAAAGAAATTAGAGTCTTTATAAGTTTCTTTATTTCTACTCACAGAACACACACACACACACACACACACACACACACACACACACAAGCTACCCCAAGACCCTGGAAACAACTGGCAAAACCCAAAATACACAATAGAAATATGGGAGGAAAATAAAGTGCCAGGCCTTCCCACCCTAGATGATCCAGATGCTTATTAATGCCCTCTAATCTCACAGAATCTTCTTCTCAAGCTCCTCAAATAATGCCGAGCATGAAGGTGGGAACCTCTACCTATCCTCCACCCTGATCTCTACCAGGATGGAGTGGAGACCTGGGCCCACTCTGTTGGATAAGAGTGAATGGCTGTGTGGCTTTAAAAAACCTTTAATAAGAGACTGGTTTGGGCTTATTGATGCATTGCTGTGTCCTCATTTGATCCCTCTGCTGAGTCCTGCACATGAGTCTGGAACTAAACCACTCACAAACTGGTATTCCGTGTTCCATGGACAGAAAGACAAGTTACTCTGTGATATCCAGGAAAATCCATTCCAGTTTGCCCAAACATTTTACACACCCACACAGTCTAATGATTTTCTGGTATCTGGTACATGGTAGAGTTTACAATTTCACATTGAAACAGGTAAAAACATGTGGAAGAAACATTTCTGGCCTTGGCTTTGTGTCTGCTAAGGCATGTTCTTGTTAGTTAATACCTGTGCACATTGAGGAAAAGCACCTACTTTTAAACCTCAAAAGTTCATGTGTAAACACTAAATATATTACATATATGAGTGTGTGTGTGTGTGTGTGTGTGTGTAAACCCTATATATAATATTTATATTATATTGTATTATGCTGTAAGTGATGTATATATATATTTATATATCAATGAACATTGTTACTATTTGTTTCCACCGTTCTTGACTCACTGTAATGACCTTATATAAGAACTTTATACTTTTTATTCACAAAATGATTCATTTAATGTCAACAGTTGAATAGAAGTTTTTGTTTTAGAGACAGGGTCTCACTTTGTTACCTAGGCTGGGGCACAGTGGCATCATCACAGCTCATTGCTGCCTCAAACTTCTGGGTTCAAGCAATTCTCACACCTCAGCCTTCCAAGCAGCTGGGACTACAAGTATACACCACCATATCTAGCTATTTTTTTTAATTTTTTGTAGAGACAGGGTCTTGCTATGTTGTCCAGGCTTGTCTCCAATTCCCGGGCTCAAGCAATCCTCCCACCTCAGTCTCCCAAAGTGCTGTGGTTACAGGACTGAGTCACTGAACCTGGCCTAAATAGGGACTTAAAATATTCTTCAAATTGCAGATCTGTTAAGCATAGCTTGCCTCACTAATTCACCTTTTAAAATGATACTTTTTCAAGCGAATTTTGCTCAGCTAAACCTCAAACTTCAGTGTCTGCTACTGAAACAAACTAGTTATGAAAAAAGAAGGCCAGTAGAAAGAAACTAAGCTCAGTTTCATGTTTGTCTTTAATTTTTGTCCCTATTCATGCCTCCTGCAATCCAAAAATTGCTCTTGACTTCTCATAAAGAAAAACTGAAAACAAGGAGGACACGAAATGAAAAGAATCCATGAAAAATGTATTTTTCATCCATTTCAGAAGAAATAGAAGAAAAAGAAAGTAAAGGCCTCTAACTATAGCCTGAAACACCACCTCAACTTAAGACCTCAGTTTAGGCCGGGCGCGGTGGCTCACGCCTGTAATCCCAGCACTTTGGGAGGCCGAGGCGGGTGGATCATGAGGTCAGGAGATCGAGACCATCCTGGCTAACAAGGTGAAACCCCGTCTCTACTAAAAAAAAAATACAAAAAATTAGCCGGGCGCGGTGGCGGGCGCCTGTAGTCCCAGCTACTCGGGAGGCTGAGGCAGGAGAATGGCGTGAACCCGGGAAGCGGAGCTTGCAGTGAGCCGAGATTGCGCCACTGCAGTCCGCAGTCCGGCCTGGGCGACAGAGCGAGACTCCGTCTCAAAAAAAAAAAAAAAAAAAAAAAAAAAAAAGACCTCAGTTTAAACAATGCTGGGCACTAGAAAATTGTTAGGACATTTTCCCTGCCTGTCCCTTCAAAGTCCGTGATCTAGAAATAAATTTGAAAATCAGACTACAGTGTGAAAACAGTGATGGTGGAAGTATTTCTAAAGTGCTTGAAGAAGTGCTTGAGAAAGCTTCGGAGTGGAAATGATGCTGAAACTCCATCTGGCAGAGGGAAGGAGAGAGACTAGCAAGGTCTGCTGGGTGGAGGGTGGGGCTCCAAGGGAGGGACTGATACCTGCGTGTCCTGCCCACCCTCCTAACCTGAGTCTCTCTCGGGACCACCCTAATGACTAGTGTTACCTCTGACCAGCGTCTTTGCTCCTCTAGGGACCACCCTTAGACGACAGGGCTCGTACCTACTAAATGCCTCTTATGATTATCTGTTTACCGGTGTTCTCCTCAGCATTACCTATGGCAACGAGACCAAGTTCAGACAGGAAAACATAATCTGATTAGTTCTCCAAGAATGAAGAAGACAATCTGTTTTCATTTTGTAACAAACCCGAACCCAGCCTTCATTCATTCAACATAAATGAAACTACATATTCCCTTGGCGTGAAATTTATTTCTTCCTAATTCTATCCTCTATCAATCTCTAAACCACATTTCAGACAAATGGTAGACTTCATAACTCTTTAAAAAATCTTCCAGAATAGATTTATTTAAACTCTGTCAAGAAATCAATGCGATTTTATTTATTAACATAAGTAAACTACTATGCTTATATATTAGCATTAAAAACCCTGCCAAAGACTTTGGATGAAAATCTTCCAGATACAACTATGATTAAATACAAGATGTTCTGCTGTTACCATTTCTGTTCCATCAGCCACAGGTTTTAGAATCTTTTCCCTTCCCATGAGCAGCCCACACTCTAGTTTGTTTATATTGAGGGCAAAAATATTAGCAGAGATGTCAAGGTTGTAAGTCATTGTAGAAGACAGTTATAAGATGGAGTTATTCTAAAGCTCAGCTATACATAGTTTGGGATTTGTTGGAGAACCTCTGATTCTGAATCATTCTATCAAGTACTCAAAAGTGCCTCATATTACTAAAAAATTTTTTTGAAACCTCAAACCTCTCAAAATTGTTGCTAAAGTTGCCAAATATCATTGATTATAATCAACAAGGAATGTCCAACACATAGAAGACCTTTTAGGGAATTATCATCATGGTTGTATTGTGATCGACCTGGGAGTTGGCATGTAACTTGTCACCTGGGTTCTGGATCATTTGCTTAACAAAAAAGTAAAACTAGCTTGTAAATATCAATTCATTCACTCACATATATTTAATCAGTAGGTCTGTGACACCAGAGATAGAAAGCCCAGACACAGGTAGTAGATATAGTTGGTGTATGAGCTATCTTGTATAAGCTTAGGGGTCTATTCAGCCGTCAGTAGGCACTTTTTTTTCATAAGGTAAGGAATAAAGCTGAATTTTCTCTATTAAATATGTTGGCCAATGTTATAGATGCGGCCGTCAATTGTCATTCTAATCCCCAAGATTAGTCTACAACAACCATGTGGAGAACAGAGATTGGCTGTGGTTACCCTGGAAAGGGGTATGTGTCTGCCAGAATCCCAGATGCCAGAGGTAAAGCTGTTACTTTGACAGCAGGTAAATGCTCAGGGCATGCAGCACCTCAGGCACTAGGGGCTGTCCATCCATCTTAGGGAATCTAAGCATACTCAGAAGCCTAGAATAACCCAGCATAAGCACTCACCTCCTCTCACTGCAGTCTGCGGCCTTCACAGCTGGGCTTCAGTTCCTCCTGCCTCCTACCTCCTAAGACTTCTCACTCCTCCCAGCACACCTATACCAAGGTTCAGGGAAAATTCCCAAGACTTCCCTTTGGCTCAACTCCCAAGGGAGAGGTTGATGACAGCAGCAGCACTGGTGACAGCACTGAATGAAAAGTCCCTCCTTCATCCCAGACTGCACAAAGAGGAAAATCATGGAGGGAACATCAGGAAGGGACTCCACAGGGGCTTTCCTGTCCAGCTCAGAAAGGCACTTGTCATCTCCCGACTCTGCAGGAAGCACAGAGGAGTGCCCCATGGTGTCGTGTTGCTCATCCTTCCATTGACCAACAAACCAGAGAAGTAAACATTCTAAAGATTGTCCTTTCACATTCCCTTTCCAACTGTGTGTGCCTGGACATATGGCAGGTTGTAGCCTTAGAGTCAGGAATCAGGGCCAGCAGGTTAGAACCAGGGAAGGACCCAGGAGGGAGCCAGAGCCAGGAGAACAGACTTTGGACAATCCAATCCTCCACCGAGGACCAAGGTTAGATGCCTGGGTTTTATCTATTTCCATGGCAGTCATTGACTAGGGTTCAAATGGTCTCCCCAAAAGAGGAGGTGACTCAAGTCACAGATCTCATGATAAGTTTGCAACATACAGATGGTTTTTACCAATATCAAGTGGCAATATACAGCTCTGGAGAAGCACTGACAGCCCACATACACAGCAGAGACCAGATATTCTGAGACAGACTCAAGATATACCTTCCAGAAAGTATGCCCTTGGATGCAAAATACATGAGGTGGGGTGTCACAGCTAAGGCTTAGAGCCACGCAAACCTGGGTTCCAATTCCAGCTCCCCATCTTGGACCCATGTGACCTTTGAGAGGCTCTTCAACCTGTCTGTATCTTGCTTCACTTGTTTGAAAAATGGGGAAATTTTTCATAACGTCATGGTTAAGAGTATTATAGGTAACATGTAAAGTACTTAGTACACAGTAACCACTTGATAAGTGTAGCTATTATTATAATAATAAGTTGAGACAGGAAAATCCAGGATGTATGAGTACTCCACCTATCCATATATTGCCTATTACTCAAGGCCACCCAAACTTCCACCATTTCCATCATCTTCCATATTATTATGAGCCTATATTGAGTTCTTTATTTCTTAATAATATTCTTTTATCATATGATTTTACTAAATATTTCCACTGCTGTATAATTTTAGATTGTCACTCATAAGTCACTACTTACGTCACTTATAAGTCATTTAGTACAAAATCCTTTCCTAAACACAAAAACCAAGCCATGCTGTTTTAAAATCTACATTGTGTTGAACATACTACAAGAAACCTGGTAAGCACTTGATAAGTAGGTGCTTAATTAATTGCATTTTAGGTACTATTTTGGGTTGGTCATGATGATAAATATCCGTTGTAAACACCTTAACAGTTCCTGCATTACCTTTCAGAAAAAGACCTTTCATTTTTTGCACTCCTCCATCATCTGTATGGAAAATACAAATTTTATCTATCTTATTAAAATATTGCCATTTTAACTTTGATATTGAATATGGTCATGGCTTCGTGAGTATGGAGACATAAATATGAATCACTATACTCTCATATATTCACTAGTAAAACCATTTCAAATTGTGGGGGGAAGATGAGTTTTGGAAACACAAATGTAATTCTCACCCACCTCATCCTATTCCTGATATAATGTTATTAGAAATGACATAAAATTTGTAATAAGGGAAACTTCCATCACTGTTGATAAGGGAATAATGTCAGTACCAGAAATTTCATGGAAAGATAACCAGAGTTCACTTGCAAATCACCGTTACAGTAAGCAATGACCTTGAGGGAGCAGGCGATGGAAGCCCTGCCCTCCACACCTGAACATGAAAACAGAAGGATGGGCGTGTGGGATGGTGCAGGCAGCAAGACCGACCGAGAATAGCTTCATATGGAATCTCTTTTGCTTATAAAGTGATGGGATTTGAAGGCAGAGTGACAAGGGATCCTAGAAATTCAGATAGATATAAAGGCAAAAAGCCCCTGAAGAGGGATTTCCTGAGATGACAAGACATGTCTTTATAGTGAGTAGTTGACTGACAAAAGTGGCCTTGAAAACCAGATGTGCAAAGAAATTCATCATTGACAAAGTTTTGGAAGAATGAATTCCCAATGTGGCTTATTATAAATTAGTGAATAAAGCAGGGTTGTTACAGCCAAAAGTGAACTGGATGACTAGCTACAGAGGACTCTGCACCTAGATCAAGGGTTTGGAAAACAACCAACACCACAAGAAAAAAAGGAAAATAAAACAAAAACAATCAAAACAGAGAAGTGACTGCACAGAAACAAATTCTCCCTACTAGGCTTGCCCATGACCCTGAATCTCTTCTTCTGTCCCGACATTTGCAACAGTGAATTAATAAAGTTTAATTACTTATGACATTTATAAAGTGATCAAAAAAAAATCAAAGTATGTGAGAGACCAGAAAAAAAATTGAAGAATATAATTAACAAGAAGAAATGAAGGAACACTTAAACAGCAGGATAGATATATCATGTTTATGGAATGGAACACTCAATATTATAAACATGTCAATTTTCCCAAATTTTCCATCTTTTTTTTTCTTTTTTGCTATTCCAATCAAAATTTAGCAGGTTTTTTTGTGTATATGTGTTGTAAATTGCCAGGTTGATTCTAAAATTTTTATCAAAAGAAAGAAGGCCAAGAATAATGAAGACAATCTTGAAGTTTAAAAATGAAATTGGAGCCTTACATTAGCAGATGCCAACTATAAGGCTACAGTAATTAAGACTATGATATTGGTGCAAAGATAGGCAAACAGAGCAGCAGAATAGAAGAGGGCGGCCAAAAACAGACCAGCCAATTTCATGTTGCTTTCAAACAAAGTCACCATTAAGTAAAGGAAGAGGGACAGAGAGTCTTTCCAGTAAATGGTCTGGATCTACTGGATATCCATACCTTTTTCAAAAAATGAAGTTTAATCCATATTTTACAGGGGTCACAAAAATAAATTTCAGATGGCTTACAGATCTAAAGTAAAATGATTAAACAAAAAGACTTCTAGAAGATAACAAAGGGGAATATCTTCATCAACTTGGTTTAGACAAAAATGTTAATGGATCACAAAAAGCATTAACTATAAAGAAAAATATTAATAAACTGATTTCATTAAAATTAAGAACCTCCAGTCATCAAAAAAATCTCCTTTAAGAAAAGAAAAAGACATACCACAGAGTGGTAGAAAATATTTGTAGAGCTCCCAGATAGCTTCTAGATGGTGGAGGTTCCAGGAGGTTGGCATGCCCAGGGAGGACATGGAAGCTCCGTGACCCTTCCTATAAATAAATAAATAAATAAATAAATAAATAAATAAATAAATAAATAATTTGCAATAAATATTTCTGAGAAAGATCTATTACCCAGAATGTATCAAGTAATTCCACAAATCAATAATAAAAGAAAAGATAGCCCAGTAGAAAATGTCAAGCAGGAACTTCACAAACAATTTGAACAGAAACTTCACAAATGAGAAAATCCAAATGTCCAAAAGCTTATGAAAAAATTCTCAACATCATTAGTCACCAGAAAAATGCAAATTAAGACCACAGTAAGGTACCACTGCACACCCATTAAAGTGAGTATTTTTAGTAAGACTGGTAATACAAGTGTTGCTGAGGATGTAGAGGAACTGGAACTCTCATATATTGCTGATAGAAGTATAAATTACAGCAACTACTTTGGACTACTCTTGAGAAGTATTTTCTAGAGCCAACCTTAGGTCTATGTTATAATCCAGTTGTTTCAGTTCTCAATAGAAATGCGTACCAAATTAGCTGCATATTCTGCTTCTTTCATGGTTTGCACCTGTATACTGAGTGTCAAATTTCAGAAATGGGAAGAACTAGTCTCCTTAAAATTCAGTATGTGCAAGCAAAATGTTGACTTTCTTTTTTTAAAAATTATACTTTAAGTTCTGAGATACATATGCAGAATGTGTAGGTTTGTTACATAGGTATACATGTGCCATGGTGGTTTGCTGCACCCCTCAATCCGTCATCTAGGTTTTAAGCCCCACATGCATTAGGTATCTCTCCCAAAGTTATCCCTCCCCTTGCTCCCCACCCCCCAAACAGGCCCCAGTGTGTGGTGTTCCCCTCCCTGTGCCCATGTGTTCTTATTGTTCAACTCCCACTTGTGAGTGAGAACATGGCGGTGTTTGCTTTTCTGTTCCTGTGTTAGTTTGCTGAGAATGATGGTTTCCAGCTTCATCCACGTCCCTGCAAAGGACATGAACTCATTCTTTTTTATGGCTGCATAGTATTCCACAGTGTATATGTGCCACATTTTCTTTATCCAGTCTATTATTGGTGGGCATTTGGGTTGGTTTCAAGTCTTTGCTATTGTAAATAGTGCTTCAATAAACATACGTGTGCATGTGTCTTTATAATAGAATGATTTATAATCCTTTGGGTATATACTCAGTAATGGGATTTCTGGGTCAAATGGTATTTCTAGTTCTAGATCCTTGAAGAATCACTACACTGTCTTCCACAATGGTTGAACTAATTTATACTCCCACCAATAATGTAAAAGCATTCCTATTTCTCCACATCCTCTCCAGCATCAGTTGTTTCCTGACTTTTTAATGATCACCATTCTAACTGGCGTGAGATGGTATCTCATTGTGATTTTGATTTGCATTTCTCTAATGACCAGTGATGATGAGCTTTTTTTTCATGTTTGTTGGCTGCATACAAAAATGTCTTGTTTTGAGAAGTGTCTGTTCGTATCCTTTGCCCACTTTATAATGGGGTTGTTTGTTACTGTTTTGGAAATCTGTTTAAGTTCCCTGTACAGTCTAGATATTAGACCTTTGTCAAGACTTCCAAGACTATTGACATGACTGTGAGTCTAGAAAATTGATTAAGAAACCTCAGTAGTGTCTCTGTTCCACATCCTATACACTTTCTTCATGAAGACAGTGTACATTGAAAGCCTAGAAGGTGGATATGAAGAATCAAGGAAGTAAGTAACCCTCAAATATTATTCCTAAATTTTGTCTCCTGCATTTCAATTTTAAAAATTAAGCAAATAATAAATATACATTAATAAGGAATTATTTATATAAATCCTGCTGTATCCTGTAAATGAATACAGTACAGCGCTTAATAATTATTTTATAGAGAATGCTTATTGAGAGAGATATGCTCAGAATATGTTAAATACAAAAAGAAACTTAACATGGTATATATAATATGATCCTTTCTAAAATACAAATTTAGATATATGTGAATATACACATAGGAAAATTCTGGGAGAATATTTGCATAATTTTAACAAAGTTTAGAGTTGAGGGAAGAATTATTAATAAGCTATTTCTTTGAGGTTTTCTGTATTTTTACATGTTTATATCACTGTATAAATTTTTGTAAATAGGCCTCTTTATATTTTCAATGAAATTAAGAGTGTAGAACCTATTCCATTAATTATTGTTGGCATTTTCTCCCAGTATTTTCAGAGCATAGCTTCTCACTTTAGAAATATTAAAACTGAGGTGAAGAAAGCTTTGGTCTGGGAAAATAATTAGCCATCAGTAAAAAATATTATATCTAAAACTGGTCAACAGATAGTAGATGTAGAGTAGATGTACATTCTTGATCATCTAAGAATGAAAAATGAAGCCAGCAGAATAGCAATTTGGCCAAATAGATAACACAGCATAATTATAGAGCAAAAATAGAACCTGAAGTTTGAGGGCAAGAGGAAAAGCAGAATTAGCATTGTCTCAGAGAATCTCCTCAAAGGTATTTATTAACTACAAAGTTGGGGGGAAGTAACTTGGCACTGGAGAAATCAGCAATCATCAAACTGACCAAGTGATCGAGTTAAACATCACCCACCATGAGACACACCAACATTGTAAATACCTTGATGCGGTGCACTGAGGACACAATATTATGTCCTGAGTTTTTACCAAAAATGCATACCCTCATTTATAATTGGATAAGTCAATACTAATGGACAATCTATAAAGTGCCTAATCAGTACTCTTCAGACTTGTCAAGGCGACAAAACACAAAGACCAAGGAACTGTTAGAAAATGGAGGAGACTCAGAAGAAATAGTAACTAAATGTAACGGGAAATTCTGGGTAAGATCCCAGAACCACAAAGGCGGCATTAGTTGGTGGGTAGGGGGCACAAATGGGTACGATTCAAATAAGGTGTATAGTTAAGTTAATACAGTTGTACCAATAGTATTTTTTACTCTAGATATTTGTACTATGGTTATGTAAGATGTTAATGTTTTGGTTAATGGGCTGAAAGATATAAGGCCACACTTCATACCATGCTTGCTTTTTTGTACGACAAAGACTCTTCAAATTAAAATAGGCTTTTAAAAATGATGTGCTCAGAACATGAAAAAATAAAGCGAATAAAATTTCAAATATCTCGGGCCCCTACTGTAGGCCAGATACTGTTCTAGATGTGGTCATGAATGAGATGGCCAAATTTCCTACTCTGTAATGTATACTCCTTTTATAGATTTGGCAAACAATGAATATATAAAGGGGAAAAATGGAGCTCTTACATTCATACTGAAAGAAAATTTAATCAGTAGAAATTTGTAATGATAGATATTTATAATGCCTAAGTGAAATACCCCACAAACTATTTTACCAGGAGAATCCAAGATAAGATTTAGAAATTAAATACCATATGCCTATCACATCCTCCTCCCCCTCCTACAACTGAGTCTGCTATCTAGTGTTTGGATGGTAAACTGCCATCCATAGTTCACTAGAATCTGTACAAAATCTTTCCACGGGTTTTGACCTGCCAGTTAGCATGTATGAATTAAATATGTTCATTTTCTTAATCAGAAATATCAAGTGTTCTCTACAGCTTTCAAATAACATTCAAATTTATCGATGTGGGATTCAAATGAGTACACAATCTGGTCTCTGTCTATCGAGTGTAAAGAAATAAGAACTCTGGGCTGGGCGCAGTGGCTCATGCCTGTAATCCCAGCACTTTGGGAGGACGAAGTGGGCAGATCATCTGAGGTCAGGAGTTCGAGACTAGCCTGGCCAGTATGGTGAAACCTCACCTCTACTAAAAATACAAAAAAATTAGCCAGGTGTGGTGGCGGGTGTCAGTAACCCCAGCTACTTGGGAGGCTGAGGCTGGAGAATCGCTTGAACCAGGGAGGTAGATGTTGCAGTGAGCCAAGATCGTGCCATTGCACTCCAGCCTGGGCAATGAGAGCGAAACTCCAGCAAGAAAGAAAGAAAGAAAGAAAGAAAGAAAGAAAGAAAGAAAGAAAGAAAGAAAGAAAGAAAGAAAGAAAGAAAGAAAGAAAGAAAGAAAGGAAGGAAGGAAGGAAGGAAGGAAGGAAGGAAGGAAGGAAGGAAGGAAGGAAGGAAGGAAGGAAGGAAGGAAGGAGGAAGGAGGAAGGAAGGAGAGAGAAAGGAAGGAAGAAAAAAGGAAGGAAGGAAGGAAGGAGAAAGAGACAGAGAGAAAAAGAATTCTGGAGTTTCTTCACCATTATATTTATTAACTTCCTATGTGATCTTGGACAAATCTTTCAAATTTGTTGGGTTTTAGATGATTTATGTCTAAACAAAGATGCTTAGACCAAATGATCTCAAAGAATTGTCATGGCCATAAGTATGATAAGCCCATATCTCTCTGAGCCCTTTTTCTCCTTCCCTAAGATCCTCCATTTGGGGTCTGACGCCCTCAACACCATCATCCCCTGTCCTAATGATGTCCTGCTATGTTTGACCTCCTAATCCTCCTCATGCATCAAAACTAGCTAAAGTCCTAACCCCTCTACAAAGCCTTTCCTGACAAAAACTTCTTTTTCATCTAAATTCCTATACTTACCTTGACTATATCGTTTAAACTCAACAGTAAGAAACATGAATTTGCAAAGAATTCTGACTTGTAAATATTACATAAAATATTTTAAAGGGCTAAGAAAGAACAACTTTTGGATATACAGTTAACCAATTACTTTAACTTCATTAAAAAATACTATGATACATCAAAGCTAGAAAAATCAGTGTGTGGCTCCTGATGCCCCTTCAGGAAAATGATACAGCCTGGCGGTTATGTACCTAGGCTTTGGACTCAAAAGATCTGTAGTAGATGTATTTTTCAAAGACATTCACAACAAAATTTCCTATCCTACACAGTTTTCTAGAATTCTGCCACTTGCCCTTAAGAGTTAGAGTCTAATTAACATCCCCTTCAATCTGAGCAGGTTTGGGATTTATTTATAACCCATAGAATGTTGTATAATTGGAGCTGCTGCATGATTTCATATATATATGAAATATATATGAAATATATATGAAATGTATATGTGAAATATATGTATGAAATATATATTTCATACATATATTTCATATGTGAAATACATATTTATTTTATATATATTATTTTATATATTATATATATTTTATATATATTATATATATTTCATATATATTTCATATGTACATATTTTATATATAAAATATCCCTAGCCAGAACAACCAATCAAGCCCTTCACAAAAAAAAAAAAAGAGAGAGATAATGAAATGACTGCTGCTCTCTTAAACCACTAAGGTTTGGGGTAGTTTGAATTGCAGCAATAGTCACTGAAACGAAACTTGAGTTTAGATTCTGGTTCTTTGACTTACTGTGTGTCCTCAGGTAAATTGCTTAATCTCTCTGAGCCTGCATTGTCTAAACTTTAAAATATGGTTGATTGTATCACCTACCCTGTTGGTTGCTGTTGCAGAACAAATGACAAATAACTATAAAACACTTAACACAAGGCAAGCACAGAGTAAAACCTCAATAAATATCAACTATTATTATTAATAATTGGTATTTTTTATGATTCTCTGATGTAGCCCTTAGGATATTTGAGAACCTATGTTTTCCTTGCTTTATTTGGCCAAAAACTTAAGTGACAACTGTAAGTTATACAGCTATGATCTCCTACTGAGCAATAGGCACATGTCTTTGGCAATTGCTGTTACTTCCTCACTGTACCTTTTCTTTTATTTTAAATACAAATAAAATTTTATTTGTATATCAAAGACTCTATGAAATGATAACATAATGTTAACAGAGTTGATGTCAAAACACCAATAGGTTTGAAGTTATAGATGATAAATCACTTTGTTTCATTCAACCTTCCCTCGATTACATTATAGAGCATCCCTGGTATGCTCCCAGTTGAATCTTAAGTATGATGTATCTCACTGTGTCTTTTCTACCCTGCTGCTGGGGAACTTATTTCCAAGGCATCGACCTCTGCAGCCACCTGCATAAAAGGGCCAAAATGGTTGTAATTTCTTTGAGGAAGCCTGTCCCTGGAGCTAAGGTGTAGCTGTTGTTCTCATCGGCCCAAGCCACGGCCAATGGTGTTCTTGCCTGTCCTCTCTCCTGGGGCCCTTTCCCCTGGAGCTGTCTACATAATGTGGAAATAAAAATCTTCAAAGGGAGCTATCCCACTTGGCATGGTATAGCTAAGCAAACAGGTTTCAGGGTACATTACAGGCTCCCCACCTTCTCAGAGACTATTTAAACCCTATCCCATTCCTGACTTGCTTGTAGACTAAGTCCTCCCCAGATCTACCCCAGAAAACTCCAATTCCAACTTCATCCTATAATAAAATATAGATGTAATAATGTTAAATGGGACTTGTCTCATTTCTGAGTTTGTCTGCTGGTCCAAGGCAGATATTAGCAGATAATAAGCATGCATCATGCTGTAAAGAGGGCTACCAGGGCATCCACTCAAGATAGGCCAAGACACCATGGGCCTGGTCTGATGACCCTGACCTCAAGGCTCACATCCAAGATACTGGAGAGGATGCTGAGGATTTTCCCCTGGAGGTTAGAGAATGGGGGTTTCTTGGGAGGAAAAGGGGAAAGGGATGCTGCTTCTCTCCACATGAAGGAGAGGGGGATAAATTCCCCATACCTTATACCATAGGCGGGGGAGCTGGATTTAAGAGAAAGAAAACACACATAGAGAGGGAGGTACTTGCCACTAGGAGAAATCGACATCTCCCGGGCAACTGGATGTCTGCTGGGATGCAGAAACCTTGAGCCTTGTGAAATAAGGAGTTCAGGGCCGGGCACGGTGGCTCACACCTGTAATCCCAGCACTTTAGAAGGGCAAGGTGGGCAGATCGCTTGAGGTCATGGGCTCAAGACCAGCCTGGCCAACATGGAGAAACCCCGTCTCTACTAAAAATACACAAATTAGCTGGGCATGGTGGTCAGTGCCTATAATCCCAGCTATTCGGGAGGCTGAGGTACGAGAATCCCTTGAACCCAGGAGGCAAAGATTGCAGTGATCTGAGATCATGCCACTGCACTCCAGCCTGGGTGACAGCAAGACTCCATCTCAAAAAAAAAAAAGAAAAAAAAAAGACAGAGAGAGAAAAGAAAGAGACAAGCACTAAGTCAACAATGACCTCCCAGCACAAAGGCTAGAGGAGTACTATCACACACAAAAGCTGAAACAGAGAGGATGCATCTGTATGGTGGGTGAGAAAGTTTGTAAAAGTCAAAGGTTCTAGGACCTGAGCCAGGAAAAAGCTTAGCCACAGGGAGGAGCTGATTTCTGCAGTGAGCAGTGCAGTGCTCCATCTAAACTAGTGTCGTTCATCTCAAAGGCTTAGTTGTGGGACTGAAGGAGAAGCTATAGAGAATCAGAATTAGAACTCAGTTCTCTAAACTGCAAATTTAACCCCACCCACAAATGTACTGGGTGTTACTACAGCAATAGCATGGAGGACAGGACATTGACTCTGAAGCTGGGGCTTCCTAGGCTCAAATCTTGGCTCTGCAACTAACACTGATCTAGGCAAACCACTGACATTGTCCAATTCTCTGTCTTCTCATCTTGGACTGAAAATAGCAATAAGACATGCCACGTAGAGTTATGGGACCAAATTAGTGAGATATGTACAACGGTGCCTGGCATGAAGTTATAATACTGCAATAAATGTTAGCTCTTGTTTCTGTTGTCATCCTGGGCTTCCACAAGGACAGATTATATCTTTTATTCATCCCGTGTTACTGTCTCATCCACAAGGAGGAGCTCAATACACACTGGTTGACAAAAGGATTATAACTTTAATGTAAAAGCTGAATAAAATTTCAATGAATAATGGGCAAAACTCGTTACCTTATTTAATATTAGGAAACTTCATTTTGGAGATGTCAGAAGATTCTTGATCATCCCTAACAATTCTTTTTTTTTTTTTTTTTTTTTTTGAGACAGGGTCTTGCTATGTCACCCAGACTGGAATGCAGTGGTGGGATCTCGGCTCACTACAACCTCTGCGTCCCGGGTTCAAGCAATTCTCCTGCCTCAGCCTCCCGAGTAGCTGGGATTACAGGCACCCGCCACCATGCCAGGCTAATTTTTGTATTTTTAGTAGAGACAGGGTTTCACCATGTTGGCCAGGCTGGTCTCGATCTCCTGACCTCGTGATCTGCCTGTCTTGGCCTCCCAAAGTGCTGAGATTACAGGCGTGAGCCACAACGCTTGGCCAATCATCCCTAACAATTTTACAAGATTTGAATCGTATCCTAACAAATCAGCAACCACTAAACAGATAAGCTCTCTGTTATCAACACCTTGAATTCAGTTAGACAGTCTGGGCTTCCCCTTTCTAAACTGTAGCTTAGATCTTCTGGGAAACCAGCTCAACACAAGTTGTATTTTTAACCATCTGATATATGTAGTACACAGGCTTTTTCATCTCCTTGCTAAGAAGAGAATGTGTATGTAGAAATAAAACATTTTTTTCTACACTGTAACCTGAAGCCACCTTAACTTGCTTATAGAACAATCTTATTAGAATTGTCAGTGGAGCTCTGTCATGGGCCAAGTTCAGTGCACTAACTCCACCCAGCTTATCTCACTCAGGCCATTGCTCTTCACTTTGCAATTCTACAACATAGTAGGTACTAAAAGCATCAAAACAGTTAAAGAATGAATTCTGTCATTCATTCAACTGATATTTATTGAAGATCTACCATGCTCCCGGAATTGTTGTTGCTGAGACAACACAAAAATATAAAACCCCTGCCCTCATGAAACTTACATTCTAGTAGGGAGATATTGCCAGTAAACAAGATAAATAAGTAAAGTGTATGTCAAGAGAGAAGTAAATGCTAATGAGAAAAGTAAAACAGCAAAGAGGGATTGAGAGTGTGTACTGAGGTTGCAATTTAGATAGAAGCTGAAGCTCAGAGTCTGATATCTCTAAGTGGGAATTACGAGCATGGCCAGGGTCCCAGATGGACCCCTGTGATTATGCAGGAATTCGGGTGGCATGGGAGCACATGAAGAAGTGGTGAGGGAGCCTAATGGAGATTATTTGAATGAGGAAAAAAGAAACATCCTGGAAAGAATTTATGCTCAAGTGCAGAGTCAGAGTCAGGATGTCCATGACCAAAGGACGTGGTTCAGGCTGGGAGATGAGGGGTGATTATGCAAGCAGCCCACCTGTCTGCTCAGGTCATGTTCCTCTCCCCACCACAGTCTGAATCTCAGAGAGAAAAGGCACCATGGAACAGTTCAAAGAACTTCTGCAACATCTGAACAAGACTGGGAGGTCAAGTCAGCCCTGATTAGAATGACAGAATGGGATTACAGCCAACAGATGGTGAGAGTCTTGCCACCCCAGCTTCTACAACCAGCCCAGAAATACCTGACAACATCAAATTCTCAAGCCCTATGGGCAGGAGCAGCAGCTCCAGGAACTCAGGGACATTTGGCCAGAAGCAGTTGTAGACATGGCAACATCAGGAGGGTCAGACCTTCATGAACCTGTCAGCTAAGTCATAGGCTTCACCATTGTTCTGTGAGCTCAGGACATGGGAGCAGATTTTACACTGAGTAAAGCACGAGGAGTTCAGGAAGAGTGGTGAATCTCAGAGAGGGTTTGGGGGAACCAGAAGAAGGAGGAGTGGGATTCAGAAGAACACACAGTTATCAGTGGGATCTAATCCAGACTATTAGTTTGTTGTCATCTGGAAGACACAGGCTATAAGGGTGATACAAACATTTAATTAACAAAAAGCAGAATTTACAAAAACAAATCTCTGGCTCGGATATAGAACCTGGAGTCTCTAAATACTGCATGTTCTCTTATAAATGGGAACTAAACAATGGGTCCACGTGAATGTAAAGATGGAAATAATAGACACTGGGGACTCCAGAAAGGTGGAAGGGTAAGGGGGCAATGATTGAAAAATTACCTATCAGGTACAATGTTCACTGTATGGGTCATGGGTACATTAGAAGCCCAATCCCCCAAAATTGGCAATATACTCTTTTAACCCCTGAATCTGAAATAAATTTTTAAGAGAAAAAACCTGGAAACCCTGCCAAATCCCAGTCTGGTAAATTCCCACCCAACAGTTTGCTTTTTTGTTTTGTTTTGTTTGTTTGTTTGTTTGTTTGTTTGTTCTGAGACAGAGTCTCGCTCTGTCATCCAAGCTGGAGTGCACTGGCGCTATCTCGGCTCACCGCAAGCCCCACCTCCCAGGTTCACGCCATTCTCCTGCCTCAGCCTCCTGAGTAGCTGGGACTACAGGCGCCCACCACCACCCCGGCTAATTTTTTGTATTTTTAGTAGATATGGGTTTCACCGTGTTAGCCAGAATCGTCTCAATCTCCTGACCTCATGATCTGCCCGCCTCAGCCTCCCAAAGTGCTGGGATTACAGGTGTGAGCCACCGCGCCCAGCCCCCCAACAGTCTTATTACCTCTTAACAAAGAGACTTTTTAACAATGATGGTCAAAGATTCTCCAAGACCGTGCTGGGGATTTCTTGGCATGGTCACGTCATGGTTATTGTGGATGACTATGACTCATGTCCAAATTACTGGACAATTCCATCACCCAGTTAAGCACCTAATGGTGCCTGTCACTGTGACACCTAAATTGTCAGAGATGCTGTCTACACATAACCAAAATAAACCATGAATAGGTATTTTATCCCCACCTTCAAAATGTTCTAGTTCTGCCAAACTGATTACTAGCATGTAAAATGCTCCTCTGTGATTTATTTCATGTAGTTTATAATGTACCTTTCCCGTTATAAATATGAGCATCTGGAAGCCCAAATGACTTTTCTAGAATGCAAATCTGACCAAGTCCCTATCTTAGGAAGAGAACCCTCACTCTTTGAAATTGGGTCTACTAAAAGGACCCTGCCTATAACAGTCTTCTCATGACACCGATTACCCTATTGTCATTACTACCCTAAAGCTGTCTTCTCTGCCAAAATATAAATCCTCGCCTTATAAAGACAAGGACTGAGGCTTTGTGTTATTCACTGTATATCTCTGTGACTTAACATGGTATCTGGGCCAGAATTGGTGCTCAATAAATGTTTGTTGAAGAAATTAATCTGCTGGGTAGGGTGGTGCACACCTGTAATCAGAGCTACTTGGGAGAATGAAGCAGGAGGATAGCTTGAGCCCAGTAGTTTAAGACCAGCCTTGACAAAATAGTGAGCTCTTGTCTCAAAAAATAAATGAAATTGAATAAGGGTGTCAATGAATTTTTAAAATGAGAATCTTTTAAAGTCATTTACTCTTGAGCAGTAAATCTATTGTTGGCTAGAGGTGTATGTTCCTTTTTGGGTCCTGTTGAGGCCAAGCTGGGTACCTCATTGATCTCTGCTTTCTCTGTTGACACAAAGAAGGAACAAGTGCCATCAGTGGATAGGATAAAAGGGGAAGTTTCCTCTACAAAACTAGGGTACCAGAGGAAGAAGACAGAGGTCAAGAGAGTGTGATGTGTAAAACTACATCAGTTTTCTGCATAAAGTGTTTCAAAACATGGAAGAAAATAATAAAAGTGGAGAAAAATTAGAAAATCACTCATGTGTATAGATGCTACTGGCCTGAGTTTATGACAAAATGCGGTGGAGAACTGAGAAAATAAAGACTCCTAAATATCCTCACTTGTGTTATTGAGTTAAACGGAAGTTGGAAAAGATTCAGAATAGCCAAGATAATATTGAAGAAGAGCAAAGTCAGAGGATGCCACAACCTGATTTCGAAACTTACTATAAAGCTTCCTTATAAACACTGGCGTAGAATTGGGTGACTAGTAGAGTGTCAGGGGGCTGCTGTTGCCAAGATACCTAGGGCTTCTAACTAGCAGCCCTTTTTCCTGCTGCCTTTTGTAACCGATGGCCAATAGATACAGCAGCCTCCAACCATGGCTCAATATCCAGTAGTATTTAGGTAAGGTGACCATATCATTTATCCTCCAAATATTGATCTCCTCCAAATATATTGATCTCCTTTCTTTTGGGTAAATACCCAGTAGTGGAATTGTTGAGTCATATGGTAGCTCAATTTTTAGTTTTTTGAGGAACCTCCAAACTGTTCTCCATTGTTGTACTAACTTACATTCTCACCAACAGTGTATGAGGATTCCCTTTTCTCCATATCCTTGCCAGCATTTGTTATTGCCAGAATTTCACTTTTGAGAGTGAAATGGGAAGCTATTTATCATTACACCAGGACAACAGGAGTAGACCAGACGGAGGCAGGAATCCCAGGCATATAGTCACCTGTTAATTCAGATATTTCAAGGGACAACATGTGGGAAAGTAACTAGATTTTCCAAAGGCAGGATTTTCTGAGGTTTTAGTCCCCAGAAAGTTCTCCCCATTAAGTCCTCACTTTTGCCATTCTATTCTGCTCCTGAAAATTTCTGAGAAAAAAAAAAGATGACAGATCTAGAAGAAGTAGAAGGAAAAAACTAGACTGAGCAGTAAGTACACAGACACTGTGCCACTGCCCAAATGGTGACTTCTTTTCCCTTTGTCTTTTAAATTTACATCAAGTTACCCTGGAGGAGCCTCTGAGCAGAAACACCTCATTAAAGTTACCTTTTGTGTGCACTATGCCCTTTCCATGACCCACTGGTGCCCTGTGGCTAAGAATCTGGTTTGATGCTGCTGACTGCCTGTGGGAAAACACAGTGCTTCCTGTCCATTAGAGGTGTGGGTATGAGTGCTGTCACAGGGAAGCAGCAATTTTCCTGAGTCACTATAATATCATAGGTACCAAACATGGATTTGGGGGCTCAGTGTTTGTCCAGTAAGAAGGAAAAAAAAAATTTATTAATCAACTCAAAAACTTTAGGTGTCAGAAGAAGTAAGAACAATAGAGATAAAAAACAAATACTATCCATGAACAATGAGGAAAAAAATAAAGACTTGTCTTTTGTTTTTTGAAATCCAGGTCAAGGAGACCTTCTCTCCACTTTCTCTCCAACTTCCTTTTCTAAATTTAAAAAAAATTGTGGGTACACAGTACTCATACGTTTTTATAGGGTACATGTGATATTTTGGTACAGGCATGCAGTGTGTAAAAATCACATCATTTTTATCTGTCCCCTCAAGCATTTATCCCTTCAATGCATAATGGATAAATGCACTACAAAAAATCCAGTTATATTATTTTAGTTATTATAAAATATACAATGTAATTATTATTGACTATAGTCCCCCTGTTGTGCTTTCAAATAGTAGGTCCTATCTGTTTCTTCTAACTATATATTTTTGTACCTATTAATCATTCCACCTCCTCCCCAACCCCCCACTACCCTTCCCAGCCTTTGGTCACCATCCTTCTATTCTCTATCTCCATAAGTTCAATTGTTTTGACTTTTAGATTCCACAAATAATTGAGAACATGCAATGTTTGTCTTTCTGTGCCTGGCTTATTTCACTGAACATAGTAACCTCCTGTTCTATTCATGTTGCTGCAAGTGACAGAATCTCATCCTTTTTTATAGCTGAATGGTACTCCATTGTGTGTAAGTATCACATTTTCTTTATCTATTTATCTGTTGATGAATGCTTAGGTAGCTTCCAAATCTTGGCTACTGTGAACAGTACTGCAACAAACATGAGAGTGGAGATATCTCTTAGATACATTGATCTCCTTTCTTTTGGGTAAATACCCAGTAGTGGGATTGTTGAGTCATAAGGTAGCTCAATTTTTAGTTTTTTGAGGAACCTCCAAACTGTTCTCCATTGTTGTACTAACTTACATTCCCACCAACAGTGTATGAGGATTCCCTTTTCTCCATATCCTTGCCAGTATTTGTTATTGCCTGAATTTTTAATAAAAGCAATTTTAACTGGAATGAGATTTGATTTGCATTTCCCTGATGATCAGTGATGTTGAGCACCTTTTCACATGTCTGTTTGCCATTTGTATGTCTTCTTTTGAGAAATATCTGTTCGATTCTTTTACCCATTTTTAATCAGAGTATTAGATTTTTTTCCTATAGAGCTGTTGGAGCTTCTTATATATTCTGGTTATCAATCCCTTGTCAGGTGGGTAGTTTGCAAACATTTTCTCCCATTCTGTAGCTTATCTCTTCACTTTGTTGATAGTTTCTCTTGCTGTGCAGTAGTTTTTTTAAGTTGATATGATCCCATTTGTCCATTTTTGCTTTGGTTGCCTGTAGTTGTAGAGTATTAATCAAGAAATTTTTGCCCACACAAATGTCCTGGAACATTTCCCCAATGTTTTCTTGTAGTAGTTTCATAGGAGCATATTGTTTAATTTCCATGTGTTTGAATAGTTTCCAAAATTTCTCTTATTATTGATTTCTAGTTTTATTTCATTGTGGTCAGAGGAGATGCTTGATATTATTTCAATTTTTTTGAATGTTTTAAGACTTGTTTTGTGACCTAACACATGGTCTGTCCTTGAGAATAATCCACGTGCTGAGAAGAAGAAAAATGTCCTGAAGCCATTGGAAAAAGTGTTCTCTAAATATTTATTAGGTCCATTTGGTCTGTAGTGCAGATTAAGTCAGATATTTCTTTGTTGATTTTCTGTCTGATAGTCTGTCCGTGCTGAAAGTGGGGTGTTGAAGTCTCCAGCTATTATTGTATTGGAGTCTATGTTTCTCTTCAGCTTTATATATCTGGGTGCCCCAGTGTTGGATGCATGTATATATTTATAGTTGTTATATCTTCTTGCTGAATTGATCCCTTTACCATTATATAATAAGCTTCTTTGTCTCTTCTTAAAGTTTTTGTCTTGAAGTCTATTTTGTCTGATATAAGTAGAGCTACTTCTGCTCTTTCTTGGTTTTCATTGGCATGGAATATCTTTTTCCATTCCTTTATTTTCGGTCTATATGTATCTTTATAGGTGAAGTGTGTTTCTTGTAGGTGACAGATCATTGGGTCTTGTTTTTCATCCATTCATCCACTCTTTTGATTGAAGAGTTTGGTTCTTTTACATTCAATGTTATTATTGATAAGTAGAGACTTAACTCCCACCATTTTGTTACTTATTTTTGGGTTGTTTTGTGCTCTTCTCTTCCTTCTTTCTTTCCTTCCTGTCTTCTTTTAGTGAAGATGATTTTCTCTTGTGGTATGCTTTAATTTCCTGATTTTTATTTTTTGTGTATTCATTGTATTTTTTTTGAGGTTACCATGAGGCTTGCAAATACTATCTTTTTTTTAAATTATACTTTAAGTTTTAGGGTACATGTGCACAATGTGCAGGTTAGTTACATATGTATACATGTGCCATGCTGGTGCGCTGCACCCACTAACTCGTCATCTAGCATTAGGTATATCTCCCAATGCTATCCCTCCCTCCTCCCCCCACCCCACAACAGTCCCCAGAGTGTGATGTTCCCCTTCCTGTGTCCATGTGTTCTCATTGTTCAATTCCCACCTATGAGTGAGAACATGCAGTGTTTGGTTTTTCGTTCTTGCGATAGTTTACTGAGAATGATGATTTCCAATTTCATCCATGTCCCTACAAACGACATGAACTCATCATTTTTTATGGCTGCATAGTATTCCATGGTGTATATGTGCCACATTTTCTTAATCCAGTCTATCATTGTTGGACATTTGGGTTGGTTCCAAGTCTTTGCTATTGTGAATAACGCAAATACTATCTTATAACTCATTATTTTAAATTGATGACAAGTCAACACTGGTTGCATAAACAAACACCCACAAAAAAAACTAATAAAACTCTACACTTTCACTTTGTCCTCCTGCTTTTTAACTTTTTGTTGTTTCTATTTATGTCTTATTGTACCACCTATGTCTTGAAAAGTTATTATTTTTGATTGTTTGATCATTTGATCTTTCTACTTAAGAGAAAAGTGGTATACACACGACAATTACAGTGCTTTACTATTTTGGTTTTTTTTTTCTTTTTTTTCCTTTCTTTTCTTTTTTTAGACAGAATCTTGCTCTGTTGCCCAGGCTGGAGTGCAGTGGCACAATCTCAGCTCACTGCAACCTCTGTCTCCCAGATTCAAGTGATTTTCTTGTCTCAGCCTCCCAAGTAGCTGGGACTACAGGCATGTGCCACCACCCCCAACTGATTTTTTATATTTTTAGTGGAGACAGGGTTTCACCGTGTTAGCCAGGATGGTCTCAATCTCCTGACCTCCTGATCCTCCTACCTCAGCCTGCCAGAGTGGTGGGATTACAGGTGTGAGCCACTATGCAGGGCACTATTCTGTTTTTCTTTGTGGTTACTATCACCAGTGAGTTTTGTGCCTTCAGATGATTTCTTCTTGCTCATTAACATCCATTTCTTTCAGATTGAAGAACTGCCTTTAGTATTTCTTGTAGAACAGGTTGGGTCTTGATGAAATCCCTCAGCTTTTGTTTGTCTAGGTAGGTCTTTATTTCTCCTTCATGCTTGAAGGACATTTTCATTGGATATATTATTCTAGAATAAAAGATTTTTTTCCTTCAGCACTTTACATATGTCATGCCACTCTCTCCTGGCCGGTAATGTTTCCATTGAAAAGTCTGCTGCCAGACATTTTGGAGCTCCATTGTATGTTATTTGTTTCTTTACTCTTGCTGCTTTTAAGATTCTTTCTTTATCCTTGACATTTGGGAGTTTGATTATTAAATGCTTTGAGATAGTTTCCTTTGTGTTAAATCTGCTTGGTGTCTATAACTTTGTACTTGAATGTTGCTATCTTTCTGTAGATTTGAGAAGTTTTCTGATATTATCCCTTTGAATAAACCCCTATCTCTTTCTCTACCTTTTCTTTAAGGTTAATAACTCTTAGATTTGCCCTTTTGAGGCTATTTTCTAGATTGGTATGCATGCTTCATTCTTTTTTACTCTTTTTTTTTTGTGTCCTCTGACTGTGTATTTTCAAGCAGCCTGTCTTCAAGCTCACCAATTCTTTCTTCTATTAAATTGATCAATTCTATTAAAAGGCTCTGATGCATTCTTCATGATGGCAATTGCATTTCTCGACTCAAGAATTTCTGCTTGATTCTTTTTCATAATTTCAATCTCTTTGTTAAATTTATTGGATAGAATTCTTAATTCCTTTTCTAGACTATCTTGGATTTCTTTGATTTTCCTCAAAACAACTATTATGAATTATCTCTCTGAAAGGTCACATATGTCTCTTTCTCTAGAATTGGTCCCTGGTTCATTATTTAGTTCATTTGGTGAGGTTATGCTTTCCTGGATGGTCTTGATGCTTATAGATATTTGTCAGTGTCTAAGCAATGAAAAGCTAGGTATTTACTGTAGTCTTTATAGTCTGATCTTATTTCTGGTTGTCCTTGAGGAGGCTTTCAGGGTATTTGAAGGGATCGGACCTGAAGCCCCATAATGCTGTCAGTTTTGCAGACTCATAGAGGTACCACTCTGGCAGTCTTGGATAAGACCTGGAAGAATTCTCTGAATTACCAGACAGAGGCTCTTGTTCTTTTCCCTTACGTTCTCCCAAACAAACAGAGTCTCTCTCTGTGTGTGTCTCTCTGTCTGTCTCTCTCTATCTACCTATCTATCTGTCTCTCTCTCTGTCTCTTTCTCTCGCTCTCTTTCTCTCTCTCTCTGTACTGAGCCATCTTAAACTGAGGGTGTGGTGATGCAAGCATCCCTGTGGCCACCACCACTGAGACCGTGGTGGGTCAGCACCTGAAGCCAACATAGCACTGGGTATTGCCCAAGGCCCTTTCCTTCACAGCAACAAGTTCCTCCAAGCTGCAGGCATGTCCATGGATGTTGTCTGAGAGCCAGAGATTGGAGTGAAAAACCTTAGCAACTTACTTGATATTCTACTGCTGCTAAGCTGTCATTCAAATCACAATACAAAGACTTTCTTTCTCTTCCCTCCCCTTTCCACAGGCAGAGGAGGAGCCTCTCCCTGTGGTGACCACCACCACTGATCCACACAGGTTCTGCAAGGCCACTGCTGATGTTCACTTAAAGCCCAAGGGCTCATTTGTCCACTTGTGATAAATGCTGCCAAGCCTGGGACTCATCTTTCAGGGCAGTCAAGTCCTGCCTGTCCTAGGGTAGATCCAGAAATGGTGTCCAAGAGCTTAGGCCTGGACTCAGGGACCCCAAGAGCCTACTTGTTGTTCTACTCCACTGTGGCCAAGCTGGTACCTAAGGTGCAAGACAAAGTCCCCCTTTACTTTCCCCTCTGCTTCTCAAAAAGATGGAGCCTTTCACTATAGCCACCACAGCTGGACGTGCTTGGGCTCACCTGAAGTCAGCACATTTCAGAGCCCAAGGCCCACAGCGTACTACCTGAGTATTGCTGCTGGTTATTCAGGAACCAAGGGCTCCTTAGTCAGCAGATTATGAATTCTGCCAGGCACTGGTCCTTCCCTTCAAGGTAGCAGGTTTCCTTTTGGCTCAGGTTGTCTCTAGAAATGTCCAGGAGCCAGGTCCTGGAACGGGGGCCTCACAACTCTGCCTGGTGCCCTATCTTACTGTGGCTGAGCTGGTATCCAAGATGCAAGACAAAGTCCTCTTTGCTCTTTGTTCTCCTCTTGTTAAATAGAAAGAAAGAATCACTTTTATTGCTGTGAGCTTCACTGCCTGGGGTCGGGGGAGGGGTGACACCAGCACTCCCTTAGAAGCTAGTGTCTCCCTAGGTCACGTGCCACTCTAGAACTCTGGCTCTGAGCCCAGCTTAGCACTAGGAATTTCCTAGGAATTGCAGTCCTTGTGTCCTACATTGTCTTTCAAGCTTATCTAAAACCCCAAAGCACTTCAGCCTGTGGTGGCAAGGCTTTGCCAAGAAACTCGAGTTCCAACCACTGGGATGGGTGAATCCCCTCTGGCTAGGGCTGGTCCAAATGCTCACTTCGGGCAAGGGTGAGCTGGCTGAGCCCAGCACGGCCTTATTCTCTGCTAAGCTTTATTCTCTACTGTGATAGAGCAGTACTGAATTCAATGTAAAATCCCAAGTTGCTGCACTCTCCCTCCCTCAAGGGCATAGACTCTTTCTCCATGTTGCATGGGGAAAGGGTGGCATCGACAATTCAAGATTGTCTCTCCTGCCCCCCTCAATTCCTCTTTCCAGGATATGAAGTTAAAACCAGTTACTATGATTGCTCACCTGATTTTTGGTTCTCGTGACACTGCTTTTTTTTTTTTTTTAGACTAAGTTTCACTCATGTCACCCAGGCTGGAGTGCAATGGTGCAATCTTGGCTAACTGCAACCTCCACCTCCCAGATTCAAGAGATTCTCCTGCTTCAGCCTCACGAGTAGCTGGGATTACAGGTGCCCACTACTATACCCAGCTAATTTTGTGTATTTTTAGTAGAGATGGGGTTTCACCGTATTGGCCAGGCTGGTCTCGAACTCCTGACCTCCGGTGATCCACCGGCCTCAGCCTCCCAAAGTACTGGGATTGCAGTTGTAAGCCACCACACCCAGCCATGACAGTGCTTTTCTATGTGCAGATAGTTATTAAAATCTGGTGTTCCAGCAGGGGAAACAAGTGGTATAGGCTTCTATTCTGACATCTTGCTCCGCCCACACAAAACTCCCAATTTCCTTCTTTAAAAATCAATGTTCTTGGCCAGACACGGTGGCTCACGCCTGTAATCCCAGCGCTTTGGGAGGCCGAGAAGAGTGGATCATTTGAGGTCAGGAGTTTGAGACCAGCCTGATCAAGATGGTGAAACCCCGTCTCTACTAAAAATACAGAAAAATTAGCCAGGCATGGTGGCACACTCCTGTAATCCCAGCTACTTGGAGGCTGAGGCAGGAGAATCACTTGAACCTGGGAGACGGAGGTTGCAGTGAGCCAAGAATCATGCAACTGCACTCCAGCCTGGGTGACAGAGTGAGTTCCATCTCAAAAAAAAAAAAAGAAAAGAAAAAATTAGTATTCTTAATTTTTTTGAAGAAGTTTTAGGTTTAAAGAAAAATAGACCAGAGAGTATAGGGTTCCCATATACTCCCTTAGTCCTTCCCTCCCAGTTTTTCCTGCTATTAACATTTTTCATTAGTGTTGTACATTTGTTATAATTGATGAACTAATATTATTATTAATTTAGATAGCTATTAACTAAATACAGTATTGTTGACTAAATTCTATAGTTTACATTAGAGTTCAATCTTTCTGTTGTATATCCTATGGGTTTTAACAAATGTACAATGGCGTGCATTTTCCATTACAATATCATAGAAAATAGTTTCACTGCCCTATAAATCCTCTGTGCTTCACCTATTCATCCCTCCCTTCCTCTCCCTAGTCCCCTGACAACCACTAATCTTTATATTGTCTCCACAGTTTTGTCCTTCCCGAATGTTTTAAGTTGGGATCATATAGTATGCAGCTTTTCAGACTGGCTTCTTTTACTTAGTAATATGCATTTAAGTTCCTCCATGTCTTTTCATGGCTAGGTAGTTCATTTCTTTTTACTGCTGAATAATATTCCATTGCATAAATGTACCACAGTTTTTTAATCATTCATGTATTGAAGGACATTTGGTTGCTTCCAAGTTTTTGGCAATAATGAATAAAGCTGCTATAAACATTTGTGTGCAGGTTTTTGTGTAGACATAAATTTTCAGGTCATCTGGGTAAATACCAAAGAGTGAAACTGCTGGATTGTATGGCAATAGCATGTTTAGTTTTATAAGATACTGACCCAAAATACCACCTTTTATACCCATAAGCTATGAGTGACATAGTTTCGGTTGCTCCACATGCTCACCAGCATTTGATGTTGTCAGTACTTTAGATTTTAGCCATGCTAATAGGTTTTAATTCGCAATTCTCTAATGACAGATAATGTACAGCATGTTTTCATTTGTTTATTTGCCATCTATGTACCTTCTCTGGTATGGTGTCCATATATTTTGCCCATTTTTAACTAACAGTTTTCTTATTGTTAATTGTGTGTGTGTGTGTGTGTGTGTGTGTGTGTGTGTGTGTGTGTTTAGGGACTCTGTCTCCTGGGCTGAAGTGCAGTGCTGTGATCTTAGTTCACTGCAGCCCCTACCTCCTGGGCTCAACTCATCCTCCCACCTCAGTCCCCCAAGCAGCTAGGACTAAGGCAGGTACCACAATGCCTGGCTAATTTTTTTTGGTGGGGGGCGGGGGATGGGAGACAGCGTTTTTCTCCTTGCCCAGGCTGGTCTCAAACTCCTGAGCTCAAGCAATTTGCCTGCCTTAACCTCCCAAAGTGCTGAGATTATAGGCATAAGCCACCATGCCTGGCCTCTTATTGTTGAATTTTAAGAATTCTTTGTATATTTTAAATACCAGCTTTGTTTTTATTAGACATATGTTTTGTAAATATTTTTTCCACTCTGTTGCTTGTGTTTTTATTCTCACGGTGTCTTTTGAGAGCAGAAGTTTTTAATTTTAATTAAGTCCAAATTATCCATTTTTTTATGACTCATACCTTTGGTATTGTATCTAAAAAGGCATTGCTAAACCAAAGGTCACCTAGATTTTCTCCCATGTCATCTTCTAGAAGTTTTGTAGTTTTGCATGTTATACTTAGGTGAATAATCAATTTTGAGATAATTTTTGTGAGTCATGTAAAATCAGATTCTAGATTATTTTTGACATGTGGAGATCCAGCTTTTCTACCACCATTTGTTGAAAAGATTATTCTTTCTCCATTGAATTGGCTTCGCACCTTTACCAAAGACCAATTGATTGTATTTGTGTGGGTCTCTTTCTGGGTTTCTTATTCTGTTCCACTGACCTATTTGTTATTCTTTCAACAATATGACACTGTCTTGATTATTGTGGCTTTATGTAAGTCTTGAAATCAGGCGGTAGCCTTCCTCTGGCTTTATTCTTCTTCTTCAATATTGTGCGGGCTATTCTGAATCTTTCCCGGCTTCCTTTTAACTCAATAACGCAAGTGAGGATATTTAGAAGTCTCTTTTCTCAGTCCTCCACTTCTCTTGTCATGAACTCAGGCCAGTGGCATCTATACACATGAGTGATTTCTTAATTTTTCCCCATTTCTATCATTTTTCTTCCATATTTTAAAAGATTGTATCCACAAAACTGCCTTTGTTTCACAGATTTGCTTCATCAAAGATATCTATAACTTCTGGTCAGAGATTCCAATCAGCATGAGATATCATTGTTACTGACGATTTTGATATGTCTGCCACAAAAGTAAACAGCATTATGCAACCTAATGCCAAGTCTAACGTGATGCCAAATTAAGTTTAAGTGAGGCACCAAAATAAATTAGGTGCTGGCTTCCGAATGAGACAGTGGACTATATGTAGGTAATCCAACAAAACTTGGTATGAGACTCCTTAAAACTTGTGCAGGTCATAAGGCAAAACATACTTCAATAAACTCTTACCTTGTCCCTCCCCATTTGCCCATAGGCCATCTTGGGAGGTGACCCACTTTGTGCCCAGCTGCCACCAGCTGGAAACATTTTTGGAATGAAGAATGACCTGTCCAAGGACTAGGGACCAGGTGGGCCAGGTAGGCAGGTGGGAAGGGGTGCGACCACCTGGGTCAGTTTCTCTCTCAGCCCCAACGACATTCAGATCTTTTCTCCTCCTGGAGGGTGTGGTTGCCTCTGGTAAGTCACAGGTTCATAGACTGAGATTCTGCCACATAATGTGGTTCCTGAGGAAGCAGGCACTGGGGATGGGGAGCAGAGAGGAGAACTGAGAGTGGAGGGAACACCAGAGTGTGTCTTAGCAGCTCACAGTGCTATTCCTTCCAAGTGCTGACCACTGGCCACACAAAACCAGTGGTAGCTTCAAAACCATACAAAACTAGGTGGAAGGCAGGACTTGGCCGTCAGGCTGCAGTGTGCTGGCCACAGCCGTCAAATAACAGCTGATCTAGATCCACCCTAGCAAAGCCCCAGAACCATGCTTCCATGGGATCAGGCTCTGTCGCCAGTAAAATATTTTTAAAAAGAAAAATGTACTTAAGTTGGTGCAAAAGTAATCTTGGTTTTTGACTTTAGCAAAAACATACGTACATACACACACATGAATATATTTAAGGAAATAATGACTGAATGCTCTATAAATCTGATGAAAAATATTAACCAATAATGCCAAGAAATTCAAAAAACCTCAAGCCAGAGGAAGAGATCCTGCCAAAAAGAGAAGGGAACTTAATCATTACGGTTGTGGGGAATGTTACTGGGGCCAGCAGCTCACCAGCAGGAAGAGAGCAGAGAGGCCCTCTGTCCAGGGAACCCACAACAGCTCCTGCAGGCAAAATGTCAGGTCCAGAGCATAACACCAGCTTGTAAATCTGCAGGACTGTCTCATTCCCTTGTCAATTTCTCCCTTACTGCTTATCCTTAGGAGTCAGAAATAGCAGGTGGGTGAGGGAACAACCACCCCTCTCTTCTAGATCCCAGGCTTCTCCCTGCACCTGTTGCAGTTGGTGGGAGGGAAGAAGATACACTATTAAATTAGGCTTGCAGTTAAGATCAGTGCTTCTCAAACTGTCGTGTGCACACAAATCAACTGGGGAGCTTGTTAAACTGCAGGCTCTGATTCCTTCTGTGGATTTGGGTTGGAGCCAGAGATTTTGCCTTTCCATTTCTAACAAGTTCCCATGAGACCAGCATTATGGTCCCCAGACCACCCGGGGAATGGTAAGGGTTTAGATTACTATCTGGGCCCAAATGTTTTAATTCCTGAATCTCATTATGTTTGTGATATGGAACAATCACAGATTTTCTAGATTTTAGGTGTAACCAGAAAGCCATGAGGACTGCCAGAGTTTTCATGCTGGGGCTAAGGATGGGCCTCCCTCTAAGCAGCTTTATAGGGACAATAGGAGGGGAATGCAAAGTTGCTTTTGTGGCTTATTTCCATGAGTCTTGCTGGTTTGTTACATTGTTTATACTGGCAGAGGCAGAGCTTCTGTTAGCTCTTTGAAGGGTGAAAATTCACCTCCCTGCCCCCTTGGTGCCTGTGATGGTTAATTCCATGTGTCAACTTCGCTAGGTCCACAGGTATTTGGTCAAACACCAGTCTGGATGTTGCTGTGAAGGCAATTTTTGATAAAATTAACATTTAAATCAGTACACTTTGAGTAAAGCAGATTACCTCCATAGTGTGGGTAGACCTCATGCAATCAGTTGAAGGCCTTAAGAGAAGATAGATTAAGGTCTCTTGAGGAAGAGGGCACTCTGCCTCCAGACTGCCTTCAGACTCAAGCTGCAGGATCAATTCTTCCCTGGGTATCAAGACTGCCCTGCAGATTTTGCACTTGCCAACCTCCACAATTGCATGAGCCATTTCCTTTAATTAAACTCTCTCTCTCTCTCTCTGCCTCTCCCCACCCCTAATATATGGAGATAGATAGATAGATAGATAGATAGATAGATAGATAGATAGAGAGATATATGAAGATATATAGATATAGATTATATAAAGATATATATATATGTTTTATAATTGACAATGGTGAACATACATATAGTGGGAACTTTAAGAAAAAGTCTGACATAATAAAAACCACAACACAGGACTATATGGGCTGTTTTCCAGTCAGGACAACCCACATCTCTCTTAGCGTGTACTCTCATTCAATAAACTCTCTGGTCTCTTAGCTAAATTGTCTCTTGGCCAAATTCTTTCTCTCAAAAAAGACAGAAACGGAGGACCCCCACACTTCCAGGTGACATCCTCAAGATGTTTAGGGTGAAAAGTAGATATCAAAAACCATTCTTACTTTTCCTACACCCATCATTGTTGCTTCATGTCTCTCCATGTTACCACAGTTAAACCCACTGTGCCTGTGGAGTCTTGGGTTATCCTGTGATGTTGGCCAAGACAGCTTCTTGTCTTTATGCCATGTGACGAATGGGCCTGGTAGACAATCACTGGGACAACCACGTGCAACAAGACAGCCATTCAGTGCAGCAAGGAAGTTGCATGCTATTATAAGTAGGTACTCTTCAGTCTTACACTTTGCTGAGATTGTTGCTTGCTTGCAATTTTATAATATTTTTATTGAAGATTAAAGTAAGCCACATTCTTCAATGCCCCAAGGAGAAAGGAAAAGATTTCATTAGCTGCCACCGCTGTCTATCCTAAAAGAATGTTGCCCTGTCACCTAGGAGGGAAGCAATGGCTGACCTCCAGCCACCTCTTCTAAGATGGGGCTAGGGAAGGTAGAAGTGGGGGACTCCTGCTCTACTCAGACTTCTGAGGAAGTTCCAGGAGAAAATATTCACAAAGAAGGCACTGAGAAGGCAGTAAATGTTTAATAGCCACTCTTATCTGATTACTGCTCCATGTTATCCTGAGTATAAAAGGAGGCTTCCTTTAAAACAAAAATCTTCTGATTGACTTATGCCTTTTTCTGTTTTGAACCTTTACTTGCTGAAGAATAAGATGGGTAGGAGAAGGAGGGAGAGAAGGAGGAGCAGAAGGATGAGGAGGATTGGGGAGAAGAGGAAGAAGAAAAAGAAGAGGAAGAAGAAGAGGACAGAGGAGGAGGAGGAGGAAGGGGAGAAGAAGAAGGAGGAGGAGAAGAAGAAGAAGAAGAGGAAGAGGGAGGAGGAGGAAGAGGAGGAGAAGAGGAAGAAGAAGAAGAGGAGGAGGAGGAAGAGAAGGAAGTAGAAGAAGGGGGAGGAGGAGGAAGAGGAGGAGAAGGGGAAGAAGAAGAAGAAGAGGAGGAGGAGGAAGAGAAGGAAGAAGGAAGGGGAGAAGGAGGAGGAGAAAATATTATTCAATTGAGTAGTATAATTCAATTCAATTCAAGCAATTAGCCAAAAATTCCACTGAAATATTGACTGAATTCAATTTATCCACATTCAAAGTATCCTTTTATAAGCCATTTGATTGCTGCCATGTTACAAGTCTTCACAGAGCTTTAAGGTATTTCATGCATTTATTATTCTCAACAGAGAATTTTGAACTAAAACTCACCACATTCTATTTACATATGCAAGGAAAATATTTAAAAATCCAAGCAAAGTTGAAGCCCTTCAGCTGGTTTTCTTTAAGCAGAGATGTCAGGTCACTTATTCAAGATCTCACAGATACATACAAGTCAAGAAAATCTAATCCCTTAAAATTTTACTCATTGACTTGATCATGTCACTGGACAGCACTCAAATGAGACACCACAGATAAGAAAGCCAGAAAGGCTTTCTGCATAAATCTACCTTTTTCCATGATTAACAAAGCCTTAGCTTCACAACTCATGAAATGGTTGGAAGAAATCCTAGACCTATTTTGCAGATGAGCAAACTGAGGCACAGAGGTGTGTGAGGTGTGAACAGCTTTTTGGCCGTGGGAAAGTCACAGGATTGTCTCTGCACCTCATCTGCAACTCTGAGCCTTGCTCAACCCCATCTGATTAGGGAGAGGCAAGCTTGCCACAGAATAGGATCGTGTTGGTATGAGTGTGCCTTATAAAGAAAAGGAAGGGGTGGTTCGCCTTGAACTGAGCTCTCATTGGTAGGCTTTTTACAGCGATGCTGTCCCCAGTGGCTGCTGCTGCCTCCGTGCCCTCTTCGCTGACATCCAGGTATGACTTGTGGATGGCTTTTGATAAATATAGGCCCTTGGTTGGTGACATTCCAGAAAGATCAGCTTTGACCTGGTTGAAGAGATCTGTCACCCCTAGAGATTTTAACAGGGAATTTAGCTCATACTTAGTTTCAAGTTTGAATCGGGGGAGGTGTACTTCAACTTCTCTTTCCATCATGTTAGAAGAGCTTGTCCACTCATGAAACGTCCCCGAATTCAGCTGCTTTTCTATCTAAGAGACAAAACACAGACAAGCCCACATGAGTCAAACACACGACCTCTACATTAAATATCATATGTTTTTATAATTCTCAGTGTGAGTGGTTCAACTTCATCACTTTTTCTACCTTTAATACAGTCTACTTACCTGGGAACAAAATCATACCATTAGCCACATTTTCCCTTTTCTGTTGTCTGTTTCTCATCTAAATTTCATAATTAAGCTTCTCAAGTAGGTATCCTACAGTCTTTTCCCTCAATTCCCTCAGCATACATGCTTCACTGCACTTCTCCCACTCTCGCCTGTGAAGTTGTCATGGTCCTGTTTCGTGGATGGACTCAACCATTTCTTCTGGGTTCTCATATCTGAAACATTTCATGATACCCTCCTTTATGAGCGTGATTCTTGTTTGGCATCCCTGATGCCAGGATCCCCATGCACTCTGATAGCTTTCATCCTCTCGTGCCCTTCTCTGTCACTGTTTCTGGTAGCTGCTCCTGAAGCTGAACTCTGGGCCACCTGTGCCTCTGCCCAGCATGTCAGCTCCCACATCAATGCTCAGCTTTCCCAAAGCAGCCTCAGCACACTGACTTCTCATTCTCCATCCAGTTTCATCATTTGTTTGTAAACCTTTCAAACGCCTCCCTCGGGCATTGAACTCTCCAGCCAGCCCTGTCCACAGCTGCAAACCACCATGCTGTGTCACATCCCATCTTTTTAATCTGAGAATTTAAAACAGTTTTGACAACTACTGCCTACCATGACAATATAAAAGCCACCAAAAAGCAAAGGTGGTTTTTCTTCCAAAGTATCTTTTCCTTTTGTCATTTTCTGCCCACATCCAAGAGACTATGACTTCATGCCACAGCTCATGCTGCCTTGCTTCTAAGGCATTTGCACTGCTCTTTGCTCTGCTCAGTTTAGCAGGGCCCCTGTGATTCTCCTATTCATCCAGCAAGGCTCGGACTGAAATTGCTGTACTAGGAATTCCTTTCTGACCCATTCATTCTAATCCCATAGTCTACTTCCAGAAAACTTTCTGCAGAATCTAAACTGCTCCCAAACTGCATTATGCCTCCAAATGTCTTTCACTCCAGTCAACCACAGGCCCTTAGGGACCTGATTCCCTCTGACTTAACCACAACCGTAAGCATACCTGTTATGGCCACCGCTGCACTTCTGTGACTACAGCTCCTTTTCAGTTGGCACCCGTCTCACTTCTTAATCCAAATGCGTACGTCCTGACCCTGCTCTTTCAAGAAGCCTTCCCTACCACCCGACACACACACACTTTGCTCACCTGTGCCACAGTGTTCCTTCCCTACCACCCAACACACACACACACCTTGCTCACCTGTGCCACAGTGTTTTCATCTCAAGCCAGCACTCCCTGGCTTAGAAGCCCCTAACTGTTAGGCTATATCACCCATATGTGTGTCAGCTTCTGCAGGCTTCCAGACGTCCAGCTGTTAGAAGCACAGCCTGCTCTATGCTGGGCAGCTTTGGCTGCAGCTGGGGAAAGGGGGTTGGATCCAAACTCCTTTCACGGCCATGACCACTTCTTAATGTGTGTGGTGCCCATTTCTCCACAAAACTGAGATGTTAAAAATGGTTAGCCTGTGAAAGTACAATTGGCTCAGAAATACTGCCCCCAGAGTAAAATGGCTTAATCAGATTTCTGCACACTAGGAGCCCAAATAGCATTATAACTTCATTACTATAGAAAGATGTCCCCCGACTATCAACCAACCAGTACTTGTGTGTATTTGTACAAAATATCACTTCTGCTTCCATGTGCCTTTCTCATGTAAGAATAGCTTGTTCTCCATAAACACACTGTCCTGAAAGGCAGAGGCCATGTGTCTCCCTGCTACTTTCACACCCCCGGGACAATCCTACTAAGGCTTAGATTGTGAATCAATGACTACGCTAATGTCATGAGATACACAGTGTGTCTGTGTGTGTGTGTGTTAACATGCACACATGCTTTAACTGCATTATAGCATTCTTATAATTTTACCTGTTTCAGATTAGCTATGCCTACTGGAAGCAGAATAATCATGCTTAATTTGTTGTTAACGTAGGGCAGCTCAAGAACTTGCATCTGCGGCTCCTTTACAAAGGCCAGTTTAAATGTTCCAATTTGATACATCATTTCCACAGTTACATTTTTACCCTGTTAAGAAGAAAAAGATTATAGTATACTTACATATGTGAGTGCACATGTGTGTGTACTGATTACCTTGCATAACACGGATATCTGCATGAACACTCTAAAGGCATGGGTAAAATAGAAACTACAAAGTAGATTCCTTATTACTTCCCTTTGCAAAGGTTATCCATTTTTTTAATTTAAAATAAGTCATGGTTAGAGACTGAATTGTTCTAATAATATATAGAGATAGCTTGGTCTACCAAAAACAAAGTCAGGATTTTTAGCTAACATGATTTTAGTGGGAAGAAAAAGGATATATCATTAAATCATTTTCTTTTTAATCTTTCCTCAAGAAACTCTCTAGAAAAAAAAATAACACAGATAGCCTTAGTGTGCTGCTGGAGAACATAACCACAGTATATATGGAAAGAATAAGCCAAGAGAGCATTAAGAAAAGAATGGGTTTTCTCCTCTGCCAGAGAATCTTAGTATCCCAAGTCTCCAGTTAGGTGCTCTGTGATAAAAGTTATTGTCACTTAATAAAGGAAAAATGAAAATCTGTAGAAAATACAATAAAAAGAACCAACAGAAACCTAGACCAATATTTTCACTAAATCACTACATCTTTCTAAATTGTCCTTAAATGATTATTGTATCCTCCAACATTTGTCATGAGTCTGAAAATAAAATACTTACCTCACTTAGCTGAAAAGGACTTTTAACTGTCTCTCTTACTTGAAATTTATTTTGCCATTGTCCTTTGAAATATATGGCATTCACCAGGACCATTACAGATGAAGGGTCAATTGTGCTCTTTCCAAAGAGATTTGCGACTTTTCCTTGTATAAAAAATAAGATAATTATATTTGGATTTGAACTCCTGATAATAGAGAGGTGAAGAGTCATGAGAAATTTAGAGCCATTTCTTTTTTAAGACTAATTGTAAATTTGAGATACCAGAAGAACTCCTTTCATCTCCTGGCCATGGAGCCTTCTTTGTCAAATGAAGTTTATTTCAGGGAATATTTAATGCTTTATTATTTAATCATAAGACGGCACCCAGGAAGTAGCCAGCATATTCGTGATGGATCAATTTGTCTTATGCCTAGTTACATCGAGTAATTTCTTATACATCACTGCTTATTTAGATATTATGTAATCATTTCTTGTGGCTTACTTTTAATATTTACAAGACTTTATACTTACCAGCAGTTCACTACACACAAATATATTATTTTAAAATATTTATTCTTTCAATGCACTAGAATTAGTGTATTACAAATATATATACTAAAGCACTTGAAGTAAACACATATCTGAAAATCAAGATTCATAAAATTATGCCAGGAATTGCTTTGTAAATAAAACTGATCAAAATTAAACATCCAGCCCTCTTGGTGCATTTTGGTACATTGCAATTTATAAAACCTTTTTGGAATGGAATCTGTTATACAATATGAAACATAGGAATATCTGAACATCAGCTTTAAGCTTCATGAAGGTTTTAATTTTCATTGAAATTCTAGGCCTAACACAATCCTAGCATGTGATAGCAATACCTAACCTTAAGCATACAATGTATATTTTTGGATGAAACAGTAAATAAAGATATAAACAAAAGATGAAATAACATTAATATTCTACATAAATATATAACATGTGGATCCCTAATGCACACCCATGACAGACAACACTAATCATCTTTTCATTCGTGCCAAAAAATTTTAGGCATTTTCTAAATGCTGGGCACTGTTCTAGGCACTGTAGCACTAAATTCAGACTATAACACAAAACTAAACAGACAAAAATCTCTACTGTCACAGAGTTAGTGTCTACTGGCTCAATTGTGGGCTTTTTCAAGTAACCTAAGTTTAAGCCTCAGACTCTCAATACAGATTTCCCAAGCAGTCACTACCAGTGGATTAGAGTTAGCACAAGAGAGAGGCATATTTTTACACCACTGTGCTAAGTAAATTAACAGATATGAAAAAAAAATACACCTTTCAAAGCATTTTCTGACTTAATACAAATAATATAATGGATATATATTTTAATCTGGTCACCTATTACTAAACTTGACATCTGTCAGTTCCTCAATCAAAAAGATACTATTGAGAGCTCATCACTGTTAAGTGATATAATGGGAGAAAAATATATTAGAAAGCATTGTCCTTATGCTAAAAGAAATCTAAAATAATATAAAGCTAAACTAGAATTATTAAGTGAATTCAGCAATGTTAATATACAAAAGTAAAGTATATACTTATACATCAACAACAAATAAACCAAAATAATAGATACCAGCTAAAATTCACCAAACACCTCAAATACCACCTAGGATCAGTTTATCAAAAAATGTACAAAACTTCAACATAGGAAAATACAAAATGTTATCAAAAGAAAAAATTAAGGAAGACCTGTATAGAGGTAAATTTCATGGTCATGGATTAGAATTTGAATAAAGATGTATTTTCTCTCCAAATCTATAGATTCTATATAAATCCTATTAACATTTCAACTGATATATTCTATGGAAGTTAACAAGCTAATTTTAAAACGTATATGGAAATACAAAGGATCAAGATTTGGCAAGGCAACCCTAGAAGAGATCAACATTGGAGGGATTACACTTCCAGCTTCCAAGAGTTATTATAAAGCTACTATAATTGTGGCATCATCATGAGAATAAACAAATTGACGAATGAAAGAGAATGGAAAACCTAGGAGCAGATTCACACACATATGGTCATCTAATTTATGATAAAATTTACATTGCAGTGCAATAATGAAAGGATTCTTTGTTCAATAAGTAGTGCCATAGCAATTAGACATCCACATGGAATGAAACTAATTTTAAAATGAATCCTGACTTTAATAAAACAATAAAACTTCTAGAAAATAACATACGAAAATATTTTCACAAACTAGAAAATACTTTCACGACAAGATTTCTTTAAAATCGTCCAAAAAATGTGTGCAAAGACACTAACTATAAAGGAAAAGATCATAAATTTTATTCCTTTGAAATTAGAAACTTCCATTCATCTAAGACACCACTAAGAGATGGGAAAGATAAGATGCAAAATAGTAGAAGTTACTTGCAACGTAGGTATCCAGTATGTGCAAAGAACTCCTAAAAATTTATCAGAAAAAAAAACAGACAAACCATTCTTACAGGTGGGCAAAAGATTTAAACAGAAACTTCACAAAGGAGGATATGCAGCATATGAAAAATTGTTCAACCATATAATTCATGAAGGAAATGCAAATTAAAATTAAAATAACTACAGTGGCTAAAGTTAACAAGCCTTACACTACCAAGTGTTGGCAAGGAGGAGGGACAAATGAAATTCTCATTTCTTGTTTGGGCAAATAAATTGACACAACCACTTAAGAAAATTGCTTGGCATCTACTACAATTGAATGTATATATGCCTTATGACTAGCAATTCCATTCCAAGGTATACACCCAATAAAAGTGCATACATATGTGTACCAGGGATATGTATCAAAAATATTCACAGCAGCACTATTTATAAGAGATCCAAACTAAAAATGTCCTAAGTATTTACTAACAGTAAAATGGATAAGTATATTTGGAATATTCTGAGAATGAAATGTATATTAATAAAAATGAACAAACCATGCAATGTGTAACTACATGGATGACTCTCACAAATTATTGACCTAAAAAAAACCCACATAACTTATGATTCCAATTACATGAGATTTAAAAACAGGCAGAACTAATAAGTGGTAACAGAAGTCAGAGAAGCCTTAACATTTGGGAAAAAAGGGGCTTATTTCCAGAAGAGGATTTAAGGGGGACCTTGCAGTGCCTCTTTCTAACAACTAATGTCTTATTTTGCTGACCTGAGTCATGAGTATATTCACTTTGTGATAATTTATCAAATAGCACACATACAATAATTTACTTTTCTATATGTATGTATATTTAAATCATAAAGTTTATTTTTAAAATCAAGATTTAAGGGATGTATTAACTAATTGTGATATGTCAATGTTATTTGGTTCCTGATTCAAACAAAAAAAAAAGAGCCAACTGGGGAAAAATGAAAACACACTGAATATTTAACATTAAAGGATTATTTTTAATTTTTCAGAAGTAATGAATTGTAGCGGTTGTATTAAAATTGTCCATATTTTTAGAAAAACAAAGTGAAATATGTGAAGGAAAATGATAGAATATCTAGAATTTGCTGCAATATAATCTTAAAGAAGTGTTGGAGAAAGGGTGAGAGATTACATGAATAAAGCCAGCCATTAGTGAGAAATGTTGCAATTGAGTGATGGATAAATAGGGTTCATTATATATTCTCTTTACCTTTGTATATCCTTAAATTTTTCCTTAACCAAATGTTTCTAAGAAACATTTAAGAAATGTTTAGCAATATATATGGGTTTTTAATTGTGAAAAGTAAATTTAAATTTAATTAATTTTAATTGCAGAATGTGCCACACATTTATGAAACAGAAATGGTGTTCATTCGCAGAGTCACTTTGTATAGCTTCTAGAACAACTGATTGTAAGGGGTATTCCAAAATATGGCCCCATTCCTTTCTTGCTGATCTGCCTATGTCAGGTGCAGACTTCAGCCAGCTTCCTCTTTAGCAAGTGGACTCAGGTTGCTTATCAACACAACACAGAGTTTAGAGACACATATTGACTTATCCTTACCATTAGTTTTATTTTCAACCCAAGCATTAATCGTTTTCCTCGTTTCTTCTGTAGACTGTTCAAAATCCACAGTTTGCAACCTGGCTTGATACCATTTCTCAGAACAGCTTAAATATTGCTATGAAAGACATGATAATTGAACAACAATTCAAAAGCAGTGTAAGGAAAACAAAAATCTACAGCTCAATGTATTCTAAAATTCTAATGCAGAGAAAAAAGCAGTTCCCATAAACAAGTCTGAGAGGAAACAGGATCCATATGTACTTATTTTTAATAAAACAAATAAATTTAACAAAATCTGAAACCCTTCCAAAAGGAATGTTCAGAAATGTTTTGTTGTTACTTCTGTCATATGATTGGCTTTCTTAGTTTTAAAGTGTTCAAAGCAAAATGACAAATTGCAATACATGAGCACCTTCTGACTCTATTCCTACTCTTTCCTCTTCAAAGTAGACATGGAAGTTACTGCTCTCAGATTATAGACAGGAAAACTGAGAAGCAGAGTGGTTAAGTGACTTGCTTTTCTGAGGTCTAACAGAAGGTTGCTCCCATGATATATATCAATCTCCTCACAAGCTGCCATAAATATAATTAATAATAAAAACATTCTGTGATGTAGATAGTTGGCATTTCTGTCAAATTTATGTAAAGTGTGAACAAAAATATCTTAAGAATTTATTATTTCGTTCACCTATAACATATTATCTAAGTGAAAGTGGTGTGCAAACTCAGTATAAAGAACTTACCCTTTCTTTTAACCAAAAATTTTTACTCCGGAGGCCCTCCTGTGTAGCATTCTGGAGCAACAATTTATGACCACCCATGGCCCTAGATTTCTATAGAACTGGAGACTTTCCGTTGTCTTTCTGCCAAGACAACAGTGATATCTACATGGACCCAAATGAGTTTACCATGATGCAATTCCTGAGACCTAAGGAGCATACCTCCACAGCCCAGTGGGACTCAATGCCCCAACATGAACTGAATAGAACAATACAAGACTTTGAAATATGGAAGATGTGCCTAGCGTAGAAGAAAAACAAAGCTTAACTAATGTTGGGGGAAGTCAGGGACCCCGAACGGAGGGACTGACCTGCTGAAGCCGTGACAGAAGAACATAAATTGTGAAGAATTCATGGGCATTTATTAGTTCCTCAAATTAATACTTTTATAATTTCTTACACCTGTCTTTATTGCAATCTCTGAACATAAATTGTGAAGATTTCATGGACATTTATCACTTCCCTAATCAATACTCTTGTGATTTTCTATGCCTGTCTTCTTTAATCTCTTAATCCCATCATCTTCGTAAGCTGAGGATGTATATCACCTCAGGACCCTGTGATGATTGCGTTAACTGCACAAATTGTTCGTAAAGCATGTGTGTTTAAACAATATGAAATCTGGGCAACTTGAAAAAAGAACAGGATAACAGCGATGTTCAGGGAACTAGGGAGATAACCATTAGATCTGGCTGCCTGAGAGCCAGGCAGAACAGAGCCATATTTCTCTTTTCAAAAACAAATAGGAGAAATATCGTTGAATTCTTTTTCTCAGCAAGGAACAGCCCTGAGAAAGAGAATGCGTTCCTAGGGGGAGGTCTCTGAAATGGCTGCTCTGGGAATGCCTGTCTTATACAGTTGTAGATAAGGGATGAAATAAGCCCCGGTCTCCCGTAGCACTCCCAGGCCTATCAGGACGAGGAAATTCCTGACTAGTAAATTTTAGTCAGACCGGTTGTCTGCTCTCAAACCCTGCCTCCTGATAAGATATTATCAATGACAATGCATGCCCGAAACTTCATTAGCAATTTTAATTTTGCCCCGATGCTCTGCCCCCATTTGCCTTGTGATATTTTATTGCCTTGTGAAGCATGTGATCTCTGTGACCCACACCCTATTCGTACACTCCCTCCCCTTTGAAAATCACTAATAAAAAATTGCTGGTTTTGCGGCTTGGGGGGCTTCATGGAACCTGCCGACATGTGATGTCTCTCCCGGGCACCCAGCTTTAAAATTTCTCTCTGTTGTACTCTTTCCCTTTATTTCTCAGACCAGCCGACACATAGGGAAAACAGAAAAGAACCTACATTGAATTATCAGGGCGGGTTCCCCCAATATACTATGAGCAAAATCTGGGCCTCAGAATGAATCTTGTCCTGAGCTGGATCCAATTGTGGTTGAAACAACCTTAAGTAACTCTCCATAGCCCAGGAGATGGACTTTTTCCCAGCCAGAATCCTGAAATAACAAGGTCCCTCTCATGACATAGTTCAAGACAATCTTCATGATGCTAATGAGGACCTTCTCACTTCTGGAACAGATGTCATCATGATCATCCCAAATCCACATTTGTCTACTGTTATATCTGGGTCACTGTTTTGAGAAGGCAAAGTCAAGAGAGCGGGCATACCAGCTCAAAGGACCGTGATTGTTAATCCCTGCCACTCTAGACACTCTCCATACATCGTTCCCTATATGCTTCCAGGGCAGTAAAAGAAAATACTCTCTGAATGTCTATAATACCTACCCCAAGTTGCAAATATTCTGACTATCAGAAGCTCATCACATAGGTTATCCAAGACATAACCTGATCTACCAGGCCAGGGAAGAACATTAGAAACTCATGTTTTCATCCAGCTTCACCCAGATAGCATTTAAATAACCCTGGTCAAACAAAAGCTTGCATTTCACCTCAATCACAAGATGATGTAGCAATTAAAACCAGGAAGACAGATTTGCATAGGGGTTAAATCCAGGTTTTGCCATTTAAATATGTCTGTGACCCTTATCAGCCTGACTTTTCAGAATCTGCTTCACAGTCTGTAGAATTAATGGAAATTTTATACCAATATCTTAGCACAGTGTGAGGATTATAGGAGATAATGCTTGTAATGAGCTAAGCAGAATGACTGGCACAGAGTAAATACTCAATAAAACTACATAGGACCATGGTGTTGGGAAAGGGCATAAATGGTGTTAGAATATTGGAGCTACAAAGAACTAAGCCTAATCCTCTCATTTTAAAGACAGAAGTGACTTGCCCAAAGTTATATATTCTAAATGGAAACAGAACTCCTGTCTCTTGGCTCACAGTCCAATGTAATTTCAACTACTTCTTGATACTCCACTATTAAGAACCTCTGAAAAAGATATGAAAAATTGATTTTGTTTTTCTTCTGGTCCACAGGGATGATTCTTACCTACTTTGTTTTGTGCTTCATCCCTGACCTTGGTTCTTAGACAGCATTAGGGATCTTGAAGAAGTCATTTTTATGTGATATTTGGGAACTTTACATGAGAGTTTCAATAAATCCATTTCACTGAAACTGTAAGTTAGCACAAAGTCAATCTCTTAATGATAAATGTCATGTGACTCTTCTCACTCTTCATCAATTTTGGGGTATGAAATTCAGAGGACGCCAAGAAAGTTGTTGATCACTCTTCCAAATGGACTTACCTGATGAAATGCCATCGTCTTTGTCCCGTAGAGCCTGTTGGCAATGCTGAGGGTACAGTTAGAGTCTGGCTGGTTGATTTGAGAGAATTCGACACCAAACTCGGAATGAATTCTTCCAGCTTGGCTGCACTGAAGCATCAGTAAACAAAGAATGATGTATTAAATTGCTTGATTTTTGCCATTGGAGAATGATAACTATCTAGAGAGCAAGGTGTTTGCCTCTGAATAAAAGGGCTGTGAATACAAGGAAATTAGTTTAAAGCATTTTCTTCCTTGGATTTTTGCTAGCACATTAATTTCACCACTCTGTAACTTTAGTTGCAGTCTGTGTGCAGAATTGTAAGTTACTGCATAATACATGTGTACTTGTTGGTCCTAATGATTTAATTCAAAGGCAGTTTTCATAAATAAAGAGATCCTAGTGGGGTATTCAGGGCAATAATTCCAGTGTTATTGCTGCCTTTGTACTTACAGAATCGTTTCTCTTTTCTTTCACACTTTTTTCTACATCTCCATTTTTCATGTGGTCATTTAATCAAATACCTCAGCCCTTCACTGAACTGACTTCACACACTAATTTGCTTCTCAGTGGTAGCAATTCTGCTAAGCTGCAGCTTTGTTGCATTTGAAAGATGGCTAAGAATTTATGGACATTATAGGCAATATTCCTATATTCCCTAAAGCATTCCCTAAAGCAAATGGTTCCTAAACTATGGACTTTGAACTTTTAGTAGTAAGTTGGGTTCCGTGAAGCTGGTATTCTGTGAGTCTATATGCATTTATGTATTTTCTCAACCAATCGTAATCAAACAGAACTATTTTCATGTAGGAGTTCTATATAATTTTGATGTCAAAATGAATCCTTCTACTGGAAAAAACTAGAGACCATAGTCCCAGAGCATGTGGATTGGGCAATATTAGGCCATGTTTTCCCAGTACATAATTATATGCCAAGCATCAGGGTCCTTTCTCAGTCCCCACTCTAGACAGAAAAGTCTAACACCACATAGACAAAACTGGCAAACTCAACACAGGGCACCGTCCATAAAGGAACAAAAAAGTTTGAGTAAAGATGGCAATAAAGCAGGTAATAAAATCTAAGAAACTTTACTATTGTTATTATTATCATTATTATATTAAACTCTACAGGCTGTAGTTATCATCAGGAAGGTTAAAGGGGGACACATAGCTGGTTCCCTCATGGGCAAAAGAAGGAGCTTTTCTACTCAACACCCAGACTATTATTTCATCCTTCTCTTAGGTTAAAGAGCATTTGACAACTCAGTAATATTATCATACCTTAGGTGAGTCCTTGAACCCTGGTTTTAATGAGTCTACAGTATGACTAAAATGAAGCACCTAGAAAAGAAAAAAAAGGGATCTTTTGGCATCAGAAGCAATGTACAGTCTATAAAGGTTGACAGTTGTAAGTATCTATTTTTCTATTTTAGATCAAGATCAGTAGTGATAGCTAACATTTAATAATGTGTTCCAAGTCCTGAACTAAGTCTTTACATATCTTATTTAACCTTCCCAACAACTTTATGAGTAGATACTATTACCCTCATTTTATGTTAGGGAAACTATAAGTTTAAGAGAGATCAAGCAGCTTGCCTCAGACCATTGTCAGGTTCCAGGGACTAATCTCTTATCCCCTGGACACTTCTGTCCCTACTGTGCTTAGGCTGTTAACTAAGACAGTACCCATCTGGGGCTGTGTAAGACCTTACATGGTTTCCCAGCACGAACAATAATAAGATTTGCAAGTATCCTAAGAGTTGTTAAGTGATATTCTTCTAGACTTTCCACTGCAATTAAAATATACGTAATGGGAAAATCTCTAACGTTAGCCTATATAACCTGAAAAGTCACCTTTCCTTTCTGAGTCTCAGTTTTCAATCCATAAAGTGTGGATAACAATTCCTAACTGTTATGAAGTTCAAACATAATCATGAAAATTTTTTAACTTGGTAATGTCTAAAATAGCATTATGTTTATTATAAATTTAACCTTCTAGAGGACAATAATAGTACCTTTATCACATTTAAATCACTGAATGAAGGGACTCTAAAAGTAAACTGCAGAGATTTATTTGTGATACCACTGATAGTAAAAAAGAGACCACACGTTGCTTGTATTACATTGTTTGCATTACAGCATACTCCATTAATCAAACCATTATCAATTTTTAAGAAATATGATTTATTCAATGTGTTTTTTCTCTCTCAAGATGGCAATTTTATTGGTATAAAGATAGAATTAATTTTGCTGACCCAGAGCGGGAGCATGAAAGACTTCTGGGTTCTGAACAAACCTCTGAGGAATTCCATACCTTCTCCAATTGCTCTTCAGTCTCTCCCCTGGCACCAAGGAGGACCATGCTTAGAGCATAAAGCAGACTCAGCGAAGAAAAGAAGATGTTATCTCCTATGTTGTTACTGTTCAGCTCTTTGAACACATCAAGGCAAAATTCAACGTTAGCTGTGCTGAGAGAACCCATTTTTATGCCGACTGCCTGAGAACAGAAGGGAAAAAATTCTCAGAACATCACTTGAAGTTACAGATAGTATCTGGAGTTCAGTTATTGTATTTCATGAGTTTAAGTATCAGGGCACACTGCTTCATGAAAAACTACATACCCTTATCACAATTTCTGAGAAATGAGTAAATGCTAGACAGGGGAATTCACATTAGTTTTACATTCCAATGAACAGAAGATTTACTATTCCTTCAGCCAATGGTTAAAATCTATCTTACTATCATTTGTGTATATTTTTAAATAATCTATAATAGTTCTGGAGCAAAAGATTAAAAGGAATTGAATCTTTGTATTCTGAATTTCCATGCTTTAAGACATTCCTCATCCTGGAATTTGTGCAGAAAAAAATCTTGAGCTACACACGATCAGCCAGTCGAGATATTTTCCCACTAGACTACCCGCTTTTGCAGTGTCACAGGAGAACATCTCCATCTCAGTCATTTTTGCACAAACAAGTTGACAGCACTCGCAAAATTTCCAGCACATTTTTTATTTTTATTTTACTTTTTATTTTATTTTATTTTATTTTATTTTATTTATTTTTGAGACAGAATCTCGCTCTGTCGCCCAGACTGGAGTGCAGTGGTGCGATCTCAGCTCACTGCAAGCTCCGCCTCCTGGGTTCATGCCATTCTCCTGCCTCAGCCTCCCGAGTAGCTGGGACTACAGGCGCCTGCCACCACGCCCGGCTAACTTTTGTATTTTTTGGTAGAGACGGGGTTTCACCGTGTTAGCCAGGATGGTCTCGACCTCCTGACCTCGTGATCCACCCACCTCGGCCTCCCAAAGTGCTGGGATTACAGGCGTGAGCCACCATGCCCGCACTTCCAGCACATTTTTATCTCCTCAGTGGGACCTCATTCCCTGTATCCCTCCATGAAATAAGACAATACTAACAAGTAGGACCTGCCATAAGAAAGTGGTCAGAGATCTCAGCCTGGAGGCCACAGCCATCATGTTTATGAAAATAGAAATGGAAAAGGAAAATCCAAGAGAAGAAAAGATGATGCTGGAATATGTGTTATCTTAGGACAAGAATATGTCAGGAAAGAAGAGTTCATTCTATTCAGTTCCACAAACATTGTTTGAGCACCGCTAACTGTAGAGGGCTATGGATATAAAAACAATCAAGAATAGTTTCTGATCTCAGGGAGACGTCATTCTTCAGGAGCCTCATTGCCATCAAACACTTCCTTCCTTTAACTTCTGAGTCATCATTCTCTCTCAGTTCACGGCCTGCCTCCTTGACTGCTCCTTCTCAGTCTCTTCTGCAGAATCGTTCTCAATTCTCAACCTCTAGACATCACAATAAAACAGAATTCAGATCTTGAGCCTCTTCTCTATGAACAGTCATACCCTGGGTGATCTCATCCAACCTCATTCCTCCAATGTCACCAATATGCTATTAGCTCCCACATTTATGCTGACCTTGAATTCCAAACCCACATATCCAACTGCTTACTCAACATCCCCACTTGGATGTCTAATATATATCTCAAACTTAACATGTCCAAAAGCAAATGCTTGATTTTCTAACCCCTCTCTCCAGCCTGTGTCCCTCACAGCCTTCTTTACCTCTGTAAATGGCAATTCCATTCTTCTATTCTTTCTCAAGCTAAAAACCTTGTGATCATCCTTAAGTACTTTCTCGTTCTTATTCTTATTCTCACTCTTAGTCAATCAATGAAAAAATCCTGTTTTCCCCATCTTTGGAAATATTCCCCATCTGCACATTTCTCATGCTCCCCAGTTTTAACAGCATGAACGGTGCTCCTGAATTACTGAAATAATCTCCTATCTTCTTTCTACTCCAGTCTTTATCCTCCTCCATAATATCTTTGATAGACTAGTATTTTTTAAATATCAGTTGGTTAGGTACTCCTCTGCTCAAAAACTCCACTGTCTTCCCTTTTACTCAGAGAAGAAGACAAAGTCCTTACTGTGACCAGCAAGACCCTCTGTGATCTGGCCCTGGCCACCTGTCAGACCTAATCTCCTACCACTCTCCCCCAAGCTCACTCCAATTTAGCCATGTAACCTCCTTGCATACCTTCAACATAACAAGTACATTCAACCTCAGGGCATTTGCACTTTCTATTCCTCTTCCATGAAGTTCTTCCTGGAGATATTTGAATGGCTCATTCCAGCAGTTTAATCATCTCTGTTCCGATAGCATCTCATTACTAAGGCTCTCCCTGACCATTAATTCTGTTTGAAATCTCAGCCCACATCCCTCCATTCCATTACCATAGCACATACCACCACCTGGCTTACTACATATGTATTTATTATCTGATTCCCTTCCCTGTATAGTACATTACACCAAGGTCTTTGTTTTGTTTTTATGTTTTATTCCAGCATCTAGACAAGCTCTATCCATAGAGTAGTGACCCAGTACATGTTTGCAGAAGGAAGAAATGAAGAAGAGAATTTCAATCCAATAAGTACTGTGTGATATGCTGGTATGCACATAATCAAGTAGAGAGGAGAGACACAGAACCAAACTGAGAATTATAGTTAGCCTTCCTGGAGGAGATAATATCCCTGCTGCTTCTAGAAGAATGAAATAAGCATCACCTAGGTATATACATGTAAGAAGAGCACTCCTATCAGAAGGAATAGCATGAGCAGAGACTCAAACACCTGAAAGATAAATTTTATATTACAAATGCATGAAATAAGAGTCCAAAAGTGGTGGGCAGTGGGATTGAAGATGGGCAGGACTGTGGCCTTAGAAGCCTTGCATGCCCCTTGATGAGAAATCAGAGATCACACCCCACATAGCTCATGATGGAGTTGGGTCTTCATGTCACCTAGTCAGAAGTTCATATCATCTTTCTGATAATCAATTTCTAAATCTCTCTCCTTCTCTTCTTCTCTCTCCCCAGACAGCATGTTAAAAAATGTTGGTTGCCCACCATTCAGCCCTTCCCTTTCACTCCCTTGTTTTGGGCTAAGAGAACTTGCTTTAATGCAGATTTCATGGAGTCATGTGCTTCAGAGGAGGCTTCACCCTTCTCAGGCCCCAAGAGCAAGCCTGGATTAGTCTAAGCCAATTGAGGAAATTCTATGTCCCAAGTTTCTAGTGTAGGAGTCAGAAAGTGTCATAATTCTTACGAGAAAGACAGGAGAGGTTGCTGGAAGGCTTCTAGAAAAGGCTTCTAATAAGAAGAGATCCACAAGAGGAAACCAGCCCTCTTCTTCCTCTAACACTTGGGTTATCTGCATGTGTCTACTACTGCAGCTGCTATTTTGTGTCCGTGAGGTAGCTAGTCTAAGAGGATAACCCAGGATTTCAGAGAAGAAGGACAGGCAGAACTTGCGTCCTCGATAACACACCATTGAGTGAATTGATTACCCAATCCTGGATCTGCCCTAGCTTGAGATTTCTTTTCATGAGAAATAATAATTTTTGCTTATTGTTTAAGCCATTTTAGTTGAGTCTTCTGTTACTTGCAGCTAAAAGAATTCTAACTCACTTCAAGGGTTTTTCTATACACCCTTGTTCACTAGGGCCAGTTAGCCCACTTACTCCACATTCACCTTTCTGTAGCATAGTTACATTATTCCCTTGTTTAGTCCACCTGGAATACAGAAATATTTGATTCTTTTACCTCCTATCTTCTAGATTACAGCTTTGCCCTCTTTTAGAATCCAAGTCTAAGCATATAGGCTATAGGACACTGTGACAAAGGCCAATACATACCCCTGCCAATACATATTTATCCTAGTTACTAATGTATCTTATTTCCAGTCAGTACGTATCTGAGCTGAGCTTTCTGGAGATGTGTTCACTGGGATATGTCCTTGTTTGTCATCAATTTAGGCATTTATGTCATGCTTTTAATCTTTTATCAGGCAGAGACAGACCAAAAGGGAATATATGTCACTTGTGGACTTTCAAAATAATGACCCATGACATTTATATAGGAAAATTCACAAATCCTGTAATCAAAACCAGTTGCCCTAAAATAATCATTAAGGAGTAGATGCTGTGCATTCCAGTTCTCAGAAAGCCCAGCACAGTGTAATAGGACCCAGTAGTTATACAGCACCAAGCCTGGACCACAGTTTTCTTTGCTCTTGACAGTTTTTAAAAAATATAACAGAAGGGTTTTACTCATCTTATTTTGCTAAAATACAATTCTGTACCTTTGACAGGATGTTTTCCTTTAAGGTGATTTTAATACAGCTCTCTGTATTATGTGTGGTAATAACAGTGTCTTTGACAGCCCTTTGTTTAGTTACTTTAATAATGAAAGCACTTCCAATCGTGAAGTATATCCAAGTCAGTTGCTCTTCACACTATGTTCTGCATTTTAGTGAATTAAGTAAGCTAGTGGAGTTGCATTCTGGAAAGTAACGTGAATTTATTTATCTTAAATTTATGTCCTGTTGTTGTTATAAAATCGCCTATTCACATATCATAACTATTGTAGCCCTGCAGTTACTAGAGCACCTAAGAAAAGAGTTTGGAATACACTGATAGGCCACTTATTGTGTGCCAGACACTTTTATTAGTCTGTTTATTTGATTGTTTCTTCTTTTATAACCACAAGTACACAAGGTTGAGGTCATCACATGCTCTGGTTCTTGGCATAAGCCATGACTGGATTAGAAGGCCATTCTCTTCTTTACTTATGGCCTTTGACCCAGTTCATTTCCTTTCTTCTCCACCACCATAGACACCACTTATAATTTGTTTAAAGCATATTCTTTTATGTATATGTGCTCCTGTAAAACATTGATTTCTTTATCTTACGCATTTTTAAATTTTCATAAATGAAGTTATGTTAGATAATACTTAACATCAGCTTTGGGAGGCGGAGGCAGGTGGATCCCTTGAGCCCAGGAGTTTGAAGCCAGCCTGGGCAACGTGGCGAAAACCCCGTCTCTACAAAAAAATTAAAAACATAGCCAGTCACAGTGGCACACACTTGCAGTCTCAGCTACTCAGGAGGCTAAGGTGGGAGGATTGCTTCAGCCCAGGAGGTCAAGGCTGCTGTGAGCAGTGACTGCACCACTGTACTCCAGGCTGGGAGACAGAGTAAGACCCTGTCTCAAAACAAAACAAAGAAAAACAAAAAAATACAAGTTTTCACATACTTTTCACCTAGTACTATATTTTTAAGATTCATCCATGTTATTCTGGGAATATAGTCCGTACCTTCTAACTGTTGCATTCTTCTGCTTCCACCATATTAATTTGCCCATTCATTTGCCGATGGCAGATGCCCAAATGGTTTCCTTCCTCATGCCACCACAAACAGTGCCATGATGAATATCAGCACACCTACTCCCTTACACAGCTGTGTGAGAATTTCTTTGTAAAGGAAATGGCCAACTTACAGGGTTCATGTATGTGCCAGTACTATATGTGTATTATTCAGAATCTTGAGTCTTGCAGGGTGAGTGATGATGTTCGCCTCACTTCACAGTTGGATCTTACAGCTCTTCAAGCATTGAACTCATAGTACCAAGAAAGAATACTTCAGGTTCAGGTTTTTCTCAAAAATCATTGGCAATACATAATTATAGTTAATTCAAATGAACTTTGTATTAATGATAGTTTGAATTAGAATAATTCAAATTCTAATCAATAATATTAAAACTCTGTCTTGCCAATAGACATGCTAAATATCAAATGAACTTTGTTTCTTGGCAAGACAGAGTTTTAACTATAGTATTAATGTAGTGCCAAAGTGCACGGGCTTTCCTCATTCATTTTCCAAAATTCTACCTTTCTGTTTGCAGAGATCTTTCACAATGGAGTTTCTATGTTAACCATATATTTAACTAGTTTTATTGACAATTCCCTCTACATCTGGGTGATTGTCTTTTCATGTGCAGAGGTGTGTATGGATGGATTTATAGATTTTGGTTCATTTAATATGTTGGTATTCCTCACTACATTGAACATTCTGTAAGGGCAGAGAAAATTCTTCTGTGAAATTGTCAGTGTCTTCCACATTCACCCAGGAATCAATACTTGTTAGGGAAACCAATATTCTGGATATTTTACAGCTAGTCTAATTAATGTTGCTTAGCCCATTTCAGGGAAGCAGAACTTATGGAAGGCAGAAGTCCCAAGTCACCCAGAATTTTATCAAAGATGCATATGGACCCCCAAAACAGCCCACTCACGTGGTAAGGGAATGTTGGCTGTGTCTTGGAAAAAAAAAATCTTCAAGCAAATGAGTTGTGTCATCTGGAAGTTGTTATGACAGAAACGAAGAAAAGAAGGATATCTGTCACTGTAGCCCTTTGAGGTTGAGAAGAGGGATTTCCAGAAGAGACAACTCTATTTGGGATACGTGTGGAAGGGAACACATCTTATCTTATCTGAAGGGATACTGACACTGAAGGACTGCAACAGACGGAGGGTCTGGTTCTGTCCTTTTGGGGGAAATACATCTCCAAGGGTGGCTAAGACACCAGTATCTTACAGTATGTACCATACCCTGTGTACATTCTTCCCCTTTCACAAGACTCTTCTCTCATGACCACTTATCTAGCACCTACCTCTCTTTCCCTAAATCAGAGCTATTCTTTTACTCTTACTCTCTGCCCTACAACTTTGTGAATTTCACATATGCTCATTCCTAAAAATAGTAGGAATTTCAGAATGTTCACATAAACATAAACCATTATATTTTACCTGCATGTACAGAATACACATATTACTTAGGAGACTAATTTTAAAGCTATAAGAGGAAACTGAGAGGCAGAAAAAGAAAGAAATTGTCTCCAACACATAGCAATTAATAAGGCTAGCATAGTAAGTTAAGATCTTCTAAGGAGCTAAGAAGTGTGTCAATACACAGAGGCCACAGCATGCATGACTAGCTTGTGTTTTGAATGAAGATTAGTAAGTAGAAAATATCAACGGAGTTCCATTTTACTAAACAAAGATCTGAAATCAAGTCAGCCTGCCTCAAAGATTTTTAAATGCACACTATCAATGGCATCCAAGTATGCTAATGTATTTATCAAGGGGTCAGCAAAAGTCATACTCAATTAAATAATAAGTTGCCCCTTCATTTGGTTCATTATGCAACCTGTCCAAATGCCACAGTTTACTCTTATTTATTGTCCCCTTTGACAACAAGCACAGCTGAGATAATAACGTACAGAAACATTTCTCTTACCTTTGTTGCTTTCCAGTAGTGAAGTTCACAGAGTGGCAAGTTAGACTGGAGCTGCGTCCCTCAAAAGGAAATATAAAGCCTTCATATTTTGCCCCTCCCTTTTCATTTGTGCCCTTAGTGATTCAGCTCTTCACCTGCTGGTTGGAAAGTACAGCCCTGAAAATGAAGTCCATCAAGAGCTTCTTTAAATCCCCAGAGCCCAGCATGGTGGCTCATTCCTGTAATCCCAGCACTTTGGAAGGCTGAGGTGGGAGGGTTACTTGAGGCTAGGAGTTTGAGGCCAGCCTGGGCAACATAGTGAGACCCTGATCTCTATTTTAAAAATTAAAAAATAAAAATAAAATTTGTAATGAGATCCCCAGAGACTCCCAAGATGACCAGTGCTTTTCAGAGAAGTGCTCAGTTCTTTTTCTATTTATTTATTTTGAGATGGAGTCTCACAGGCTGGAGTGCAGTGGTGTGATCTCAGCTCACTGCAACCTCTGCCTCCTGGGTTTAAGCAGTTCTCCTGCCTCAGCCTCCTGAGTAGCTGGGATTATAGGTGTGCACCACCACACCCAGCTAATTTTTGTATTTTTAGTGGAGACAGGGTTTCATCATGTTGGTCAGGCTGGTCTCAAACTCCTGACCTCGTGATCCACCTGCCTCAGCCTCCTAAAGTGCTGGGATTACAGGCGTGAACGACCATGCCCGGCCCTGCACCCAGTTCTTAACCTCCTTCTGTTTTACTAAGGGAAAACATTAACAAGCCTGGCCTCTATTCAAGAAAAATACGCTGTCTGTCAAAGAGATTGCCATCAACCCAACAAGTTAGCAGTGCCCTATGCAAAATTCCAGGGATCTCCAGTGTCAGTGCACATGGTGCAAAGCTACTCAGTAGGAAAGATCCCAGCTGTGGCAGATGCTTCCTGGCCTGAGGAACACTCATCCCAAGATCTTCTGGGCTCTCTTGCATGCAGCATATGTTTTTATGTGGAGTTTCAGCAAACTACTAGCAGGTAAATCCTGTCCCACAAAAAAACACAAGAGTTATCGAGTTAGTAATAACTCAAGCAAGAGTTATTCTGTGGTTTCAGTTTAAAAGCTTGGTGGGAGCAAGAAGCCAGCCCTACCTAAAGTGAATTCAGAGGCTGAGTAATGATTCAGGAGCCAGGAAGAAAAATTACAGATTAGAGGTAGGAATGAGAGTTAGAGACAGATCATGTTTGGGGTGTGCAGTAGGCAGAATCAGTATTACGAGAAAAGCCCAGCTTCTCAAAGACCAGTCTTGACCATGCAATCCACAGTCCAGCCTCCCCAGGTTGTTACCCCTGCCAACCAATGATGGCAGACTGTACCGCACTCAAGACAAGAAATTCCTTTATGGCCAGTGATTTTCTCTTCATTTTCAGTGCACAATATTTCTTCTCTTAGTTGAAACTAAACCGTTCTACAAGACAAGAGAACCAGAAAACATGGTTCTAAAATTATAGTCCTAATACCCATTTTGCCCACAAGGTTATCATAAAAATAACTGTACACAACCAATCACACAGAACTAAAAGGGATCCCAAATCTGTCCAGTCTTTTTCTGCTCAGAGCACATGTTTTCTGACATGAATCAATTCCAGCTGGGGGCTTTCAGAGCTTAAAAACCTCATATCTACCATTAGGGCTGATCTTCTACCTTTCGACTTTGTTTTCATCTCTCTTTAGATTCCATAAAAAGGGGGTTGAATTTCTTAGCTTTTTTTTTTTCTGTCTAAGCATTGGGGTCATCAAAGAAGGTATTTTTATGCCTTTGATCTAGATTGTACTCCTGTTATTTTCCCTGTCGCAGAGGAAGTACTTATTTCTGATTTTTCCTTCCAGTTGGAAGGACATCCATTAGCATAACACTCTTTGCCTCTCTTTACCCTCAAATTTACTCCTGCTCCCCAATGTCTTAGCCTGGATTCCCTGAAAGCAGAGCCCTAGATAAAGGCTCACATGCATGTAGTTTATTTAGGAAGTGGTGTCAGGGAATAAAAGCAGAAGAGAAAGAGGGGTGGAACAGAGATGGAAAGAAAGTTAATACAATTCTTACAAAATTGGCCACTGGTATCTGAATCCATGGACTTTCGGAGGAATCTTACAAAATGTGCATCAGAGCTGTCCACCGAGAGGAAGAAGAGGGGAAGCATGTATCTACAGGCTTGTATCCCCATAGGTCAAGGAAGGTCCCATGGGTGTTAACTCGGATCACACTTGAGTGTCAATTATGCACATTCACACCAAAGCATCATCACAAAGCCCTGGAACTGGAAGCAAGGTGTGAGAGGAAGTGCTGCCAGTTTGCAATGCACAAAGTTATTTAAAGCCTATGCAGAACTGGTGGCCTCAGCAGCAGCTAGATTAAGAGGTAGGGCAGCAGAATATGAAGTGACTAACAAAAGGCGTCTAACACATCTAACCTATGTTGGTGGGTTTGGAGAGGAAATGCCCTCAAGTTTTGTTTTGTTTTGTTTTGTTTTGTTTTGTTTTGTTTTGTTTTCACAGGTTGCCAAGCGTCCAAAGGAAGTATGGATTCTCATCTATTCCTTCTGCCCTAAGTTTTCCCAGGGCTAAGCCCAATTTTGAAACTCCAGTAATCCCTGTGACTAGATTGTACACCAAAGAATTAGAAAACCTATTATTGGCTCATGCCTAATCCCCAGCCTCCAACCTATCATTATGTAATGTATATTTTTATTCTCTATCTGTCTGATTTATTTGACTTTATATTCATTTTTTCAGGACTCAGGTGAGGTGAGGGGAGTTATTTATTAGGGACTTCATAACCTAGGACAGTGATCATGGGCTGGAGAGCAGAGGATGGACTAAATACTGCCCCCAGCCACCCGCCTTGTCTTGGGTAGGACACTTACATCACCTGTAACTGATGGCCCTTGTCACAAGTTAGAGGAGGAGGAGGATTTCAAGGAAGAACTTGGAGGCAATCTGGGGGAATAAGTAATCTTAGCAGAAGTTGCTTTAGTAGAGTACTGAGGGAAAAATCTAGGCTGCAGTGCATCATAGAACACGCTAGAGAAGAACACACCCTTTCCCAGAGTTTGGCAGTAAAGTCGTGACATAGGTGATGTTAGAGGAAGCCAAGTTGAAGAACCCTGTTAAGCATGACTTTACCCTACTCTGACAGGGAAAAGCAATGGACAATGTGTATTGACAATGTGACTCCTTCCGCTGCCCTCTCAGAGGAAGGAGATCACAAGAGCTGAAGATCCAAGACCACCTCTGTGGTTTCGTTAGTGATATGGTTTGGGTCTGTGTCCCCACCAAAATCTCCTCTCGAATTGTAATCCCCATAATCCCCATGTGTTGAGGAAGAGACCAGGTGGGAGGTGATTGGATCATGGGGATGGTTTCCCCTGTGCTGTTCTCACGATAGTGAGTGAGTTCTCATGAGATCTGATGGTTTTATAAGGGGCCCTTCCTGCTTCGCTCTCTCTCTCTCTCTCTCTCTCTCTCTCTAATCTGCCTCCATGTAAGATGTTCCTACTTCTCCTTCTGCCATGATTGTGTTTCCTGAGGTCTCCCCAACCATGTGGAACTATGACTCAACTAAATGTCTTTCCTTTATAAATTACCAAGTCTCAGGTAGTATTCTTTATGGCAATGTGAAAATGAACTAATACAATTAGGGGTGATGGGTAAAGGGAAGGTGTGGGTACAAAAGGGAAAAGAAAAAAAATTACTGTAGAATCAAGATATTCTACCAGATTTTTTAAGAATAAAATTGGACAAAGAGGAATCTGTTTAGACAGCATTAGCTGTTCTTGGGAGCTTGGGGTGGGAGTCGGGATAAAGAAGACTCTGGGAGCATCTGCCCTATGTGTGGGAGATAGAAAAGGGTAGAGAATGATGACTTTCAGGAGTTTTTACGTGCATTATGGATGTCATCCTGCTTTGTAGGATTGCAAAATTTAGCAAATAAAAATACAGGATGACCAGTTAAATTTGAATTTCAGACAAATGATGAATATTTTTATAAGTATATACCAAATATTGTATGGGACAGATTTATACTACATATGGGGCATATTTACATGAAAAAAGTATTCATTGTTTATCTGAAATTCAAATTTAACTGGGTGGTCTGTATTTTATCTGACAACCTTACCTCTTTGGCATTTTCTTGAGAGATTGTGATAAATACTTACATTTGCTTACATTTTTTTTATCCAAACACAAGAATTAAGAAAAGTCTATAAGGCAGCTCAACGTTAAGCTCTATGCTAAATTTGTATGAGGAAGGGAAGAAAATGGACCACAGGTTCCTGCTGTTATAGGTAAGAAATGGGACAATTGATGGAGAAAAGCTTCCCAAAGAGACTAAGGGAGCAAGAACAATGCAGGTTGAAGAACCAACTTTCCCCAAAATGAAAGACAACTCTTTCCAAACATAAGAGTAGAGAAGTTTGGATACATATTTAAATACATTTTTATATAGGAGATTTCAAAGTTTTGCCTGGATTGTCAATTTCTCATGGACAAGTATCGTGCTTTTTGCTAAGTTTCGGGCATTTAGTAAGCACTTAATTATCATTGGCTAAACTGAACTGAGCATCTTTTTATGAGGTTAGGAGTTGTGTTTTAGGTTGGGATGAGGCAAGAGATGAAGATTTAGAATGGCAATTGGGAAAATTCAAAAGGAACTGATCAAGAACAGACAAAAGGTTTCCTCACTGACTACCTGCAAAGGCTGGAGCCACACATTATCAGTAACGTAAAGTGAGAAGGATATGCTAGCAACTGCGTTTTGCTGTGATTTGCAACGTTCCCACCTACCAGGATTCTCAGATCCTTGGAATGTGATTGCTGCAACCAACTTCCATTTTTTGCAAAAGTTTAACAATTTTCTGACAGGAAATTTTCAAAAACACATTATTTTTCAATAAGATGCCATAATTCTTACTTTCCCAGACATAAAGCAATTCTTCCAAAAGCAGTCGTGTCCTGTGAAAACCAAGAATTTTTCAAACAATACCCAGAGCACTTTCCATTAGTCAGACTAGCTCTTGATAGAGACCCAGATATGCAATGAAATGGAAAACGTGAAGCACAGACCCAAGAAAAACCATCAACAATGCTTCTCTTTTATTTTTCAGGAGGTAGAGAGAGAGCCTTTCAACTACAATGAACAATTCTAAGTACAGGAAGCATGGATGCTCCAAGCCTTGTATAGACATCTTTACTTTAGTCTATTCACTTGGAAAATTTTCCTCAGGCAAGTCAAGAGGAATCTGCTACTTGAAACAAACTAAAAGAAAACGGGCTATTTATTTAAAAAAAACTATAAAACTCATCAAGAGATGCAGTTAAGAAACTAAGCAAGCCACAGGCTGTGAGAAAATATTCACAATGCAGGCCTAAAAAAAGTATTTGTATACAGAATACACAAAAAAGTACGACTCAAAAAGTTAAATACAAATAGGCAAAATATTTATACAGTCACTTCACTAAAGAATGCATATAAATGGTCAATAAGCACATAACAATGTGTCCAACATCATTAGTCAGCAGAGATGTGCAAATTAAAAAAACACAGACATTCCACTTCACAACCATTAGAATGAGGAAAGAAGAAAGATTGACTACACCAAATGTAGACAAAGATATGGACCAACCAGAATGCTACTACAATGTTCAACCACTTTGGAAAACTGCCAGATTCTTAAAAAGTGAAATATACATCTACCCTATGACCTAGCAATTCCTTCAAAGAGCCTTTCAACTACAATGAACAATTCTAAGTACAGGAAGGGCGGATGCTTCAAGACTTGCATAGGCCTCGTTACTTTTGTCTACACAGTTGGAGAATTTTCCTCAGGGAAGTCAAGAGGAATCTGCTACTTGAAACAAACTAAAAGAAAAAGGGCTATTTATTAAAAAAAAAAAAAATTATAAAACTCATCAAGAGATGCAGTTAAGAAACTAAGCAAGCCACAGGCTAAGAGAAATGGCACATGTCCACAATAAGCCTTCTACAAGAATTATGATAGACATAAGGATATCCATCAAGAGGAAAAAGCATGAATAAACTCCGTTGCATCCGTACAATGGAACATACACAGCATTAAAAAGCCCCAAACTACTGATGCACACAACAACATAGACAAATATAAAAAGTGTCATGCTGAGTGAGAGAGGCCAGGACACAAAGAAGTAGACAGTTTCTAGCAAAAATAATACATGAATATGAAAACCAGATTGGTGGTCGTTGCTCTTCGGGGAGGGTTGACTGGAAATGGTTAGAAGCAGCTTTCTGTAGCAATAGAAATGTTTCATTTTCTGGTAGGGGAATGGGTTACATGCATGCATGTGTTAGTGTCAAAATTGACTGAACTGATTGATTTGAGCATTTCAATCAATTATATGTCAGTATGGCGGGGTTTTTTTTTTCCTTTTTTTTCCAGAGGATCTTATGGAGAAAGATGTTTTATTTTAAATTAAGCTTTTTATTTTGAGGTAAAATTGAAGATGCGCTCAGGTGCCATTGTGAAAATTAATAGAGATGCTGTGTACTGTTTAGTCAGTTTCTCACAATGGTAACATGTTGCAAAGCTGTAGTACATAGTCACAACCAGGATATCGACATTAACAAAGTCAAGATACACAGTCAAGAAGCTCCTGGGGTAAAGCTTGCAAGTCTTAGCTCTCTGAGCATGGGGAGGATTTGGAGGTTGGCCTTAGTCTCTTTAGATGTCATCCACAAAGCCTCCCTCTGCTCACACTAAAATTTACTTTAAATATTTCTTGTAGGACTGAAGTCAGCACCTCACAGTTAGACAATGAATGGAAGGAGGTTCTTGTGGTTCTTTAATAGTTTTGTGCGTATAAATTACCTCTCCAATTTGGTGGTCTCCTCCATTTGTTGATCCCAATGAACCTCTGAATATTTATACCTTGTGCAGTGTCCTTACCTGTTTTAAACATTAGAATGTGTCAAAAATAATGTTTTGTCAATATACAAAAGTCAATTGCTTTCCTGTATACTAGCAATGTACAACTGGAATTTGAAATTGAAAACATAGCACTGTTTATATCAGCATCCCCAAAAAGAACTACTTAGATACAAATCTAACAAAGTATGTGTAAGACCTAGATGAAGAAAACTGCAAAATTCTGATCAAAGAAATCAAAGAAGATCTAAATAAATGAATGATATTTTATGTTCATGGATAAGAACATTCAATCATGTTACGATGTCATTTCTTTCCAACTTGTTTATAGATTCAACATATTCCCAATCAGGGTCCCAGCAAATTGCTTTGTGGATATCTGAGAGCTAATTCTAAAATTTATATAGAAAGGCAAAAAACTCGGACTAACCAACATAATATTATAGAAAAAAGGAAAGTATTTTTTGGTAGAGGGCAGATACTACCTGACTTCAAAACATACTATAAAGCTATATGAATCAAGACATGTGTGTTATTGGTGAAGGAATGGACAAATGGATCAATAGAATAGAAAAAAAATCCCAGAAATAGACCTGATATGGTTTGGCTCTGTGTCCCCACCCAAATCTCATGTTGAACTGTAATCCCCCGGAGGTGATTGGATCGTGGGGGTGTTTTCTAATGGTTAGCACTATTCCCCTAGTGCTATCTCATGATAGAGTTCTCATGAAATCTGTTTTTTTGTTTGTTTGTTTGTTTGTTTGTTTGTTTGTTTTTAGTACGTATCACTTCTGTCTTGGCTCTGTCTCTCCTGCTCTGCCATGATAAGACATGCTTACTTCACCTTCACCTTCCACCATGATCGGAAGTTTCCTGAGGCCTCCCAGCCATGTTTCCTGTACAGTCCACAGGATTGTGAGCCACTTAAGCCTTTTTTTCTTCATAAATTACCTAGTCTCAGGTAGTTCTTTACAGCAGTGTGAGAACAGACTAATACGAGACCTAAACAACTATAGTCAGCTGATCTTTGACAAAGAGCAAACTCACTGGAGAAAGGACAGTCTTTTCAACAAGTAATTCTGGAACAACTGGACAACCACATACCAAAAAAAAAATCAATCTAGGCACTAACCTTATACTTTTTACAAAAATTAACTCAAAAATGACCATGGACTTGAATGTAAAATCCAAAGCTATAAAATTTCTAGAAAATGATCTGTGAAAAAATCTAGGTGACTTTAGGTTTCTTGATGAGTTTTTAGATACAATACCCAAAGAATGATCCAAGAAAGAAAAAGTTGATGTTAGACTTAATTAAAATTAGAAACTTCTGTGATACAAAAGACACTGTTAAGAGAATGAAAAGACAATCCCACAGACTAGGAGAAAATATTTGCACAATACACATCACATAGAGGATTTGTATCCAAAACAAGCAAGAAACTCAAAATTCAACAATAAGAAAACAAACAACCCAATAAAAAAAAGTTAGCAAAACATCTGAACAGACACCTCACCAAAAGAGACATATGAATGGAAAATAAGCATATGAAAAGGTGTTAAACATTATATATCCTTAGGGAGTTTCAAATTAAGACAACACTGAGATACCATTATGTCTATTTGAATGGCTAAAATCCAAAGCTCTGACAACACCAAATGCTGCTGAAGATACAGAGCAACATGAACTCTCACTTATTATTGGGGTGTTATTGGGAGGGATGCAAAATAATACTGCCACTTTGAAAGACAGTTTGGCAATCTCTTGTTTTATTGTTTTCTTGATGTTTTATTGGTTTTTTAATGGATTTTTATGTTTATTGGGTTTTTATGTTTTATTACATTTTTATGTAATTTTTTTTTATTTTTTATTGGCTTTTAGTTCTGAGTTATATGTGCAGGAAGTGCAGGTTTGTTACATAGGTAAACGTATGCCATGTGGTTTGCTAAACCTATCAACCTATCAGCTAGGTATTAAGCCCAGCATGTATCAGCTTTTTTCCCTAATGTTCTCCCACTCCTGCCCTCCCCCAACAGGCTCCAGTAAGTGTTGTTCCCCTCCTTGTGTCCATGTGTTCTCACTGTTCAGCTCCCACTTATAAGTGAAAACATGAGGTCTTTGGTTTTCTGTTCCTGTGTTAATTTGCTGAGGATGACAGCTTCCAACTTCAACCATGTCCCCGAAAAGGAAATGATCTCATTCCTTTTTATGGTTGCATAGTATTCCATGGTGTATATGCACCACATTTTCTTTATCCAGCCTATCATTGATGGGTATTTGGGTTGATTCCATGTCTTTGCTATTGTGAATAGTGCTGCAGTGAACATATGTGTGCATGAATCTTCATAATAGAATGATTTATATTCCTTTGGGTATATATCCAGTAATGGGATTGCTGGGTCAAATGGTATTTATGGTTCTAAATCTTTGAGGAATCACCACCCTGTCTTCCACAATGGTTGAACTAATTTACATTACCACCAACAGTGTAAAAGCGTTCCTATTTCTCCACAACCTTGCCAGCATCTGTTGTTTTCTGACTTTTTAATAATTGCTATTCTGACTGACGTGAGATGGTTTCTTATTGTGGTTTTTGATTTGCATTTCTCTAATGATCAGTGATGTTGAGCTATTTTTGTGTTTGTTGACCACATGTATGTCTTTTTTTTTTTTTTTTTTTGAGAAGTGTCTGTTCATATGTTTTGCCCACTTTTTAATGGGGTTGTTTGTTTTTTTCTTATAAATTTGCTTAAGTTCCTCATAGATTCTGGATATTAGACCTTTGTCAGATGGACAGGTTGCAAAAATCTTCTCCCCTCTCGTAGGTTGTCTGTTCACTCTGCTGATAGTTTTGTTTGTTGTGCAGAAGCTCTTTAGTTTGATTTGATCCCATTCGTCTTGTTTTGCTTTTGTTGCTATTGCTTTTGGTGATTTCATCATAAAGTCTTCACCCATGCCTATGTCCTGAATAGTATTGCCTAGATTTTCTTCCAGGATTTTATAGTTTTGGGTTTTACATTTAAGTCTTTAATCTATCTTGAGTGAATTTTTGTATAAGGTGTAAGAAAGGGATCCAGTTTCAATTTTCTGCATATAGCTAACCAGTTCTCCCAGTACCATTTATTAAATAGGGAATCTTTTCCACACTGCTTGTTTTTTTCGGGTTTATTGAAGATCAGATGTTTGCAGATGTGCAGTTTTATTTCTGAGTTCTCGATTTTGTTCCATTGGTCTATGTGGCTGTTTTTGTACCAGTACCATGCTGTTTGGGTTACTGTGGCCTTGTAGTACAGTTTGAAGTCAGGTACTATGAGCTCCAGCTTTGTTCATTCTCTTAGGATTGTCTTGGCTATGCAAGGTCTTTTTTGGTTTCATATAAACTTTAAAATAGTTTTTTCTAATTCTGTGAAGAATGTCAGTGGTAGTTTGATGGGAATAGCATTGAATCTATAAATTGCTTTGGGCAGTATGACTATTTTCACAATATTGATTCTTCCTATCCATGACCATGGAATGTTTTTTAATCTCCTTGTGTCCTCTCTGACTTCCTTGAGCAGTGGTTTATATTTCTCCTTAAAGAGGTCCTTCACTTCCCTTGTTATCTGTATTCCTAGGTATTTTATTCTCTTTGTGGCAATTGTGAATGGGAGTTCATTCATGATTTCGGTTTCTGCTTGTCTGTTGTTGGTGTATAGGAATGCTTGTGATTTCTGCACATTGATTTTGTATCCTGAGACTTTGCTAAAGTTGCTTATCAGCTTAAGAAGCTTTTGGGCTGAGATAATGGGGTTTTCTAGATATAGGATCATGTCATCTGCAAACAAAGACAATTTGACTTCCTCTCTTCCTATTTGAATAACCTTTATTTATTTCTCTTTCCTGATTGCCTTGGCCAGAACTTCTGACAATACGTTGACTAAAAGTGGTAAGAAGGCATCCTTGTCTTGTGCCAGTTTTCAAGGGGCTTGCCTCCAGCTTTTGCCCATTCAGTATGATATTGGCTCTGGGTTTGTCATAAAAGGCTCTTATTATTTTGAGGTATGTTCCTTCAATAGCTAGTATATTGAGAGTTTTTAACATGAAGGGATGTTGAATTTTATCAAAGGCTTTTTCTGCATCTATTGATAATCATTTGATTTTTGTCTTTAGGTCTGCTTACGTGATGAATTACATTTGCATATGTTGAACAAGCCTTGCATCCCGGGGATGAAGCAAACTTGATCACGGTGGATAAGCTTTTTGATGTGCCGCTGGATTCAGTTTGCCAGTATTTTATTGAGGATTTTTGCATTGATGTTCATCAGAGATATTGGCCTGAAGTTTTCTTTTTTATTGTTGTATCTCTGCCAGGTTTTGGTGTCAGGATGACGCTGGCCTCATAAAATGAGTTAGAGAGGAGTCCCTCCTTTTCAATTGTTTGGAATAGTTTCAGAAGAGATGGTACCAGCTCCTCTTTGTACCTCTGGTAGAACACAGTGATAAATCCATCTGGACCTGAGCTTTTTTTGGTTGGTAGGCTTCTTGACTTCTGCCTCAATTTCAGAACTTGTTACTGGTCTATTCAGGGATTCAACTTCTTCCTGGTTCAGTCTTGGGAGGGTGTATTTGTCCAGGAATTTTTCCATTTCTTCTAGATTTTTCAGTTTATTTGCATAGATGTGTTTATAGTATTCTCTGATGGTTTGTATTTCTGTGGGGTTAGTGGCAGTATCCCCCTTCTGGTTTCTGACTGTGTTTATTTGAATCCTCTCTCTTTTCTTCTTTATTAGTCTTGCTAAAGGTCTATTTTATTGATTTTTCAAAAAACCAGCTTCTGGATTCATTGATTTTTTGAAGGGTTACTCGTGTCTCTATCTCCTTCAGTTCCATTCTGACCTTGATTATTTCCTGTCTTCTGCTAGCTCTGGGGTTTGTTTACTCTTGGTTCTCCAGTTCTTTTACTTGTGATGTTAATGTGTCGATTTGAGATCTTTCTAGCTTTTTGATGTGGGTATTTAGTGCTATAAATTTCCCTCTTAGCACTGTGTTAGCTGCATCCCAGAGATTCTGATACATTATCTTTTTGTTTTCATTGGTTTCAAAGAACTTCTTGATTTCTGCCTTAATTTCACCATTTACCCAGGAGTCATTCAGGAGCAGGTTGTTCAATTTCCATGTAGTTGTGTGGTTTTGAGTGGGCTTTTAAATCTTGAGTTCTAATTTGATTGCACTGTGGTCTGAGAGACTGTTAAGATTTCAGTTCTTTTGCATTTGCTGAGGAGTGTTTTACTTCCAATTATGTGATCAATTTTAGAGTAAGTGTCATGTGGCACCAAAAAAATGTATATTCTATTGTTTTGGGGTGGAGAGTTCTGTATGTATCTATCAGGTCCACTTGGTCTAGAACTAAGCTCAAGTCCTGAATATATTTGCTAACTTTCTCTCTCAATGATTTGTCTAATACTGGCAATGGGGTATTAAAGTCTTCCACTATTATTGTGTGGGAGTCTAAGTCTCTTTGTAGGTCTCTAAGAACTTGTTTTATGAATCTGGGTGTTCCTGTATTAGGTGCATATATATTAAGAATAGTTAGCTTTTCTTGTTGAATTGAACCTTTTAACATTATGTAAGACCCTTCTTTGTCTTTTTTGACCTTTGTTGGTTTAAAGTCTATTTTGTCAGAAACTAGGATTGCAACCCCTGCTTTTTTCTGCTTTCCATTTGCTTGGTAAATTTGCCTCCAACCCTTTATTTGAATCTATGTGCATCTTTGCACATGAGATGTGTCTCTTGAATACAGCACACCAACGGGTCTTGTCTTTGTGTCCAGCTTGCCATTCTGTGTCCTTTAATTGGGGCATTTAGTCCATTTACATTTAAAGTTCATATTGTTATGTGTGAATTTGATCCTGTCATCATGATGCTGGCCAGTTAATTTTACAGACTTGTTAATGTAGTTGCTTCATAGTGTCATTGGTCTGTGTACTTCAGTGTGTTTTTGTAGTGGCTGGTAACAGTTTTTCCTATCCATGTTTAGTGATTGCTTCAGGAGCTCTTGCAAGGCAGGCCTGGTGGTGACAAAATCCCTCAGCATTTGCTTGTCTGAAAAATATTTTATTTCTCCTTCATTTATGAAGCTCAGTTTGGCCAGATACGAAATTCTGGGTTGGAATTTATTTTATTTAAGAATGTTGAACATTAGTCCCCAATCTCTTCTGACTTGCAGAGTTTCTACTGAGAGGTCCACTGTTAGTCTGATGGGCTTCCCTTTGTAGATGACCTGGCCTTTCTCTCTTGCCCCCCTTTAACATTTTTTCCTTCATTTCAACCTTGGAGAATCTGATGATTATGTGTCTTGGGGTAGATCTTTTCATGGAGTATCTTACTGGGGTTCTCTGGATTTTCTGAATTTGAATATTGGCCTGTCTTTCTAGGTTGGGGAAATTCTCCTGGATGATATCCTGAAGTGTGTTTTCCAATTTGGTTCCATTCTCCCCATCTTTCAGGTACTCCAATCAGTCACAGCTTTGGTCTTTCTACATAGTCTCATAATTCTTGGAGGTTTTGTTCATTCTTTTTCATTCTTTTTTCTCTAATCTTTTCTGCCTGCCTTATTTCAGCAAGAGAATTATCAGTGCTTATAGTCTTCAAGCACTGATATTCTCTCTCCTACTTGGTTGATTTGGCTGTTGATACTTCGTGTTTGCATCATGAAGTTCTTATGCTGTGTTTTTCAGTTCCATGAGGTCGTTTATGTTCCTCTCTAGGCTGGTTATTCTGGTTAACCAACTCCTGTAACCTTTTACCATGGTTCTTAGCTTTTTTGCATTGGGTTAGAACATAATCCTTTAGCTCAGTGAAATTCATTATTACCCAATTATTACACACTTTCTAAATCCTGCTTCTGTCAGTTCCTCCATCTCAGCTTCAGGCCTGTTCTCTGTACCTGCTGGAGATGTGTTGCAATCATTTGGAGGAGAAGAGGCATTCTGGTTTGGGATTTTCATTGTTTTTGTGCTGGTTTTTCCTCATCTCCATGGATTTATCTGCCTTTGATCTTTGAGGCTGATGACCTTTGGATGGGGCTTTTGTGGGGTCTTTTTTGTTGATGTTGTTGTTGTTGCTTTCTGTTTGTTTTTCTTCTAACAGTCAGACCCGTCTTCTGCAGGTCTGCTGCAGTTTGCTGGGGGTCCACTCCAGACCCTGTTGGCCTGGCTATCACCAGCAGAGTTTTCAGAATGGCAAAGATTCCTGCCTGCTCCTTCCTCTGGAAGCTTCATCCCAGACAGGCACCGACCCGAAGCCAGCCAGAGCTATCTTGTATGAGGTGTCTGCCAACCCCTGTTGGGAGGTCTCACCCAGACAGGAGGCATGGGGTCAGGGACCCTCTTGAGGAAGCAGTCTGTCCCTTAGCAGAGCTGGTGTTCTGTGCTAGAGGAGTCCCCCCTCGTCAGATTCAGCCTATCTCTTCAGAGCCAGCAGGCAGGAAAGATTAAGTCTGCTGAACCTGGGACCATGGCCACCCCTCCCCACAGGTGCTCTGTCCTAGGGAGATGAGAGTTCTGTCTATAAGCTCCTTATTGGAGCTGGTGGACTTCCTGCAGGGAAGCCCTGCCTGGTGAGGAGGGATCTAGAGAAGCAGTCTGGCCACAGCCACTTTGCTACACTGTGGGGAATTCCATCAAGTCCAAACCTCCCAGTCCCCTTAGCAATGTCAGGGGAAAACTGCCTACTAAAGCCACAGTAATAGTGGTCAGCCCTCCCCCCTCCCCAACCCTCTGGGAACTCGATCATCCCAGGAAGATTCCAGACTACTGTGCTGATCATGGGGATTTCAAGCCAGGGTGCTTAGCTTGCTGGGCTCCATGGGACTGGGATCCACTGAGCGAGACTGCTTGGCTCCCTGGCTTCAGCCCCCTTTCCATGCGAGTGGACTGTTCTCCTTTCTCACTGGAGTTCTAGGCACCACTAGAGTATGTAAAAACTCCTGCAGCTCAGTGCCTGCCCAGCCACCCAGTTTTGTGCTTGAAACCCAGGGCCCTAGTGGTGTAGGCTCATGAGGGAATCTCCTGATTCATAGATTGCAAAAATCCATGGGAAAAGCGTTGTACCCCTGATGGGTAGCACAGTCCCTCACCGCTTCCCTTGGCTGGGGGAGCAAGGCCCCCAACTCCGTGCACTTCCCAGGTGAAGCGATGTTCCAACCTGCTTGGGCTTGCTCTCAGTGGATTGCACCCACCGCCTAGCCAATCCTGATGAGATGAACTGTGTACCTCAGTTGGAAATGCAGAAGTCACCCACATTCTGCATTGGTCTTGCTGGGAGCTGAAGGCCAGAGCTGTTTCTATTCAGCCAAATTGGCCCCAGCTTGCCAATCTCTTTAACAAACCCAACCATAGTGTTACCATGCAATCCAGCAATTGCATTCCTAGGTATTTACCTGAATAGGTTGAAATTTATATCCACCCAAATAAGCTTAAATTTATGCCACACAAATACCTGCACACAAGTGTTTATGGAAGCTTTACTTATTGTCAAAAATTGGAACTAACAAAAATGTCCTTTAATAGTTGAATGGGTAAACAAACTGTGGTACATCCACACAATGGAGTATTATTCGGCACTTAAAAAAAGATCCGTCAAACCATGAAAAGATATGGAGAAACTTTAAATGCATATTGTTAAGTGAAAGAAGACAACCTATGGCTACATACTGTGTGATTCAAACTATGTTACATTTTGGAAAAGACAAAACTATAGAGAGCATACAAAGATCAGTAGTTGCCAAGGGTTTAAGGTGTCAGCCTAAAAAAGAAACATGCACACACTAGAGAAAGTTATTCTTTAAATATGTTATAGCCTGGAATGCATGGAATGGCAAGCCACGAGTGCATTCAAAGAGGGAAGGTTAAGGGAAGCTTTTTAGCAAAAAGAGATTTACATAAGCCACTTAGAGATTGGGTTCATCTGTTCCAGAGGTTCAAAGCTGGAGTTGTTGTTAGTTCATTGTTGGAGATGCTGGGAAATTGTTCCTCTAAGAACATCTTGTCTGAATTAGTGCATCATAAAGAATTTCTGGTAATAAACCTTATCAAAGCAGGAGATGCATCAAGGATGAGAAAGAGGTTTTAGAAAGTCCTTTGAAACAGTTCTTCTCTCAGACGTGTCAGCATGAGTCTCCTCTCCTTTGGGTCTTCCCAGACCTGATTTGTCTGGGTCTGACAAAAGTGATTTCTTCCTAGTATCTGCAACTTTCACAAAGTCATGGAAATGGATTGGGAAGGGGTAAATAGGTGGAGCACAGGGAACATTTAGGGCAGTGAAACTTTTCTGTGTGACTCTATAATTAATGGTGGATAGAAGTCATTATACACTTGTCAAAGCCCACAGGACTATGTGACACAGAGTGAATTTAATGTAAACTATGGACTTTAGTTAATAATCAGATATCATATGGATTCATCAGATGTAACAAATGTACCACAATAATGCAAGATGTTAATAATAGAGAAAACTGTGACTGGGCAGGGTGGAGGCATTGTATAGGAAACCTCCGTACTTTCTATTCCACTGTTCTATAAACTTAAACAGCTTAGTTTAAAAATAATAATAATGATGTTGTGCTTTTTTCTGGGCTTAAGTTTTTTTCTTGTTTTTTTCTTTTTTTATTTTTGAAACAGCGTCTTTCTTTGTCGCCCAGGCTGGAGTGCAGTGGCGGGATCTCAGCTCACTGCGGCTTACACCTCCCAGGTTCAAGCGATTCTTCTGCCTCAGCCTCTCAAGTAGCCGGGACTACAGGCATGCACCACCACACCTGGCTAATCTTTGTATTTTCAGTAGAGATAGGGTTTCACCATGTTGGTTAGATTGGTCTCAAACTCCTGACCTCAGGTGATCTGCCTGCCTCAGCCTCCCAAAGTGCTGGGATTACAGGTGTGAGCCACCACGTCTGGCCATCTGAGCCTAAGTCTTAAGAAGACCTGATCATTTCAATTCATGCTCTTAGGAGTCTATAGTCACCATTTGAGTCTTGCTGGAGAAAGCATGTGAAAAAACCACAAGGAGGGAGCAAGTGGAAAGGAAGAGGTCCTGAAACAACAGAGAAGAATCAAAGAAACAAGTCAATCGGGAGAAGCACAGCCTGCTCGTTTTCCCAGTTGAGCCATTGCAGCCAGCCTCGAACTATTCCAGAAATTCTAGCAGAGGTACCAGGCATGTGAGTGAGTGAAGGAGCTTTCTTGGACCTTCTAGCCCTAGCAGACACAACGCAGAGCAGAAACAAGCCATCTCCACTGTTCTGTTTGAATCCCTGACTCACAGAATTGCATACAAGTAAAATGGTCGTTATATTAAGCCACTTAGTTTTAAGATTGTTTATTATGCAGCAGCAGGTACGTGAAACACCAAGGAAATTTTTAACAATGTTCAAGAAAAGCTGATATTTCCTTTTGTTTCTCTTCCCTATAATGTTTGGCTCTATGCAAGTGGAAAAAAGAGTGTGCTTTCGTGTTCTGTCCATTCTACCAGAACTTTAGCTGAAGTCATTAGGAAAGGTGTACCTAGTTGAGATAACTACTCTTATAAAATCCTTTAATATGGAACAGAGGGTGGCAGGAGGCAGCCAAATGCCTAGGCAGATAGGGACGGGTCCCCGGTGAAACCCCACCTCCAAGCCAAAGACAGTTTAAAGCCTGAAAGCCAAGCTACAAGTTAAATCCTCAGACCAGATTGAGAACTTGTTTTCCTATTTGGCATGCTTTCCTCTGATTGGTCCCCACCCTTAACCTATTTTACATATACCTACCCTTTCCTAATTGGTTTTCTACATTGTCATGCCCACCTTTGAGTGGTGTCTTCACTTTAAACTTTTTTGCTACTCACAAACCAATCAGCATGCATTCCCCATTCTGAGTCCATGAAAGACCCTGGACCCAGCCACAGAGGGACTTTCACACCTTCAGGTAGGGGGACCACTCCCATGTTCCCTCTCCACTGAAAGCTGTTTCATCGCTCAATAAAATTCTTTTCCATCCTCCTCACTCTTCAGTGTCCTGCGTATCCTCTTTCTTCTTGAGTATGGTACAAGAGCTCAGGGATCGCTGAATGTGGGTACAAGCTATAACACAGGCAAGTTGGGGCATGCCAGCATGGCTGAGTGGGGCCCAGGTGGGGCATTGCCAGCCAGAGATCTTCAGCTTGCAAAGCAAGCAAGAAGAAAAATCCTACATCAGAACTTTATGAGGGAAATCAAGGATTAGCTGATCTCATTCTGTGGAATGAGCATGTTTAGTTGACAACATACCTGTGCACAACAAAGAAGGGATGATATATAGTGGTTTTCAGCCTTCATTCCTAATTCTTTCTCACTGTAAATTCATCAAAAGCCTTAGTTGGGTATCCAACAAATATTAATTGATCATCTATAACATGCAAGGTACTGTTCTAGTGTAACTGAGTTATCCCAATTTTTCTAAGAGATATAGAATGAGGTTTTTTTCTCTTCTTTTCTCTTTCCTCCCTTTCCCCAATTCCCCCACTTCTTACTTAGCTCTTTAGAAATGCAGTTAAAACCATTTACCTTCCCTTCAACAGGCAAAATTATCTAACCATGTGCTTACTTAAAAGCTCCAGGGCAGAAATATCTCCCACCAGGAGATTGCCTTGAGAGACAATAGTCAATTTATAACCAAAAGTATGCCTGCTACAAAATTCTCTCCCACCTGGAGAGAATCTGGAGACAAGACCACTCTACAATCTAGTTCTGACCATGATGGTGCCAGCTCAACCACCCAGTAGGTCAAATACCAAAACAAGTCACATGGACTCCCCACCAGCTCACTCCCTCCCTGCGTGCCATTCATGCCACATTCCCTCTTAAAATCCCCTGCTTTCTGCTCCAAAAGTGAAGCAGTACCCTTAAGGCAGGAAGCCTATACTTCTTCCCCTAAGCTAGCTTTGGAATAGAAAATCACGTTCTTTATACCAGACCTCATTCTTGTGCGCTGCACTCTGCAAGCAGTGAGTGACTGCTTTGCACTAGCATGATGCATACAGCAAGGAATACAGCAAATTCCCCACCTTTGGGATCTTCCCTGCACGGATCATGTAGGAAGTGGTGGGATGGGCTGGGCTGGGCTGGGCTGGATCAGATCGATTTTGTGACATGCAGGCTTTATAAACCCTCTTTTGCCACAGTTTCAGAGGGGTCCTAATGCTGCTGTTATAAAAATAACTAAATAATAAAAATTAAAATTGAGAAGTCCATGTTACTCGTTTATTATAGAAAATTCTGAGTTTCCATCTGCAATTCAGATTTTTAATATAGTGTCTTCCTCAACTGTCTTGAAAGCTGAGTGATTTCTTCCACAGCTGTCCAATCTCTGCGGCTAGTTACCCTTTGTCCTAGGAAACCATTCTCTTGTCACCTACAGACCCTGAAGCTTCTGTCCGGAAAACATAGTTTCTCACTCAGCTGCCTTTTTGCCTATATATTGGCTAGAGCAGCAGGAGATTGAGTCTGTAATGAAATGGAAAGCCCATGTGCCCAAATTAGGCATCTCTGATAAATGGAACCCCATTAGACTCCTCCTCTAATGGCCACAGATCCTGGGTTTTAAAACAGTATTGCTGGTTTGACTTACTAAGGCTGATCAGCTTCCTGCATTTCTCAATCTTACAAAAAATCACCACCCCTCCACCCTAGCCTGTCACCACCCTCTGTGTTCCCATGCTCCTTAAAGACTGCATTCCACAGTGCTTGCGTTAATGGGGTGGAGAGGCAAGGTTCAGCTTCTCAAAGAAAGGCTTACTCAGAGAATACACAGATCAACTGTTGGGAGTTCCTATCCATTTGCCTTGTTGTTTTTACAACCTGTGTACTGAATAATGCTGAGAACAGTAAATAGTGAACATGATATGTTGCTGTTATCCGAGGTTTGTGTGTACAATAGAGTCTTATCTGAGAATTTATTGAGAGAAAAAGAAAAGAGAGAGAAAGAAGAAAGAAAAAAGGGAAGAGAGAAGGAAAAGAAAGAATGAAAGAAAGAAAGGAAAGAAAGAGAGAGAGAAAAGGAAGAAAGAAAGAGAGAGAAAGAGAGAAAGAAAAAGAAAGAAGAAAGAAAGAAAAAGAAGGAGGGAAGGAAGTAGGCAGGGAGAGGAGGAAGGAAGGGAGAGAGGGAGGGAGGAAGGGAGGAAGGCAGGCAGGAAGGCAGGCAGGAAGGCAGGCAGGAAGACAGGCAGGCAGGCAGGAAGGAAGGAAGGGAGGGAGGGAGGGAGGGAAGGAGGACTTTTTCAGTGCTGAGATCCAAAAGGGAGAATCTGGAACAGGGAGGGAAAAAAAATGTTGTTGGTTTTTGTTAGTTCTTATTTTGTTGGGATAGGGAGGTGGTATCCAGATCACAGAGTAAATGCTGGGTCACACAACAATTTAATTAGTGTAATCTTGTTTAGAGAGATAAATATAAAATATTTAACAAATCCACTCATAAAAATAATTCAAAACAGAGTACTTGATTTAATAAACATAGAAATACTAAAAATGTATATAATATACCAAAGAAGGAAGAGTGAAAGGAGCTAGAAGTCATTGTGGAGGGATCAAAATGGAGGCATAAAGAGATGGGCAGTGAGGGAGGAGAAGGACGAAGGCAGAAGAAAGGAAGATGCCAGAGCTAACGGGAAAGAAAAAGTGTGTCAAACAACAGGCTCCAGTAGGAGCAGGGTTGTGGGAGATCAAACTTGTCCTCCATGATTGATTTCATCGAGGCCAGACCACTAGTCCTGTTTTCCAGGCAATCTTGGGAAAATCCTCTGGCCTCATATTTTTCAGCTGCAAATCAAGGCAGTTGTATCTAATGCTTTGCTGGAGTCACTTCTCTGACCTGGTCTTGCCCCATCTCTGAGGCCTAAAGGTGGCCCTGTGAGTGGCCAAAGTTCAGCAGACCCATGAAAGCACTTATACTGCTGTTTGTTCTGCTAAATCATTAATTAGCTTGTATTTTTTTCTCCCTCAAAGTATGTTTTGTAATTTACGCTTGCTGCTTTTTCTTCTGAGGTCCTTTTTGGGTCCAAGAGTCTATGATTCTGGAACCAACAGCTATCTGATTACCTGATTCTCACAGCTTTTAATGTCAGCCCATAGACTCCAGGAAATGAGATACTGTGCTATTAAGCAAGCAAGAGAGTCTATAAAGCATTGAATCATGAGATTCTGTAACTGACCCAGGTACAAATGCCAGAAGACTGGTCTTTTGCCTGTCTGTTTTACAGGCAAGAAACAAACAGAATTTCTTCTTCCAATTACATAACACAATGAATAGAGACAAGATGACACCATTTGTAGTTCATATTTGCTCAACTTATTAAAGAACAAAAGCTCACGGAATCACTGGAACTTGCCAATGAAGGCAAAATAGTGCAAAGACTGCCAAGGTTTTTAGATTTATTGTGTTTAAATAATGGTCTCAGATTTCCTGGGCACCTTCACACAGAATCAATGTTGATATATTTGCACATTGACTAAACACATTTGATGTCTTGGCCTCTCAAGTTACTTATTTACTTATTTAATGTGTATTCATGGGCAGATATTACCAAATGAGTGGCTGAGCACCATGAGCATGGACTCTGGTCTCATTTTACTTTTCATCTTTTACATACCCTAGGACTATACTGGTATAGAGTAGTGTACAAAACAGACTTGATTAATTAGTGATATTTTAATACATGTGTACAATGTGTAGTGATCCATTCTGGCTAACATTCGTCACCTCAAGCCTTGGTCATTTCTGTGTGTTAGGAACATTCAAAATCCTCTCCTCTAGCTTTTTAAAAATATGCACTAAATTATTGGTGACCATATTCACCCTACAGTGCTATAGAACACTAGACTTATTCTACCCATCTAGCTAATACTTTGTACCTGTTAACCAACCTCTCTCTATCCTCCCCTACCTTTATCCTTCTCAGCCTCTAATAACCACAATTCTACTCTCTACTTCACTGACCTCCATTTTTTTTAGCTCTCACACACAAGTGAAAACATGCTGCATTTGTCTTTCTGTGCCTGACTTATTTCGCTTAACATAACATCCTCCAGGCTCATCCATGTTGCTGTGAATAACAGGATTTTATTCTTTTTTAAGGCTGAATAGTATTCCATTGTGCACAGTTACCACATTTTCTTTATCCATTCATCTGTTGATGGACGATTAGGGTGATTATACGTCTTAGCTATTGTGAATAGTGCTGCAATAACATGGGAGTGTAGGTGTCTCTTTGATGCACTGATTTCCTTCTTTTGGACAAGTACTCATCAAAACAAAAATTTTAACTAACACAAATGAAAAGAGTGTTACATAAGCCTTCCCTCCTGGCTTTTCTTGCACTCAAACCTGAATGCTTTCTTCATTTGGAAAACTTCAAAGGAGGTGACTCAGAAGCTTCTTCTCATCCATCATTCAAACAATCAGGTATATTTCAGTATGTTCTGATATTGCAAGCTGATCTTTTCTTAACTCAAGCTTTTGAATATTTTTGTTTAAGACTGCTCTTCAGAGAATATACTACCTCCACTTTCAATAGCTGTATAAAGACAGGCTGACTCAGGATGGGAAGGACAAGTCCCAGGAAGGATATTTTCTGTTGGATACAGATAAACTGTTGACTAAGTCTGGACTAGACTGTCCATGCACTCTCAAGCACAGTTAAGACTCATGGGGCCATGTGCAGTGAGGCACCTTTGCCCTCTCATCTGCTGCTGGTTCTCACACAGCTGAGGATTCGATAGGGTAAATTACCTACCGGCTCCCCCTCCTGCTTGCCTTTCACCTTCAGTCTCCTCTTTGCTGGGCATCCATCACTGTGCTTCCTGCTACCCAGTCTTGGAGTTTCTTGTGGCTTTGATTCTACCTTGTATATATTTAATTACTTAATCATTAATGTCTTTTATATGTTTAATCATTTTGTTTAGCCCTATTAATTACATGAATGAAAATATCATATTCTCTTATCTGAAGCTGTTGGAAAGTTGAATCTTTCTGTTTGCTCTGTTCACTGACGCAAGTCTTGGGAGATCACCTCCTCCAGTGTTTTGCAGTATTACATTTGGAAGCTTATCTTCAGAGGAAGAATTCTGTGCAATCCAGGCTGAGGAAATGCTCTTCGGAGGAGTTTTGTCTTTGTTTTTGTCAGGAACTCGGGGGGTATATCATATTGTTTTTTATGTCAGTTTCTTAGCTTGACAGTTCTCAAATTAACTCAGTAATATAAATTCAAAACTATGGTATTACAGTCCCATGGATATAATTTTTTATTATTTTTATTATTATTATTATTATTAATTTAAAGGTCAGGCCAAGATAATAGTGTGCCCTTTAAATCTTTCTTCCATGTGGTTAAATTATTTTCCTAATCCAACATTTCACCAAGCATGTTGCTCATTAAAGGCTCCAGTATGATGCCGTTTCTCTGTTCCAACAATTGGCTTCATAGACCACTTTTTGAATGTTGGTGTAGTATAAAAAAGAAATATCTGTAAGGCACAGTGGCTTACACCTGTAATCCCAGCACTTTGGGAGGCTGAAGCAGGTGGATCACTTAAGCCCAGAAGTTAGAGACCAGCCTGGTAACATAGTGAAACCCTGTCTCTACAAATAATAATAATACAAAAATTAGCTGGATGTGGTGGTGCACACCTGTAGTCCCAGCTACTCAGGAGGCTGAGGTGGGCAGATCAAGGCTGAGGTGGGCGGATCACTTGAGCCCAGGAGGCAGAGATTGCAGTGAGCCCAGATCACACTACTGCACTCCAGCCTGGGCACCAGAGTGAGACTCTGCGAAAAAAAAAAAAAAAAAAAAAAAAAAAAGAAAGAAAGAAGGAAATATCACGGTTAATTGAAAAGGCTTTTATGAAAATTCTCCTTTAGGCCCGGCGCAGTGGCTCACACCTGTAATCACAGCATTTTGGGAGGCTGAGGCAGGCGGATCACAAGGACAAGAGATTGAGACCATGCTGGCCAACATGGTGAAACCTCATCTCTACTAAAAATACAAAAATTAGCTGGGCGTGGTGGCACGTGCCTGTAGTCCCAGCTATTCAGGAGGCTGAGGCAGGAGAATTGCTTGAACCTGGGAGGCGGAGGTTGCAGTGAGCCAAGATCGCGCCACTGTGCCCCAGCCTGGCAACAGAGTGAGACTCTGTCTCAAAAAAAAAAAAAAAAAAAAAAAAAAACTCCTTTATTTTCAAACCACATATCTCTGTGAAGCCATATATTCTTCAACCAAAACAACATATTGCAACAGATTGAAGGCACATGCAGATACATAAATCTAGCAAGACATAATTACACTAAATCAAACATTAAAGAGATTTGTAAAAATGTAAAACAATGCCTTTTTTACCACTATTTTTTGTATACTGGAAAACATAGCTTTTTAAATTAAAAATGTGTCATTTACATTAACATGCAATGGTTGTAATGTTTTTTAATATTAAGATGTTATTTTATAAGTTTATATTTAAACTTTTTCTGCTTAAATTTCTGATGGAGTAAATATCATTAGAAAAATGCACATAAACAAAAGTTCTTTGAGATTTCCTTAATAATTCTGAAGAGCTTAAAGGGGTCCTGAAACCAAAATGTCTGGGTACCTGCTGTACTGTACATTTCTGCTGCATTTAGTATGCTGAACATTCTCTTCTAGCTTTCATTTCTCTTCTCTCATCTTCCTCAGTGCACCATTCCAACTCCTTTTCCTCTTTCCAACATCTAGTTTTCCCCTAGTTTTCATCCTTTGCTTCCTTATTATTATATTATGTCTTCTCTCTCTCTGGGTGACCTCCACCACTCACATTATTTTAACAACGTCCCAAATAGATGACATCCAAATATGTATCTGTAATCTGATTATTTTACCATACTCTGTACTAGCAAAACCAGCTACCTACATCTTGATGTTTCTTAAAAAGCTAAACTCAAATATTCCCAAACTGAGCATGTGAGTGAATGGTACCATCATTAAATCCTACCACGTAAGTCAGAGATCTGTGAGTCATCCTAGATTCCTTTTTCCCCTACCTCCCTCATCCACTACCAAGCCCTGTAGTTTTTGCTTCTTAAATATTCCTCCTTCCGTGGATTGCGTTAGCTCAAAATCTCATGACCTAGATACATTATTGCAAACCTTCCTAATGGGCTTCCTATTACTCCCTGTTACTACTGGTCCCTCGTTTCTCAAAAAAAAAAAAAAAAAAAAAAAGTCTGTAGTTATTATCCTGAAATACAGATCTATTCATACCACCCACATGCTTAAAACTCTTCAGTAGCTCCCCAGGGCCTTCAGAAAAAAAACTCAGGTCTTTCATCATGACACAAGAAGCCTTCATTATTAGGCAATTTTTCCTTCCCAGTCTCATCACCCTTGTGAGTGTCTCTTCCTGCATTTCTTGCTTTAGCAAAACAGAATTATTTGCTTTTCCCCATCACAATTTGCGTGTCTCCTCCCTTTGCTGTAATGCATGCCATCTCAGACTTAACCACTTGTTGAGCTCCTATTCATCCTTTAAACCCTGAGAAGTTCTTCCCTTCCTCTGAAGAGTCTTTTGGATTGCATGAATGTCAGTTCCTGGTTTTTCTATTTGTATTATAGTTGTGCAAAATATTGTTATTGGGGGAAACTGGTAGAAAATTTCCTTATACATTTTTTGGCAATTTCCTGCTAACCTATAAGTATTTCCAAGTTTTTTAAAGATGTTTATAGATACTTCCCATTTTATCACACCAAATATTAGAAGATGTGTATTCAAGAGTTGAACTTTGATAAAATCTACAATACTTATTGCTTCATCAAGAACATTCAGAAGTGAAAAATGACGTTTTCATATATGTGTGGCAGTGAGGAATCCATGGCTACCAGCCCAGTTTGGAGCCAACATGCCCTACCTCATGCTAAATTACAGTAGTCCTAGCCATCACTTTTGCACCATCAGCACAAATCACAACACAGTGGAAAAGGCAAAAGTGTTTTAGTATTATTATAAAATTGGTTGTGTTCTTGTGGTCTCAGAAACTCTCAGGGATCCACAGATCACACACAGAGAATCTCTGATGGGAAAGACCAGGGTAAACTTAAGCAAAAACTATATCATTAAATAAGTCCACATTCTTTTTCATAATCAGATGAAATTGCTTCCTTCCCCATGCTATTGAGGAACGATGTTATTCTCTCTCCCATGATCTTCTCCCCCTTAATAACTTTAGGGATGAGGAGAGGAATCTTCAGCCTTGCTGTTGCCTTAAAGTGAAAAAGCCAGAGCCCTTTCTTGTCCCCAGGAAGTCTTGTGCTGTTGAAGTGCTATTGCAGCCACTGCCACACGGTGTCACAGGCGGTGTGGCCAGCAATGTGCTGCACCACACCAAGTTACAGGTGATCTCTGAAACCTTTGCCCAAGAACACGCTATAACTTTTTTCTATTTTTATGAAAAGCATATATTCCTTGCACATTTCCAAGCTGATAGCTAAAATGTTGCCCATAATATAAATAATTGCAGATGATTTAATTCAGGCAAATTGTGAGTTCTGTTGTTTTAAAATAAAACAGTTCCATCATTCTTTACATGCATGCAGTGAAATCTAACCATGTGAGATCCACCATCGTTAATAAATACACATGAAAAACCTATGAAATACACATGAAAAACCTCTTGAACATTCAGATATTTTACATCATTCCTTTTACCTCGGTGTTATATTTCCACTTCACTTCCTCCAAAGAATTTTCTTCTAATTTAATATACTTTTACATTTGAAAGTATTTTATTGATAACCTTGCCATATTTCTCTGAAATGAAAGTACGTACATGCATTTAAAATACAAAATGTTCTTATGACCCATGGTCATTTTTCTATATGTTTAAAAAGTTTCATCTGGATTCAGTTATCACTATACTTGTTGTTAGTGTACAATTGAAAATATATATATTTAAATTTTGATAAATAATTATTAAACATAAAAGCTAATTTTTTCTGTAGTTGCATCTCTTAATGAAGTGAATGAGAACAAAAATTTTTCTGTGGTCTTTCATTCAGGACAATTTGGTAGGCAAAATACTTTTTAAAATGTATTGATTCTGCATCTTAGATAGCATCTTAGATCTTAATAATAGGAGATTAAAACATTAATCATTTTATAAGATAAAATATAATAAAGATGGCCTGTGATATGAGTAAACATTTCATGGTAAAAACTGTCATCTTACTTGAGCATTAGGACAAATACTTAGTGCATGCAGGTCTTAAAACCTAGATGACGGGTTGACAGGTGCAGCAAACCACCATGGCACATGTATACCTGTGTAACAAACCTGCACGTTCTGTACATGTAGCCCAGAACTTAAAGTGAAATAAAAATAATAAAAATAAATAAATAAAAACTATCTTATTTGATAAAATAGCTCTTATATACTTATTAAATAATACACAGCACTCTTGAAAGAAATTATAAAATGTAATGGGTTTTATTCAACGTAGCTTAAAAATATATACTCAGTAAAACATCCCAGTTAAATTTAAAATAATCAGTCACATAGTATATACTGCTTTACCTGATTGGGTATTTTTCTTATACTAGGGTTAAGTATTAAGAAGAGTAGAAAGGAATTTGTCACATTTAAATTCATTGGCAAAAAAAAAAAAAAAAAAACACCAGGTAGAGTATTCAGTAGCTCTTGTAGATGTTCTTTTGCTTTGGTTTGCAGAGGGATGCAATTTGACAAAAGTCAAGGATTGGAGGAGGCTGAGGTATGAATGGAAAATTGTCATTACTCCCACCACTGCCCTGTAGGAGAGGAGTCCCCTCTCACATTTTCCTACCTACTTTTCTGCAGTTTTAGTTTACTATGGCAAGCTTCTAGTATTTTGGTAATTTTTTTAAAGTAGTAACTTTTAAAGAAGCAAAGCTAAGCATCCCTGGAATAATATTATAAATCAAAACAAATATTGACCAAATATTCAATTTAATGCAGTGGTTTTCAGGAACAATTTTTTAACATAAACTATAATTAATGTACATGATGTTAGAGATGACACCCCTGGGACAAGGTCAAGGCCAGGAGTTTTCTCATGCAGCAACAGAGAAGTACTCATAAGTATAGGAGTAGGTTTCATCCAGCCTGGGCAACTGAGGGACTGAAGGGGGTAATGGTGGCTGTTCCTGGAAGTCCTGGAGAAAGTTATGTTAAAGGCAGGACCATTTCCAGGAAAGCAGAAGCTGGTTCTAGAGGCGATGAGATGGGAAGAGTGTGATGAGGTGACTGGCTCAGAAATTTGGCTCAGAGGATGGCGCTTAACAAGTCACCTCTCACCTAAAATAGACCTTGGTAAACCTCATTTGTCAGTAAGTCCCTACTTCAGGCAAGGCGCTAGAGACTTCTCACTTAGCCTACCGTTTAGGCATAGACAATAACTAAGAATCCATTTTATAAAGAAAAGATCACTGAAGAACCCTTAAAAATAGACAATCAAACATAGTATGTAACCATCCCTGGATCCCATTTGGTCCTCAAGAAGCATTGATCAAAATGTCAAGCAGCCAAAAATGATTCCTGGTTGCAGCCAGACTTGTTGCATAGAGGATAATGTAGCGCTGTGGTTATGTGAAGGCATTCCAAAGAACAGCACTTGTTCTACAGAAATATTCACAGAGCCATGTAACAGAAGGAGAGGAAGCAGGGTAATTGTTCTGATATGATAAAAAAGTTACAGAACACATTTTTCACTAAGGACTGATAAAAATAATGTTAAATACCAATCAATTTTAAAAATGTTAAATATCGATCCAAACCAAATGGAAGAGAAAGTTTGAATTAAGGGAGTGGAGATGGCAGATGTCAGAGAAGGGTTACCGCACAGAGCTGGGAAAGAAGGAAGGGAAAAGCGCAAAGTTGAGAGAAACAGATGGCAGAACTTCCAGGTTGAATCCATTAGATCACCCAAGGAGAATGAGAGAAGAACGTCTGGGATAGATGCCTGGGAAATGTCTGCATGTAAGGGGTGGCAATGGAGAAGGAGTTGAAGACCGGAAGTCAGAGATGTACCGGAGAACAAAATACAGAATTCCGAGGAAGAGGGGTCAACAGAGACAAATAGGTTCAAAATTTCAGTGAGAGACAATAAATTTTGATGCACAGAAGTTATTATCAGGAAGCTATTAGTAAGTCACCAAAGAGATTGTTTTTCATGAGTTTTTAAAATTTTGGTAAAATATGCAGAACATAAAATTCACCATTTTAACCATTTTTAAGTGTACTTTCAGTGTGGTCTTAAGTACATCCACATGTTGTGTAACCATCACCATCATCCATCTCCTGAACTTCTTTATTGTCTCAAACTGAAACTCTATCATCTGGGTGTGGTGGCTCACACCTGTAATCTCAGCACTTTGGAAGGCCGAGCCAGGAGGATCACCTGAGGCCACAAGTTTGAGACCAGCCTGGGCATTGTAGTGAAACCCTGTCTCTATGTAAAAATAATAATAATAATAATAAAAGAATCTCTGTATCCATTACACAGCATCTTCCTATTCTCCCATTCCCCCAGCCCATGATAACCACTATTTTACTTTATGTCTCTGTGAATTTTTCTATTCTAGGTCCCTCACATAAGTGGAATCATGTGTCCTTTTGTTTCCGGCAATATGTGTCCTTCTGTTTCCGGCTTATTTCACTCAGCATAACGTTTTCAGGGTTGGTCTCTGTTGTAGCGTGTATCAGGATGTTATTTCTTTTTAAGGCTGAATAGTATTCCATTGTCAGTATATACCATAATATATACCATGGACATTTGGGTTGTTTACACCTTTTGTTTATTTTGAATAGCGCCACAATGAACATTGGTGTACAAATATATATTCGAGTCCCCGTTTTCAATTATTTTGTATATACGCCTGGAAGTAGGATTGCTGGATTATACGTTAATCCTGTATTTAATTATTTGAGGAACTGCTCTATTGATGTCCACAGCTACTGCACCAATTTACATTTCCACCAGCAATGCGATTGCTAGAGTTCCAATTTCTCTACATCATCACCACCACTTGCTATTTTCTTATTCTCAATGTGGTTCTGAAGTTCAGCATCTTTTCATGTAATCATTGGCCACCTGTATCTTTGGAAAATTGTCTGTTAAAATCCCTTTTCTCACTATTAAATTGGGTTGTTTGTTGTTGTTGAGTAGAAAGAGTGCTTTATATATTTTGGATATGAATTATATATCAAATTATTATTTGTAAGTATTTTCTCTCATTCTGTACATTACTTTTTAACTATGTCTTGATAGTGTCCTTTGAGGCACAAAAGTTATTAATCTTAATGAAGCCAAATTAATCTATTTTCTCTTTTGGTTATGGTGCTTTTGGTGTCATATCCAAGAAGTCATTGTTAAGTCCAATGTTATGAAGCCTCTTGCCTATCTTTTTTTTCTAAAGTTATCATTTTGACTCTAACACTTAGGTCTTTAATACTTTTGAGTTAGCCTTTATATATGCTTTAAGGTAAGGGTCGAACTTCATTCACTGGCATGTAGATATCCAGGTTTTCCAGCATCATTTGTTAAAAAGACTGTAATTTTCCCCATTGAATGGTCTTGAAACACTTGTCAAAATCTTTTGACCACTTACAGAAGGGTTTATTTATGGGGTCTCTATTCTATTCCGTTGGTCTATATATCTGTCTTTAGCCAATACCACATCATTTGGATTACTGTAACTTTCTAATAGGTTTTGAAAACAGGAAATGTGAAACCTCCAAATTTTGTTCTTTTTTCAAGACTGTTTTGGCAATTCAAGGTGTGTTGAAATTCCATATTAATTTTAGGATGAGTTTTTCTATCTTTGCAAAAAAAAATCTGTAGGTAGCTTTGGGTAATATTGTCATCTTAACAATATTGTCTTTTAGTTCACAAACATAGCTTAATTCTGCTAAGCATTTAAAGAAGAAGTAATACCAATTCTTCTCAAACTCTTCCAAATAAACAAAGAGTGAGGAATCCTTCCAAACTTATTTTAGGAAGCGAGACTTACCATGATACCAAAACCACACAAGGACACTACAAGAAAAGAAAATTACAGGCCAATATCCCTGATGAACATAGATGCAAAAATCTTCAAACAAGTACTAGCAAACCGAATTCAACAGCATGTCAAAAGAATCATTCAACATGAAGTGGAATTTATCCCAGGGATGCAAGGATGGTTCAATATATGCAAATCAATAAATTTGATACACCACATTAACAGAATGAAGGACAAAAACCATATAATCATCTCAATAGATACAGAAACAGCATCTGAAAACATTTAACATTTTTTCATGATAAAAATTTGCAAGAAATTAGGCACAAAAAATACATACCTCAACAAAATAAAGCCCCATGCACAGCTAAAATTATATTCAATGGTGAGAATTTGAAACTTTTTCCTCTAAGATCAGGAACAAGACAAGGATGCTTACTCTCATCACTTCTGTTCAACATAGCACTGGAAGATCTAGCCAGAGCAATTAGACAATAGAAAGAAATAAAAGCTATTCAAATCAGAAAGGAAGAATTAAACAATCTCTGTTTGGAGATGACATGATCTTATGTATAGAAAACCCTAAAGCAGCTACCAAAAATATGTTGAAACTAATAAATGAATTCTACAAAGCTGCAGTTTACAAAACCAACATACAAAAATTATTACTGTTTTTATGTACTAACAATGAACTATACAAAAAAGAAATCAAGAAAACAATCCCATTTGCAATGGCCACTAAAAAGTGAAATACCTGGAAATAAATTTAACAAATGAAGTGAAATATCTGTACACTGAAAACCAAAACATTGATGAAAGAAACTGAAGAAAACACAGATAAATAAAAGATATCTCATGTTCATGGTTTGGAGGAATTAATATTGTTAACATGCCCACACCACCAAAAGGGATCCACAGATTCATTTCAATCCAATTCCTATCAAAATTCCAATGACAATTTTTACAGAAATATAAGTAAAAATTCTAAAATTTGCATGGAATGAGAAAAGACCCCCAATGGCCAAAGCAACCTTGAAAAATAACAATGTGGGAGACATCACCCTACCTGACTTTAAAATATCCTACAAAGTTGTAGGAATCAAATAGCATGGTACTGGCTAAAAGCAGACATATAGACCAATGAAACAGAATAGAAGACCCAGAAATAAATCCATGCTTATACAGTGAATTGGTTTTTAACAAAGATGCCAAGGACAAAGGAAAGTCTCTTCAATAAAGGGTGTTGAAAAAATTGGATATCCATATGGAGAAAAAGGAAATTAGATCCTCATCTCACACCATATACAAAAATCGACTGAAAATGGATTGAAGACTTAAACGTAAGGACTGAAAATGTAGAACTACTAAAAGAAAACATAGAGGAAAAGCTTCATGACATTAGCCTAGGCAATGATTTTTTAGATATGATTCCAAAAGCACAGGCCGCAAAAGTGAAAATAGACAAATGTGATTACATAAAACTGAAAAGCTTCTGCACAGCCAAGGAGTGAAGAATTCACAATCAACAGAGAGATGAGATGACATTCCAAATGGGAAAAAACGATATGGAACAGCAAATATATATATATATACATATATATTTAAAATGGTCAAAGGACCTGAATAGACATTTTTCAAAAGAAGATATACAAATGGCCAACAATTCCATAGAAAGCTGCTTAACATCACTAATCCTCAGGGAAATGCAAATCGGAACCACAGTGAGATACCATCTTACACCCGATAGGATGGCTATTATCAAAGAGTCAAAAGATAACAAGTGTTGGTGAGGATGTGGAGAAAAGGGAACCCTTGTACACTGTTGGTGGGAATAAAATTTGTACAGCCATTTAGAAAACCTTATGGAGATTCCTCAGAATTTTAAGAACAGATCTAACATATGATTCAGCAATCCCACTTCTTGGAATATACACAAAGGGTATGAAATATATATGTCAAAGAATTATTTGTATCCCATGTTCATTACAGCATTATTCACAATAGCCAAGACATGAAATCACCCTGTGTCCACCAACGAATGAACAAATAAAGAAAATATGATATATATATACACAATGAAATACTCTTCCACCATAAAAAAGACAGTTCTGTCATTTGCAACAACATGGATGAACCTGGAGGATATTATGTTAAGTGAAGTAAGCTAGACACAGAAAGACAAATACTACATAACTTCAATTATATGTGGAATCTAAAAACGTTGAACTCATAGAAACAGAGAGTAGAATGGTGGCTACATGAGGGTGGTGGGGTGGAGGGGTTGGGAAGATGTTGTTCAAGGATATGAAATTTCAATTAAACATGAGGAATAAGTTCAAGGCATCTATTTTACATCATCATGACTATGTTTAATACCATTATATTGTATACTTGAAAATTGCTGAGGGAATAGATTTTAAGTCTTCTAGCTACAAAAATGATAATTATATGAGGTAATGGATATGCAAATTAGCTTAATTTAGCCATTCCACAATGTGTGCATGTCAAAACTTCATGTTGTATACCATTAATATATACAATTTTTATTTACCAATTTTTTAAAAAAATTAACTGTTAAAAAAAGGTTCTGAAAACAAATTAAGAACTTCATATGCCTACTACCTAAATTTGACATAAGTTAATATATTGTCATTCCTATGTTAAAATATAATACATTACAGATATAATATTATAGGTGCTTTTAAAATGTTTCATAAGTGATATTTACACACTCTTTTCCATTTGATTTCCAGTTCCTTGCTATTATGTCTAGAGATTTATTCTTTTTGACACATGATTATCCACTTCATTTATATTCACTGCTGTAGAATAGTCCACTGTATAAACCTAGCTTAATTTTTCCTTATTCTTCTTTTGATATGCATTTAAGCTGTTTCTAATTCTTCGCCATTGGCAAGAATGCTGCAATTCATGCCTTTGTATGTATCTTGTGCAACATAGTACATGGGTTCATCTAGGCTATACATAGAAAGAAAGAGACAGGTTTTTTTCTTTGAGACAGAGTCTCACTCAGTCAGCCAGGCTGGAGAGCAGTGGCACAATCTCAGCCCACTGCAACCTCTACCTCCCAGGTTCAAGCGATCCTCCCACCTCAGCCTCCCAAGTAGCTAGGATTACAGGCATGCACCGCCATGCCTGGCTAATTTATTTTTATTTTTATTTTTTGTAATTTTAGTAGAGACAGGGTTTCACCATGTTGGCCAGGCTGGTCTCAAATTCCTGACCTCAAGTGATCTGCCCCTCTCAGCCTCCCAAATTGCTGGGATTACAGGTCAGAGCCACCACACCTGGCTTAGGGTATATATTTAAACATAGAATTACCAAAATAACCAGATATTGCCAAGTTTTTCCAAAATAGTTGTACCAATAAACATTTTCAACAACATATTTATCAATTTTACTTGTCCACATCACTCCATCCCTAAATATCTAAGAATAGTTAGTATTATTTACAATAAAAAAGACATGGAACCAACCCAAATGCCCATCAATGACAGACTGGATAAAGAAAATGTGGTACATATACACCATGGAATACTATGCAGCCATAAAAAGGAATGAGATCATGTCCTTTGCAGGGACATGGATGAAGCTGGAAGCCATCAACCTCAGCAAACTAACACATTAACAGAAAACCAAACATCACATGATCTCACTCATAAGTGGGAATTGAACAATGAGAACATGGATACAGGGAGGGGAACAACACACACAGGGACCAGTAGGGGGATGGGGGAAAAGGGAAGGGAGAGCATTGGGACAAATAGCTAATGCATGCAGGGCATAAAACCTAGGTGATGGGTTGATCGGGGCAGCGAACCACCATGGCATATGTATACCTGTGTAACAAACCTACACGTTCTGCACTTGTATCCCAGAACTTAAAGTAAAATTAAAAATAAAATTTAAAAAAGAATAGTTAGTATTACTGGTGTGAACCTCTCTGTTGTTTTAAATGCATTTTCCCCACCTAAAAAGAGTAAGAATCTTTCCACTGTAAACTTCTACATTGCTTCAGGATTTACTTGTCAAGGTCTATGAAAAATGCCTTGGGGATTTTGAATAGGAGTGAATTTCTCAAGACATGAAAGGAAGCAGCTGAGCCCATAATCTTTGTAATCACTTTTGTCACTATAGCTGCTAAACACCACAATCTCAACACCTTGACTTAGACTCGCGCTTCATGTTTTGTCTCCGTCAGTGATATTTTGATGCTACCATATGCCATATAGCAAAGTCCCTTTCCTTCCACCGTGTGTTTCTCAGCATGTGAACAACTCAGTCTCAGAATTCCATTTGGAGGTCTGCTTTCTAGAGCTATTCCTGATACCAAGTACTTGCTATTAATCAAGGTCGCTACAGAAAACAAAGGGCACCATCAAATCTGTAATCAAATAGAGGGACTATTTACAACAGTATGATTCGGACTAAGAGGAAGCAACAAAGAATGGTGAAACATCCAAGATCTAGCAATAGCGAAGAGACTATTCTAACCCTAGTCCAGAAGGGCAAATGGTGAAGTCATTACCAAACCCCAGAGAAAGTAGATGTAGCTTTGGAAAACATTGCCCAATAAGCTCTGTAGCCTTTGGTAAAGTAACGCAAACATCTCTTTTGACCCTCAAAGTGAGGGATCCAGTTGGCTAAGCACTCTGTCTTCACCTAGTTGCTGACCTACTCTTGGTGCCTGCCATTGACCAAATCTAACTGGATGCCAGAGGGCACAGGAGCCTTATTATGTCTCTGTACAACTCAGCTTCTTGGAACCCATACGAGGTAGAGAAGAATGAAAGGTGTAACTGAAGAAGCAAAATAAGATACCCAGCACAGCCACATTCCCATGAGGGCAAATTTCTTTATGTCTCTAGAACTTCACATCTCCATTGGTACTCCAGAGACAAGCATCAACAATAGTTACATTTTTTATGTAAAAAACCATATTCAGGTACATGAAACACAAGGATTCCAATGAACAAAAGGGTAAAAGAAAGACAATTCACGAAAGAGGAAATTAAACTAGAAAAGAGATGTAAAATAACATTGGCTGTCTGTTGCCAATCAAATGAAAGCTTTGAAGTCACTCAGAATAATTGAAGCAGTTTGAATAAAGAGCGGAGATGTGATAGATTACTTAGTGAATATGAAGGAGCAGCATAGAAGATGGTAGGAGGTACATGGTATACCTGCATGGCCAACAAAATTAAAATAGGACATTGAAGACAGAGAAAAACGATGGCTAGAAAAGCAGTAGGAATAAAAGAGAAGATCATGCTTCCTGGCTTCATGGTATGAGAATGGAGGAGTGAGTAGATACCCATGAGAAAAGATCAAGGGGCATGCAGCCATCAGGGAAAATCCATAGTGCAGATAAAGCAAGGAGGAAGAAGGACAGTTCTAGTAAAAGGGAGAACATCAGTATAGGATGTTTCTTCGCAATAGAAAAAGAAGGCCAAGAGGAATCAGGGAGAGAGTTATAAGAGAAGACTAAGGGGACCAGGTTAGATTTGGTTTGGTTTGAAAGCATACAGTAAATATGATGTCTGTCCCTGGTGGTGTTGGTTGAGTAGGAAGGAGGAAGGGAGGCAAGAGATAATATCATTTTGTCTGTGCTACTGTAATTACATATATCAGGGGAAATTCAGCCAGATATCAGGTAAAATTCACCCCTGATATTTCACGTAGGTTCTTTTCTATTTTCCCTAAGTGTCGGCTGGTCTGAGAAATAAAGGGATAGAGTACAAAAGAGAGAAATTTTAAAGCTGGGTGTCTGGGGAAGACATCACAGTTTGGCAGGTTCCATGATACCCCCTGAGCCACAAAACCAGCAAGTTTTTATTAGTGATTTCAAAAGGAGAGGGAGTGTACGAATAGAGTGTGGGTCACAGAGATCACGTGCTTCACAAGGTGATAGAATATCACAAGGCAAATGGAGGCAGGGTGAGATCACAGGACCACAGGACCTGGGTGAAATTAAAATTGCTAATGAAGTTTCGGGCACGCATTGTCATTGATAACATCTTATCAGGAGACAGGGTTTGAGAGCAGACAACCGGTCTGACCAAAAATTTATTAGATGGGACTTTCCTCATCCTAATAAGCCTAGGAGCGCTACGGGAGGTTGGGGCTTATTTCATCCCTACAGCTTCAACCATAAAAGACGGCTGCCCCCCAAAGCGGCCATTTTAAAGGCCTACCCTCAGGGGCATATTCTCTTTCTCAGGGATGTTCCTTGATGAGAAAAAGAATTCAGCGATATTTCTCCCATTTGCTTTTGAAAGAAGAGAAATATGGCTCTGTTCCACCCAGCTCACCGGCGGTCAGAGTTTAAGGTTATCACTCATGTTCCCTGAACATTGCTGTTATCCTGTTCTTTTTTCAAGGTGCCCAGATTTCATATTGTTCAAACACACATGCTCTACAAATAATTTATGCAGTTAATGCAATCATCACAGGGTCCTGGGACCACATACATTCTCCTCAGCTTGCAAAGATGATGGGATTAAGAGATTAAAGTAAAGACAGGCATAGGAAATCACAAGGGTATTGATTGAGGAAGTGATAAGTGTTCATGAAATCTTCACAATTTATGTTCAGAGATTGCAGTAAAGACAGGCATAAGAAATTATAAAAGTATTAATTTGGGGAACTAATAAATGTCCATGAAAACTTCATAATCTATGTTCTTCTGCCATGGCTTCAGCCAGTCCCTCGGTTCAGGGTCCCTGACTTCCTGCAACATACATGTGAGACTATTTCCCGCTCTGCTTTTCAAACCTTACTGGAGTTGTTTTCCCTCATGAAAACTAAGAAAGGAAAGCTAGTTAATCTTATTCTGAGGTTGTTCAATATATACATATTCACATCTGTAGAGAGATCCTTGGGAATACAGTAATTGGCATATATTCTGTTATTTGATGCTTGAAAAATCTCTTCCACTAACCAGTTTCCCTATAGATAGGCACAAGCACATAGGTAAGAAACAATAAATAAATGTTCTCTTTAATTTGTAACTTCACAATGCTGAGAAAACTTTACAGCCTTCATAAGGAAGTGAGGTCCAGGAAAATCTAGGAGATATTTGTTAACCAACCTATAAAGACATTAGTAATGACAGGATATTTCCTGAAAGTGTAATTTCCCATTGAGGATTTGTTTTTAATTTCTGGATTCCTGGATCCAATGAAGTTGGCATAGGTTTATGAAATGCCAAGATACATAAGTTGGCAAGTGTTCACATGCAAAAAACTTCTTGGAATTCCTGAGCTCTCTGTGGCAATATATGACATCAGGATATGTCCCATCTCGCACATCAGGATATGTCCTGTCAAGAATGTCTATCACATGCCAGGAGTACTTTTTAGGAACAGAAAAAAATGTCTGAAATGGTTTCTCATTTGAACTCATCCAAGCTTTCTCTAAATTTAAGCAAACTCCTGGTCATTTTCAGTTAGTACCTTTCCTCAAGTTCAACCTTCATGACAAACCTCAGCATCTCAGAAGATTTAGCCATAGTCTGAAATTCTCTTCCATAGACTGGTCCCCTGTAATCCCAGTTTGCCTCAGCTTGTTATCCTGCTTTTTATTCCCCTCTATTCCCAGGCTGAGCTTCTTGCTTCTGTCCTATGAGACGTTAGATTCCTTCGCTTTGGTACCCAAGTAAACCCATCCTTCTCCATATACAGGAAGGTCCATTTTTCTCTTACAGCCCTGGATGCAGACTCAGCTAAGAAGACCATTATTCATTTTTGGAATTCTTCATCTAGGATATTTCCTCTTGTTTCTTTCTCTCCTATCTTTGAGCTTTTTAGATCATCAACACCCCATTAGTCTATTACCCAACTTAAATCAGGGAACTTATACCTCCCAAACTCATTCAGAGACTCCAAACATATATATTGATACAGGAGACCTAAGAAGAGCATGTCTTGGGGGTTGAGGAAACAGGCAGGTGAGAAACTTCCAGATTGGAAACACAGCTTCCTTTCTCCCGTCCAGCCCCTACTTCATCCTATCTGTTTCCGGAACCTTGTTGTAGATGAATCTCCCTTGACTTCATGATGTGCTGAGAAAACAAACTCATGGCTGGTGTTAAAAAGGGCCCATGACAATACCAAGTGTTGGGGAGAATGTGGAGAAATCAGAACTCTATTCACAGTCGGTTGGAATGCACACTTGTGCAGAATTCTATGGAGAAGAGTCTGGCATTTCCTCAAAATGTTAACCTGGATTTACCATATGACCCAGCGATTTCATTCATAGGTTTATACTCAAAAGAAATGAAGAAATATGCCATGCAAAAAAATGTACATGAAAAGTCAAAACATCATTATTCATAATAGTAAATGGATGGAAACAACACAAATGTCCATCAACTTATGAATAAAGAAAATGTGGTCTATTCATAGAATGGAATATTATTCGACCACAAAAAGGAATGATGTACTGATCCATGCAATGACGTGGACAAACCTTGAAGATAATACTAGATGAAAGAAGCCAGTCACAAAAGGACTTACTGTATGATTCGATTTACGTGAAATGTTTAGAATAGGCAAATCCATAGAAACAGGAGGTAGATTACTGGTTTCCAGGGTCTCGAGTAAGGGAAGAACGAGATACAAGTTTTCTTTTGGAGGTAGTGAAATTGTTGTGGAACGAGATCATGATGGTGATAGCACAACTTTGTGAATATAATAAAATCATTGAATTGTACAGTTGAATTTGTGGCATATAAATTATATGTTAAAAAAGGGGGTCCACAAAACAAACAGCCCCCCACTCTGGTTGTCAGGGAGATATTGGATTAAATGGCCTTGGACAACAACCCTCTCCCTGGCCACAGACATTCTTCAGATTACAAGATATTCCAGAGGAAACACTGGAATGAGTCTGAAGCCAGGTGCTAAATGGAAGGACCACCAAGAAACGTTGTGATCCTGACAGGTCAAGCAACTTCTTTTTCTGCTTAATTTTTAAATGAAAAATTAGAAAGCTGACATTCAAAATGGCCCGTCTGTTTCAATTGCTCTTCTCAGTGTCAGCCTGTTAACTCAATGTGTTAGTCTGTTTTCATGCTGCTGATAAAGACATACCTGAGATTAGGAAGTAAAAGAGGTTTAATTGGACTTAGAGTTCCACGTGATTGGGGAGGCCTCAGAATCACGGTAGGAGGCAAAAGTTATTCTTACATGGTGGCTGCAAGAGAAAATGAGGAAGAAGCAAAAGAAGAAACCCCTAATAAACCCATTGGATCTCCTGAGACTTATTAACTATCATGAGAATAGCACAAGAAAGACCGGCCCCCATGATTCAATTACCTCTACCTGGGTCCCTCCAACAACATGTGGAAATTCTGGTAGATACAATTCAAGTTGAGATTTGGGTGGGAACACAGCCAAACCATATCACTCAGCAAGGCAGATAACTTTCTCACTGAGCCTATGCAACAGAAAACCATCTGGGATGGTTGTAAGGGGCACAGGAAGTGACTGGTAGGATCACTGCCAAAGCTGAGCATTCAGGAGAAGGCAATAGAATCCTATTCTCCATAGTATGCTATAAGATACTGAAGTACACTTCTTCACTATCTCTTTGGACTTAGAATTAGCACTATATTCCTTGTTATACAGAAAAATTACTAAGGAAATTCATAGGATGACAAAAACTTTCAGAACTGAAAAACAGGAAATGTAAGCTTTTTAGTTCTTTGGTATTCGAAGTATGCCTAAAAGACAATGCAAAATCCAAGAAAAGAATGGTGGGGTTTTTGTTTGTTTGTTTTTGTTTTTGTTTTACAGCTGGAGTAGAATACAAAGGGATGGAGTTGAAACAAATGAGAGGAAATTGGAATTCTAAACTTATTCTCATTGGCATTAGAAAGGCACCTACATGTATTTCACATGAGCCGGTGACTGCTGACTTGCATTCTTATTTTTTCCCTATAGATTAAAAAGGAGGTACAATGGTAGAACTGTAATCCTGTCCTTTGTCATAAATTTTCGTATTCATAAAGGTGAGTGTTAGCCCGCTTGTGAAATCTGAAGTTGAGTAACTTCAAATACTAACCACAGAGGGAGAGGCAGCAAGAGGAGAGGCATAAATTCAGGATCTCACCCTTCATTCCACAGACACACATAGCCTCTCTGCCCACCTCTGCTTCCTCTAGGAACACAGGTAAGAGCTTCAAGCCTCTCCAGCTTAATAACATGAATTATTTTTGAGAATAATAATGATACTGTGTTCTATATCATGCATCTCCTGCATTCTGTCTGATTATATTTTACTTATTCTGCCAGAGCAAAATTAAAATACCTATTTCATCTGATTTGTCCTTTATCTAAATTGCTTAGTTCCAAGTAAACCAAGGCACTTTTAGGAACACAGAGGGAGAGTGCCTTGCAGCCAGAGAGTCTTGAAGGAGATGTCAGGGACGCATCTTAACAGCTGGTTGGATGTGATCCACAGAGGTCTCCTGTTAGCATTCATTGTAAAGCCTTCCTACCTAGCCCTAGTGTAGCCAGCAATGAAGGAAAGAGGGTCTATTACTTATTTACAGTAGTCTTTAAAAACACTAATTTTGTGAGGCTTCTAATTAAGACATTAATATATTTAATATATGCACATTGTAGAAAGATTGAAACGTTAAAAATAAGATGAGGAAAACTTTAAATGTCAAAATCTCACAACACAGATATATAATTTCTTTAAGAAAATTGTACTACAAAATACCATTCCATTTATTAAAGTCATTCTGACAGGAATCTGATGCTTTTCCAGGAGTTCCAGATCACATCGAGTTCACCATGAATTCACTCAGTGAAGCCAACACCAAGTTCATGTTCGACCTGTTCCAACAGTTCAGAAAATCAAAAGAGAACAACATCTTCTATTCCCCTATCAGCATCACATCAGCATTAGGGATGGTCCTCTTAGGAGCCAAAGACAACACTGCACAACAGATTAAGAAGGTAGCTATCAGCATCATTATGTTGTCCTGTTGCAGTTTTTCTCTGGTTCCGTCGGCTAGCACGCAGATGGTAATAGATGTGGTGGTCTGATGGGTAGCACAGGGGGCTGAGCAGGAATTCCCGTAACTGTGAGACCACTGACTTAAACAGATCTTTTGAGTAAAGTTTTCTTGTCCCGCTTCATGTCTCTTCCAGGTTCTTCACTTTGATCAAGTCACAGAGAACACCACAGGAAAAGCTGCAACATATCATGTGAGTCACAGAGCACTATGGTTCAGCTTTAGATCCCCGAACAGGTCATAGTTTGAACCTGGAACTTCACAGAAACTAAGAAAAGGCCATTTTTAGGGAAAATCTTGGACACAAAGATTGAGACATACAGAGTGGGTTGGCATTTCATGGCACATAATTATTATTCCTCCTTTCTTCGTTACTGAAAGACAGTCAGCACTGTACCTCAGAGCATAGGTCTGGATCAGGATAGGCTAGGTTCAGACTCCAGCTTTGCTCTTCACAAATGGTGAACATGAGCAGGACACAACTGCTCAGAGTCCCAGTGACCTCATCCCAGAAAACTAAGGGTAATAAGAAATCTGACTCAATACATGCAAATACATGCAAATGTTTACAACATTGCCTTGCCCATAAAATGTCATAATAAATGTTATTATTATTATAAAATAGCTATAATTATACTAATCACAATAATGTTGCAAAATATTTAATTTTCATTGAGTCATTAATGAGATAAAGAGGAATAAGCACAAGTCCAACTATATTTTGGAAAATGATTGCTATGGAATATATTGGTTTAGAGCCTTAATAGTGCAAAATGCTTTGCTGGAAAGTAGAAGTTTCTAGATTTAAACAGGCTTAGGTTCAAAACGTGGCACTTCTAATTTATGTCTCTATGAAGAGGTTTACTTTCCATTCTCTGAGCTTTCTTGTTTTCACCTGAATTGAACTAAAGACTTAAAGTTACCCATGTAAAGTCCTTAGCCATGTACCTGGCACACACTCTTCTTACGTGCAGAGAATGACCATCATGAGGAAACAGTCACAGATCAGTCAATGTGTCCTACAAGATAACAGCACCAACAGGTATAACAGGGCTTCCTGGCATAATCTATTTAAAATATCCAACCTTCAACATACTCATATCCTTGATGACTGTTAGAAGTGAAATATGGTCCTTGCCTTTAAGGAGCTGAGAGTTTAACTGGGAAGCTAAACCTAACCCTTTAAACCAACAAGGACAAAATCCAGTGGTAGACAGTGCTGCATCTATAGTTCAGAAGAGAAAAGATTGCAGTACATTAGAGCAAGAAGAATTTCCTGGAAGAAGTGAAACATAAGGTGGATTTTGAAGGGTATTTGAGGTGAAATACACCAAGTATCAGGGAATAAGCTCAAAGGTCCTCATTGAGACTACCAGCCATTAGGGACTGATCTAACAGACTTAGCATGGGTTTAGTATTTACATTGATACAGCAATTGAATGATCTCCTTTTTTGATGTTTGAAGGTTGATAGGTCAGGAAATGTTCATCACCAGTTTCAAAAGCTTCTGACTGAATTCAACAAATCCACTGATGCATATGAGCTGAAGATCGCCAACAAGCTCTTCGGAGAAAAAACGTATCTATTTTTACAGGTAATTTCACCTGGCCTACCCACATTTCATTTGCATCCTGATGTCTGTGTCTCTGAGTGGCCAAATGGAAGAAAGCAAGGCAGATGAGCCTGACCGATCCAGGTGGAGAGCATTTACTCAGAGTGCAATAGCTCCGTTTCCACAACTCTCCCCCACTGGAGTGTCCCAGACCCTAACAATACATCACTGAAGTGTGGATTTAGGGATAATCTTGTAATAAAAGAGGAGGTTGGGTAATAGAGTGAGTAAGAGTAATAAGTAATAAGATACCATCGATAAACTGGCACTGACTCAGTCACATACGATACATCTTGGTGGGAAATGTATGACTAATGGGATATTATTGGAATGGGCAGGCTTGGGTGAGTTCCTGAGAATAGTTGAGGAAGTACCAGGAAATACTGAATGCACAGGATGAAAGATAAAAACAAAGATCAGAAACATCATGGTTGAAATTACTGGAAAGAGGTCTGAGAAGCAATGAATCTCCTTCAGGGAAGCCTGCTCTGCAGTTTGCAAACCACAGCCTCTTCTGCTTCTGCCTTTTGCCAGATGATATTGACCTTCGGTGACCTCTTTCTTGCGCCAGCCCGCACTCCGCTTTTGCATTGCCTACATGGCACCAGTATAAAAATATGCATGGACAGGAGATACTGCATCTATTCAGGGTCTGGATTCAGCTTACTATAATTATAAATAACTAAATTTGGTAATATATAGTTACATAAATTACTCTTACTTCCTACTTTCTTCCTTCATATCTCAAAGGAATATTTAGATGCCATCAAGAAATTTTACCAGACCAGTGTGGAATCTGTTGATTTTGCAAATGCTCCAGAAGAAAGTCGAAAGAAGATTAACTCCTGGGTGGAAAGTCAAACGAATGGTAGGAGAGCCACCCATTATAGAAACACCTTTGAGAAATCTATGCGAGTGAGCCCTATGCCTGAAACTGCATGGGGGACCATGGGTGGGAATTGAGATGGCTTTGCAGGGAGGGAAGAAGAGGGCACTCCAGATGAAGAGTTTTTCCAAATGATTATGAAGAGAGCCTAGGGGAGCCAAGGAGGAAATCACAGGAAGCCAATTAGAAGAAAACATAGCCGGAGGATTCTTTGCTCATGTTCCTGGATGACAATAGCTTTGTGGATCCCTTGTCTCCACTCAGGTCCAATTTGAGATCATGTCCTTTACTTTAAATCAGAACCAATATTTTATGATGAATATTTAAAAGGAAACATTAGAAAGCATCTCCCTTCCCCTTTACTAATTGGGAAACAAGCAGCTCTCTGGTAAATCACCCTTTTGCCATCTGAACTAGAGCTGCCTGGATCACATCTCTAGCCACAAGTTCTGCAGGGATTATCACAGCTCTCTTCCCCATCAAGGGCAAGAGCTTAACAAATTCTCCATTCTATAGACATCTATCCTACCTCCCACCTCTCATTACAGGCCAAACTTACAGCAACTCAACATGAGAGTGAATAGGAAGATACCCCCGGAAGTAGTGTCTGACAGCACAGGACATGCGTTTCATATTACAGAGCTCATGTCACTTGTCCTAAAAAGCAGTCAGGGCCTACTTCCTCTGAATGGGGACCCCGTAGTTAAAAAAAAAAAAAAAAAAGTAGGAAGAGGAGGGAGGGAGAAAGGAAAGACACATGTTGAAAGAGTAGACAAAATCAGTTTATCAGTATTCCAAATCAGATGAATGGACTCATTCATACACAGAGAACGTGAACTCCTTCTCTATCACAAGAAGTGATGTCTCCATTAAGGGCAACTTTATACGACTGGAGCCTTGAAGAAAGCTGCATCTGGTGAACCACTGGTCAGTGAGTCTAACAATTCAAAGATCAAAGTCAGTGAGTCTCAAGTAGGGATTTGGGTCAATAATTAACGATCAGTCACGAACATTTGCAAAGCATCTTCCAGACAAGCCATTTGTAGCTTGTGTAAAAGACTCTTTTATTCTTTCCCTTGCAGAAAAAATTAAAAACCTAATTCCTGAAGGTAATATTGGCAGCAATACCACATTGGTTCTTGTGAACGCAATCTATTTCAAAGGGCAGTGGGAGAAGAAATTTAATAAAGAAGATACTAAAGAGGAAAAATTTTGGCCAAACAAGGTATTGTCTATATTTTATTTATATAATGTAATATGTTAATAAATTTAAACATTTCTGATGGAATGTACCATGACAAGTAAAAAATAAAATTGTTCATGTCTGTTTTTTTGTTGTTTTAGTCTTATAACTTTATTTAGTTAGGAATTCCTGAAGAAGCTATTGTCTCTAACTCATTACATTCTTGGATTATTTCTTAAAAGAAGGATGTGTTGATATCTCAATAATATTATCTTTTTGCCTTGTGTCTCACTTGGTATTTGTTGGACACATTGATTTATTGTAGAATACATACAAGTCCATACAGATGATGAGGCAATACACATCTTTTCATTTTGCCTCGCTGGAGGATGTACAGGCCAAGGTCCTGGAAATACCATACAAAGGCAAAGATCTAAGCATGATTGTGTTGCTGCCAAATGAAATCGATGGTCTCCAGAAGGTAAGAACTTGCATCTACAACTCTTCCTTCTACTGCCTGACATTTTTCCAAAGATACCAAGTTTAAACAAGGTAAAAGCTGGTGACCGAGTTGCCTCAAAATAATGAAAAATTCTAAATGAGGAATGATGACTCACCTTCATATTACAAAGATTTAAGCATAGGGCCTGACACAAACTGAAGGCATAGTTAATGATTAATTTATTAGAGTTACATGCATTGGATATCAATTTAATGATATTATTATGCAGCAATTTAAACTTGACTGGGAGAAATATATAGCAATGTGAGGAAAGTTTACGAATACACCAAGTAAAAAAGGGAATAGAAATTTAGGAATTTGGGGAATTGCAATTTAATAATTGCAATGTGTACTAAATAATGTATACAGAAAAATAAGATGAGCCTATTAAAAATTGACACATGTAGTAGGCTGTTGGCACAAGAAATAGTGATATATATAGTTCATTGTGTACAAAATAATGTAATCATATTTTTACATGTGTATCATACAGTTGTATACATACATATGTACACATTACATATACATAAAAACTTGATTCTGTTTATACACATACACATATAACCCAATGTATTTATATATCCAGGACTCATATTTTGCCTATTAGAATAATAATATCTAATAAAGTGAACCTTCTGTATTTCACATTTGTTGCCAAAATAAGGATTCTCCACATAGTCAATTCATTGTTAAGGTGTATTAGAAATCAACAGTTAGTCATATCAGTTTCTTTTTTCCATTTGTATAGCTTGAAGAGAAACTCACTGCTGAGAAATTGATGGAATGGACAAGTTTGCAGAATATGAGAGAGACACGTGTCGATTTACACTTACCTCGGTTCAAAGTGGAAGAGAGCTATGACCTCAAGGACACGTTGAGAACCATGGGAATGGTGGATATCTTCAATGGGGATGCAGACCTCTCAGGCATGACCGGGAGCCGCGGTCTCGTGCTATCTGGAGTCCTACACAAGGCCTTTGTGGAGGTTACAGAGGAGGGAGCAGAAGCTGCAGCTGCCACCGCTGTAGTAGGATTCGGATCATCACCTACTTCAACTAATGAAGAGTTCCATTGTAATCACCCTTTCCTATTCTTCATAAGGCAAAATAAGACCAACAGCATCCTCTTCTATGGCAGATTCTCATCCCCGTAGATGCAATTAGTCTGTCACTCCATTTGGAAAATGTTCACCTGCAGATGTTCTGGTAAACTGATTGCTGGCAACAACAGATTCTCTTGGCTCATATTTCTTTTCTTTCTCATCTTGATGATGATCGTCATCATCAAGAATTTAATGATTAAAATAGCATGCCTTTCTCTCTTTCTCTTAATAAGCCCACATATAAATGTACTTTTTCTTCCAGAAAAATTCTCCTTGAGGAAAAATGTCCAAAATAAGATGAATCACTTAATACCGTATCTTCTAAATTTGAAATATAATTCTGTTTGTGACCTGTTTTAAATGAACCAAACCAAATCATACTTTTTCTTTGAATTTAGCAACCTAGAAACACACATTTCTTTGAATTTAGGTGATACCTAAATCCTTCTTATGTTTCTAAATTTTGTGATTCTATAAAACACATCATCAATAAAATAGTGACATAAAATCATTTTTGCTTTACATTTTCTCTCTGGAAAGGGAAAGTGTCCAGTTACACACAGGAAAGACAATTTAGAGATATATTAATCACAAACAAAGGAAAATTAAAAACAGAGTAGTTCATGATGAGCCTGGAGTAGAAGGCATATCCCAGAACAGGAGGAGCCTTGTAAACCACATTAGGAACTTCCTATTTTATGCTAAAGGGATAAGAAACTCATTACAGGCTTTGATGGTTGTTTGTCAAAGAGGGGCATAAAATTATCATATCTTCATCTTGAAAATACATCTCTGGTTACTCTGATATCAATGGATGAGAGGAAAGAACAGTGTGGTTACCATATATAAATCAGGAAATCATTAGAGTATTGGGGGTGGAAATGAAGAGAAAGAAACAGCCTGGCAGAATTATTTAGGAAGTAATAGTTAAAAAAAGACATCTAAGTTTCTGAGCTATCTGACTGGAAGGATGGAAGAAAATGTTGTTTTTGAGAGAAAAAAAAGACCATGGGTTTAAATTTGTACTTGATGAATTGAGGTACTTTTAATATTCAAATGAATTTGCCTGGCAGGTACTTGAAGATATTGATCTAAATCTCAGAAACAGAATATGATCTGAAGCTCTAAATTTGTGATATTCAACATAAATACTTTAGAGTTATTGGGATAAACATGGTAATTGTAGCTAGAAGCAAAGATAAGATCCTAGGGAGGAAGGATAAAGTTAGAAGAAAGAAGAATCTGGAATTGACCTTGAAGTATATCAATATGTGTAAAGATCATGAACTGATCATTTTTATTTTCCAGAAAGTAGCTTTTCTTAGGGTTCCATATTTACTCCCATAGATTCTTCCCAGTCAGTACTGAATCCCACCTGGTTTCATAAAACATAAGTTTTAGAGAATTTGAACAAGGTTGAAGTTTTCTTCAGCAAGATTCAGCAGTCCAGGATGAAGGCAGAGGAAACAAATGTTTCACCACTTAACTGTGAGACTTGGTCAAGTTGTCGAGGGAATTGACAGACTAGCCAGAGAGTGTATAACATCAACAATCTGTTCAGTGAATACAGCTGGGGAAAGAAAGCAAAGAAGGATGTAATAGTCTTGAAGAACACATGTGCATTACAATACTTACTGAGGTCAAATAAGGATGGTATTGAGTTTATGAGAAAGATGAAGAGGTCAGAAGTTTGGGCCAGGACCTATGATTTTGAAATATGCTTTAAAATGATAAATTGTAAGGAATTATAAAGCCCAAATTCTGTCCAATAGGTGAGGATTAATTTCTAATGATTCAATGAAGCTGAAAATGGTAGAGTGGATAGTTTTGAAGAACTGATTGTTAGAATCACTTTAGACCATATCCTTCAACTATTATTAATTTTTCTGGGTTTAAAAGAAGGTACTTTTTAATAATGAAAATGTTAAGACAAAGCTCATAAGCATTAGATTCTTATAGAGGAGAGGGCATAGTTGATATTTTGTTAGGAGAATTGAAATATTTACATACATTCTAGGCCCACCAGAAAACCAGTTGCCCCTGCATTGTAGCCATCTGCAAGAGACACTGAAGGGAAAGCCAAAGTTTTTGTCTTGATTTTTTAAATAATGAATTAAAATCTATTGAGTAAAACAGAATATGAGTCCCTGCTCATATAAAATAAATGACTAAATTAAAAGTTTCATAAGAAATGCAAAATTTAAGTGCTTTCAAAACTCCTCCTCATGGAATACCACTTTGTACCAATTATGATGGCCAAAATTAAAACTTATAATACTGGGCCATTGCAAGTTTTGAAAAGAATGTGAAGCAACTGGAACTCTCACAAACTGCTGATGGAAATACAAAAGGTGCAACCATGTTGGAAAACAGTCTTAAATCACTGAACTACACACTTACATTTTATTTTAATTAATTATGCCTCTATAAAGTTGACTCAAAAGAGGAAAAAGAGAATTGTCCAAAACACACATCTTTAGGTGAAAAAATCTTCTTCATTAAATGTTGTTTTTAAATGTATTTTAATTAATAAAAACTGTATACATTTATGTTGTAAAACATGTTGTTTTGAAATATGTATACATAGTGGAATGAGTCAGTGGAGCTAATTTATATATACATTACCTCACATAATTTTTTGCGGTAAGAACACTGCAAGTCTGTTCTCTTAGCAATTTTCAAAAATAAAATGTATTAACCATAGTCACCATGTTGTAAAACAGACCTTCTGAACTCATGTCTCCTGTTTAACTGAAATTTGTATCCTTTGACCAACATCTCCTCAACTCCCTCTCACATCCCGGCTCCTGGTAACCACCATTTTACTCTTTATTTATATGAGTTCAACTTTTCTAGATTCCACATATAAGAGAGACCATGCAATATTTGTCTTTCTCTGCATGACTTATTTCACTCAATATAATGTTCTCCAGGTTTACCCTGTTGTCATAAATGACAGGATTTCCTTCCTTTTAAAGGCTGAATAGTAAGTATTCTACTGTGCATGTATATAACACATTTTCCTCATCCAGTCACTCATTATTACATAGATGGGTTGATTCCGTATTTTGATTATTGTGAATAATGCTGCAATGAACATGTGAATAAAGATATCTGTTCAACGTAACTGCTTTTATTTCCTTTGGAAATATACCCAAAAGTGGAATTATTAAATCATATCATCGTTCTGTATTTACTTTTCTGAAGAATCTTTATGATGTTTTCCATAATGTCTATGCTAATTTATAATCCAACCAACAGAGTAAAATAAGTCTGCTTCTGCAATGTTCTTGTCAACACTTGTTATCATTTATGTTTTTGACAAAAGCCATCCTAACAGGAGTGAGGTGATATTTAATTATGGTTTAGTTGGCATTTCTCAAATGATTATTGATATTGCATGTTTTCTATTGACAAATGATTATTCAGATCATTGGCCTATTTTTAATTGGGTTATTTGTTTTATTGTTATTCAGTTGTTTCAGTTCCTTATATATTTTGGATATTAATCCCTTTTGAGATGCATGCTTTACAGATATTTTTTCTCCCATTTATCTCTTCACTGTGCTGATTCTCATTTGTGCAGAAGCTTTTTCATGGTCTCATTTGTCTAATTTTGCTTTTTTTGCCTTTGATTTCATATCCAAAAAATTATTGCCCAGACCAATATCATGAAGCTTTTCTCATATGTTTTCTACTAGTTGTTTTATACTTTTAAGTCTTACCTGTAATCTATTTGGAATTGATTTTTTATATGGTGTAAGATATGGTTCTAATTTCTTTCTTCTCTATGTGAATACGGTTTTTTAAAACCATTTATTAAAGAGACTGTCTTTTCCCCATTATATGTTCTTGGCGCATTTTAAAAAACTAATTGGCCATAAATATCTGCATCTGTTTCTGGACTGTATTATACTTGTTTATGTGCCTGTTTTTATGCCAGTACGATGCCATTTTGATTAATATTGATTCATAAGTTATTTTGAAGTTAAGTAGTGTGATGCCTCCTGTTTTCTTCTCTTTGTTCAAAATTGCTTGACTATTCTAGGATTTTTGTGGTTCTATACATATTTTAGGATTTTTTTTTTTTTTTGGAGTTGGAGTTGGAGTTGGAGTTGGAGTCTCGCTCTGTCACCCAGCTGGAGTGCAGTGGCTCAATCTCTGCTCACTGCAAGCTCCGCCTCCCAGGCGTGTATCTCATTTTCATTACAGCATTATTCACAATAGCCAAGACATGAAATCAGCCTGTGTCCAACAACAAATGAATAAATAAAGAAAATATGATATATATACACAATGAAATACTATTCCACCATAAAAAAAAAGACAGTTCTGTCATTTGCAACAACATGGATGAACCTGGAGGACATTATGTTAAGTGAAGTAAGCTAGATACAGAAAGACTAATACTACATAACCTCAATTATATGTGGAATCTAAAAATGTTGATTTTTGACAAAGATGCCAAGGACACACAATCAGGAAAGGACAGTCTCTTCAATAAGGAGTGTTGAAAAAAATTGGATATCCATATGGAGAAAAAGGAAATTAGATCCTCATCCCACACCATATACAAAAATCAACTGAAAACCGATTGAAGGCTTAAATGTAACGACTGAAAATGTAAAACTATCAGAAGAAAATATAGAGGAAAAGCTTCATGACATTGGTCTGGCCTTTAGATATGATTCCAAAAGCACAGGCCACAAAAGTAAAAATAGACAAATGTGATTACATAAAACTGAAACTTCTTCACAGCAAAGGAGTGAAGAATTCACAATCAACAGAGAGATAAGATGATCTACCAAATGAGAAAAAGTTTTTGTAAACTATATCGCTGATAAAGTATTCTTCTTCAAAATGTAAAGGGATCTGATAAAACTCAACAGCAAAAAAAAAAAAAAAAAAAAACTTTTAAAATGTACAAAGAACCTGAATAGACATTTTTCAAAAGAAGACATACGAGTGGCCAGCAGTTACATAGAAAAATACTTAACATCACTAATCCTCAGGGAAATGCAAATCAGAAACACAATGAGATATCGTCTTACACCCGATAGGATGGCTATTATCAAAGAGTCAAAAGATAACAAGTGTTGTTGAGGAGCTGGAGAAAAGGGAACCCTGGTACACTGCTGGTGGGAATAAAATTTGTACAGCCATTTAGAAAACCTTATGGAGATGCCTCAGAAAATTAACAACAGAACTAACATATGATTCAGCAATCCCACTTCTTGGAATACATCCAAAGGGTATGAAATACGCATGTCAAAGAATTATTTGTATCTCATGTTCATTACAGCATTATTCACAATAGCCAAGACATGAAATCAGCCTGTGTCCACCAACAAATGAATAAATAAAGAAAATATGATATATATACACAATGAAATACTATTCCACCATAAAAAAGACAGTTCTGTCATTTGCAACAACATGGATGAACCTGGAGGATATTATGTTAAGTGAAGTAAGCTAGACACAGAAAGACTAATACTACACAACCTCAATTATATGTGCAATCTAAAAATGTTGAACTCATAGAAACAGATAGTAGAATGCTGGCTACAAGAGGCTGGTAGGGTGGAAGAGTTGGGAAGATGTTGGTAAAGGATATGAAATTTCAGTTAAACAAGAGGAATAAGTTTAAGGTATCTTATCATGACTATATTTAATACCAATATTGTATACTTGAAAATTGCTGAGAGAGGAAATTTTAATGTTCTGGTTCTAAAAAAGAATAATTATATGAGGTAATGGATATGCTAATTAGCTTAATTTAGCCATTCAACAACGTGTACATATATCAAAACATTATGTTACATACCATTAATAAATACAATTTTTACTTACCATTTTTTAAAAAAATTAACTGTAAAACAGTTTCTGAAAACAATTTAAGAACTTCATATGCCTACTACCTCAATTTGACAAAAGTTAATATATTGTCATTCCTATGTTAAAATATAATTCATGACAGATATAATGTTATAGGTGCTTTTAAAATGTTTTACCTAAGTCATATTTATACATTCTTTTTCGTTTGTTTTCCTGTTCCTTGCGATTATGTCTAGAGATTTATTCTTCTTAACAAATGATTATCCAGTTCATTTACATTCACTGCTGTAGAATACTCAGCTGTATGAAACTAGCTTAATTTTTTCCTTATTCTTCTTTTGATATATATTTAAGTTGTTTCTAATTCTTCACCATTAACAAGAATGCTGCAATTCATGCCTTTGTATGTGTCTTGTGCAACATAGTACATGGGTTCATCTAGGCTATATATAGAGAGAAGGAGAGAGGTTTTTTTGTTTTTTTTTTGACAGAGTCTCACTCAGTCACTCAGGCTGGAGTGCAGTGGTAAAATTTCAGCTCACTGCAACCTCTACCTCCTGGCTTCAAGAAATCCCCCCACCTCAGCCTCCCAAGTAGCTAGGATTACATGAACCACCACACCAGGCTAATTTTTATTTATTTATTTTGTTTATTTTATTTTATTTGAAATGGAGTCTCGCTCCGTCCCCAGGCTGGAGTGCAGTGGCTCAATCTCAGCTCACTGCAACCTCTGCCTCCCTGGTTAGAGCGATTCTTCTGCCCCTCAGCCTCCCGAGTAGCTGGGATTATAATTGCCTGCCACCACGCCCGGCTGATTTTTGTATATTTAGTAGACACAGAGTTACACCATATTGGCCAGGCTTATCTTGAACTCCTGACCTTCTGATCCACCTGCCTCGGCATCCCAAAGTGCTGGCATTACAGGCGTGAGCCACCATGCCTGGCCCTATTTTTATTTTTTTGTAATCTTAGTAGAGACAGGGTTTCACCATTTTACTCAGGCAGGTCTTGAACTCCTCACCTCAAATGATCTGCTCCCCCTCAATCTTCTAAATTGCTGGGATTACAGGCATGAGCCACCGCACCTAGCCTAGGGTATATATTTAAACATAGAATTGCTAAAATAACTAGATATGGCCAAGTTTTTCCAAAATAGTTGTACCAGTAAACATTTGCAACAGCATTTTTGTCATTTTTATTTGTCCACATCTCACTAATCCTATGTATTTAAGAATAGTTAGTATCATTTACAATAACAAAGACATGGAACCAACACAAATGCCCATCAATGACAGACTAGATAAAGAAAATGTGGAGCTCTCAGGCTCCGCCTAATTTATTGGTTTATAAGCTCTTTGTTCCTAAGGCAGATGAGAGCAGGAGGAAGGGATGAGGAAAAGGATTAATCAGTGAAAGAGAACTCATGAGTCATTCAATAAGATGTAGAGCAGTAGCGGTTTCTGGGAATTTCTTTGAGCAAAGGCATGTGTCTAAACTACGTAAGATCTTTAACTTATAGGGACTGAAATGGGCGGGAGCGGGTTTCAGGAGGAGCCAAGACGTTTGATTATACTCCCCTGCTTCAAGGGACTGTTATCTCCCTGAGCAACCTGTGGAATACCGCTGAGCTGTTATGCTCTCGGGGCATAAAGACATGAAGGCATAAGGAGACTTTTCTCCTCAGAGGCTGCCCATGGCTACGCATGGGTGTCTCACACAGGGGAGACCAACTCAACTGGCACCCCAGAAACTCTCTTTCCCACAAGAAGTACATGGTATACTTGCATAGCCAAAGAAATTAAAATAGGCCATTGAAGACAGAGAAAAACAATGGCTAGAAAAGGCAGTAGGAATAAAAGAGAAGATCATGCTTCCTGGCTTCATGGCATGAGAATGGGGGAGTGAGTAGACATCCATGAGAAAAGATCAAGGAGCATGCAGCCATCGGGGAAAATCCATAGTGCAGATAAAGCAAGGAGGAAGAAGAAGGACAGTTCTAGTAAAAGGGAGAACATCAATATAGGATGTTTCTTAGCAATAGAAAAAGAAGGCCAAGAGGAATTAGGGAGAGAGTTATAAGAGATCAGCAAGGGGACAGGGTTAGATTTGGTTTGGTTTGAAAGCATACAGTAAATATGATGTCTGTCCCTGGCAGTGTTGGCAGAGTAGGAAGGAGGAAGGGAGGCAAGAGATAATATCATTTTCTCTGTGCTCCAACTGTACTTACATATGAGACTATTTCCCTCTCTGCTTTTCAAACCTTACTGGAGTTGTTTTCCCTCATGAAAACCAAGAAAGGAAAGCTAGTTAGTCTTGTTCTGAGGTTGTTCAATGTATACATATCTATATCTGTAGACAGAATCCTTGGGAATACAGTAATTGACATATATTCTGTTATTTGATGCTTGAAAAATCTCCTCCACTAACCAGTTTCCCTATAGATTGCCACAAGCACATAATAAGAAACAATAAATAAAATGTTCTCTTGACTTTGTTACTTAACAATGCTGAGAAAACTTTACAGCCTTCATAAGGAAGTGAGGTCCAGGAAAATCTAGGAGATATTTCTTAACCAATCTATAAAGGCATTAGTAATGACAGGATATTTCCTGAAAGTGTAATTTCCCATTGAGGATTTGTTTTTAATTTCTGGATTCCTGGAGCCAATGAAGTTGGTGTATGTTTATGAAATATCAAGAGACATAAGTTGGCAAGTGTTCATATGCAAAAACTTCTTGGAATTTCTGAGTTCTCTGTGGCAATATATGACATCAGGATATGTCCAGTCTCACACACCAGGATATGTCCTTTCTAGCCTGTCTATCACATGCTAGGAGAACTATTTAGGAACAGAAAAAAATGCCTGAAATGATTTCTCATTTGAACTCATCCAAGCTTTCTCTAAATTTAAGCAAACTCCTGGTCATTTTCAGTTAGTACCTTTCCTTAAGTTCAACCTTCAGGGCAAACCTCCGTGCCTCAGGACGTTTAGCCATAGTCTGAAATTCTCTTCCATAGATTGGTCCCCTGTAACCCCGGTTTGTCTCAGCTTGTTATCCTGTTTTTTTCTTCCCTCCATTCCCAGGATGAGCTTGTTGCTTCTGTCCTATGAGACATTAGATTCCTTTTCTTTGGTACCCGAGTAAATCCATCCTACTCCAATAGAGGAAGGTCCATTTTTGTCTTATAGCGCTGGATGCAGACTCAGCTGAGAAGACCATTATTCATTTTTGGAATTCTTTATCTCAGATATTTCCTCTTCTTTCTTTTTCTTCTATCTTTGGATTTTTAGTCCATCAACGCCCCATTAGTCTATTCCCCGACTTCAATCAGGGAACTTATACCTCTTAAACTCATTCAGAGACTCAAAACATATATATTGATACAGGAGACCTAAGAAGAGCATGTCTTGGGGGTTGAGGAAACAGGCAGGTGAGAAATTTCCAGATTGGAAACACAGCTTCCTTTCTCCCATCCAGCCCCTACTTTCAGCCTATGTGTTTCTGGCACCTTGTTGTAGATAAATCTCCCTTGACTTTGTGATGTGCTGAGAAAACAAACTCACGGCTGGTGTTAAAAAGGGCCCATGACAATACCAAGTGTTGGGGAGAATGTGGAGAAATCAGAACTCTATTCACGGTCGGTTGGAATGCACACTTGTGCAGAATTCTATGGAGAAGAGTCTGGCATTTCCTCAAAATGTTAACCTGGATTTACCATATGACCCAGCGATTTCATTCATAGGTTTATACTCAAAAGAAATGAAGAAATATGCCATGCAAAAAAATGTACATGAAAGGTCACAACATCATTATTCATAATAGTAAAAGGATGGAAACAACACAAATGTCCATCAACTTATGATTAAAGAAAATCTGGTCTATTCATAGAATGGAATATTATTCGACCACAAAAAGGAATGATGTACTGATCCATGCAATGATGTGGACAAACCATGAAAATAACACTAGATTAAAGAAGCCAGTCACAAAAGGACTTACTGTATGATTCCATTTACCTGAAATGTTTGGAATAGGCAAATCCATAGAAACAGGAGGTAGATTCCTGGTTTCCAGGGTCTCCAGGAAGGGAAGAATGAAGTACAAGATTTCTTTTGGAGGTAGTGAAATTGTTGTGGAATGAGATCATGATGATGATAGCACAACTTTGTGAATATAATAAAATCATTGAATTGTACAGTTGAATTTATGGTATATAAATTATATGTTAATAAAAAGGGGGTCCACAAAACAAACAGCCCCCCACTCTGGTTGTCAGGGAGATATTGGATTAAATGGCCTTGGACAACAACCCCTCTCCCTGGCCACAGACATTCTTCAGATTACAAGATATTCCAGGGGAAACACTGGAATGAGTCTGAAGCCAGGTGCTAAACAGAAGGACCATTGAGAAATGTTGTGATCCTGACAGGTCAAGCAATTTATTTTTCGGCTTCATTTTTAAATGTAAAATTAGAAAGCTGCCATTTAAAATGGCCCGTCTGTTTCAATTGCTCTTCTCAGTGTCAGCCTGTTAACTCAATGTGTTAGTCTGTTTTCATGCTGCTGATAAAAACATACCTGAGACTGGCAAGAAAAAGAGGTTTAATTGGGCTTAGAGTTCCACGTGATTGGGGAGGCCTCAGAATCACAGTAGGAGGCAAAAGTTATTCTTACATGGTGGCTGCAAGAGAAGATGAGGAAGAAGCAAAAGAAGAAACCCCTGATAAACCCATCGGATCTCCTGAGGCTTATTAACTATCATGAGAATAGCACAAGAAAGACCGGCCCCCATGATTCAATTACCTCTACCTGGGTCCCTCCAATAACATGTGGAAATTCTGGTAGATACAATTCAAGTTGAGATTTGGGTGGGAACACAGCCAAACCATATCACTCAGCAAGGCAGATAACTTTCTCACTGAGCCTATGCAACAGAAAACCATCTGGGATGGTTGTAAGGGGCACAGGAAGTGACTGGTAGGATCACTGCCAAAGCTGAGCACTCAGGAGAAGGCAATAGAATCCTATTCTCCATAGTATGCTATAAGATACTGAAGTACACTTCTTCACTATCTCTTTGGACTTAGAATTAGCACTACATTCCTTGTTATACAGAAAAATTACTAAGGAAATTCATAGGATGACAAAAACTTTCAGAACTGAAAAACAGGAAATGTAAGCTTTTTAGTTCTTTGGTATTCGAAGTATGCCTAAAAGACAATGCAAAATCCAAGAAAAGAATGGTGGGGTTTTTGTTTGTTTGTTTTTGTTTTTGTTTTACAGCTGGAGTAGAATACAAAGGGATGGAGTTGAAACAAATGAGAGGAAATTGGAATTCTAAACTTATTCTCATTGGCATTAGAAAGGCACCTACATGTATTTCACATGAGCCGGTGACTGCTGACTTGCATTCTTATTTTTTCCCTATAGATTAAAAAGGAGGTACAATGGTAGAACTGTAATCCTGTCCTTTGTCATAAATTTTCATATTCATAAAGGTGAGTGTTAGCCCGCTTGTGAAATCTGAAGTTGAGTAACTTCAAATACTAACCACAGAGGGAAAGGCAGCAAGAGGAGAGGCATAAATTTAGGATCTCACCCTTCATTCCACAGACACACACAGCCTCTCTGCCCACCTCTGCTTCCTCTAGGAACACAGGTAAGAGCTTCAAGCCTCTCCAGCTTAATAACATGAATTATTTTTGAGAATAATAATGATACTGTGTTCTATATCATGCATCTCCTGCATTCTGTCTGATTATATTTTACTTATTCTGCCAGAGCAAAATTAAAATACCTATTTCATCTGATTTGTCCTTTATCTAAATTGCTTAGTTCCAAGTAAACCAAGGCACTTTTAGGAACACAGAGGGAGAGTGCCTTGCAGCCAGAGAGTCTTGAAGGAGATGTCAGGGACGCATCTTAACAGCTGGTTGGATGTGATCCACAGAGGTCTCCTGTTAGCATTCATTGTAAAGCCATCCTACCTAGCTCTAGTGTAACCAGCAATGAAAGAAAGATAAAGAGGGTCGATTACTTATTTACAATAGTCTTTAAAAACGTAGTTTTGTAAGCCTTCTAATTAGGACATTAATATATTTAATATATGCACATTGTAGAAAGATTGAAGCGTTAAAAATAAGAGAAAAACTTTAAATGTCAAAATCTCACAACCCAGATATATCATTTCTTTAAGAAAATTGTACTACAAAATACCATTCCATTTATTAAAGTCATTCTGACAGGAATCTGATGCTTTTCCAGGAGTTCCAGATCACATCGAGTTCACCATGAATTCACTCAGTGAAGCCAACACCAAGTTCATGTTCGATCTGTTCCAACAGTTCAGAAAATCAAAAGAGAACAACATCTTCTATTCCCCTATCAGCATCACATCAGCATTAGGGATGGTCCTCTTAGGAGCCAAAGACAACACTGCACAACAAATTAGCAAGGTAGCTATCAGCATCATTACGTTGTCCTGTTGCAGTTTTTCTCTGGTTCCGTCGGCTAGCACGCAGATGGTAATAGATGTGGTGGTCTGATGGGTAGCACAGGGGGCTGTGCAGGAATTCCCATAACTGTGAGACCACTGACTTAAACAGATCTTTTGAGTAAAGTTTTCTTGTCCCGCTTCATGTCTCTTCCAGGTTCTTCACTTTGATCAAGTCACAGAGAACACCACAGAAAAAGCTGCAACATATCATGTGAGTCACAGAGCACTATGGTTCAGCTTTAGATCCCTGAACAGGTCATAGTTTAAACCTGGAACTTCACAAAAACTAAGAAAAGGCCAGTTTTAGGGAAAATCTTGGACACAAAGATTGAGACATACAGAGTGGGTTGGCATTTCATGGCACATAATTATTATTCCTCATTTCTGCGTTACTAAAAGACAGTCAGCACTGTACCTCAGAGCATAGGTCTGGATCAGGATAGGCTGGGTTCAGACTCCAGCTTTGCTCTTCACAAATGATGAATAAGAGCAGGACACAACTGCTCGGAGTCCCAGTGACCTCATCCCAGAAAACTAAGGGTAAGAAAAAATCTGACTCAATACATGCAAATACATGCAAATGTTTACAACAGTGCCTTGCCCATAAAAGTCATAATAAATGTTATTATTATTATAAAGTAGCTATAATTATACTAATCATAATAATGTGAAAATAATTTAATTTTCATTGAGTCATTAATGAGATTCAGAGGAATAAGCACAAGTCCAAGTATATTTTGGAAAATGATTGCTATGGAATATATTGGTTTAGAGCCTTAATAGTGCAAAATGCTTTGCTGGAAGGTAGAAAGTTCTAGATTTAAACAGGCTTAGGTTCAAAACTTGGCACTTCTAATTTATGTCTCTATAAACAGGGTTTTTTTCCCCATTCTCTGAGCTTTCTTGTGTTCATCTGAATTGAACTAAAGACTTAGAGTTACCCATGTAAAGTCCTTAGCCATGGACCTGGCATACACTCTTCTTACGTGCAGAGAATGACCATCATGAGGAAAGAGCCACAGATCAGTCAATGTGTCCTACAAGATAATAGCACCAACAGGTATAACAGGGCTTCCTGGCATAATCTATTTAAAATATCCAACCTTCAACATACTCGTATCCTTGATGACTGTTAGAAGTGAAATATGGTCCTTGCCCATAAGGAGCTGAGAGTTTAACTGGGAAGCTAAACCTAACCCTTTAAACCAACAAGGAGAAAATCTACTGGTAGACAGCGCTGCATCTTTAGTTCAGAAGAGAAAAGATTGCAGTACGTTAGAGCAAGAAGAATTTTCTGGAAGAAGTCAAATATAAGGTGGATTTTGAAGGGTATTTGAGGTGAAATACACCAATTATCAGGGAATAACATCAAAGGTCCTCAATGAGACTACCAGCATTTAGGGACTGATCTAACAGACTTAGCATGGGTTTAGTATTTACATTGATACAGCAATTGAATGATCTCCCTTTTTGATGTTTGAAGGTTGATAGGTCAGGAAATGTTCATCACCAGTTTCAAAAGCTTCTGACTGAATTCAACAAATCCACTGATGCATATGAGCTGAAGATCGCCAACAAGCTCTTCGGAGAAAAGACGTATCAATTTTTACAGGTAATTTCACCTGGCCTACCCACATTTCATTTGCATCCTGATGTCTGTGTCTCTGAGTGGCCAAATGGAAGAAAGCAAGGCAGATGAGCCTGGCCGACTCAGGTGGAGAGCATTTACTCAGAGTGCATTAGCTCCATTTCCACAACTCTCCCCCACTGGAGTGTCCCAGACCCCAACGATACATCACTGAAGTGTGGATTTAGGGATAATCTTGTGATAAAAGAGGAGGTTGTGTAATAGAGTGAGTAAGAGTAATAAGTAATAAGATACCATCGATAAACTGGCACTGACTCAGTCACATACGATACATCTTGGTGGGAAATGTATGACTAATGGGATATTATTGGAATGGGCAGGCTTGGGTGAGTTCCTGAGAATAGTTGAGGAAGTACCAGGAAATATTGAATGCACAGGATGAAAGACAAAAACAAAGATCAGAAACATCATGGTTAAAATTACTGGAGAGAAGTCTGAGAAGCAATGAATCTCCTTCAGGGAAGCCTGCTCTGCAGTTTGCAAACCACAGCCTCTTCTGCTTCTGCCTTTTGCCAAGATGATATTGACCTTCAGTGACCTCTTTCTTGTGCCAGCCCACATTCCCCTTTTGCATTGCCTACATGACACCTGTATAAAAATATCCATGGACAGGAGATACTGCATCTATTCAGGGTCTGGATTCAGCTTACTGTTGTTACAAATAAGTAAGTTTGGTAATATATAGTTACATAAATTACTCCTAATTCCTACTTCTTCCTTCATATCTCAAAGGAATATTTAGATGCCATCAAGAAATTTTACCAGACCAGTGTGGAATCTACTGATTTTGCAAATGCTCCAGAAGAAAGTCGAAAGAAGATTAACTCCTGGGTGGAAAGTCAAACGAATGGTAGGAGAGCCACCCATTATAGAAACACCTTTGAGAAACCTATGCCAGTGAGCCTTGTGCTTGACACTGCATGGGGGAACAGGTGTGGGGATTGAGATGGGTTTGCAGGGAGGGCTGAAGAGGGCACTCCAGATGAAGGATTTGTCCAAATGAATATGAAGAGAGCCTAGGGGAGCCAAGGAGGAAATCACAGGAAGCCAATTAGATGGAAACACATCTGGAGAATTATTTGCTTATGGCCCTGCATGACAATAGCTTTGTGGATCCCCTGTCTCCGCTCAGGCCTATTTTGAGATCATATCCTTTACTTTAAATCAGACTCAAATTTTTATGATGAATATTTAATAGAAAACATTAGAAAGCGTCTCTCGTCTCCTTTACTAATTGGGAAACAAGCAGCTCTCTGGTAAATCACCCTTTTGTCTCTGAGCTGGAGCTGCCTGGATCACATCTGTAGCCAATGTGTTCTGCAGGGATTATCACAGCTCTCTTCCCCATCAAGGGCAAAGAGCTTGACAAAGTCTCCATTCTACAGACATCTTTCTTACCTCCCACCTCTCATTACAGGCCAAACTTACAGCAACTCAACATGAGAGTGAATAGGAAGATACCCCCGGAAGTAGTGTCTGACAGCACAGGACATGCGTTTCATATTACAGAGCTCAAGTCACTCATCCTAAAATGCAATCAGGGCCTCCTTCCTCTGAATGGGGACCCCGTAGTTAAAAAAAAATAAAAGTAGGAAGAGGAGGGAGGGAGAAAGGAAAGACACATGTTGGAAGAGTAGACAAAATCAGTTTATCAGTATTCCAAATCAGATGATTGGAGACATTCATACACAGAGAACGTGAACTCCTTCTCTATCACAAGAAGTGATGTCTCCATCAAGGGTAACTTTATACGACTGGAGCCTTGAAGAAAGCTGCATCTGGTGAACCACTGGTCAGTGAGTCTAACAATTCAAAGATCAAAGTCAGTGAGTCTCAAGCAGGGATTTGGGTCAATAATTAACGATCAGTCACGAACATTTGCAAAGCATCTTCCAGACAAGCCATTTGTAGCTTGTGTAAAAGACTCTTTTATTCTTTCCCTTGCAGAAAAAATTAAAAACCTATTTCCTGATGGGACTATTGGCAATGATACGACACTGGTTCTTGTGAACGCAATCTATTTCAAAGGGCAGTGGGAGAATAAATTTAAAAAAGAAAACACTAAAGAGGAAAAATTTTGGCCAAACAAGGTATTGTCTATATTTTATTTATATAGTGTAATATGTTAATACATGGAATGTTAAACATTTCTGATGGAATGTAACATGATAAGTAAAAAATAAAAATTGTTCATGTCTGTTATTTTGTTGTTTTACTCTTATAACTTTATTTAGTTAGGAATACCTGAAAAACTATTGTTTCTAACTCATGGAATTCCTGGGTTATTTCTTAGAAGAAGAAGGATGTGTTGCTATCTCAATAATATTATCTTTTTTGTCTTGTGTTTCACGTGTTATTTGTTGGACACATTGATTTATTGCAGAATACATACAAATCTGTACAGATGATGAGGCAATACAATTCCTTTAATTTTGCCTTGCTGGAGGATGTACAGGCCAAGGTCCTGGAAATACCATACAAAGGCAAAGATCTAAGCATGATTGTGCTGCTGCCAAATGAAATCGATGGTCTGCAGAAGGTAAGAACTTGCATCTACAACTCTTCCTTCTACTGCCGGACATTTTTCCAAAGATACCAAGTTTAAACAAGGTAAAAGCTTATGACCGAGTTGCCTCAAAATGATGAAAAATTCTAAATGAGGAATGATGACTCACCTTCATATTACAAATATTTGAGCATAGGGCCTGACACAAACTGAAAGCTTAGTTTTTGTTTGTTTGTTTGTTTTTATTATTATTATTATAATACTTTAAGCTTTAGGGTACATGTGCACAATGTGCAGGTTAGTTACATATGTATACATGTGCCATGCTGGTGTGCTGCACCCATTAACTCGTCATTTAGCGTTAGGTATATCTCCTAATGCTATCCCTCCCCCCTCCCCCCACCCCACAACAGTCCTCAGAGTGTGATGTTACCTTCCTGTGTCCAAGTGTTCTCATTGTTCAATTCCCATCTATGATTTAATTCCATCTATGGCTTAGTTAATGATTAATTTATTAGAGTTACATGCATTGGATATCAATTTGATGATATTATTATGCAGCAATTTAAACTTGACTGGGAGAAATATATACCAATGTGAGGAAAGTTTACAAATAGGCCGAGTAGAAAAGGGAATACAAATTTAGGAATTTAGGGAATTACAATTTAATAATTGCAATGTGTACTAAATAATGTATACAGAAAAATATGATGAGCCTATTAAAAATTGACACATGTAGTAGGCTGTTGGCACAAGAAATAGTGATACATACAGTTCATTGTGTACAAAATAATGTAATCATATTTTACATGTGTATCATACAGTTGTATACATACATATGTACACATATACATATACGTAAAAACATGATTCTGTTTTTACATACATGTATATACATATACACATATAACCCAATGTATTTATATATTCAGGACTCATATTTTACCTATTAGAATAATAATGTCTATTAAAGTGAACCTTCTGTATTTCACATTTATTGCCAAAATAACGAATCTCCACATAGTCAATTCATTGTTAAGGTGTATTAGAGATCGACAGTTAGTCATATCAGTTTCTTTTTTCCATTTGTATAGCTTGAAGAGAAACTCACTGCTGAGAAATTGATGGAATGGACAAGTTTGCAGAATATGAGAGAGACATGTGTCGATTTACACTTACCTCGGTTCAAAATGGAAGAGAGCTATGACCTCAAGGACACGTTGAGAACCATGGGAATGGTGAATATCTTCAATGGGGATGCAGACCTCTCAGGCATGACCTGGAGCCACGGTCTCTCAGTATCTAAAGTCCTACACAAGGCCTTTGTGGAGGTCACTGAGGAGGGAGTGGAAGCTGCAGCTGCCACCGCTGTAGTAGTAGTCGAATTATCATCTCCTTCAACTAATGAAGAGTTCTGTTGTAATCACCCTTTCCTATTCTTCATAAGGCAAAATAAGACCAACAGCATCCTCTTCTATGGCAGATTCTCATCCCCATAGATGCAATTAGTCTGTCACTCCATTTAGAAAATGTTCACCTAGAGGTGTTCTGGTAAACTGATTGCTGGCAACAACAGATTCTCTTGGCTCATATTTCTTTTCTATCTCATCTTGATGATGATAGTCATCATCAAGAATTTAATGATTAAAATAGCATGCCTTTCTCTCTTTCTCTTAATAAGCCCACATATAAATGTACTTTTCCTTCCAGAAAAATTTCCCTTGAGGAAAAATGTCCAAGATAAGATGAATCATTTAATACCGTGTCTTCTAAATTTGAAATATAATTCTGTTTCTGACCTGTTTTAAATGAACCAAACCAAATCATACTTTCTCTTCAAATTTAGCAACCTAGAAACACACATTTCTTTGAATTTAGGTGATACCTAAATCCTTCTTATGTTTCTAAATTTTGTGATTCTATAAAACACATCATCAATAAAATAATGACATAAAATCATTTTTGCTTTACCTGTTTTCTCTCTGGAAAGGGCAAGTGTCCAGTTACACATAGGAAAGATAATTTAGAGATATATTAATCATATATAAAGGAAAATTAAAAACAGAGTAGTTCATGATGAGCCTGGAGTAGAAGGCATATCCCAGAACAGGAGGAGCCTTGTAAACCACATAGGAACTTCCTATTTTATGCTAAAGGGATAAGAAACTCATTACAGGCTTTGATGGTTGTTTGTCAAAGAGGGGCATAAAATTATCATATCCACATCTAGAAAATACATCTCTGGCTACGCTGATATCAATGGATGCGAGGAAAGAACAGTGTGGTTACCATATATAAATTAGGAAATCATTAGAGTATTGGGAGTGGAAATGGAGAGAAAGAAAGAGCCTGGGGGAATTATTTAGGAAATAATAGTTACAGAAAGACATCTAAGTTGCTGACCTATCTGACTGGATGGATGGAAGAATATCTTGTTTCTGAGAGAAAAAAAGACTTTGGGTTTAAATTTGTACTTGATGAATTAAGGTACTTTTAATATTCAAATGGATTTGCCTGGCAGGCACTTGAAGATATTAGTCTAAATCTCAGAAACAGAATATGATCTGAAGCTCTAAATTTGTGATATTCAATATAAATACTTTAGAGTCATTGGGATAAATATGGTAGTTGTAGCTAAAAGCAAAAATAAGATACTAGGGAGAAAGGATAAAGTTAGAAGAAAGAAGAATCTAGAATTGACCTTGAAGTATATCAGCATGTGTAAAGATCAGGAATTGATCATTTTTATTTTCCAGAAAGTAGCTTTTCTTAGGGTTCCATATTTACTCCCATAGATTCTTCCCAGTCAGTACTGAATCCCACCTGGTTTCATAAAACATAAGTTTTAGAGAATTTGAACAAGGTTGAAGTTTTCTTCAGCAAGATTCAGCAGTCCAAGATGAAGGCAGAGGAAACAAATGTTTCACCACTTAACTATGAGACTTGGTCAAGTTGTCGAGGGAATTGACAGACTAGCCAGAGAGTGTATAACATCAACAATCTGTTCAGTGAATACAGCTGGGGAAAGAAAGCAAAGAAGGATGTAATAGTCTTGAAGAACACATGTGCATTACAATACTTACTGAGGTCAAATAAGGATGGTATTGAGTTTATGAGAAAGATGAAGAGGTCAGAAGTTTGGGCCAGGACCTATGATTTTGAAGTATGCTTTAAAATGATAAATTGTAAGGAATTATAAAGCTCAAATTCTGTCCAATAGGTGAGGATTAATTTCTAATGATTCAATGAAGCTGAAAATGGTAGAGTGGATAGTTTTGAAGAACTGATTGTTAGAATCACTTTAGACCATATCCTTCAACTATTATTAATTTTTCTGGGTTTAAAAGAAGGTACTTTTTAATAATGAAAATGTTAAGACAAAGCTCATAAGCATTAGATTCTTATAGAGGAGAGGGCATAGTTGATATTTTGTTAGGAGAATTGAAATATTTACATACATTCTAGGCCCACCAGAAAACCAGTTGCCCCTGCATTGTAGCCATCTGCAAGAGACACTGAAGGGAAAGCCAAATTTTTTGTCTTGATTTTTTAAATAATGAATTAAAATCTATTGAGTAAAACAGAATACGAGTCCCTGCTCATATAAAATAAATGACTAAATTAAAAGTTTCATAAGAAATGCAAAATTTAAGTGCTTTCAAAACTCCTCCTCATGGAATACCACTTTGTACCAATTATGATGGCCAAAATTAAAACTTATAATACTGGGCCATTGCAAGTTTTGAAAAGAATGTGAAGCAACTGGAACTCTCACAAACTGCTGATGGAAATACAAAAGGTGCAACCATGTTGGAAAACAGTCTTAAATCACTGAACTACACACTTACATTTTATTTTAATTAATTATGCCTCTATAAAGTTGACTCAAAAGAGGAAAAAGAGAATTGTCCAAAACACACATCTTTAGGTGAAAAAATCTTCTTCATTAAATGTTGTTTTTAAATGTATTTTTAATTAATAAAAACTGTATACATTTATGTTGTAAAACATGTTGTTTTGAAATATGTATACATAGTGGAATGAGTCAGTAGAGCTAATTTATATATACATTACCTCACATAATTTTTTGTGGTAAGAACACTGCAAAGCAATTTTCAAAAATAAAATGCATTAACTATAGTCACCATGTTGTAAAATAGACCTTCTGAACTCATGTCTCCTGTTTAACTGAAATTTGTATCCTTTGACCAACATCTCCTCAACTCCCTCTCACATCCCGGCTCCTGGTAACCACCATTTTACTCTTTATTTATATGAGTTCAACTTTTCTAGATTCCACATATAAGAGAGATCATGCAATATTTGTCTTTCTCTGCATGGCTTATTTCACTCAACATAACGTTCTCCAGGTTTACCATGCTGTCATAAATGACAGAGTTTCCTTCCTTTTAAAGGCTGAATAGTAAGTTTTCTACTGTGCATGTATATAGCACGTTTTCCTCATCCAGTCATTCATTATTACATAGATGGGTTGATTCCGTATTTTGATTATTGTGAATAATGCTGCAATGAACGTGGGAATAAAGATATCTTTCCAACATAACTGCTTTTATTTCCTTTGGAAATATACTCAAAACTGGAATTACTAAATCATATGGCAGTACTGTATTTAATTTTCTGAAGAATCTTTATGATGTTTTCCATAATGTCTATGCTAATTTATAATCCAACCAACAGAGTAAAATAAGCCTTTTTCTGCAACGTTCTTGTCAACACTTGTTATCATTTGCGTTTTTGACAAAAAGCCATTCTAACAGGAGTGAGGTGATAGCTCATTGTGGTTTTAGTTGGCATTTCTCAAATGATTATTGATATTGCATGTTTTCTATTGACAAATGTCTATTCAGATCATTGGCCTATTTTTAATTGGGTTATTTGTTTTATTGTTATTCAGTTTTTCAGTTCCTTATATATTTTGGATATTAATCCGTTTTCAGATGTATGCTTTACAGATATTTTCTCCCATTTGTCTCTTCACTCTGGTGATTCTCATTTGTGCGAAGCTTTTTAATTCCATATGGTCTCATTTGTCTAATTTAGCTTTTGTTGCCTTTGATTTCATAACCAAAAAATTATTGCCCAAACCAATATCATGAAACTTTTCCCCTCTGTTTTCTACTAGTTGTTTTACAGTTTTAAGTCTTACCTGTAATCTATTTGGAATTGATTTTTCATATGGTGTAAGATATGGTTCTAATTTCATTTTTCTGCATGTGTATGTGGTTTCTTAAAACAATTTATTAAAGAGACTGTCCTTTTCCCATTAAATGTTCTTGGCCCTTTGTTAAAAGCTATTTGGCCATAAATATCTGGATCTATTTCTGGACTGTATTCTCTTCTACTTCTTTATGTGCCTGTTTTTATGCCAGTACCATGCCATTTTGATTAATATTGATTCTTAAGATATTTTGAAGTTAAGTAGTGTGATGCCTCCTGCTTTGTTCTCTTTGTTCAAAATTGCTTGACTATTCTAGGTTTTTTGTGGTTCTATACATATTTTAGGATTTTTAAAGAAATTTTGGTAGGTATTGAATTGAAACCATAGATAAATTTGGGAAGTATGAATATTTTAACAATATTAATTCTCCCAATCCATGAAAATGGTACATCCTTCCATTGCTTTCTGTCTACTTCAATTTTTTTCAATGTCTTTCACATCCTTAGTTAAATTCATTCCTAAGTATATTTTGAACTATTGTAAATGAAATTGTTTCCTCGATTTCTTTTTCAGGTGGTTGCTTGTAAGTACATAGAAGCACTACTAATACTTTGTATGTTGATTTTGTATTCTGCAACTATGCTGAAGTCATTAGTTCTAACAGATTTTTTTGTGGAATCTTTAGGGTTTTCTATATAAAATATCATGTCACTTGCAAACGAGACTATTTAAGTTGTTTCTTTCTGATTTTGAAGGCTTTTACATTTTTCTATTGCATAATTGCTCTGACGAGGAATTCTAGTACCAAACTGAATAAAAGAGTGGGCATTTTTGTCTTATTCTTAGAGGAAAAGTTTTAAATTTTCATAATTGCATATGATTTTAGCTGTGGGTTGGTCATAGATGGCTTTTATTATGTTAAAATACAGTCCTGTACCTAATTTATTGAGAAATTTTATCATGAAATCAGGTTGAATTTATTCAAACGCTTTTTCTGCATCTCTTGAGATAATCATATCATTGTCCTTTATTCTGATAATAAAATTTATCATATTTATGGATTTTCATATATTAAACCATCCTTGCATCCCTGTGATAAATCCTATTTCATTATGTCAATTGATCAACTACATGTGCTATTGAATTCAGTCTGCTAGTAATTTTTGAGGATTTTTGCATCTATGCTCATCAAGGATATTCATCTATAATTTTTTTTCTTGTAGTGGTCTTGTGTGGCTTTAGTATTTCCATATCCTGGCCTCCTAAAATGAGTTTGAAAGTATTTCCTCCACTTCAGTTTTTTTGGAAGTATGAGAAGAATTGGTAGTAGTCCTTCCTTATATATTTGGTAGAATTCAGCTGTAGAGCCACTGGGTTCTGGGCTTTTCTTTGATAAAAGAATTGTTATTACTAATTCAATCTCCTAACTCACCATTGGTCTGTTCAGATTTTCTGTTTCTTCATCGTAGATTTATCCTGGTAGATTATACGTATCTAGAAATTTATCAGTTTTTTTCTAGGTTATCCAATTTGTTGGTCTATAATTGGTCTTAGCAGTATCTTATGATGCATTGTATTTCTGTGGTATCAGTTGTAAAATCTCTTTCATTTCTGATTTTATTTGCATCTTTCCACTTTTTTCTAAGCCTTTAAAGGTTTATCATTTGTGTATAATTTTTTAAAAGCAATTCTAACTTTTGTTGATCTTTTCTATTGTTTTCTAATCTCTATTTCATTTATTTCTGCTCTGATTATTATTATTTCCTTCCTTCTATTAATTTTGGGCTTAGCTTTGTTCTTGTCTTTTTAGTTCTTTGCGATATTACATTAGGGTGTTTATTTGAGAGCTTTCTTCTTTTTTGATGTAGGTGTTTATTGCTATAAACTTCACTCTTGGCCAAGTGCAGTGGCTTATGCCTGTAATCCCAGCACTTTGAGAGGCCAAAATGAGAGGATTGCTTGTACCCAGGAGTTCAAGACCAGTCCAGGCAACATAGGGAAACCCCATCTCTACACAGAAAAAATGAAAAAGTAGCTAGGCTTGGTGGTGTACACCTGTGGTTCCAGCTACTTAGGAGGCTGAGGTGAGAAAATTCCTTAATCCCTGGAAGTTGAGGCTGCAGTGAGCCATAATTGTGCTACTACACTTCAGCCTGGGTGACAGAGTGAGACCCTGTCTCAAAAAGAAAAATTACTCTTAGAAGTGCTTTTTATATGCATCCCATACATTAGTTTTGTTATGTTTTTTTTTCTATTTTTGTTTGCCTCAACATACTTCTTAATAAATTTTTTTCATTGATCTCTTGAGTGTTTAGGAGTATGTCGGTTAATTTTAAAATATTTGGGCATTTTCCAAAATTCCTCCTGTTACTGAATTACAGTTTCAAGTATTGTGGTTGGTAAAGATACTTACTATGATTTCAATGTTCTCAAATTTCTATGCCTGAGAAAAATATGTATTCTGTAACTGGAGGATGGGATGTTCTGAATGGTCCATTTGATCTAAGATTTAGTTTAATTCTGTTTCCTTATTGATTTTCTGTATGGAGGAAAGTGGGGTACTGAAGTCTTCTAATATTATTGTATTACTGTCTATCTCTCCCTTCAGATTTGTTCATATTTATATATTTAGGTGCTCTGACATTGGATGCATATGTTTATAATTGTTATATCTTCTTCATAAATTGATCCTTTTATCATTATAGAATAACCTTCCTCATCTCTTTTTACAGCTTTTGACTCAAAGCCTATTTTATGTGATATAAGTATAGCTATTCATGCTCTCTTTTGGTTTCCATTTGCATGCAATAACTTTCCCCATCCCTTCACTTTCAGTCTATGTCCTTAAAGGTGAAGTGAGTCTCTTGTAGACAGCATATAGTTAGATCTTGTTTATTTTTATCCATTCAGTCAATCTATGTCTATGATTAGAAAATGTAATCCATTTATATTCAAGGTAACTATTAATCAATAAAGACTTATTACCACTATTTTGTTAATTGGTTTTCAGTTGTTTGTAGATCTTTCATTCCTTTCTTCCTCTTTTGCTGTCTTCCTTTGTGAATGATTTTCTGTAGTCACATGCTTTGATTCTTTACTTTTTTTCCTTTGTGTATCTACTCTAAGTTTTTGCTTTGTATTTACAATGAGGATTATAGAAAATATTTTATATTTACATTAGGCTATTTTAAGCTGATAACAGTTTAACTCTGTCTGCATTGAAAACCTCTGCACTTTTAATCTATGTCCCCACATTTTAAATATTTGATGTCATAATTTACATCTTTTTATGTTGTATATTCCTTAACAAATTATTGTAGTTATTATTTTTTACTAGTGAGTTTTATACTTTCATATATTTTGTGTTGCCCATTAGCATCTTTTTCTCTCACATTGAATAATTAATTCCCTTTAGCAATTCCTATAAGATATGTCTGCTCATAATGAACTCCCTCAGTTTTTCTTTGTCTGGAAAATTTTTTATCCCTCCATTTTTCAAGGATAGCATTGTCATATTTGGTATTCTTATTTGGCAGTTTTTAATCTTTCAGTACTTTGAATATATTATCTCACTCTCTCTGGCCTCTAAGATCTTGGCTATGAACACTCTGAGGACTTACTAGAACTCTCTTTTTGTTAATCCCTTATTTTTTCCAGCTACTTTCACTATTCTCTCTTTTTATTTTTGACAGTTTGATTATATTATGGCCTTTTGTAGATTTGTTTGGACTAAATTTTTTTTTTATTTCTTTTTTTCCTTTATTTGTAATTATTGTTTTCTTCTCAACTATCATTAGAATTTTTGAATAATTAGGGTTTTTTTTCTTTTTTTTTCTTTTTTTTAATTATTATTATACTTTAAGTTTTAGGGTACGTGTGCACAATGTGCAGGTTAGTTACATATGTATACATGTGCCATGTTGGTGTGCTGCACCCATTAACTCGTCATTTAGCATTAGGTATATCTCCTAATGCTATCCCTCCCTGCCTCCCCCCACCCGACAACAGTCCCCAGAGTGTGATGTTCCCCTTCCTGTGTTCATGTGTTCTCATTGTTCAATTCCCACCTATGAGTGAGAACATGCGGTGTTTGGTTTTCTGTCCTAGCGATAGTTTACTGAGAATGATGATTTCCAATTTCATCCATGTCCCTACAAAGGACATGAACTCATCATTTTTTATGGCTGCATAGTATTCCATGGTGTATACTTGTCACATTTTCTTAATCCAGTCTATCATTGTTGGACATTTGGATTGGTTCCAAGTCTTTGCTATTGTGAATAATGCCGCAATAAACATATGTGTGCATGTGTCTTTATAGCAGCATGATTTATAGCACTTTGGGTATATACCCAGTAATGGGATGGCTGGGTCAAATGGTATTTCTAGTTCTAGATCCCTGAGGAATCACCACACTGACTTCCACAATGGTTGAACTAGTTTACAGTCCCACCAACAGTGTAAAAGTGTTCCTATTTCTCCACATCCTCTCCAGCACCTGTTGTTTCCTGACTTTTTAATGATCGTCATTCTAATTGGTGTGAGATGGTATCTTATTGTGGTTTTGATTTGCATTTCTCTGATGGCCAGTGATGGTGAGCATTTTTTCATGTGTTGTTTGGCTGCATAAATGTCTTCTTTTGAGAAGTGTCTGTTCATGTCCTTTGCCCACTTGTTGATGGGGTTGTTCATTTTTTTCTTGTAAATTTGTTTGAGTTCATTGTAGATTCTGGATATTAGCCCTTTGTCAGATGAGTAGGTTGCGAAAATTTTCTCCCATTTTGTAGGTTGCCTGTTCACTCTGATGGTAGTTTCTTTTGCTGTGCAGAAGCTCTTTAGTTTAATTAGATCCCATTTGTCAATTTTGGCTTTTGTTGCCATTGCTTTTGGTGTTTTAGACACGAAGTCCTTGCCCATGCCTATGCCCTGAATGGTAATGCCTAGGTTTTCTTCTAGGGTTTTTATGGTTTTAGGTCTAACATTTAAGTCTTTAATCTATCTTGAATTAATTTTTGTATAAGGTGTAAGGAAGGGATCCAGTTTCAGCTTTCTACATATGGCTAGCCAGTTTTCCCAGCACCATTTATTAAATAGGGAATCCTTTCCCCATTGCTTGTTTTTCTCAGGTTTGTCAAAGATCAGATAGTTGTAGATATGCGGCGTTATTTCTGAGGCCTCTGTTCTGTTCCATTGATCCGTATCTCTGTTTTGGTACCAGTACCATGCTGTATTGGTTACTGTAGCCTTGTAGTATAGTTTGAAGTCGGGTAGCGTGACACCTCCAGCTTTGTTCTTTTGGCTTAGGATTGACTTGGCGATGCGGGCTCTTTTTTGGTTCCATATGATCTTTAAACTAGTTTTTTCCAATTCTGTGAAGAAAGTCATTGGTAGCTTGATGGGGATGGCATTGAATCTATAAATTACCTTGGGCAGTATGGCCATTTTCACGATATTGATTCTTCCTACCCATGAGCATGGAATGTTCTTCCATTTCTTTGTATCCTCTTTTATTTCACTGAGCAGTGGTTTGTAGTTCTCCTTGAAGAGGTCCTTCATTTATTCATTTCTTCTAGATTTTCTAGTTTATTTGCGTAGAGGTGTTTGTAGTATTCTCTGATAGTAGTTTGTATTTCTGTGGGATCAGTGGTGATATCCCCTTTATCATTTTTTATTGCGTCTATTTGATTCTTCTCTCTTTTTTTCTTTATTAGTCTTGCTAGCAGTCTATCAATTTTGTTTGGACTAAATCTGACTGGAGAATTTTGACCTTCTTATATCTGGATACTTATATTTTTCTCCAAATTTGGAAGGTTTTTTGATATTATATCTTAAAATATGCTTTTTGTTCCTTTTTCTTTCTTCTTCAGAAACTTCTATACATTGAATTTTTATACTTTTCCATAAACCCTGTAACCATTGTTTCTTCCTTTTATTTTTTTCTTCTTCTCTGACTGTATATTTTCAAATAATCTGTCAAGTTTACAGATTCTTTCTTCTGTTTGATCAATTCTGCTGTTGATGCTTTCTACTGCATTTTTATTTTATCCATTGTATTTTTCAGCTCTAGAATTTGTTTGATTTTTTTTTTTAATAATTTCAGTCTCTGTTAAATTTCCAATTTTCATCATTTATTGTTTTTCTGTTTTCATTGATTGTTTTTCTGTGCTTTCTTTAGGTTCCTTGATTTTTTTCAAACTTTTATTTTGAATTATTTGTCAGCCAGTTCTTCCATCTTCATTTCTTTGGAGTCAGCTACTGGGAAGTTATTTTGTTCTTTTGGTAGTGTTATGTCTCCTTGGTTTTTTATGTTTGTTGTTGTCTTACCTGGATGTCTGCATGTTTGAAGAAGCAGATAATTTTCCAGTCTTTGCAGACTGGCTTTCTCTGGGAAAGTCCTTCACCAGTTATTCCATTCAGAGATTCTGGGCAGGCCATTGGGCAGGTTTGCTGCTGGAGTCCTCAGTAAGGCTGGCCTGGTGCTGAGTCAATGAGTGGTCAGGTCTGTTGCTTGAGTCCTGAGAGTTGGCCCTTAAGTATAGATTCAATGGGGTTGACCTGTTGATTGAGTCCCCAAAGATCTAACTGGAGCCCAGGTCCATGAGGACAAGCCTGAAGCCTGCAGCCACAGGGCCAGCCTAAGCCTGGGTCCACCAGGGCCAGCCAACCTGGCACTGGGATAGTCTGTGAGCTTGAGTCTTCAAAGAATGGCCAAACACTGAGATGGGACTGACACCTTGGTCCACTGGTTTGGGCTTGGAGCCTCAATCTGTGTGGGTACATCTGAGCCTTTAGTTCCCATAGTTTGGCCTGGATCCTGAGTCCACTGGGGAAGGTCTTGGTCCTGGGTCCATGGGAGCTGGCCTGAAGCCTGGGTCTGCAGGAGTGGTCTTGGAGCCTCAGTCCACAAAGTATTGCACACACTGGAATCTACTGAGGTGGGCCTGGACCCTTGATATCCTGGAGTAAGCCTAGACCCTGGGTCTTCTGGAGCCTGGGACAGAAGAAACAGCCTGGATGCTGGTGCTGTGGTCAGCATGGAGCCTGGGCTCACTAAGGCTAGTCTGAAGTCCAGAATAATGAGCACTTGTTTGTACCTAGAGCCACTGTGGCTGGCCTGGACCCTTGGGTGACAGAAACTAGCATGGGCCTTGTGTCCTCTGGTGCTTTCCTGGAGGCTGAGTGTGCTAGAGGATAATTCTTCACAGGATAACCTGGGTCCTGGGGGCTTGAGGACTAGCCTGGGACTCAGATACACAAAGACAATCCTGGAGCCTGGGTTCATGGAAGCCAGTCCAACACTGGAGTCCAGAGGGACAGTTCTAGACCCTAGGTCTGTTACACAGGCTTTAAGCCTGCGGCTTCCAGATCTGGCCTGTCCCTTGGGCAAGTCTGGTTACTCAGTCCTCAGGTATTGGCCTGGAATCTGGAGCAATGAGGGCCTGCGTAGTGCTGGGCTTTGCTATGGCAAGCTAGTTGCACTGGGATGTCAGGTAAACTTCAATGCTTACTTCCGTCTCCTTCCTCCATGCATTATCTCTCTCTGCATTGTGCTGCCGAGGATTGGGGAAGGGGTGATGTGGGTAATGTAAAACTGTCTTTCCTATACTCTTTAATGTGTCTTTTCTCATTTCTGTGCTACATCCAAGTGTTGAAATCTCTTACCTGGATTCCTTAATCCTTGTGAAGGTAGTTTCATGAATTGGTGGTTATTCAAATTGATGTTTCTGTAGGGGGATAAATACTGGAGAGTCCTATTTCACCATCTTGCTGATGTGCATCCTAAACATGTTTTTAAGAGCAACATTATTCTTACTGAATAATGGTATGGTTATTCAGTAAGTATGGTTGGCCTCCATGTCCCCACCCAAATCTCATGTTGAATTGCGATCCCAAGTGTTGGAGGTGGTGCCTGGTGGGAGGTGATTGTGTCATAGAGATGGTTTCTAATGGCTTAGTGCCATCCCCCCATGCTGTCTTGTGATAGAATTCTCATAAGATCTGATTGTTTGAAAGTGTGTAGCACCTCCCACTTTCCTCTCTCTCTTCCTCCTGCTTTAGTCATGTAGGACATGCCAGCTTCCCCATAGACTTCCACCATGACTGTAGGTTTCCTGAAGCCTCCCCATTCATAGATCCTGTGCAGCCTGTGGAAATATGAGCCAATTAAATATGACTTTTAAATAAACTACCAGTCTCAGGTAGTTCTTTATATCAATGTGAGAACAGACTAATACAGAAAATTGGTACAAGAGAAGTGGGGCATTGCTATAAAAATACCTGAAAATGTGGAAGCAGCTTTGGAACTAGGTAACAGGCAGAGGCTGGAACAGGTTGGAGGCCTCAGTAGAAGACATGAAGATAAGGGAAAGTTTGGAACTTCCTAGAGACTTGTTGAATGATTTTGACCAAATGCTGAAAGTGATATGGACAGTGAAGTCCAAGCTAAGGAGGTTTCAGATGGAGATGAGGAACTTATTGTGAACTTAATAAAGGTCAATCTTGCTATGCTTTAGCAAAGAGACTGGTGCATTGTGTCCTGTTCTAGGGATCTGTAGAACTTTGAACTTGAGAGAGATGATTTAGGGTATCTGGTGAACAAATTTCTAAGCAGCAAAGTATTCAAGATGTGGCCTGGCCTAGCCGCCTCTAACAGCATACACTGATATGCATGCACAAAGAGATTATCTGAAACTGGAATTTACACTTAAAAGGGAAGCACAGCATAAAAGTTTGGAAAATTTGCAGCCTGTCCATGTTGTATAAAAGACAAACCCATTTCTGGGAAGGAATTAAAGCTGCCTGCAGAAATTTGCATAAGTAAAGAAGAGTCAAATATTTATAGCCAAGACAATAGGGAAAATGCCTCCAAGTCATTTTAAAGACCATTACAGCAGCCCCTCCCGTCACAGGCCTGGATGCCTAGGAGGGAAAAATGGTTTTGTGGGCCAGGGCCAGGGCCAGGGCCAGGGCCCTGCTGCTCTGTGCAGCCTCAAGACAAGGTGCCCTGCATCCCAGCTGCTCTAGCTCCAGCCATGGTTAAGGAACCCCAGATACATCGCAGGCCACTGCTCCAAAGAGTGCAAGGTATAAGCCTTGGCAGCTTCTGCATGGTTTTAAGCCTACGGGTACACAGAGGGCAAGAGTTGAGGCTTGGAAGTCTCCACCTAGACTTCAGAGGAAGTATGGAAACACCTGGATGTCCAGGCAGAAGTCTACTGCAGGAATGGAGCCCTTATGAAAAACTTCTACAAGGGCAGTGCAGAAGGCAAACGTGGGGTTGGAGCCCTCACACAAAGTGCCCATTGGGGCACTGCCTAGTGAAGCTGTGAGAGAAGAGCCACTGTGCTCCAGACCCCAGAATGGTAGATCTACCAACAGCTTGCACCATATGCCTGGAAAAGCAATAGGCACTCAATATCACCCTGTCAAAGCAGCCATAGGAGGCATACCTTTCAGAGGCACAGGGCAGAGCTGCCCAAGGCCTTAGACTCCCACCCCTTGTGTCAGTGAGGCCTGGACGTGAGACATGGAGTCAAAGGAGATTATTTTGCAGCTTTAAGATTTAATGACTTCCCCACTGGGTTTCAGACTTACATGGGACCTGTACCCCTTTGTTTTGGCAATTTCTTCCTTTTGGAATGGGATAATTCACACAATGCCTGTACCCCCATTGTATCTTCAAAGAAACCAACTTTTTTTTTATTTTACAGGTTCATAGGCAGGAGGAACTTGCTTTGCCTCAGATGAAACTTTGGACTTGGACGTTTGAGTTAATGCTGGAATGAGTTAAGACTTTGGGAGACTGCTGGGAAGGCATGATTGTGTTTTGAAATGTAAGAAGGACATGAGATTTGGGAGGGGCTGGGGTAGAATGATATGGTTTGGTTCTATGTTCCCAACCAAATCTCATGTTGAATTGTGATCCTGAGTGTTGGAGGTGGGGCCTGGTGGAAGATAATGGTATCATGGGGGCAGTTTCTAATGGTTTAGCACCATCCCTCCAGTCCTGTCTCATGATGGAATTCTCACAAGACCTGGTTGTTTGAAAGTGTATAGCACCTTTCCCTTTGCTCTCTCTCTTCTGCTCCAGCCACGTAGGACATGCTGTCTTCCCTCTCATGTTCTGCAGGATTGTAAGTTTCTGTGGCCTCCCAAGCCATGCTTCCCATATAGCCTGCAGAACCATGAGCCAATTAAACTTCTTTTTTTAATAAATTACCCAGCCTCAGATAGCTCTTTATAGCAATGTGAGAACAGATTAACATACAAACAGTTAACCATATGTATGATAGTATTCCTGTCATACAGAGCAAGAAACATCATGAAACTAAAAATTGAAAAATAAAATTCTGTTATTTGTGACTTACCAATTTGCCTTAACTGATCATCAGGAGGTTAAAAGTGATTGTATTTAAAATTTTGTTTGAAATTTTGAAGAGTTTAAAGAGGAATTTTGTTTCTAGATAATTTTCCATTAAATGTGATTGGATAAAATTCGGTATTTACGTCAGTTTTTTATACAATTTCCAATAGTCAAAGACGGAAGTTAAGACTTACAAACTACTTTTGCTGTATAAATGGAAGGATACACAACTTCCTTTCTTATAAATGATACAGTACTCTTCTGAGAAAAACCCTTACTGTATAATCTTGTCTGCTCTATCAAAATGGGGGCTTTGTAAGTATCATTTATGTTGAATACCTAGAACCCACACAGATGGTCAGCATCTATGTGGTAAATGAATGACTGAATCATTTCCCTTAAGTCACTCAGGAACCCATCATTTGTTATATGAGAACACATCTATATTTCTATTATAAAATATATTATAAACACCAAAAATGTAGTATCACTGTGTATAGTGTTCAGTCTTATCTGCCACTCAACAATTATTCTGCACCTACTATGTGCCACACTGGATTAGGCAATGGATTCTCAGATGTAGGCCAACAAAAAATTAGCCAAGCATGCTGAAGGCTAGAAGGGGGAACCAAATTCAGAGCACAAGTGGACCGGAACCTGGAAAAATGTCCAAATGGTCAAAGCAGAGTCAAAGGTCTAAAACTACAATAGCAGTATAAACACAATATGTGGATGTAAGTACCTGAGATCAGGCAGAAAAGAGTTGGTGAGCAGTCAAAAAATCTATAAATCCACAAAACCCGGGGATTTCATAACAGAGAAATACTCAAAAATTCAGGAAGACATTTTGTAATAGACACAAGAGAGCAGAATTCACTGAAGCAAACTTCTGTCCACCCAAGCAGCTATTTGTATGATTCCATCAAGGATAGGGCCATCCAAGGGTATAAGAAACCCAAGGCCAAACTTTGCGTTCTAGGAGGTTAAAGTTTTAAGTTTGTATTTTTTCTGTTGCTGTTAATTATCTGCCATAATGGGAAGAAGCCAGAAAGACACATAATTTAAAATATTACATAAGATAATTCATATTCATATTTCATGTTAGACAACAAATGCAATTGCTTCCTCCTTAAGAACTTTGTATCTGTATTTTTTCTCTAATAATAATTTTAAGAAAAACCAAAGCTTGCATTTTTTAGTGTCTTTTAAGTTGGACAGTGGTCAGACTAAAGTGAGGACCACCTTCAGATAAACTGAGCATGACAAATGGGGCATTGTATGCACAGCCATGTTTATGACTGTTCCAGCAGTTGCACATCAATGACCTCCAAGGCAATGCTGAGACAGCTAGTGAAGATGATCCTAATGTCTCCTGTCTCCATCATAGGAAAGCTCTGCATCCTGATACAGCCTATCACTGCATCTCTGATCCCATATCATCCAGAGCATGTTCTGGATCACACAAATGGTGGCTCTGGGGATAGGGAGGTTGTCCTCTCCATCCCAAGCCCCCACCCTCCAAATACACACCTGCACAAATAAAGCAGAGTTATACAAGTGCTCAGGCATCTTAGGACCTTCTGCTGACCCCCAGAGAGTGAGCTGGAAAGGAAGCAGGAAGTTTGCATATATGTAAATTTTGGAGCAGCTTGTTCTGCCAACACTTCTTGCAGTGACAGGTTTTGGTTGTGGTGATGACATAAAATCTACTTGGAGATGGAAAGTGCATCATAAATACAAGATCATAAGTTAACATTTTCTAGACTCAAGGAATTAATCTGTGTAAGCTTAGTGAGCCAGAAATATTAAACACACTTAATAAGCTTAATACGAACATTGGTGTACAGCTTCCAAGAACACTCACTTTCAAAGCTGATGTGGAGCTACAAATCAAACAGGGAAGAGAAATACCTCTTTGACCTGGTATCCACCAACATTTTAGAACTGATAAGTTAACACTGATAGTCTAAGAAGGTGGCTGAGGACAGGATGGCCATGATTTAGTTTCCAAGTAAAGTTAAAAGATTCTGCCACCACTGCTGCTGCTGCTGCTAATGGTGGTAGTGGAGGTGATGGCGGCGGTCATAAAATGATGATGATGATGATGATAGCAAAAAAAATAGTAGTTAACATCAATTGAATACACACTGTGTCCCAGATTCTTTAATGAGCACATGCTCTATTTATTATAACTCAATAAAGTAGAAATTCTTATAAAACCAATTTAAATGTTTTTAAACTGAAGCTCAGAAAGATAAACACAACAGCCCAAGGTCGTTCCAATTGTCTGACCCTAAACTTGGCACATAGGATTTAGAGATGAACATGAACAAGATTTGTTTTTATTGCTAAAGTAGTTGGCCATAATTTCATCTTTATGTCTGAATTAATTGTTGATTATTCATTTTTCATTAAAATTAGATAGCGAATAATTTTAAAGGGGGTGTTAAAAGTGGTATTAGAAATCATTTATACAATTTTCTTCATTTTTGCAATTAAAGTCCAAATAACTTAATTGCCTTCTGAGTTCGCAGTTGTCAGGGCAGAACTGGAATAGAAACTCTAGCTTCCTGACTTCCAGCCTGGTGCTCTTCACTTGGCTTTCTACCCTCCACTGGGTTGATCAATTTAATGTTACAGATTCATGCTGTCCACTTAGGAACTGATCTGTCATCCTCCAGAAGCACTGACTGCATGGGCCTTGGAATTCACTCCTCTTTTGCCATGATCAACAAGTCAAATGCTGATTACACTGTGGTTCATGAATAACAGTCTATGTGGGAGTTAAATATTTCTGTTTCATTTAGGACACATATTCTAATATTCTAACATATAATTCTAACATTCTAATATGTAATCATGTATCTATATATACACACATTCTTATATATAATTAATATATTAAATGGTGAAAAGTCTTGACAATGTTCAAACCATATTGGAAATTTCAATAGAAAGATGGAAAGTGCAAAAGAGAAATGGTAGAAATAAAAAACATAATAACAGAGATGAAAATGCCTTTGAAGCATTTACTGGTAGATTTTCCATGGAGAGAATGATCTGTGACCTGAATATAGGTTCATAAAAATTACCCAAACTTCAAAACAAAGATTTTAAGAAAAGAGTAAGTGAAAATACTCACTGAGTGCCCAGGACAATAAGTGAAAATAAAGCCACATCAAAGCCCATATTGTACAATTTGAGAATACTGATGTAAAGTTTCTGAAAGCTTCAAGTGAGGGGAAAAAATGCAAATCACACATAAGGAACCTGAGTGGATGCAAAATTCTCCACGGCAAGAGAGAAAGAGGACAATAAAGCAACATCTTTTAAAAATTGTGAAGGAAAAAATTATTTTCCACTTAGAATTCCAAACTCAGAGAAATACCAATCAAATGTGAGGGTAGAATATAGACATATATAGACATATATAGACATGCAAAATCTCAAAAATGTATCTCATATCCATTCTTCCTCAGGAGGCTACTGAAGGACATGTTCTATCAAATAAGAGAGTAAATCAAGACACAGGAGACAACAGAAAAGAGGATAGATACCCAGTATAGGAGTAAGGCAAAGGAAATCTCCAAAAGGCAGTAAAAAGAGATCCTAAGATGACAACTATTGACCAGAGAGTGTACCAATCAGCGTATATCAGAGAATATGATTTAAGGAAAAAGCAACACATGGATGACTATCATTTCCAAGATCACTGCTGCAATAGTAACATGCTTTGATCTTCAGGACAGGATGGCCAGCTGATATTGACTCAGAGTCTTATCTACACTTGGCTTGTCTTGACCGCGTGCTGACAAAATTCCTGCTCTTCATACCCTGATGCCTGGATCAGCTAAGAATACTCATTTCCCCACAGATGCTTCTGTGAGTTGGAAGTAGGCCAAGGTGAGCTTAAAAGCCAAAATCCCAGAGCAGCTCCATCTGTAACCTACTCTACCAAATAATCAGTCCCTTGGACACACTAAACACTTGACTGATGCTGCAACTGTAGAGAAACCTACACGTCCCAAGATCCTTCATTACTTCAGCCACTGACTACTTCAAAGGGGCCTCTTGGAAATGCTCAGATAGGCTCAGGGCCCTGCAATTCTGCGTACGTCATTTACCCTGTGAAGGTTACCCAGGAATCTTCATCTAATAGTGGAGACAGTGGCCTTACCTTATATGGCTAGGTTTGTGCTTACTACTCAGTGTTTTCAACTAATTGGCACATTATTTAGGAGTACATTCGTAGTTGGTAAAACTATTTTTAAAAATAGGAATCCCAGCACTTTGGGAGGCCGACGCGGGCGGATCACGAGATCAGGAGATCGAGACCATCCTGGCTAACACGGTGAAACCCCGTCTCTACTAAAAATACAAAAAATTAGCCGGGCGTGGTGGCGAGCGCCTGCAGTCAGTCGCAGCTACTCGGCAGGCTGAGGCGGTAGAATGGCGTGAACCCGGGAGGCAGAGCTTGCAGTGAACCGAGATTGCGCCACTGCACTCCAGCCTGGGGGACAGAGCAAGACTCCGTCTCAAAAAAAAACTAGGAATCGATTAAATCAAAAGTCAACATAGGCTGGGTGCAGTGGCTCATGCCTATAATCCCAGCACTTCGGGGGGCCAAGGCAGGATTGCTTGAGCCCAAGTGTTCAAGACCACCTGGGCAACATAGCAAGACTTTCTCTCTACTAAAAATAAAAATAAAATGCATATAGTATATATCTGCAGGAAGCAATGTATGGAGAGACAGATTCTGAGGCCAATTTATTGACCTGTTGGAAAGATATATGGGAAATTATTTATTATCACTATTCTTATTAAACTGTATATATACACACACACATATATATACTTCTGTACATATTCATTGTATATATTTTTAAATCAAGGAAAATTTAGAATACCACAGTATGATTAAATGGGCTTATTCCAGATAGCCATATTAGAAAATATATTAATATACTTTACCATATTAAAAGATCTCAGGGGGAAGTCTCTACGGAATTGCACTGTCCATACAGTAATCGTTATTCACATGTGGCTATTTAAATTTAAATAATTAACATTAAGCAAATTAAAAGTACACTTCCTTTGTCTCACTAGTCACATGTCAATACCCACCTACGCCTAGCAGCTATTGTACTGAACCATGTAATTATTGAACGTTTTCATCATCACAGAGCATTCTATGAGACAGCACTGCTATATAGATCCTGGAAAATTATGTGACAAAATTTAATATATATGTTGTATAAAAGCTAGTAATGAAATAAAATAAAATAGAAAGAAATTGACTCTTTAACATATTAAAGTGTAGCCATCTCAATTTCAAAGCCAAAATCAGGTTTAATAGTTTCTAAAAGCAGTTAGAAACACAAGAAGCATTGAATTCAAAGGATAAAAAAGAACACTTGTATTACTATTATTTTTATCAGTACCGAAGAATGAATTGGTAAAAAATAAAAAAATTAAAGAGGAGATTTGTTTATATGGTGTGATAACATTTTTGTTAAAAAGACAAAAAAAATCTGTGCACATGTATTTGTGTGTACACATATAACATATCTCTGAAGGAATATATAAGAAACAACACCATGTGGTCCAGGGCAGGGTAACTGAGTGGCTTGGTGACACTGGTGGCAGAGAGAATGTGCACTGCGTAAACCCTTTTCACCTTTTGTATTTTGAATCATGTGAATGTATCACCTATTTAAAAATATCAATAAAATCTAAATTTTAAAAGAGTTCACTGGCTCTAAGTCTGATTTATTTTACCTATCCATCTAGGCATGGCTCTTTGCATTAATAAGCTGTCAGCTCTCAAGGAACAGAGTCTGACATAAACACTGCTATTGGAATAAACTGACTCACACTAAACAAAGCAGAGTACCCTCTAATTATAGTGCATTACTACTGTCTACAAAGATTCGCTATTTTCTATACACTGTAATTCTGATAAGTGGTTTTGGCAACTACTATTTCCAAACATCTGGTAATACTAGTTTAAGATAATAAATCGTGATAAAGAAAACAATGCAATGAGTTCAAAGAAAAAGAGAATTGAAAGTATATTACTGACCACATTGTTTTACATACATTTTTGAGTGAGATATGACAGTTGTGATAACCAGATTGTGGTTCACAGGCCTAATGTGAAAACCCCAATTTAACTTAACCTTTGTAAAGACAAATACAAATTAAAATTAAGAGTCTTAATTCTTCCTATTAAAGATAAGGGAAGAGATTCTCCTCTCCTCATTTTTATCAGAGTATTTACTTTAGAAAGTTTATAATTCTAAATATTTCCTCCTCCTTTGAAGTGTATATTAATTCATTTGAAGACTAAATATGTCTTTTGTCAACTTTATGACCAAGAAATATCTTTCTCAAGGACCTGGGAACCATCTCTTTGAAATGTAAACATCAGGAGAGATAGCTGCGCTCTCTCTCAGCTTCTGGAGGAGGGTAGAGCTTAACATCAGAGGGCACCTGGCTCCAAGCTGCAAAACTACCTCTGTCTCTCAAGATAGGAGAAGTTTGTTTTTCCTATGTATAAAACCAATTAACTAACACAGATGGTCACCCCAATTACCAGGTGAACCTGGGATGAATTATGTGTGATAAATGGGTCTGTCAAGTGCCCTTACTTGAGTAGTTACTGTTTATTTTGAGAACATCTATGGAATGGATTGGATCTGCCTGTCTGCATAAAAGGGTGAGATTTTTTTCCTGACTTGGCCATCTCTTAGCAGATTGCCTGTGATCCCATTCTGGTTCAATGCTTATTGAATAATGAAAGCGCCTTCTTTCTCTACTACCGTGGTCGAGAGGGTTTCTGGGTTGGAAGAAGATTTTAGTTTTAATTATATTTTTCCAACACTTCCACAATTATGAAGAGTGTGCTTTGTTCCAGCAGAACCCTCTTATGAGATGCTTAAGGAAAATATGCTTGGTAATTGTGACATTGAAGAGAGGAGGCTTTGTTTTCTTACCCGCATTTGATGCATTGTGGAATGGAGAGACCCTTAGATATAATTTTATTAAGAGGCTTGGACCTCAGTACTCTGAGGGAACCCAGGTGCAGGAGTGCACTGGGACCTCATCAAGACTGAACAGGCTCACAGGGAACTTGGGGCTTTTTGTACCTTCCCCTCCAAGTTGTCATTCTTAGAGTGACTTATTACATATCTAGGATGCATATATATATATATATATACACACACACACACACACATATATATGCATATATATATACACACACACATACATGCACATCAAGTTCTGAGATATATATATATATATCAGATATATGTATCTCAAAACTTGATATGTGTAGATAGATACATAGATATAGATATATCCTAGATATGTGTGTGTATATATATATATATAAAATATACTTGATATGTGTGCATATATGTACACATATCATATAGATATATATCAGCACACTCTTCATAATTGTGGAATGTGTTGGAAAAATATGATTAAAACTAAAATCTTCTTCCAACCCAGAAACTCTCTCCACAATGGTAGTAGACAAAGAAAGCACTTTCGTCATTCTAAATATATGTTATATTCTCCATAGATATACTCAGTGAATTGACCCAGGATTGGATTTCTTCAGACCTATGTGGGTAATACTCTCAGGGGACAACTGTGTGCGGTTGGGGTGGGGAGACAACCCCACTGGGAGTCATGACACCAGGCTTCAGTTTCCCAGTTCCGGTATCACCTAGCTGTGTGCCTTGTCAAAGGATGAATTTATTTTATTTTATTTTATTTTATATTTATTATATTATATTATATTTGGAGAGAGAGAGCGATCAGAACTTTGGGGCAGCTAGAGCTCAGCTCTCTGACAATAGCTCTGAAACTTCCAGCTCCTGAATGTATTGGGAACATAAAAAGACTCAATGGCAGAGTCTTCAAGAAAGCAAATAAGCATCTGGTATGAAATACATTGTCTTAGGAAGAGTCACTGCCACCTTACACAGTTTAATGAATACTCAAATGATATTTTGGAAATATAAACCATTTATAGCTGGTTTTTAAAAACTGATTTTAATATTATAATTTGTTGTGTTTAGTTTTTTACTTTTAATGATCACTGAAGTAGCAAATGCGTCTCAAAATTAGAATATCATATTTATAAAATAGATTTTGTTTATTCACAAGTCCCACAATACCAACATGAGTTTCTCTGTTTGCATGTTTTTGATATATGAACCAGATATTTGTGGGTAGGAAAAGAATAGTTCTTCCTACGAAATCAAAGCTCATCCCTTTCCCTGGTTCTAACTTCCCACTTTCTCCTATTGTTACTCAGCTCTGCTACTGTCATGACAAGCAGGCTTCCCTGATTTGGTTTAAAGCAGATTATGGTCCCTAGTTAATCTCCAGGGGACTACTGACCTCAAGACAAAGTCAGAAAATATCAATCTCTGACATGAAAACTCTCCAAAGTTCCCTAAAGTTAATGTGATGTTGTGGACCTTGTTCAGTAAAATAATCTTCTCCAGAGAGAGGGTTTACAGATGACTTGTTGGTCAGGCTTGGGATTCATGAATGAGCCCAGGCTCTCTCTCTAATACTATAGCAGAAGCAGGTTACCACAAAACACATCTGATCTAGGATACATTTTCATAATGATGTCTCTTTTATGAGACAAGCTCCTACAAAGCAGCTTAGGATGACAAGTGAAAAATAATTTTTAAAAAAATTATATATATACATATATATATGGAGATGGAGTCTCTCTCTGTTGCCTAGGCTGGAGTGCAGTGGCACAATCTCGGCTCACTGCAACCTCCACCTGCTGGGTTCAACAAATTCTCCTGCCCCAGCCTCCCTAGTAGCTGGGACTACAGGCACATGCTACCATGCCCAGCTAATTTTTTGTATTTTTAGTAGAGACGGGATTTCACCATGCTGGCCAACAAGTCAGTATCTCTTCAAATACCTTTCTGTTGCAAGGTCTATACAGATGGCTCCCAGAACATCTATACCTACGTTCTTGTCATCTCAGGTCACACCCATTTTTCTTTTTCTAATCCTTTACTTACCAAGCAAGTTTCTAAACTATAATTTGGTCTGTGAATATACCTGTCCAGCAGAAAGATGTTCCAAGATGAGTAAACACGGCTTACAATATAGCTCCTTTTACATGTCAATAAATTTACTGTTTCCAGTGAATAGATCAGATGCATGGCTTGGAGTAATGAGAAACCCTCTTCCAGGAAGTCTTTCACATCCCTTCCAATCTGTGCCAAGTCTCTCACCCACTCTAACCTCCCAGTGAACTAATGAAAGTTTCCTTTAGATCACTAGTATCATCGTAGGCTGCTGTATTTTCACGTCTGTTTCTACCACCAAATTGGACGTCCTTCAACAGCAAGGATTGTTCCACTCATGCTTATATTTTTTGCAGTGAGTACTTAAAGGATATACATTGAATAGAATTAAACTAGATCCCTAGGATCTAACAAGTTATAGATCCAGAAACAAACAAAATGCACCTGATTCTGTAAAACTGAGACCAGATCCTCAAACATCCTGGAGCCCCAGCAAAGAACAGCCAGCCCACAGGTGAGACTTGGGGAAATCCCTGGATTCTGTACATTTTACTCCAAGTCTTTTCACAAATGCTGTCAACTGCACAGCACTCCTACCTCACAGGGGACAGATGTGGCAATATCAAAGGGTCTGTGTGGGGAGACCAGGAGGACTGAAGTGTTTGCATATCACAAGATCTGTTAGTTAAACTCATGGTGAATCTGCTCTGGACTCAGTGAATTGGCCCAGGATTGGATTTCTTCAGACCTATGTGGGTAATGCTCTCAGAGGACAACTCTGTGCATTTGGGGTGGGGAGACAACCCCACTGGGAGTCAAGATAGCAGGCTTCAGTTTCCCAGTTCTGGTATCACCTTACTGTGTGCCCTGTCAAAGGATGAAGCAGAGGCCACTGGGGCTAAGAAAGCAGCACTGAGTTTACTTGCCAGGCAAGAGAACAAACCAGTGAAGGATCCACTCAGTAGCTGACAATTGGAGAAAAGTTAGGGAGTTTCAAGAGCTGTACCGTGCAAAGCCACCAGGGTGGGGCTGCCCAAGGCCATGGGAGCCCGCCTCTTGTATCGGCATGACCTGGATGTGAGACATGGAGCTGAAGGAGATCATTTCAGAGCTTTAAGATTTGACAACCTCGCTGGATTTCAGACTTGCATGGGACCTGCAGCCCCTTTGTTTTGGCCAATGTCTCTCATTGGGAACAGGTGTATTTACCCAATGCCCATACCCCCACTATATCTTGGAAGGAAATAACTTGTTTTTTGTTTTACTGGCTCATAAGTAGAAGGGACTTGCCTTGTCTTAGATGAGACTTTGGACTTGGACTATTGGGTTAATGTTGAAATGAATAAAGGCTTTGGGGGACTGTTGGAAAGGCAAGATTATGAGGACATGAGATTTGGGAAGGGCAGGGGTGGAATAATACAGTTTAGCTGTGTCCCCACCCAAAATCTCATCCTGAATTATAATTCCCATAATCTGCATAATCCCCATGTGTCAAGGGAGAGACCAGGTGGAGATAATTGAATCATGGGGGCAGCTTCCCCCATGCTGTTCTCGTGATAGTGAGTGAGTTCTCATAAGTTTTTATGGTTTATATGTGTCTGGCAAGTTCCTCCTTCTTTCATCCTCCTTCCTGTCACCTTGTGAAGAAGGTGTCTTGCTTCCCCTTTGCCTTCCACCATGATTGTTAAGTTTCCTAAGGCCTCCCCATCCATGCTGACCCGTGAGTCAATTAAACCCCTTTCCTTTTTAAATTACCCAGTGTCAGGCAGTTCTTTATAGCAGTGTGAAAATGGACTAATACAGTTAATTAGTATCAATAATGGGGTATGGAATTTATGGTGGTTATGCTAATCAAATATTAAAAATTTGCATATGAGGTAGTATTGCTATAGTTGTAAAGTTTTCCTTTTGTATTGCTAATTACTTTGGGCTTCTGTTTCTCTTTTTTTTTTTTTTTTTTTTTGAGACGGAGTCTCGCTCTGTCCCCCAGGCTGGAGTGCAGTGGCACTATCTCGGCTCACTGCAGGCTCCGCCTCCTGGGTTCACGCCATTTTCCTGCCTCAGCCTCCCGAGTAGCTGTGACTACAGGTGCCCGCCACCTCGCCCGGCTAATTTTTTGTATTTTTAGTAGAGACGGGGTTTCACCATGTTAGCCAGGATGGTCTCGATCTCCTGACCTCGTGATCCGCCCGCCTCAGCCTCCCAAAGTGCTGGGATTACAGGCGTGAGCCACCGCGCCCGGCCAAGGGCTTCTGTTTCTCATTGTTTAAATGAAGGATTGAATAGATGAGTTCTAAGGTTACTTCCAGCATTCTATTGGTCAATTCCTTCCTTTAAGAAACCTTTTAGCAGAGTATATACTTCTTCATAGGATAAGTAAATGAGAGCACCACAAAAAAGTAAACTTTTAATACTTAAAAAAATTGATGGTACATTTGAGACAGGAAGACAACAGCTGTATGAGTGAGCTTGGAGGCAGATTCTGCAGCTCCAGGTGAGCCTAGAGATGACTGCAGACCTGGGGATAGCTTGACTACAAACTCCTGAGAGACCTGGAGCCGTAGGCACCCACCTAAGCTCTGGGAGATTCTTGACCCCCGGGAAATGTGAGATCAGAAATGTTTATCATTTTTAGCTGCTATATTTTGGGGTATTTTAAATGCACCAATAGATAACTAATATAAAAACTAAATTTTCCCATTTTAATTAATTTAAATGAATGTAGCCACATATGGCTGGTTGCTACCCTATTGAACAGCACAGGTTTAAAAATCATGCTTGCTTTCTTTTACCTCTTTCTATTCAGATATTCAGAGTCTCAAAAAAGGTAAAATAATATAGTTTCAACTGTATGTCCCTGTGGGTCCACCATATCTATGCTGAGGGGTCAGGTCACCTCTATACTTCTAGTGAAAAAGTTGTTGGAATTCCCCCAAGACTTTTTTGTTTTTTTGAGACACAGTCTTACTCTGTCACCCAGGCTGGAGTTTAGTGGCGTGATCTCAGCTCACTGAAACCTCTGCTGCTCGGGTTCAAGCGATTCTCCTGTCTCAACCTCCCAAGTAGCTGGGATTATAGGCACTTGCCACTGCACCCGGCTAATTTGTTTTTTTGTTTGTTGTGTTTTGTTTTTGTTTTTGTTTTTTGTGTTTTTAGTAGAGACAGGGTTTCACCACCTTGGCCAGGCTGGTCTTGAACTCCTGACCTCATCATCCACCCACCTCAGCCTCCCAAAGTGCTGGGATTACAGGTGTGAGCTACCTTGCCTGGCCTCCCCCAAGACTTCTTTAGGCAGTAGGTACGAAATAGAAACTTCAAAAGAATGAAGAAACACCAAATGTAAATATGTGGATAAATATAAAAGATGTTTTGCTCAATTTTAAAATATGAGTGACTAATTGAAGCAAAAGGAATAGAAAGGTATTACAGGGGCTATAAGAAATGTAGAAATAAAATCAATGACTACCATAGCACAAAGGATGAGAGGGTGAAATGGAAGTACACTGTGGTAAGGTTGTCACATTAAAAATTAAGTTGAATAATATTGTTTGAAGGTAGCCCTTAATAAGTTAAATATGAATATTGTAACCTGTAAAGCAGCTATGAGTAGGCCAAGAGTGGAGATGAAATAGAATACTAAAATAGTCAGAAGGAAGTCAGGAAAAGAAGAAGAGGGGAGCAATGAACAGATGAGACAAGGAAAAAATAAATGGCAATATGGCAAATTCAAGCCCAAGCTCAATGATAATTACCATAAATGCTGTTGGACACTCTATTGGAAAGACAGAAACTGTCAGACTGCGTTACAAAGCAAGTATCCAATGTAATGGAGCCTGGCTCCACTTTTGATGGTTGACTGCTGACAGCATCAAACCCCACCTTCTCTCTCTCCCTCTGATCCACATGTGCTTGGGAAGAAAGCCCTGAGGTTCCTCCCTTGGTACCTGCGGGTAGTTCAAACCAAGCAAGCCCTGACCATTACAGAAACCCTCACCCCAGCCCCAGCCCCAGCCCCTAACCACAATAAAAGCCAAAGCCAGTTGACCCTCCTGACTCTCTCAAGCCTGCTTGGGAATCTTCTCTGCTCTCTCCAGAAAGCCTCATTACATGAGTAATAAATCTCTTCATACTCTCCTGGTGCATGTGTAGCATCATCAGCCACAACATTCAACCAATTTTAGGTGGGTGAGGGGATCTATCCTGTCTTCACGATGTGACTATAGCATCCAAATATATGATGTCTATGTGAAAATTCACTTTAAATGTAATGGCACCTTTAAGATAAAAATCAAACATGCAAAAAGAAAATACCATGCCAACACTAACATATGAAATCTTGAGTAGTTACATTCATATCAGACAAATTAAATTTCAGGACAAGGACTATTATCAGGGATAGTGTGGTATCGAGATAATGATAGACACAGCTTAGTAGAAAAACGAAGAATTCAGATATAGCCTGTATATTTACATGTCACAAAGTGTCCAAGGTAATTAATTCATTAGAATAAGGAGTCTTTTCAACAAATGACCCTAAAACAATTGAATATCTGCATAGAAAACAGTTAACACCAACACTTACTTCACAAAAATTAACTCAAAATAACTCATAGGCCTGAATATGAAAGTTAAAACTATAAAACCTCTAGAAAAAAAGGATAAAAGTTTTAGCAAAATTAAAATTGGCAAATATTTCTTAATACAGAGAAAAGTAGAAAACATAAAATAAAGTTAAAGAATTAAACTTCACGGAAATTTAAAACCACTCTTCGAAAACATTATCAAGATGCAATCTATGGATCTCACACAGGCCTTGTATTTAGAATACATTAAAAAACAATTACAAGTCAGTAAGAAAATCAGCAAAATAATTTTAAAATGGGCAAAGATTTAAACAGACATTTCACAAAATAAGATATGCATATGGCCAATAAGCATAAGAAAAGATGCTCCACATAATTAGTCCTAAAAGAAATGCAAAAATTAAAACCACAATGAGATGCTACTTAAATTATAGCAAGTAGAATGGCTATAATAAAGAAGACTGACCATACTAAATATTAGAGAGGACACAGAGCTGCTGGACTGCTCGTGCATTGCTGATAGGAATATAAAATGATAGAACCTCTTTGGAGAACACTTTGGCAGTTTCTTACAAATCGAAGCTTACACTTATCATATGACCCAGCAATTTCACTGTAAGTATCTACCCAAAAGAAATGAAAACATGTGCCCACACAAAACTTATGCCCACAAATTTTCATAGTAGTTATTCACAATAGCCAAACACTGGCAACAACATAAATGCCCATCGATGAATAAACAAAATACGCTTTTCCATATAATGACATACTGCTTGTCAATAGAAAGTAACAATCTACTGACATCCCCAAAACATTGATGAATGTCAAAAACATACCACTGAGCAAAAGAAGTCAAACACAAAGAGCTACATGCTATATCATTCCCTTTGTATAAAACCTGAAAATTGGCTAGGTGTGATGGCTTGTGGCTGTAATCCCAGCACTTTGGGAGGCTGAGGCAGGAGGATTGCTTGAGCCCAAGAGTTTGAGGTTACAGTGAGCTATGATCACACCACTGAGCTTCAAGCTGGGTGACAGAATAAGATGCTGTCTCTATATACCTAATGCTAGATGATGAGTTAGTGGGTGCAGCACACCAGCATGGCACATGTATACATATGTAACTAACCTGCACATTGTGCACATGTACCCTAAAACTTAAAGTATAATAATAATAAAAAAATTAAAAAATTAAAAAAAAAAAACAAGAAACACACAAACCTGGAAATGGCAAATCTCCTCTGTAGCGATGAAAAGCAGACTAGAGGTTGCTGGGCCAAGGCTGCATGCGTGGTTCCCTGGGAAGCAGAAGCAGCAAACTTGGAGGATGGTGTTGTGTATCTTAGTCACTGTGGTGTTTTCATTCCTGTATTCATTTGTCAAAACTCATCAAATCCTAGGCTTTAATGGGTACATTTTATGTTACATAAATTATATCTTAACAAAGTTGATTATTAATTTTTTTACATACTCCTGAATTTTTCCTTACAGAAAAATACCAAATAATACAGGTATTCTCCCTTTCAGAAAGCGGAGCTTAAACCCTCCCCTAAGAAGGTGGGCTGGACTTCATGACTTGCTTTCAAATAATGTATAGTATGGAAAGGAAAAACTAGAAACTTTACATTGGAAAAACCTGGCAAACTCTACCTTAACCAAGTGATCAAGGTTAACACCCCAGTGATGTCATGTAGATATCGGGGACCCCCTCATATGATGAAATAAAAAGGCATTTCACCTCTGTGATATCCTTTCCAAAAGCCCATACCCCTTCTCTAATCATGAGAAAATAAATCAGACAAGCCCAAAATACAAAATACCTGCCCAGTACCCCTCAAAACTGCCAAGGTCATGAAAAACAAGGAAAGCATGAGAAATTGTCATTGATCCAGGGATCAGAAGAGACCAAGACATGATAACTAAATGCATAGTTATACCCTGTACTGTATCTTACAACAGAAAAATAATATTGATTTTTTAAAATGATAAAATTTAAATAAAGTCTGGAGCTTAGCTAATAGTAATTTTACTAGTTTTTTATTACTGCATAATGAATTACAACAAATTTATTAGCTCACACCTGCATAGCTGTGTGCATTTATTGGCTCATCAGATGTCTGGGCGCAGCATGATGGAGTTCTCTGTTCAGTGTCTTACGAAGCTGAAATTAGGGTATCAACCAGGCTGTGCTCCTTTCTGGAGGCTCTGAAGAAGAATACACTGCCAAGCTCATCTGAGTTGCTCCCCATATTCATTTTTTTTGCTATTGCAGGAATGAGCTCCCCATTTCCTGGTTGGCTGTCAGCACGGCCTCTCTTAGCAGCTAGAGGCTGCTCTGAGTCTTGCTATTGGAACCCTTATCTTCAAAGTTAGCAGGAGAATGTCACTCTTGTCAAAACCCTCTCAGGCTTTGCATCTCCCTGACTTCCCTGACTCTCACCTCTTGACCAAGATTTAAAGGGCTCATAGGATTGGGTCAGGTCCACTCTAATAATTTCTCCATCTTAAGGTCAACTGATTGGGACCTTAATTACTTCTCCAAAATACCTTCACAGCAACAACCACGGGATCATTTGATCGAATAACTAGTAGAAGGTGTGCATAGATCAAGGGCCTTGACTCTTAAGGGCCATCTTAGCATTCTGCTTGCCACAGTGATGTGCCAATGTTGGTTTATTCTTGATAAATGCACGACAATAATTAGCAGAAACTGAAACTGAGTGACTGGCATATGAAAACTCACTCTACTATCTTTGCAACTTTTCTGCAAATCTAAAATGACTCCAAATAAAAATTTATGTAAAGAACATTCTCTTTTAAAAACCTAGTTAAATACATCATCTCTTTCCTGCTGGGACACAGACTGATAGAATTACTGCATTCAATTACTATAAACAATTATAGAGGAAGGAGGAGGATGACGATGAAAAGGAGAAGGAAAAAGAAGCAGCAGCTAACATTTACTGAGAATTTTTTAAGTGCCAGCCATTTTCTTAAGCACTTCGTATAGACAATCTTATTTAATCTCAAAAACAACCCTACAAGGCATTACTTTATTGGGTGATCTCCCCATTTTACAGATGAAGAAATTATGATAGAGACGGTTATATGGCTTGCTCAAAGTCACATTATTAAGTGGTGGTGGAGCTAGAAATCAAATTCAGGTAATCCGATTCCAGAGTCCTCATTTGTAAGCATTTCCCCATCGGACCTCTCATGCATATTCCACATGTTCCACAACACCAGCCACTCTGTCTTTCCTCAGAAGCTGATCACTTCCAAAGAATGTAACATGGGCAGTAGTTTATATTTGACCCAAATACTTCTGTAAATGTGATTATCACCATAGAAGCCAACACAACATTGCCCTAAATTGTCTTACAAAAAAGAATGCTCAGAGCTTACTCTGATGTTTCTGTTTATTAATAAATGCATTCTTATCCAAAGAATTTGATCAATTATAATAATGTGCCCACTGAAATATTACCAACCTACCTTGAAGCAGATGTGAATTATACAATTCATAAACCATCTCTCAGATGTAAACAAGAAGCAAGAGATTCATTTGAAAACTATTACCAAAGAAGGCCGGGCACGATGGCTCAAGCCTGTAATCCCAGCACTTTGGGAGTCCAAGGCGGGTGGATCACGAGGTGAAGAGATCGAGACCATCCTGGCCAACATGGTGAAACCCCATATCTACTAAAAATACAAAAAATTAGCTGGGCGTGGTGGTGTGCACCTGTAGTCACAGCTACTCAGGAGGCTGAGGCAGGAGAATCACTTGAACCCGGGAGGCTGAGGTTGCAGTGAGCCGAGGTTGTGCCACTGCACTCCAGCCTAGCGACAGAGTGAGAATCCATCTCCAAAAAAAAAAAGGAAAGAAAACTATTACCAAAGTTGAAAAAAATTTTAAGGTTTAACTCTCAGATTTACTTTTCTTATTCTCCCTGTAATAGATGGTTTTCTATCTAGGCAAACTATAAGGCAAAATTTAAATTCTCTAAAAATATGCTAGCTGTGCCATTGGCACCCACCCCCCCCCCACCCCCCCGCCGCTCCCCGTATGTAAAACAAGTGGAAATCTTTTCAGTCAATTCCCCAAAATAACTAGGACTCCAGCCATCCCTTAGAAACAGATTCCAACCTGGCTGCTATTAATAAGTTTTCATCTAAAGATGCTGTGTATTCCCCAGTCTTCTTCAGGTACCCAGAATTGAAGCCCAGCTTTAACTAGCTTAACCAACTACAGACATTTGCTGGCTGGTAGAACTGTGAAACAGAGTGGATCAGGTTTTCTGTGTGTGTGTGTGTGTGTGTGTGTGTGGGCGCATGTATGTGTGTGTCAGTGGGTGGCGAAAATGAGATTCATCCCTTGGCACTGTTTCTCAGTATTGGTCTCATCTTCTTCTACTGTATAAGGGAAAGCTTCCTGCACCATGAGAAGAACAGTATATGACTTCAGGAAATACGTAGATAACTTTATGCCATCTAGTAACCCCAAGGAAAGAGGGCTTCAGTCCCATCATGTTTATATGAAGTCCAAGGCCACATTCTTATCCCTCAGACAGACTACTGTGGCTGAACACAGACAGTGATTGGCCAGGACTGAGCCATGTGACCAGTCGAGGTCCTTTAGAACTGATTAACAACCTTGCCAGATTAGAGCCAAGTGGCACCAAGAGAGGGTTTAAACAGCTGTTCCTCTGCTGTTTGCCAGATAGGATACTGCTCAACTATATCACCTGACTGTTTCCTGATATCCTCCTTTTACCACTTATGGACATGCCCAGCTCCATTGTGGACACTTGTAAACCCAAAGAAAGAGACCTTGAATATTTGGTCAAGGGAGTGTGGAATGAAGGGGCTTCATATCTGTAGCTGGTGGGGGAAGCACTGATGAAGGCCCTGAACTGTACCTGTGGTTAGTAATACTCCTGCTGTATCTGTTTACCTGTTGGCCCATCGTTACTGCATTTTCATTCACTGCACTTGCTAAAGGCTTATTACTCACAACTCAGATGAATCACCTCCACTGCTTCATTCCTGCCCTTTTTAATAGACTGAGAAGGGGGTGGCCATCTAACTGGTCAGAAGCAGAAGAGCTGGTTTGGCCTTTTCATCCTAAGCCCGAGGTGTCTTGTTGCAATACTCAGGGGTTTTATGAATGTAGGGCACTTAAAGACTCTTTGTTCCAGCTTTGAGCCTCATTCTCCAGTTCTTGAGCATCAGAGGTGTCATTCAACAAAATGCCCATGAAAATTAATACTTCCCCACCTTTTAAATTCCCTTAAAACATTTTGTATTGAAGCATTTTATTATTTTAACTCCTTTTTGTTTAAATGTCCTCTTTTGAATATCATTTTAAACACACAATCTTTTTTTACTTTTTTATTTTATATCTCTATATACAACCTGATGTTTTGATATACATGTACACAGTGAAATGGTTGCTCTAGTGAAGTAAATTAACATATATCCGTCATCTCACATAGTTATCCTTTTTGTATGTGTGGCAAGAGCACCTTAAATCTACTATTTTCACAAAAATCTTATATATAATACATTATTATTAACCATCATCCTTGTCTTGTACGTTAGAGCTCTAGACTCGTTCATCCTACATATCTTCAACTTTGGATCCTTTGACCTATATCTCTCTATTTTTTCTCCCTCTCCCTGCATCTCCCCAATCCCTGATAGTTACCATTTTATTCTCTTTCTCTATGTATTTGACTTTTTTATATTACACATTTAAGTGAGATCATTCAGTACTTTTCTTTTTGTGTATTACTTTTCACTTAGCATAATGTCCTCCAGCTTCATCCATAGCAGCTTCATCCATAACTTCTGGGTGTAGCCATGGCAAGGGTAAACTGATATGGCACACTGGTGGGCATGTCTTCTGGAGAGGTGCTTCCAACTCTTCCCTGTTTTAGCTAGTCCTCAATTTGTCTGATGTCTGAACCCCACTGCCAGAGTTGAGTCTTGCCTGCTGAGTCATGTCCAGACTCCTACCTCAGAAGTATGAAGCATAACTGGTGTTACAAACACCATCTTCAGAACAGTGATTAACCTTCAATATTGAGGAATAGAAAAAGTACAGAATTGGGTTTAGCTGTATATGTAACATTTCCTGTCTTTGAAAACAGAAATTGAAACAAATATGCAAAATGTAACTATCCGTTGAATCTGCTGATCATATTGTTTTCTATTTGTTTCTGTTTGCCTGGAATATTTATAGCTAAAAATAATTTTTAATTGTTACCAGGCAGAAGAAAATGTTTTAAATAAACAGCATATAAAAATATTCCAAAAATAATATTCGAGGAGCTGATGTTGTGAAATGTCAAAAGGAACTGAGAACAGCAATTTTCATTATGCTAAAATACTGAAAATAACATATGTGCATTAATTAGGGATGAGGCAGGAAAAAAGGACTCACACCAGGTATTGCAACAGAATGAATTTAACATGAGGAATTCATAAACAGGTGTTAGGGAACCCTGAAGCAACAAAACAAAGTAACTGTAGACAAGAAGGACCACTCCAACAGTGAGGGAACAAACTGTAATGTTGGGAATATCAGAGCCTAGAAATTTGGTAGAGAATCTCTATTTTGGAACTCAGATCTGGAACTCAGATTTTGGAGGAAAGGGCATCACATAGTTAATGCTGATGTATCTAAAAGGTCATAATAAGGTTAGGAGGTTAGGAGGACTAAAACCAAAACTACACTTCCAGGAGAGAAAAACCCTTGCTGGAATGAGGTTAGAGATAGAGTTAGGAGCAGGAAGAAAACAGACAGAATATAGCTGGGCATAGTGGCTCATGCCTGTAATCCTAGCACTTTGGAAGGCCGAGGTGGGCAGATCACTTGAGCCCAGAAGTTTGAGACCAGCCTGGGTGACACAGTGAGACCTCATCTCTACAAAAAGTACAAAAATTAGCCAGGCATGGTGGCACACACTTGTAGTCCCAGCTTCTTAAGAGGCTGAGGCAGGAGGATCACTTAAGCCTGGGAGGTTGAGGCCACAGTGAGCCAAGTTCATGCCACTGCACTCCAGCCTGGGCAACAGAACAAGACCCTGTCTCAAAAAAAAAAAAAAAAGAAAGAAAAAGAAAAGAAAAAGAAAGAAAGAAAGAAAGAAAGTCTCTCCTCCTACCTTACAGTATCCCTCTACTGCCCTCTGAGATTTTAACAAGAGTACTCAGTTGGAACATGAAAAACGAGAACTGATGGCTTCAAGTTAGTTTTATTATTCAAAATAGTTTGGGAACTTCTTGGGGATTTTCTTAGAGCCACAGCTTAGAATTTGTACTATCCTCAGTGGAAACAAACTGAAGAATTTCATTTTCTGAAAATCAAGAGTGATAACTCACAGTCATTTTAGGATAAAAAATTGAATGATATAAACTAGAAAATAATGTTCACATGTTCTCTTAAAAAAGGTAAATTTAAAAATTTTGCCATCTTAAAAACCCTTTCAAAGAAGAGATGGAGATATAAAAAAATCAAACAAACTGATTACCAAAAAAAAAATTACAAAAATGAACAATGGCCAAGTGTGTGCATACAATCTTTGCTTTAAAATCAGTGCATTGTTGGAAAGTTCTATAATATTAATTATAAGTCTTTAGAATAAAAAATGTCAGAAAAGCCTGGGGAAAAACCAACAAATAGGAAGTTTACAAAATATAGGTAAAATTTTAGATGAAATTATCTGGAAGATGATTTTCCAAATTAATGCCAATGTAAACTGAATACTCAAAATTGTCAGAAGTTAAATAGAATTTTAAATGGGCTCAACAAACAAATATACATATTAATGAGCAGAACAGAATATATGATCATTTATTTAGATGCACAATAGGCATTTTAAAAAAATCAATTCCCATTAATGTTAAAAAACACATGTATCATGAGTTCATGGATACTTCCAGAACTTAAGAAAACATTTATATACTCAGCCTGACAGCCAACACACTTTTTTAATTTAACGGGGAAATATGAGAGGCAGTACCATTAATTCAGAATATAGACAAGAATGACCACTATCTTTACTACTATTTACCATATTATTAGAGGTATTAGCCATGCATTCAAAGAAGAGGAAGAAAATAGAGCCTTAGAATTAGAAAGGAAGAGGTAAAAATCAATTTGAAAATTATGTATGCTCTATTTGATATAGTGTGATATAATTAAATATCTGGAAAACACAAAATAATTGATGAAAACACTACACAAGCAATAAAATAATTTTATAAGACAATAGCTTATAAAACTACAATTACAACAATTAATAACCTTTATATATACAAACAAAAAAGTTGGAAAATGAAATGTAATTCATGATAGCAAAAAAAAAATACCTAGGCATAAGCTTAATAAGAAAAATTCTTGTATTTATTGTCAACTGATTTTTAATAAAGATACAAAGACAATGCAATGCAGAAAGAATCATCTTTTTGAGAAATGGTCCTGTGAGTGTGAAGAGACCACCTCTGGATTGGGAGAAAATATTTGCAAGTCATATATCTGATTAAAGGTTAGAAGAAACTATCATCAGAGCCTACAGACAGACAGCCTACAGAATGGGAGAAAATTTTTGCAATCTATCGATCTGACAAAGGTCTAATATCCACAGCCTACACGGAACTTAAACAACTTTACAAGAAAAAAAAAAACCATTAAAAAGTGGGCAAAGGACATGAACAGACACTTCTCAAAAGAAGACATACAGGTGGCTAACAAACATGAAAGAAAGCTCAACATCACTGATCATTAGAGAAACGCAAATCAAAACCACAATGAGATACCACCTCATGCCAGTCAGAATGGCTCTTATTTAAAAGTCAAAAACCAACAGATGCTGGTAAAGTTGTGGAGAAAAAGGAACACTTTTACACTGTTGGAGGGAGTGTAAATTAGTTTAACCATTGTGGAAGACAGTGTGGCGATTCCTCAAAGATCTAGAGACAGAAATACCATTTGACGCAGCAATCCCGTTACTGGGTATATACCCAAAGGAATATAAATCATTCCATTATAAAGATACATGAACATGTATGTTCATTGCTGCACTATTCACAATAGCAAAGACATGAAATCCACCTAAATATCCATCAATGATAAACTGGATAAAGAAAATGTGGTACATATACACCATAGAATACTATGCAGCCATTAAAAGGAACAAGATCATGTCCTTTGCAGGGATGTGGATGTATCTGGAAGCTGTTATCCTCAGCAAACTAATGCAGGAACAGAAAACCAAATACCACATGTTCTCACTTCTAACAGGGAGAAAGAATAGCTAATGGATGCTGGGCTCAGTGTCTAGGTTATAGAATGGTCTGTACGGTAAACCACCATGGCACATGCTTTACCTATGTAACAAACCTGCACATCCTGCACATGTATCCCTGAACTTAAAATAAAAGTTGAAGAAAAAAAAAAGGTTAATATCCAAAATATAAAAATAACAAACAATAACAAGAAAACAAAAAACCTAATTTTAAAAATGGGCAAGGAACGTGTATAGACATTTCTCAAAAGAAGACATACAAAATGGCCAACAGAGATAGTAAAAAATGCTCAACATGACTAATCATTAGGGAAATATGCTCAGATTTGATACCAAAGCCTGAACCTTAGAAGATATTAATGGGCTGGGTGCAGTGGCTCAAGCCTGCTATCCCAGCACTTTGGGAGGCCGAGGTGGGCGGATCATGAGGTCAGGAGATCGAGACCATCCTGGCCAACATGGTGAAACCCCGTCTATGCTAAAAAAAAAATACAAAAATACAAAAATTATCTGGGCTTGGTGGCACGTGCCTGTAATCCCAGCTACTCAGGAGGCTGAGGCAGGAGAATCACTTGAACCAAGGACTCAGAGGTTACAGTGAGCCAAGGTCGCGCCACTGTACTCCAGCCTGGCAACAGAGATTGACTCATCACAAAAAAAAAAAGAAAAAAAAAAAGAAATATTAATGATAAGCTGAACTCCAATCACCCTATGAAAGATCCCACAAAACTATTGAGATACTAATTCACATTCACTAGGATAGCAAAAATCTAAAAAGACTAGAATAAGTATAGCTACGATGTAGAGAATTGGAACCCTCATGCATTGCTGTGGTATTGTAATATGGTACGGCTGATTTGGAAAACAATTTAGTATTTCCTCAAAACGATAAACACAAAGGTACTAGTAATACATGACCCAGCAATTCCACTCCTAGGTATATACCCAAAAGAAATGAAGATATATATCCACACAAAAACTTGTTCCACACAAAATGTTCATAGTAACATTCATAAGAGCCAAAAAGTCAAATACAAATGTTTGTTAACTAATTAATGAATAAACAAAGTCTAACGTACCCATACAATGGAATGTTACTTAGCCAAAAATGGAATGAAGTATTGATTCATGCTACAAATTGAATGTAACTTAAAATTGTTAGGCAAAGTGAAAGAATCATGTTTCAAAAGGCCACATGTTATATGATGCCATTTATATGAAATGTCCAGAATGCGCAAGTTCACAGAGACAGACAACAGAATATTTATTTCTATGAGTTGGGGAAGAGAGGCATGGGGAGTGATTGTTAATGAGTATAGAATTTCTTTTGGGGTGTTATAAATGTTCTAAAATTAGACAGTGGAGGTGTCTACACAACTCTGTGAATACACTAAAACCAATGAATTGTACTTTAAATATGCAGATTTTATGGTATTAAATTATATCTTTTAAAAATTATTATATATGTTCTAAAAAGACTAATAACAAAATTAAAAGAAACCACAGACTATGAGGAAATGTCCACGTATCATATATTTGATAAATTAAGGACTTGTAAGCCAGAGATTATTAAGAACTCATTTAACTCAATAAAATGAGAAGACAAGACAGACAACCCAAATTAAAAATGAGCAAATGATTTGTATACATTTCACCAAACAAAGTCAAACAAATGGCCAATAAGCACATAAAAAAAGCTCAACCTAATTAGATATTATGGAAATGCAAATTAAAACCACCATGAGATGCCACTTTGTACCTACAAAAATGGCTATAATCATAAAGACACAATCCTGGATGTTGGTGAGGATTTGAAGACACTAGTTTTAAACATTCCTGGTGGGAATATAAAATGTCACGTTGGAAAACAGTTTGACTGTTTCTTACAAAGCTAACTATTGATTTTTCATATGGCCCAGCAATTTCTAGCCTAGGAATCTCCCCAACAGAAATGAAAACATATGTGAACACAAAGATCTTTATTTACATGTTCAGAGCAACATTATTCCTAACAGCCAAGAAGTGGGAACAATCCAAATGTCCCTCAACTGGTGAACCTAGAAATAAAATAGGTCTTTTCCATGCAATGGAATAGTATTCGGCAATAAAAAAATTAAGTATCAATACATACTACAACAGATGAACCTCAAGAACACCATGCTAAGTGCAAGACGCCAGACACAAAATACTACATGTATTATGATTCCATTTATATAAGATGTAGAAAGAAAAACTTATAAAGACAGAAAACAACTCAGTGGTGCCTAGGATTGGGAATATTAATAGACATGAGGAAACTTCTTAGGGTCATGGAAATATTCTAAAACTGGATTGTGGCGATGCATAACGCTAGAAATTTACTAAAAGTCAATGAATTATAAAATTACAGTGTGTACATTTTACGGCATGTAAATTGTAGTTTGACAAAGCTGTTAAAAATAAGCCAGTTATGTGATCTTGTTAAAAACTGGAGGAAAAAAATGAAACAAGCCAATAATTAAGAGCATTAGGTATAGATTCAGAGCTTTCCAAAAAGCATCTTCAGAAAATATCATTTGGTAATACTCGTACCTCACTCAAAAAAAAAAAAAAACCAGAAAAATGTAAATGGAGAAAAAAAGGGAAACTTTTCTAAAAGTTAGTCCAAATATTTACCTTACAAAGTCTAAAAAGGTGATAGAGGAGGAATACTGATCAACTACATCATTTATCTTCTCAAATACCACATTTATTACACAATATCAAAATGCTTATGCATCTAACAATGGATAATGTTAGAATGGAAGATGAAAATACGGGCATCCTCTCCATCTGGTATATTGTTTTATTTTGTCCTGGCATTTGAGTTTTAATTTATGTTTTGCTACTGTATTCCCAAATTCTCTTTCCTATGTGTGATTTGCCACAATATCTGTTGGGGAATAGTAACATGAGCTGAGTAAACTATTGTTTTATTTTACTTGCGTATTATAACATGTCAAAATACCAGAATTAGAGAGACCCCCCAAAATTACTAGTTCGTACTCTTTACTGGAGAGACTTTCTCTCCTTTCGTGTGCACAAAACTACAAGATACCAATTTACTTTCAAAGGAAACCAAAGGGAGATTATCAATGAGGTTTGGTTTGACTCACCTTACGCATGGCACAAAGAAAAGGACATTTCACTTTCGAGGATGGTTATAAACACACACATTATTGGAGTCATTAAATCATTGATTTGATGGCCAAGACTGGAAATGCAAGTGAGACAACATTTAAAAGAATGGACGATTTTCATAATCATATGAGTAACACTGGTAGTTGTTTTTTGCTAAAAGCAGCAATGCCATGGCAACGATCATCTTAAGGAGAAGAAAATCTGCCGAAGAAGAGGATGCTGTTGGATTCATTGTGCCTGATGAAGAACAGGAAGGGATGATTGCAGTGAACATTTTCATGACCTGGGGCGGATGTGACAGTAAAGCCTATGCCGGTGGCAGCTGCAGCCTCGGTGCCTTCCTCAGTTACTGCCACAAAGGAACTGTGCAGGAACTTCTGGGCGTACAACCCGGAGCCTGACGACATTCCCGAGTAGTCGGCTTTGTGCTCACTGAAGGCATCGCCCATCCCCATGGCAGCCAGGACCGCCTCTAGATCGTAACCGTCCTCCACCTCAAACCGGGGCAAGTGCAGATTCACCTTTCTTTCTTCCATATGCCCTGGACTAGTCCACTCTACCAATTTCTCAGGACTTATTTTATCTATTATCTATTTTCAAAAAAAGAAGAGTAGAATGGCATGATTATCAATAAAAATCTAAAACAGTGTAACACTGATTTGTGTCAGTCAGAAGTTATTAATTTTAGTAATATTAAAAGTAGAAATTTTATTTCACTAGATTGTTGTCTTTATACTGCAGGCGGTTGTCTTATATCTCTCTGTTTAAATTATCTGTGTATATGTGGAAATCCAATAGCATTGAATACATTTTTAAAGATTAAAAATAAGTCATTTCTTATTTTATCAACCTAGTATATATTTCATTTTAACTATCTCTCCTAGTCTTTGAATGCATATATATTTACATAGTTGCAATCACAGTGAATGTCCATTTTATTTGATAAAAAGTAAACTTTTTCACAATATTGCATATCTCTCCTATCTTCAAACAGCTAGATAATATTCTTATGAAGTTGATAAATTTTTCCCAATATTTAGCTATTCATTCACTTTACAAACATTTAGTCTTTATCAGGCATTGTGATAGATTTGATAGTTACTAAGGATACAAAATAATAATTACGATGAATTTCAAACTGGGCATTCCAGTGTATTTAATACCGAAATAACTGATTTTACTCAGAAAGGCAACTTTTTTCTTCTGCATTATTTCTTTAGAGTAATTCCCACAACTGGGGTTTTTGAATCAGAAATACTCTTAAAGCTCTCAGACATATTGCTATTTTGCTGTCTCAAAATATTTTCCAACTTAAAATGCTACTAGCAATATTTCACAGAAGTAGCACAGCATCTGGTAGTATAAGACGATAGCAGTTATCATTTGAGTGCTTTCTATGTCCTAGACCCCTTCTAGGCTACGTTTCTCTAATCATTCCAACACTGCTGCACGTTAACCACCATGGAGCCCTCTTCAGAGATGGGAAAGTATTGAAGTTCAAGGAAGTTAAGAAGCTTCAAGGGTCAGAAAGCCACTAGAGGAACAGGGATTTGAAACAAAACTCTCCTCATTTTCAAAATACAGGACACTAGCCACAATTTATTTATTTATTTATTTATTTATTTATTTATTTATTTATTTATTTAATTTTGAGACAGAGTCTCGTTCTGTCACCCAGGCGGAGTGCAGTGGCGCTATCTCGGCTCACTGCAAGCTCCACCTCCCAGGTTCACGCCATTCTCCTGTCTCAGCCTCCCGAGTAGCTGGGACTACAGGCGCCCACAACCACGCCAGGCTAATTTTTTGTATTTTTAGTAGAGACGGGGTTTCACCGTGTTAGCCAGGATGGTCTCGATCTCCTGACCTCGTGATCCGCCCGCCTCAGCCTCCTAAAGTGCTGGGATTACAGGCGTGAGCCACCACGCCCGGCCTTCACATAATTTTTTTAACCACAGAATGGATGAGACTAAATCAATGGTGTAAGAGTGTAAGAAAGAAATTCAAAAGCTCCAAAAGCCTATTGAACAGTGTGCAGAACTGGTTGTATATATGCATATGTGATTTCTTTTTTCCAGGAAAGGGGTCCATAGATACCAACCATTTCTCAGAATGGTGGGTGATCGTTAGGACTCCCATATAATCTTAAATGTTCATTTTAGTTCATCCCAAACATTCTAGGATTAGTTGTTCTCAATAAACCTGACCCATACTATTTAATGCTCCCCAGTAGACATCCATCTGTAGCTGCTGGAGAGTGAGAAACACTTTCTATTTGACACTGCTGGCCACCAGCTCCTACTCAGAAGCCCTGAGACAAAAAGCCTTAGGAAATGAAAGAAAGAATAAGGAGGTGTAAGCGTTTACCTTCTCCAGGCCATCGATGTCGTTGGGCAGAAGCACAAACATGCTTAGGTCGTTGTTTTTATATGGAATCCCTAGAATTTTGGCCTGCAAGTCCTCCAGGAAAGTGAAGCTAAAGGAATGGCTCTGTGTCATCATCTGTACAGATTTACTTGTGCTCTGCAACAAATTAACAGAGCACACAATATCAAAGGACATAAGACCAAAGGCATTAAGGCAACCAAGTTAGTTCATCAAAATAATTAGCTCAATCTAAAATAAAACCCAATATCAGAGTCTCAGAATGAGCATCCACTATCTACCAGTATGCATTTGCTCAAATATGACTTTAGATTTTTTTGGGGGGGTGGGGGATGGAGTCTCACTCTGTCACCAGGCTGGAGTGCAGTGGCATGATCTTGGCTCACTGCAACCTCTGCCTCCCGGGTTCAAGCAATTGTCCTGCCTCAGCCTCCCAAGTAGCTGGGACTACCGGCGTGCACCACCACACCCAGCTAATTTTTATGTTTTTAGTAGATACGGGGTTTCACCATGTTGGCAAGGATAGTCTCGATCCCTTGATCTCATGATCCACCCACCTTGGCCTCCCAAAGTGCTGGGATTACAGGTGTCAGCCACCACGCCCAGCCATGACTTTAGACTTTACATTCCATGTGTAAGCACATCACGAAAATAAACTAAGGGCCATACCTTATTCATCCAAAATTTCTCTTCCTTAGTATTTTCTTTCTTAAACTCCCTGTCCCATTGCCCTTTAAAATAAACCATGTTCACCAGCACCAGCTTGGTAGAGCTACTAATAGAGCCATCTGGGAACAAGTCCTTGATTTTTTCTGCAAATGAAGAAACAGAAAAAGGTTGACCCATCTTCCAAATGACAAATAATATGTATGACAAATATGATGCAGATGGACTTGACTGATCATTAAAAACCCAGCCAGGTCAGCACCTGAGGGCCTTGCTGACAAAGGGTTTGCTGGCAGAATCGACGGGGAGGTTCTCATTTTGCCCATCGCCTATTTATCCCAGTGGATAAATTAAGGTTCATGGTTAAGAGTCCAGACTCTGGGGTCAGATGCCTCTGTTAGCATCCAGTTTGCCTCTTATCAGCTGAGGAATCTTGGGCAAGTTATTTAAACTCTCTGTGCCTCAGTTTCCACATCTGTAAAATAGGAATAAAATCTGCCTCATAGGGTTGTTGAAAGGAACAAATGATTTAACACATGTAAAGCTATTAGAATACCATCTCACACATAATAAGCACTCTGTGTTAGCTATTATGCTTACCATTCAATATAGTTACCACCTGAGATTAAGGGATTACTTATTATATTGGAGAAGGAGTTGATATTTTTGTCTCTGAGTTCACCCCATCCCACAATAAATTCTAAAAAATACTGTTCAACTTTTTGAAAGATCCTATTTTTTCTGTTTCTTTTATTTCCTTTCTTCAGACCAAGCATGAGGGGAAAAAAAAAACACATTCTGAATAACAAAGTTCTCTCTGATAATTGGTATAAAAATGGAATCTGAAACTCTAACACTAAAGTATCAGCTATTGCTCCCCAAGGTGAATTTCCACATTAACATTTCTCTGTGGATTTCCCATACCAGGGGATGAGAAAGGAATAATGGGATAAGAAACTTGTCAAATCCTCTGCTGTGGGGAGAGCTGTAGGTTGTCGTTACCCCTGCACTATGCTTAAGTGAAGATGAAGACTAGGTGGCCCCAGCTGTGGATGGGAACGACAAGTCTTGATGGGAGAGCTGCGTGTTTCTCATTTAACACAGACAGAGAAAAACTCAGGAAGAAAGGCTCTGATATAAAGGAAAGAATGTAAACCCAAGACAGGCATCATCCTATTTTCAGGACCCCCAAGATATTGTGATCCATGGCTATGTGTAAACAGTTCTCCAGCAAGCGTTTCCGTGCATTTGGCTTCATGCAGTCCCCTCACTGGCTCCCCTTGGCCGCTCCACATTTGCTGAAATTGCTCCACCATCTGCAGTGCCTTCCCTACCTCCTAGGCCTGGGCTTGCCCTTCCAACCCTGCAAAACCTATCTCAAGTCCCTTCCCAAAGCTTGTGCACTGCATGGCACCCCACGCAGTGACAAGTCCAGGGCTTCATTCACAGCAGGTTGTCAAGAAGTGTTTTTTGTTTGTTTGTTTCTTTGTTTTTGTTTTTTTGCAATGAATGACCCACCCATACTCTACCATTTGTTTTGCTTTCAACCCAGGAATTAATCTTCTTTCGACTTTCATCGGCTGCATTTACAAAATCAACAGGTTCCAGAGATGCATGATAATATTTTTCAACATAATCTAAGTATTTCTTTAGGAGAAACAAGGAAGGAATAAAAAGAGGTTAAAAACTCAATTTATCAATTGCCAACATCTCTAAATAAATTTATGTATACATTAGGATGACTAATACAGTAAGAGAAATTTTAAGGCCCTGGGCATCTCACATTGAGTTCCTGCTGCACATTTTTATGCAGCTATTCTGGGGATGAGGCAAAAATCAGGTTCAGATTGCCAGGACTAAAAAGGAACTCCCTGCAGTTCTGAATATCTGTAGATCAGGATGGAAAAGCACCACAGGGATGTGGCCAGAGCCAGGCAGCACGACTTCAGGACCCATAGTCCTACCAGGGCCATTTGGCCATTCCAGAATACCACTCACAGATATGGTAGGCATGGCAAACTTACTTGAAGGAAGAGGTATGTTTTTTCTCCAAACAGCCTGTTGGTTATGTTCAGTTCATAATCATTAGTGAGTTTGCTTATTTCAGTCAAAAACTTTTGGAATTGTTGATGTACTGCTTCTGTGTTCTCAATCTTGAAAATTAAAACAAAATCTCAACAGGTTATCTTGGCAAAAGCAAGCCCAGATTCTCCCCTAAGAGGATGCGGCTGCTGGGTCTCTCCCTCCGTTTGTCAGCCTCAAGGGTGATCCCTGTGTTTGATGTGGCCCCTGGATATCAGGTAGCCTTTACCCAAGTCATATGATAATGTCAGTTATGACCAATCTCAGCTCCAGAGAGAAGCCTTCTCTGCCAGCCCAACACCACAGATCTTGCATTTATAACTCAAGTTGTGGGCTTTTTTGGTCTCAAATAAAAGTGCTCACTAAATGTTCAATAAGCTTGTTTTTAGCTCCCCACAAGATTCTAAGCATCTAAGGAAAGTAAGTGATTTCTCCGGACGATTCTTATCTATTGAAGTTTGGAAATTTTTCCAGATAGTGAATAAGAAGAGTGACTCCTAATGGTATGAGTCACTACACATTGGGCTGAAGTGAGATTTATCCTTGTCTCCAGGGGAAAAAAAAAATTTTCTGAATATTTTATGTAGGACCCATCAGTTTTCTGATTGAAGTTTTCATATTCTATGTTACCTTAACGACATATCTAGAATGTCATTATTTCAACATATAAATACAATAAATATTAATTACATATTAATATATAAGATACATATTTCAGCAAAAATAATACATGAAAATTAATATTTTGTATTCCTTTCTCATACTAAGTTCTTAAAATATAATATGCATTTTATACCTATAGCACATCTGGATTCAAACTAGATGTATTGCAAGTGTTCAATAGCCACTTGAGTAGCTACTATACTGGATAGCTTGGGACTGGATAAACTCTCACCCAGGCAAATTAGGAGGCTGGCATTAAAAAGGCCATTTTTGCATTGTTTGTAGAAGGAAGGAAGGAAGGAAAGAAAAAAGGAAGGAAGGAGGGAAGGAAGGAAGGAAGGAAGGAAAGAAAAAAGGAAGGAAGGAGGGAAGGAAGGAAGGAAGGAAGGCCGGCCCCATCAACAAAATAAATGAGGAAATAGCTATAAAAATGAATCAAATAGAGCTATAAGTATCCCCTTAAAATAGATGAATCTTATAAACATGATGCTAAGCCAAAAATAATCAAGTTCCAAAGAAGAATGACAAAAATATATGGCATGTAATGAAATAATAAATACGTGGGAATAATGAACACCTAATCCACAATAGTGGGACTTCCTCTCTGAGGAGAGGATGGGGGCGTGCTCAAGGAAGGTGTTATACATCAGCCTAAGGGGCATCAGCTGATTTGGTAATAGTTTATTTTGTACACTTAAAGGAGGGGTTAAAGTGTGTTTATTGCATTTTTCCTTATACCTTTTGTACATATGTCTTGAGATTTTATCAGCATTTTTTAAAAGCAAGATTCAAAATACTCTGAATTTACATAATAATCAAACGGGTACATGCCAAGCCAGTCTCTGGGCAAACTATTAAATGAGGAGATTGGAGTAGATGACCTCTAAGATGTATTCCAGTGCTAATATCCTTTCAGTCAGTAATTCTATTCTCTTCATACCCCTGTGGCTCCCAGGAAAATTCTGGGGAATGGGCAAAACTGCTAGACAGCATGTATGTGTAAGCTTTGCCTTACACAAAGCTGAAATTCAGTTTCCACCCCAGTCATCTAGCCCTTCACATAGGAGTAGGGCAGCTATCCAAAAGAATGAGCTGTTTTCTAATTTGCACAAAGGTTCTACATGGGCTATCATGGCTGAGAAAGAATGTGCTCTGAAGACAACTGCACTTCTCAGTTGAGGGAACATTGCAGTGGCCATATGACCCAACTTGGTTGCGCAAACCCTGAAAGGAAGCCTGACCCTCCACAGGAGCAACTGAGCCACCCACACGACCTAGCCTTTTGGGGTTGTGAAATGAGCAGCTCCTATTGCTGGGTGATCTGAGCCATGGTTTTATGAGGGTCTGGAATTGCACTATGACTACTGTCAGAGCAGCTGTGCCCTTCCTGAGAGTGCTAACGTCTGATCCTAGCCCCGACCTAATGGGCTTATTCCTTTCCCATATTTGAGTAGACTCTCCTTTGGATGGCGAATACAGGAACACTGGAGCTGGAAAAGACCTCAGGAAGTCATTGGGCCTGTAATAATTTTTTAAATACAACATCAGCACGGGGTTAAAAATATGAGTGGAGTTTAGCAATAATATCACCTACTGCTACTACCACCACCACCACTGGCTCAGTTGCCAGATGCCCCTACTGCGGACTTTACAGAGGCTGAAAGAAGATAAATAACTTGCCCAAAGTAGCATCGCTCTTAAGTGACTGAGCCAGGACTTGGACCTAAGTCTGTTTAACTCCAAAACCCATCCACTCTGCTATGGGAACTTTTCTGTCTATTAGCCTTTACCAGTTCTATCATAGCGGTATTGTCCATTACACCTAAGGTCTCTTCTCAATATTAAGGGGTTATTATTATTGTATAATCCTTACAACAATATTTGTCTATGGTGATTATTATTGCTTAATAGTAAAGCAACAATATTGCTTTCATGCCTTTCTCAGTCCTTTTCCCCAGAGACCCCACACCTAAAATGCAACTCTACTGAAGTTTGTAAAACACATCTCCCCACCTCTTTTCCTTCAGCCTTTATTCTTACCACCTCTTTTTCTTCAGCCTTTATTCTTGAGCTCTTCGTCTCTTTTTCAGAGTGAAACACCTGGAAGAGATAGAAAATATTACTGTGGTGCTCAGAGAAGAGAAAACCTCACACAGAATCAGTCAGGGGAGAGTGGACGCTTCTGAAAGAAACCTCGGTGGTATATGAGGTGACATTATCTCCTTGCAAAATCAGAAAAAGGTCTGCGTTTACCTCTGATTTTTCGTGTGTGTGTGTGTGTGTGTGTGTGTGTGTGTGTGTGTGATGGAGTTTTGCTCTTTTGGCCAGGTTGGAGTGAAGTGGCATGATCTTGGCTCACTGAAACCTCTGTTCCTGGATTCAAGCGATTCTTCTGCCTCAGCCTTCCGAGTAGCTGGGATTATAAGCACCTGCCACCACACCCAGCTAAGCTCATGCCTGTAATCCCAGCACTTTGGGAGGCCAAGGCGTGTGGATCACCTGAGGTCAGGAGTTCAAGACTAGCCTGGCCAACATGGTGAATCCCCTTCTTTACTAAAAATACCTCTAATTTTTTTCTAAGGAACTCGTATTGGCTTATGTGTTCCTGTGTTCATCTTGGATGTGTCATTTTTACCCTTGTGGGGATTATGTCACTTTTTCCATAAGTACTTGGACAAGGTTACGCAACCAGTCTCTACTCAAAAAAATTTCAAGCATCTGGGAGCAGGTGGCGAGATGGTATTTGGAAAAGGAAGAGGGCTTTCCTGATAGACCTGAAATTGCTCCTTGTCTTGAAAGTCTCTGTTTCCTGGTCCACAGGTCAAGAAGAGCGTATTTTTAAGATAATGCAAGAGGGCTGACAACCCCCCCGCCAAATGAATTTGTGCATAGGAAACAAGGAAGCCCCCTGACTGCGCCCAACCTCCTCCAACTGGGAAGCGGTGGCTCCTCGGGTCCCCAGGAGGACCATGCCAATTGCAGTCAAGATGCCCACAGGGGAAAAGAAGATGTTGCCATCATTTGTTTTCTTCAGCTCTTTGAAAAGATCAAACCCAAGTCGAGTGCTGACGGCGCCAAGTGAATCCATGATGATTTTAGCGAGACCTAGAATAGCAAGAACAACAATCAAAACTGAACATTTGAATTACTCTGTGTCAGGGGAATCCTTTCTGCTTCTATTCCTCTTCTTGCATCGATCCGGAATACAGGGATTTCCACCCTTTTGGTGAAAGGTCGCTGCTGCCTGCTTCTCACGTCCTCTCTTGGCCTTCTCTTGCTGGGAGACATCCATCAATCTACTGGAGTCTTCCGTCATCCGGTGGTGCTCAGTTCTTATTTCCCCGCGGAGCAGGGTTAATGTTTTAATGGCTTTATTCTCTTGCTCTCTGTCTGACCCTGCCTGTCTCTGCCTCTCCACAGCCTCCTCTTCATGGAAGCTTCCCCAGGTAGACCCAGCCCTTGTCCAGGCGACACCAGTTTGTCCAGATGTGGGGCCCATGATAAGGCAGGGGGGTAGGCACAAGAATCTCCACGGGCCTCAAGTTCAAACAGTGCTCTCAGATCCAACCTTAGCAATAATTAAGCCGAGACTTGAATCCTTATCTGATACTATTTCTCAATTGATTCAAAATTCAGCCCAGAGAGTGACAGGATTGATTAAATCTCTTAAACCCCTTTCCCTAACTGCATACAAACTTGACTCTGGGCTGAATTTTTCTGAAGCAGAAACCACATATCTCTGGTCATGAATTATTAGGTGGAGATGAAAGGGTTTTCTTTTTTATACTTTTCTGTATTGTTTTAGGCTTGTACATGAGCTTGCATTACTTTTGTCATTTCACAAAAATAGTTTTTAAAGAGCAATTAATATTTGCCAAAAATAAATAGGTAGAACTGTTTTTATGTTTGCTTCATTACCAACTACTTTAAAACTAGTAAGTAAAGGCTTTAGGAGGAATCCTAAAACAAGAATAAGATTAATGAAAAATAAAGTTTTTTAAAGCCCACATACTTTGGGGCCTTTTGCCCTCAAGGGCTCATCCCCGCTAAGGCATCCCACATCTGATATCAAAGCTTTCATTTCAACCTCAGGTTTCCTTGCAGAGATCCTTTACAGGTTAACTCAGAAATAAAATGGATTAATTTACTGTCAAAGAAGATACATTGTCATGGCCATGTTGGAACTGAATTAAATAAAACTACCTCCAGAAAGTCTATGCAAAATAAAAGTAATTCTTTCAAACAACAAACATCATTGTTCTCAAAATACAGAGGTCTTAAATTGGAGCCAAAATAAGAACTTACCTCGGGTTTTTGGAGAGACGGTGGTGGCTGGGCAACGAACTAGGAAGCATAAGTCAATTAAGTAGCTGGGATCCTTAATTTATAGTTCTCCACATCTGCTTCAGCAGTGGTTTTCCACCTTGCGTGCACCTTAAAATCTCCTTGGAACTTTAAAAAAAATCTATGCCCAAGCCCCACCCCAGACCAACTGAGTCAGCATCTCTCGAGTGGAAACCAGGCATCAGAATTTTTATCACCGCAGGTGATTACAATGTACAGCCAACGCTGGGAACCAAAGGTGTATAGCCTGATGAACACATACATTAAATGCATACTTTACTTACCACAGATGGACAGAGCTGTGTCCTGACAAGTCATTCTCTGTAACAGAGTTATTTTTGCATTTGCATTATTTAGGAGTGCCAAATGCCAGGAAGAAAATGAAAGAAAACTATCTTGCTACAAAGGAACAAGAAAAAAGAACAAGAAAAGTTTGGGTAGGCAGCCACACACAAGCGAGCATGCGCACACACACACACGCACACACACATACACACACACACCTATTATTCTCAAGTATTCCATCCATTAATTGTAAAATATCTCATTTTAATTCATTCAATAAACATTTATCAAGTCTATTATGTACCAGGTACTGTGTCTAATGCCAATAATTCATAAGCACTCAATATCCTCACTGATTTCAGGAAAACAACACTACCAAAAAAACTCAATAGGAAATTACACCCCCAGATTCCAGTTTTTCCTGCCAACCCTGGAGCATTTCTACTGGCCCTACCAGTTCATTAAAAGAAACTGTGCTTGGATTAGTCTTAGCTTTAATCTTCAGTAAAGGGCGTGGAGATTTGCCATCGTTGCTGGGCAGCAGCTCCTAGAAGGGTGTCTTAGCTCTTCCTTCTGCCTAGAGGAACACCTCCCTAGATACGCAGGCTCGAAGGGCATATGGGTCATGTGTGTTCCAATCTCCATACTCACAATTTACTTTTTTCAAAATATTTTGATTGCTGCTCTTTAAGCAAACTCAAAGCCACATTTAGTTGATTTGCTTTTTAATAGGCACTGAGAATCTTGCAAATTGAGTAAGGTTTAGAAAGAATTAACACTTAGTGAACCCTGGATGCCAGTGAAATGGAAATGTTAGTTTTTTAAAATGGCATAAAATCTCTGAGTCGGCCATAATGCTTTATGTTTTAATATCCCTATCCATTTATATCTTCTTATTTCTTTCTCTGTGGCCCCTAGACTTCCTGTTCTATTGCCCAGCCATTTCCACAGGCCTTCTGCTTTTTGCTAAAGCTTTTGCTCTACCACCTGCTTTCACCGGGAAACCTGGCATGTCCTGAGGACTACTACATCCCATAGTCTTTTCTGGGAACGGCCACTCATATCTTGGGAAAGCAAAGTCACCATTCCTATTCTCCCTCGCACTCCCTCTTCTTCCAAGTCTTTCTTCCTTCAGTCACCTTCAATGCTCCCCTTTGGAAACTTAGACCATCACGCTGTGCTGCTCTGTCCCCAACCACAGGTCCCTCCGTGACTCTGCATATGGTCTTCCTGTCCACCCCAGCTGCTACCGCCACCCTGTACCACTTCACCATTCCTGTTGCCAGCGCCTCTCACTTCTCGGACCTTCACCTTCCCTCTTTTATAGTGGCCCACTCACACCAGGAACTGCTCTTGTTTAACACTCAAGCACCTCCATCTGGTGACAGATTCTCATCCTTATTCTCTCTAAACCTAATTTTCAACGCCTTCCCAACCTCTTATCACAGGACTCCTCCCTGTTCTGTTTTATCCATCTCTTCTTTCTAGGATCAAAACTGCCCCAGAGGTGGAATATATGTTGATGATTAAGAACCATTTAAAAAATGATTTCTATGCTAACAAGTGAGGAGAAGAAAGTTATCCCCTGAAGCAGAGTATTGATAGGTTCCCAACCCTGTTCCATAGCTCATAGTTTTGTTCCAACTTCTGTGTGTCTGTTACTGATACTGACTTGTAATATTTTTCTTCTCCAAGCATGTAATCTCGTAGTGGATGCTGCCGATGTTCCCACCAGATTTCCTTAACCTACCAGCATGCCTGTTACCCAGTTGTTGTTTTCCCTTATAATTCACAGATGCCCTTTTCTCGGCTAAAAGAGAGCTGCCTACGGGGGAAGCCAGGTACCACTCCATCCCCCGTGCCAGGGCACACCTCAGGCATGACTCACTGGCATAAGGGCATAAAAAGACAGCCCCTGGCTGGGCGCGGTGGCTCACGTTTGTAATCCCAGCACTTAAGGAGGCAAGGCGGGTGGATCACCTAAGGTCAAGAGTTCAAGACCAGCCTGACCAACATGGTGAAACCCTGTCTCTACTGAAAATACAAAAATTAGCCGGGCGTGGTGGCACATGTCTGTAATCCCAGTTACTCAGGAGGGTGGGGCAAGAGAATCGCTGGAACCCAGGAGGTGGGGTTTGGAGTGAGCTGAGATCACGCCATTGCACTCCAGCCTGGGCAGCAAGAGCGAAACTCCACCTCAAAAAAAAAAAAAAAAGAAAAAGAAAAAAAAAGACAGCTGCCTGAGTAAGACTAACTTTATAGTGCCACTTCTCCTCCAGACCTCCCCCACAAGATTAGACTGAAGCCAGTCTTTAGCAGAAACCACATGATTAACATTTCCCCTTGCCTTGTTCTGCTTCTTTCAAACAAGCATGCTCCCCATCACGCTTTTCCCAAAAATTACCTGAAAAATCCCTGTCTTTAGCTCTGCTTCTAGGGTGCCTCACCTATGACAAAAGTGTTGTGATATCTAGCCCAAGCCCTCATTATTTTTGCTTTCCAAAAATTTATTTGCAACCTTGCATATATTCTCTTTAGATAAAATTTTTAATTAGTTTATCAAGACCTATGAAAAACACTTTTGGGGTTTAGATCGGGACTCTTTAGAATTAATATGTTAAATGGGAAAATTTTTCATCTTTACATAATGAGCAAGCGGTATGATCATCTTACATGTCCTTCAATAGTTAATAGAAAGAAATCACGGGGAGAGAGACAAAGGAGAGAGAGAACCAGTTTTCTCTTTGTGATGAAAAACAAAACAAGCATGTTCACCGCCGCTGCTTCCACTCAAAATTGAACCAGAGACCCTGACAAGTGCAATAAAGCAATTAATTAACTGATGAATTAGATAATTATTTAAAAGGTAAGATAATTTAAAAAGAAAAATAGAATCATTCACAGAGGAATTGAGGTAAATGTTATGAGAATTAAAAAGTGAGTTTAGCAAGATTGCTGACTACAAGGTCAATATAAAAACTCAAGTGTTTTTAATATACTAGCAACACACAGTTAGAAACATTTTTAATATATTATTTAAAAGAGTATAAAAAAGCTATGTGAGGCTGGGCATGGTGGCTCATACCTGTAATCCAGCACTTTGGGAGGCCGAGGCTGGCAGATCAGCTGGGTTCAGGAGTTAGAGACCAGTCTGGCCAACATAGCAAAACCCCGTCTCTACTGAAAATACAAAAATTAGCTGGACGTGATGGCATGCACCTGTAATCCCAGCTACTCGGGAGGCTGAGGCAGGAGAATTGCATGAACCAAAGAAGTGGAGGTTGCAGTGAGCCGAGATAGCACCACTGCACTCCAGCCAGGGCGACAGAGCCAGACTCCATCTCAAAAATAATAATAATAATAAGGTATGTGAGGTAATACTATGTTAATTAGCTAGATTTGGTCATTATGCAATGTTCTATACTTCAAAACACCTTGTATGTGATAAATACATATAATTTTATGTCAATTGTTTTAAGATAATGAAAAAAGCATCACGTAACTAGTAAATATGAAAGATGTTTAAGACTCCATATAGAAAAAGATTAAACATAATTTAGAGAAATTAAGAAGACTGAGTAAATAGAGGGGTATATTTTATTTGTGATTTAAAAGACTCAATATTGTAAGGATGTCAATTTTCTCAAAATTAATCACTGCAATCTCAATCAAAATCTCAGGAAGCTCATTTTTTCAAAAAATTGGCCAGCTGATTCCAAATTTATATGAAATAGCCAAGGGCTAACAACAGCCATGACACTGTTGAAAGAGAAGGAGGAAGAGATAATACCTGCTCTGTCAGATAGCAAGGTTTATTATTAATTGTCAGAATGGTTTTTGGCAAAGGATAGATCAGAACAGAAGCCCAGAAAAATACTGATGCTCGTGTGCACCTTGATTTTGTTCAAGCTTGTTGCAGAGCAGTGGAGAAAGAATGGTCTCTTCAATAAATTATGTTCAGTTCATTGGATAATTACATGGGGGAGAAAGGAATCTTAACTACTACGTCACACCATATACAGATTTCCATTCTAAATGGATCACAGAGCTAATTGAAACACAAAAAAGCATTTACAGTAAGAGTAAAAATTAACAAACTGGACAACACAAAATTTAAAAGCTTTTATTAATCAAAAAACACTATCAAAGTTGGAGATACATATATATCCAAAGTTGGATATATATAGATACACCCCATGACCTAATAATTTCACCCCAGATATTTACCCAATATAAATGTGTGCTCATGGGCACCAAGAGACATGTGCCCATAGCAGCATTCATAATAGCCAAGTACTGGAAACCCAAATGTACATTAACAGCATAACACGTAAATAATGGTATGTTCACACAGTGAAATCCTACACAGCAATGACAATGAATGAACTAAAGCTACAGGCAAAAAAAAAAAAAAAAAAAAAAGATAAATATCTCAAACAATATTTTGAACAAAAGAAGCCAAATGTAAAAGAACGCATACTGTATGATTCTTTTTATACAAAGTACAAAAGCAGACAAAACTAAACTTCAGTTTACCCCTAAACAACACGGGGTTAGCGATGCCAACCCCCCTCACAGTTGAAAATCCAGGTATAATTTTTTATTTTTATAATTTTCTTTTTAGAGATGGGGTCTCACTATGTTGTCCAGGTTAGATTCTGGATTTGGGCACCTGGCTTCCAGCAATCCTTCCATCTCAGCTTCCTGAATAGCTGGGACTACGTGCATGCATCACCGTGCCCAGCTTGTGTGTGTGTGTGTGTGTGTGTGTGTGTGTGTGTGTATTTACCCTTCACAATAATATTTTAACACAGCTATTAAATATTTGTCCTTGATTACAAGAATACATGTTCATGATATATAAAACTTGTAGAAAACAAAGGAAGCATGAAGAGGGCAAAAAAATCACCCCTGGTTTACAATCAAAGACAAAGATTACCAACGTATAATTTTTCACTCCACAAAAACTTAACTACCGATAGCCTACTGTTGAACAGAAAACTTACCAATAGCATAGTCTATTAAATCATATTTTGTGTGTTCTATGTATTACATACCATATTCTTACAATAAAGTAAGCTAGAGAAAAGGTAATGTTATTAAGAAAATAAAAAAAGAGAAAATATATTTACTATTCATTAAGTGGAAGTGGATCATCAATAAAGTCCATTCCCGTCATCTTCACATTGAGTAGCTGAGGCGGAGGAGAAAGAGGAGCGGTTGGCCTGGCTGTTTCAAGAGTGGCAGAGGCAGAAGAGGTGGAGAAGGCAGAATGGGAGGCAGCAGATGCATAGACTTGGTGCAACTTTATAGAAATACATCATCATTTCTGACTTTTTTTTTCTTTTTCATTTCTCTAAAGATGTTTCCACGTGGTACAAATCCTGCTTCCATAATTTGCTTTAGCTTCAGTGCCTGTGTTGTCAAAGGGTCCATGTCAAAAAAGAATTTAAAAGCAACCTTGAGTACTCACAAACTTTCTGCCAGATTGTCTAATGTCAATTTGTTTTCTGGCACTGCTTCTTTTATGTCTTCTTTCTCACCATCTGGAGCTGGTTCAGAAGCACTCATCACCATAAAATTGTCTTCTGTTAATTCCTGTAGTGTGGAATCTATTTACTCTTGAATTTCCCCAAGATCCATATCTTGAAATCCTTCATCCCCTACCTTTTGTGTGTGTGTGTGCCGTATCCACAATCTTTTTCGTCGTTTCCTTGATTGGTTCTGTCGTAAATCCCTTGAAGTCATGCACAACATCTGTCTTTTGTTTTTTGTTTGTTTGTTTGTTCGTTTGCTTGTTTGTTTCTTCCTTTTTATGGAGAACGGGGTCTCGCTATATTGCCCAGGCAGGTCTCGAACTCCTGGGCTCAAGCTATCCTCCTGCCTCTTGCCTCCCTGAGAGCTGGGATTACAGGCGTGAGCCACTGCTCCCGGCCCATGCACAACATCTGGATGCAGTTTTCTCTAGCAGGAATTTATTGTTTCAGGCTTGACAGCTGTCATGGCTTTTTCTATAACAATGATGGCATCTTCAGTGGTATAATCCTTCCACATTTCCAGAGTGTTCTTTCTACTGGGGTTCTCTTCTACAGCGTTGGCAATACTTTCCATGGAGTACTGTGTGTAATCATTTAGAGGCTGAATTAGAGATACTGTGTTTCATGGCAAGGGGACAACTTCGACGTCTTCGATGTTAAACTAATGGGGTTCTAGGTGACCAGGGGCATTGTTCAATAGCAAAAGAATTTTAAAAGTCAGTCCCTTTCTGGCAAAGCACTTCCTGATTTCAGGGACAAAGCACTGATGAATCAATCCAGAAAAAGAATTCTCATATTCCAGGCCTTCTTTTTGTACAACCGAAAGACTGGCAGCTGGTATTTGTCTTTTCCCTTCAAGTGTTGGGGGTTAGTGCTATCTTATAAACCCAACTGTATTTGTACAAAACAGTAGCATTAGCTTATCCCTTCCTGCCTTAAGCACTGATGCCTGCTTCTCTTTCTTACTAATACATGTCATTTACGGCCTTTTTTTCCAGAATAGGGCACTTAGATATGCTTCAAAAACATGGTCAAGTAGATATCCTTTCTCCTCAATTATTTTCTTATGGCAACTGGGAATTTGCTGCCTGTTGGTCATAAAAAATGTTATCTTGATATTTTTAAGCCAAATCTTTTTCTGAAATAATCAAATCATCCTTTACTGACATTAAATTATCCAGCTTTAGATCCTGCACCTTCCTCTTGCTTTAAGTTGTCATACAATGACTTCGGTTTTTCTCTAATCATATTAGAGTCTATAGGTGTGCCTTTCTTATAGTAATTCTGCCCCCATATAAAAGCTGCATTTTCAATATAAAATGAAAACGTGTTTCTCAAAAAGTGTAAAGTTTTCATATCTGCTGGTGTAGCTGCAAAGACAGCTTTACGCATTTCCTTTTCTTTTTTTTACAATGGTCCTGATACTGGGTTCATTTATCTTGAAACGGTGGGAAAATGCAACTGCAGACCTCAATCTATGGTAGATATCAAGGAATTCAACTTTTTCTTATAATGTTATTGCTTTTCTCTGTTTCTTGGGCACACTTTCAGCATCACTGGTGGCACTTCATACAGGTCCCATGATGTTATTCAAGCTGTATGGTATTGCACTAAACATGATGAAAAATACACAAGAACTGTGAGAGATCACTTTTTATTGTCATACACAACTTACTGGACAGATGAGCTGCTCAGGCAGAGATCATTGTCCTCACACTGTGCTTCAAACAGATACTTGCAACACTTGAGCTCACTGTAATAGCAATAGGAGTTGGCTACGAAATTATTACAGTAATACACTATGTACTACAGCTAATTTATGCAATTATGACTTAACATTGCATCTTTACTTTTGTTCTTGTTTCTTTTAACTGCAAGTAGCACCAAGTATGACTATCTGTAAGTGTTCGTGTGCACAAGTTTTGATACATTTTAATTTTTTATAATAGATTTGTACATATGTTATGGGAGTAAATGATAAAATAGGCTAGTACCTACATATACTTTATGCCTTCGTTACATACCTAACTTTTTCTTAATATTTTTGGTATTTCTAGACTGTACAGCAATTTGAAAAATCTGTGATTTGAAAAACCTGCAAGTTTTTTCAAATTGTCCCAAATCTCCAAAATATTTTCCAGTATATTTTTTGAGAAAACTCTGAGTACAAGCGGATCCATGCAGCTCAAACCCGTGTTGCTTGAGGGTCAACTGTATAGTGCTGCAAGTTAGCATATTTGTTACATATTGAAGAGGAGGTAGAAAGTAATAATTAAAAAGGGATGTAGGGGGAATTTTAGAGCAATGGTAATGTTCTATTTTTTTAATCTGGGTGGTGGCTCCATGGTTGCTCACTTTGTGATAATTTATTGAGCTATATGTATACATTTTAATGTTTCCATATTTGTGTTATTCATCACAAGAAAAATAAATTTGTTCAATTTATTTATAGATATTTTATCATTTTGATATTCTTGTGAATACAGTCTTTGGGTTTTCCATTCATTCATTCAGTCAGTCAATCAACAAGTATTTCCTGAGCATCCACTATTTGCCAGATATTGCTTTAGGTACTGAGGTAAAGCAATGAATAAGATGTAGATGTAAAAGGTCCAGTCTCTCATTAAATTCACATTCTTTGGGGGTGATACAAACAATAAATAAACAAAAACAAGATAATCTCAAATAAAATTAAGTGCTATGAATTGAATAAGGCGTTGTGTTGGTGAATAGTTATTACTGGTGTATAAGAAAAAAAAATTTGGATATCTAGCAAACCATCTTGAAGAACATTCTTTATGGTAAATTATAAGCTTATTCGCTTAGATTTTCTAGAAAGATGACCATAAAACCTCTGCATAATGGTTTGGCCTCTTTTTACCAATATTTATTCCCCTGATGGAACTATTCTTCAGTATAATGGAGGACACCTACTTTCAAATCTCTCTGCACAAAACTCAGATGAACAAGCATAGCAGTAAGACACCATTTTAAAACTGCACTTCACTGTACCGACAGAAGAGGGCACTCTTTCACCAAGAAAACAGAGTATGGCCCCCGACTCACCTTCATAAAGTTGCCTGTCCTTTTCAGTCCAAAAATCCTGCACATTTCAGTATGAACAAGAAAAAGTACCAAACAAATATGTAAAATTACTATACAAAGAAAACGGTGAAAATTAAAACTTTTAGCCATGGAGATACTACCCAAGAAATCAATCATGAGGGAGAATAAAGCTGTAGTGTAACACTAGCTTATGAACTAAATATTGTTTGGAAAGAGATTGCGAATATGAAGAATGCTTCAAGTCATAATTTAAAAAACTCAGAATATATATGAATAACAAAATAACCACAGAAAGAAAGTACTGTAATGAGCTATGTCTGAATTAAATAGAAATGATGGAAATAAAAAAATCATCTCAGAAATGGGCCTAGACTACCAGTTGCCTACAGGAGAAAGTACAATAAAGAATATAGAGAAGAGAAATAAAAATAGCCTAGAGAACAAAAACAAAATAAAGAGAGTAAAAGCATAAAAGAATGAAATAAAGACAGGCAAAGAAATCTAAAATATGTGTAACCATAGTCTCTGAAGTACAGAAATAAAACAGTGGAGTAGAAATGATATTTACAGCTATAATCCAAGAAAACAGTTCAAAAATAAAATAAATCCCAAATCTGTACATTGAAATGGCCTACAATGTAACTAGGAAAATTGACCCTGAATGATAAAGTCTAAGACATATTCTGGAAAATCAGTCTTAACATCTGCCGAGAAGAGAAAAAGAGGGAAAGAGAAGAGAGAAAGAGAATGAGAGAGAATCAAGTCAATATAAAGTAAAGAAAGCAAGTTAACATCAGACTTCTTGAGAACAACATACAGACCAGTGGAACAATAAAGAGATTCCAAGTCCAAACCAAGAATTTTATATGCCAAAAAGTATTCTTTCATGAATGGTCTTTCAAGACCATAAAGAAACTATGTTAAACAGTCAAGAACTTAGAGAATATTGTACTTGTTAGCCCTTCTTGAGAAATCTACCAGAGGATGAGCTTCATCCAGTAACCAAAAAAAAAAAAAAAAAAAGATTGAAGAAGAAACTTTAGCAAAAGACTGACAGCACAAATATATTTTATTATAGCTCTAAGACTAAAGCAAACATGTGAATAAGAGTAGGAAAGTAATATATAAATGTTCTATGTTTTATATGGGCTGCCAAAGTAAAAAAAATGACAATAAAGTGAGAGGAAATGCTAGAAAGAAATTAGAAGGTAGAATATAAATCTGTTGATTATTAGGCAGTAGATGGGTGTCAAAAGACATCACTTAAAAATGATAAAAGCCTAAGTAAATAAAAGAGTACCGTGAGGCCATTAGGTCATAATATTGTATAAAAATAATGTCTAGAACAAAAATACAAACTTTCCTAAACATCACAAGGAAAAATTAAAAAGAGAAAAAATTGTAAAATAACAAGACAATACGATTCTAAAGTTCATATGGAAAAATAAACAAACAAGAATAAATAGGAAACCATTGCAAAGGAAAAGCAACAAAGCTTCCATAATTAAAACACTGATGTTGGTACATGAATAAACAGACCAAAGGAAGAGGCTAGTAAATCCATCAACAGACCTAACCACATATGGAAATTGAGTATATGATAAATGTGGCAACTCAAATCCCAAAGGGAAAGATAGATGTTGTTGTCGTCGTTGTTGTTTAAGATGGAGTTTTACTCTTGTCACCCAGGCTGGAGTGCAATAGCGTGATCTCGGCTCACTGCAACCTCCGCCTCCTGGGTTCCAGTGATTCTCCTGTTTCAGTGTCCCGAGTAGCTGGGAAACAGGCACCTGCCACTATGCCCACCTAATTTTTGTATTTTTAGTAGAGATGGGGTTTCACCACGTTGGCCAAACTGGTCTCTAACTCCTGACCTCAAGTAATCTGCCTGCCTCAGCCTCCCAAAGTGCTGGGATTACAGGTGTGAGCCACTGCGCCCAGCCGATAATTTTTTTTTAATACAGCTTATCACCCCCAAGACTAGGGAGTGTCTCCTTCAAGAACTAACCCAAGTAGATTAATTCACAGCCCTGGCTGGAGGTAAGAGGTAGATGTTTTAATAAGTAGTATTGGACCAACTGAATAGCCATTTGGAAAAAGATTAAAATAGTATTCATATTTATCTCATGCCAAGTAAGCTTCAATTGGATCAGAGATCTAAATTTTTTAAATGAAACTATACAGGTAATTGAAAAAAGTGTGGGTAAATACCTTAAAACCTGGAAGTGGGGAAAACCTGATTTTAAAAATTTAGAAGCAATAGAAGAAAAGATTGGTATATTCAGCTTATAAAAAATTTTAAAGTAGAGTTAATAAGCAAAGTCAAAGAGAACTGACAAACCGAGGAAAGGTTTATGCTAATTCTAATACAAAGGGTTAATCTTCCTAATACATAAAAATCTCTTAAATCAAGAAGAAATGCACCTACATAAATGTCAAAAAAAGAACAGACATAACACAGGGAAAGATATATAAATGACTGAACATGTGATTGCATGCTCATAAATTCACTCAAAACAAGAGAAATTTAAATTAAATATATACTACTATAGTATTTTTTATCTATCAGTTTGGCAGACACCCAAAGCCTTTATGACATTCTGTGGGTGTGGATGTGAAGAAATAGGCAGATACATATTATTGCTAATAGGAGTGCTATGGTGTAATCCTTAAAACCTGGATTTAGCAATAGCTAAGAAAATTATATATGCAATTGTACTTTGGCTCAGCAATGCAACTCCTGGGAATTTACCCTAAAGGTATACCTCCATAAATACAAAATAGTATATATCCCTCTCTTGTTCCTAAATTGTTGGTTAGTGTCATTATTCTTTTTGCCATAACTCTAATTTTTTTAAGCTTTTGTCTTTCACTTTTTACATTTCTGCCTTCGTCTTTATTATTTTTACCTTTATTTGGGTTTGTGAAGCATGTTGTTCTTTTTTCAAAATTCTGGAGGAAAAAACAATTTATGCATTTTAATTATTTTCTGTTTTCTAATAAATGAAATAAAAGTTTAATTTTTTCTCTGTGTAATTTTTTCTACTTAAATTATTGATCACTAGAAAAGGTGTGTGAAAGTTATTCAATATTTTTGTAGATGTTTCAATTTCTTCTTTTACTTATACCTCCTAGTATTTTCGAAGTATGCTATTAGGTGATATTACTTTTTAGTTTTAACACATGGCATCTTTTATCAAACTGAAATATTTATCTTTGTTCTTATAACTGTTTTGGACTTTGGGTAGAATTTTTTTCGATGTTATTGTTGTTATTTCTGCTTTTCTCTTTTTAATACTTCTCTAGTGTCTGTTTTTCTCTATCATTATTTTAATCTTCTTGTTTTTACTGTTTTAGAATTGTGTCCTATAAATTGTCTATAAGTAGATCTTTGTCTTTTTAATGCAGTATTTCTTTAAACTGGCCAATTTAAGACATCCACATTTCTTGAGACTGGTCATATTTGGACTTATTTGCTGTCTTGTTTTATGCTTTGTACATGCTATGCTTTCTTGCTTTTTTTTTTTTACATTCCTTTGAATTTTTTCCAAGTGTTTTTCATTCTTTTTCCCTCTACTGTTTTGGAGATTATGCATTCTATTTCAATCTTTGACTGGTTATTGTTTAGTTTAACATAAATATTGTATATAATTTTTAAATTAATGTCCAGGGTTAGACTATTTTCCCCATCACCCCCTGAAAAGAACAAGAACCCCAGAGGTTTTATTTCCTTCCTTCCATTCTCTCTATAATTCCCTTGGCACTCCTCAAGCCTACTGTCTTCTACCTCTCAAAGTGAGATCATCTAAGTTTTAATTCTTAAATTATTATTTCTAATTTAATCTTCAATCATGTTTTACTCTGTTTTTTTGCATCACTGCTACTCATATTCCATACTTTTTAGCCAATTCATTTAAAAAAATTTTTTGGAGCAGAACTTCTGGTCATTCCTTTAGGTTAAAGTTTTCAGATAGTAAACTTAGAGTGCTTGCTCATGCATCTTGCCCTCACACTTGAATAAAACTTTTTATGGGTAAATATTTCAGTTTACAGTATTTATTTCTCCCAGAACTTCAAAATATTCTTCTGTGTCTTCTTGTAGGACAAAGAGAAGCTAAACTCTATATGATTCTCGTTCCAGTTTATAAATTTGAACTTTTAACACAAAAGGCTTTTAGAATATATTATTTTTGCATTTATCTTCTTTAATTTTGCCACAGTGTGGAAGTGTGGGTTCTGAATGGGCCCTTTCAAAAGAGAATGCATGACTGTTTTCAATTCTGTACATTTTTTTTCTTATTTCTTTGAGTATTTCTATTCTTCAGTTATCTCTCTGTTCTTTTTTCCTGAAATGCTCCTTAATGAATGTTGAAACCCTTTAAACTGCCTTACATGATTTTAACATTTTAAGGTGTGTTTTGTTTGTTTGTTTGTTTGTTTGTTTGTTTGTTTGTTTTTGAGACAGAGTCTCACTCTGTCACCCAGGCTGGAGTGTAGTGGTGCAATCTCGGCACATTGCAATCTCCACCTCCCAGGTTCAAGTGATTCTCTTGCCTCAGCCTCCCAAGTAGGTGGGATTACAGGCATGCCACCATGCCCAGCTAATTTTTGTATTTTTAATAGAGACAAGGTTTCACCATGTTGCCCAGACTGGTCTTGAACTCCTGGCCTCAGGCGATCTGCCTGCCTTGGCCTCCCAAAGTGCTGGGATTACAGGCATGAACCACCACACCTGGCCAACATTTTAAAATACTTTTGATCCCTTTATCCTTTTATTCTACATTTTGTACAATTCCACAGCTCAATCTACTAGCTAACTCTTCAGCTATTTTCATTCTATTATTCAATCTACTTAATTGCAATAATCAAATTTATTTCCAGAAACTCTAAATGAATATTTTTAATAATTCTCTGTTCTTGTTTTATGGATGCTATCAAGCATATTACTTATATATTTTTAAAAATCTCATTTGACCTCTTAACTCTGTTGAGGCTGATACCCTTTATTCATGTGATTATTTTCTACAGTCATGTGGTAGATCTGGGTTGTAGGTTTCTCTTCGTATTTGAGATTCCTCATTAGACTGTCTATGAATACTGCTTTGGGGTTTACCACAACTTGCCTTGGCAATTTCAGGGTGGTAGGGCCTGAATGTGCTTTGGGGCAAGTGTATTAGTGGCTTACAAACCTTGTTGGGAACTTCTACTTCTTGATACTTTCATTGAGTGGTGGTGATATATCTTCTGTATAACATCCAGCCAGACAGCCTGGTTAAAAATCCTAGTTCAATCATTTGCTGTCTGAGGGATGTTAGGCAAATTACTTAATCTCTTTGTGCCTCTGTTTCCTCATTTGTTAAGGGTGGATAAGTATAATAACCCACCTCTTAGGATGAGTGAGAGTGTTAAATGGGCACATAAAGGTCTTCGACAAAAGCTGGCACACAATAAGCACAAGTATTAGTGTTATTACTGTCCCAGTTCAGATATTTCATGGTTGCAGTCTTATTCTGGATATTGAAACTCATTCCATGCCTGAACCCAACATTGTAAAAAAAAAAAACCAGTGCTAAGGGGAAAAGTCACAGCTGCCAACAATTATTGGGCATAGTGAGAATTCTAAATGAGGAATTTCTCTTCTTCCATTGATTATCAATTGAGGTCATAGTTTTACTGAAGGAATTTTTTTACTGGCTGATATGGTTTGGCTCTGTATCCCCACCCAAATTTCACCTTGAATTATAATAATCCCCAGGTGTCATGGGAGGGACGTGGTGGGAAGTAATTGAATCATGGGAGCAGATCTTTCCTGTGCTGTTCTCGTGATAGTGAACAAGTCTCATGAGATCTGATGATTTTATAAAAGGGAGTTCCCCTGCACATGCTCTCTTGCCCACCACCATGTAAGACATGAGTTTGCTCCTCCTTTGCCTTCCTTGCTACCTCCTTCACCATGATTGTGAGGCCTCCCCAGCCATGTGGAATTGTGAGTTCATTAAACCTCTTTTTCTTTATAAATTACCCAGTCTTGGGTATGTCTTTATTAGTAGTATGAAATGGATTAATACACTAGCTTTTTGAGTCTTTGACTGCATTGGATGCCACTCAAAACAACATGCATTTAATTTTAATTCCTGTGATGTTTACAGCATGGTGTCAGGAGCTAAAGATAAAATATATCTGCATTCGCATACACCAAAATAGATCTGAGAATGGTTTTCTGTTCCATGCATACACAAAAGCCAACCAGCCTAGATATGAAATTCTTTAATCATATATTTTCCCTCAGACCTGCACACTAAGTTTCGCTATCTTCAGAAATTTTGTACAAAACAAAATTTGATGCTCATCTGATTTTTTTTATCCTTTATACATTATAACTATTTCTTTTTTTGCCCAAATGCTGATAGGATTACTTTCTCAATCTTTTAAAGTTTTTCAGCATGTCTGTTTTTGCTCTGCAGGGGGAGGGCGAATCATTCGGTATGATCCTGTGACTATCCAAGTTAAAAAGGTTTTCTTCCATCATGTCATGGATTGTTGACTTTATGCCAATTAGTCTTCTTTTTTCCTGAGAAACACCATAGTTGTTGGGTTTACTTTCTATTCTCTCTTTATATCTACCAACTTCTCTCTTATTATTTCCTATACATTCTAAGAGACACACTCAAATACACCCTATTCATCACTAACTAAAGTTTCCAGCATGTCAGTTTTGCTTCTTTATTGCCTTTAAATTCTATTTAAATTCTTCTATGGCATCTATTGCATTTTTTTGTTCCCTAGTGGTCTGTTTTCATCTCATTTAGCTTTTTCACATCTTATCAGAGTTTATCTTTGTGGCATTGCACTCCAATTCCATAGATTTTGTGTCTTCTTAAATCCTATTAATTATGCCCAAAATTAATATGCATTTTGGGCATATTTTCTAAAAGCTTCTTCCAGTTCTTGCTGTAAATCATTTTATGAAGTCAGTCTCTCTCTCTCTCTCTCTCTCTCTCATTTATAACATGATATATCTCTTCTTATTTGGCACTGATTTTTTTCATACCTTATACTTTTGTTTCTACTTATTTAATCTTGAACATGGAATGATCTGTTCAGGACCTATGTGTGTCAACAAGAGGTGTGCAAGTTTCTCAGCCCCGCTGTTGTGCACTGGATTGCTTTTTAAATCCTTTTCACCTCTCTGTAGCTAAAACTTTGTTGAAGCACATGAAGGGAAACAGTATTTAAATGGGAAATTTATTGCATTAGAATATGAGCATTTATAAATTAAATATCAAGTATATATTACAGTTAATGTAAATACTATGAATATATTATTATTTAATATGCTTAATAAGTATATTGATATGCTTAATATACTTAAGTATGCATATTTGGGGATATTTTCTGTTTTTATTGGGTAAAGAAAGGATTTGGATTCTTTTAATTGAGTAAGAAGAAAATAAAATGGATTTGGGAAACGAAGAATGCAAGACGAGTGGTGTGGATAAAGAACACATCTGGAATTGGCATTCAACTGTGGAGCAAAGAAATCCATTGAGACAACTGCACAAGATTCCTCACCCTGTTGCTCCAACTGGACCTCCGCCTCGGGTTAATGACAGTGTAATTTTTAAAAATACCAGCATGCAAAATCTGTAAACAGCAATTAGGAATGAAGCAACACATGTTCTGGCTTGTCGCAGCTCAAGGAAAAAAACTACAGAAGAGTTTGAGGAGTATGCGCTAGACAATGTGTGAAGTTATAAGGAGGACTTGAATTGAAATGCAATTGAACATACAGATTCTGTATCTATTAGGGAGCCTGTTGAGTACTATATGTCCATGTTTCTCTTACCAGAATATTTACAGTCAGCATAAGTGAAACAATTGTTTTTGAATCTACATTACCTCATCTGTTCTACCTGTCAACATTGCTATATGGAGAAAACCTTAAACTGAGGAAGTGGGGAGCTCATTCTCTTGTTGATTTAAAATCATGCTCTGGTTGGCTTTCCAGCAATTATATCAGCCTATGGACTTGTATGTTCTTTCTACCCCTGGGCACCATATTGCTGGGTCAATCTTGCTGGTGCAAGAAAAATGAAGAGTCAAGGTCTCCCTATTTGGAACATAATTTCCAGTGTCTGAAAGTCTTCCATCTAGTGTAGTTCTGCTGGGCTCAGGTAAATATTCTCCTCTTTGTATGGCCTGGGTCTGGGACACTTTAGACAGACAGTGTAGATAAAATATCCAAGAACTCTGCCACCAAGGCTTTTCCTGTCCTTGGCTCCACCAAAAGTATTTTATTGCTGATGACTAAACTGCCTAGGATGGAAAGAACAAATGCCTGTCCTCACCTTCTCCCAAGTCATAATTGGGAAGTCATTCAGTCTTCAAATGGCTGCAGAAAAAAAGAAACTAACTAATAAGAAAGACAGAGGGTGAAGGACAGCAGCAAGTACAAAATAAAGAGATAGACGTCTAAAATTCAAGTTGAGAGACAGCATGTGTTTCTGAACTCAGAGGAAGGCAGCAATGGGAGGAAACAGGCAGACTGACTCACTGGCAATGAGATGCAGGTGACCCCTCAACAATGCCTCACTGCCCAGCCTCGTTAACTTGTAGTCAGCAGGGACCAGGCACGGTGGCTCAAGCTTGTAATCCCAGCACTTTGGGAGGCCAAGGCAGGTGGATCACTTGAAGTCAGGAGTTCAGGACCAGCCTGGCCAACATGGTGAAACCCCCTCTCTACTAAAAATACAAAAATTAGCTGGGCGTGGTGGCGGGCGCCTGTAATCCCGCTACTCAGCAGGCTGAGGCTTAAGAATCACTTGAACCCAGGAGGCAGAGGTTGCAGTAAGCCAAGATTGCACCACTGCACTCCAGCCTGGGCAACAGTGCAAGACTACATCTCAAACAAAAAAAAAAGAAAAACCTGTAGTCGGCAGAAATGTCTTCTATATTCTGATGATCAGCTGGCTATCACTCTGGTTTTAGCATTGTCAGTTTTCATCTTTTTTATATGCCTTCATATGTAATTATGATGGAAAGCTGGGAGAAACTATTACTGGGGCAAGATGTATTTTTCCTGTGTAACTGAGATGAATTGTTAGTTTCATAGATTATGTATTTTTATATTTTTGGATGAAACAGTTTGAAGTTAAATTTATATCCCTAAAAAAATCAGTTGGCAACACATCGTATATATTTTAACTAATAACAAAAGTGCTTTATTCATTCAGAAGAAACTTCTTAATAAATCAAAGGTTAGTAAAGAATGTTTACTGATTTACATAAAGATTTAAGATTCTTAATTTTCCTCATTATTGTAAATAGATACATTCTCCCTCTCATGCTTCAAAATCTGAGAAATCCCGATGTAAATGAAAAAAAAATGTGTTTACCAAGTAAAAGAATAAGAACAAAAGAAATGCCGGGCAGTGCAGGCCTATATATAGGTCATGGTTTCCAGCTACGTGTCGGGCAGTGGTGCCAAGTCAGACATGGAAACAGCCCCCAAAACGTCAACCCCAAAAGGAACCACAGGGGACATGAAGTTTTTGGTTATCTGAAATTAATTTGACCCATGGGACATGCATTCTGGATAGGGCACTGCCTCAAACTGCCTCACGTTACCAACGTCAAATTGTTTTAGGTCGTAAGTGAGCTTCAACAATGAGAAGGTTGTATGGAGAACATGGAACTTGTCTCTCAGAGCACAAAGAAATCACTGGGGTAGGTGAGAAAAGGAAGAGGAGGCTAGCATGGGAGCAGGTGTGGTTCACCTGCCTTCTGCAAAAAAACTGCGTGGCCACACTGAACGACTGGTGGCAGCTGGGAGGAGGACAGCCACAAGGTGGGCCAAGGAAACTGAGCCGCAAGCAAGACCTGAAACCCACCTCGATAGGAAAGAGACTGACTCCAAAGAGATGTGAGTTGGACGTGTCAGTGGTCATGGCAGAACATTCAGCTAAGATAGAAATTAGGAACTCAGATTACCACACCAGAGAACAGAGGCCCTGAGTCCGCGAGTAGGAACACTCAGAGGTCAGGCCTTCAGTAGACTAGAGCTTGAGATGAGCCCAATGGCCTTCTTGACAAGGGTTTCAGGTTTTGTTTTGGCTTTTTGGGTTTTTTGTTTGTTTGTTTTTTGAGACAGGGTTTCGCTCTGTCACCCAGGCTGGAGTGCAGTGGCGCCATCTCAGCTTACTGCAGCCTCCATCCCCTGGGTTCAAGTGATCTTCCCACCTCAGCCTCCCGAGTAGCTGGGACTATAGGTGCACACCACCACGCCCGGCTAATTTCTGTATTTTTTGTAGAGTCAGGGTCTCAATATGTTGCCCAGGCTGGTCTCGAACTCCTGGACTCAAGTGATCCACCTGACTCGGCCTCCCAAGAAGTGCTGGGATTGCAGGCATGAGCCATCATGCCCAGCCAACAAGCATTGCTATGGACACCATGCCCAGGCTCAAGCCTGTTGTCACCATGTGGTCTGGCATGAGACCTCTCGGAAGACACAAAAGTCCACGTGGCCAGAAGGCAGAGAGAGGGGCACACGGAGGCCAGCCTCCACGTGGCCAGAAGGCAGAGAGAGGGGCACACAGAGGCCAGCCTCCACGTGGCCAGAAGGCAGAGAGAGGGGCATACGGAGGCCAGCCGTCCACAATGCCAGCAGCACTTCTCTTGACACCTGCCTGTGCTGGGTGCATAAAAGGAGCTAGCCACAGGTGGGAATTCTTGGAGCTAGGGGGAGGAGAGACAGAGGGAAGTGTTTGATGATAATGTTGGGGGACTCAATAAGGAAAACTGAGATAAACCTCCTCTAAATCCACTAGCCACTTTCCTGGGTCAGTGTCAAAATCACAAGACAAATATCATTCCCCTGCTCTGTGCAAAATGAGTGCTGGTTGGGGCAGTCACACATCTTTGAGCTATCACTTAAATACGCCCAAGCCCTGCCTTGTCCTAGGTGAAAAGACCTCACAGGACATCTTCCATGCAGTAGCTGTCAAAGGAAGAAACAGGGCATCTCGCCCAGTGATGACCACAATCATAACTATCCCAGAAACAGAGCTGAGTTTCCAAACACGTTCCGGTCAAACTACCCCAGAAACAGAGCTGAGTTTCCAAACACGTTCCAGTCAAACATGTTCTCTTGCTGCCCATGTTAAAGTGGCTTCTGAGTTTGCCATCTCTTAGAAATGGTCTAATGACCTGAACTTTTAGGATTCCTTCAAAAGGAGGTAGGTACTGTTCTGAATTGTGTTGACCTTCAGGTCACAGAGGGTGAATTTATATGCTTGAAAGTTTAGGGTAGAGAACAACAGCCCTTCAATACTAACAGACTCAGATGAAAATAAGCTACAGGGTGACAGAAAGATCAAGATAAGCACAAGCCGATGGCTGGAGGATGAAGGAGATGCTTTAGATATTACCAAAAACTCAAATGCCCATCTTATGCCAGGGGAAGATTGTATTGATATTTTCCTCCAGCTCCAAAGTACTAGACACTGCTCCCCTTTTAAGGAGAGCAGACCCTGCCATAAAAGAGAATGGTTTGGGTTTTGTTGTGTCTAATGAAAAAGAGAAAAGGGTGGTTGGCATTAAACTCCACCCAAGATCGTAGTGACCTTTCCGAGACAACAGCCCCAGTGGCTGCAGCTGCCTGGGTACCGTTTTCATCCACCTCCACAAAGGTTTTGTGGATAATTTTTGACAAGTACAAATTGGGACTTGGAGAGATTCCAGTAAGATCAGCCCTCGTTTCATCAAAGATATCCGTAATGCCCATGTCTTGTAAAATGGAATTGAGATCATAGCTGTCTTCCAGGGTGAACCGGGGGAAGGACAGGACCACCGATTCTTCTGACATGTTTTCTGAGCTGCTCCAGGCCACCATTTTTTCATAGGTGATTTTCCTTTCAAGCTACAAGAGGAAGGAAATAATATTTAGCATCAGATTATGGGACCACAAAGAATGCCCCAATTACTTCAAGGTGCCTGAGTCCCTTTCAGTGGGCAGTGACAACCTTCAAGACCTTTCCCTAAGCTAGAGAATAGTCTGATTTCATTTAAAACTTCAAGCAAATATCTTTCCTCTTTAGAAGAAGTTAGGGGACAACTCAGGTTCCAGTGTGCTCTGGTGTTTGAGAGACAAGTGTTCAAAGCACAGCAAAGCTCAGTCGATTAGTTGAGTTCTGTGGCCAAGCCCTCATTTTCTGAAGTTAAATTTCCTCTTCCATAAAAGAGAGATAATATGATTAAGTTCTTGCAAGCATTAATAAAATCATGTATATAAAGAACTTAACACAGTGATAGCACATAGCAAATTCTGAATAATGGTTGTTATTGATGTTGTAACTACTATACCTGCTATATTGGTATTCCTTTCTCACTTTCTCTCTCCTTCTATCTTTATCTCTTTACCCCCCTGGACAATCTGTAGCTGAGCTTCTCCAGCCTTTATGAATTCCTACCTCACAAGCAATCAATTCTGTTGTCACTCTCTACACTTCTGTCAAGGTACATATTCCCCAAAACAGTATTCAGTTAATTCTTTAATTAACTGAGCTATAGAAAAATGGTATGAGTAAGAGGCCAGAAGTCAGAATATTCAGAGAAAAGGGAAAACTTAAAAACTTTTCAAGTTACTCAGAACCCAGATTCCTTGATTTGCTAAAACAGTGGCAGAGAGCTATGAGATTAAAGAAGAAACTCCAATCCCAATATTTTTGGCATTTGTTGTTTAATTCTAAACAAATGAGGAATAAATATCTAATCTAATTCAGATTCTTACACATTCCTTGATGTCTCTGACAGCTGAGGTACTGAATTTCCTCGAGATGGTAGATAGTAGACAGTGTTGTTCTCTAAAGATCTATCATTAAATATTTTGTAGAGATGTGGAAATGAAGATTTACCTCTTCCAGACCCTTCAGGTTATCTTTAGAGTGAGATGGCAGCAGCACGAACATGCTGAGCTTCCCCTTGGTGTACCTCATTTCCAGGATCTGTGCCTTCACCTCCTCTATGAAGCCAATTCTGTAGAGGCCTTTTTGCGTCATCATCTTCACACTCTTGTTTTCATTCTGTAGTAGTCAAGGTAGGAGGTCACAGGACGGCTATGGGAAACTCCCAAATTCATATGGCCCCAGCTTCACGGAGGACAGGGGTTCCTAAAGATGAGAAGGTTCTGCAGGAGAAGTCCTGAGCCACACCAGGGATCCAGCCTACAAGAGTCTACCCACTCATCAGTGGCCCTTACTTTGCCAACACTTTATCTTTCCGTGTCTTTTTTTGTTGTGGAGTGACGGGGATGGGGGCCAGGTGTTTGCTTTTTTGTTTCTGAGACAGGGTCTTGCTCTGTCACCTAGGCTGCAGTGCAGTGGTGCCATCATAGCTCACTGCAGCCTCACCCTCCCGGGCTCAGGCAATCCTCCCACCTCAGCTTCCTGAGTAGCTGGGGCCACAGGCGTGGACCACCACACCTGGCTAATTTTTTTTATTTTTTGTAGAGACACGGTCTCCCTGTGTTGCCCAGGCTAGTCTCAAACTCCTAGTCTCAACTGATCCTCCCTCCTCAGCCTCCAAAAATGCTGGGTAAGCCACCTCACCTGGCCCTTTCCATGTTTTTTAATCAGTTCTTCAGCTCCCAAGGTGACTATTAGTAAACTTACTATCAAAGCATCTCCACTGTTAAGTCAGCAGAAACACGCCCTGCCAGCTGTCCCACTGTAGGGCCTATCCCAGCCCAGCCTCTTGGCCTCATACCACCCCATGCCAGCTGGCCTGGATGACCCCACCACAGCACCAAGGGCAGACATGTTAAGTGAGAATCATCTCCATATTAAATAACAACACCTGCTCCTTCAGAGGGACAGCACAACCCCAGGCACCTTAAATCTCATAATAACCTCAAGGTGGTGGGTGAGGGGTCATCAACCTGCAGATGGGGATATTTGGTGCTTGAGAGAAAAATGCATCTCCAGTAATAAGCTAGCTGGCCAACAAGTGGGTGGCTGGGACCCAACCCTTTCTGTTTCCTCCCATTCTAAATCTACTAGCTTAGAACACAAGTTTCTGGGGCAAACACTCACAGATTGAATCCTAATGCATGAATCCAGCTAACTTAGCCTTTCCTTTTTTTGTCTCAAATCCTAAGTGGAAATCATAATAACACCCATCTCATAATGCTCTTTGGGGGAACAAATGAAATAACAAATGGAAGAATACTCAGTGCAGGAAGCACTTGGCACAAAAATACTCAATGAAATTCAGGTACTGGTTCTTATCAACGAAAAATGTTCTTATTGTAAATGTAAGCTGTAACTTTTCGAGTATACATATTGTAAATCATTCCTAGTGGAAATTATGAGTTGGCTAGCTAGAAAACCATGAGTTCTGATACACTACCGCATTTAGACAGAAAGGTGCATCCACCGTGTTTTCATGGTCAAAGTATGTTTCCCATTTGGCCTTGAAGTAAACAGCATTCACCAGTACCAGCACAGTCTCAGCATTAATAGCGTCCTTGCTGAAGAGTTCCTTGATTTTACCTAAAAAAAGATCCCAGAGAATATCCTGAGTATGAATTGTATCAAAAGCATTTGTGTAGATAATTTTTTTTTTTTTTTTTTGAGACAGAGTTTCGCTCTTGTCTCCCAGGCTGGAGTGCAATGGCGTGATCCCTGCTCACTGCAACCTCTGCCTTCTGGGTTCAAGCGATTCTCCTGCCTCAGCCGCCAGAGTAACTGGGATTACAGGCGCCCGCCACCATGCCTGGCTAATTTTTTATTTTCAGTAGAGAAGGGGTTTCGCCATGTTGGCCAGGCTGGTCTTGAGCTCCTGACCTCAGGTGATCTGCCCGCCTCGGCCTCCCAAAGTGCTGGGATTACAGGCATGAGCCACCGTGCCTGGCCAATAATTCTTTTTAATGCAGTTTATCACCCCCAAGACTAGGGAGTGTCTCATTCAAGAACTAACCCAAGAAGATTAATTCACAGTCCTGGCTGGAGGTAAGCGAGGGGGTGATGGGGCAGGGGAGAAACCCTCTAACTCCACCTCGCAGGGGGTCCAATCACAGCACTGTAACAGAAGGAATCTCCTTTGATTCCCTGTATTGCTTGTGTTTGGAACTTGTCAGTAGACATCTTATACTATGGTTTATCTTTCAAATTATATAGTTAGTCATCTGACAATATGATAAGCTCCCTTGAGAACAAAGAACTACAATATAAACTTCCTGTCTCAAGCACTCAACATAGCATAAGGTATATGCTTACATGTAAACAAAAATACACATAAATGTGCTAGACCATGATATAAAACCTATTTTATAGATACTTTTATATGCTCTTTCTCATTCCACCCCACCTTAATCAATTAATTGATCCATCCCACGATAAGGAGGTATCATTATCCCTTCTTCATAGAAGAATCAATTGCATCCAGGGAGAGCTGAAGTCACACAGCCAAGAAGCAGTAAGACTGGCAGGAATGGGTCCTCAGGCCTTCCACCTTTGGGCTCAGCTCTGGGGCTCCTTCCACAATAACACAGCCCTAAGCTCCACTTGAAAAGCCCCAGGCTAGCGGGCAATATCCCACCTTTAGTATACACCCTTTCCTACTCAAACTACCAAATCACCAGTTACTTGAATATTTGCAGATGTCTTAAGAAGAAAAGATCTTCCATCTCAAGAAGAGCTCTATTTAAATCCCATAATAATAGATTAGGTTGACATCATCTACATTTCAAATTTTCTGGAGGAGTTAACTCACTAAGGGGAAAGTACATATCCAGGCCTTAATATGAGCTTCATTAATGAATTGCTTTCCTTTTGACAGCTGAGTAGAGCCTTGAAAGAATGGTCATTTTTATGGCCTATGAAAGAAGGAAAAAGCAATAATTTTGGAATTTAGAGACTTCTCCCAAGGAAAGGCAGGCAGGGGTATCCCATCCCTAAGTCAGTGTGAGAAAAAGAGGAGACAGGGAGAGAAAGCCACCAAATGGAAGGGAGGAACCGAAACTGTCACTCTGGTACCAAGGACAGCCTAAAATAAGTCAACTGTCATTTCCCAGCCTCCAGCCACTCAAAATGTATGCAAATGCCTGGGGTCATGGTCTCACTCTGAAGGCAGGAGACATAATGCACTACCTGTGCTCTCTCATGCACTCCAAACTTTTCACTGTACACGAACACCTTCGCCAGCCCCACACGATGATCAAAAAGGGGCCTAGTCTATGTCCAGCAGCCTGACCTGACCCTTCAGGTCACTAACTTTGGTCCTGGAGGGAAGAGTTTATTCTGTTTTTCAAATTCACACGGGCACCGGTAGAAGGGAGCATTCTCTAAGCCCCACCTAGAAGATCAGCACTAACGAGGCTGGTGTCCTCCTTTCCCGCCCAGAGCCAGCAAGACCAGAGACCAAAACTGCAATAATAAATAACAGCAATATCTAAGCAGTTTAACTGTTTGATGCTGTTCAGACCATGCTTTTTTGTTTTGTTTTTTTTTAAATTTCAGCTTTTATTTTAGATACAGGAAGTACATGTGCAGGTTTGTTACATGGCATGTTGCTCACAGATAGTAGGCATAGTACCCTATAGGTAGTTTTTCAACCCATTCCTCTCTCCCTCCCTGACCCAAGTTAGTATCTGGAGGGTTCATTGTTCCTTGCCATATTTATGTCTGTGTGTCCTCAATGTTTAGCTCCCACTTATAAGTGAGAACAATGTTTGCCTTTCTGTTCCTGTGTTAATTCATAGGATTATGGCCTCCATTTCCATCATGTTACTGCAAAGGACATGATTTCATTCTTTTTGATGGCTGTGTAGTATTCCATGGTGTATATGTACCACATTTTCTTTATCCAACCCACTATTGATGGACACTTAGGTTAATTCCATGTCTTTGCTATTGTGAATAGTGTGGTGATGAACATATGAGTGCATATGTCTTTTTGGTAGAATGATCTCTATTTCTTTGGATATATACTCAGTAATGGGATTGCTGGGTCGAATGACAGCTCTGTTTTAACTCTGAGAAATTTCCAAACTACTTTCCACAATGGCTAATTTACATTCCCACCAATAGTGTATAAGTGTTCCCCTTTATCTGAAGCCTTGACAGAATCTGTCGTTTTTTAACTTTTTAATAATAGTCATTCTGACTGGTGTGAGATGGTATCTCATTCTGCAAACCATGCTTTGAACACAGTCCACATATGTGAACCTCTGGCCCCCAGTAGACCAGCAGTCTGCAAAGCTAGGCAGACCAATTTTCTTTTAAATGGAAACCAATACCAGCTCCCGTGCTTTTGGGCTTTCTTACCTTGGGATTGACATTCAACCCAGAAGTTAATCTCTTGTCTGGATTTTTCAGGGTTTTTTTGGAAATCAACACTTTCAATCGTCGTGTGGTAAAATTGAATCACACCATCTAAGTATTCCTGTTCCATTGGAATAAAAGGGAAATAATGCAATAAAGTCAGGCAGTGATGCTCGTAGTTAGGAGTGAGACTCTCCTGAGAAGTCTCCCAAGAAAGATGAGCCTGGTCATTTCACATTTCATGGACAGGCCTGACAGTTTCTAGCCATCCCCAGTCTTAAACTAGCCAGAGACATTTCAGTTTTTTTAGTGAAAAATGAGGATATCAAATATTATTCATGAACAGTCTATAGTTACAACGGGACAAGCCTTTCCTACTGGATATCCTTTTATTTCAACAAACCATCTGTGGAGCCATCACAAGGTAAGTATCAAGTAACTTGAGAGACTTGGCTGGAAAATGCTTCTGTTTTTAAGAATTAAACTCCCGCTTAATGGTTGCAGAGTTTCTGTTTAGAGTGATGAAAAAAAAAGTTTTAGAAATAGATAAGGTGATGGTTACACAACATTGTGAATGTAAGTAATGCTACTGAAATGTACACATAAATGGTAAATTTTATATGTATTTTACTATAATTTTAAAAAATCAGTAATGTAATATACCAAACCCATTGGTTTGTGTACTTTTAACAGGTGAATTGTTTAATATATGAATTTATAGCTCATCAAAAGGCTAGTTTTTAAAAATCCAGCATGAAAAATCTTACTTTCATTGCAAGGAAACACACTTATTTTGGCCAAAGGAGGCCACCCAACCCCTGGCTAGTCCTGCTCTAACCAACCATGTCACGTCTTTGCCATTGGTCATATCCCCCACATTTATTATTTAGCACATGGCTCCTTCTAGTGATTCAAAAGGAAACTGAAGCCCAGATGGAGACACAGCTTGCTCTAGGTACGAAGCTGTTTAGCCACAGACACAAGTCCTGTGCCTTTCAGCTCCAAATGCCAAAACGCAGTCTCCTCCTGCTACCCCACTCTCAAAAGAGCATAGTGAACACAATTGCATTGCGGGGGTAGCCTGATCCTGGCACAAAAGGAGATTCCACAGAAATGTCTTGGGGGCACCTAACAGATAAGGGAGAGAGAAGTGCAGCAACCAGGCACATTGACTGGGGAAGACAGTCAGGAGAGGATGCCATTACCAAGCCCACACGTGCTCCAAAGCCTCCATTACTCACACAACCTTTTCCCACCCACTCTATTCCACCCACAATGGGCCCCGTAAACTGCTCACATTGAACACTGGGAAGAGAAGAAAACTGTGGGACTGAAAGAGGGAGGTCCTGGACACCTCACCAGTCCACAGCGCATCATCCTGTCAAAGAGGTTTGTGTTCTAGATGGCAGGTGAGTAACCCAGCTACTCCCTGATTTTTAAATAGTATGCTACATGGTAGCTTTAGTCACCATTCGTGTGCAACTCACCTGACAGATTGGGAATTCCTGCTCTCCATAAAGCCTGTTGGCAATACTCAGTGTGTAATCAGTCTTGATCCTGTCTAATTTGGAGAGAAGCTGCCCAAAGTAGCAGCTGACCAGTCCGCTCTCATTGTTTAAGGACCCAGCCTAAGGAAAGAAGAAACAAAATGTGACCTTCACTGTGTCTATCAGAAGAGCTAAACACCGCTAAAAGATGCGTGTTTTGTACAGAAGCAAGATAGAGCTTCTTAGTAAGATGTCAGCTGTCTCTGTTACCATGCTGGGGGAAGTGAGCTGGGAAGAACAGAGGAATGGAGGGTGAGAAGTGGTCCCAGTGGAAGATTATGGCTCCCACATCTATATCAAGATCATCCAGGAAAAATACATCTGGGGAACTCAGCAACGCTCACTATATTTCAGACTGACACACTCTGATTTTCTTTACATTTCAAAGAGGCCAGGCATGGTGGCTCATGCCTGTAATCCCAGCTACTCTGGAGGCTGAGGCAGGAAAATTGCTTGAACCCAGGAGGCGGAGGTTGAAGTGAGCTGAGATTGCGCCACTGCACTCCAGCCTGGCAACACAACGAAACTCCATCTCAGAAAAAACAAAAAGAAAGAAAGAAAGAGAGAAAGAGAGAAGGAGAGAAGGAGAGAAGAAGGAGAGAAAGAAAGAAAGAAAGAAAGAAAGAAAGAAAGAAAGAAAGAAAGAAAGAAAGAAGGAAGGAAAGAAAGAAAGACAATCATCTATCCACCCTCCTCTTAAACTTTCTAAAGTAGGGGGATGCATACCCTGGATAATATCTTTCCTCCTCCTGGCATGAGGCAACCAATAAAAGTTTTGTCTGTCAGTGCAGATTTCAGCACGAAATGGAACAAGCAGAGATAGAGGGAGACAGTAAGAATTCCACAGCTGACCCTACCCCTTACCACCTTTATCTTTGACCATACTCTGTGTTGGGGCCCTGTGGCCTATAGAAGCAGATGAGGGACAGAGTGATGATCTAGGCTTCTTTATCATAAGCAGAAGACACCAGATCCTACTCTTTAGGAAACTAGCTGATAGCCAAGGACATCTGAGATCCATACTCAGGAATCACAGATCACATGAGGTTATTGCTGTTGATGGTATCCAGAGTCTAATATTTGGGGATAAGCAACTATCACCAAATATCCTACAGCCAGAATAAGCAGTTTGTAAAAAAGAAAGGCAAGAGTTTTCTACGGTGGCGGTTCACCTGCTGATCCAGAGGCTCTGTCGTTTTTTTCTGCCCCTCCAGAGAGCTGTCAGCCAGCACTTTTTGTTTGTTGCTTTTCAGACAAGGGTCAGGTTCTTTGCTTTCATTCTGGGAAAATTCGTTGAAGTGTAGTACCTGCATGATAACGGGATGGGGTCTTTCAGATAATATGAACAGAGGGAAGCCTGAATAACTTCAGAAACATTTCATAATGAGACAATGGCAATGATTACATAGTCAAACAAAACAATCAACAACAGTTTAAAGGAAAGTGGGTGCTTCTGTACTTGGGTTGGGAGGTGGAATCGAGGAGAAGAACCAACCGCTACCCTGGGAGAGCATTTATGAATAAATATAACCAAACTAAAAGAACATAGAGGTATCCACAAGCTAAATGTAACTATGGAGCATTTCATAGATACCCAATCTGAATTGACTGTAAGTGCAAAATACACACCAGATCTTGAATATAGTATAAAAAAATAAATAAATAAAATAGCTCATTAAAATTCTTATATTGATGATATGTGGATATGATATTTTGCATATACTAGGTTAAAAAATTATTATTAAAATTAGTCCCACCTGTTTCTTTTTACTTTTGCAATACAGTTACTAAAAAATTTTAAATTACTATGTGGTTCTCATTATGTTTGTGTCAGACAGTGCTGATCTAGAGTTTCACATGAATCAAGGGAGTGAGGACAGCAAAAGACAAGTTATCCAGAGCCTGGTAGAAAGGTAGGAGACAGGCGTCATATCCTGCACTACTCAGACCCATTTGGTCAGCAGGTGCCCTCAACTGCCTAAGAAAGAACATCTGAATTCTGCCCTGCAAGATGCAAACCACACTCTAAAGCTAAGTTTTGCTAATGGAATAAGAAAATAATACACCAAATCTTAGTAGATGAATAAAGCAGAATGACCCCAGAAACACATTCTGTCTTAATCCATAAATTCTACTGCTCCATATTCAGGGGAAACAGCCTGAGTTGTGCATAACCCCCGCACTATGTGCTACATCCAAGGAAGTATAAGGCCAACCATGGGAACTTGTAGTTTATTTGGGGATTTGTTCTTATTACCTTCATTTATTTATTCTAGAAATGTTTATTAGGTGCCTACAAAAGTATCCCTTATGGTCTGGAGGTCAGGATGCAGCACTAGATTAGGAGGTCAAAGTAGGCCCCGTATAGGAGATAAACACTGATCAAAGTCTTGAAGAAGAAAGTGAGCTGAGGTCAGTTACCAGGGGAAAGAGCCATCAGGCAAAGGGACCGAGAGCAAAGGCCCCAAGATAGGATGGGCATGACTTACCCAAGGAAGCCAGGAGGCCAATGTGACAGGTACAGTGAGGAGGGATGAAAGTGAGAGATGGAGTCACAGGGCTTATCTGGGATTCAGATCTCCAGATCCTTGTGGGCCATTGTAAGGACTTGAACTGCTATCATGAGTGAAATAAGAAATCCAGGTTTTTGAACAGATGAGAAATAGAATCTGGCTCAGGTTTTAAAAGGGTCTCTTGGACTGCTGTGCAAAGGATAGATTGCCAGTGAGAGCAGGAAAGCCCATCAGGAAGTTGCTGCAGTATCCAGGTGAGAAAAGATGGTTGTGGTTCAGACCTCAAGGAGACTGGGAGAAGTGCCTGGATTATGGATATCTTTCAAAAGAAAAGCCAACAGAATTTTCTAACAAATGTGGTATAAAGTGAGAGAGAAAGAGTCCAGGAGGACACCAAGCTCTCTAGCCACTGGAACCATATATGGTACTTAATGAATATTTATTTAATGAAATGAGTGAGACAGAAGACATATACACATACTAAAAATCGCTAGCAATATTGGTATTAGCAATCATAGAGTAAAAGAGTGACAGACATGCATACAGAGATAAAGATAGAGATGAATGAGAAAAGCTGCCAGACATGAAGTTGAGGAGCACCCTAAAGAAGGTACAAGTTTAAGTGAGACTTTAAGAATGGTAGGATCGAAGAGGAAGTAAGATGGAGAAAATACAAATAAAGACTCAGAGACAGGGATGGGTTCTGACCAAGCCCAGGGTGCAATAAGCCCCTTGGCTTGCCTAAGTGGGATTAGGGTCTGACTTTGAGTGTGGACCCAGAGTTTAGGACCCTGTGTAGCACCCTAGTGGACACGTACCTCATCAATCTGATGTGCACTGTCACTTCTAGCACCCAAGCGTACCATACCAAGGGCAGCTGAGAGGCTCAGGGGAGAGAAAAATATGTTTTTATGACGATCATCTTTGCCTATCTCTTGAAAAAGATCAAAGCAAAATTTGGTGTTTGCTGTAACAAGAGAGTCCATTGTAAAACTTATAACGATCTAAAACCAAAAAAAAAGGAGAAAGAGAAAATGGTGATTGGAAGAAAATAAGTGAACAAACAATTTTATTTTACATACCTGAAATACAATCATGCACAATTATTCAGTATGCTATTAAGAACTGGAAAACTAAGGTCATTATCATCCCTGTATATAAATATTGGTGTTGATATTGATAGACAGAGATCTATTTTCATTTAGTAGTGTGAATTCGTTTCCTGGGGCTGCCATAAGAAATTACCACAGACTGAGTGGTTTAAATAGCAGGAGTTTATTCTCCCATGGTTCTGGGGGACAAACGTCCAAAATCAAGATATCAGCAGATTTGGTTCATTTCAAGACTCTCAAGGAAAATCTGTTTCATGCCTCTCTCTCAGCTTGTGGTGGTTGCCAGCAAACTTTGACATTCCTTGACTTGTAGACAAATCACTCAAGTCTCTGCCTCCATCTTCACATCCTTCTCTTTATTGTCCATGTATGTATCCAAATTTCCCTCTTCTTTTAAAGACAGCAGTCACTGAATTAGAGCCCATCCTAAGCCAGTACAACCTCATCTTAATTTGACCACATCTGCAAAGACCCTATTTCCAAACAAGGTCATATTCACAGGTAGAAGGATTAGGACTTAAACTATATTTTTAGGGGACATAATCCTACCCACTTTGTGGTGGAACTCCCTGTATTCACGTAAAATGAAGCCAAAGGCTAACATTCTTATTATCAAGTTAGCAGCCAAGCAAACATCATCCCATCTCATTCTTCTCCACAGATTGTGGCTGGTTCTGCTTACACCTTTTGCCTGTACTCTCCCCTCATTGCTCTGTGACTGAGGATATGCCCAGCAAATTCCCATGGGTCATGTGCCTTGTTAACATTCTCACCCCCTTTTGACTCATCCCACATGCAAACTACAGAATTTGAGGCACTTTAGTCAGTCATTCATATTGTTCAAGAGACAATAAATCTTGAATGATGCTGGGGGTCTTGATGTCACCAGGTGTACTAGTCCATTTTCACACTGCTACAAAGAATACCAGAGACTGTGTCATTTATAAAGGAAAGAGTTTTAATTGACTCACAGTTCCGCATGGCTGGGGAAGCCTCAGGAAACTTACAATCATGGCGGAAGGAGAAGGAGAAACAAGTACCTTCTTCATTAGGCGGCAGGAGAGAGAGAGAGAAAAGGAGGAACTGCCAAACACTTATAAAACCATCAGATCTCATGAGAATTCACTCACTATCACAAGAACAGCATGGGGGAAACTTCCTCCATGATCCAATCACCTCCCACCAGGTCTCTCCCTCAACACGTGGAGATTATGGGGATCACAATGTGTGATGAGATTTGAGTAGGGACACAGAGCCAAACCATATCACCAGGTTCAATGTCCTCTTTGACAGTGTAGAACTACAGATAATATAGAACCAGAGTGAGATAGTGACTTCCTAAGAACAGGTATCTTGCCTTCCCCACCCAATCTATTCCAGAGTATCAAGAGAATATGTAGATCTCACCACTGACCTATGCCTTTCAAATGAAATGCCTTTTCTTTTGTCTCTTTGCCTATAGATATTGTGTATTTCCAAGATAGAAATGTAAATCCTCTTATTTGTGCTTTTATCATCAGATACAGCACACCATAAGCATGAAGAAATATTGCTGCATTGAATGGAATGGTGTAATTTGTTTTAACACTTTCCCAGTTAATATAGATTTTCTTAGCCTATAAAACCTAATTCAAAAAGATAACATTATGTAACTTTTTAAAAAATGTGTCTAACATGTGCCAAATATCTTACATGTGTTAGCTTTAATCCTACAACTCTGCAAGGTAGATATGATCATTCCTTCTTTTTCAGAAAAGAAAACTGCATAATCAAATAGCACATATATTTGGCCCCAAACTAAGTAATCTTTCTACTGTATCTATCGTTTCTAAGTTGCCCCTCAACTGATGATAGGTGATCAAACACATGCCTGCTGTATGTGGGTACTCTCCCCCCTTATTCAGCTTATAGTCCATTTTATTGCTACATTTTCTTTCTGCCAAGTTTGTACCTAACTCACAGTTCTTATCTTGCATCTGGGAACTGGGTTTGAGACGTACTTTGTATTTTCAAACTAATTTCAGGGTAATCATAGATCACCAGAGTGTTTTCAGGAGCATTATGCCTTAATTGGTGGGTGTTTTTTGAGTAATGGATGTCCTGGATGTATCTGGAAATTCAATAATGCCTCACAACTCAGAAAGCTACCTTTGCATATGTTGGTAAACATCTTGATGTCCAACAGATTTTCTCTACACATAGCTCACATTACCCATCTAGTAACAAGTCTACTAACAAAGAAAAGAAAACCAACAAATTAAAGATGGTCTGAGTTGGGGGGATTTCACAGGCTTTCGATTAATGATAAAATTTTGTGTGAAATGTAGTCTAATATTTTTTAAAACCTTTGTTGTATAACTTAGGTTAATGTTTGATCAAAATCTTCAGCTCGAAGGAGGAGAAGGTAAAGGGAATCCTGGCAATTTGGCCATCACTATTAAAAGAAGACAAGAGCCTGACTATATTGAAGGAAAAGAAGGGGTTGGTTAGAAAGACTGAATGATCCCAACCTGGCTCTTCAAATGTTCCAGTTAATCACTTGGCTTCACCCCTTCTGCCTTCTAGCATGAGCACTCCCAGAACTGAATGATCAGAGTCTTGCCTGCTTTAGAAAGGACATGACTACTCATGCAGGCCAACTCCCTACTTCTCAAGATAAAAAAAACTGAGGCCAAATGAGGCGAAGTGACTTGCAACAATCATGCAGCTGTCCAGAAGCAAAGCAAGGCTAAGACTTCCTCATGCCTAGGGCTGCTTCCTCCTAGATCACACAGTTTTTCACATTCCATTCCATTCTAATTCTGGCACTACACTTACTCACTCTGTGGGCTACAGAACACTCCAAAACTCTCTCTGCCTGTTTCTGCATCAAGCTTCTATAAACTTTGTGAACTACTTTCCAGGAGTACTGTGATGCTCTCACCCCAGTAACAATTCCCTTTTCTGAGTGTTACCTGGTTCTAAGCTTTCATTACAGTTGTGTGCAGCTTTAATGCTGCCTCACCTCCCAAGGGAGTTGAGAGAACAATAGTAACAGAAAACAACGAAAAAAAAACAGCTGGACAGTTGCTGTTAAAGTTTTATGACTATATGTAAGCCCTTACAATAGGAAGATCTTTCCTGGCTTTACATACAAGTCTAAAACATAGCAAATAATGAACATTTAATGACTAGATTAAAATGTCATCTGCTAACCACCTTCTGAAGGGTTGCTTGGTTATTTTGGGGGGTGGGGGTGAGTCAGTTTTTTTAAATTAGAAACTGCCTAAATCTGACACCAACCTAATTATGAAGTTCTCCCACTGGGTTAGTCACTATATATAAAAGATGAACTGAACAAGACACAATCTCTGCCTTTGAGAAATCTATGACCTAACAGAGCAGATAATGCATTCGCAGATTCAGGAGTAGAGTTTAAGACGCATAGAAGAGTAAGATATTAATTTACAAAATGAAATAGAAAAGGGAAAAGAGTATTTTGTAGGAAGCACTCATTAAGATTTGATTATGCTAATAACACAGATTCAAATAGGCAATTTTAAAATATAACACTTTAAAAATACTTTAAAGCTTTTTAACATTGCTTTTATTTATTAAAAATAAGCTTAGACTGTTAGTAAAAATCATGTTATGTTATGTTGTTGCAATTAAAAAGAAAAGAGAAAGAAATTTAAGATTAATTGTCTTGTTCTCATCAAAAATCCCTTTGAAACCAGCCTAATTTTCCATAGAAATGAGTTTATGGTCTTTTTGAATAAACATAGAAATTGACCCTCCTGGTCTTAAAGCTTGAAACTTACATTTGTCGTATCTGAATTACTTCTTCAGGAAACCCATTCGCAGGCCTCCCAGAGAGTATCAAGCAACTGAAATTCACATCATGGCATGCACACAAAGAGATAGCAGAACCCACACTCGTCTTGATTATTTTCTTTCCCCTCCCTAATCCTTATTTTCCCATATGTAGCTACATTTCTTCCCCACTATATAAACCTCCCATTTTAGTAAGTTGAGGGAGAATGATTTGAGATTTATCCCCATCCCTTTGGCTGACGTCATCTGATTAAAGCCTTCTTCCCTGGCAACACTTGTCTCAGTGATTGCCTCTCTGTGCGGTGAGCAATAGGACATAGACCAAATCCCTGGCATTTCAATAATGCCTTTTACATGGACACTAATTTGAAAACAGTAATGACTAAATCACAAATTCCAAATCAATTGGATTCAAAATAGGACCACTTTAGCAAGAAATAGAAAGGCAGAGATCTAAATATTACAATACCAAAATGTAATTGTAAGAGAGATTTCTCAAAGGTATGTAGCAAAATCACCTTAAGAATTTTTTTAAAATATGTACAAATATGTTCATAGCAACACTTTCATAATAGCCAAAACTCAGGAACAACGCAAATGTCCATCATCAGCAGAATAAACACATAGCATGGATCTCACATCACATCATAAGATAATGTTGAGTAAAAGAAATCATACATGCAGCCCAGCCAACATGGTGAAACCCCGTTTCTACTAAAAATACAAAATTAGCCAGGCATGGTGGCATGCACCTGTAATCCCAGCTACTTGAGGGGCTGAGGCAGGAGAATCGCTTGAACCTGGGAGGCAGAGGTTGCAGTGAGCTGAAATCGTGCCATTGCACTCCAGCCTGGGCAACAGGAGCGAAATTCCATCTCAAAAAAGAAAAAAAAGAAATCATACCTGAAAACTTTCTTTTTTTTGTTTTTTTTGTTTCTTTGTTTGTTTGTTTGAGATGGAGTCTCGCTCTGTCGCCCAGGTTGGAGTGCAGTGGCGTGATCTTGGCTCACTGCAAGCTCCGCCTCCCAGGTTCATGCCATTCTCCTGTCTCAGCCTCCCGAGTAGCTGGGACTACAGGCGCCCACCACTACAACCGGCTAATTTTTTGTATTTTTAGTAGAGACAGGGTTTCACCGTGTTAGGCAGGATAGTCTCGATCTCCTGACCTCGTGATCTGCCCACCTCGGCCTCCCAAAGTGCTGGGATTACAGGCGTGAACCACCGCGCCCGGCCGAAAACTTTCATACTGTATGATTCCACTTACATAAAGTTCCAAAACTGGCAAAACTAATCTGCAGTTTTAGAGGTCAACAGAGTGGCTATCCTTAGGAATGAGTGGGGAGAACTGTGGTTAGCCACAGGTAGGGACAGTAGCAGACTGTCTCCCAAAACACAAAAGTCAACAAAAATCCATGATTCACAATGTTTGCTGATTTCTATGGTGTAAATACCCCCATTAAGGTTAATTTCAAACTGCCAGCAAGACACCATTGTACCCAGAGTTGGGAAAAATGCACAAAATCAGCTCTTGTGAGCTGGTATGAGCCGGCCTCAGGACACCATGTAAACTAGGCATGAAGGAGCCTTCTAGGAAGCTGGTACTGGTTCCTTTTTTGGTTGGAGTGTTGGTTACACATTAAGCTTACACTTATTTCTTATGCACTTATGTATTAATGTGTGTGTGGGTGTTCATGCAGGTATATATGTATAAAGTTTAATTTTAAAATGTATTGTAGATGTATTACTAAACATGGCATTTAATTTTAAGACATTGCAAGTTAGTGCCTAACACAATAGCTAAGAGTACTGTATATGGAAAATTGAAGAGAAATTTTTCAAAATGAAATTTTGGCCCCAGATGCATTTAGGGAATGCTCCCCAAGCATTCACAGGCCGTATTTGGTGTTTACTCTGGAAAATATCCACCACACAAAGAAGTTATTGTTTGATTGAGTCTAAAGGCAATTGCTCACACAGGCTGCCTCTTAGTGAGCTACAACTTGAAAAACTTGTATGCAATTTACTTCAGTCATCATTATTTTCAAACAGACTTGAAATAATCTTTTAAAATAGTAAGGTCTCCCAAAATTCATTCAGCTTAAGTAATTGGTGCTAACTCTATCCACAATGATGTTATACTACTAATAGCTACTGTTCAGTTTGAGCTTGTGATATGTCTGGCATTTCACAAATATTGTCTCTATTTTTCAAAAAATCCTGTAAGTTAGAAATAATTTTCATTGTACTTCCAACCACTACGTGGCACAAGTGGTGTGCAAATCAGTTCTTTCAGTGTGATTTCAAAGCTACCTCTTTCCTCCTATACCAGGCCACCCTCTGGAGCAGATAACACTTGTGCTCACAAAAGCCATGTCCTGAGTGACCACCATGTGGCTCTGTGGGATGCAGATGTCACCAGCAGGTCCATGTCTTGTTTGTGTCTCTTACCAAGACCACTGGTTGTAGAAAGGACCTCCTAGCACTGAGAGTCCATCTCAGGACGGCCGTGAACTCCCTCTCTGGAAGGCACATCTCAAGCTCCAGTTTGTCCTCCAAAGATTCCTACAATCTTTATGGGGGTTGCTTCTCTAGACTGAAAAATTACTCAAAAAATCCTTCTCAAATTGCATTGAAATCTGTGCAAATGTATCCTAAATAGATTGCAAACAATCGTAGCCTAATTGGGAGTGACTTACATGATAGCTCCCATGTACTATCCACAATGTCACCTCCTACTGACCATAGCTATATAGGAAAGAGAAGATAAGCAGTTCTTAGTCAGAAGAAAAAGAAAAAAATTCATTTTATATCAATACAAATACTATCATATTTTTGCCTATAATATTTTCCAAGTAAGGGATTCACGATTTAACTTCTAATGAAGTAGAAGAAGGAATTTTATTCTCAAGGTCTAATTTGTTATACAGATGGCAGAATAATAGTAATGAGGAATTTTGCCCTCACAATACTGAAAAATAAATCGCCTTTATTTTTCCGTGTGCTTTCCAATCTCTCAATCACTGCATTGATGTGTGTGTACGTGCCTGTTTATATGAACATTTTATGTTCACTTGTTTTCACTTCAAATTGCATCTTAAGTGTTTATCCTAATACTGTCTTCATAGATGTTCTTTTAATGGCCTTATAATATCTCATTATACTGACTTATCTAAATGTTTAAACTAACATCATATTGCTAGATACTTAAATTAGCTTCCCAGTTTTTATTAATATGAATAATTCTACGATAAACATTGTCATAAATATAGCTTTTATCTCCCTTCATATTATTTCTTCAGAGTATCTTCTTCAACATGGGATTTCTAGGTCAAATATTATAAAGATTTTTAACTTTCATACTGTCAGCCAAAAGTTACAGATGAAACTGCTATATCATAATCACCTTTTTCAGATATTATTGCCATTCTTAATAACTTAAAAAATAAAAAGAAAATTGTATTATTTTTAAATTTACATGGCATTGATACTTGCTAACATTTGAATGTTTCTCCATGTGTTCTTTTCTCTTTATAAATTCTCACATATTAACTGTCTCTTGTTCATCTTTCAATTATCTATTGAGGTCTTGATCATTTATTTATGGATCATTATGAACTCTTCATATTATATAAACATTTTATGTTTTTCAAACTTGTTCTTTAAAAAAATTTCCCCTGTTTTACCTTCCTTTATTTTCTTTATTGTTATTATAGAATTGTTTTTACTCTTATTTACTGAAAATTGTCAATATTTTCTGGCACTCTCTTCTATCACTTCAAAACCTTGAGGGTAATGTATTTTCAACTTAATTTTAAAACCTCATCTACTTTCAATTTTTTACAAGAAAGAAAATCTTTCCTGTAAGATTTTAACTTACATTGTTAGCTTTGAAGATACATTTTTAAATACTGACTATCTGAAATGTGTAACATTTTTAATTTTTTAAAGGTATTTTTTTCCATTTTTATGGTGTTTGAGGTATCAACAAATGATCTATTTTGCTTGTTTTCTTTCCTTCTGGCTTTGTTACACACGTAAAACCTTCTTCCACTTTCCTCCAACCTCTCCCTCTAAAGAGTTAATTAGTCACCACTGTATACAATAACCATACAACATTTGTTTCCCTTAACTCCTCTATCACACTGTAAGGTAATTATTTTTTATACTGATGTCTTTACTTCCAAATCATAATTGTCTTGAAGGTAGGTTCAGTGTTTTTAATTCATCCTTGTACCCATCCGTGAAGAACACAATGGTAGCACATGAGAACCCTTCATAATATTTATGGATTGATTTGCTGTCATCTGCCCATTTTTCATTGTAGATAATCCTAATGTTTGAAATGTTAGAAGACTATTTAGCATTTCATATTAACTTTATATATCCTGCAGGAAGCTGTAATTAACAGAGATTCTGCATAAGAGAATCAGCTTTTTATTAATTTTTTACTATATAAGAAAAAGTTCACTTACTGCAATATAAAAAAAATTCATTTACTGTATAAGAAAAAGTTCATTTATTACAATTTTCCCTTATAGTAAAAATGTAAAGGTTTAGACAAGATAGACATTCTAACAACCCAAAATATTCTGAGTAAAACTGTTTTTTCCTATATATAGTAGGAAGAAAAATATTTATACTCCAAAAATATTTCATGTCTTATAATTTCTATAATTCCCACAAAGCTACTAACAACTCAAGAATGAAATTCAAACTTTACACAAATAGATGCTATTCTGCTGGAACAAATATTCAAACCAGGTTACAGCAAACTAAATAATAACCAATATCTAAAAACAAAGAAATACTTGTGAACAATACCATCGAAAGTGTTTTCCAACTTATGGTGCAAAAAAAAAAAATCTAACTCACATTGTTTAAAATATAGATATTCTAAATATTATACCATCTTATGTTTCAGAAATAATTCATTAAAAGATAAAATACAATATGTCAAGTATGTGAAAGTTTAAAAAGTTATTCAAACATCTACATTTTAAAAAAATCAATCATATACATCAGGCATCTGACCAGGTGGTTGGGGCTGAGCGAGGTGACAAGCATTGTTAATATCTCCCAGTGATGACTGCCACATCTGCAGAAAATCCAAAACATCATAAAACTAACTCACTTTTTTTAAGTATTTGACTTAATAAAAACAAGTATATCCTTCTATTTCAATCACATCTCCTCTGGGTTTCTATCCTTTAAAATGGTTTTCCAATTCAGTGTTCATTGTTAAAAATTATATCAGGCAATTCGAGCATTTACCTTCTTGCCCTCAGAGTTGCTGCTAACAGCTGGTCAGGTAAGCTTCCCTCCACACCCTGTCGGGAATGGAAATATATCAACTTTGCCCCTCCCTCTGTGGAACTTTTCCAGTGCCATTTTGGAATCCAGAGTAAAATCATCATTGATAGATTAAAGGGAAAAGAAAAGAGTGGCATATATTTTTAAAACAAATGCTATGCTTTTAACTACATTGAATATTTAACTTAATATGCTTATATTTTCTTTGCTCTTTCCAATTTTATAGAGCCCTCAAAGCAATACTTGGCTCACACTTTTCAATTCAAATTTCTATACTAGAAGACCATGAAGCAGAAATGTATTTTACTTCATATACACATTGTCTTAGATGATTTCTTATATTTGAATTTTTGCATTATTCTAAAATCTTTCTAAGTTATTACATAGGATTTGCAAAATGTGCTCTAAGCTACTTCAAAGTTTTTGCTTTCCTGCAGTAGGTGTGTGGTAGGGATGAGAATTATTATTTGATTATTGACACACATATTTTACAACTGAAAACACAAAACTTTTTAAACTTAGCCAAAGCATGTTCTGATGTTACTTTTGGTTCTAGCACTCTACAATCGTGTTATGTTACTGACTGTAAACATGAGGGTCAGTGGATAGGGCAAAAAGTGTGGAGCAACTAGGAGAAAGCTAGGAAGAGTCAAACTCCAGGAACTGACATGTCTTAAGGACAAACGAGGACCCCTCTCTGACCTGGTTCTCCTACTGAGCCCTTTATCTTCCTTTTCTAACTTGTTGTCAGACAACAATATTATCTGAACCATGACCCTACAAATACATTAGGTGTAGAGAAATTCAAAGGAAAACTTTCTAAAATGGAGAGATGGCCTTTATGGAAAATATAAACTACTTATGTAGCTAGTGTATAAATAAAACAAGTTTTATAAGATATTGACCAGTGGAAATTAATGACTAAGCATCCAGAGTTTTTCTGAATTATCAATAGTAAGCATAGAAAAGAAACGTGCTGTTAGTTTTCTTTACTCCTTGATCATTTGAAAATAATTATTTTTTTTTCTAAATTCTTCCACAAAATTCTAAAAACCAGTCTAGTCATTGGTTATGATTTGCAAGAGTTTGGAAAATTTTAACACGTGAATTATTTAATATTTTATGTCATTGATTACTACTTCATGTTGCCCATCATAGCCTTTCCAAAAGGGTATACCATTCATATTCAGAACAGGATGAGTTCTTGCCTGGCTTCCTGGAAGTAGGTGTCACATCTGTTACTGTTGGGGGATAATATTCAAATTTCACTGGGCTTCTGGGTACCTGAGAAGAGTATAAACTTGTTTGAATGTCTTTAATCTAGATTTGCATCTGTTTATCCTCTTAAATAATTCAACAAAGATCTAACTACAGATGACTGTGCCCTACAAGCCTAAAAATTTGGTGTGGTGCGATTGCTCAATGAGCGAAGATGAAATCTGACACTAAATGTAGCTAAACATTAAGGTAGCTTGATAAATCACTAACAAGGGGATGAGAATTTCTTGAGCACTTACTAAATGTCAAGCTGCATTTGGTACTTTACACATGTAATATATCACTGAATGGCTGAAGAAAGCGAGCCTCTCTAGTACCCGTGACTTCAAGTGCCAGAGAATTACACTAGGGTTTGAAAGAAATTTGGAGGTCAACTAGCCTGACAGTGCTATTCAAGGCAAGCTAAAAAAAAAAAAAAATAGTTCTATGTCAACAGGCCGTAAAAATAATGTTTACTTCATCAAGTATAGAGCTAGATGATTCCTCCTAGGTATGTTACAACTCAGCAAGAATTATGAGCCAATCAATAAATCTTTCAGCAATTAGCCTTTTTCTGCCTAGAATTAAAAATTTAAGGAGGCCAGAATGATTCAGCAATCAAAGTCTTTGCCAGTTTATGATGCAAAATGATATGATTAATATTCCCCTACTGATAAAGGCAGTATTTTTGAAATATTACAAAGGGGCTCTTTGTCATTTAATTTTAAAACCCAATATTGAGAAAAGAAAACATGTTTATAGGAAAAATATCAGCATAGACACTTTCAACCTAATGAAAAAATGCATCTTTTATCTAAAGCAGACAGTTTTCCTGATGTTTATCTTGTATCCTCCAAATTTAAGAGTCTTATAACACATAAAAAGAGGAAAAAATCTATTAAAACAACAATAAAGACTAAAACACAAACTCATTTCAAAACTTGCAATCACTCTTAAGATATCCAAAGCCCTTAGTTCTTTCAGCTTCAAAACTGACATCTCCAGGATTGAAAAAATGTCAGCTGTCCACCCCAATATGACAGAGACATAGAGATCAAAGACAGGCAAAGCTATGAGACAGCAAAGAACACATAGAAAAAGCAGTAAACTTGCAATCAGAAGAAGCAGGCCCTGGGCTGAATCTTACTAGCCTGAGACCTCAGGCAACTACATCATGAAAACTTCAATTTTCTCGCCCTTAAAAAAATAAGAATAATAATATGGTTTTCCAAGCTCTTATGTGTTTACAACTATTCACGTTTTTAATATAATTACATAGAATTAGTATTGCACAAAGCTTTATTTTCTTAGCCAAATCTTTATAACATTATCTATTTCTTCCAAAACTGTAAATGAGGACTTCATCCTTCAAATCATGGCTTACAAACTACAGCCTGCAGGCCAAATCCAGCCCTCTGCCTGTTTTTGTAAATAAAGTTTTATTGGAACGAAACACATCCATTCATTTATTACTGTCTATGGCTGCTTTTGCTCTACAATGACAGAGTTGAACAGTGGTAGTGGAGAAGAAATCACATGGCCTGCAAAGCTGCAAATATTTACTATCTGTCCCCTTACTGAAAAGTTTGCTGATCCCTGCTTTAAATGATGAAATACCATGGTTTTTAAAACCTTTGAAGTTTTTATATCCTAGATATATAACCTCTATTTACATACAATAAATATTGTAATATGCTAACAAGAAACATATTTTCTTAAATCTAAAATGTACATTTTGCCCGGGCGCAGTGGCTCACACCTGTAAACCCAGCACATTAGGAGGCTGACACCAGCAGATCACTTGAGGTCAGGAGTTCAAGACCAGCCTGGCCAACATGGCAAAACCTCATCTCTACTAAAAATACAAAAATTAGCCTGGTGTCGTGGCGCACGCCTGTAAGCCCAGCTACAGGAGGCTATAATCCCTGCCTCAGGAGGCTGAGGCAGGAGAATCACTTGAACTGGGGAGACAGAGGTGTTGCTGTAAGCCAAGATCACGCCACTGCACTCCAGCCTGGGCAACAGAGTGAGACTCTGTCTCAATAAAAAAAAAAATAAATAAAAATAAAAATAAATAAATAAAATGTATGTTTTGATTAGATCTTAACCCCAAGCAAAACCCTAATGCCCTTCAGTATTACAGTAAAATAACAGCCTAGACATTCATTTGTTGAACAATTATGTATCAAGTGCCTATAATGTGTCAGGCACTGCATATACATCAACTCAATGAACTTTAAATTAAAGTGATTATCTCTACATTATCACTCCTTCAGAATGAAGCATTCCACTACGAGGGTCTCTCCTTTCAAAGGGATCAGTGGGAAAGGCACAGGTTAGGGTTAGAGCCTTTAGTAAAGGGGACTGCCATTGTCCCTGCACTTATGATGCCTCATGCAATAGGAGCTTACAGTCCAACTAGATGACCTGCATTTAGATACAATAAACATTTTTCAAGGACCTGATATGTAACAGGCCCTTACATACCCATTATCTCATTCATTCCTAATAAGTCAGGAAGAGAGACATTACTATCCCAATATGACAAATAAGAAAACAAGGACTTGGAGAAGGCCTTAAGTTGCTCATAATCATAATGCTAGAAAGTAGCAGCATGATCTAAATAAAGAAAATGTGGTACATACACAGCATGGAATACTGTGCAGCCATTAAAAAGAACAAGATCATGTCCTTTGCAGCAACATGGATGGAGCTGGAGGCTATTATCCTAAGGGAACTAACACAGGAACAGAAAAACAAATACCACATGTTCTAACTTATAAGTGGGAGCTAAACATTGAGAACATATGGACATAAAAAAGGAATAACAGATACTGGGACCTACTTGAGGGTGAAGGATGGGAGAAGGGTAAGAATCGAAAAACTACCTCTTGGGTACTGTGCTTATTACCTGGGTGACAAAATAATCTGTACACCAAACCCCACTGGCATGCAATTTACCTATATAACAAACCTGCACACATACACCCTGACCTAAAATAAAAGTTTTTAAAAAAGAAAGTAGCAAAATAACGTTAGCACCTCCCTGACTCTCTGATCCCAAGAATGAAGACCTGCAACACATATAGCTTCACTACCAGGACAACTAGCCCCCAGAGGCATCTCTACCAACAATAGCTTGTCCACCTCCCAGCACATACCTGGAAGCCAGTGAGGGCTGTCCCCAGCTAAGGTCTGTGCTCTGATAAAGTCAATTCAAAAATCAATCTAGCAGAGGAGGAACCAGGCAAGTCCTACAGCCTGTGAAAACTTATAAGGAGAGGCATTGAGCAAGCTATTCTGTCACTTTAAATACAGGTTTGTGAATCAGGACAATTAACATATGAAGGGGAAAATAAGACATGCATTTATGGCCATCAATTCAATGAATTTTAAGTTAAAGTGATTATCTCTACATTATCACTCCTTTAGAACAAACCGTTCCACCATGAGGGCCTCTCCTTTAGAGGGGAACAGTGGGAAAAACACAGGTTAGGGGTTAGAGCCTTAGTAAAGAGGAAGTGTCATATCTCTGTCCCTTATTCTCCCTAAACAACTTACAGAGCCCTCCAGCCACTGTGTAACACATGAGTTCATAATTTATAACAGAATACACAAAACCCAAGCGGAATATTTTTCATCGCCTATCCCAATGCACACCATCAAATAAATTGAGTAGTGACAAAACTGTGAGGTTCTCAGTCAAGTGTGAAGCTAGACTTTTCAGGTATTATCAACTGTTATTAGCTACTCTATCATGACTGCAACTCCACAGCTGTCTAGGATAATTTCCTGAGCATCCTCACCAGTTATTTTTTCTTCTGGCATCTCAGACTGTACCTAGCAAATAAACAAAAGGTGTCTCTCCCCTCTTCCCTTCTGTCTCTGTTCCTTCTCTTCACCTCTGTCTTCCTCATCTCCTCCATCCCCATTTGCCTCTGTCCCACCCCATCCCATTTCCTTGTCTCTTTCTCCCTCTACTTCTCTCAGTACAAATACCTCAGAAGACTTCATTCACCTGCAAAACTCACTAGATATTACCTATCATCATAGAACAACATCAGCTCTTTTTCAAAACGTGGTTCATATTTGGTTAAGAAAAATAATGCATGCTTGGAGGTTTTCTGAGATATTTTGAGGGCATTTAGTTCAATTTGCAGTCTTAAAGCAAAGCCATGCCCTTGGATTTCCACAAAAAGCCTCCTCCTCTTGAGGGTCCTGTCTCTAAGTGTAACTTTAGGACAGTACACTCAAAATCTACAAAAACCCATCCTGCATCATGATTGAGTGAGGATCATAACTTGGGGAGCACACACTGTCTGCAATTATATTAAAAATGAAGACCCTACCCCACTATATGAGAAAGCCCTATGGTGCTGTGGGTGTTAAAGTTGTGAATGCCTAACCTATAAACCAGGTAATAAGAGGATCTGAGGGAACGAGTGGCATGCAACTTGCAAGCATGAAATTGGGTTCCCATGAACCAGCTTTAACCCACAGAATAATCGTATAATTGAGAATATAATTGTCAAAGCAATAAAAGTTTTGAATTAGGGAGATGGTAGAAAATTTGGGGTAGTTGAGTGCAAATGAATTTTAAATAGTACATGTCATTTGAGAAAATGTTTCAATATTAAAAATACTGAAAACGTAAAGAAAAGTAAAGATAATTTGTAAGCCCATCAAAATCCACAATTTCCTTTTCTCTACACACACTTTATACATAGCTGAGCTCATACTAATTTGTAATTTTGTGTCCTTTTAACATTTAATACTTAAACCTAGATATTTCTTCTTCATATTTTAAAATTCCAATCATAAGAATTATTTGAGTGACTATGTTAATGACATCCATTCTCCTATTAATTAAACATTTAAGTGATTTCTAATTTATATACAAAGTTTTATTAAAAATATCTGGTTTTAACACATTTATCTGAATATCAGATGATCTCCTGAGCATAGAATATCAAGGTGTTAAATTACTGGATAAAAATGCATTAACATTTTTAAGTTTGAATGCATCATGTTGAATTTTACTCCAGAGAAATCCCACCAGCAGTGGGATTTAACAGTTTGTCTGAATCTCAGATTACTTCCTTGCCATAGAATATCTAGGTCCTGAATTACTGGAGAAAATGCATGAGCATTTTTAAGCTGGAATGCATTGTATCAAATTGTTCTTCAGGGAGATCCCATCAGCAGTGGGATTTTAAGAGTTTATCTGAATCTCAGATGATTTCCTTAGCATAGAATATCTAGGTGTCGAATTACAGGATAAAAATGCATGAACATTTTTAAGCTGGAATGCATCGTGTTGAATTGTACTCCAGGGAGATCCCATCAGCAATGCATGGAATGTACTGCCTTTGCACTATTTTGTTTTTCATCCCATTTTCCTCTCCTAAAACCTAGTAACCAACCTCCACTCTCTTCAGGAGAGGAAAGAAAAAGATCAGCATTTTGTACAACTCCTCTAACATAAATCACTCATTTGCACAATCAGACAAGTGACTATTTAGACATTCTACAATTCTTTTGAGCCAAGTTTTAAGCATCCTTCAAGCTAGTCTCTCACCATGGAGTGGAAACAGGGTGTAACCACCTAATTTTCTCAGTATTCTTAGGGGAAAACCAAAGACAAGTTGGAGCCTACCTTTCTTGTGTTATTTTCCCTGTGACTCTAGCACCCAATTGCAATTCTCTATGTCCACGTACTAAGTGTCTCCAGTGGCACCCAGCAATGACTTCTATAGGACACACCATTGAAAAACTTAGAAAGAAGACCACCCTCAAAAACTTAATTTATTTTGTAAAAGTTGTGCACAAAATGGAATCTAAAAGAAACAACATACATGGAAATAATGCCCAGCTGGTTCTCCCTTCTATCAGGAGGGTTTCTGGGAGGGTAATGGCCCCATATCATACCTCCCAGTGTGCTTGGGGAATATAACTCATTTTAGACAAACCCCACCATGCCAGACATTGGTGTACGTGCCCACAAAAAATGACAAGATTTTGCTGTTGCTTTTGTTTTGTTTTGTTTTGAAAGCAGGCGGGGTGGGGTGGGGGGCACCTGATGAGTGGAGGTAATAGATTGATAAATTGAGAGAACAGACATTAATTCCTTGACCGAGACCCAAGAAACAATCCTCCCATATCCCTATATCATATATCTAGAACCTTCTCTTCCTACTTCTGGAGAAATAGGGATTAAATCACTGGGACATGCAGCACCTCCTGGTGCTCATTCAGCTTTGCTGAAAAAGTATGGAAATTTTGTGCATTTTGCTTCTGTTTTTTCAGGGGACATGGGGAAGTGGAATAGACTTTATTTTCTTTAGCACACTTTTAGAATTACTGAAAAGTTGGACAGGAATATAGAGGCCATGCTTTCTTTTTTCACACCCCCTATCCATTCTGACTGAGCCTTTGGGAGGGCCTTGGCTATGGTTGCCAGTGATAGCTACTGGAGACCTCAAGAAGAGTCATGGTCATAAAGGGAAAACAGTGTTGGAGAGAGGAAATAACCCTGGTCAGGGAGGAACCTTCATTCTCTTCTCATAGAGAGAAAGGTTGGTGGTCTCAGCCATCCCAAGTGGATCCCAATCATTTAAATATTGGCCAGAAACAAAGGGGAAATTTTCAAGGAGAATTCACTACAGGCATGAGCCACCACTCCCAGCCACCATTTTTAAATGACCAATATTATTAGTTGTTAGGGAAATGCAAAATAAAACTACAGTGAGATACCGCTTTATACACACTGGGATGGTTATAATTTAAAAACAGACAATAACAAGTCTTGGTGAAGATGTGGAAAAATTGGAACCATCATATATAGCTGGTGGAAATGTAAAATGATGCAGCCACTTTGGAAAACAGTCTGGCAGTTCCTGAAAATGCTAAACATTGAGTTACTATATGATCCAGCAATTCCACTCATAGGTATAAACCTAAGATAAATGAAAACCTATGTCCACACAAAAGCTTGTACACAAATGTTCATAGCAATATTAATCATAATAGCCAAAAAGAAAAAACAACTCAAATATCCATCAACTGTCAAATGGATAAACAAAATGTAGTATATTCACACAATGGAATATTATTTGGCCTTTAAAAATATGAAGTATTAATACATGCTACAACATACATGAACCTTGAAAACATTATGCTAAGTGAAAGAAGCAAGTCACAAAAGACCACATATTTTACAATCTCATTTACATGAATATCCAGAATAGGCAAATCCATAAAGAGAGAAAGTAGATTATTGTGGTTGCCAGGATTAGAGGGAAGGGTAATGAGGACTGCTAATATAGAGAGTTTTGTTTAGGGATGATGAAAATGTTCTAAAATTTATTGTGGTTATGGCTGTACAACTCTGTAAATTTATTTAAAATCACTGAGTTACACACTTTAAAAGGGTGAATTTTATTGCATGTGAATTATATTTTAATAAAGTAGTTTTCTAGGAAAAGTGCTAGACATGTTGCTTTCAACAGATCAAGGCTTCCAGCAGAAGTCCTGGTGCCTAAAGTTCTTCCATACTTTCATATCTTATTTCCATGTTATTTTTACACTCAGTTGTCATTCAACAAATAATCATTGAGCACCTATTAAATACTATGGTAGATGCATCTAGAAGTGAATAAGACAGATCCGAAATTTGCATCTGGTGGAATTTCTCCTATATATTAGAAAAGCCTCATCCATAGCCTTCATCCCACCACAGTCTCATACCTGTTCCACCTACTCTCAACTGATCCAAATGTGCTCCCTCAGGCTCTAAACCTCATCTCCAAGTGCAAAGACTTAATGTTATTTTTGAATAATATTAATTAAATGGTTTCTGAAGATTAGTCATTAAGTGTAAATTAATAAATGTGACAACCTTTATGAGTTTTTTCAAACCATGAACAAGAGGGATTCCATATGGTAAGATTTCATTCAGGTAGTGTTAAAACTCGGGCTTGATTGTTGTAGTTGCCTCCCTAGAAAGTCAGAGTTCTACTGATTTGTTTTCATCTCCCAAGCTTCCAATAACAATTTATTGGGCATGAAAGAATATTCATATAATTTATCCACACTCGTAACAAATGTAGAAATATGGGTGTAGAATTAAATCAAATATCTTTCAAGCATAAAACTGTTCCAACTCTATCATTACCCCTGGTATGTCATCAGTCTAGGAACATGCCTTTGTGCTTTTCTACCATTCTCCTCTGGCCACACCTGAATACATTCTTTCCTTTACTCAATTTACCAAAAGAGAAAACCCAATGCACAAGGTGTACTAGGTGCAGTGCAAGAAACTAGAAACACACAGGTCAGAAGAACACAGTAGCTTCCCTGGAGGAACATGTAGCTTATTAGGAGAGACACAGAGTGCACCTGGTGCCAACCTGCAATCTCTGCAGGCCACTTCTTTACAGGGCCCTAGCTGTCTCCAAACAAACCATTGCTGGCAATCAGTCCATGATGTAGATATGTACTAGTTGATTCTGATAAACATAGGTTTTCATGTGATAAATTTAATCTTCTCTTGATAACATATTTAATTATTTTATATTTACATAGTTGTTCCACTTCCAAAGAGTATATAATCATTCATCTTCAGTTTCTTCTAGGTTTTATTTTTAACTTTTTATTTTTAGTCTACCAAGAATTTATTTTGGTCTACGATGTGAGGTAGGGATTTAAATAAATTGTTTCCCCTAAATACCCAGCCAATATTCCCAGCACTATATGAATTACCAACTCCTCCTTTGATTGGCATTGCTTCTCTTACCATCTAATTAGTTTATATATGTGATAAAGTTAAAACATTTATAAAATAATACTATTATTATTTGTAAAACAAATTATTGTGATAGGTGAATGAAATAATTTATGTATATAAAATACACCATGTAGTACCTAGCACACAAATGCTCTCAACAAAGAGATTAGTTATTTTAGACCAATGGAGATCATCGTTCTGTCCAATCTAACCAATCCTCATTGGGTGAAATGGATGGGGAATGGAAAGAGAAGAATTTTTAGTCAATCTGTGCTTCTTTCATGAGAATAGAAAAAAGGAAGTCATCTTCTCTCTATAAGAAAGACAATTTCTTCTAATATCAATTCCTATAAATTTGCCAAAAATGGCAAAAAGTGGAATCACCTTGTTTTATTTTGCATTTTTTATTAGTTATAAGTTAAGCATCTAATCATATTCATTGGCAATTGTAGGTTATTTCTTTTTCTGTGTCTTTCTATCCATTAATAATTTTTAAAATTGAGTAATTTATATTTTCTTATTGATTCGTACATCCTCTTTTGTTGTTATAAATATTAACTGTACCTATTGTAAATGTTCTTCCATTTTTGTCATTTGACATTTAAATATGGTTATTTCTTTCAAAACGTATGATTTTAATTTTTATTAAATCAAGTCTGTCTTTTTCTTTATGAATTTTTTGAAAGAACTGTTTCTTTTTTATTTTTGCTTGTAATTAATTTCAAATGTATAGAATGTTGTGGGAATACTTAAAAGAACTATATATACCATTTATCCAGATTTACCAATTATTAACATTTTGTCTCATTTGTTTTACAATTCTCTCTATATATACAATATTTATATGTTCTGAATACATATAAATATTTTACATAGAGAGAAAATATATATACACACATATATAGCAACTTATTCCTCAATAGTTCTGAATACATATATATACACACACATCTATGTAACTTATTCATCAATAGTCATGAATACATATATATATGCATGTGTATGTGTGTATATATGTGTGTGTGTATATTTATATATGTATTCAGAACTACTGATGAATAAGTTGCATACATCCTGTCTATTAGCTCTAAATATTTTGTCATTCATTTCCTAAGGAAAACGGCATGCTCTTACCCAACCATAGCACAAGTACTGAAATCTGGAAATGTAACATAATCCACAGTTCATAGTTCATATTCCAATGTCACCAGTTATCCCAAAAATGTCTTTTATGTCCAGTTTTCTCAGTCCAGGATCCAACCCAGGATTGTACATTGCATTTAGTTGTCATATCTTTTTTGTCTTCTAATCTAGGGAAGTTTCTGTGCCTTTCTTTGACTTTCATGGAATTAACATTTTGACGGGTAAGGGCCAGTTATTTTATAAAATGTCCCTTAGTTTGGGGTATTATTTTTAAGTTTCCTCATGATTAGATTCGAGTTACGCATTTTTGGCAAGCACAATGCCTGAGCTATCTCGGGGCATCACCTCGGGAGGCATATCATGTTCCTTTTTCCCATTCTACCTTTGATCATTCTACTTTTGATCATTTGGTTGGGTGATGTCTTGTAGATTTCTCCATTGTAAAGTTATTACTGCCCCTTTTATTGGATAAATACGAAGGAGGAAGATATTTTGAGACTGTAGCTATGCTTGCCCTCATCAAACATTTTCAAATGTTAGCATCCACTAATGATTTTTGCTTGAATCAATGACTACCATAATGTTTTAAAAGTTATTTTCTAACCAGTATTCTCTCTATATTTATTAGTTGGTAACCTGGAAAACTGTTCTGAAAAATCCATAAACCATTAGCAATATTCTGACTGAGCATAGTTTGTCTATATTTTGCTTTCCATCTCTCATCTAAAATATTTTAAGAAAAATATTCTTCCTTTGAGACATTTACTCTGCTCATGGTAAATCTAAGGGTGTTCCACATGCATACGTGCCTGTGGTCTGCACTCTTTTGTTGGTCATAATGTGTTGTGAATGAGACCATGTTCTGCAGTTTCAATTTCCAAATAGGTTCGATCACAGGAAAACAGCTTCCTCCTCCACCCAATCATTATACCAGAAGCCACAAAGACAAATGTGTTATTGCAAAGTGTCACCACTACTGGAAAAGCAACTCATAAAACAAGTACTGACGGCTACAGAGAAACTATATTAGAATGGAAATGAGTACAAATTACCAGGGAGTCTGCTTGATCCGGTTTCTCCTAAACATCTATTCTTTCTACCAGGAAAAAAGAAAAAAAAGTTTGTGAATTTCAGGTTATTTCCACGTTCCACTAGATTAAAGCCTCAGAAATCAAGTCTACAATCTGTATCAGCAGAGTCTAGCTTTTCTGTGCTGGCCAATATCATGCCGGTTCATGAAAAGTTCATAAAACAATTGTATGAGTACTAAGTAATTCAGATTCAGAAAATCTGGTCCTTTTGTGTGATAAATAATACAATAAGGCAGCAAGGACATAGCTGACAAATTCAGGGCCCTTTAACTTTAGTAACTCCCCACAAGTACCCACAGATAATTGTTAGGTGTTTTTTTGTTTTGTTTTGTTTTGTTTTGTTTTTTAATGTGTTGTCTCCTTATAAAACAGACTATCAATTGCTACTAGCCTTACAATTGCTTTTGATGAGTGTGTTCTTTATTTTTAGATTCTAAGACTGTCAGTGAAGCCACATTAATTTAAAAATATTGGTGAGGAATTTTTCAACAAGGCCTGTGAGTTGAGTGACAGGGATTAATTTTTAAAATCATGCCATAAAACAAGCCAGAATCAAGTCTAGGACAAGTAAGACTGGAAGCAGTAGGATGTGTCATTGTGATTTCAAACTCTACCCAGAGCAGTGTTTGTGCATCCCAAAACTACCTCACAAAACAGATTTGTTCTCTGGAGATGATATACATTCTTGAAGAATTCAACCTATTCCCATTTAGTCAGTAATTCTCTTTATGCCTATTTCTCAGCCCCAAAATTTCAAAAAGTTTACATCTAGGAAAATATGAGGGATGGAAAAAAATCTCCCCTTCTCCAAATATGTTTATTTCCCACATGCACATGTGGATTTCTGTAATTCTAAGCTTGTAGATGTATTCCTTTGGCGATGAAAGTTCAAGAGGTGGGAGGGTACACATAAAGGGAGGTGGGAAAACACCAGAGTTACAAATATTCTATTATAGATAGTGTTGTGCAAACTAATCTCTAAAATCCTGGCTCTGGGTCAGCAGTGAAAGATATCAGCACCTATTCATTACAGTCAGGAGGGAATCTGGATTAACATGTTTTCAAAAGGATTAAAACTATGCCTCTGTTCCATTATCTGCAAAATTAAAGGGTTGGATAAATGAAACTCTAAGACTGCTCTCAGCTCTGCTCTTCTATAATTTCAGACTCGGCATTAAGTGTAATTGGGTGCCATATTTGTTCACATGAGAATTGTATGGGAGGACAGTGGACTAACTGGTAATCATATCAAATTGTCAAGGTTGAAAGATCTGATTGAATATCATAGTCAGGATTCAACCTTCTTACACATTCCCAACCACCAGAACTTAAGTTCGATTCATTCATTAAGAAATACGAGGCCGGGCGTGGTGGCTCATGCCTGTAATCCCAATATTTTGGGAGGCCAAGGTGGGCGGATCACGAGGTTAGGGGTTCCAGACCAGCCTGGCCAACATGGTGAAACCCCGTCTCTACTAAAAATACAAGAATTAGCCAGGCATGGTGGTGGGCGCCTGTAATCCCAGCTATTCAGGAGGATGAGGCAGGAGAATCCCTAGAACCCGGGAGGTGGAGTTGCTGTGAGCTGAGATTGCGCCACTGCACTCCAGCCTGGACAACAGAGCAAGATTCTGTCTCGAAAAAAAAGAAGAAGAAACATGAAAGGAGTACTTACTAGGTACCAAAGATTTACATAATAAAAAGCTTCTATTACCTGTTAGGTCAAGTTTTTCAGGCTCAGAAAGGTATAGGAACCCACTACAAACATATTCTGGTCTAAAAACAAGAATGGCGATGGGGTTTGCTTCTGCTGCTGTTGTTGTTTTCCTTACTTTTCAACTAGATTCATCAAACATCACTCAGAAGCCAGAATTAGTACCACCTGATCTGTGGACACACCCTGAGAGGTTAGCAACCCCTCAGCAAACTCCTACTGAACTTCAAGAATCATTTGCATCTACCATAGAGACAACCTCTTTAATCTCAAACAACCTGCTCTTGAAGATGAGTCAGAGCAAGTAAGACAAAACCGTAGAGTAGGTAAAATCTGTCCAAAACTTTCATCTCCTCCTCCAAAATCCCCACTGCTCCTATAGACATACAGTCCAGGGCTACATCACATAATACCCACTTCCTTAATCAGCATTCTCTTGCTGTACCCCAAACCCCCAACATTCAGGCCCCAACCAGAAACTGACCTCTGCCTCACTCCCACAGAAGTGGAAGATGTCAACTAGCTGGTGTGATAAACTAGTGATAAGTGAAAACTTACTATAACCTACGTGGCCTTCTCTAGATGTCCCTGGCCTTGACAGACAACCATTAAAATATCTATGGGGAGTATTTTCAACCATGTGAAAGAGGATGTCAGGGTCCTAGCAACTGTAAGTACAAGGCTGGAGATAAGCAACCCCTGAGTCTCTTGAACTAAAATGTATGATTGTGTCCTATATCTGTGTAGGGTGTCTACCACTGAAAGGATGTCTGCAGTCTTCCCTAGTAGAAAATAAGGTACAAGGAGGCAAAAGTATGAGCTAGAGTCCAAGTGGTCTTGAAATCCATCTGATAGGTTTGTATTAATACAATGATACTATTCCTAAGATCTTGGAAATGCCCAATGATCCTATTTCCCAAGATCTTGGAAATAACTATTTAAATCAGTGGGAATTATGTGATTACATGGTTACCTTATTATGGGAAGTAACAGTCATCCCTAAACCATACTGGCTAGAGGGGCTCAAGTCATGATCTCACAATGCCCTGGGTGCCACAGTTTGGATTAAAATTTTCCTCAACCATATTTAAATAACAGCATTTCCCCAAATCACAGAAATGAAACTTTAATAAATACAATTATTTCATTGAAATAATGTCTTAAACCTTTGGCATTTGTTGCAAGTTATCTATATTAGGACTAGGTATAAGATGATATTTAATTTAGGAGAATGGAAAAACAAGTAACAAATATTTGTTGAATATTTACTATTGCCAGGCACTAAACTGAGTATTTTATTAGTTTATGTCACTTAACCCTCAGTAGGAGACAGGGAATATTATCTCAATTTTACTGATTAGGAAATGGAAACTCAGAGAGGTGAAGTGACTTGCTGAGGTCTCTGAACTCTAAATAGGGTAACTCAAACCCGTATCTTTCCTACTCTTAAATCTTTACTGCCTCAAAAACTATTTGCCTGTATTTACATCCAAAGAACAATGCTATCTGAGTTTGATAGTAAAAATTGCTCTGTGGTCCATCCCTGAATATTTGAGAAACACAGACGTGGCCCAGGTCTTTGACGTTTCTTGTACTTCCCTGTGAAGTTGGCACAAATTAGTAATCCAAATGTTGACTACAATTTAAGAAAGGCCACAGCAACTCAAGCTTAGTGATCTCAGGATCTATAAAGAAAGAGAAAATTAAATGACCCAAGTGAACTCTTCATCCATTTTTGTGTATGGATTCATAATTATCAACAATTGCTCATTGAGTTCTCTTGAGCATCTGGGGTTTGGCAAACTCCTGCACATTTAAGCAAGCAGGCTACACTCTTCAGGCTACAATGTTGTAATGAAAGATTTAGGTCTATTGGGCCTTGAGGAACTCTATGATTTTAAAGAATTGTTTTTTTCGAGCCATGCAGCATACACTTGAGGATTAATTATATTTCTTAGAACAAAAATAATTATGTGGAAGTGCCTGGCACTTAGTAGCTGGTCAGTAGGTGTTTATTAAATATGAAACTGAGTTTCTGAATGGTTCAAAGTCGGCCGCCTTGGTTAGGTTTTCCCAATTCGTTCTCCCCCTCTCTAACCTTCCCCTCCCTTTTAAAGATACGGTTGTAATTACTACCTTTCTGTGACATACTTCACTTAATTATGTACTTATCACCTATAAATCCTTGAAGGAGGGCCTGAGTGTGTGAGCACCATGTATTACACCATCTGTGGGCATCTGATAAGTACTCACGGCCTGATTATGTTGTCAAGCATAACTTGACATCGGGCATTGAGGCAACTCTGAAAGTAAGATATCTCTTCAAGGCAGCAGTGGGACAGCCACCTGACTTTCATCTATTGTTTTGATTGATTCCAACAGTCGTTTAAAGAAGTATCATTCTAGGTCAAGAAGTAGAAGCAAGCCCTGAATCCAATAGAAGGAAGTTCTTCCTCTGCTTCAAAAGCTGAGATATGGAAGTTTGGGGGGAAGGTGGGTCTAGACCTGGGCATCATGTGGCATTCCTTAGAAAAATGGCTGCAAGTGTGTATACATTAACAAACATCAGCACCAAAATGGCAGTGTAACTGTAGAGAGTCCAGGCCTATGGTGGTGTGGTCTTTTTGTAACTGAGAATACTAATCAGGGCAAAGACATCTCCCACCCTATCCTCAAAACACTATCCTTGTGCCAGCAATACTGGCTTCAGCCTTAGGTCACCAAAGAGCTTTGCTTCAGTGGACAGGGATGCCCTACCACTGAAGAGCAACCTGGCTGGGACATTACATACCCAGGTCACCCAGATCATTTACCAATGAAGGAAGTCATGTACCTCGTGCCTGTGTTTGAACAGGGACAGTGACCACAGCAATAGAATGAGACCCCCTCCACAGACTTAGATAGCTTTTTTCCCTCAATATTATAGTATTCTAGTAATCACAATGATTCCTGGGAGCAAGTATGCATCTTGTAGGTTTTTTAATTGTCATGGGAAGGAGTTTCTGAAAAAGGGAAGAAAAACATTACATAATAAGTAAGATGATTAATAAGAGTTCTTTAATTTGAACAGAGTGGATAAAAGGAACCTAGTCTTGTGCCCCAATCAATAAACAAAACATCAGTTTTTAAATGATAAATTATTTTATTTTTTAATTGGCATAATTACGTTTCACTGGTTTAAACACCTCTCCCACCCCAAACTATACATACAGGTAGGTACACACACACACACACATACACAGCACTCCACCAGTTTATGCAGTAAAGTTATGAAAGAATATTCCAATACATGATTTTAAATGAAGTGCTGACATCTGGGCCAGTAGAAAACTGTCAACACATCAAACCTAGCACATCCAAACTGAATTCAATCTATTTACTCCAAGCTGGCTTTTATCTGTGCAAGTTGTCAGAATCAAAATGGAGTCACCTGTACCAATCCCTGACAAAACGCAGCCTGGGAAAGCCATGAAGATAGGTTCTCACACACATATGCCTGATAACAAGAACTATCACCAAAGACTCTCCAAAACCACAGCTGTGCATACAGGCCATCAAAACCTTAGAAAACACTTCGTTGGGGGCATCTGTCCAGCAACCGCCTGACCAACCTTGGACTGATGCCATCCTTGCTATTGATTCTTGTAGCCAAAGATAACGGATTCAAGGCAACTTACATAATCCTCCTTGTTTTGCCTTCAAAAACTTCCCCTTGCCTGAACCTCTTTGAATACACATGTAATTTACTAAGACACATGTATTCCCATTGCAATGCTACTCCTGAATAAATATTTTTATTTAGAGAATTTTCCTCTCTGTTTGTTATTTAGTCTGACATCATAGTGTCCAGAAGCAGGATAGAGTGAGCTCGCCTCACATGGATCAATGGCCCCTGGAACTGAGTGTGGTCCCAGCAGAGCCCTTTGCACTATCTACTTCCAGGAGTTGCCTTTTCTACCCTGATGAATCTCCTCTCTGATTCTTGCACTCCCTCCTTTTGATGAGTTCTTTTGACTTTATTTGGGATCTTCTCTTTTGGTATAAGACTGCCTTAAATGAAGGACCCTGCATCCCTCTTGAGACTATAAAGTCTTTTTTGGCAAGCCCTTTCTGATATAAAGACAAGTGTCCTTTTGGAGAGTACTCTAGCTTCTACTGAATTTACATTCCATTTGTGAGGACCTCATTTTTTTCCGGTGAATTCAGTTTGGGATCTTTTTACATGCCTAAGTTATTTTTGTTTGGTCTGCTTGCCTGGTCTAAAATTTTTGTGAGCACTCTTTGATTTCATCTTGGTTTGGCCACACATGTCTGTAAATTATCCGGCTATTTTACTTTTTTCCCCTTACCTCATTTCTGAACATCTCCCAAAAGTAAAAATGAACATTCCATATGGTAGGCACAAGATGGCCAAAATTAAAAGACACTAGGGCAGTATCCACCATCTAAAACATTAGTCCAAACCCCTGACATGGCCTGATAGGATTTATAGGATTTATTTATTTATTTATTTATTTATTTATTTATTGCTCTCAGAGATTAAGAAATGAAATGGGATTCTCAAATCTTGAGGCATGCCAACCTTTCTGTGACTCCAGCCAGCTATCTGTTCAAAATTTATGGTCCATTCTTGTATATATTTTTAATCAATGGACAAATTACACCAAGGATAATTTGTGGCTATTAAACAGATCATTCAAACTCCCTAAACTTATTTTTCTTAGAAGTTTCCTAGCTAATTCTCTATTACTGTATTAGTCCATTTTTATGGGGCTAATAAAGACATACCCAAGATGGGGTAATTTATAAAGAAAAAGAGGTTTAATAGACTTAAAATTCCATGTGGCTGGGAAGGCCTCACAATCATGGTGGAAGGCAAGAAGAAGCAAGTCACGTCTTACATGGCAATAGGCAAAGAGTGAGCTTGTGCAGGGAAACTCCCCCCGTATAAAACCATCAGATCTCATGAGACTTATTCACTATCATGAGAACAGCACGGGAAAGACCTTCCCCCATGATTCAATTACCTCTCACCAGATCCCTCCCACAACATATGGGAATTCAAGATGAGATTTGAGTGGGGACACAGCCAAACCATATCAATTACCTATTGATGTTGATTCTACTTGAGTAATTTTAATTCTATGTTTGTGAATTGCCTTTCTTAAAAACTTTCCCAGTTTGTTAAAGGAGTTCACACAGAATGGGAAACTATGCCCACTCCCTATCTAATTAATTTAGCAAACCAACTTGCCTACACTCTTGAGGAAGCTACTACAAAGAAAACCACTAAAACCCTTAAACTTCAATTACAGCAGATAGAAGCTCCCAGTATAAAAACTAGTATAAAAAAGCAGCTCACTGGAAAAAAAATATTGCCACAAAAGCAAAAGGTCCATGCAATCTTTCTCTCAGCTTCCACTTCCCCCACCAGAAGACCATTCTCAATGACAGCCTCTTGAGGAGTCATCCCTTTTAATGTAAATTTGGATTTGACTGTCTAATAATCACTTAGAGTAATGGAACTGTTATTTGAAGGATTGATAGTCTGAAAGGAAAGAACTAGATAAATGTTCTTATGAAAAGCTTCCAGGTCAAACAGGTCAATATCTTGAGCTCAGAGCTATAATATATCTCTGTCCAGCATAAAATTTACTTGGTCTGCCATAAAATAAAAGCAAATACATTTTTATAAAATGCTTCCCTGCCTGCATTGACTAGTCAAGCAAACCAGACCAGCAAACAAAGGAAAATTTGTTACTAAAATTTAAGACCACTTGGAGATGGTCTCGCACAATTCAGCCAATTCTAACTATAGTCATATACCGCATAACAACATTTCAGTCAACAACCGACCACATACAGGACTGAGGTTTCATACGATTATAATATGTATTTTTACTGTACCTTTTCTATGCTTAAATATGTTTAGATACACAAAAATATGCCATTGTGTTACAATTGCCTACAATATTCAGTACAGTTACATGCGGCACAGGTTTGTAGCAACAGGCAATACGATATGGCCTAGGTGTGTAGTGGCTATGCCATCTAGGTTCATGTAAATACACTCTATGATGTTCCTACAATGAGGAAATCATCTAATGACATATTTGTCAGAATGTATCCTCATCATTAAACAACACGTGACTGTAAAATGTAAACATTGAAAGAATTAATCTCTCAACTCACTTAAAATTGAAAAGAGAGGTGAAAACATGGTAAAATACTTTTTTACAACAAACTGTTTTATCCCAAGTATGGTCCACAGCCTTCATAAGATTATCAGGCAAATAAAAATCATAACGCTAAGCTATCAAGCAGGATAGATTTGTCCCATTTTGTCAGAAACACAATTTGGATAAAAATATAAAACAGTTAATGTCATGATTTTATTTTACTATATTTTACTGTCTTATGACTAAAATTCTAAGATGAAAGCTAGGGAAGATGGGCACCATGACTCACATCTGTAATCCCAACTACTCAGGATGCTGAGGTGGGAGGATCAGTAGAGTCCAGTAATTCAAGGCTGCAGTGAACTATGATCACACCACTGCACTCCAGCCTGGGCAACAGAGCAAGACTCCATCTCTAAAAATAAGTAAATAAGTATTAGTAAATAAATAAATAAAAAGGAAGCTAGGGAATCTGCTTCTGTATTTATGTTGTTTGTGTGTTTTCATGTTGTGTGTATGTAATAGCTTTCAACCAGAATTCATGAAAGAGCTCTAGTTAATTAATTAACTTAAAAGGAAAAAAATAAGTGTTTAAATCAAATATGTTACCAAAAATACAGCAACTAGCTCAAATGTTTTTAAGATCCATGATTTTTAAATTATTGATAATATAAAAATAGAAATGTCTTCAGAATTATCAGCATACATTTTTTCCTGGGTTTATTGGTCAGATGGGATTATATTTGTCTCCCCTAGATGTTTTAAAGTAATGAAAGTATAAATCCAGCTTAAAAACAAAATGATCTTTGTGTAAGTCTTTCATGAATAAGGCTAGTTTAATATTGTTAATTTAATGAAAATAGCTGTACCTTCTGAATTATTGGCAAAATACACACATATTTACTTTAAAGTTCTTACTTGGGTGATAAATGCCTGATATTTACAGGCTATAAAATCACTTAACAAAGAAATCACTTGAAATAATGACTCGACCTGTTGAATATTGCAGTTTTCATAAGTAATCTAGGTATAATTGTTTAAAAAAATAAATTTGGTAACTATAAGTTGGATAAATATTTATAAATAAACTTTTCATGTAATTTGAAATGTTAAAGTAATATTATGTTGAATTAAGTAATAGATACTCGTTAAGTGTCTGGGTCATTTCCAATATGAAAAATAAATTGCTGAACACAAGTACAAGTTTGTTCTTGACTTCTTAAATTTTATAGAACAACTAAATACATTTGACTCTATTAATAAAATTGTTAACTATTAAAAATTGTTGTATGAGAAGCTATGTTTCTAAAAATTATAAAATATGTATTTATAAGCTGTTGGTATAAGAATAAGAGTTCAAAACTGCTCACTTCTAAGGTTTCACTAGAAATTAAGGTTACTATGAGTAAAATTCCTAATTAGTATATACAATTCTGTACACAAAGTGTACCAGAAAGCTAAGATGTATTTTCGATGGGAAAAATTATAAGAAAGGCATAGAAAATGAGTTCTTTATTGTCTAAATCAGAGGTGATTTAATGGTTGTTTCAAAATACAGACTTAGAAAGGAAATAGAAACAACATAGAAAAAAACCAGTAAGCATGTGAGAAAGAAATTAAAAAATTATAGCTGTGAAAATACATTTTTGGTAACGAAGGTTAAAAACCAAAGAACTTTTCAAAATGGGAAGGGGGCCAGGCACAGTAGCTCACGCCTGTAATCCAGCACTTTGGGAGGCCGAGACTGGTAGATCACCTGAGGTCAGGAGTTCAAGACCAGCCTGGCCAACATGGCAAAACCCTGTCTCTTCTAAAAATACAAAAATCAGCTAGGCATGGTGGCACGTGCCTGTAATCCCAGCTACTGGAGTGGCTGAGACAAGAGACTCACTTGAACCCAGGAGGCTGAGGTTGCAGTGAGCCAAGATCATGCCGCTGCACTCCAGCCTGGGTGACAGAGCAAGACTGTCACGAAAAAAAAAAAAAAGGAAAGGGAAAGAGAAAAAAAAAGTAAATTTTTTGTCCTAAAATAAAATGACTGGTAAAAAGAAGTATAGCACAAAACTACAAAACTGAAGGTCCAAGCATGTTGTAGAAGTTCTGAGCACGTTGCAAATGTTTTATAAATAATAAATTTATAAAAGAAATTTTGGCCAGGCACAGTGGCTCACGCCAGTAATCCCAGCAATTTTAGGAGGCTGAAGCGGGTGGATCACTTGAGGTCAGGAGTTCAAGATCAGCCTGGCCAACGTGGTGGAACCCCATCTCTATTAAAAATGCAAAAATTAGCCGGGCATGGTGGTGTGCACCTGTAATCCCAGCTACTCAGGAGGCTGAGGCAGGAGAATTGCTTGACCCCAGGAGGCAGAGGTTGCAGTCAGCTGAGATCATGCCACTGCACTCCAGCCTGGGCAACAGAGTGAAACTGTCTCAAAAAGAAAAAAAAGAAAGAAAGAAATTTTGTGTGTAATCAATTTGGCTATAATTAAAGGAATCATTTAGAAGTTTTTCCAAAAATCGAGCATTAATATACTAATACGGAACTAGAATATTTTGGTCCCCTATGTTGGAATAACAAAATTTACTTAAAGTGTTGATCTTTTCTAGCAAAAAAAAAAGTTTTTCTTTTAATTCTGAATTTTTTTCAACCATTTTCTGAACTGCAACATCTTCTTGTTTTACAGTTTTTATTTCTGCCGTATTTCTTCCTGAGATCCATTTAATTTCCCTATTTAAGGTTGAGAATGCTGCCTTCTTCACTTAGAATGGCAATTTTATTTCTCAAGGTAGAATTTTCCTCTTGAAGCTTTTCAGATTCAATATCTTGGAAGTTCAACTTCCGTTGTATCCACAGCTTGTGATTTGCAAGTCACGCATCACTGCCTCCTGCTGTTTCTGTCCTTGAGAAAGTACCGCTTTTTGCTTGGCTGGGATGGTAATTCTCTCCTTCAACCTTCTCATCAGTTCCTATAACTTTTTTTTCCATTTATTAATCTGCTGCTGTGACCTGATGCTGAAATGTTTGTCCTGAAGGCTTAGAAAAGCAATGTTTTCTTCCAGTATAACTTGATTCTGTACTCTTGGCTTTTCTTGATCTGTCCGAATTGTGCTTGCATCCAGGCAATTTCAGGTGTCTTTACTTTTTCTAAAAGCCATACATTCCCCTGTTCAAGGTACTGGCTTTCTTGTTTATTTCTTCTGTCATATGGTGTACATTCATAACTTGGGCACAGACTCTTCCTGTGCTTGACTGAATTCAAGCACCTTTTCATCAGGTTTGACTTCCAGATTATCTAAACAAGCTTCCCATATGCGGAAGCAATCACGCTGAAGGAGGTTTGTTTCTTTACCTTTTAGTAATTGGCCTAGGAAACAAATATTTTGTCATTTCTTGTGCTTCATGTTGTCTTCATGAGTTTACTACTTAGGAAAAATGAACTTCGAAAGGGTTAAGGATTTTTCTTCTTACAGCCATGTGACTGTCTATATTTGCTTCTAAAGTCTTTTGAACATCACTTTGTTTAAATGAATGACTATTACTTCACAGTGACATGTTATCCCATTTTGATAAAGTGTTTTGAACCTTTTGACATTTTTGGCAGGCTTCCCCACAATCAAGTTCTAAATTAAATCTCTTTTTATCTCAAACTAACTTTGGGATGTTCCAGAGGACCCTGGAACATCTCAAAGTTTTATGGAAATGACATATTAAACTAAATTAGGCTGAATTAATATGTTGAATTATATGGGAAACATTATCAAATGATATCTGATGTTAGATTTTTATCTCAGTTACATTTATGAGTATGTTATTGATACGAATGTTCCAAAGTGATTCAAAATTCCTTAAAATCTAGCATGTCATCAGTTATAATTCTGGCTATCTTGTTGTATGCCACAAAAAAAAAATTTCTTATCAATTTCCAGATTTTTAACCATGGTTATTCTAAGTTTTTGTCATCCACAGTTATTGTTTTGATTCTTCTCTAAAGGCATCTGCAGTCAGATTCATGGCAAAGATTCTAACCAGTACTCTCGAATGCAGATTTCTAATAATGTTTAGATGATGGACTGAATAAAAATTTTCCTCAACTTTAAAGGAGAAACTGTTGAATTTGTGAAACTGCTAATCAAGATCAAGCAAAACAAAAAATTAATTACATGAAATTGAATAACTGATAAAGATTATGTTTTATGGCTTTTATTTGAAAACTATTGGCTCTTTATTTAAATGTTTTGCTTCCCAGATTTAAAGAAATTTTCTCTTTACCATTTTTCTCTTTATCTACAGCTTGCAATTTGGTAAAATATACTCTTGTGAACAAAAGTGGAAACATTTACTTTTTTTTGCTGATTGATCCCTCCAAAATTTGGAAACTATTTGTGAATGTTCTTATTTTTCTAGCAATAAGAATCTCCTCTTTTTATAAAAGGATACAATTGCAAGTGTTGGTTATATTACCAAGGTTTTGACTTAGATTTTAGTTTTAAGTTGTTTATACGTCCTGCAGACAAAGTCTGAAGTCTGCCTTGATTCGGTTTTCTAGCCTCAAGGGGTTTTTTAATCTGAAATTACCATGTGGTCAATCATTACTCTTGTCACACTATGTAAATGATCAGGTAAAATTTGATAAAAACTAAACTTATTTTACAAACAAATTAGTCTTATTTTGATTATCTGTGATAAAAATCAGGATTACTATAGAGAGAAAAACTATGTTTCTCTATAGCTATAATACGCTTTTCATTAGATTGTAGTCCTACCTATTGCTTTTGAGTTCTGGTTATCTACCTGTAGACTGAACTAGGTTCTGAATTATCTTACTTTCCTCCAATATCTAGCTGCAATGCTCCAACTAAGAACGATAACTGGTCTGTTCCTGAAGCCCTGTAGCTGAAACTAAATGAATTTTAAGGGACAAGTCTCATGCCTGATGTATGGGTCACACCAAAACTTCACTAGACCACCTAATTCCATTACTGGAGGTGTTCAGACTCCAAACCAGGACGAGGTATAGGCAGTTGACTGTTGTGGATGGCTTTTCTCACAGCGACAGAACAAAACTCCCAGCATAATGAGATTCTTACCCCTCTTAATTTTCCCTTGCTTGTGCCTACCTTTTTTTTGGGCAAGATAATGCTAAGTACAATCCTAGCAGACTAATGCTGGCCCAGTGCTTTGAGATGATAGCCAAGGCCTATGGAATAGACAAAAACTGAACTTGACAATGGACTCCAGGTCGACTTAGTCAAGAGCCACTCCTTCCAAACCTCCCTTGTTGCTCAAATGTTGCTAAAAGAATTTTGACCCGGACTCCTAGTCACCAGTCACTTCTCTCCAACAGAGGATCAGATCAGCAACCTGGGACAGGTCCACACTGACACTGAGGGATAACCAAAACTTATCAAGATGACTGATCGCTGATGCTTTCAGAGCAAAATCTTGATCAAAAGGGGGAAATGTGAACGTTGTCAGAATCAAATGGAGTCATTTATGTCAAGCCTTGACAAAATGGAGCCAGAGAAGGCAAGAAGGGATTTTTTTCATACACATACACCTGATAACAAGAAGTATCACAAAAGACTCTGCAAAAGCCATAACTTTGCACAAAGGACATCACAACCTCACACAAAAAAATTCCTTATACAAGGACATCTGTCCACCAACTGCCTGTTTAACATTGGACTGATGCCACCCTTGGTATTGATTCTTGTAGCCAAGGATAATTAATTCAAAACAACTTATGTAATCCTCCTTATTTTACCTTTAAAAATTTCTCCTTGCCTCAACCTCTTTGAATACACACAGTTAGTTTACTATGATGCACATATTCCTATTGCAAGGCTACTGCGAAATAAATATCATTTTCTTTTGGAGAGTTTCCCTCTCTATGTGTTACTTAGTTTGACACCTTCTATTTGTCTTGTAGAATGGCCTCACCATCTGTTTATTCACTTCAGCTTAAAATGTTAGTTGTTGATTTCTCCTGTTTACCCACCCCTACCCACAACTGGGCTTCAAGATGCTTAGCTTCTACCTATCAAACTTCTCTACATTTTCTCCTCTGTGGTCTGGTTTTTCTACCACTGTCCTGGTTTATGCCTTCATTACTTTTATTCTATATCAGAGTCAACAGCCTCTGATCAGCTTTTCTTTCTCCTACTGAGTCCCCCAATTTCATTCAGTCTGTCTCCCCCTTGCAAGGACACCTGTTGACTCCTCAGCCAGCATGAAGGACAATCTCCTGGGGGTGGATGTCCAGCCTCTCCCCACCATGCATCTGTGACTCATTCTCCACTGACACATGCATTTCAGCTACACAGCCTCTTCTAGGCTCCCAAACACACCTTGCCCTTTCACTGTTCTTGCTTTTCCTTTCCTAGAAATAGCTTCCACCCCACCCTTAACCTGCCTGAGAAATCGTCATCATCCTCTAGGGCTGGGCAGAAGCATGGCTCCTGCCACCATTGTCCCGTCCTGGTAACACTTGTTCTCTGTGTGCTCCACAATTAAGGCATTACCAAGCCTGCACTGGGTGTGAGGCCATGCCCTGCTTATAGGGAGTAGGCCCAACCGAAAGGAAAAGGTTACTCATGGAACCTGTCTCTGAGGAAGAGCAAGAGCCTCACACCTGAAAACAGAGCTGAGGGTGAAGGCCCTGGTTTGGACTACAGAAGATTCCCAGGGGCAAAGGGACAGATTCCTGATGAGCGCGTTTCACATGGGGTACCTGTTCTAGAGATAGGCAGGGAGCTAAGAAGCAGGCACCAAGACAGGGCATCCATGACAATGAGCCAGCCCCACGGGGCTGAGTTTCCCAACACAGGATCCTTGGAAACTGCCTCAGAATCACCCGTGATGCTTATTTCAAAATACTCATTCTCGAGCCTACCTTAGATAATAAGTCAGAACCTATAGAGATGGGACCGTGGAATCTGCATTTTAACAAAATTCTCAGGAGATGCTGAGACATATGAAATTTTTAGGACTCCTAGAATGAGGGATGAGGCATCTCGTGACAACAAGAAACACATGGCAAAGTTACCAACTCCCAGCCTTCAGGGCTGGATTCCACCCAGAAGACCTAGTTCCCTAACATGAAAGAGGCTCATGATTTTCAACAGTTAATTGCAATAATGCACCAAATGGTACTGGAATCTAGGAAACCAAGCTAGGAGGGCAGTCCATTGGTATATCAGACTGAGAGGGACAGAAGGGGCGGAGTTGAGGCAGAAGCAAAGAACAATTAGCGAAAGTTCAAGAAACAAAGTGAGGATCAAAGTACCAGTCCCTACCTTACAGGGTTTTTGTGCTACACATAAATGTGGTTGTGTATATCAAGCATCTAGCACATGGCTGGTACAGAGTAGATCCACAGCAGATCTCAGCTGCCCTGGGATTCATTCCACTGATTTTTCCTTTTATAAGCACTTTGCAGAGCCACTGTTGAAGGTCTTAAGGAAGCTAAACTAGGGTGGTCCCTGTCTCCCGGCCCCACACACCTGGTGCTCACAGAGCCACATCAGGTAAGTTGGGGCTGAGTCCCCGGGTCTTACCTGTGGACGGATGCTCATACGGGTAGAAGTGCTTTTGGGCAGTGCCTTGCTTGCTCCTACTCACCAAGACCCAGTACCACCAGACTCTATGAGCCTCGTATTTCAGTGTCCCCACCCTGAACTGTGAGTGGTAAATCATAGTCACGCCGGGTGCAACGTGAGTTCTAGAAAGACGGAAAGTAAAGTTTCAATTAAGCAAGATGAATAGATTCTAGAGATCTGCTGTTCAACGCTGTAATAATATATTGTTATTATTATTACAGCTGATAATAATATATTGTTGTACACTGAAAATTAGTTAGGAAGTTACACCTCATATTAACCGTTCTTACCATAAACAAATTTTTTAAGCTTGGGGAGGTGGCCTAGAATGAAACGTTAAGGAATGTTGCAGAGTGTCTTGGTGGCAAGGAGAAGAAAGCACTTCAACAACGTCCCCATAGCAGCAGGGGCAGAAGGTCTAAGGCAGGGCGGGAGTTCACAGACCTTAAAGAAAAGCTGTAGCAACTGACCGTTCCAGGCCCTGAGCAGCACTGTTATAATGTGACGGACAGCGCCATCTAGTGGAAGAGAAAATGAACAGAAGTGACCGATTCTCTTAAAGGTTGATGATAACATTGCGTTTGAGTCGGAAGGCACCTTAACAGTTAATATTTTACAGAGGAAACATAGAGACTAAGTTTGATTTCCCCACAGATTAAGCCAGTTCTCAAGTGACAGAGCTGTTTCCTTCTCAGCCCTGACATCCACCCAGACAAAGAAGCAAACTCTATGGTGTCAGGGTCGAGACAACAACCAGAAAAAACTTCATACCTAGCAAAAATAACACCTCTCCTGAGGCCAATGGAGATGAAGAAAACCTGAAAAGCTCCTTTCTGGAGAGCATTTTTACTATTCCGCCCTGTTATATAGAGAGCGCGACCATATAATTATTCTTCCACACCAGGACAATTCTGAAAGGGAAAAGGGCATCAAAAATAATTACAGTTATAGAGCTAAAGTTGCATAGATAGATGAAATCTGAATTGACAGCTGCTTTTATTTTACCGGCGGACCTTTAAAATCGTTCTATACAAAAAAAAAAGTTTTCAAAACTAAAATTCTCTTTTTTTTTTTTTGAGACAGAGTCTCGCTCTGTTGCCCAGGCTGGAGTACAGTGGGGCAATCTCAGCTCACTGCAACCTCCACCTCCCGGTTCAAGCGATTCTCCTGCCTCAGCCTCCCGAGTAGTTGGGATTACGGGTGTGCACCACAACGCCTGGCTAATTTTTGTATTGTTAGTACAGACGCGGTTTCTCCATGTTGGCCAGGCTGGTCTCAAACTCCTGACCTCAGGTTATCCGCCCACCTAGGCCTCCCAAAGTGCTAGGATTACAGGCGTGAGCCACCGCGCCCGGCCCTAATAAAATTCTCTTTTAAAATAGCATGTGTCTAGCTAGGCGCACTGTTTCACGCCTGTAATCCTAGCACTTTGGGAGCCTGAGGCCGGTGGATCACCTGAGGTCAGCAGTTCGAGACCAGCCTGGCCAACATGGTGAAATCCTGTCTCTACTAAAAATACAAAAATTAGCCGGGCATGGTGGCATGCACCTGTAATCCCAGCTACTCAGCAGGCTGAGAGAGGAGAATCGTCTGAACCCGGGAGAAGAAGGTTGCAGTGAGCTGAGATCGCCCACTGCACTCCAGCCCCATCTCAAAAAATAATAATAATTAATTAATTAAAAATAAAATAAAATAGCATGTATCTGTACACACTAAGCAAAATGTGAAAAAACTTTTTGTTATCTCAGTGTGAAAAAAACACAAACAAACAAAATCATTATTCTTGTATAATCTCAGGTATTTTAGAAATCCTGGTCTCCAAAGCTGTCACTACAATTTTTCCGAAGAATTTAGTTTCTCAATGTGCTGTATTATTTTTAATTCTTTTATAAAATTGCCAGAAATCTTCTTCAAAGCTCATTTTATGATTAACGAAATTGGGGTTGTTAGAAGATAGTCTTTCAGTAGATGCTGAAATACCTGCTAAGCTCAGAGCAAATTCTACATAAGGGATATTGTTGATTAAAACTTTTCCATAATTTAATTCTTAAATAATCCAGCTCTAATATTGTCACAGCTATGGTTTCTTTGCCTCTATTCAGAGAAAATGTTTTCAAAAAGCCGGAACTTGTCAAATAAGTTATCTGTTTATGATTATTTTGAACATTTCACCAAGTTTAGAAAGTGCAAAATTGAGGACCTTGGTTTCATTCTGTACTGGTAAAAAATACATATATATATGAAGTTGTCTAATTAAAAGTACAAATCCTATCAAAAGATCCCTCCCACGAGTTGAAATATTCCAAAATGCAATTATAGAATTTCAAAATTAAACATCACACACGTTTGAACTCTTATTCTTAAATTTGTTCAGCTCCCTCTTTCTTTCTTTGGTGATTAATTTATATGGCGTCCTGTCTGCAGGCTTTGTTTTTGATAATTTTAATTAGCTAAAAGCAGCAAAAGCTGAGGTTTTCTTATGCTCTGTTTCATAAATGCTTTGTGTAGACACTTCCAACTGATTTTGAGGGGAAATGCAATGAAAAGGTAAATGATTGGTTTACTAAAAACAACAAAACTTTAATACTAATATGGGACATGAGTTGATTCATAATATAGTTTTTCAAAGATTCCGACACTTCTAAAACCCAACTGATGAAGGCTTCACAAAAAACTGCAATTATTCTGTACATACATTTAAAAACTTGTACAGAGGACCCTAGAGATTAGTAAGGGATGGAGGGGAGATAGAGATTTGTTAAAAAATACAAAATTACAGTGTTCTATAGCACTGTGGGGTGACTTCAGTTAATAATAATATAGTACAGGCCTTCTAATAGCTAGGTGTATATTGAGTGTTCCCAACACAAAGCAATGATAAATATTTGAGATGGTGGATATGCTAATTACCCTGATCTGATTACTACACATAATATGTATCAAAACATCACGCTATACCCCATAAATATATACAATTGTTATATGTCAATGTAAAAAATTAAAGGAAAAACAATTTCTAAAATAAATAAATGTTCATACATTTTTACAACTGTAACCTCTATTTTTGTAAAATAACAGTGTATTTGGACACAATTATGAATTTTATGAGCCCTACAACCAATTCCAAGTTTATTGCTGACTTAGGGGATTTTTTTAATTTAGAAAAGAAAATGTGTTCATTATAACAGTGACATTGTTTTCCTTTTGTAGAGAAACAAATGATGAAAAATAAATGCATATTTTTGAAAAGTGGAAAAAAAACACTGACATTACCAAAATTTCTATTTATGTTATCACTATAGAAATAAGTATTATCTTCAATTATGAACCTTTAAATTTACAATTAAATTCGTAATAGTGTCAGATGTTTCTCATTTAATAGACAAATATTCCAGAAGTTTTGTAAATCCCACAAAAGAAAATTGGAACCATTATTTAAATTAACATAAATAATTTTCTATTGGCAACAGCTCATGACACTGACATAAAACTGACATCATTTAACTGTTGGGGTCATTCTTATAAGAAAAACTTGGAATTAGAATGAGTTAATTAATTTGGACAATAGTCACATGATCTGAATGAAACATCACACTTCCCAGAGGGCTGCATGGAAGGCCTTTGCAGCCAGATGTGCTAAATTGTAACATTTGGAGGAGACCCTCGTGCTTCTCCAGCAGGTTAGCATTTCTGGTTTTCATGTGGTCAGTGATGGCAGTGCAGCCCGTGGTTAATGGGAAATTTTAATCCAAGTTACATCGTCAACAGGAGAAAAGCAAATTCAGCACCCCTGGTTTTTCATTAAATATGCTCTTTCTTTTTTTTTTTTTTTTTAAGCTCAATGTTGTCAACAGGGTTTACTGCAAAATTAAAAGTTGTTACCAAATAAATAAGCAGCTGCAGATTTACCCCCATGCACTAACTGATAAAACCGCAAGTGCCTTCAGACTATTCTGTATATGCTCACAGAACCCCTCAGCCTGCGTGACCCAGTATTTCATAAACACACAAGCTCTAATTTCAGACATTTCCTATTGACCTCACCACCTGGCAGCCCTGGGGCTTTGTGAACCTCAAAGACCAAGGCCTCGGTCTTTGACGCAGCAGCCAATATTTCTCCCACACTCAGAGATCCTAAGTCAATGCCTAGATGTACTTTATTTTACTATCTTACGTGGTATCTTGAACGAATGGTATTAGTTTTGTTGTATCTGGAAAGACTCCAAGAAAATAAATAATGAATCAATCAATCAAACAGTGTTTTCTTTTTGTTGTTTTTTTTTTTAATCATGGGTCATCTTTTAGGTTTGACCCCGTGTTTAAATGAAAATTCTGTTTCGCACTGTTAGAGAAGACAATGGCAAAGCTAGAAGTACAAGTTGCGAGGGAGGGGTTTAGCGAACTCATCCAGGATTGTCTTAAATATTAGGCAAATGTTAAATATACTTCACTTAAAATTATTTTAAATCCGGGATAAATGCTAATAAGACCTTCTGAAAACAGCTGTAACGTGAGTACTGTCTCTATGCTTATAAAGAGCAATCTCCAATCCCTTCCTAAATTACCTCCACACCGCCATTTGCATGCCAAGAGCTCAGGTGAATCTCAGCTGCAGCAGGAGAGGGGCTGACTGAGCTTTGGACAAGGCGCTCTCCTCTCCTATGGAGGAAGATAGAAGTGACCTCGTTCTTCCCCTTCCTTTACAGGGAAGAGGGTTAAGCTATAGGCTACTCGCTAAAGGTTACTTACATAAACTTAAACTAGTAGGAAACTGAGGTGTACAAAGGTAAGAGGAAGCAAATCAAATTTTTCTTGAGTTTCAGAGTGGGCTTCCTTTATGTTGGCATTCTTTAATCTTTGGAGATGACTTTTCACCTCACAGGTGGGTGCCTTGGATAACAGGTTTCCAGGATTTGTTCCCTTAAGTTTTGTTCCCTTGTCATAGCTTTACTCGTCAGGAATTTGCAATTGAAATGGGCTGAATTCCTTCTGTGGATAATATTAACGTGCTAATAGAGCAAGAAAACCCTGCAGACTTGCCTCCGAAATCATTCTTGCTCAGGTCAGTGAAAATGCAATAGGAACTTTTCAGTCTGTAAGGGAGCTGGGTCTTCTGTAGCACTGGGCTCTTGGCTCTCCAAATCACTCCCTTCTTAAAATCATCCCGTCTCTCTATGGCTCCTCTTCCTTGGCGGGCCACCCATCCTGGCTTCCCTGGGTTCTGCCCTCAGCCCACTCTCTTCTCCTGATGCTCTCTCCCAGCCATGGTTTTGGACCCCACCATAAGCTGATTCATCTCTCGCCTCTAGAAACACTAGTATCCTTTCCTGTCTCTTGCTGAATGTCCCATTGGCATCTCAAAATCAACATAGCTAAAACTAAAAGCAACTAAAAGCATGTTAAAAATGAAAACAAACAAAAAACCCTACTCCCCATCCTGCCCTTTTTTTTTTTTTTTTTTTTTTTTTTTTTTTTGCTGTTAGAAAAAAATGCAACCCCACCTTTCTTGGGACAAAAATTTCATAGAAGTCAAAAATGGCAACAGACCTCTAGATAAAAGCATTAGCAGAGTTCCAGTCAGAATACTGCACTCCCTTAATGCTCAATTTAAAATGAAACCTAAAGCAACAGAATACATTGAGTATAATGTTTCTTAAGAGAATTCATCAGCAGATCTATACCATTAAAGTATTAGCAAGAAGGTATGTTTCCATTGAATTACTTAGTATGTTCCTATAGTACAGCCAAAAGAGATGCACACACATCAATGGCTATCAACAAAATGTTAATATGAACGCACCTGCATACTTCTCTCCCTTTATCCTTCCTTCTGCCCCTCTGCTGCCAACCTGGTAAACAAGTTGTAATATACACTGCTCAGAGGCAGTTTAACAATTCCATGTCCATGATGCCTCTTTTATGTCAATTACAACAAAAAGATATTTACAAACCAGCTAATTGGCTAACTCTTTTTATTCTACATTTTCAATTCAGGACACCTATGAAACTTAGATGTTGCAAAATAATAAACTTTGTCCATAATAAACACAGGGACTTTTCTAAAAATGTTCATAGAGGCCTATGGTTATCATCTGAAACCATCTTCCAGATCTGGAGATGCCAGCAGAGAGCCCTGCCCTTCAAAACGGAGTCCTGTACACAGTCACACTGCACTTCCCATGTCCAAGATGGTTCCATTAAGTTGTATAAGCCTGAAAATGAAGAACCATCACAATACCCCTGTGGTCCTTCACCCACACATCCCTACCCAATAAATCACCACACCCATTTGTGTCTACACTGGGAAAATGGCTCTCCAGAGCGCATATCCTGATATCCCCTTCCCATCCCCACCACCACTGCTGAAGCTGAGGCCTCACACACTCTCACCTGGGTTACTTCAACTCCCTCCTCACCTGTATCCATTCTTTCAGGCTTCACCAGCCACTGGCCAGGTACACTTTTCAAAAATGCAAATCTGAGCTCTCCTCTGCCCTCCTTTCAACTACTGAGACTCTCAGGAGGCTCCATGTCTGTGGCAGTCTGTGGATTCTGAAACTTGGCCATCATGACGTAAGTATAGAAATGGAGATTATGAATCTAGAAACTGTTAGGAAAACTTCACCAAGTAATTTTATGTATGTCGAAACTAATCATGAAAAGCTAGGGCTTCTGTTTTGGGTGTCTTCATTTTTTTATTTTACTTTCCTTGGAACTCATATTTATTTTGTTTTACTTAAGTATTGGTCTATGATGAATTGGTAATATAAAGGGGGAAACTGTTCCTTCACCGTAGGTAGTTTGACAGGCACCTCTGTGAATTGTCTTCCTCCTCCTGATCGTCCTTGGGATGAATTTCAACCTCCTAGAGTGTTGGGGTGTCATGCACAGTCCTGCCTACACTCACCACCCACCGCGACCCCACAGCCATTTCCTTTCTCCTGAGTCCTTGCTGTGTGTGGGCCACTAGCCCCCCGGCTTTGTTTTCCTAACTAATTCCTGCTGGTCCTTTCAGACTCAGCTCAGACTGAGCCGGGAGTCCTCCTTCTTGCTCCAGCGCCCCTCCAATAACCCATCGCAGCTCTGCTCGCGGCTCACTTTCTCTTACACGGCTATGAGCTCTGTGTCTTATTCCTACCTCTTCTCCCACACTTTGGCCAATAAGTTTTTATCCAAAGAATTAATGAAAAGATGAGTAATTAGATTGACGAAAATTTCCTTGATAACCTTGTGGACAAGATGGAGACAGCAAATGAGGGTCTAGTTAGGTCGTTTCAGATAGCTGTCTATTGGATGCTCAATACAATGTTATTAAATGAAAAAATAAATTTATGACTGGGAATGAAGTGCTTAAAATTATTGAATACAGAGTGCAAATCTTCTTTAATGCTTACTATACCTCCATTATCAGTGCCTGTGATGAATTTTGGTAACAAAGAGAACAATATCCAAATGGTCTCCTGTTCGCCAGCTCAGGCAGGCCAACTCTGAGGCCAGCAACATTGCAATGACACCTGCCCAACGATGGGAAAACCTGTTCTCTATGTGGAAAGCCATTGACCTAATTATCCAATCCGCGGAGTTCCTGCTTTCCCCTAAATCAGCAAGAAGAATTAAGGGCAAGAGAAAACAGCTCATCCTAACTTCCCAGCACCTCCCTCTAGCGGCTGACTAAATTTAGCTATCGACAGCAGCTCTTGACAAAGGAAAGAAGGCTTGTTTATTTGGGTGCTGTGCACAAGTGTCCATCTCTCCAGTACCCAGGCTTTGGTTCTTAGGCATCCAGCTCCCTTTATCCAGGCATCCTCCCTAAGGAAAGATGGAACTAGAGATGGCAACGACTCCTTTTGGACCCCAGGTTGACTCCAGTCAGGTCTCAGCATGTCATCACGGCTATCAGACTGCTCCTTGCAATAAATCAGCTGATACCAGCGCCCCTCACTCATGCTCTCCCCCAGGGTATGTCCATCCTCCTAAGCAGAGCCTACTTCTCATCAGCTTATTTGCTCCTAAAATCTATATACTCCTAATTGCCCTAATTTTACAGAGGATCATTATCTTAGCAAGGTAACATATCGAATTGATGATGATGATGTCAGTAATGGTAATGATAGTAGTACTGAAGATGTAATGATGCTCTTTTTTCTTCTGCAAATTTTTCTGAGTACTGAACAGGGCCACTGCTAGCCTATACCCTATCTTTTTGTGAATGCAAAAGAGGTGACCCTTTCTCAGACAGGCACAGCCCCACACCCTGGAGCCCTGCTATGCAAGTGGACTACAAGCTTGACTTCAGCTCCCTCTAACCATCTCTGTAGGATATCCTTGTGCAGGGATCTACCTACACACCTGTATGCAATGGTGCTCGTGTGGGCAACAGCCTGAATAAACAGTAAAAGACTAGGCAGCCTGCAAGAAAGAGGCAAGTCTGTGTTTATATTTGGGCAGGGGAAAAGCAGCTATATGGTGTGGAAGAGAAGTTGGTTGCATTGTCTTGACATTTCCTACCTCCCTCAGTAACTTTGGGATTGCTGGAAAGAAAAAGTCATTTCACCACTAATATGTGGTCCTAGAATTGACATAACAAGTGAGTCTTTGCCTCACTTGTTCTCATTTTCCTGCCAAAGTTGGGGGGAGGGGGGCGGCGCACATAGCAATCATGCCTCTTCACCTTTGGGAGGACAACCTTTGTTCCTAGTGTCAGAGAGGAGTGTCAGACCCTTGACCATGCTTTTAGGGATGGAAATGGCAGCCGTCTCCACATAGATGGATGGGTGAGGGATGGCTCAGGATGGAGGATTTGTTTGGGCCCCGTGAACTATTAGCTTCAAGAGGAATCTCAGAAATCCCTGAGATAAAGACCCTCCCTCCCTCATATACAGGTATTGATAGGAGTGGTTTGGTTGCTGGAATCCAGGGCTTCCTCCCACACCAGGGTTCTTTCCATAGTATCCACATGGCAACCGGAAAAATCTTGATTTTTCTTACTAAGTCTATTTCCCAGCTAAGTTGACTTTTCCCAAAACTCACTCTACTAAACAATTGTCCTCCAAGATGCAGGGTGACTACCAGGTTTAGAGGTCGTATAAATTTAAGAAACCAGGACGGGCACGGTAGCTCACTGCCTGTAATCCCAGCACTTTGGGAGGCCAAGGTGGGCGGATCGTGAGGTAGGAGATCGAGACCATCCTGGCTAACACAGTGAAACCCCGTCTCTACTAAAAATACAAAAATTAGCCGGGCGTGGTGGCGTGTACCTGTAGTCCCAGCTACTCTGGAGACTGAGGCAGGAGAATGGCGTGAACCCGAGAGGCAGAGCTTGCAGTGAGCCGAGATCATGCCACTGCACTCCAGCCTGGGCAACAGAGCGAGACTCCGTCTCTAAAAATAAAATAAAATAAATAAGGAACGAGACACTGTACCCTCCTCCAGATATTCAGAAAAGACGTCAACTGCGTCAATTTTTTTTTTTTTTTTTTTGAGGCAGAGTCTTGCTCTGTTGCCCAGGCTGCAGTGCAATGGTGCAATCTCCTTTCACTGCAACCTCCGCCTTCCTGGTTCAAGTGATTCTCCTGCCTCAGCCTCCTAGCTAATTTTTGTATTTTTAGTAGAGTCAGGGTTTCACCACGTTGGCCAGGCTGGACTCGAACTCCTGACCTCAGGTGACCCACCTGCCTCAGCCTCCCAAAATGCTGGGATTACAGGCGTGAGCCACTGCGCCCGGCCACATCAACTTCTTGAAAGCTTGAAGAGTACTGCAGAACCTGTTTAATTTGGTTCAAAACAGCTTTTTCAAGATTTTTCAACCACGGACTCCTATTTCATAGCAGCTTCTCATACCCTACACAACTACTGTTCCTCCAGACACACTTTCAGAAACACAAGACGATCTTGTTTTATGTCATCAGAGAAGCCCTCATTAGATGCAAGAGGCAACCAACACAAACACATAGATCACCTGCCCATTCAAACTCTATTTTCCATCCATTGAAAATATGCCTTGGTATTTATTTTACTGTGTGATAGATCCTGTCCCAGGAGATGTGAGAAGTGCAAAGCAGCCTGTGATAGAGACAGGGAGGGCTGTCATTTCAGGCCACGTGCAACTGGCAAGACTCCTCAAATGCGGTCAGAAGTTCCAGGGACACGTCTGTATCTATCTCATCTCTAATGGAGAATAATGCCATTTCCTTTGTCTGTTCCAGGCCTTGGGAGAGGAATAGTCATTTGCCGTTAGTGAAACAGTTTGATCTCTTTTCTCAAAAAGCTTTCACAAACTCAAGCAGCTGTTACTGTCTGGCAGAGGATGGTGACAAGGACAAAAGAACAGGGAAACGCCCATCACCTAAATCTTCCATGACTGTAGGGTGGGGTTGAGGGTAAGAATGTTGTGCTAGTGGTTTCTAGTCCAAGAGCTAAAACTTAGAAGGGAAGTCTTTTTAATCTGATATAAATCACAAATGCCATACAGTTGACTGAACAGGACTCCTGAGAAAGAAACAGAATTTTCCAAAAATTACATTTAACCAGACATATTTGAAAAGCAAGTATTTATGGAATGTTTACTTATTATGTAAACATTTAACTTTTATTTTTATCTACATTCATTTGTCTTCTATTCAACATAACATTTCATTTTTAACATAGAGGAAAATCTGCCCTTGAAGCTTTTTGTTTTGTTTTTTCCTATGAATCATCAATTTCTTGATGCAAAGCAACCAACACTAAACAGGCTAAAGGGACTTTAGGTCTCTTTCATTTTTTATTTGTAAAAATGTATGGGCACACATGAAATTTTGTTCCATGTCATGTGTAAAATGTGTAGTGATCAAGTCAGGGTATGTGGCTGTCCATCACCCAAGTACAATACATTTTTGTTAAGTACAGTCACCCTACTCTGAAATCAAACATTGACTCTATTCCTTCGATCTCACTATATGTTTGTACCCTTTAAGCCACTTTTCTTCATCTTCCCCTCCTCCCCCAGCTCACCCCTCCCAGTCTCTGATCTCTATCTTTCCACACTCTACCTCCATGTGATCAAATATCGTAGCTCTCACATATAAGTGAGAACATTTAATATTTGTCTTTTTATGTGGGTTATTTCACCTAAGATGATTAATCTGTCTTATTTTACTTCAGATAATGACCTTCAGTTCCATCCATGTTTCTGCAAATGACATGATTTAATTCTTTTTTATGGCCAAATACAAGTAAGTTTTGTAATATAATCAAATCATAGTGATTAAAAAGTATGGACTGTGGAGTCAGAGAGCTGGGGTTTAAGTCCTAACCATATAACTCAGTAGCCATCTGTGCTCAGCAAGCTTTTTTGTGTCGCATGTCTGAACTTTAGCACCTTTCACCTCAAATGGTGCCCCATAGGGTTGCTGTGGAAGCTGAATTATAACATATGTCATGTCTAGCAAAGTGTCTGGCTCATAATAATTTCTCCAAGAATGGCAGTGGTGATGGTAGGAGTCATAGTTGGAAAAAGTAATCACTCATAATTATTATACAATCATAATGAAAGATAGAGAGGCACTGGGAAAACCACTAAAATATATATATACATTTTATATATATATAAAATGTATATATATATAATATATATATGTGTGTGTGTAACAATCAGGAATGCACACATATTTCACCAAAAAACATGTACTAGAATATTCACAATGGTACTATTTGTAATAGCCCAAACCTGGAAATACCCACATGTCCATCAAGAGTAGAATGAATAAATTGTGATATATTCATAACATATCAATCACAAAGATTTTAGAAATCTTAAACAGATAGTGGCTCACGCTTGTAATCCCAGCACTTTGGGAGGCCAAGGCGGGCAGATCACCTGAAGTCAGGATTTCAAGACCAGCCTAGCCAACATGGTGAAACCCCGTCTCTACTAAAAATACAAAAAATTAGCCAGGTGGGGTGGCAGATGCCTGTAGTCCCAGCTACTCAGGAGGCTGAGGCATGAGAATCACTTGAACCTGGGAGGGAGGGAAGTTGTAGTGAGCCAAGATTGCACCACTGCACTCCAGCCTGGGCAACAGAGAGAGAGACTGCCTCAAAAAATAATAATAATAATAATAATTACAGATGATTAAGTATAGAGGTGTCCATAGTAATATTATCTATAACAGAAAAACCAGAAACTAGCTGAATATTCATCAGTAAGGAAATAACTAAATATATGTTTTCATAGTCATAATGTTCACAAATCCAAGCCCTGCTATTTACCCATTTGGAGGCATTATCCAATTCTTCTAAGCCCATATTTCCTCATAAAATAGATAGGCATGGCCCTTAACTTCAGGGTCACTGTGAGAATAAGCAAAGGCAGTAATTGGGCCCCTTACTGGTGGACTGTCTCTGACTCTAGGGATGTTTTAGTTGACAAGGAAAGGACTGCCAGGATATGACAAATATTTGGAACTCCTCCTAAATAGAGAAGGTCTGGAAGAGAGGAATTCTTTCAGGTTCATTCAGTGACCCCTGTCAGGGATCGCTGTCAGTTGGAAGAGGGCATGGAGCAGAGAGGTTAGGAAGTCCAGCTCTGGAGTCTGTCTTCATGAGTTCAAATATAGCCACCAACATGCATTAGCTCTGTGACCTTGAGTAGGTTGTCTATCCATTCTCTGTCTCAGCGTCCTCATTTATAAGATGGGATCATGGTTTCCTCCTGAAAGGTCTGTGGAGAGGACAAAATGAGATAATATACCTGTGACCAGTTTGCTAGTGAGCTGGGCTGGGCAGGGTGCTTGCAGAATGCACTGAATTCTTCCTTTCCAAACCGACCCTCTTTCATCTTCCTCCTCATCCTAGACAAAACCCCCCAGACTATCCACTAGATGACAGTACCCCAGCTGTGACAATGAAAATGTCCCCTAGGGGGCAGAATTTCCCCTGGTTGAAAAATCACTGAATTAAGACTGTCCCAGATAAGATGACCAAAATTTTCAGTGTTTTCCAAATTGCAGGAGACACTTTAAGCTCCCTGCATTCTTGGTTTAAAGAGGCACAAATCTCTCCCTTCCTCTAAAAACTCACTAATGTTTTTCACAGTCATCTCACATTTTGTATTTCATAGCCTGGATAAGAGGGATGATGAACCAAGCGGGCAAAATCTGGCTTTGACCACCCCCAGCAATCCCACACAAATAATCTTTTAAGGATGTGGGGGCATTTGTCAGCTTTTGTACTCATCATTTGTTGAAAGAGGAGACACGTTTAGTTCAAGCACACAATAGGGACAGAAAAGAGGCTATGTTGAATATTAGGTTCAGGGACACCATAACTAATTTAAAACAAATGTGCATGGCATTGAGAAAAACACTCTTCATAAGAAGAAACAATGTTTTAAGCACATACAGTGTCCTAATATAATGACTTTTGAGGGTGGGTTTAGAGTGAAAAGGGCTGGGAAGATCTCTATGTCCCAAGGTGTCTGATTCCATTATAGATGTTTATGCAGTTGAGAGTCATTCTAGCACTGCCCTGGTCTTTTACTCCCTAGGATGAAAGGAGTGTGGGAGAAAGAAGTCAGAGCTGAGGGCTAGGAAGAAAGGAAAACAAGGGAAAAGAGGAAGTAATTATTCTTATTTCTTTTTAGTCTGCCTCAATCTTCAAAAGAGCATTTTACCTACAGGGATGCTTTGGGGTTTTTTGGGGTTTGTTCTTTTTGTTTTGTTTTGTTTTTGTTGTTTTTATGTTTTGAGTTTTTGTTTTGTTTTTTTTTTTTGAGACGGAGTTTTGCTCTGTCGCCAGGCTAGAGTGCAGTGGCCTGATCTTGGCTCACTGCAACCTCCGCCTCCCAGGTTCAAGCGATTCTCCTGCCTCAGCCTCCTGAGTAGCTGGGTCTACAGGTGGGCGCCACCACGCCCAGCTAATTTTTGTATTTTTAGTAGAGACGGGGTTTCACTATGTTGGCCAGGATGGTCTCAATCTCTTGACCTTGTGATCTGCCTGCTTCAGGGATGCTTTTGTAAACGCACGGCTTGGTTCTATTTCAAAATAGTCTAACTTAATAGGAAAAAAAAAACAAGACATGTAGTTCAATAATATTTTATTGTCAATAGCATAGGAAAAATTCAATATTGAATCTCAGAACAAGAAGAACCTATTTACAATGCAGGTCAAGGAAGAGATGGGAGAAGGAATGTCACAAAATTTTTGGTAAATACATATTTTTTATAGAGAAGTAATCCATGAACCTGCAACACGGATAGCTTATCCAACCAACTTTACAAATTACTATTAATATAAGTTACATGCTTGCCATCTAAAGTAACTAAACCCATAGACTGAAAAACTATGTGTCAAGGTAACGTGAGCACTTTAATCACTTTACTTATATTTTCTAAAGGCAGTAGTTTCCTCTCCTTTTCCCGCTATCATATTAGATGAAGAGACAAGTTCCTTCAACACAAATTCTGATATCGGCTATTGTGAGAATCCCTGTGCAAGTCAGCTAGAAGCCCCTGCCACCAGTCTAGTGCCAACCAAATGACCAGATGGGACAGCTATCAAAAATGAAAGTGAATTTATATTAAGATCTGAACTTCCTCTTGGGGTCTTGCATTTCAGCTACTAGAGGTCTATAATTCCTTATCCAACATTCCACAATCTGAAAAGCTCTGCGAACGAAGTGTTTTTGTAAGTTGGTGGCATACGCATTTGGCAGCAAATTTTGACCCCTTATGGGCTACTTAGTCTTTATGTATCCATTTTGTCTGAATATTCTACATTTTGTTGCAGCATATTAAGGTGTTGATTTATAGGGTGCTGCCCCAGATCTGATCCATGAAGTTCTATAACATACAGTGTATGTAAAATATTATCTTTTGAAAATCCCCAAAATTCAGAATTTTAATAAACACCTGCCTGCCAGGGCTTAACATAAGGACTTCTGGACCTATAGTAGCCTGAGCATGTGCCCAAGTTTCACTGGAGCCAGGGCAGTTTCGTGGGTCCCATGCACTACACTTTCTTCAGTCTTTCAGGGAAGCGAGAATGTCTGGAACATTCTCTATCCCAAAGAAGGAAAGCATAGTGCTGGGAAGAAGAGCTTCCAAATCTTCCTTATAGGAATTTTCTTTGTGGAAGACTGTATTTCTGCCAACTACCCCGGACAATTTGACAAATAATGAATAAATATTTTTCCTCTAACGTGATTCCTTTTCATTAAAAGCGTATGTCATTGTCTTATGGGAAAAAAGGAAACAAAAGATAGAATTGGAAAAAAAAAAAAGGTCTATCTGTGTGAAGGCTACATATGACAAGTACTGGCGGCTTCCTGATCCAGCAACATTAGCAATTTATTGTATCTAGAAAATGAATCTCTGGATGCAGAGTTTACAGAAATCGGCATCCACAGAAAAGTCAGGGAGGACTTAACATGGGCTATGCCACTTAAGGAGAACAGAATTTGCCAAAGAAAATAATGTTTCGAGTTTTGTTGTGCCTGATGATGTAAATAAAGGGATGGTCAGCATTCAATTCATCCTTGTGCTGCAGGATCCGTGCTCCTGGCACCTCTATGGAATCCCCACCATCTTCAGTTATTTCTAAGCACACTTTGTGGATAACATTTGATAGGGCCACTCCCTTGGTCTCTGACATTCCAGAGAAATCAGATGTGTCTTCACTGAAGATATGTTTCAGCCCTAGATTTTCCAGACAAGCCTTGGGATCAATCATCTTTTCCACCTTAAATTTTGGAATGGAGAGTTTGACCTTGGCATTGGCCATGGTGCTGGGATTAGTCCACTGTGACAGTGACTCTGAGTTGAGTTGTTTTTCAATCTGAAGGACAAAAATGAAAAGAAATTATTTTTATTTATTTCCAACTGTAAAAGACCTGGCTCAATTGAAAACATAAGGTGTTATGATAAGCCCAGCTTCAAAGCAGTCTGGGTGGAACATCAAAGATGGCCCAGAAGTTTTTGGTATGTGACTCAGGAGACCCAGCAGCCACCCAGCTGTGTCCTCCTCCTCCCCAGCCTATAACAGTGTTCCATGTGCACTGAAATTTATGAGGACAGGGTTCTGTTTTTTCATTTTAAGTTAGAGAGTAGTTTTTTGTTTGTTTGTTTGTTTGTTTGGGTTTTTTTTAGACAATCTTGTTCTGTCACCCGGGCTGGAGTGTAATAGTGTGATCGTCGCTCATTGCAACCTCTGCCTCCTGGGTTCAAGCAATTCTCGTGCCTCAGCCTCTCGAGTAGCTGGGATTACAGGCACACTCCACCATGCCCAGCTAAATTTTCTTTTGTATTTGTAGTAGAGACAGGGTTTCATCATGTTGGCCAAGCTGGTCTCAAACTCCTGGCTTCAAGTGATGTGCCAGCCTCAGCCTCCCAAAGTGCTGGGATTAAAGGTGTGAGCCACCGCACCCAACCTTAAGTTAGAGAGTAGATTTATAGAAACAAATGCCTGGATCATGATGTTGCATACACAATAGTGAAATGAATATAAAATTAGAAAGCTTTTTACACATATTTCTTGAATGCTTATTGTAATTTCTCTACGAGGAAATCCAGAATATTCATGTACTAGGAATGGCATCAGATTTAGAAAATTAAATTAAAGCTAAAGTTACTTTTTTTTTTTAATGGGAATTTGAACTAACTCTGAGCCATGCCCTAGGGTCATAGGTAGTGAATGCATCCATTTTAGCTGTTTTAAAAAATGAGAGAGATGCGGCTGGGCGCAGTGGCTCACGCCTGCAATCCCAGCACTTTGGGAAGCCGAGGTGGGTGGATCACGAGGTCAGGAGATCGAGACCATCCTGGCTAACACAGTGAAAGCCCGTCTCTACTAAAAATACAAAAAATTAGCCAAGCGTCGTGGCAGGCACCTGTAGTCCCAGCTACTCGGGAGGCTGAGGAAGGAGAATGGCATGAACCCAGGAGGCGGAGCTTGCAGTGAGCTGAGATCATGCCACTGCACTCCAGCCTGGGGGACAGAGCAAGACTCCATCTCAAAAAAAAAAAAAAAATCATTTCCAAAACTCAAAAGGTCATTTTCTTTAGTTCTATACTTTAAGAAGAAAATAATTGAAAGCCAAAATTGACAAATGGGATCTAATTAAACTAAAGAGCTTCTGCACAGCAAAAGAAACTACCATCAGAGTGAACAGGCAACCTACAGAATGGGAGAAAATTTTTGCAATCTACTCATCTGACAAAGGGCTAATATCCAGAATCTACAAAGAACTCAAACAAATTTACAAGAAAAAATCAAACAACCCCATCAACAAGTGGGCAAAGGATGTGAACAGACACTTCTCAAAAGAAGACATTTATGCAGCCAACAGACACATGAAAAAATGCTCATCATCACTGGCCATCAGAGAAATGCAAATCAAAACCACAATGAGATACCATCTCACACCAGTTAGAATGGCGATCATTAAAAAGTCAGGAAACAAGAGGTGCTGGAAAGGATATGGAGAAATAGGAACACTTTTACACTGTTGGTGGGACCGTAAACAAGTTCAACCACTGTGGAAGTCAGTGTGGCAGTTCCTCAAGGATCTAGAACTAGAAATACCATTTAACCCAGCCATCCCATTAGTGGGTGTATACTCAAAGGATTATAAATCATGCTGCTATAAAGACACATGCACACGTATGCTTATTGGAACACTATTCACAATAGCAAAGACTTGGAACCAACCCAAATGTCCAATAATGATAGACTGGATTAAGAAAACGTGGCCCATATACACCATGGAATACTATGCAGCCATAAAAAATGATGAGTTCGTGTCCTTTGTAGGGACACGGATGAAGCTGGAAACCATCATTATCAGCAAACTATCACAAGGACAACAAACCAAACACTGCATGTTCTCACTCATAGGTGGGAATTGAACCATGAGAACACCTGGAAACAGGAAGGGGAACACCACACACCAGGGCCTGTTGTGGGGTGGGGGGAGGGGGGAGGGATAGCATTGGGAGATATACCTAATATAAATGACAACTTAATGGGTGCAGCACACCAACATGGCACATGTATATACATGTAACAAACCTGCACATTGTGCACATGTACCCTAAAACTTAATGTATAATTAAAAAAAAGAAAAATAAATTATTGAAATAAAAAAAGAAGAAGAAGAAGAAAATAATTGATGTTTATTGGAGGGCGTTTTAAGAACGAAAGGTAAAATCCAAGACAGCTGGATAATGGCTGAAAGATCAAAGCATAAAATGGAAAGAAAAAAAACAGAGAGAGTAATGCACCAAAGAAGAAGAAGGACAGGAATTATAATTCAGTTAATAAAGTGGTGGCTAAAACATAATGGCAACCAAAGGAGCAAGCTGGAGACTGGATGGTCCCCTGGAAAGTCAGCAAATCACTGAGGCCCATGTGGATATATAGCAAGTGATCCAGGCCTTCAAAGAGCCCCTTCTTCCTTCCTGGCCAAGGGTTGAGGCCAGGCGGGGTGGAGCTAGAATGGAAGCCAGGGAGGGACTAAAGGGAGAACAGGCCTCAGCCAGCTAAGCAGAGGTGAGGGAGCAGAGAGGAAGCTAAAACTCCATTCACCTGCAGAGAAAACTGCTACTCTTATTTAAACTTTGTGCCTTAAAAATCTATATAAATAAAATAATATAATAACCCTTATCATATAAAATAAAATACTTATATATAATGTGTACTATAAAATAGTATCTGCATAATTCAAAATTTTGAAGCATATATGTGTACGTATTAAAATCTCATAAATGTACAACACAAAGAGTGAACCGTAACGTAAATTGTGAAGGCCAGGTGTGGTGGCTCATGCCTATAATCCTAGCACTTCAGGAGGCTGAGGCTGAGGATTGCTTGAGGCCAGGATTTCAAGACCAGCCTGGACAACACAGTGAGATCCCACCTTTACAAAAAAAAAAAAAGCCAGGCATAGTGCTGTGTGCCTTTAGTCCCAGCTACTTGGGAGGCTGAGGCAGGAGGATCACTTGAGCCCAGGAGTTTGAGGTTAGAGTGAGCTACCATCATGCCACTGCACTCCAGCCTGCCCAGGAGTTTGAGGTTAGAGTGAGCTACCATCATGCCACTGCACTCCAGCCTGGGCAATGGAGCAAGACCCTGTCTCTAAAACAATAATAATAATAATAATAATAATAATAGTAATATGTCAGTATTGGCTCATCAATTGTAACAAACATACCAAACTAATGCAAGATGCTAATAACAGGTGAAACTGTAGGCCTGGGACGGGAAGGGGAGTATATGGGAACTCCTTGTACTTTCTGCTTATTTTTCTGTAGGCATAGATCTACTCTAAAAATAACATCTACTAATTTTAAAAAAAAAGAAAGAGCAAGAGAGAGGATGCTTGACATCAGGTCACATGATAGTGGACCTGGCAGTGCGTAGCAACGTAGTGCCTTAACTGCCTAGGAGGTGAGGGAGACACTCTAGCCTTCAGTTAAGAACCTGGCTCCAACTACCTGGGCCCAAATCCTGATCCTGCACACACCCTTGACTAATTATGTAACCAGTTACCCACCCCTCTGTGCCTCAGCTCCCTCACTGGTAAACAAGAGTGTGGTAACAGTCTCTAACTCATCAGCCTGCTGTAAGAATTAAATGAGATAATGCACGTAGGCAACTTAGCACAGTCCCTAGAACACTGTAAGTGCCAAATAAATTTTGGCTGTTGTTAATATTAAGGAGGAAAGGCCCCAGAAAGAACCATGGGTCCTTGGAGGTGACTGAGCCAGTGGCAATAAGGGAGGGCTACCGGCCCAGCTCTCACGGCCCACACAGACCTGTTGGCACAACTCTTTGCCAAGGCAGGGGGTGCCTTTGTGGAGAGCACCTGCCTTCTCCTTACCTTCTCCAAGCCTGTGGACTCATCCTCCACATCCTTGGGTAGTAGGATGAACATGCTGAGATGCTTATTTTGAAAAGGAAGCTCTATGATCTTACAATTGATACTGTCAATGTTTCCCATACAGAACGTGGCCTCCATGTTCATCATCTGCACTGGTTTGGTGTCTGTCTGTAAAAGGGAAAATTTGGACTGCTTACTTTTCAATTTACACATGCATAAATATATATATATATATATATACACACACGCGCGCACACACACACACATATATACCCACATGTATATATACAGACACACATACATATATACCTACACCTATATATATACAGATACACATACATATATACATACACCTATATATACACATATACATATATATGCATACATACATATACATACATATACATATACACACACCTATATATACACACTTATATATACATACTATATATATATACCCCATACATATATACACACATGCACATATATACACATATATAGGCAAACACATAAATATATATGTACATATATATATATACACAAATTTGCTCTTGACACAGTGTCAGATTATTATGGCTTATAATTCATCATCCACTCAGATCCAAACTGTATTGCACTGAAACCAGAGACTGTCCTGTGAAGAGTTTGTGTTCCTTTGAAAAGTTATTCATATACTTTATAATCTACATGTTACACATTACATGAAGTATATATAATACTGTATTTGCATAGATCAAACCTTAAAAATAAGACTGTATGGCTGTAAATATAGGCAACGTTTGTTATTCTTTACAGATGCCTATGAGATCTTTAAACTATTCCTGGTGGAGCTGACTTGAAAGTAAATTCTACTGCAAACCCACATAACCATTTATACGGCTTTTCCTAATAAAATGCCTAATTTCAAAAACTGGCTGGGCACGGTGCCTCATGCCTGTAATCCTGCACCTTGGGAGACCACTTGAGGTCAGGAGTTCAAGACCAGCCTGGCCAACATGGTGAAACCTTGTCTCTACTAAAAAATACAAAAGTCAGCCAGGCATGGTGGCACACGCCTGTAATCTCAGCTTCTTGGGAAACTGAGGGAGGAGAATTGCTTGAGCCTGGGAGCCAGAAGTTGGTGTGAGCCAAGATCATACCACTGCACTCACTCCAGCCTGGGCAACAGAGCGAGACTCCATCTCAAAACAAAACAGAACAATAACAACAACAAACTTAGCACATAGCAGAACAAAACAATATTTGTTGTGACCTCTCTGTTTGTCTTTGGTTTGAATTGCCCACTCCCCACTGTACTGCCACCTACTCAGATCTGAGCTAATTAACAAAGTCTAAATTGAAGATAAGAACCTTGGTTTTTAGTCCCAAATGTGACATAAACAGATTCTGTGGCCTTGAGCAAATCACTCAATCTCTCCAGGCCTCAGTATTCTTGTCAGTAGAATGAAGAAATTGTAAATTCAGAATAATGGTTACCACTGGGGAGGAAGAAAGAGGAACAGGACAGTGGAGTGAGCAGTGAAGGGATACATACAAAGCAATGCAACTGTTGTTATATTTTTTCTTTAAAATATCTGAAATAATTAAGGCAAAATATTAAGTTCAAAAAGATGATTGATCGGTATATGGGTGTTCGTTTTATTATTCTCTATCATTTTCTGAATGCTTGGAGTATTGCATAATTTTTAAAAAGGAAAATGTTCTTTAAAATTATCTCTAAGTCTTTTTAAAATTATCTCTAAGTCCCTTTGAGCTCCACTGTATGCTTGGCTCTTTTTTTTTTTTTTTCAGAAACGTTGTGTTCAATGGTAAAGCTTAGCACAGCCCAGCACCAAGAATGGTGTGCAGCCGCAGCAGCAGGGACAGGCAGGTGACCCCCACAGAGCTTCACATGGCGAAGAGGATAAGGAAGGCGACCATCAAACAGAAGAGCCCCATGGCCTCAGACAGGGCAAAGCCCAGAATCGCATAGGAGAAGAGCTGCTGCTTGAGAGATGGGTTCCTGGAATAACCAATGATCAAGCTGCCAAACGCTATTCCAATGCTAGCCCCTGAACCAACCACACCAACTGTGTCTGCCTCAGCACCAATAAACTTGGCTGCGGTGTCAATGTCCCAGGAGACAACCTGGTCTAGAACTCCTGTCTGGCCACACCTAAAGTGGGGAGCTGCTGTAGGAAGGCTGTTTAGATGAATGCTCTGGGCTATTCAAGAAGGAGGCAGACACAGGCCGGATTAGACCCCTAGTACAACAGCGGATCAGAGCTGGAGAAATAAGTAATGCCCCGGTGGGCTGCATTTTCTCAGTCTCCCAACTTTAGCCCTTGGTCTCTCCCTGCTCTTCTTAAAGGGAGCCCATGGAAGGGTCTGATCGTTCAGGTCTTTTATGTCCAAGCACTGCCCAGGCCTTTTCTTCTCTTTGCTCCTATTAACACCTGGCCTCCTGTCTCTGCTCCAGAGATGACTGATTTCCTGAAGGAAAATTAATTCACGCTAAGTTGTAAAAGACTGACAGTAATGTTGTATAACCTATTGACATATACCTCCCATGGGATATTTGCCTGTTAACTAAATCTCTTTGGGGAGAAATTTCAAACTTCATATCAAGCCTGCAAGGATAATACTCCAGTAAACTTGCATCTGGTATCTTCAAATACTAAGCTGAACCTTCCCCAATACCTCTCTCCAGCAGAGCTAAACGTTATTTATTTTACTTTTGTATATACCTCTATTTTAACACTTGCCACAGTGTTAGAAATATTATCTAGTGATTGTCTTTCCACTTCCCACCCCAACTAGAATACAGTCAAGGCAGAAACTAAGTCTCATTTTCTACCCCAGCTTGTAGTTTCTCACTGAATATTTGGCTGATAAATAATGGAAGACTTCAACTCTATGTGTAACCAAAAACAGAATTATAGGAAAACATACTACTTTGGAGGTTAACAGATAATTCTTCCCTTTATTTCTCCTAAAGAGGATATTGTCTTAAAATATATTCCTCCTAAAGAAATTTGTCTAAAAATCTCCAACAGGTTAGACTGCTCATAGTTTCTGAATGTGCACATAGTTGTGGCCTCCAAAAACTGTCATCAATTTCACTTATCGGCACTGACTACAGGTACTTTATTTTCTGAAACACATGTTGAGACGACATATCTTCTGAAAAGAGGACCAAATAAAGACTATCTACCCCAGAAAATATAATACAACATATATACTAATATAGATATATATGGATAGATATCTTTATCAGAATAAGTACTATACTAAACTTTTAATGATATAACTTCACCAATTTAGTCTAACCCTTACCGGAGACACCACGGGGCATAAGAAAAGGTTTAGTAATGTCACTCAAAAAGTTCTAGGGTGGACAAAGCAATTCAAAGAAAACAAAGGAGAAGTAATAGCATCTGCATTCAAAAGAAGGGTGTAGCCTCATGCAGCTGTGAATAGCATTTTATTGCTTTATCAAGTGAAACACTGAGAGATCAATGACATTTCAAACTTTTATTAATTCTGTTCATAAAGGCTGAGTTTCCAGGATCTTATATAACCCAGCTTTATGATTTAATAGCAAGAATAAAGGAATAGCACACATTCTTCCTCCCTTCTCAAAAAACACACGTTAATACTTTCTTAATGAAAAAAGTACGACCCTTAGTGTGGTTGACACAAAAGTCCACATTCTACTCATTGACTATTGCAACATTTTCATGGTGTTCCTTCCAGGCTGGCTCTGGGGTCTTGAAGAGAGGCACCATTGGCAACCTGTTTCAGATTTCACTTAAACAGAGTTAGGAACCCTTTGCCAGCCCTTGCTATGGAGGAGAGCCAATCACTAATCAAAGGAGCCAGAAGGGTCACTCTATGACAGCAAAGGCTGTGTGGATGCCGTCAGGGCCAGTGGGGCCAACACCCCTCCCTAACTCACAGTAGAGGCTGGGTAAAGTCACGTTCCACTTCCACTCCAGATAAAAGACAATACTGAGAAGGTCAAAAAGCCATGCTTAAAACTCAAGGACCTGTGTGTGCAAAACACAAGAGTGTGAAGAGCATAAGCTATGTCTCTAGAATCTCAGACAGACCTCTTGTGTGCAGGGTCAATCCTGTCTCTGCAGTCAGCTTTGAGAAGACCACTGCAGTTGGGAAGCTAAACTCAGGAAGTTAGGAGGACCTCCTACCCATCCCTCAGCTCCCATGGATATTTTGAGTTGGTAAGGAGCAGTAACAGTCATCATTGTCTTCTCCCAGTGAAAATGCCCAATGGGTCTTGCATAGGAAACCATGGTAGTCCCAAAGGCCAGTCAGGTTTTGTCTGCTATTGATTGTTTAAGCAAACTGACCCTTAGGGACTGATCATTCATTCAGCAAATTTGCTGAGCACCTACTGATGTGTTAGGGACTTGGCCAGAAATTGTAGACACTGAGGTGAATAAGGCATTGTCCCTACCTTAAAAATCCCATGCGCTAGTAGGGGATCTATGTAAGTAAACAGATTTCACTGTGGAAAAGCAAATTCTGGCAGTGGACAGGGGAGAGTATGAATAAAAATTCCATGGGAACAAAGAAAGAAAGAGTAATGGAAGCCATCCGGCTAACCCAGGCATAGATTGTATCTTGCAGGGCTTTTCCTCATGGATGCTAGCATTAAGAAGGTGCTACTATATTTGGCAAAAACAAGATATTGATGCTAAGTACTCTAACTACTGGGAGAAGCATGAAAACTAGAACTGACGCGTAGGAGCTACAGGTAACTAAGCTACCTTCAAGTATTGTACTAACTGAAGTGCTGCTTCCAGTCTAACACAAGTCAGATCCCACCCACGGAGACCACATCACATCATCATATAGATGTCTGGGTTTTCCAATAAAATGGGTCAAATTTCCAGTCTCAGTTCCTTGATCTCATTTACAAAAGAGGTACTTTACCCATTTCTTTTTTTTTTTTTTTTTTTTTTTTGAGATGGAGTCTCACTTTGTCACCCAGGCTGGAGTGCAGTGGCACAATCTCAGCTCACTGCAACCTCTGCCTCCTGGGTTCAAGCCATTCTCCTGTCTCAGCCTCCTGAGCAGCTGGGATTACAGGCACATGCCACCATGCCCAGCTAATTTTTGTATTTTTAGTAGAGATGGGGTTTTACTATGTTGGTCAGGCTGGTCTCAAACTCCTGACCTCGTGATCTGCCTGCCTCGACTTCCCAAGGTGCTGGGATTACAGGCATGAGCCACTGTGCCCACCCTCTATTAATTATTTAACATATTTACTTCAACAGTATCAATGAGACTGGCCTGCAAAACAGGCCCTTAATTCTTCCCATAATGACTTCCAGTGATGTCAATGAGTAAGCCATACTTTGTTTTTTCACAGCCAACAAGTGCCTGAAAGCATCTGGTCTTGTTGTTTGTTTGTTTGTTTGTTTTTCTTGAGGTGGAGTTTCACTCTTGTTGCCCAAGCTGGAGTGCAGTGGTGCAGTCTCGGCTGACTGCAACCTCTGTCTCCCAGGGTCTGATTCTCCTGCCTCAGCCTCCCATGTAGCTGAGATTACAGGCACCCACAACCATGCCCAGCTAATTTTTGTATTTTTAGTAGAGACAGGGTTTCACCATGTTGGCCAGGCTGGTCTCCAACTCCTGACCTCAGGTGATCTGCCCTCCTCGGCTTCCCAAAGTCATGGGATTACAGGCATGAGCCACCACGCCCAGCCATCAAAGCATCTTATAAATTATAAATTAAAATCCCAGAACAATATACTTCGCTATCAACCGATAAGGAAATGAGATGTTAGAGAAGTTAATCAATCAGGAACAAGATTCCTAGATGTCAAGGTTTCATGATAATCCAAAGTCCTCTGATAACAGAGTTTGGTCTTTTCCTTTTCTGCTAAAGTTCTCAGATGTTTGTAGCTATTTTTCAGCTGGTGACTTAGCTTTCCTCGCTGGGTTACAAATTCTATAAAGTTTCACTCAGCTCAGATCCTTGAAGACATTATGGAAAAGAGGAGGGGGGGCCTCTGGATTCTGGCTCTTTTTGTACCACTTACCTTCCAGCTGTTCATCTCAGGAAAGGCACTTTGCCGGCCGTGCCCTCAGGTTCCTCATTGGAATGGATTTATGCCCCACTCTGTCCCTATCATTTTTCACATCTATAATTGGGCTCCTTTTACTGCTACATGCTGCCCCACATACCTTGTTGACTCTGAAAGGACATTCTTTTGTTTCTGATTCAGAAAATTTCTTCATCCACTTGCCAACAAAGTAGGCAGCATTAACCACAAGGATTTTGGTCTGGTCGTTCACACTGTTGTCAGCTAAAATGTTCTCAAAGTGGCCTGCAACAATTTTAGGAAAACACAAGTAGCAGAATTATTCTTCCAAACTACATCTGAAATTCACATGCATATTCACTGAGTATTTACCACTTCATGGAGTCACACCATGTAAGGCCTGATGGTTCCAACCATCAAATTTCAGAAGGACTCCTTTCTCTCCTTCTACCTTGACACAACCAGATCTACCAAAGAGGTCAGCAGAGGAGAATGAAGGAGCAGGGAAGAAAGGAAGAGAAATAAGAAGGAAAGCACAGCTACCATTCTGAATGCCTATTCTGTGTCAGGCAGTATACAAGCTATTTGATACACATTATATATATTTCTTCCTACTTTATGAATGAGGAAGCTGAGACTCAGCGATGATAAGTCACTTTCAAGGATGATATATAAACAAGGGTGGATTCAGGATTCAAAGCCAGCTCTTTCTGACTCCAAAGCCTGTGCTCTTGAATGAAAATACGTAATCACTTTCTTTATGGCAGAATTTCACATATATTATCTCAGTCTTTTCACAATGGTCCTATAAGGCAAAGATCATTATCTCCATTTTACAGTGCAGTAAACTGAGGCTCAGAGAGGCCAAGGAGCTGTTCTAGTTTCCTCAGCTGGAAAACATGTCTGAAGGTTGTCCCCTTCACCCCACAGCTCTCCATCCACTCTCTCAATTGCACTCCTTGCGGGCAGGCTGATTGCCTCAAGGTCAACTGTAATCACCATAGGGCTCAATCACAATTGCAGTTATTATAAAGCTAAATCCCAATAGCCAAAACAATTCAAGGGGAGTGATCCCTTAATAAAAAGAACTCCTCACATTTGAATAGCCCACAGGTTTTTTATAAAGGGTTTTCATTCACCTAATCTCCAATTTTCAGACCAATGTTCAGGGCCCACTTCACAGGCCTGTGACCCCTGTGTGAAGGACCCTGCACTTGGTTTAATGTTCAGCTGTCACTACCTCAAAATTCTTAATAAATGTTTAAACAAGAAGCCCAGCATTTTTACTTTTGCCCTGGACCATGCAAATTATGTAACTGGTCCTGCCAATGCTATATAATATGTTAAATATATATTAGTGTTATTGAAGAAACCTGAAGAACAAAGAAGTGTGGGAGCCGGTAAACGACAGAGCTTCAACTTCAACCCTGAGCCTCCCATTTCAAACTCAGAAGTCTTTTCATGGCTGGATGCGGTGGCTGACACCTGTAATCCCAGCACTTTGGGAGGCTGAGGCGGGTGGATCACCTGAGGTCAGGAGTTTGAGACCAGCCTGGCCAACATGGTGAAACCCCATCTCTACTAAAAATACAAAGATTAGCTGGGCGTAGTGGCACGCACCTGTAGCCCCAGCTACTTGGGAGGCTGAGACAGGAGAATCCCTTGAACCTGGGAGGCGGAGGTTACAGTAAGCCAAGATCGTGCCGCTGCACTCCAGCCTGGGCGACAGAGCAACATTCTATCTCAAAAAAAAAATGAAAGAAAGAATGGCATTCACAGCAACCTAGATGGAGCTGAAGACCATTATTCTTTTTTTTTTTTTTTTTTTTTTTTGGGAGACGCAGTTTCTCTCTTCTCACCCAGGCTGGAGTGCAATGGCGCGATCTCAGCTCATTGCAACCTCCGCCTCCCAGGTTCAAGCGATTATCCTGCCTCAGCCTCCCAAGTAGCTGGGACTACAGGTGCGTGACACCATGCCCAGCTGATTTTTGTATTTTTAGTAGAGACGGGGTTTCACCATGTTGGCCAGACTGGTCCTGAGCTCCTGACCTCAGGTGATCCAGCTGCCTTGGCCTCCCAAAGTGCTGGGATTATGGCATGAGCCACCATGCCTGGTCTGAAGACCATTATTCTAAGTGAAGTAACTTAGGAATGGAAAACCAAACATTGTATGTTCTCACTTATAAGTGGGAGCTAAGCTATGAGGATGCAAAGGCATAATAATGACATAATGGACTTTGTGGGGTGGGGGAAGAGTGGAAGGAGGTGAGAGATAGAAGACTACACATTGCACACAGTGTACACTGCTTGGGTGATGGGTACACCAAAATCTCAGAAGTAACCACTAAAGAGCTTATCCATGTAACCAAAAACCACCTGTTCCCCAAAACCTATTGAAATAAAACACAATATAATACAATTTTAAAAATTAAATCAGGTAACATGTGCCTCATTTTACAGTTCAGTAAATTGAAGCTTTGTGTCCAAATATCAGTTAGTAAGTACCAGTGTCTGGATTTGAACCTAGGTGCTGAATGACTCCAGAGACCCTGTTCTTCCCATGTTCTCATCCTGCAGTTACTGTCCTGTTAGAACTTCCTCAGTCAGTACAGAGACAGAGTAGCTGGGGGCGCCAGTCATTCTCGCAGGAAGTGGGTCTCCCTTGCCCCGGAAGTGTATCCCTCCCTAGACAGCAGCGACTGCCTAGGCTTCATTCTTTCATGACTAGATTCGGCCCGGCCTCCCAACGGGTCCCTCCAGATGCAATTATAAATATATCCACTGGGGAGGGGGACAAAGTCACTGATTTGCCCTCAAAATCATCATAACCCTAATTCTTTTCCAGCAAGGAAGACGACTCACCGGCAATTTTAAGGGAGGGACGAGGAGTCCGACGAGGGAGACGCCTGGGGGAAGCACTGAGCCGGAGAAAGAACCTAGGAGCTTCTTGGACCCCGGGGCTATCAGAGGAACGACCAGCATGGGGAGCTGCGGCACCGAGGACAAGCTGACACTACGGTTTTGTTTGGTTTGGTTTTCTTTTTTTAAGACAGAGTCTCACTCTGTCGCCCAGGCTGGAGTGCAGTGGCGCGATCTCTGCTCACTGCAAGCTCCGCCTCCCGGGTTCACGCCATTCTCCTGTCTCAGCCTCCCGAGTAGCTGGGACTACAGGCGCCCGCCACCACGCCCGGCTAATTTTTTGTATTTTTAGTAGAGACAGGGTTTCACCGTGTTAGCCAGGATGGTCTCGATCTCCTGACCTCGTGATCCGCCCGCCTTGGCCTCCCAAAGTGCTGGGATTACAGGCGTGAGCCACCGCGTCCAGCCGGTTTTTCTTTTACATATGTTGCCTATGTCCCTTTTTCCTTAACAAATTTGTAAAATTTGTCAGCTGAAAGGGGCCTCGGGGATCATGAAGTTATAATCCAGTCCCTCTATTTCCAGACTGAAAAATGGCCTCATGATTGGCCCAAAGTCATACTTTGTTAGAGGCGCAGCTAGGATTCCACTAGGGCCTGTGACAGCTCGTCAGAGAGCAAGACAAAGTAAACTAACACTGAAGCATCAACAGTTTCTACCAAGTGATGAGATGATACAAGAATTGCCCAGAAATCCAAGTTGTTTACAGGCTTGAAGGGAAAGAATTTAGCTTGTGTAGTAAAAATATCCAGAGAATCCTCCAGATGTTTTTTTTATCCTTGGAGCAAACATTTATGAGATGGAAGGCCCTGTTTACTTGGTGATTGATAGCAGAACAATTAAAGGGTACTTGCCATCTGTGAGATCCTTAATTGAGTTGTTGATCTGACCTTTCGTTTCTTCCAATTTATCTTTGAAGTCAACAGTTTCCAATTCCTTTGCATACGGTCTCTTCGTAGAGCTGATGAACTCCTGAAAAACATGCAGTTCATAAAATCAGAGTCTGTAGTCAAGCTATTGCATTGTTATTCTCTTCTAACAAAAGGATTATTAAATATCAACTGCTATATGTACACTTTCAAAATTGGTAACACTATATGAATTGAAACCTCATGTAGAAGTCAGTGAATTTCTTTGTATTGAATGTTTCATTTTTTTCAATTATAAGACAATTTCAATTATTAAATGCATCTATCAATTTAATATCAGCTTTGGGGAAAACACTATGTTAAATATGCCCAATTCTCTTATGGGTTGTAATTTCAGAAACATGAAAATTTTGTATGTCTACAGATACATATATATTAGAATATAGGAAATGTATAGAAAACAGAATTATGAGCAGAAAACTCTTGTCTTTGCTGAACTAAATATCCTGTAGACCCTTGCTACTCAAACTGTGGTCCAAGGTGGTGTACAGCATCACCTGAGACCTTGTTAGAAATAAAGAATCTCAGACCCCACCCCAGACATACTGAATCAGAATGCATTTTAACAAAATTTCCAGGTGTGCCATCTGCAAATTAAGGTTGGAAACACAATGCAGGAGAGAACATAACAGGAGTTCTTATTCTAATGCTTATTTAAAATGTGCAACCCTAAACCCCATTCCCACCTTGACAATCAGAACTACCTGGGTTTAATCAGAACTACCTGGGTTCAATCAGAACTACCTGGGTGTTAAAAGGGCCTGAAGAACTTGCCCTTTTAACACCCAGATAGTTCTTATGCAAGAGATCCTCCACAGAGCACACTTGTTTGGACCTTTAACTAGTAAATTTGCAGATGCTGTGCACCTAGCAGGAGCAATGGAAAGCAGTCTTTTAAAAAATCTTTTGTAATGAGCCGAGATCATGCCGCTGCACCCCAGCCTGGGCAACAGAGAAAGACTCCATCTCCAAGGAAAAAAACAAAACAAAACTTTACAACTCCTAGTCTGGTTAAGATCATTCCAGATGTTGCATGGAAGTTCAGTGAAACTAAATATAACTTGATTCAGTGTCATGTCAGTTCACTTCCAAGCACAGGGCTTCTTGAATTTCTTCAGAGCAGCTTCAGCCTTAGCCAATTAACTTAGCTTCAGTTAATTGCAAATCAACCTTGGGACTCACTGTCACCATTGACTGACAGAACCAATCTCACCTGAAAACATTAGAAAGCCTCAGCCAGATGAAGGAGGGCCTCCATTGTCCTCACTGCCAGCAATAAAAATGTGTTAATTGTCTCTTTAATGATCATTTAGGGAGCTTCTAGAAATGTTGTATGCTCAGGCTTCAACTCACATCTCAGTTTTTTTTTTTAAATTCTTCAGATGATTGTTGGAAGAAAAATGGTTGTGTGTATGTATCTTTAAGCAACAAAAAATATACTCACAATATCTAGTAACCCATGTCCTCAAAAGATCTTAACCACAAAAATACCTACTGCAGAAAGTTGCAAAATCATGGTAAAATATTTAAAAGCTGGTAGTCTAGCTTTTCGATTTGGAAACCTTGAAATTCTGACCATCCAAACAGGAACTAAATCAACTCTGTGTTACTGAAGTACAGAGGGAAACTTCATGTAGTCTAGAATATTGTCTGTGTGTTTCAAATACAGATTTTTAAATATTACAACAATGGGTACCGTAGTGGTGTTTGTATGATTCCTTAGAGCAATGGCTAAACTTATATAACCAGAGCTGCCTGTGGAGATCCCCATCTGACCAGCCCAGCCAACAAAACTAATTTGTGACTGATGAAAATTGTGAATTCATAGTTATTATTTTTCTTACTGATTTTGAGAAACATCAGAAGAATGTGTGCATAAAAAATGAGGTGGAGAGCTTAAAACATTGTCCCAGGCCATATGCCCTGCTCTTTAAGGAGAAAGAAGTTTAAATCATTAGCTGTCTTACACTCTGTAAGACAGCTCATTGTCTATGGAGCTACATTTATTAGAGAGTTAATTACTCTGTTCTCCATTCTCTCAGAGGAAGGTAAAAGAAAGGGTAAGATTTATTTGAGAGAGAAAAGGAAAGCCCATAAGCTTCTCTGTATTTTGAGTTAGAAGATGTGACTGCAATTGATTCCCACTATACTCAACCTCTCCACTAGGATTTATTTATTTAAAGCCTCAAATCACAAGTGAACATCCTAGAAAGGAATTTCACTGAAAAAAAGTTGTAGGTCTAACAGCATGAAAATGCCACTCCTTGTAAAAAGTTAAGTCTTGCTACTTGCTTTAAACAACTTACTGTAGAAAGATTCAGAGATTTGTCTACGTAGAGCCGCTTGATTAGTTTCAGTGAGTAAAAGGAACTAAGTTTGTTTACATCCGATGTTACTGTTTGAAATCCAAAGGGTACATCTTTGACATTTTCAAAATGAAGAACCTGTTAAGAGAAAAATCCGTTACCCAAAAAGCATTGCCTCTGAGTAGTGCTGTACTGAAGTGGACACGTGATAATGACCAACGTCCTTGGGCATACAGACTCCTCCTGCCTAGTTCCCGTAAAGTAAGGCTCCTCAACCTCAGCACTATTGACATTCAGGCTGGATGAGTCTTTGTGGGGCTGTCCTGGGCACTGCAGGATGCTTAGCAGCATCGCTGACCTACTAGATGCCAGTGGCATCCTCCTCCTATTTGTGAGAACCCAGAATGTCTCCAGACATTGCCAGATTATCCCAGAGTGGGAAGGGGAGGACAAATTGTCCCCACTGAGAAACACTACCATAAAGGTACTCTTCCAAATCAACCATCGAGAACATTTGTCCTTTCTTCAAAGTGATGCCCTTAATACTCACACAGAAGGATTTCCAAACTTGGAGAACGATGAAGCTGGGTTATAATTTCTATCCAATTCAAAGACCAGAGAGAGAGATTGATACAAGAGACACCATCATCAGGCAGGAATCAGATTTCAGGACAAGTGCCTCTAGCCAGAGTCTGTCTAGTCCCTCTGGGTGCTTTAGCAAATGCCAGGTAAATAGATGTGTCATTTCTGATGGGCAGCTACAATAAATGGTGGGCTGCCCTGGGCTGGCTAGAGTCAGATGGCCCTGCCTGTGAATCCCAGCCTTCACCACCTCTTCTCCAACTCTTCAGAGAATCTTCTCCAACTCTTCAGAGCCTCCTTTCCTCTCCGTAAAATGGGCTGAAAATACCTGCTTTCCTGAGTTGTTAATGAGGATTACTTATATGTAAAACACGTAAAATATTATATGGATTCAAACTGTTAATTATTCTTGTAATAATATTGTAAGCCATTTAAAACCAGGATACTATCATTTGGAGGGCTTAAATCATTGTATTTTTTTCCTTTTTTTTTTTTATTGTTCCAACCAATAGTCCAGCATCTTTTCTGCCTTGCAACACCACAACATGTAATGTCAGCATAAGATGACACCCTCCTCGCTCCATAACTCATAATGGCCATGCTGTGATTCCACAACCCAGATAACGAACGCTGCCAAACCGGCACATTGTCCCAATGAATTACATAGCCTCAGCATTGCAGGGTCAAATGCTGGTCCCAGACAGTGCATAACTCTCATGCCTAAAGATGGATGAAGGAGACCAGAAAATTTAAGAGCCCAGGTAACTACTGCTGGGGAACCAGTTGCATATACTGAGAAGAGCTTGAGGAATTACTGAGGAACAGACCCACTACCCGGAAGTTCTCTTTCGCTGGCCTTTCTCTAATGGTAGATGAGAAATGAGGAATGGGAGATTGGGTAGGGATAGTGGAGTTGCGCAGTTCAGAGATGTGGCTTGATGTCAAGATACATCTCCTCTTCACAGGAGTGAAGCTGCTTCAAGTCCCAAGTGTAAATTCTTCATCCTTACCTAAATAACTCTTATGGGCCATACTTTCTGGACACATATGAATACAAGAAGGTGTTGCCTTTTTAAATGCTTATGAGCTAATAGAAAAGAAATTCTATTGAACCTAGAATGATTAGCATAAGAGTAATAATGAAATAGAATTAGAAGAACATTCACCTATTATGTAAAAGTACATGAGGACTTAAAACGGAACAATCAGGAAAATTGTCTCATTTGAAGGTCTAAGAACTTTACAAAGCTAGATAATCAACCATAGCCAGAAAGAAACCCTAAAACGATACAGATGCTGCTTGATTTATGATGAGGTTACATCTCAATAAAACCATTGTAAATTGAAAATATTATAAGTCAGAATGAAAAAGCTGTGATTACCCAGCAGATCTCCAGGTTCTCCATCACAGCCTGGTGCCTGTCCCAGATGTGAGTTGCATTACCTACAAGCGAGCTTTCACATTTAAAAATAAATTAAGATGCCTGTAATCCCAGCATTTTGGGAGGCCGAGGCAGGCGGATCACCTGAAGTCAGGAGTTCGAGACCAGCCTGGCCACATGGTGAAACCCTGTCTCTACTAAAAATACAAAAATTTGCCTGGCGTTGTGGCACGCGCCTGTCATCCCAGCTACTCGGCAGGCTGAGGCACAACAATCGCTTGAACCTGGAGGCTGCAGTGAGCCAACATCGCACCACTGCACTCCAGCATGGGTGACAGAGTGGGACCCTGTCTCACAAAAAAAAAAAAAAAAAAAAAAGATTAAGAGAGTCCTGGAATGGCACAGTTCTGAATCTTGACCAATTCTGGCCACAAAGTCTACATTCCTTTTTTCCGTAGGCACTGCCTATGGGTTCTAATAACTGTATTCCCACTTAAAGTAGAAACAAGGTTTTGGGGCTTACCTGTCCAATTTCATTTGCAGTGTCACCTTTAGCACCCACTTGAGCAAGTGACAGAGAGGTGGAGAGACAGATTGGAGAGAAGAGGACATTGCCCAGTGGCTCCTTTTCACATAGTTGTTTGAACAGATCAACGGCAAAAGCCGAATTTGCTAGTTGCAGGGCATCCATTGCGGGCCTGGAAGCAAGGACAAGGGAGCAGTTAGTTTCTAAAGCATCTTTAACGTCTTCTCAACTGCATTCTGCCAACACTATAAGAATTCTATTTAAACAAAGTAATTGATCTCAGAAGAAACAAGGAACTTTCTGTAAATTCAAAAGTAAGATCAGTTGTGAAGAAACTTCCAGGCAAATGTCTGAAGGCATGTGAGGTCCTCTGTGTGTCCAGCTCTGCCTAGACTCTGCAGTCTTGGGCCTGCTCAGCCACAGTGGCCATTGTCGGGAGCCCAGTGGTCACATCTCTTCTCCAGCATATGTCAGAAAAGTTGACAGCACTAATCAACATCAGTTGGTTTTATTTATCACATATTGTTTCCATTAGGATTTCAGTTAAACTACAAAGTTAAAACTTTTATAAAACAAAAACAGTCGAATTGCAGCAGTTTTGCATTGTTCAGTTTAATATTTAGTAAGTGTAATGGGTTGAATTGTGTCCCCCAAAAAGATATGTTAAGTCCTAATCCCCATTACCTGTGAATGTGACCTTACGTGGAAACAGGGTATGTCCTATTTCTTAACTAATATATAATTAGTTAAGATGAAGTTACATTGGAGTTAGGTGAGCCCTAATCCGATATGACTGGTGTCCTTAAAGGAATAAGAGGAGAGACACAGAAACAGACATACACAGAGGGAAGATGTGAAGACACAAATGTCTTCACCTGTGTGAAGGGCATGCCGTATGGCAATGGAGGCAGAGATTGGAGGGATGCTTCCACAAGCCAAAGAATGCTAAGAACTGCTGGCAACACCAGAAACCAAGAGAAAGTCATGGAACATTCTCCCCTGGAGCCTTTTGAGACAGCATGACCCTGCCGACATCGTCATTTCAAAGTACTGGCCTCCAAGCCTGTGGGTGAATAAAGCTTCTGTTGCTTTAAGCTGCCTGGTTTGTGGTGCTTTGTGAGAAGTGCTAGAAAACCCTTAAAGTAACTAATGCCTTTGCAGGACACCCAGCACATAACAATACTTAATAAACAGCAGCGGTTATTGTTTGCGTTTATAATACGCATCTGTGTGTAAGACACTACCCAGAGTGTTACAAGGATCAGTGGACCTCCTCCTTCTCTAAGCTCATAGTCTCTTTGGGCAGATATGCAGACAAATAACTAGAATACAGAGCTGCCCAAGACATGTGAGTGGTATAATAAGTAATATGGGAGTTAAAGAAAAGAGGGAACAGTTTCAAAATATGTAGCCTGGTAAAGTGGATATAGCAGCAACTAGGCATCTTGTCACATCTCAGAGCTCTTTAATTTTAACACAGCAACTTCCAAAGTGTTGTGTCTTGACTCCTGGCAGTCCCTAACACCCTTTCAGGAGGTCCATGAGGTTAAAACTATTCTCATGATAATACTAAGACATTATCATTCTCAATCTCTAATAGACAGCGGAGTTTTCCAGAGGCTATATGACATCCCTTCTATTAAGCCAAATATTAAGGAGATTTGCAAAAATGAAAAACAATATCACTCTTCTCATTACATTTTTTCACTTTAGAAAATGTTTTTTAATATATATATTATTCATATTAGTATTTAATTATTATATTATTTTAATAAATTAGTAAATGAACATTTCAAAATGTGTCTGGTTTTCATTTCTAGTTTGGTAAATAGTGATAGATATAATCTACATTTTTTTTAAAGAAACAGTTCTTTGGGGTCCTCGGTAATTTTTAAGAGTGTAACAGGGTCCTCAGATTTAAAAAGCTTCACTGTTCTAATAAAGGTCTACCTACCTATTTAGTCTGGTAGTTACTGATCGACTCCAAAGACAATTAGGTAAATTCAGGCAGTCAGGGCTTCCCTTTCTGGGAGCAGAGCTGAACTACATGAACTCCTGAGGTTCTGCCTAAGCCAGGACAGCATGTTTCTAAGGGAAATGAATTGATATTACTACCCCGGGGTGAGCAGTACAGGGATTAAACTCGAAGTGTTCCCCCAAAGCCTCAGGCGCACACACACAGACACAAGGGCCGAATGTGACATTGAAGGTCTTCAGGTAGGACATGCACCCTGGCATTAGAAAGTAAGCTCCACTGCTTAAGATAGAGGACTCCCTTTGGCCAGTACCCAAACGTGTGTCAAGAGTCAAAGGCATGATGAATAGGATTGCAATTTGCACCTTATACCTGGACACAAATTCAGAATGCAAAGACGAGAATAAGATGGAGGAGAGGACTCCTGGTCTTTAAACATTTCTTCAGAATTCTCCCTTTTATGGGATATATGGCTTGTGTGTAGGATGGACTTAAATCGATTATATCTCAGAGTCTGAAAAAGCGAGTTCATTATCCAAAAATAATGTTTTATTGACTCTGTTCATGCTCACTGGTCATTTCCATGGGCTTCCTCCTTCTCCATATGTCCCTGATAAGTACAGCCATGCGCTCAGGCCAGTTCCCATTGCAAATATACCACGAGGCCCCCTGAAGTCAGGTGGGCCTCTCACTTTTCTTTAAAGCCCACAACCTTACTCCTTCTCCCCTCAGGGCAGGGGCAAGGGCCTACAGGTGACATCACACCCCAGGGAAAGGTGACTGGCATTAGGTGTATACTGAGGTCAGCAGGGTATACTGAGGCAAAAATGAAAGCCTGTTGAGTGTTTCACCCAGTGTGCCTGCCACTGGGAAAACATAAAGAAACTCTTCACAAAAGGTTTGGGGAATCTGTGGACAGACTTTCAGAATAGGAAACCTGGCTTCCTTCCACAGCACATTTAATATTAGTAATGCCAAGTTCATCTACAAGTAAAACTCAACATGTACAAGAAGTAATGAGTTATTTCTTCACCAAATAGAGAAGCCTAAACCCAGATCCCTGAAAGCTTCTTAACACTTCCACCAGTGGAGAGCTAATCGCACTGATAATAATATGAAAACACACAAACTGCTTTAACAAACACAAGTAGCTCCTCCAAGCACGTATTTATTATCCTCCAAGAGAAACTAGAATAATTTTGCATAGTCAATAACAAACTATACTTTTAGTGATTTCCTTTGTATAGAAAGATGGTGTTTAAGATCTTAATGTGCTGAGGGAGTTTGGCTGCAAACACCTACAAATGGATCTTAGGAGTGGATCAAATGGTGAGGAGATGTTCATTTTACCATTTTATTTCACTAAAGCATTATTCATTCACTTGTCACAACATTTTGAGATACATTTAGTCTAAATGATTGTGGATACAAGATCATTGTGGCTTTTAGTGTAGTTAATTACACAATACAATTAATGCTGTGTTGCAATTCAAGGCTTAGATCCAGGTCCCTGTTGGAGATGTAAATCAGTGCACATCTGACATCCTAACATCTCTGGGGCTTTCTCTCACCATTGGCGGACCTTCCCTTTGAGTGAGTCCCTTCCTTTGCATGCTAATCCTCAGTGCATGAACGCAAAGAGATCTGCCTTCCTGTTCCTATGCTGACTGGCTCCTTTCTCAGAAAATTCTCCTTCATGTCTGGGAAGGTCATACAGCCCTTAGTATCTGGGGTCCCAGTGGCAAGAGCATTGTTTGATGCTGGCTAAAGGAAACAGAAAAGGTCTGTACATGGAAAAGGTTGTAGTTGCAAAAAATCACCCACTAAGTAATCAATCAAATACTGCCCGGTAAATCTGATCAGTGGCTCTGTGATTAGTCCCAAGTGACCTAAAAACACTATAAAGTTGATCTGGTCTGAGGTAGCTCAAAAGATGACTTTGGCCACAGTTGCCACATGACTGTGTTGCAAGACAATCAAAGCATTTAAACAAACCTCAGCAATGTTAACAATACATGACCTGGAAAAAATACAAACTTCCTACACAGACCATTTTGCATGATCAAATGCTATAAAATTGCAAGTACCAGAGTAGAGATTAGCAATTCCTATATAATAAATTTAATGTGCCTAATGACTTCTGTTGAAAGTGCTAAAATTGCTACAAATTTTTTTTCATTCTGTTGCCTTGTCACAAGGGTCTTCTTCCATTTCTGTGAAAACCCTGTAACCATTTTAACAAGGAGAACTTCGTTTATAGTTGCAATGTAGAAAACGCTACATCTTTCAGCACTTAAAAGTTTAAAAGGAACTTTATTTTAACCATAGGAAAGTGAGATAGATGGAAGTTCAAGCAGTAATACAAATGCAGTTTTAAGAACTTATTTCCAAGTACCTTGCTTTCGCAATCTGTGCAAATTATAAACCTTGAAAGTGGGACAAGATCTTGGAGAGGATCTAGGCTGGCCACACCTCTTCATTTTACAGATGAGGAAAATGAGGCAGACAAAGATGAAGTGAGTCTCCCAGGCCACCCACGCAGGGAGTGAGAGTGGCAAAACCAGACCTAGAATTCATTGCTTCTAGCTCCCAGCCTGGCACTTCCCCGCCACACCTGATCACCTGCTTTCTTGTTAATTGCATCTTTGCTGGCATTTGTTCTCTCAGAAGTCTCTCGAGTTCCAAAAATCCTGCATGTCCTGAAGTCTCCCCTTGAAGATATCAACATATCCTGCATGGTTTGTTCAATCGACACAAAACTTCTTCCCTATGATTTTCCTACTTGAAGAAGCCCTTGTTCCCTTTCTGCCACTTATGTTGTAAACTCTTGGTATGATGTTGCTTTCATCTAGTAAGTATTAACTGAGTACCTAATTTGTGTCAGGGTAAGCATTAAGAAAAGGTGAAAACGACATAGCCCCTGCCTCCAAGGAGCTGTCAGTTAGTGGTATGATGACTGTTTTAAGTGTTTTGATGAGCACCCAAGTCACTATGGGATCCCCAGGAGTGACAGACCCCCCATACTAGAAACCTCAGTGACACCTCCTCAGAGACAGTGACAACTGAGTAAGTCACATTAAAGGTGAGTCCTACAGGATAAGTAGGAGTTAGCCTTGCAAAAACGTGGGACAGGGAGAACTGACTCAATTCAGAGAGGCCCCAGTGAATGGAGACGCATGTACTGGGCTGGGGGTAGGGCCGTGCTCACTTCTCTAGACTTATAGCTTGTCACTGGTCTTTGTATGAAGATTTCCTAAGTTTTTTATGCATCTGAGCCAATGGTCCTCACATTTTTTGTCTTTAGACCATTTAGGTGAGAAAAAAGTCCTGTGGGTAGGATATATACATCCCACTTTGCCTGGGACAATCCTGGTTTATGTCTGTTGTCTTGACATTGATAACAGTGCCCCGTTTACTCTCAAACATATCCTGATTTGAACAATATATGTTCATTTTACTTATAGACCATCAACCACACTCTTCACCCACACATCACGGGCGTGCATATTTAAACAGAGCTATGAGTATAGTTTTTTCATCCCTTAAAACCTTAACTTTTGGCCGGGTACAGTGGCTCACACCTGTAATCCCAGCACTTTGGGAGGCCAAGGCGGGCAGATCACTTGAGGTCAGGAGTTCGAGACCAGCCTGGCCAACATGGTGAAACCCTGTGTCTACCAAAAATATAGAAATTAGCCGGGCGTGGTGGCACGTGCCTGTCATCCCAGCTACTTGGGAGGCTGAGACAGAAAAATCACTTGAACCTGGGAGGGTGAGGTTGCGGTGAGCCAAGATCGTGCCACTGCACTCCATCCTGGGTGACAAAGCAAGACTCCATCTCAAGAAAAAAAAAAAAAAAACTACGTTTTTACTGTGTCAGAGTATCGTAGATATCATTTAGCCTGGCCTGCCTCATTTTAAAGATGGAAAGACATGGTGAAAAACATCTCTCAAGTATTTGGTATAACCAGTCCTTAGGGAATGCCATGAGAAACCTTGCCTATTATAATATCAGTAATGGAATGCCAAAAAACACAACCTCTGTTGTCCACATTCTAAGTCTTTGAGGAGCAAAGGATGTGCAGGATTAAGAAAATAGGATATTTTGAAGTTTCTGCAATGTGAAAGACTATGAGGACTAAACGAAGTGATTAAGTGAATCAATGTATATGAAAAGTGCTTTGTGGGCAAGAAAGTACAATACAGCTATTAGTAATTGCTTTAATTTCCCATGGCAGGGGGGCGTCTGCTTTGCTCTGAAGCATCATAGCTGCTCCTGTCTCTTTAGAAGCCTGATCTTGACCACTGACCCAGCCCACTGTTGCCAAGCAGTAAACTTACAGCCAGACTCAGCCACACCAGAATGGCCCAAATCGCTGAGACTGCATAGCCCCAAAGTCAATCCACAACCCAGAGGGATTGAAGTGGCACAATTCAAGGCGTTAGGAAGCAAAGATATAAACCTGCTGACTCATTTCCTTTGGAGACTCCTTTCCTCAGACAGGCTTCATCTCCACCCATGAAGGAACTCATCGAACACTTACACTAACTGACAGGGACTGAGGTTTGGAACCCATTATCGAAAACCTCCCGGGAGATGTAGGGGATGAAAAAGATGGTAACAGAACCCACGGTGTTGTGGAAACATCCCGAGCTGCAAGTGTGAAGGCCTGATTTGATCTCAGCGGTGCTACTTACAAGCTGTGTGCCTTTGGACACCAGATCACCTCTGTGAGTTCTGCTCCTCATCTACAGAATGAGGGGGCTGGGCTGAAATATGTCTAAGAGCCCCCAGCTCTGAGGATCTGGTTACAAGTCTCTGGAATAGCCTGGCATGTTGGTTTTTAGTATGATATGCTTAAATGAAGCCATAAGAAAAAGTGTACAGCATATGAGTAAGAAACTACAAGCAGCTATTACAATTTATAAGTCCAAGAATATGCATCTGAAATGTGTAACTTGTTTAAAGTTATGCTGAAACCCAGAAAACTGAAGGGAGAATAATTTCCGCTTAGAAGAATGCAGTTGCAAGTAGATGAACAGCGATCTGATGCTTAAAAATGCCAAAAAGAAGGGCAGTCCATATGCCTAAATCTCAGCCTTACAACGTCAGCCAGGGAGAAGAGCCAGCCAGACCCACCAATACTTCTCAACTTTCCCCAGTTTGCGGGTACCACACCCTTTCTGAAACTAGCATTGCAAAATTCATTCTGAGTTCCAAAGTAGGCCTGAAAATGTCCTCAGAAGTATTTTCTCCTCCGTGAATCACGGTTGCACCCCTCTACCACCAAAACCTCCGAGCCACGTGACTTCTTCATATTCTTACCTTGTATGGTTAAGTGATTTTACTCCCTCTGCAGTGTTCCTGGTGCTCAAAGGGTTGGGAGCTGGAAATACTGCCAACATGGGGGATGAGAGGCGACAGTACTCAACCCAACAGCCCGTCTTTGAAAACAGCCCCAAAATGGACCTAAGTCCATTTTGTTCACCATCTCAAATCAGCTCAAATAACGATATTTATGAATTTCCCTGAAAAAAGGAAGTCACCAGCCCTGCTACCCCACCTTGCTTACCTGGAGTCACAGTTATCCTGGAAAATGCGTGGAAAAGGAACAGGCAAGCGAGGAGCACAAAGACCTGGATGTGGAGGCGACCGTGTCTGGGCAGAAGCAGCGGTGGCTCACCTGGGCAGCACCGCCACGCCCACTGCCAGCCCAGCTCCACGCCCCGCCCCGCCCCGCCTCGGCGGCACTCCTCTCCTACTCAAGCCTCTTGGCAGCTTGTCCACAATTGAAAGAAATGATTCAGGCTGAAGTTACTGTTGTCTGCACAGCTTCCAAAAGGCCTCCAACATGTTCGGGCAGGAAGGGGCTGTGAGTTACATGCATACGTACAGACATGCGTACGGCAATCCTCTCGGCCCACGCAGGACCGGAAGGTGAAATATTCGATGAAATAAAAGTAATGTGTGATGATAGTAACACTACAAATTTCTCAGACACGTTGGTGGCACAAAAAGTACTCTGATCTCCATTCTTTTTGTGTAAACTGCAGCAGCTCATTCTGCTAGATGCCAAGAGAGGTAGCTGCCCATTAAACAGAAAGACAATCAAAAAAGAAGGAATGGATATATGTATAAACACAGTGCCTACCTAAAAATTAGGTACTATTAGCAAAATATTTACTACCAAATTGGTAGGAGATATTGTTTAATGGGTGGCGCAGGAAGTTTCTTTTTAAAATCCTGTGATTAGGATTACTCAGGCCTGGCGCGGTGGCTCACGCCTGTAATCCCAGCATTTGGGGAGGTTGACGTGAGCGGATTGCTTGAGCCCAGGAGTTTGAGACCAACCTGGGCAACATGGTGAGACCCCATCTCTACAAAAAATGTAAAACAATAGCCTAGTGTGGTGATGCATGCCTGTGGTCCCAGTTACTTGGAAAGCTGAGACGAGAGGATCACTTGAGCCTGGGAGGTCAAAGCTGCAGTGAGCCGTGAGCTAACCACTGTACTTCAGCCTGGGTGACAGAGCAAAAGAAACAAAAAGAAAAAGGAGTACGCAGCTCTGCTCTGAAATCTCTTCGTGGAGCCTGTTCTTGTCCTCCTGTCTTCCCACAGCTTCTTCATTTGGCGGGACCTACTCCCTTCCAGCCGAATCAGTCTCAGGAAAGGACCTGAAACGGAGCTGGTTGCTTCTCTGCTGTGCTTATCTAGAATTCCCTATTGTACATTTACTACATTGTTTCATAATAATCTCTTACATTCTCCTATATGTGACTACAACAATGTTAAAGGTAAGTGCCAAACTTCATTCATTTTTATAACACCAAAGCTTGGTACAGACCTGATGTACAGTATGCAGTCAATAAGTGCTTGTTGAGTAATGAATAAGAGCAACTCGCTATATTAACTGACTAAACTAAGATTGATAACAGCTTCCCCTCCCCCATGTCCTGGGTATTTTAATGTTAACCAGAATCAAAGTCATAAACTAAGTGAACTCCAAAAACAGAATTTTAGGCATCAGTGGAGCAAGTGGAGGGAAGGTCATAGGTGAGGAGGTGTGGAAGGATGCTTCTTAAAAATTCTATTATCCAGCTGTAGGAGGGAAAATGAGAATTTGGGAGCAGAGTCATAAATTTGCAAACTAAGTCTAACCACTCATTGCTTGAGAAATCCTGAGCAAATTGCTTAATCCCTTTATCTTCAGATTCCTCATCTGTAAAATGAGATCTATATATAGTTCTCATTTGTCAATAAGATCGATAAAATGAGATATAGACAGAGATGGATGAAGAGACAATTCTTACATACTTTCTGACACATAGCATGTGCTTCCTAATGATGGCAATTAGTACCACTTTGCCCATTGGTTAGGTAGGCTCGGGGAATAGTGGACAAAAGACTGGAGCATGTTATTGACATTGAATTCACCACATTTATTGAATACCTGCTTCGTGCTTGCTACTGTGGTCTACAGATTTCAAGCGACTTGCATTTAAATGGTAGAGCCTCTCTATTCTCCTTTTTGAAGTTTTAATTCCCTCTAAAACACTCCTGTTCAGTGCTTGCTCAACCGGGGCAGAAACATTTCCAATGACAGGAATTCAACAATACCCAAGGAAGTTCTAGCAAAGTGAAATGCCTTTGGGTGATTCTAACTGGGTGAAAATTAGAGGCACCATTCGACTGGGGCTATAAGACATGTTCCCTCTCCCCAAAGGGTACAGTAGGAAGACAAGAAACAAAAGAAAGTATCTGGAGGCATGTAATAAGGGACTTAAGAGAGGTGCAAATGACAAAAGTAGTTCAGAGATGGGTGTGACCTTTTCAGTCTGGCTATGACTGGGGAAGGATCATGGAGGCAGCATCATTGGACATCAGGAGACCATTTAAGCCTGAGAACGGAGGTCCAGAGCTGGGATGATACAAGGTATATTGGACAGATATGTTAACAAAAGATTAAACAGAACATTTCCTGTCAAAAGCTTTCACTTGTTGAAGTATCTCTGGAGGTCAGACCCTGTACGTGAATGTTCTCACCCTCTCATTGAACCCAAGTAAGGCAAGGACTCACAAGTCTCAGGTGTAACATCATTGACAAAACACACTGTTGATTTAGGCAAAATTGCAGGAAAAAAAAAAGTGGTTCCCATTCAGTGGAAAGAGTATTAAAACTGTGATTCTATTTGACTGAGAAGACCCATTTCCCAGTAATATTCTTTTCCACGGCAGCCAAAATTTTAAGTTCTTTAGAATTCTACCTAAAAAGACACTAGAAAACAGAAAAGTGGGAGAGGATGGAGTTATACAAGCAGTTCACATTTTTTAAATTACAGAATTTCAAACTAGTTTCTGGAGAACATGCCTGCTGATTAATTTTAGGAAAGAGTGGCCTCAATAAAGTCTTCTGCATTCAATAGGTTTCTACTCTGCTTCCCTGTTTTAACTGGACATTTTGATTGGAGTCTGTGATTGACTGAATAAGCATTTTTTGAGTGTGTCAGACCCTGGGCAAGACCCAGAATAAGACCTAACTATGGATCTCAAGCCGACTACAGTTTAGCTTTGCATTTCTATAAGTCAGATACCTACACTAATTGTTATACTGTAAAAAAAAAAAAAAAAAAAAAAAAAAAACATACATCCTGAAGGAAATGCCTGGAAAGAACAAAGTTGTCATGTCAATTATGTTAACAAGTGGACTTAGAAGCATCAGACTTATAAGAAAAAAGGTTCTACTCATACTAATAACTCAGAGAGCAACAACATAAAAATAACAATATGGTGTTATTATCCTGTTATAATCTTCAGTCTCTTGCCTCATGAAAAGCTTTTTATGTGGGCCCATGAATAGTCAACTCCAGAGTATTTTTGATCTCCCTTCTTCTTGATGAACTTTGAACCTATAAGAAGCAGATATAAGGCCAGATTTTATAGTTTTCTATATGATATACTATACAATTCACTTATTATGTTTACTGTTGATGGCCTCCTTCAGCTGAAATCTAAGCAGATTTTTTTGGTCTGTTTTTTTCACTGATGTAGTCCAAGAACTTAGAATAGTATCTGGCACATAGTGGGTACTTAGCACATAGTGGGTAGAGAATGAATGAGTGGGAAATAACCCTACCCGACAGGAATTCAACTAAGGATGAATTCAACCCAAAATTTGAAGTCAGTTTGACATTTCCTTAAATACCAGCTACCTTTCCTCCAGTTCTCTTTGTATATGAAGACCAGTACATCTGATTCATCCCAAACACTTTACATTTGTAAAATAAATGATTCTTTTTTTTTTTTTTTTTTTTTTTTTTTTTTTTTTTTTTTTGAGACGGAGTCTCGCTCTGTCGCCCAGGCTGGAGTGCAGTGGCACGATCTCGGCTCACTGCAAGCTCCACCTCCTGGGTTCATGCCATTCTCCTGCCTCAGCCTCCCAAGTAGCTGGGACTACAGGCGCCCGCCACCATGCCCAGCTAATTTTTTTTTTATTTTATTTTTTAGTAGAGACGGGGTTTCACCTTGTTAGCCAGGATGATCTTGATCTCCTGACCTTGTGACCCACCTGCCTCAGACTCCCAAAGTGCTGGGATTACAGGCGTAAGCCACCGCACCCAACCAAATAAATGATTTATTTAAAAAAATTTAGTGACAAAGAATACACCTGTTTGTAGGAAAAAGCATTTGCTCTATAATTTCAAAAATAATCCATAATGTTTTCCCCTCTCTTTATTTGCCACAAAAACCATTTTATTGACTATATATTTAAAAGAGTAGATTTTTTGGAGGGGAGATACATAGCTCAAAGAATGAATTATTCATTCATTCATTATACAATTGTATGAAGCAATAACTTCCTCTAGTTCAACACAAGTAATCATTGGACTAAATATTTAATAACCTAGGAGACTGTTTTGTTGGTGCTTTTTCTTACCTATAGGTTGAAGCTTTGCAAATATTATACTTGATTACTCAGCATCGAGGCTGAGGGATGATTTGACACACCCAGCCACTCCCAGGAACAAATGAAAGGAGCTTTGTTCTAGCATGTGCCTCTCGCTTTCTCTCTCTCTCTCTCTCTCTGTCTCGCTCTCGCTCTCACTCAATCTCTCTCTTTTCCTAAGAGAAGTTTCAGCCACAAATTCTCAGCATTCTCCCCGGATTCCTACAAATCATCAAGTGATTTTTTTCTTCACTAATAAAGGTGATTCCCACTAATTCACATGATGCCTCTCCCATACAATAGTGGAATCATATTAGCTGTCCACGTTTCCAGCCATTCACAGTTGACTATAAAGGATCCTAACTAGTCACTGTGGACTATTATGTCTTTTCACTTGTGGAGAAACTGAGTCAGGGAAGATAAAGTGACTGCTTTAAAGTTTCTGACTGAGATGGAAAAAAAACTATTTTAAAAGCCCCAGATTTATAATTCTTTTTCCTAACTACTCTATTTTGAGGATTTATTTCATACTTTTTGTCTTTTCAACTTCTGGTGTTTGTCTAGAAGAAATTTTATATTAAATGATAAACTGTACTATATTACAGAAAACAGGCTGTGTGAAATTTTCTAAGAAGCAAACTTAAGAGAAAAAAAAAAAGACCACAGTGAAAAAAAATAGAGTTAAACAGGACCCCAGAGTTAAACCAAAACCAGATAGTAGAAGTGGCACAATTTGCCTCTAAAATGCTTCGTTAACCAGGCGCGGTGGCTCACACCTGTAATTCTAACACTTTGGAAGGCCAACACAGGAGGATCACTTGTGTTCAGAGTCTGAGACCAGCCTGGGCAACACAGCAACACACAGTCTCTATTAAAAATATATATGAATAAATAAAATGCTTAATACTATGCGTAAAGGCATATCTGAGCAAAAAATTGAGTGACAAATCCCTTAGGCCACTGCACTCCAACGTAGGTGACAAGAGCGAAATTCCGTCTCAAAAAAAAATTATTTTATATATTTTCTTCAAGTCCTCTAAATATCTAATTTGCTAATACAAAATTAAGCAACCCTTAAGTGCTTTATAACAAGAAGCAGAAGCTCCTAATTTCTACTGGCTTATTGCAACCTCTGCCTTCCGGGTTCAAGGGATTCTCCTGCCTCAGTCTCCCAAGTAGCTGGGACTACAGGCATGTGCCACCATGCCCAGCTAATTTTTGTATTTTTAGTAGAGACGGGGTTTTGCCATGTTAGCCAGGCTGGTCTCAAACTCCTGACCTCAGGTGATCCGCCCGGCTGGGGCTCCCAAAGTGCTGGGATTGCAGGTGTGAGCCATCGCGCCTGGCCTAAACAATTTTAATAATAGTTATTTCTGGCTGGCAAAATTAAAGATTATTTTTCCATATCCTTGGCATATCTTGCAAATTTTCAACAATCACCATATATCATTTCTTATGATTAAAAAGTTGCATTTCTTAAGCAGTGGAAATTCCAGAGCATCTTTGTGAGGCATAAGACCTCTCAGCTGCACAACAGAAGCTGACGTCGTCCTGAGATGAGCACGTCATCTTGGCACACCACCCCTACCGCCACCCACACCCCAGGTGAGCCGGGTTGAGGAGAGCCCAAGCCCGGGGCTCTGGGGTGCTCAGGAGCACCTCCGAGAGTGTCAGCCCCCGCAGGGGAGAGCTGCTCAAATGGGAACACGCCTGACTTCTTTCTCCCTCCTCCTCCCTTCTCCTCCTCTGTACCATCAGCCAGTGTGCTGACTCAGTTGCAGGCCATGATCTCTGCCTTGATAGGTGATGCAACTGAAATGTGCCAAGGAGAAGCGCAGCTCTTCGCTAAAGCAAGCTTGCTTCCACTAAGTCCAAACCTTGTTTCCAAATGGTGAAGAACATACACCCACAGCGCCTTGTGTGAGCATTTTTTAAAGTCATACGAGGAAGACCTTTTATACATGCTTTGCAGTAACACTTTATGTAAGGTCTATTTTCATCCCAGTTTATAAATGAAAAGGAAAAACATGCAGATGCCTAGGGCTATTGAGTAACTTCCCCCAGGTCACAACGTTAGTGAATGGTAGAACCCGATTTAAATCCAGGTAGCATTCTTAACAAACATACTATATCCACGTGTTAAACGTTATATTCTTGACCCTAATCTGAGATTAAATAAGCCTATTCCTGTATCAAATATAAAAAATACAGCCGTGTACAGTGGCTTATGCCTGTAATCCCAGCACTTTGGGAGGCCGAGGAGGGTGGATTGCTTGAGGTCAAGAGTTCAAGACCAGCCTGGCCAACATGGTGAAACCCCGTCTCTACTAAAAATACAAAACTTAACTGGGCGTGGTGGCGGGTGCCTGTAATCCCAGCTACTTGGGAGGCTGAGGCAGGAGAGTCATTTGAACCTGGGAAGAGGTGAGATTGCAGTCCATCAAGATAGCACTACTGCACTCCAGCCTGGGCAACAGAGTGAGACTCTGTCTCTAAAAAAATAAAAATAAAAAATAAATATATATATACATACACACACACACACACACACAAAATGTATAAATATATAAAACATATAAACATGTTATATATGTATATTATATAAAATATATAAACATGTGATATATGCATATTATATAAAATATATAAACATGTGATATATGCATATTATATAAAATATATGAATATGTGATATGTGCATATTATATAAAATATATGAATATGTGATATGTGTATATTATATAAAATATATGAATATGTGATATGTGTATATTATATAAAATATATGAATATGTGCTATGTGTATATTATATAAAATATATGAATATGTGCTATGTGTATATTATATAAAATATATGAATATGTGCTATGTGTATATTATATAAAATATATGAATATGTGCTATGTGTATATTATATAAAATATATGAATATGTGATATGTGTATATTATATAAAATATATGAATATGTGATATGTGTATATTATATAAAATATATGAATATGTGATATGTGTATATTATATAAAATATATAAATATGTGATATGTGTATATTATATAAAATATATAAATATATAAAATTTATATATGTATATTATATAAAATATATAAAATTTATATATATTATATGAAATATAAAATATATAAAATTTATATATGTATATTATATAAAATTTATATATGTATATTATATAAAATATATAAAATTTATATAAGTATATTATATAAAATATATAAATATATAAAATTTATATATGTATATTATATAAAATATATAAAATTTATATATGTATATTATATAAAATATATAACTATATAAAACATATATTTATATTATATAAAATATATAACTATATATGTTTATATATAATAGCAATTATGAAATATATTTATAATTGTTATATAGAAATATATTGATATGAAATACTTTTTCCTCTAATAAGCACTTAGTTCTATGTGATGTCAGGATCCAATTCAAGAGGAGAGAGAATGCAGGAATTTACAGGCCTCAGAAACACAAAGTCAGCTGGCTTTACTTGGAAAGGGAGGAATTTTGTTTTAATTTTTTAGTTTTTATTTTTCTGGGTACATTGTAGGTGTACATATTTATGGAATACATGAGATATTTTATTACAGGCATGCAATGTGTAATAATCACATCATGGAGAATGGAGTATCCATCCCCTCAAACATTTATTCTTTGTGTTACAAATAATCCAATTATACTCTTTTAGTCATTTTTAAATGTACAATTAAATTATTATTGACTATAGTCACCCTGTTGTGCTGTCAAATGCTAGGTCTTATTCATTCTTTCTAGTTATTTCTTGTACACATTAACCATCCCCATCACCTCCCCACCCCATGGGAAGGGAGGACATTTTCATGAAGTCTTCGAAGGTCATTTGGCAGGGGCGGGGGAGATGTATGAATCAGCCTGTGCTAGGTATGTAAAGCACTGAGCTAGACTCTGCAGATGAGAACTCTGTCCCGGTCTCTGCCTCCTAAAATGGGATTTAAGAGTGAGTCCTTCTATCCAGCAATTTCAATTTCTCCCAGACATGGAGGACTCTGAGATTCACTTGTAGCTCCAAGAGTGCCCCCCATAGAAACTTGAGAACAGACACTTCTTCATGAGTCCCAGTCTGGACTTCTGTCTCTTCACTCACTCCCACATATGAGGGGACTTCAAAAATTCATGGAAAATTTGAATTATAAAGAGAAAAATTAAAAATATAAACTCCGTTTCTCAACGTAAGCTGCATCAAGTTCAAGACACTTTTGTAGGTGGTAATATCAGCCATGTAGTCCATCTCTGAGGAAAGCAGAGTCCTGGGAATTTGTGTCAATGCAGTCCCTTTTTTATTATTGCTGAAGAAAAATGGCTGCCCTTTAAAGATTTTTGTTGTTGTTGTTGTTGTTGTTTTACAATTAGGAAACAAAAAGAAGTCAGAAGGAGCCAAATTAGAACTGTAAGGTGGATGCCTAATGATTTCCCACGGAAACTCTCGCACACGTCCCCTCATCTGATGAGAGGAACAAACTGGAGCATTGTCATGGTAGAGAAGGGCTCTCTACTGAAGCTTTCTCTGGTGTTTAAATAACATTTTGGCTGATTTTCTCAGAATGCTCTCAAAATAAGGAGATGTAATGTTCCTTGGCTCTCCAGAAAGTCAACAAGCAAAATGCATTGAGTATCCCAGAAAACCGTTGCGATAACCTTTGCTCCTGACCAGTCCACTTTCGCTGGCCCACTTCTGTCTCTTGGTAGCCATTGCTGTGATGGTGCTTTGCATTCAGGGTCATACTGGTAAAGCCATGTTGCACTTCCTGTAACAGTTCTTCAAAGAATGCTTCAGGATCTTGATCCCACTTGTTTAAAACTTCAATTGAAAGCTCTCCTCTTGTCTGCAGCTGATCTGGCTGTAACAGTTTTGGCACCCATCGAGTAGAAAGTTTGCTCAGCTTTAATTTTTCAATCAGAATTATGTATGCTGAAGCACCTGAGATGTCTACGGTGTTAGCTATTGTTTGTGCTGTTAATCATTAGTCCTCTTCAATTAGGGCACAAACAAGGTGAATTTTTTTCTTCACAATCTTCAATATCTTCTCATCCCTACTTAAAATGAGTTATCTATTTGTAAACTGCTGATTTCTTTAGGGCATTGTCTCCGTAAACTTTTCACAGAGCATCAGTGATTTCACCATTCTTGCACTCAAGCTTCACCACAAATTTGATGTTTGCTCTTGTTTCAATTTTAGCAGAATTCACATTGCTTTGATAGGGGCTCTTTTCAAACTGGTATCTTTCTTAGCACTTCAAACTAGATCCTGTTTAGACATGTTGTAACTAGTTAGTATGAGTTTATTTTGATACAAAAAAATTGAAATCCATGCATTGTTTTTGCATGATACACATTTTTGATGAACTTTTTGAAGACCCCTTTATATTATTTGCATTCATGCCTGGTTCCTGTCTAGACCCTGAGCCATGGGGAGGCCAGGGACCACAGTTTATCTGTACATCCCTACTCCCTCTCCTAGAACTCACAAAGTTCTTTTCACACTACACATTAAATAAACTTGTCCTAGTCTAGTAGTAGAAACCAATCAATTACCTCTCACAATGTCATAGTGCAGACAATGATTGTTAGGACAGGAGGTGGTGTCCATGATAGATGGTGTTGCTATTTTAATATCTTGAATTATAAAGAAAGAATTAAACATTACAGCAAGTAAATCAAAGGTTTATTTTTTTATCCAACTAGATAAAGATCCTTATGCTAGTGGTCCTTCAACATCACTGCACATCAGAATCAAGAAGGAATAATGTGTGTGGAGGACAGGTGAAGAAGTACAATCAAATTTCACATTTCCAGACCCCAATCCTCAGAGATCTGGGATTTAGAGGTCTAGGGTGAGACCCAGGAATGTGAATCCCTTTGGGTGGTTCAGAACTGGTTGTTCACAGACCACACTTTCAGAATCACAAGCTTCTGGCAGGTTCTGCACTAACCACAGTTGGTCCAATGGTCAGCGCTGATTCTAGCATGAGACTGGCTGGTTCCCACTCTGCCATTAATGACACCATGGCCTTGAACAAATTAGTACATTTCACTTTGCCTCAGTCCTTTCGTCTGTAAAATGGAGGTGACATTAGCAATTCCTCATAGGGTTATAACAAGGACACAATGAGATAATACATGCTAAAGGCTTAGAATATTGCCTGCCACCAGTAAATGTTCAAAAAATGTTAACTGTCATGATTTTTGTACTCTAAAGGCTGTAGTGAAGTTACAAACCTCAGAGAGATTGGTTTTACCTCAATAGTAGGGATAGACAGAAAATTTTTTGTCTGTATTTGTATTAATATATTTCAAGATTTTTTAATTGGAAGAAAAACTGATAGTCTTTAAAGCTTGAGAAGAATTAAGAATCATTAACCATATCACATTCACACACACACACACACACACACACAATTTATGTGAAGTTTTCACTTTCTACCTTTGGGTTATGGTGTCTTATAACATGAAAAACAAGAATAAAATGAAATTTACTCATAGTGAGAAAGGAGATTAAGATTTCAAAGAGTGGAGTATACATTTAATAGTTCAAATTAAATAAATATCATTAATATGACCAACAACACATATTAGCATAATTATGGTGCTTTGCAGTTTATTAGTTGTTATTGTTTACCCAGCCTTTTCTTCAAAGCAATTATATATGTATTATCTCTTTCAAACCTCACAATAAATCAGTCAGTTATGTATTATGATCTCCATTTTACAAATGAGAAAAGTGATATTAGAAATTTAAGTAATTACTAGTAAGAAATAAAGTCAAAGTCACATTCAGAACTCAGTGAGATGGTACAAATACCATACTGCCTTCCATTGTCTAAAAAAAAAAAAAGACTGGAGGCCGGGTGTGGTGGCTAATGCCTATAATCCCAGCACTTTGGGAAGCCGAGGCAGACGAATCACTTGAGGTCCAGAGTTCGAGATGAGCCTGGGCAACATGGTGAAACCCCGTCTCTACTAAAAATACAAAACTTAGCTGGGCATGGTGGCATGCACCTGTAATCCCAGCTACTCAGGAGGCTGAGGCAGGAGAATCACTTGAACCTGGGAGGCAGAGGCTGCAGTGAGCTGAGATCACATCACTGCACTCCAGCCTTGGCAACAGAGCAAGACCTTGTCTCAAAAAAAAAAAAAAAAAAAAAGAATGGAAGAAAATGAATGAACCAAAGGTAATTCTCTCAAGATTTATTATCAGTTTCCTTTTCAAAGGAGGTTTTGAAGGGGAAGCCCAAAGACTCAGCACGAAGCCAGACCACCATGTAGACTCACTTGGTCCACACCATGCTCACCCCCCTGAGGAGAGCATGACTGGTGTCCATGGTAGATGCCTTCCTGGAGTCCCTCATCATGGAGCATACCCCTAACTGAATTATATATGTCACTTGCTAGGATGGCAAAGATGGTTCATTTTCTCTTCTTGTGTCACATAATGTGTCCTTGATATTAGTCATAAACCTACTTTTCACAAGCTCTTGTATTTCAGGAGTTGATGAGCAAACCAGTGTTTCCCTACTGTCATCAGTCACGACACGAAGATATCATTAGCCAGGGAGGAAAGAGCCAGAGGAAAGTGGGGCATGTCTGAGTGGATTCATGGCAGGAGGAGGCTGTGTAAGAGGGACAGGACCTCTCCCATTCCATTTTCCCTGTCCAAACGATTACAAGAATGTCTCTAAGTAGCTGAGCAACCATAGAATCAATGCTAGCTTGAAGTTAAGGAATGAGAAAAACTAAAATGAAATGCAATTCCTTTAAATTAAAAAAAGCCAATTAATAGGTTATTAGCACATGAGTTAAGAATTAAATAGAGAGGAGAGGCATAAGGTGCAAACTAAACAGAGATTTCTCGCCCAGTAATGGGAAAACTGACACCTCATGCCAGAAAATGAGCACAAAGAGCAATGTGGCATTTGAGTCATGAACTAAAAGTCTACAGTACATGGAAGGTGTTAGCCTTTCTTTTCAAGGAGGAGATAAATTGCCAAGTCATCATAAAGCTCACCAAATGGGTTTTAGTCTAGGAGATGTTGTTAGGTAACAAATAAGAAAAATCTAGGCCAGGCACAGTGGCTCACACCTGTAATCCCAGCATTTTGAGAGGCAGAGGTGGGAGAAATGCTTTAGACCAGGGGTTCAAGACCAACCCGAGCAACATAATGAGACCCCATCTTTACAAAAAATTTAAAAATTAGCTGGGTGTGGTAGCACATGCCTGTAATCCTAGCACTTTGGGAGGCCAAGGTGGGAGGATCACTTGAGCCCAGGAGGTTACAGTGAGCCATGATCATGCCTTGCCCTCCAGCCTGGGAGACAGTGCAAGACCTTGTCTCTAAAAACAAAGAAACACAAATGAATGTCAGAAAGAGGTTTCCAGGTTTCTTCCTTTTGGAAACACCTTCTATTGATTGAAGGTTTCCCCACACCAGCACCACCTACAGTGGGTTTGGTGCTGATGATGCAAACTTACTTGAGGACCAGGTGATTATGGGCTGTTAGGGCAATTGTTCTGGGTGGAGAACACAAGTTTTGTATGTTCCAGCTCCAAGATGTTGAAATTATTTTAACTTCAACATCTCTACAGTGGAAAAGTCAAGTACCAGCCCAGATGTTCAGAAGACTGAGTCCCAAGAATTATATGATCTCTTGTTTGATTCAGGCTCACAATTACCTGGAGTCTTTCAGCACAGACTATGTTCCAAGCTTAGTATAAATATTAATATTATCTTTGCTGTATATAAGAGGTAATCAGTGTAAACTAAATTGTTCTAACCCGGAGGAAAAAGAAAACAACTGTCATCTTCCAACTGCCTGCTGTACAGTAATTGAGAAGTCTGAATCTAGTGAGGAGGTTCCTGTCCTTGTCACAGGACAGAGATATACCGTTGCAAATTGTGTATGGTGCGCTAACAAACATCCACACATCACCTGCCACAGGTCAGGCACTACAGCATCAAATACTTCATTGATAATGCCCATGCCACAGCGTGTCTTCAAGTCTCCACACACTGCACAACTCCTGGCATCAGAACAGAGTCAGAGATCCCCAGTTCCCTTTTCTCTGGCTCTCCCTGGACCTCCCTTCCTCAGGATGAAATTAAAAATCAAGCCACATATAAATTACAATCTCATTTCTCATGGTGACGCCCTCTTAGCTCGGGGCAGGTGGCTTTCATGCCTTCTTTAAGTCTCCATTTTCTTATCTTTAAAATGAAGTTAATAACACCTACTTCTTTGGGGAGATGGGAGAAATAATTAGCCCTGAAATGCTTTGAAGATGAAAAGTGCCACATTATTCTTTGTGCTAATTTTCCGGCATAAGGTGCCTAATTTCCCATTAGCATTGGCATGTTCTTCAGGAAAACCAAGGATGAGACTCTACTAAAAGAGTTTGTATGATTAATTATTGGCAAATGGACCAGCATCATCATATCGTTTTTGCATTCTCCTACTATCTTAAAGAACACAACCATCCAGGCACAGTGGCTCACGCCTATAATCCCAGCACTTTGGGAGGCTGAGGTGGATGGATCACTTGAGGTCAGGAGTTCAAGACCAGACCAGCCTGGCCAACATGGTGAATCCCGTCTCCACTAAAAATACAAAAATTAGCTGGGCATGGTGGCATGCACCTGTAACCCCAGCTACTCAGGAGGCTGAGGCAGGAGAATCACTTGAACCTGCGAAGCAGACATTGCAGTGAGCCGAGATCACACCACTACACTCCAGCCTAGACGACAGAGCCAGACTCTGTCTCAAAAAGAAAAAAAAGAACATCATCTCCTAACCAACTTATTGTTTTGAAAACCAGTGCAAAATAGAAAGAGCCCAACATTTGTTTTGCTTTTTCTCTACAAATCTTAAATAACTAAATAGTAGATAAGGAGAAGTTTTCTTTCTGTAGGTATATTTCAGCTAATAAATATGGAAGAAATGATAGGAATACAACCCCTAATGAATTCATATATTTTAGGCTATACCTAAAATATTTTAGGCTGATACCATCTCAAAAGGAGACACAATCAGATATTGTCTATTTTTTGGTGGAAGCTCACAGCATTGTCTTTGAAGTAGTCTAAGCAAAACAAATTGAACCCAAATATGATCAGGTTTCTGGATCTGACTACAAATTTCAGGAAATATAAAGAACAGAGGAGCACTTTAAACTATACTACAAGATTCAGTCAAAAAAAATTCAGATTATAGGAAACTTTATAAGCATACAACCTGTTTTCTTCAACAATTAAACTTCAAGGACAAAAAAGAGTTCAAAGGGGAACTTATACATTCAACTAAATTTATGAGATGTATCAAATGATCACAAGTATTTGGATCTTGCTTCACCCTAGCCATAAAACAAATTAATGAGAAGACCAAGGAGATTTATTGATGATACTAATAAGCTGATATAATTTTTTCAAGTGTAATAATGATATCAGAGTTATGATTTCTTAAAATCCTCCTCGATTTAAGATAACTACTAATATTTTTTACAGATAAAGTGAGGGTTCATAAAGTATTTTCTCTGTGTTTGAAATGTTTCATAACAAAAGTTTAAAAAGGAAAAAAAAGGCCAGGCCTGGTGGCTCATGCCTGTCATCCCAGCAGTTTGGGAGGCTGAGGCAGGCAGATCACTTGAGCCCGGAGTTTGAGACCAGCCTGGGCAACATGGCGAAACCCTGTCTCTACAAAAAACATCAAAGTTAGCAGGGTATGGTGGCATCTGCTTGTAGTCCCGATTACTGAGGAGACTGAGATGGGAGAGTCACTTGAGCCCAGGAGACTGAGACTGCAGTGCTCCATGATCACGCCACTGCATTCCAGACTAAGCAGCAGAGCAAGATCCTGTCTCAAAAAAGAGAGAGAGAGAAAAGAAATTGCAATTTTTAAAAAAAAAGGAAGATGTAAACAGCCTCTGGATGTAAGAAAGGGAAGAGATTGCTAGATAAAATGGATTATTTTTTTCTAGGCAGGTCATTTTACCAATTAAGGAAAGGCTTCAAGGTGAGGGCACCAGCAAGACCAGAACTAGACAGAGGGCAAGGGGGAAGAAGAAAACCAATCTGCAAGAGAAATAGTTTGAAGCAGTCAAGAAAGAGTGTTAGGTTTTTATTAGACACCACTCGTAGGTCAAGTGTTGGATAGCGGTTGAGAGTACAGGTTCTGGACTCAGGTTTAATACTTGGCTTCACACTTCCTAGCTATGAGAACCTGGGCCAATTGCTTTCCTCTCTGTGCCTTACTTTTTTCATTTTTAATACAGGAATGATAGTAGTACCTACCTCATAGGGTAGTTATGAGAACGAAATAATACAAATAAAGTGCTCGGACTTAGTTTAGCATATTGTAAGTGCATGATAAAAGTTATTATTGTCTGTAAATTTAAAGTCTTATCAGCTGATGCTCAACATCATTGATTATCAGGGAAATATAAATTGAAACCATAATTACTCTACAATCTTAATTGCTAAAGTTAAAACAACTGGGCACATAAACTATTGGCAAGAATGTGGAGGAACTGGAACTCTTATACATTGCTGATGGGAATGCAAAATGGTATAGTTACTTTAGAAAGCAATTTGGCAGTTTCTTGTAAATAAAAATATACCCTTAGCATAAAATCCAGCAGTTTTGCCCAAGAGACATGAAAACATATGTTCACACAAAAACATGTACAAACATATTCATAACAGCTTATTTTTAATACCAAAAAAAGAAAGAAAACAACACAAATGTCTATCAACAGATAAACAAATCTTAGTATGTCCATACAGTAGAATGCTACTTTAATTTTTTTAATGAACAATGAAACAAAAAAAGGAAAACATGTAATGATATGTTTACATATTATATATAGTAATATACATGAATCTCAAAATGGTATACTGAATTAAAGAAGTTGGACATAAAAGAGTACAGACTGTACCATTTCATTTGCACAAAACTGTAAACAAGATAAGTCTCATCTAAAATAACAAAAAGAGATCAGAGGTTACCTAAGACCAGGAGTGAGATTGGGAAAGAGCAAAGAGAATCTTTTAGGATGATGGAAATGTTCCATATCTTCATTGAAGTGGTGGATACATGGAAGCATGGATTTGTCAAAATTTGCTAGACTGCACACCTAACGTGGTGCATTTTATTATGTGTACATTGTACCTCAAAAAAGCTGATTTTTAGAAAATACAGGCCAGGCATGGTGGCTCACACCTGTAATCCCAGCACTTTGGGAAGCCAAGGCAGGTGAATAACTTGAGATCAAGAATTCAAGACCAGCCTGGCTAACATGGTGAAGCCCCATCTCTACTAAAAATACAAAAATTAGCCAGGTGAGGTGGCACACCTGTAATCTCAGCTACTCGGGAGGCTGAAGCAGGAGAATTGCTTGAACCCAGAAGGTGGAGGCTGCAGCGAGCCAAGATTGCACCACTGCACTCCAGCCTGGGTGACAGAGTGAGACTCCGTCTCAAAGTTAATTAATTAATTAAAATAAAAAATCCAACCAGGTAAACTAAATGAATGTGTGAATCTGTATTGGATCCTGAACCAGAAAAAGGGAGGAAAGAAGGAAGAGAAAAAAATAGTTTTTCTTTAGTTATATAGGACATTATTGGAACAACAGTTTGAGCAACCTTAGAGTAAGTGAGATTTTAAACTTTAGTGGTGACTTGACTTCACTTATACAGCAATGCAGTTTAATTAAGAACATGAAATCAAATGTTTTGAACCTTAGATCAAATATTCAAATAAGCAGAGCCCCAGAACTGGCCTGGAAAGAATCATAGGGTCCCACTGAGACAAGAAACTGGGTGGTCTACTGGTCAGGGTCTGAAGAACTGCCTGGTCCAATAAGTATATTCAGGGATCAGTCATTTTCATTCAAAGCCCAGCTCAGGAGGTCAAGCTTTCTCCTCCATCCTCCTACCCCCATGCCTGCTTCACTTGCCTCACAGAAGTGGCAAGAGGAAGCTCTGGACCTGGCAGATGAGTTACCAAAGCAATGGACTTTTAGAAGAGATGTTATGGTTTGGCTGTGTCCCCACCCAAATCTCATCTTGAATTGTAGTTCCCATAATCCCCACATGTTGTGGGGAGGGACCCGGTGGGAGGTAATTGAATCATGGGGGCAGTTACCTCTATGCTGCTTTCACAATAGTGAGTGAGTTCGCACAAGATCTGATAGTTTTACAAGGGGCTTTTTCCCCTCTTAACTTATACTTCTCCTTGCTGCCACCATGTGAAGAAGCACATGTTTGCTTCACCTTCTGCCATGATTGTAAGTTTCCTGAGGCCTCCCCAGCCATGCTGAACTGTGAGTCAATTAAACCTCTTTCCTTTATAAATTACCCAGTCTCAGGTATGTCTTTATTAGCATGTGAAAACGGACTAACACAAAAACCAAGAGTATCCATTGCTTATAGAATATTTCTGGTTTTCTCTGTTTTCTTATACTTCCAAATGTGCTTCAACTAATATATAGAGATTTTGTGATTTTGTTTTTGGTTTTTTTTTTTTTTGAGACGGAGTCTCGCTCTGTTGCCCAGGCTGGAGTGCAGTGGCGCAATCTCGGCTCACCGCAAGCTCCGCCTCCCAGGTTTACACCATTCTCCTGCCTCAGCCTCCCGAGTAGCTGGGACTACAGGCGCCTGCCACCACACCCAGCTAATTTTTGTATATTTAGTAGAGACGGGGTTTCACCTTGTTAGCCAGGATGGTCTCAATCCCCTGATCTCGTGATCCACCTGCCTCGGCCTCCCAAAGTTCTGGGATTACAGGCATGAGCCACTGTGCCCAGCCAATTTTGTGATTTTTTTAAAAAGTGCCAACAGCACATATGACAGGAAGAGAAACCAATACTTTTATTTCAAGAAGATAGTCTAGATAAGAACATATGCATTATAATTATTAACTATGATTTAATATTAATTTTATTTTAACCAAAAACACCTACAGGTGTTATAAAAATGGGGGGTGGGGGGAAACCATGTAAACTAGGAGGCAAACCTACGGGAATCCTTTGTGCATATGAAAATAAGTTTTCTCAGACTCCTCTGAGACAAATACAAATGATTATGTATTGGGTTGAGCACATTAGGGAATGATCTTTTTTTTTTTTTTTTTTAGATGGAGTCTCACTCTGTCACCCAGGCTGGAGTGCAGTGGCACTATCTCAGCTCACTGGAACCTCTGCCTCCCAGATTCAAGCAATTCTCCTGCCTCAGCCTCCCAAGTAGCCAGCATGCCTGGCTAATTTTTATATTTTTAGTAGAGATGGAGTTTCCCCATGTTGGCCAGGCTGGTCACGAACTCCTTTCCTCAAGTGACCCACCCACCTCGGCCTCCCAAAGAGCTGGGATTACAGGCGTGAGCCACCACGCCCGGCTGTAAGCCTCATCTTTTACGATGTTATGGTTAGAATGATTAAATGATTGCCAGTTATGAAAGGTCTGTGGGTGTGATAAGTCAATGGTATTGTAAGCCTAGATAAGAAAAGGAGTGGCAGCCACTGTGACTACTCATGGATTCTCAGTATCTCCTCTGATCTAGAACATGTTTGTTAACACCTAAAACACCATTTTATTTTTGTGTAAGCTGTGATTTTCACCCAAAACATGTTGGATAATCTTACCTATAGCCAAAATGTATAGCAATTCATAACACTTATATAAATGTTCAAATATGAAAGAAAATTCTGGAATGATGAAAAGTATTTTGAAAATATATATCAGAATTGTCTGTCACACACAGAACAACACTTGAGTTAACCAGTATAATACAAAAATATAAAATTACGGTTGAAGGAACCACTTAGGGATATGGTAGTTATCTAAAACATGGAGTAAACGAGATGGATGTATACCCATGAAATCTATCAAAAAAGTGTCCATTGTCTCATCTTTTCTATCCAAAATATAGGGAGCTAATTTAGTTCACAGTCAAAACCTAAGAATTGATAGAATTTTATAAGAAACTGTTTTCACATCCACATCCCGATAATCTTCATGAAGAAGAAATATTTTTTCACAACTGTAGGAGCAAGAAAAAATATTCTTGCCTCAGAAGGATCTCCCACAATGTCTAATATGTCAAACATTTGATCTTTAGTACCAACAATTAAATTATAAAAACTGTTTTAGGGTATATTCTGAAGACTTTTCCAGGCAGTTCTATATTTTCAAATGTGTCATCGGATTTTCTTACATGTTTAATGCTCACCATTATAAGCTTGCCAGCTACTTGTAGGTTCAGGTTTATTTAATGCTAATTATCAGAAGTACTGCTATGCCAAATACAAACAAGTAGTCATTCGAAACCTCTAGGACTTGAATATGGTGCAGTAGCTCACACCTGTAATGCCAGCACTTTGGGAAGCCGAGGCAGAAGGATCGCTTGAGCCCAGGAGTTTGAGACCATACTGGGCAACATAGCAAGACTCCATTTCCACTAAAAACTTAAAAAATTAGCTGGTCATGGTAGTACGTGCCTTTAGTCCCAGCCGCTCAGGAGGCTGAGATGGGAACATTGCTTGAGCCCAGGAGTTCGTGGCTTCAGTGAGCTAGGATCGTGCCGCTGCACCCTTGCCTGGGCAACAGAGTGAGATTCTGTCTCTAAAAAATAAAAAAATAGGCTGGCGCAGTGGCTCATGCCTGTAATCACTTTAGGAGGCTGAGGTAGACAGATCACGAGGTCAGGAGATCAAGACCATCCTGGCCAACATGGTGAAACCCCATCTCTACTAAAAATACAATAATTAACTTGTCTTGGTGGCATGCGCCTATAATCCCAGCTACTCAGGAGGCTGAGACAGGAGAATCGCTTGAACCCGGGAGTCAGAGGTTGCAGTCAGCTGAGATCGCACCACTGCACTCCAGTGTGGCAACAAAGCGAGACTCTGTCTCAAAAAACATAAATAAAATAAAAACAAAAATAAACAATCAGAGGTGAATTAACACTAGCATGTAAGAGCCCTCTTTTAAAGTGACTTGACACTTCAGTTGGTCCTTTAAATACAGACCACACAGAACATCAGGTAGACCAATCACTGTCAAAACAGTGATATGATGTATTTATACCTTTTCAGTGTCATATGAAGTAATCCCCTAACAGGAGGTCTTCTCGTGGGAAACAGTTATCTAGCTCCTTGTTACTAAAAGTGAGGTCCTTAGAGAAACAGGATCCACATCACCTGAGAGCTGACGATGAAATGCAGAACCTTGGACCCACCCCAGGCCTAATGAACAGGAACCTGCTTTTTAACAAGACCCCCAGGTGATTCATTACACAGTCAAGTTTGAGAAGCACTGATCTAAACTTGTCATCTGGATCATGTATGAACGAAAAGAAAAACAAATGAACTCTTTACATAGAGTTACCATATGACCCAGCCATTTTGCCCATCTATATATGCCCCCCAAAATGAAGAATACGTCCACAAAAACTTGGGCATGAATGCCCATAACAGCATTATCTATAGTAGCTAAAAATAGAAACAGGCCAAATGTACATCGACTGATCAATGGGTGAATAAAATGTGGCACATTCATACAATGGAGTATTACTCAGCCACAAAAACAAATGAAGTACCGACAGGTACCACAGCATGGATGAAACTTGAAAACATCATGCTAAGTGAAAGAAGCCAGACACAAAGCCACATAGTGTATGATTCCAGTCATACAAGATGCCCAGAACAAGCAAATCTATGGAGGCAGAAAGTAGATTAGTGATTGCCAAAGACTGGAGTGGCGGTGGGGTTGGAGTGAAATGAGAAGTGACTGTTAATGGGTATGGGGCTTCTTTTAGGAGTAATAAAAATGTCTGGAATTAGGTAGTGTGGTGATGGTTGCACACTCTGTGAAAAAACTTTAAAAAAATTAATTAGGCCAGGCGCGGTGGCTCAAGCCTGTAATCCCAGCACTTTGGGAGGCCGAGGCGGGCGGATCACGAGGTCAGGAGTTCAAGACCAGCCTGGCCAACGTAGTGAAACCACATCTCTACTAAAAATACAAAAAATAAAAAAATTAGCCAAGCACGGTGGCATGTGCCTGTAATCCCAGCTACTCGGGAGGCTGAGGCAGGAGAATCACTTGAACCAGGGAAGTGGAGGTTGCAGTGAGCCGAGATCGTGCCACTGCACTCCAGCTTGGGCAACAGAGTGAGACTTCGTCTCAAAAAACAAAACAAAATGAAACAAAAAAAACCTTAATTATATACTTTAATGGAAGGAACTTTATGGTATGTAAATTACATCTCGATAAAGCTGCTATTTTTAAAATATATGCTTTAGGGAAAGTCAGAGTGATACAGAAACGCCAGTAGTGCACCAGCTGCAGGTGGGAGGAAAACCGAGCTTTGCCAGACAGTCCTTGACAGAATGAATTGTGGGCTGTTTTAGAGGCTCTAGAAAAGATAAGAATGATACAAGGTGATGCTGGAGACCATTAATGGAAGATGGAGTGGGGGAGCCAGCAGCCATTCAGCCATCTTGTTGAAGCTGTCACTGCAGACCCCGTGAAGGAGGAAAGAAGAAATTACACTGGGCACAGACACATCAGGGAGTGGCTGATTGTGCGATTATACATCACACAAACATAAGGCTTCTTCTCAGTAGCATTCTAGCTATCATTCTGGAATACTATTGAAAAATCTAAAACCTAGAATATTAGTCTCTTTTTCAAACTCAGAGTCTACCTTCAAAATCAAAGTTTTTGCGTCGTGACCTACTGAGAAAACTGTACCCTATTAAACCTTCTGTGAATGCAGGAAATAGATAAGATTCCTCTATTTAATTGAAAAGAGCCCTTCCTTCATCCATGGGTAAATGGAGCCATGGGTGGGGCAGTTAATGGCGGTGTCCAAACAGCCCCAGGCCCTGGGCGCTCTGTGAGTAAGCCTGAGTCAAGGCCACAGCCTCTCCCAAGTCGTCTGGCAGCCGGCGATGTGGAAGGGGAGAAAAAAAAAATCATTTCTTTTTTGAACCCTCCTAAGTTTGTTGCTGGGACAGATTCCTCTTAGCAAAACACAGATGAACAAGAGAAAACCAAGCATTTTTATTTATGCATGCCATGCCCATCACGCAGGAGAAAGCAACTGTCCCAAATCAGTGGCTTAGAGGCCTTGCTTAAACAGTATCTTATCAAAGAGCAATAAATCTTAGAGCAGTGATGAGAAACAAAATTTCCAGTCTCTCAAGGTGGGAAAACTGTGGGAAAGGAGTAAAGTTGGCTCCTAGATTCCCCTAGCCCTGCTGCAGCCAGTTTCTGAGCTGATGAGAGCTAGGGCCATCTCCAGTGAAGACAGAATTTACTTCTGTCTTTAGGTGGGAAAAGAAGGGAAACGGGAGAAAGACTTTTTGTCCTTGTGAATCACTGTCTTCCCATCAGGTAAGCATAAGGAACCTCAATATCCACCCTCTGCATTTTAACCTTCTTCAGCTCAACAACCTTCAATATTTTGCAGAGAAATATTTTCATTTTCTTCAATGTCACAAAGTAAAGGAAAGATGATGGGGCCACTGTCAATATCCCTCTATAGAGATTGTGTCAGCTACGAAACACTGCAAAGAAGGAGCCGAGGGAAAAGATTTGGGATTAAATATTTTCTTTCAATTTTGGCACATGAATTGATGTTCCACTGAGATTCAGAACAATGATTGACAATCAACTTGAAGAAACAAGAGGCCAATAGTTCTAGGAAGCACCTGTCTGGGAGGAACTGAATGGTCTTCCTGGAAGGAGTCTCCATCCCTGCAGCAAGTGGAAGTCGCTGGTATGTATGGGGGAGAATACATGACAATAGGTAGCTAGTCAGACGGTGAGCAGGGCAGGAGAGGGGCCCCCCCAACACACACACCAGGAATGTCAGGCGGCCATCAGGTGATGGTCAGGTCGTTGTTAAACTGCCTCTCTAAAATAATAATTGTAGGCAGGCAATTATCTATCTATTGGGAGACTGCCTGGGAAAGGCAAAAGAAAAAACCACACTGGTAATCAGCAGCTTCCCAATAAGATCTCAGAAGTTGGGCCAGTGGGCTCAAGCATGCACACGAAGAGGCAAAATGGCGGAGTTTAACTAGCATATGACCTTCCTCTGGGAACGCTAGACTGTTAAGGGAAGAACGCTTGATTGGTGAGGGAAAAACACCTCAAGTGAGCATGTGCAGAACCCCAGTAAATACGCTGCACGTGTGGCCCCTCCCAAGTGCTGACAGGTCACTGCACATGTGGACAGCTCATGCCAAGGGAAGAATCACAGGGGAAGGGATGCAAGGCCCCGGAAGTATGTCAATGCGTAACGCTGAAGGAAATAATATATACAGTGACCCATTTCCAAGACAAAGTGCCTTGAATTGGCTTGTTGTGGGATTCAGGAGGACGAGAGAGACCTCGGGTTGAAAGAGGAGAATCTTTATTGAGTGCACTCAGGCCCACCTGACTGACGTCCAAAAGACTGGGCCCGGAACAAAGACAGTACTTGACTTTCATACACACTTCATAGAAGGGGGTGGGCTAGCTTGAAGCAAGCTTACAGTGGCGTGAAAGCAGGGATACAGAGGCAGGACAAAGACAGGATTGCCATGACCATTGCCAAGCAACCCAGATGTCCGTTATCTAGGTTTGCCTGGGCACACACAAGCTTATCTTATAACCTTCGCTATGGTGCCCAGGCAGCTGTAGTTCAGGCCTGCTTAGGCTTCTCATGACCTTCGTTGTACTTCTTAGATAAAACAGAATACTTGAAGTCACTAGTTACAGAGAACAGGAATCTATAAACTCACTCTGTAAAACAAAGGAAAATTTGTTTTCTTTTCCCTATGTTGAAGGAGTGCTGGGAGAGTCTCCAGAGCACATTAGATAATATTATCAAAACTTTTCCTGGGTCTGGGCTGTGCCTGTTGCTGCCTCTGGGAAAAGTTAGCCTAAAACAGGAAAACTTATTTCTCTTTCTTTTTAATTTTGTTTTTCTTTAATTTCCCCCCTCAGGCTTAGGTCAGCAAACTACATAGCAAACAGGATATACTAGGCCCCTGCTTGGATAGCCAATTCCTGCTTGTCTGCCTCCCCCTCCCCCACTTCTCCACCCCTTTATTGCCCTCACCCAAACCAAAGAAGTGTAGTCTAAGATGAAAGTTTACTAGCCTGCAAAATAGCTCGTTTTGTCTGTTCTTATCAGCCTGCCCAGTTTTTATTTAGGTCATAAATCAAATACTTGAAGAGCCCCAGAGCTGACTAGGATTGCAATGCATTGTGGGCTGCAACAAAATGCAGCAAGACAACCCTAAAAAAGAAAAACACCTAAAGTCCCTACTTAACAATCAATAGGCAACGTCTGGGAAGATTGTGACCCCATGCCTATGTGTTCCCAGGCTATGAGGCTGGAGTCTTTTGGACGTAAGTCAGCTGGGCTTGAGTGCACTTGGTAAAGATTCTCCTGTTTCAACCCGAGGTCTCTCTCGTCCTCCTGAATCCCACAACAAGCCGATTCAAGGCACTTTGTCTTGGAAATGGATCACTGTGTACATTATTTCCTTCAGTGCTACATGTTGGCATACTTCCAGGGTCTTGCATCCCTTCCCCTGTGATTCTTCCCTTGGTATGAGTTGTCCACATATGCAGTGGCCTGTCAGCACTATGTGTTCCCAGACTATGAGGAACGAGGGGAGGGACCTGCGCACTGGGAGATAAATTGCTTGTTGAAACTGCACTGGGTGTGCCTGCCCATCAGACTCCCAATCTTGCAAGACCATCATTAAAAGTCTCACTCTCGCTGTTCTGTGGGTCTTTGAGACCATTCTTTGGGTTTGGACAGGTGAGTTTGTTTCTCATAACACCCTAAATCAGAAGTCAAACTGCACACTTGATCTCTCAAGTCACCCACTTGGCCCTCTTCCAAGTGTATTTTACTTCCTTTCATTCCTGCTCTAAAGCTTTTAATAAACTTTCTCTCCTGCTCTAAAACTTGCCTCAGTCTCTCCTTCTGCCTCATGCCCCTCAGTCGAATTCTTTCTTCTGAGGAGGCAAGAACTGAGGTTGCTGCAGACCCATGTGGATTTGCCACCAGCAACAAATTGATTTCACTTTCTATTTTTTTGAGATGGAGTCTCACTTTGTCACCTGGGCTGGAGTGCAGCAGTGGGATCTCAGCTCACTGCAATCTCTGCCTCCCAGGTTCAAGCAAGTCACGCCTCAGCCTCCTGAGTAGATGGGATTACAGGCGCGTGCCACCATGCCCAGCTAATTTTTGTATTTTTAGTAGAGACGAGGTATTGCCATGTTGGCCAGGCTGGTCTCGAACTCCTGACCTCAAGTGATCTCCCCGCCTCAGCCTCCCAAAGTTCTGGGATTACAGGTGTGAGCCACTGCTCCCGACCTGACTTCACTTTCTTTCCACATAAGCAAAATTCCATATAAATCAGCAACACTGTTTTTACCCATTGACAAGGTTGTGTCCAGTTCATCGATCATTCCTCAGGTTACACGCACGTGACCTACCTAAGTTTATAACACAATGCTTAAAAACAGATTTCAATGGGGGCAATTTCTTATTAAGGCATTTTGATAATCAGTTGATTTCAATTCTAAAACTAAATTAAATTTGTTTTTCTCTTAGTGGAAGGAGGCAGCAAGATATATAGAAAAGGCCTTTAACTCCAGAATCCAATGATGGTTTCAGTGCTCAAATTAATAATGCAACTTTTCTAAGCCTTGGGTTTTTTAAATCAAAAGGTAGAGATAATCATACCAATGTCATAGAATTGTTGTAAGGTTTAAATAACGATCTTAAATCATGAGTAAACACCACTCTTCCCATGCATGCAACTGAATGCCAATATCGCCCTAGACATTTGGTCGTCTAGCTAGGATCCTCCCTTCCCTGGCTTCATGTTAGAATCACCTGGGAGTATTTAACGAATACAGTTTCCAAGCTCTACCCCCAGAAATTCTGGTGTAATTGATCTGTGGTGGGGCCCAGGCGTCATTATTTTTTTAAGGTTCCCAGGCGAAGTGAGGAGCCCCTCTGCCCGGCCAGCCGCTCCCCGTCCGGGAGGGAGGTGGGGGGGTCAGCCCCCCGCCCGGCCAGCCGCCCCGTCCGGGATGTGAGGGGCGCCTCTGCCCGGCCGCCCCTACTGGGAAGTGAGGAGCCCCTCTGCCCGGCCAGCCGCCCCGTCCGGGAGGGAGGTGGTGGGGGTCAGCCCCGAGCCCGGCCAGCCGCCCCGTCCGGGAGGTGAGGGGCGCCTCTGCCCGGCCGCCCCTACTGGGAAGTGAGGAGCCCCTCTGCCTGGCCACCACCCCGTTTGGGAGGTGTACCCAATAGCTCATTGAGAACGGGCCATGATGACAATGGCGGTTTTGTGGAATAGAAAGGGGGGAAAGGTGGGGAAAAGATTGAGAAATCGGATGGTTGCCGTGTCTGTGTAGAAAGAGGTAGACATGGGAGACTTTTCATTTTGTTCTGTACTAAGAAAAATTCTTCTGCCTTGGGATCCTGTTGATCTGTGACCTTACCCCCAACCCTGTGCTCTCTGAAACATGTGCTGTGTCCACTCGGGGTTAAATGGAGTAAGGGCAGTGCAAGATGTGCTTTGTTAAACAGATGCTTGAAGGCAGCATGCTGCTTAAGAGTCATCACCACTCCCTAATCTCAAGTACCCAGGGACACAAACACTGCAGAAGGCCGCAGGGTCCTCTGCCTAGGAAAACCAGAGACCTTTGTTCACTTGTTTATCTGCTGACCTTCCCTCCATTATTGTCCTGTGACCCTGCCAAATCCCCCTCTGCGAGAAACACCCAAGAATGCTCAATAAAAAAAAAAAAATTTTAAATAAAATAAAATAAAGTTCCCAGGCAATTATAAATCACAACCAGGTTTCAGAATCAATGGACAGAAGAATTCTCAAATTGAAATCTAGAAATCAATTTCAACAGAATCACCAGGGTTGATTACAGAATGAGGATTCCAGGGCAGAGCCTCACCCTATGCTGACTGAGTCAGAATTTCTGGAAGGAGCCTTAAAATCTTTTTTTTCTTTTTTCCTTGGGTGTTTTTGAGATGGGGTCCTGCTCTGTGGCCAGGCTGGAGGGCAGTGGCACAATCTCGGCTCACTGCAGCCTCTGCCTCCTTTGTTAAAGCGATTCTCGTGCCTCAGCCTCCCTAGTAGCTGGGATTACAGCCACACGCCACCACACCCAGCTAATTTTTGTATTTTTAGTAGAGACGGGGTTTCACCATGTTGGCCAGGATGGTCTCAATCTCCTGACCTCATGATCTTCTCACCTCGGCCTCCCAAAGTGCTGAAATTAAAGGCATGAGCCACTGTGCCCAGCCAAAATCTTCATTTTTGACAACTTCCCCAGGCAATTAGAATGTATACTAATTGCCTAATTTATTTATTTATTCATTTATTTATTTATTTGAGACAGGGTCCTGCTCTGTCTCCCAGGCTGGAGTGTGGTGCTGCTATCTTGGCTCACTGCAGCCTTGATCTCCCCAGACTCAGGTGATCCTCTCACCTCAGCCTCCCGAGTAGCTGGGACCACAGGTGCACACCACTATGCCCGCCTAATGTTTGTATTTTTTTGTAGAAGTGAGGTTTTGCCATGTTGCTCAGGCTGGTCTCGAACTCCTGGGCTCAAGCACTTCGTCCACCTCAGCCTCCCAAAGTGCTGGGATTACAGGTGTAAGCCACTTCACCCAGCCACTACTTTTATTTTTCTTTAATATATGGAAGTACGGATTTATAACACTGTGAAGCTAGACATTGTTATGATATTTTTACAGATGAGAAAACTGAAATTCAGAGGAGTCCAGTAACCTTCTCCAGGTTAGGTGGTCCCCATCACTAAGAAGTGGTCCTCTTTAACTCGTTTGTTCCATGGCTGCTCTCTCAAGTGATTCCTTACTGAGTCATGAAAACCATTTCCCACTCCCCTCTTCTCTCCCACTACCTCATTAAAGGAATTGTTTCTGGCCAGGCGCAGTGGCTCACACCCGTAATCCCAGCACTTTGGGAAGCCAAGGTGGGTGGATCACCTGAGGTCAGGAGTTCAAGACCAGCCTAGCAAACCCCATCTCAACTAAAAATACAAAAATTAGCCGGGTGTGGTGGCGGACACCTATAATCCCAGCTACTCGGGAGGCTGAGGCAGGGGAATCATTTGAACCCAGGAGGCAGAGTTTGCAGTGAGCTGATATTGTGCCACTGTACTCCAGTCTGGGCTACAGAGTAAGACTCCATCTCCAATAAATAAATAAACAAGATGTAACCATTGGGGGAAACTGAGTGAATGGAGGCCCTCCGTACTATCTTTGCAATTTCCTGTGAACCTTTAATTATCTCAAAATTTAGAAGTTAAGAAGAAATACAGTGAAGCAACTCCAATAAGCGGCATATCTAGCTTGTTTAGAGCAGGCCCAGGATGTGTAAGAGGTGCACATTCTAGAATATATTTGAACGTAAAGGTAAAGGAGATGCCCCTGGTCCCCACATCATGATGCTAAAAGTGCATTATCTTTTTTTTTTTTTTTTTTTTTTTTTGGAGACAGAGTCTCGCTCTGTCACCCAGGCTGGAGTGCAGTGGCGCGATCTCAGCTCACTGCAAGCTCCGCCTCCCGGGTTCACGCCATTCTCCTGCCTCAGCCTCCCAAGTAGCTGGGACTACAGGCGCCCGCCACCACGCCCGGCTAATTTTTTGTATTTTAGTAGAGACGGTGTTTCACCGAGTTAGCCAGGATGGTCTCCATCTCCTGACCTCACGATCCCCCCGCCTCGGCCTCCCAAAGTGCTGGTATTACAGGCGTGAGCCACTGCGCCCAGTCAAAATGTACATAATCTTAACACCTGTTCTGCAGTGAGAAGCTCTATGAAGCCCCAAAGACCAAGGAAGCTGAGAGGCCACAGAAAGAGGCTGATAAATCCAGTTTCTCAGAAAGAAACATGTCATAGGGGCTTAGGAACAGAAGCCATGTTCCATGCAGCCCTGAGATGGTGGATCCCACCCTGATACCTTCCAGACCCAGGGCTTATATACCATAGGGCATTTGCCTAAGGGAAGGATTTATGGTAAGTATGTGTTTATGATAACATAAAGGTTGTTTTGACCTAAGGGCCGGATTTACAGTAACTATGAGAGATTAGAAATCTTAGAGGTATTCCCAGAACTTGGGTTAATCAGAAGTCATCTTGGGAGATTAGTATCCAAGATACAGTTGCTGTAGCCTCCATTACCCTGGCTCCCAAATACAAGTTTCTGGGAGCAGATCGATATACGTATTGAGCACCTGCCATTGGGCCATGCACTGTGCTAGGTGCAAAGATCATTGAACGTGGACTCTACAGCAAAAGCTAATGCGACATTCAGAGAACTGAGGCCTGTGCCAAGTATCTCCAGCAGAAAGCAAAATGGGAGAAGTGCCAGGAGTGTGAGAAAGGAACATTCAACCTTTACTAGGTGCCTGTTACAGGACAGAACTCTGCTGGGTCCTCGGGATATGAATATGACAAGTAGCACATCCCTGATGTTAGGGAGCTCACAATCTAATCCAGGAACTGGGCACACACACAAACAACGGGATATACTTTCCAGCTATGTAAAGCAAGCCTTCAATTGTGCAACTTTGTTTAACAATATATCAAACAGTATATACCATTCCCATCAGCAGTGCCTTAATCATAAGTAAACACATAGAAACACCTAAAGGAGTACCCATGAAGCTACAGATGCGACGTACAACATGACAACAAACTTCACACCAGTGCCTTAGTGTTCAGTTTCCTTGCAAATTCAAGGAAATAATACTAATGAGTAATGGATCAGGTAGATCCTTTTGCTTGCAAGTAACAGAAACATAAGCTTGCCCACAGTGAAAGGAGACAGTATATGTCCATTTAAACAAGTAGGGTAGGCAAAGACCAGGGATTTAGCCCAGGCAGGACATTATCTCACTTCCTTTCATCTCTGCTTCTCTCTGCATGTTGGCCTCAGTCTACCGCTGCAGGTGGACTTTCCCCAGGCAACAGGAGACCTACAGCTTCATCAACACCTACCCCATGGCCAGAGAGCACAAAGCTCTATCCGGCCAGCTCCAGGCAGGCAGACCTCAAGGCAGCATGCTGATTGGCCAAACTCTGGTCACATGTCCATCTCCAGACCAATTAGTATTGTCCAAGTCTGTTACCAATGAAGTAAGTCCCACGGGTCACTGAATTCAAATTGTTCCATTGCAAAGAGTGTCACCTCTCAGATGCCCTTTCAGAAACCTTAGAGCAGTTATTATTGCAATGATTAAGCAACAATTAATAATAACAAGCCAAAGATCTTCCTTGATTTTAACTTCACGAATTTAAAATTTATTCTTATGTATACATAGCACTGAATTGTATTTGTTTAAAAGCTCAAAATCACTTTTTAATGTTTATGATATATTAATATACAATGTAGGACTAAGAAAAATTATACTTTTGTAGGCCAGGTGCAGTGGCTCATGCCTGTAATCCTAGCACTTTGGGAGGCCCAGGTGGGCGGATCACTGGAGCCTCAAATGCTGGAGGAGGCCCAGGGAGACAGCACGTCTCTATCAAAAAGTCCCCCCTGGGGTTACAGGTCATGACAACCCTGGAGGGGTAATGGCAGTACAAGAGTGTGTCTAGGCCGGGCACCATGGCTCACGTCTGTAATCCCAGGACTTTGGGAGGCCAAGGCGGGTGGATCACCTGAGGTCAGGAGTTCAAGACCAGCCTGGCCAACATGGCAAAACCCTGTCTCTACTAAAGATATAAAAATTAGCTGGGTGTAGTGATGCACACTTTTAATCCCAGCTACTCAGGAGACTGAGGCAAGAGAATCACTTGAACCCGGGAGGCAAAGATTGCAGTGAGCCGAGATCATGCCACTGCACTCCAGCCTGGGCCACAGAGGGAGATTCTGTCTCAAAAAAAAGAAAGAAAGAAAAAAGAAAAAAAAAAAAAAGAAAGAAAAAAGAAAAATTATACCTTTTCATTTAGTTGACTAATAACCATAGGTATTTGTGTTTATTACATACTTTCAAATATTAAATTATATTTCTTTTGAGATACTCCATAATTTAGAATTTTCCTTTATGTAAACTCACGTTTTTCCCAATAACTCTAAGCCAATGAGGCTTGGCTCCTCTCTCTGGGCCTTTCTTTCTCTCTCTCCTCAGTCAAACCCACCCTCTCTGCTGCTCCCATAAAACGTCTAGGAGAACTGGTTAATTTCCTCATAAGACAAGATATTTGGCTTTAGGATACAAATGTGACTGGGCAGGCTCTCTGCCCAGGGACTGGGCCCAGCTCCGAGTGGGGTTTGTTCCAACAGAGAATCACCCTAACAGGCCCCAACAAGAGGATCATGGGTTCCAGCTTCTAGGAATGAGGGCTTTTCTGCTACATGATGCCCAGCACCTTGTCTTCTGTGAATCTTGGCTCAAGAGAATGAATTCACACTTTGAGGAAGAATGGGGAAGAATTTTTGGGTGTGGTTTTTGGTTGTTCTGTGGGGGGTTTTGGCCATTAAAGAAAATAGCTCCCATTTCAGGCGCATATTCACCCCAGGAATGGGGTTGCTGAACTGTGCCTTTGAAGAATGAATGCTAGTACTCAAATCCATCATCACGATGGGCACCCTACCTTAGGGATGAAGTTTTATGTGGTAATAAGTAATAAAATATATATGTACGCATTTCGAGAGACATAGTTACATCTCATGGAATCAGAAGCAGAACAAGCTGTTTCCCCAGAGACTCTTTTTTTAACTTCCTGTCAGCCTCAGTGATGGCTCCACAAGTGTTTATTGCCAATGAGTGACATAATCGCTGTCTCATTCAGACAGCACATTTTGCAAAGACACTCCGTTTGACTCACTCAGACATACTGGGTGTGTGTGTGTGTTGTAATATTTCTATAAGCTACCACGTGCTTTTAATTTATTGAGTTTTCAAATGTCTAGGCATTCACTCAGGTTTAAAAGTAAGTACTCAAGAAATAAGCAATCTATATTTCCAACCACAACACTTGTTAAATTGAATAAACAGGAAAAAAAAGGAATGAAAAATAAGCTTTTTAGAACTATGTTTCAGGCTGAATGAGGTGGCTCACACCTATAATCTCAGCCGAGGCAGGTGGATAACTTGAGGTCAGGAGTTCGAGATCAGCCTAGCCAACATGGTGAAACCCCATCTCTACTAAAAATACAAAAATCAGTTGGGCATGGTGGCAGGCGCCTGTAATCCCAGCTACTCGGGAGGCTGAGGCAGGAGAATTTCTTGAACCCAGGAGGCAGAGTTTGCAGTGAGCTGAGATCGCACCACTGCACTCCAGCCTGGGCGACAGAGCAAGACTCCATCTCAAAGGGACAAAAAGAAAAAAAAAAAGAACTATGCTTCAAATGGCTCATAGAACATAAGGTAAAGTTCTGCACACTCAGGATTCCCCCGCCTGTACCATGACACGCCCTTGACTCATTGCTCATTTTAGGTAACTACCATCGCTGCCCTCCAGGTGCAAACCTCTCACCCTGACTTTACTATTTCTTTCCCGCTTGCTTCTCTGCCCTGATTAGTTCTCCCTGAGGCACACATCACCTCTGTTCACCACCCTACCACTATGGGCCGTTTTAGAAGCCCTGTTCTCCTGTGAACAGAGAGGGGTGTCTGTGTTTTGGAGTATGCGTTATTGGGTGTGGCAGCCACCTCCAGGCAGGTACACCCAATAACCCAATAATGCCTCTTTCCCTTACACTCTCAGGCTCTCCCACGAGCCCAGGCATGGCCACGATTAGCAAGCAAAGGTGTTGAAAGGAGTAAAGCAGAAAGTATTTTAAAGAAGGCATAACAGAGAAGACCCAGTTCTCCTAGGCCCCACTCCCACTCCAATAAAACAAAAGACCCTCTGATTTGGATGACAGAGGAAGAAGCCTTGGAAAGAAAGTAAGAGGGTAAGAGTCAGTGTAGGGGCCACAAAATTTGCCCTTCATTTGGTAAGTCGAGTTGGGGGTGGAAGGAGAAGTAGCAACACACAATAAAGCTCCCTTTTCACTTTCAAAATCCAAGAACAAGAAGGGCCTGAGCCTCAAATGCTGGAGGAGGCCCAGGGAGACAGCAAGTCTCTACCAAAAAGTCCCCCCTGGGGTTACAGGTCATGACAACCCTGGAGGGGTAATGGCAGTACAAGAGTGTGTCTAGGCCGAGCACCGTGGCTCATGTTTGTAATCCCAGCACTTTGGGAGGCCAAGGCAGGTGGATCACCTGAGGTCAGGAGTTCAAGACCAGCCTGGCCAACATGGTGAAACCCCGTCTCTACTAAAAATACAAAAATTAGCCAGGCATGGTAGCACGTGCCTGTAATTCCAGCTACTCAGGAGGCTGAGGCAGGAGAATCACTTGAATCCAGGAGGTGGAGGTTGCAGTCAGGCGAGATCACACCATTATACCCAGCCTGGGTAACAGTGAGACTCTGTCTCAAAAAAAAAAGAAAGAAAGAAAAAGAAAAGAAAAGAAAAAAGAGTGTGTCTAGGCTTGGGAGGGCATCTGGACATACCCATGGCCACCCCCTGCCAGGGGTCTATTGTGCCTCAGATGCAAAGCTCACATCCTAATATCTATCCCAGGGAGAGGAATAGTGCCTGAAGTGATCATCCTGAATATGGTTGAGCTTGTTCCAATTGTGACAAAGCTTTAAATCAGTAATGCCCCCAAATTACTGAATGTAGCTGGATATACTTAAAAGTAGCCAGACTATTTTTCCCTTTATGAGAACTAAATTCAGTTATCAAAAAAGTTACATTTTTGTATATCTGATTTTTGAAAATGTATAACATTACATGCATGATTTAACCTGTATTTTCAGACATTTCTTTGTATACCTGTCCCATCTCCATACACTTTAATACTTGGAATTTGACTTTGGCCCACTGGCACCACATCCCCTTACAATCTTCTCTAATGAAAGGTGAGTTTTGGCCAGTCCTCCCTCAAGGGAAGCGTTCCCTAACCACCCCTCCTCCTCCTTCTTCCTTTAAACACTCTCACAGAAGCTTCTCATCATAGCATTTATTGTACATGATTACCTATTTCATTATCTGTGATTATCTCACCTACTGAACTGTAAGATCCATGTCTTTTTTTATTGCTTCTATCTCCAGGATCAATAATGGTGCCTGTCCTAAAATTGGTATGCAGTAGAATCTAGCAGATTCTCTATTTACGAACATTCAACTCACAAACTTCACAGATATATACAAGCTCCTCTGGAAGACCAGAGTGCATCAAATCTAAACAGCAACAATATTATGGCCTAATCTCTATTACAAATACAGTTAACTTATAACTAACATAAACAGGTGGCTTTCCTTGGAACACACCCCACTCCGCTGCCTCAAAGGATTACTACTGGGACCACCCTTTGGCAAAATAAGCCCTATCTTCTTCTGTTGATGTCTTTCCTGATCTTCAAGGCCCAATCTAAAAGCTTCACCATTCTATATCTTATTTCAGGAGAAAATTCAGCTCCACTTGGGATAGTTCAATGAGACTATTCATTTTAAACGTTCTTGATTTTGATTTACTTTTTGCTTTCCCAATTATAGGCAGACTTGGGGAGAAAGTTGACCAATATAAAGACAGGGAGAAAAGAGAAGCCTCAACATAAAAGTGAAGTCTTGGGAGGGTGAGGAATGCTGGTTAAGCTATAACATGTTTGGAGAGATGGTGGAGACCAGCAGGGTAGTCCCTTGCCTTGTAAGTTCCTGGTGGGGTGGCTTTACTTGCTGCTAGCATTCCATGCCCTTCTTAAAGCAGCAGCCTAGGGGCTTCCACATGCCTTGTTTGGTTTTCCTCAAACACTGAGTGTCTGGAATACATCAGACACCCAAGACAGAGTGGAAAGGCATAGACTGTCCTCAAAGAAGATGAACAACGAAATGGATGACCGCAATCTGATGTGAGACAAATGTCAGGGCAAAGCGTGGGTAGAAAGAGAGCAGCACACTTGTAATCCCAGCAGTTTGGGAGGCCAAGGCAGGTGGATCAAAAGGTCAGGAGATCAAGATCATCCTGGCCAACATGGTAAAACCCCGTCTCTACTAAAAATACAAAAATTAGCTGGGCGTGGTGGTGCATGCCTGTAATCCCAGCTACTTGGGAGGCTGAGGCAGGAGAATCACTTGAACCTGGGAGATGGAGGTTGCAGTGAGCCGAGATCATGCCACTGCACTCCAACCTGGGTGACAGAACAAGACTCCGTCTCAAAAAAAAAAAAAAAAAAAAGCAAAAGCAGCACCCAGCCTGAGGAGGCTGAAGCCGTAGGAGAGAGAAGGGCAAGGAAACGGGAGAGGTGAGCATTCACGGTGGGGATGGGAAGGGAAGAAGCTCAGTGCCTCCTCCAGAACTAAGAGCCAATACATAATGACTAAAGCCGAAAATCTACAAACAGAAATACATGTGGCTAATTTGGAGAACTGGAAGTAAATTTCAAAATGACCAGTTCAGAGGTAGTGAGACATCTGGGGAGGGGAGAAGTGAAAGGGAAAGGGGCTGATGCTTTTCATAATAAACCCTACAAAACTCGGGTGTCATGGAGTCATGGATAAAACAAAACAAAACAAAAGAGGGAAAACATTAATTGAAACCTTATTTGAAAGCTACATAATTTCCATCATATGGAAATGTCATATTTTTAAGCAATTTCCTACTGTTGAATATTTGTTTCTATTTGTTCCTAATATAAAAAAGGCTGGTTGAATAGATTTATCCATGGATCTTGCTCTGCATCTCTGTCTATCTCCTCTGGGTAGATACCCCTTCCAGGGCAGAAGGTCCAGAAAAGCCATGCCCTTTCACCATAACCCACGGCTCCCTCTCATTAGAACCAACGAAACAGCCTGGAGGACAAAGACCTTCATGAACAATAATACATTTAATTAGTTTCATTATACACTTATTAGTAAAATTATACATGTTGATTACTAGTTTAATTTTATGGATGCATCTAATTTTTAACTAGCCCATCCCACCCAACCTCAGACCCCAAGGGAAAGGGAAAGAAAAGCAAGCCAAAAGTGTGACCAGCAGTCCGAAGGAGTGTCAGTGTTCCTGGGCCCAGGCCAAAGCAGGCCTGTCAGGGATGACTGGACATGTGCTGCTGAGGGTTACAGCCATCCTGAGAGCCCAGTCTTGCCAGAGTTGGGAGCAGAAATGCAGTCCAGCCCAGCAAAGAGACACAGCCCAACCCAGCAAACAGGAACTTGGCCCCCAAAGCCAGAGCTGTGCTCATATTTCACTGCCACAATCTCCATCAATATAACTGCTGATCTGGAAGCTGTGAATGTTTGTAAGCTCTGGATACATAATGTCAATCCACCTTCCAGAGTTCTGGTGCTGCTACTTTGTATAATTGTTGTTGCGCCAAAAATGATACAAACACAATATTGACCTCTAGATTCTTGCAAGCGAATGTATGAATGTATAATGGTCTTCTTCTAGACGGATTTCAGGAAAATGGTAAGGTATTGCCCTGAGCTATGAATTATAAATTGTGAAGCAGGTAAAGTCATATCCCTCACGTCTTGTCTTTGTTTCTGGAGTCGGTCCTGTACTGTCCAGCACAACAACCACCAGCCCCATGGGGCTACTAAACACTTGACATGTGTCTAGTCCACATGGAGATGCGCTGCAAGTGGAAAGTACACACCGGATTTCAAAGATCAGTGCAACAAAAACACTGAAAATGTCTCATTAATTTTTTATATTGATTACATGTTGAAATTACAATATTTTGAATATGTTAGGTTAATAAAAATACATTTGTAAAATTATTTTCACTTGTTTCTTTACACTTGTCTTAATGTGACCACTAGAAAATTTGAAATCATATATGTGGCTCACACTTGTAGCTTGCATTATTTTTCTATTGAACAGCATTGCTCTGTAGAGAAGTAAGCGTTTTTCAATTCAACCCAGAGGGCTGTGGGCCAAGGCTTACTTCACAGTGGGTTTCCTAATCTGTGCCTTTCGGTGTTGCTAGCCCTGAGCCTACTACCTCTGGCAATTTTCAAGGAAGGCTACAAGGAAAGGCAAGCTGCTTACCGTTGAATCCCCCTGTTCCAGCTGCACGGATAGAGAACTGTATTTTCGGGGCATTGCCAGTAGAGGGCATTCTTACCACACTTAAGACCAAAAAACTGGAAAACTAACGAATACAGATTGTCTTTAATACATTCTGGATTGTTAGTTAATTAAGAGATAGATTGACTGAACTAAGAAAATAAAATTAATTCAAGAGTGGGAGAATTTCTTTAAAATTTGCAGATGAAACTGGTATTTGGGGATTGATCCAATGACCAAAAAAAAAAAAAAACCATTAAAAGGAGCAACAGTATTTGAACTGCTTTTATTTTTTTCTAAAACCCTTTGAATCACAATTTTTAAAATAATTTTAATTCCTTTGTCAGACCACTAGACACAGAAGAGTGAAATTCTTAAATTTTCTGAGGTAATTACTTTATTTATAAAGGAGCTTTATCCTGTCATTTGTACAGAATATTTATAACAAAAGGTTGACCTGGAAGTCAATATTTCACGTTGTGTCAGAATGCTCTTCATGGCAGTTACTCATCTGAAGCTAACTGTCTCTAGATACTGCTTCTCCTTGGAACCATTTAGTAATATTTGGATCATGAATTAGCTTCAGTTCATGTTGCCATTGCTCAGGGTTCTTGATTGCTGACTGGTATCCTTGTCAGAAGAGGGAAATTTTGGCTGGCGCTGGTGGCTCATGCCTGTAATCCCAGCACTTTGGGAGGCTGAGGCGGGTGGATCACCTGATGTCAGGAGTTCAAGACCAGCCTGGCCAACTTGGGAAAACCCCGTCTCTACTAAAAATACAAAAATTAGCTGGTCATGGTGGTGCATGCCTGTAGTCCCAGCCACTCAGGAGGCTGAGGCAGGAGAATCAATTAAACCAGGGAGGTGAAGGTTGCAGTGAGCCAAGATCGCACCTCTGCACTCCAGCCTGGGTGACAGAGTAAGATTCTGTCTCAAAAAAAAAAAAAAAAAAAAAAAAAAAGAGGGAAATTTGGGCACAGAGACTCAGACACAGAGGGAGAACATGATGTGATGACGATGGAGGCAGAGATGGAGTGATTTGTCTGTAAGCCAAGGAGAACCAAGGGTTGCCAGCCACCACCGGAAACTAGAATTAGGCCAGGCAGGATCCTTCACTAGAGCCTTCAGAGGGAGCATTGCCCTGATTTTCAGACTTCCAGATTCCAGGACAGTGACAGGATATATTTCTGTTGGTTTTTGTTTGGTTGGTTTTATTTTTAAGACAGGGTCTTGCTCTGTCACCCAGACTGGAGTGCAGTGATGCAATCATGGCTCACTGCAGCCTCAAACCCCTAGGCTCAAGCTATCCCCCCTTCTCAGCCTTCCAAGTAGCTAGGACTACAGGCATATACCATGCCAGACAAGTTTATTTTCTTTTTTTAAAATCTACTTTTTGTAGAGACAGAGTTTCACCATGCTGTGGAGGCTGGGGGTCTCAAACTCCCAGGCTCAAGCAATCCTCCTGCCTTCACCTCCCAAAGTGCTGGAATTGCAGGCATGAACCACCATGCCCCAGGCTCCATTTCTGTTGTTTGAAGCCATTCTGTTGGTGTTACATTGTTACAGCAGCAATCCAGACACAATTTTCTGTTTTCAGAGCTAAAACATTTGATAAGATTTCTTTAAAATTATTTTTTAAATTTCTTTCAATCCATCACAGAAATATTTCAGAAAAAAAAGAGCTAGGAAACCTATTTGTTTAGATTTATTCACATAAGTATGCGCATTAATTTGAAAATAAATGCTTATATAAAATTATATAAGATTGGTCAGGGGCTGTGGCTCAGGCATATAATCCTAGCACCTTAGGAGGCCAAGGTGGAAGGATTGCTGGAGGCCAGGAGTCCAAGACCAGCTTGGGCAACATGGTGAGACTCTCATCGCTACAAAAAAATAAATAATTAGCCAGGCATCATGGCACATGCCTGTGGTCCCAGCTACCTGAAAGGCTGAGGTGAGATTGCTGGAGCCCAGGAATTTGAGGCTGCAGTGAGCTATGATGGCAGTGCTGCACTCCAGCGTGGGTTACTGAGCGAGATCCTGTCTCTTTAAAAAAAAAAATTACATAAGATTAATAAATTACAGAGATAGGCCAGGCGCAGTGGCTCACGCCTGTAATCCCAACACTTTGGGAGGCCGAGGCGGGCAGATTGCCTGAGCTCAGGAGTTCGAGACCAGCTTGGGCAACACAGTGAAACCCTGTCTCTACTAAAATACAAAAAATTAGCCAGGCATGGCAGCGTGCACCTGTAGTCCCAGCTACTTGGGAGGCTGAGGCACAAGAATCGCTTGAACCTGGGAGGCAGAGGTTGCAGGAGACAAGATCGCACCACTGCACTCCAGCCTGGGAGACAGAGCGAGACTCCATTGCAAAAAATAAATAAATAAATGAATAAAATAAATAAAAATAAATTACAGAGATAAATATATCCCAATCCCAACTTGTCATATACATATTTCTTCATCAAGAACCTGCGGCCTCTCAGTATCGTCACATGCTGCATCTTAGCTGTCACACTAACCGTATGATATTGACATTAACTGGTGATGAAACGGGACTTAATGTCGCTATGTGGTCTAGCCAGGCTCAGGCATCCAGTACCTGATACCTGCTTTTCTTCTCTGGGTTAGAGTAAAAAGAATGTCCACAGCAGAGATGAGCTTATGAATTGATTGGAAAATAATTTTCTTTAAAACTTCTCTAGGGAAGAATCTCCACAGACCACATTCTTGGCACCATCCTGCCACCCACCTTGGCCCCATCCTGCCACCCACCTTGGCCCCTGCCTTTCTGCTCTTGAAAAGCCCAGCTTCTCCTCTCCCACTACCGAGAGGCAGCTCAGTAATGAATTCCTCTTAGTAGCCAGCCCAGCCCAGCCCAAAACAGTCTCTTCTCCTTCCTGAAGTTCCTGCTTGTAACACTACTCGCCGTTATTACACAGGATTGTGTATTGCTTATTTCTCCATATGTGAATAGATTGTAAGCTCTTTGAAAATAGGGATCATGCCCTACACAGGGAGTTCCCTGTGAAACTGTGAAAGCTGGAAACACCACGAATGAATGCTCATTTCTGAGTGCCAACAAGAAGTCCCAGGTCCGAGAATAGCAAATGACAGGTGCTCCAAATGGGATAAATGAACTAATCTAAAGTTGATTCCAAAAGCAAGCACTGCATGACATGGAAAGGGTTTATAACTTTGCACGTTATAAGGGTCACTGGTGGTGCACAGGAGATGAAGGGCAGTGGCCACTGTTGGCAGAAACCCGCATGCTGTTCTGTTTTCCTAAAATAAAAAGGAAGCATTGGCCAGGCGCAGTGGCTCACACCTTTAATCCCAGCACTTTGGGAGACCAAGGTGGGCAGATCACCTGAGGTCAGGAGTTCAAGACCAGCCTGGCTAACATGGTGAAACGCCATCTCTACTAAAAATGCAAAAATTAGCCAGGTGTGATGGCGGGCACCTGTAGTCCCAGCTACTCCGGAGGCTGAGGCAGGAGAATGGCATGAACCTGGGAGGCGGAGCTTGCAGTGAACTGAGATAGCACCAATGAACTCCAGCCTGGGTGACAGAGCAAGACTCTGTCTCAAAATAAAATAAAATAAAATAAAATAAAATAAAATAAAATAAGAAAAAGGAAGCATCCAACAGTATCCACGATGTGGTAAAAATGCAGAAACACAGAGCAGTGGGGGCGTGATGTGCTGGGGATGCTGGTGAAAAAGAGGAGCCCGAAAAGAAGGATGGAGAAAAACACCAAGCAGAGGAGCAGCTTTACTCAATCGGTAGAATATCCCTAACTTGGAGCCTATCAGAGCTGACCCGACTACATGGAGAAGCCTTGGGCATTAAGTGTCAGAATTCACTGCAAGATCTGAGTGAGAGACCTTACAAAGGTAACATTCAATACCTTTGTAAAGTACTGGGCTCCATTAATAAGTTTCCCTACAATTTCATACCTGACAGTCTACATTACATAAGATAGCATTATGCTGTGTCTGCCGCAGTGATGCCCTAGAAACAGGAGACTGTTATACGGTCTACTTTATTTTCCCATAGGAATAATGCTACACCTTGGCATCAAGTAGTTCATAGAGGTAAAAATAAAAAGCACCACCAGTTACTGAGTGTCTGCTATGAGCCAGGTAATTGCCTGTTCTTGAGTCTCACTTCAAAATCTCTAATACTTTCTGTTATACCATGGAGTCTCAAGAGGCAGGCATAAAAGCATAGGTGCAACTTTAAGCATCCACAGTAATTTCAAGTGATATAATTATTTTCTGCTTCAAGGGACTGATTTAAAGCAGCAAGATAACTTAGAGGTGATGTAGCTTTTTCTCTTCACTGACAAGCAAACTAAAGACAAAAGAGAGAAGCTAAGTGACCTTCCCAAAGTCAAAAGGTAAGGCAGTGGGATAGCTGAGTATAGAACTGAAGTCTTCTGATTCCATCAGACTCCTTTCATCCAAACCCCTTCCTTTACTCTCTGAGAAAGGCACCAAAGCTGTTGAGTGGAAGAGGCAGGCTTAGAACTTAGGACTTCTGGACTCCAGAGAGAGCTCTTTGCACAACATTACAATGTGTAGACACAACACCATAAAATTACAATGTCACTGTTGGTACTTCTAAAATATATCTGTGTTGTTAATACTCATGAGTTAGACAATCAATGCCCAATGCTTCCCTTTTAGGGAAATTTAGAAGGAGCTTGGAGAGTTAGGTACCTTTCACATAATAGTCAACTCAATTTAGATTTGTTGATTGACATATTGGCCACTTGGATCAATTACATGATACTTTACACTCTGGGGTCTTTGAAGAGAGCCAACTTCTAAACAAGTTAATGTTTCCATCTCCCTCCAAGGTATACATTTCCCCTGACCTAAATCAACCCCTTAGGGGCTCTTATAATATCCCTTTCCTGGAGTTTCTCACTTGTCCCTGGCACAATAAGACTACTTTGCTTAGGGGTATTCCTTACCTTGATAGGGGTAGTATATTTTCTCTTTTAAGAGGGAACCTGAACCTTTTGCTACTACAAAGTCCCTCCATTGGAAAAAATGAGCCCTAAAACACAAGGAGTGAAAGCAAAACATTTCTGTCTTTTCATGTCTTTATTGGTAATGTTCCCAAGCATAACATCTCTTACTACAGCATTTTAATAACCTGTGAATGCCTAATCATAAGACTATATGAGAGGCTGGGTGTGGTGGCTCACACTTGTAATCCCACCACTTTGGGAGGCTGAGGTGGGCGGATCATGAGGTCAGCAGTTCGAGACCAGCCTGACCAACATGGTGAAACCCTGTCTCTACCAAAAATACAAAAATTAGCCGGGCATGATGGTGCGCACCTGTAATCCCAGTTCTCAGGAGGCTGGGGCAGGAGAATTGCTTGAACCTGGGAGTCGGAGGTTGCAGTGAGCCAAGACTGTGCCACTGCACTCCCGCCTGAGCAAGAGAGCGAGACTCCATCTCAAAAAAACAAAAACAAAAAAAACCAGACTATATGACAGGCACTTGTGATTAATACTGGAATCCACTGTTTCTCATATGATTTTTGCAGACCCAATTTGCATCTTTACAAAATCTATGACAAATTTGTTTTTCAGACTGCAACTAGTGGTCATTCACATGTTACTGAGTGTGTTTTGCATGATACTCTTTGGCCCAATGCTTTGTTGTGCTAGGTTAGGTAAGCTACAGAATTCTCCAAGAGGACCAGGGGCGGAGGATGGAATTTTCCAATGAAAAACACAGCCATTTTGCAACTTCGAAAATATCACTGGCCAAGAATTGCCCTTGGGAATAGTTTGTCTGGCATAGAAGAGCTTATTTTCCCAGGACAACCTTAGGATATAATTTGGTAATGAGATCATTTGGCAACCTTGAGGTTTAATACAGTGAAATTAAATAATTGAATTGGCTGTGGTTTTTAACTTACTCCTCCAAGGTGGAATTTGGCCAAGATTATGAGTAAACATTTGGGCTTCCAAGACTTCCATTTTGGAATTACGATTTGAATAATATGAAAAGACAACTCTCTTTGGTAGCACCGAGTGCCTTTACATGAATAAGTAAATTCTTTCATTGTATCCAGTTTCTTCTCTAGGCATAATTCAGGCCCAGCCCTTTCCATGATCACTGAAACCAACATCTCTCACTGCTTGTTTATAACTTATAAGCCGTAAAATGTATTTATCATTCGTTTTGACCCATAAAGACTGCCTTCGGTATATATCTGCTTTATTTTTTCAGTCGTTTTAGAAGTTTTCAAGAAGGGGCCATGTTTGACTTCTGTCTGGGACTCATTTCTCTTAAACATCAAATTTAAGTGCTGCATACCTGACAGAGTCTCAACTAACACTATCTGACCAAGTGATTGAAAACCATTATTGGTTCTAACACAGCTGTGCCATGAATTCTATCGTCTCTTCTTTGAGTCCCAGGGTTCACATCTATTTACACATATAAATAAGAATTCTATCCCATGTTTTGATTTCAAAGCCCAACATTATTACAGCTAAAGCATAAATAGGAGTATTGAATGTCTTATGTACTTAAAATATTGACCTTCAAGTGCCCTGAAACAGCAACTTCTAATAAAACATTGTTGAAGTTTGGCAATTTTTGGTTTTTCATAGGGAAACTGATAAATTACAAAGAAGGTAACCAGCTGATTTTCAATCTTAAGGTTCCAATTGGGGTGACCTTTTTCAGCGGCCCCCAGTCCTGTTTCCTTACTTCCTACTACCCAGAGTATTACCCTAATCTGTTACTCAAAAATTTACCTAAGGGCCGTTTACTAAAAGTTTAGCTAGTAATTAAATCATAAGGCTTCTCTGTGTGTTCCACACAAAACCACAACCACAGCTTATTTTTTTCCTGACAGTTATATTCTTTTTGTTTTTATAGCCAATTTTTTTTAGATGTTTTTTATTTTCTTTTTTCTTTTTTTTTCCAGACAGGGTCTCACTCTGTTGCCCAGGCTGTAGTGCAGTGCCATGATCTTGGCTCACTGCAACCTCCACCTCCCAGGCTCAAGCGATTCTTCAGCCTCAGCCTCCTGAATAACTGGGATCACAGGTATGCACCACCACGCCTGGCTAATTTTTGTATTTTTTGCAGAGGTGGGGTTTCACCATGTTGCCCAAACTGGTCTCAAACTCCTGAGCTCAAAGCAATCCGCACCCCACTCGGCCTCCGAAAGTGCTGGGATTATAGGCATGAGCCACTGCACCCAGCCATGACAGTTATATTCTTTTTAAAAATGGCTGCAGTATCAAGAAATGATATAAAGTTATGCACTTTGAAAAGGAAGAAAAGAGAGATGGAAGCAAAGCTTAAGGTCTCAGGAAAGATTTGCGTGAAGTTGATACAAATGAGCTTGTAAAAAGTGAAGGACCTGAGCATGGTGCTGCACACCTCTCATCCCTCCTACTTGGGAGGCTGAGGCAGGAGGATGGCTTGAGCACAGGAGTTCCAGGCTACAGTGAGATATGATCTATGTTCGTACCACTGCACTCTAGCCTGGTGACAGAGTAAGAGAGCATTATACAATTTTCAGGAAAAAAAATTACTAAACAAACATTATAGGCATCATATTTGAGCCCTCTCTGATACATAATTCCTACTCTTATGATGTCTTCACTTATTTCTGCTTAATCTTGTTGACTTGATTTAGCAATCAAATCGGACAATGAACAACTAATGTAGACTATAATTCCTGGGAAAATATGCAGTTAGACAATGATATGCAAAATTCCTTTGCTCATGTAGCCAATCATTAGCCTGATGATGGCATTGTTGCTATTTAGGAGATTGTACCATTTGGTGCTGGGGGGACTCCTGAAATTGAACCTAAATTCTCCTGAAACTAGTCCATGAGAAATAAAGAGGTGGATTTTTGGAATAAAAATGATTCCACTCCAATACTCTCACCCTAGATCTGCGTGTTGATTTAGTGACAGCAATCTTGGCACTCCAAATTTTGCCAATCCAAAAGACAACTGGAATGAGTTACTCTGGAGAAGAGGCACTCAGTGGACAATAAGAGCTTGTAGATCCAGATGAATTTTGCTGCTGGAATATGTATTGGTCAGCATATTTCCAAGATATGGAAAACTAATTCCTCTTTTCTAAACCAAATGCTTCCCCTCCATACAATGTCCCAAGGCAGTGCTTTACCTTTCTTTATAAGCATCTGCCTTTGGTCACTCCTCTTTTTTATTATCTATTGTTGATATCTAAATAAATGCAACAGTTGTCTTAGTCTTATAAAATGTAAATTACATATTCACATCTATATAGCACCAACAAAAATTTTATAGTTGCTTGTGAGCATAGCATTTAGAATATGAAATCTTACACATTTCTCTTATGTTAAGAGCAGAATATTAATTTTTCCTATCTCCTTTATAGAGATGTGTTCTGAAATATTACTGTAGCAGATACACCCCAGTAAGTCATACCTCTGTGTAATTTCCTTCTCCTTGAGTGCAGGCAGAACCCGTGACTTGCTTCAAACCAATAGAATATGGCAAAGGTGAAAGGATTTTGTAGATGTAATTAAGGCACCTAAGTAGTTGATTTTGAATTCATCAAAAGGATGATTATCCTCAGTGAGTCCTACCTAGTCAGGTGAGCCCTTTAAAGAGGGTATGAGCTTTCCCTAAAGTAAGAGACTTGAAGCAGCAGAAACTCTGCGTGTGTGTGCATGTGTGTGCGTGTGTGTGTGTGTGTGTGTGTGTGTGTGTGTGGCTTTCAAGAAGCAGGTTATCAGCTGTCATGAATTCTACAGCTCCAGGGAAATGAATTCTGACAACAATCATAGGCAGTTGGAAGCATATCCATCCCTAGTTGAGCCTACTGATGAAAATGCATCCCAGCCTACACCTTGATCTCAGCCTTGTGAGACCTTGAGCACACAACATAGCTAAGCTGGGCCTGGCTTCTCGATCCACAGAAACTGTGAGACAATAAAAGTATGTCGTTTTAAGCCACTGAGTTTGTGCTAATTTGTTATGCAGTAATAGAAAACTAATATAATCATATTTCATGTGTTAAATGATTCTTCATAAGACACTAGAAGGATTTTCTTTAAACTTTGGGAGAATATAAGGATGTCTATTCTTGACACTTTTAACTTTGTATGGGAAAGAGGCAAAGGTATCATTGTTTGCAGAAGTTTTCATCATTTGCCTAGAAACCCTCAGAGAACAGGTAGATGATCTATTAGAAACAAAGTGTCTGCCAAAATCAACCTGCATATATTCATGGTCTCCTGTATATAAACCATAATCTGCTAGAAAATATGGGAAGAAAATATATTACTTGTGATAGCAACAATAGCACAGTGAAATTCCTAGAGATAAATCCAAATCAAATGTTCAGAAACCATGTGAAGAAAAATATAAAACACTGCTAAGAAGCATACAAGAAACCGGGTGCCATGACTCATGCCTATAATCCCAGCACTTTGGGAGGCTGAGGTGGGCAGATCAGGAGGTCAGGAGTTCAAGACCAGCCTCACCAACATGGTGAAACCCCGTCTCTATTAAAAATACAAAAATTAGCCAGGAATGGTGGTGCATGCCTGTAGTCCCAGCTATTCAGGAGGCTGAGGTAGGAGAATAGCTTGAACCAGGGAGGTGGAGGTTGCAGTGAGCCAAGATCACCCCACTGCACTCCAGCCTGGGTGACAGAGCGAGACCTGTCAAAAAAAAAAGCATACAAGAAGACTTGAAGAAAGACGTATCATGATTTTTAAACCTGAGGGAAACTCATTTCTATAACGATGTGTCCATCTACTCTGAATTAATATATCAATTCAATTACAAAATAAATAAATGTTTTAGGTGGAATTTGACAAATAATACTAAAATTCATGTGGAAAAGTAATGTAAGAAAAATCTGAACTATTCTGAAAATTTTTGATAGCAAACATTTAATGAGTGTTAACTATGTTTTGAGCCCAATTCTGTGATGTTCTAATCTCATTTAATTCTCATGTAGCCCCAGTAGACAGAGAGTAATACCACCCCCATTTTACAGATGCAGAAACAGCAGTTTAGAGAGATTGAGTAATTGCCTACTATGTGCTAGAGTCAAGATTCTGAAGGTGGCGTGGTGGCTCATGCCTGTAATCCCAGTACTCTGGGAGGCTGAAGCAGACAGATCACCTGAGGTCAGGATTTCGAGAACAGCCTGGTCAACATGGTGAAGCCCCGTCTCTACTAAAAATACAATATATTAGCTGGGCGTGGTGGCGGGCACCTGTAGTCTCAGCTACTTGGGAGGCTGAGGCAGGAGAATCGCTTGAACCCAGGAGGCAGAGGTTGCAGTGAGCTGAGATCGCATCATTACACTCCAGCCTGGGCAACAAGAGCAAAACTCCATCTCAAAAAATAAAAAATAAAAATTGAAGCAAGCATTCTGATATCAGAAACTGAGCCCTTAACTAGTGTTGCATTCTGCTTAGAAGAAATTGGGCAGTCTCACAAGATACTGAAATGTATTATAAAGCCATTGTAATAAGTTTTGTTGGAGTAAGAATAGGTGGTTAAAAGGAATAGTTAAAACATCATCAAGAATTCAGACAAATCCTTGTGAGAAAATGGTACACAATAAGGGCTGCCCTTTCAAATGAGTGAAGAAAAGATGAATGTTAACTAAATAATATTGGAACAATTGGCTACTCATTTGGAATAAATAAAACACCAAAATAAATTCCAGACAAGTCAAAGATTTAGATGCAATAGTGAAACCCTGAACACACTGGAAGAAGATAAAGGTATGATGTTGTTGTTTTAAATAATCTACTAGTGGGTAAGCTCTTTCTCAACACAGCAAAAAAGAAAAAGAATAATAAATTTTCATGCCAAAAAAGTAATGACCCAAATACTAACAGGTAAAATATGTGCAACACATACAACAGAAGAATACCTTGTTTTATATGCTTTTATAAAGCATATAAATCCATAAATCCACATCCACAGACTCAACCAACTGCAGGTGAAAATATGAGTAAAAAGAAGGCCAGGCACGATGGCTCATGCCTGTAATCCCAGCACTCTGGGAAGCTGAGGCGGGCTGATCACAAGGTCAGGAGTTCGAGACCAGCCTGGCCAATATGGTGAAACCCCGTCTCTACTAAAAAATACAAAAATTAGCTGGGTGTGGTGGTTTGCACCTGTAGTCCCAGCTACTCGGGAGTCTGAGGCAGGAGAATCGCTTGAACCCGGGAAGCAGAGGTTGCAGTGAGCCAAGATCTCGCCACTGCACTGCAGCCTGAGCGACAGAGCAAGACTCTGTCTCAAAAAATAAAAAATAAAATAAAATAAAATAAAAACAAGATGGGCCAGGCACAGTGGCTCACGCCTGTAATCCCCAGCACTTTGGGAGGCCGAGGTGGGCGGATCACCTGAGGTAAGAAGTTCGAGACCAGCCTGGCCAATATGGTGAAACCCCATCTCTACTAAAAACACAAAATTACCAGGGTGCAGCTAAAAAAACTTCTTTCTTCTGTTTTTTTATTCTAGCCTGCAAACTTCTTGAGGGCAGACCCGTCGTCTTTTCTTCTGTGCTAATGCCTTATGTCATGTTCACCCTTATATGACTAGCAATGAGGAATTGCTGCTTCATCCCCACGCCCTCCATCACATGGCTGAATGAATGACATTGATGGGTTGATTCCCACACCTCCTTATCAGTCCACAAGCTGGCTGTGGCTTCATATGAATAAAATGAATAGCAATAAGTGAGAAAGGGCTGGGCCTTCAAGGTAGCTGAGCACATTCAGAAAGGAATGTAACCTGATGGGCTCAACCAGCTTCCTGCCTGACAACTGCCTGAGTCACTTTCATGGGACTCATATGTTTCGGGTCAGGGAGGAAGCTGAAAACTCAACAAGTAGAGACTTGACTTCTGGGTGCACATGAGGGGACGACCTTAATATTAATATTATGCATGTCCTTTAACATGGTCTGAGTGAAATGAATTCAGTCCTGGGTGGTCTGCATGTGAGATCCTATCGAAGGCTGAATACACAAACACCACCTGCCACCCCACTGACCTTCCTAGTTTCTGAAGTCCTTGATCACAGCAGGGAAACTCCATTTTGTTCAACAAACCTTAGCTATTTAAGAACACACCCTCTTTGTACTTGTAGGTGGTAAGGCAGGGGGAGTAGGTTGTAAATGGAATAAAATGAAGTCTTAGCCCTTGGGGATTTTATCATCGAGAAAAGTAGAACACTGTGCTAGTAAGATCAACAATTTTTGAGCATCTGCTCTGCACCAGGCACTGTGTTAGGCACTTGGCATGTGTGATTTAAGGGCAATTCAAGGTCCAAAGTGTGATGAGAGCTCAGAGAGATTTCAGAAGTTTCCTGAAGAAGTGACATTGGAACTGACACTTGAGGAATAGTATGATTTTAACAGGTTGAATTGGTGAAAGCAATGGAAGGAGCCAGGATTTTTTTTTTTTTCTCGAGATGGAGTTCTCCTCTTGTTGCCCAGGCTGGAGTTCAATGGCATGATCTCAGGTCATTGCAACCTCCCCCTCCCTTGTTCAAGCCATTCTCCTGCCTCAGCCTCCCGAATAGCTGGGATTACCGGCCCCCGCCACCATGCCCGGCTAATTTTTGTATTTTTAGTAGAGACAGGGTTTCACCATGTTGGCCAGACTGGTCTCAAACTCCTGACCTCAGGCGATCCACCCACCTTGGGCTCCCAAAGTGCCGAGATTACAGGTGTGAGCCACACCAGGCCAGAAGCAAGAATCTATTCTTCAAAGCCCAAGAGGCAAGGAACGGGGGCTGCACTGCAGGAACTGGGAATATCCCTTTTGGCTCTGCATCCCTTGTTTTCTAAAATGAAACACTTGCAGGAACCTCCCATTTGATCTTACTGCCTCCTCTCTCTTTCTGGTGTATCCTAAAAGGACTGTCAGATCCACCTTCATGAAACCAACATCTGACCAAATCACAACTCTACCAAGAAGGAAGACAGGAAGACAGAAAAGCAGGAGGTAGTGACAGAATGAAGAGGGAAGCTTTCAACATTATCTTACAGAATAATGTCCAAACTCCTTATTCCAAGCCTCTAACTGGCAGTGCCAGTTGGTGTATTTTTAGCTTCATCTCCTGCCACTCCAACCCCACAGTGCCTCTGCTTCCTACATTCCAGGGATCCCTCAGAGCAGGTACTTTATTCTTCCGCGCCTTTATTTCTGCTTTTCCTTCTGCCTGAAATGGCCTGCACTCCGTCAAAATCAGATTAAGATTTTAAACTTCAGTTTAAGTGAACTTTCCCTAAGACATCCCTAACCACTCATTCAAAATTAAGCCTTCTCTCTCCTGTGGTCCCACAGGACTTCCTGCCTCTATCCTAGCACTTGTCACCCTGGAGTCAGAAGACCTGGGTCAAACTCCAGCTCTGCCATATAAAAGCTGAATGAATTGGGGGGGATTTCTACTGATACCTCTGAGGCTGTTTCCCTTTTTCTTCTTCTTCTTCTTTTTTTTTTTTTTTTTTTTTTTGAGATGGAGTCTTGCTCTGTTGCCAGGCTGGAGTGCAGTGGCACGATCTTGGCTCACTGCAACCTCTGCCTCCTGAGTTGAAGTGATTCTCATGCCTCAGCCTCCCGAGTAGTTGGGATTATTGGCATGTGCCACCACACCCAGCTAGTTTTTGTATTTTTAGTAGAGATGGCATTTCACCATATTGGCCAGGATGGTCTCAATCTCCTGACCTCATGATCTGCCAGTCTCGGCCTTCCAAAATGCTGGAATTACAGGTGTGAGCCACCGCGCCTGGCCTGTTTCCTCTTTTGTAAAAATGGGATACTTAAGATTTACCTTGTCGTATACAATAAGATAATGTATGCAAAACTCTTACACATGTAACATATTTACATTTTAAATATGTAAACGGTTAAAAGTTTCTACTCCACTAAAATGTAAGGTCCCAGGGAATAGGAATTTTAAAATGAAAAATTTTCCTTTTAAAATAATACTTACAGGCTGGGTGTGGTGGTTCCCGCCTGTAATCCCAGCACATCGGGTGGCTGAGGCAGGCAGATCACTTGAGGACAGGAGTTCGAGACCAGCCTGGACAAAATGGCAAAACCCCATCTCTACAAAAACACAAAAAATTTGCCAAGCATGGTGGCACACGCCTGTCATCCTAGCTACTCGGGAGGCTGAGGCAGGAGAATTGTTATGGGAGGTGGAGGATGCAGTGAGCCGAGATTGTGCCACTGCTCTCCAGCCTGGGTGACAGAGCGAGACTTTGTCTCAAAAAAAATAAAAATAAATACACAAATAAAAATTAAAAATAAACTCTTACAGAATAGTTGCAAAGGTATACAGAGAATTCCCATATATTCTTCACCCAATTTCCCCTACTGTTAACATCTTAAATAACCATGGTACATTTATCAACAATAAGAAATTAACATTGATAAAATACTATTAGCTAAACTGCAGACTTTATTCTCATTCTTACAACAGTTTTTCAACTCATGGCCCTTTTCTGTTTCAGGATCCAATCCAGAATCCCATACTGCATTTAGTTGTCATCTTCTTAGTCTCTACAATCTGTGACAGTTCCTCAGTCTTTCCTTGTCTTTTATGATCTTGACATTTTTGAGGAGCACTGGTTATTTTGTAGAAGTAGAAAAACCCTCCATATGAATTTTTCTGATGTTTTCTCATGATTAGATTGAGGTTACAGGTTTGGGAAGCATACCACAGAGCTAATGTGCCCTTCTCCACATCAGGGGTTCCATCATAACAACATGGCTTATTACTGGTGATAAAAGAGGGGTTTTTTGTTTGTTTGTTTGTTTTTACCGATTCTCACTCTGTTGCCCAGGCTGAAGTGCGGTGGTGTGATCTTGGCTCACTGCAATCTCTGCCTCCTGGGTTCTAGTGATTCTCCTGCTTCACCCTCCCAAGTAGCTGGAGTTACATGCAGGCACCATCACGCCTGGCTAATTTTTGTTTGTTTGTTTTGAGACAGAGTTTCGCTCTGTAGCCCAGGCTGGAGTGCTGTGGTGCGATCTCAGCTCACCACAACCTCTGCCTCCTAGGTCCCGGTTCAAGAAATTCTCCTGCCTCAGCCTCCCGAGTAGCTGGGATTACAGGAACGCACCACCATGCCCAGCTAATTTTTGTATTTTTAGTAGAGACAGGGTTTCACCATGTTGGCCAGGCGGGTCTTGAACTGCTGACCTCAGGTGATCGCCCGCCTTGGCCTCCCAAAGTGCTGGGATTACAGGCGTGACTCACCACACCCGGCCTAATTTTTGTATTTTTAGTAGAGATGGAGTTTCACCATGTTGGCCAGGCTGGTCTCGAACTCCTGACCTCAAGTGATCCACCCACCTCGGCCTCCCAAAGTGCTGGGATTACAGGCGTGAGTCACCACGCCCGGCCCATCTTTGCTTAAATTATAAACTCAGTTTCTCCCACAGTTAGTTCAGCCTATGCTCAGGAATGTACAAGGACAGCTTGGAGGTTAAAAGTAAGATGGAGTTGGTTAAGTTAGATCTCTTTCACTGTCTCAGTCATCATTTTGCGAAGGCAAATTCACAAGTGGGAAGAAAGGACGGGTAGATGCAGGGCAGAGAGAGGGCTCTGTGCTTCGAGCCTGGATGATACAGATTTGGCAATACTATTCTAAGGAGAGACCAGAGAAAGAAGTTTAGGGTAGAAGGTAATTAATTAGAGTATGTTGAATTTGTCTTGCAGAAAAACCCTGTGAAGGAAACCTCTGGGAGGCTGTTGTAAATGCTGGGCTGGGGATGGGGTGGGTCTAGAGATCCAGATTTGAAGCAATTTCTAGTCTATTGATAGCTGAAGCTCAAGAAGAGAGTTAGATGAGCAGAGGTGAAGAGAGAAGAGGACATCAGACTCTTGAGTAAATTCAGCTTAAGCTCAGGGAGGAGTAAGAAAGGGAGACAGTGAAGGAAGCAGATAAGGAATATTGGGAAGCTGGACAAACAAGAACTGGGTAGTTGACAATACCAATGAAGAGGGAAGAGGAGAGGACTTTAATTCTTTCGGAGATGCCAGATGAGAAAAAATTAAGAAATGAGTGAGAAAAAAATGATGGAGTGATTAAACATCTATGTTGCTTTCCTTTGAGAATGTTAACTATGAAAAGAAGAAAAGGGTGGTGGTGGCTGCAAACCATAGGAAGGCTGAGAAAGGGTTTTACTTTGGTTCTGCCTCTAATCCCTGACGCATTCAACCTCCTCAAGCCATTTGCTTGTAAACATAACTGGCATAAATAATATCTGATATGCCCATTTTACAGGACAAGTGCTTCCCTCTCAGACCACATACTCGAGGACAGCGGCCGTCCACGCCTTATTTACATTCATCTTCCCAACACAACAGTCATTTGGAAGATGCCGAGTGGCGTGGGAAGAACAAGCGGGAACGAGCGCCGACCCGCCCGCGGCCTGACTGCTAGCGCACCGCTGTGCGGCCGCCTCACCGCGCACTCCCTCCTGAATTATTCACCACCGAGACGAGGACGGTGATCGCCCCCATTCCACAGAGGACACGGAGTGAAGGCGCAGTCACAGGCCCAAAGCCCCCAGTCGGCGGGTCTTGGAAATGGACGACTTTTTCACTCAAAAGCTACGAGGCAACAAAGCATGTGGATGAGGAGGGAAGGGAGCCGGGGCCAATAATTCATCTCAAAGTAAAAGACGTCCCCGGGGGTGGGGAACAAACAAACAACAAAACCCGGCTCTGTGCTTCCGCGCTTGCGCTCTCCTAGGTCTGCCAGGCTGCCGCCCGCGCCTAGGCCAGAGTCTCAGTGCGCCTGCGCCGAGCCCGACTTCCGCCAGGGCTCGATTGGCTTCCAGGCTACTTCTCCCGGCCCAGGGAGGGCCTGCGCTGTGGCTAGAGAAGGGAGTCTGGTGACTGGGTGCGCGTGCTGATGACGAAATCGGAAGTGCCCGGAGCAGAGGCGGGACCAGAACCTAGAGGGCCTCGGGATTGCGGAAGTTTGGTGGGGAGGGTCGGAGCTCTGGTGGAGAGAGTGTTGTCTAAAACAAGTTCCGGAAGGGAGGCTGCCCTTCGCGGTCCGAGAACCACCGGCCTCCCCAGTTTGAGGGCTGTTACCCCGTGCGCGCTTCGACGTTGCTGCTGTTGGCTCTCCTCGCCCCTCGTTCCCTTGGGAACCGCCTGGGAACTCCGCCATGTCATCCACTTCGCCCAACCTCCAGGTATCATTGCTCATCTCCCGTCCCCCTAGGGAGCTGGGATCGAGGGGAGGCGCGAGAAGCGGGTGGGGGGCGGGGAGAAGGGAGGAAGCGGCCGCGCCTGTGGTCGAGGCGCAGGAGGGCGGGTCCGGGGACCTGCAGCAGGTGGGAGAGGGGCCCGTTTTCCAACGGAAAGGTCGTTTCTGGCCCGCTCTTGGGGTCTCCCGAGCTACTGGCTTTGTGAGACTCTTCACTTTTGTTGACACTTCCCGCTTCCAAACCAGCCAAGATCTGGGCAGGTTTCTCCAATCAGGGTTAACGGAGAAAGAAAGAACGTAATTTTTGCAAAGCCCTATTCTGGACCAGTTGAAGATAGGGTGGTCATAGTTCGGTCTTAGTTTCTCAAGCTGACAGCAGACCCCTTCATTCTGAGCTGTCAGGTGAGTAGAGATATGGGAACAGACCAAGAATCTGAGATTACAGCCAGCCTGCATGCAATCTCCGTGAAGTCATTGAATTTATGTGCACACTCCTGTGGCTCCCAGATGGTAGTGTGTAAGATCGAGGAGTATTCTTAAACCTCTGTGTGGCTCCACTTCCCCTCCTCTACCGCAATGAGCACAGTGTTTTGTACACAAATCATGGAATCTTAAGATTTTAGGCTTAATCGTTAGTCCTCTGTGGAATGGAATTCGTTCAGAAAAGAAATTTCTTAATGTAATGGTGTCTCCCATCCCCAGAATGGATCTAGGGCTTCAGTGGCGTTTAGAATGTAATGTGGCTTAATGTAGAGGACTCCCAGTCCAGTAAGTCAATAAGGCACAAAAGAGTAGCCTAAAATACTTGTATTGAGTCCCCGTCGTGGACTTCCGGTAGTTTGTTGAACAAGCAGTTATTGGAGTGCCTGACAGAGGCATCAAAGGTAATGGAAGAACTCCTTAACCCATGATAATTGATTCTGAAGAAAGACCACTCAAAGTAGACCCACTTAAACAGAGATTAAAATTTCACACACACATACACAAAAAGAGTGGGAAAGGAGGCTTGCTTGGGACTTTCATCTTGAAAATCGACCTAGAAGATTATTAAAATAATTGTTATCTTTCACAAAATATTATAATTGTATAATTGCAACAATGACTCATTTTGTGGAATAAGTCAAGTGTTGATTTGTCTGTGTTTTTTTCCTTTTCTTTTCTTTCTTTTTTTTTTTTTTTTTGAGACGGAGTCTTGCACGGTCGCCCAGGCTTGAGTGCAGTGGCGTGATTTCAGCTCACTACAACCTCCACCTCCCAGGTTCAAGCGATTCTCTTGCCTCAGCCTCCTGAGTACCTGGGACTACAGGCACCCACCACCACGCCCAGCTAATTTTTGTATTTTTAGTAGTAGAGATGAGGTTTCACCATGTTGGCCCAGGCTGGCCTCTTGACCTCAGGTGATCCGCCTACCTCAGCCTCCCAAAGTGCTGGGATTACAGGCGTGAGTCACCGTGCCCGGATGACTATCTTTTTCACCAAGGTTGTATTAAACTAAGATTCAGCAATCTTCACTTGAGTTTTTTGTAGCTTTTTGTAGTCCTATTTGGAAAGGTTCTTTTTGGTAAACGTATTTGGAAAAAGCGTTGGTCATTTGGTAAAAGTATTTTTCCCTTGAGTATTAAAGGTGACTCTTCTGAAGTGCCCATCTTGTCATCGTTGGCTTTTTAACAATTTTTATTCCACCAGCTTTTCATTTGTCAGAGACTTTGCATGTGATTTCGATACTCTACAACATAATCTTCATCATTTGCAGGTTTTTGTTGTTGTTGTTTTGAGACAGTCTTGCTCTGTTGCCCAGACTGGAGTGCAGTGGCGTGATCTTGGCGCACTGCAACCTCCACCTCCCAGGTTCAAGTGATTCTTGTGCCTCAGCCTCCCGAGTAGCTGGGATTACAGGTGCCTGCCACCACGCCTGGCTAATTTTTTCTATTTTTAGTAGAGACAGGGTTTCACCATGTTGGCCACGCTGGTCTTGAACTCCTGACCTCAAGTGATCCGCCCGCCTTAGCCTCCCAAAGTGCTGGGTTACAGGTGTGAGCCACCGTGCCCGGCCCCAGAATGCATCATACTTGAATTGGACTGTTGGCTGTTCTTCAGTGAATCAGCCAGAGACTGACCAACATGAAAGGCATAATTGTTACTCTTAAGCAGGAAGGATCTTGAATTGTAATTTTGTTAGTGGTAGGTTCACATGTGTGCTTTCTCATTCAACCTTTTCAACCTTCTAACCTAGGAAATTTGGATTAATATTCATGTAGTGATTAACTTCCTGCTGAACAAGGCAAAAATCTCTGTGGCCAGATGCTTATAATCTAATGAGGGAATGCAGATAACTAAAAATCAAAATTATATAATGTAATAAAGCTGCACAGTATTCTCCACTTCCCTGTGGTTTTACTTTCCACAGTTTCAATAACCCGAAGTTAACCTGGGTCCAAAAATTTTAAATGAAATATTCTAGAATAAATAGTTCATAATTTTGAAACACTATGTCACAATGCCTGTGTCATTCACTTCAGTTCATATCATGACGTAGGCATTTTATTATTTCACATAATCACAAGAAGGTTGAGAACAGTGCAATAAGATGTTGAGAGAGAGAAACCACATTCACATCACTTTTATTACAGTATATTGTAATAAAATGTACTGGGCAAGGAGGCAAGGTCTGTGGGATGGGAGGCGGTAAGGGGCCAAATTAGTAGAGTATCCATTCAAATGAAGTGGAAAGGATTGATCAAAGGAGAAAAATTGAAGATGGAGAAGAGTCAAGCTTGTATCTGCATTTATTTTTTTTTTTTTGAGACAGAGTCTCACTCTATTGCCCAGGCAGGAGTGCAGTGGCATGATCTCGGCTTATGGTAACCTCCATCTCCCAGGTTCAAGCGATTCCCCTGCATCAGCCCCCCATGTAGCAGCTGGGATTACAGGCATGCACCAACACACCCAGCTAATTTTTGTAGAGACGGGGATTCGCTGTGTTGGCCAGGCCAGTCTCAAAGTCCTGAACTCAGGTGATCCACCCCCGTTGGCCTCCCAAAGTGGTAGAATTACAGGCGTGAGCCACTGCTCCCTGCTGTATCTGCATTTTAAAAGTGAGGGAGGAGGAAGAGTCTGAGTTTTCTCCCAGATTTCTGGGTTGGGTATCTGAGTACCCAACTCAGGTAGGGATTGGTTCTGGGAATACAAAAGGAGAGCTATTTGGGGCCAGGGCAAGGGAGCAAAATAATTTGGTTCTAAACTTGTCGAGTTTGAGATGCTTGTGGAGACAATCAAATGGAAATGTCCGGTGAATATTTGCATACATATGTGTAGAAGTAGGGAGAGTGGACTAGGCTGGAAATAAGGATTTATTAGCGTACAGGTGGTAGCAGAGGTTGTAGGCATACAGAGTCACATCCTGGAGAGTTTACAGAATAAGGCAAAACAAAGACCACGTTAGAAATTCTATGGATTAGCGACAGTTAAGGAGAGAGAAATGGGAGCCTGGAAAAGAATTATGAATCAAAAGTAAAACCAGGCCAGGCGCAGTGGCTCATGCCTGTAATCCCAGTGTTTTGGGAGGCCGAGGCAGCAGATCGCTTCAGCTTAGGACTTCGAGACCAGTCTGGGCAACATGGTGAAAACCCCTCTCTACAAAAATTAGCCAGGTGTGGTGGTGCATGCCTGTAGTCCCAGCTACTCCAGAGGCTGAGGTGGGAGAATGGCTTGAGCCCAGGAGGTGGAGGTAACACTGAGGCGTGATCACACCCGTGTACTCCAGCCTGGGTGACACAGTGAGACCCTGTCTAAAAAAAAAAAAATACTAAAACTAGAAGAAAATGGTGTCATGACAGCCAGGCAAGGAGACACTGTCAGGGTATTTGTTGTGTGTGTTAAATGCTGCGGAGAGGGAGTGAGATAAGCATATGATTTGGCTATCAGGAGGCAGAAAGCATTGCTGTGGGAGAAATAGGAGATCAGGAAACTGGGATGAACATGGGTATTCTTTGGGATTTTGCTGTGGAGGCAAAGAGATGAGTGAGATGTAGGGAGAGGAGAACCGAGGAGCTGAGGAGTGATGGTGTGTAGTTTGTGTTCTGCAGATGTGAGTCTGAGATAGGACAACACATTTTTCTGCTGAGGGAAAAAAGGAAAGGTTGGAGAGAACAGTTGATAGGCATGTCATTGATGGAGTAAATGTCAGCAGAGGAAGGTGGGGATCAGCTCCACAGCAGAGGAGAAAGAATTGGTCTCAACAGACAGGGCCTGGGACACCTCTTCTGAGGTAGGTAATTGTAGAATTTACCCCATTTCTCAGGGTTTTCTAAGGTGGATGTGTCTGGGACTCCTAAGTGGAACAGGACAATTCCACATGTTCCCAACCTTTATACTTCCGTATGGATAACTGGATCCTGACTGATCCTGGGGTGACACAGTCATTCAGTCTTGTGTCAGCCACTGTGCTAGACTCTGGGAATATAAAGAAGTGAAGACAACAGACAGAACTGCTCTTCTCCTGGAGCTTACATTCTAATAGAAGAGAGAGGCCAATAAATTAAAAAAAAACAAAAAAAACATATGCATGCTCAGACACACACATGCACACACAAAGATCATCAGCCTTAAGTCACTGATGTAGGGGGGGAGGAAACAGAGAGAAATGAGTCCCAGCCCACACCTGATGAATATACTTCATTGTCACATAAGAGAGGAAGAATCAATGAAGGACGCTGAGAAGGAGGAGCCAGAATGGTGGGAGGAAAACCAGCAAAGTGGTGGTTGGGGGCTCAGCAGAGGACAGTGTCCAAGAAGGAGGAAATAATCAACTTTGTAAAATGTCAGAAGATCAAGAAGACAGAGCTGGTGTTTGGATCTAGCATGCTAGAGAGCCTTGATATGAGCCGTTTTATTATGTGATACAGGAAAGAGAATAGAGGCCACTCTGGTGAGATTTTTGGCTCTAAAAGGTAGCAGAGAAACAGAACTAACACCGAACAGTGTTTTGTCAAATAAGACTTTTTAAAGGAGGGCTGTTTGTATGTCGATGGAAATATCTAGTGGAGAGAAATTGTTAAGAATGACAGAAGTGAAGTAACCAAAAGGAAGAAGATACTGAAAAAGGAGTAGGGAATTTTTTTTTTCATTCGTTAAACAATTTCGAGTACCTGTTGTATGCCGGCACCATTCTAGGCATGGGTAGCTCAAGGTGAAGTCCTGTCCTCATGGAACCTACCTCCCTAAAGGAGACAGCCAGTGGGTGAGCATACAGGTAAATACAATGACAGTGATGGGATGAGAGAGTGCAGTGGGGGCAGATAGCAAAGAGAAGGAATGAGGTGCAGCCTTTGCTATAGCAAATTAGGGAGGCCTCTCTAAGGACTTGCCATCTGAACTAGGACTGAAAAGGAGACATCATGCATCTGTCTGGGGAAAGGAGGGAAGAGCATTCTAGGTGGAAGGGTTCAACTGCTTGGGCTGCCTGAGTGCAGGAGGATTCTAGGGTTCGGGGAGAACCACACGTAGCTAGGGCCCAGGTTATTTCAGACCTTGTAGATCAGCTCTAGCATCAGGATTTTATTGTTTTTAATGGGAGACCATCAAGGTTACCTTTTATGTTTTGAGGTAGCAAGGGTGGGAACAGACTGACCACTCACGAGGCTGGGTAGTAGTTTTGACATATATGATAGCAGCTTGAACTAGGGTGTTAGCAAGGGAGATGGTGAGGATTATATTCAGAAAGAAAATTAGCTCTGGCTGAAAAGGGAAGATAATGTTTGATGGACCAGAGCAGATGGAGCTGGAAGAGGGGAAGACAGGCAACAGACTCTGCCAGTATTATCTGTCTGAGACTGAAGAACTCCAGTCAGTAGTGAATGATAACAGCCAGGACCTCCAGAGGCTGCAGGCATAAATGAATGAACTCAATGCAAAAGTTCACCTATTGCAGGAGGAGCTACAGCTGCTGCAGGAACAGGGCTCCTGTATAAGGGAAGTAGTCCGGGCCATGAATAAGGAGAAAGTGTTAGTCAAGGTGTATCCCAAGGGCAAGTTTGTCTTAGATGTGGACAGAAACAGCAACATCAATGACATGAGACCCAATTGCCAGGGGGGCGCTAAGAAATGATAGCGACACACTGCACAATATCATACCCAGCAAAGTAGACCCACTGGTGTCACCAGTGATGGTGGAGAAGGTGCCAACCTTGATTTAAGAGATGATTGGTGGACTGGACAAGCAGATTAAGGACATCACAGAAGTGATCGAGCAGCCTGTTAAGCATTCCAAGCTCTTTGAAGCACTGGGTATCACACAACCCAGGGTGGTACTGCTGTACGGACCTCTAGGCACTGGGAAGACACTGTTTGCCTAGGCTGTGGCTCACCATACAGACTGTACCTTTGTTCATATCCCTGGCTCTGAATTTGTATAGAAATTCATCGGGGAAGGGCCAAGAATGGTGAGGGAGCTGTTTGTCATGGCATGAGGACCTGCCATCTGTCATCAGCTCCATCAGCTCCTCGCAGCTGGAGGGGGGTTCTGGAGGGGACAGTGAAGTGCTGCACATCGTGCTGGAACTGCTCAACCAACTGGACAGCTTTGAGGCCCCCAAGAAGATCAAGGTTATCATGGACCACTGCTTCACTCAGGGCACATCAACAGAAAAATTGAATTCCAGCTGGACATTTTGAAGATCCATTCTCTGAAAAGGAACCTGACCCAGGGGATCAACCAGAGAAAAATTGCCAAGCTTATGCCAGGAGCATCAGGGGCTGAAGTGAAAGTCATATACAGAGAAAGCAGCATATATGCCCTGAGGGAACGGCGAGTGCATGTCACCCAGGAGGACTTTGAGATAGCAGTAGCCAGCGTCATGCAGAAGGATAGAGAGTAAAACATGTCCATCAAGAAACTATGGAAGTGCGGGGATGTCCTTTGTATGGATCCCTCCGGTAAAGCTTTCTGGAATGAAAAAATAAAATAATTAGCTCTCCAGAATTAACCATAGAAGACATGGTTAATTTTATTTCAAATGAAAAATGCTAACAGACATGGTTAATTTTATTTCAGATGAAAAATGTTAACAGAAATAAGGTTGAAATGGTATTCATCAGCAGAAAAAAAACAGATGCATATCCTCTTAATTCATCGTCTTCGATTAAAGGTTTAACGTGTGCCACCCAGTACAGTGGCTGCATGTGGCTATTTTAATTACATAAACTCACTCCTCAGTCACACTAGCCACATTTCAAGTGCTCAGAAGCCATATACAGACATTCTCATCATCAGGGAAAGGCTGGTTTAATTAGCACTATGTTTGGAGCTAGATGCTTAAATAATACCCACTGCAGTATAAGAGATTTAACTTAATAAAAATCAGTGTGGTGCCTCAGTGAGGCCTGACTGAATGAGAGGAACAAGTGGCTGAAGAGGTGAGTGGCACAGCATTTCAAAATCACCTGAGAAGAAAATTATAGTTAGGATAAGAAAGAGCTTATTTCTAGGCCAGGCACGGTGGCTCACGCCTGTTATCCCAGCACTTTGGGAGGCTGAGGCAGGTGTATCACCTGAGGTCAGGAGTTTGAGACCAGCCTGGCCAACATGGTGAAATCCCATCTCTACTAAAAATACAAAAATTAGCCAGGCATGGTGGTGGGTGCCTGTAATCCCAGCCACTGGGGAGGCTGAGGCAGGAGAATCACATGAACCTGGGAGGCAGAGATTGCAGTGAGCCAAGATGGCGCCATTGCACTCCAGTCTGGGCGACAAGAGTGAGACTCCATCTCAAAAGAAAAAAGAAAAAGGATTTATTTCTGCTATGTGGCTTAACCACTGAGGCTTTGAGATGCATTTTTTTTTTTCTTTTTTGAGACAGAGTCTTGCTCTGTCACCCAGGCTAGAGTGCAGTGGCATGATCTCGGCTCACTGCAACCTCTGTCTCCCGGATTCAAGCGATTCTCCTGACTCAGCCTCCCAAGTAGCTGGGATTACAGGCGCCTGGCTAATATTTTTTGTATTTTTAGAGATGGGGTTTCATTATATTGGCCAGGCTGGTCTCGAACTCCTGACCTCAAGTGATCCGCCCTCCTCGGCCTCCCATACTGCTGGGATTACAGGCGTGAGCCACTGTGCTTGGCCTCACTCTGTCACCCAGGCTGGAGTGCAGTGGCACAATCTTGGCTGTGGTGCATTTTTATATGACCAGTCTGACCTAACCACCACTTGACTGTGTGACTCCATGTTTTATGTTCATATACTAGCTGATAAAACTTGAAAATTTAGCTTTGAATTTAGGCTACTTGACCTGTGAGATACGTAACTATTACATTTTATCAATTCTGAAGTAAACCATTTATTTTTCTTCCCTGCTACAATAGAGGAAGCATGGTCTTCCAGCGGGAGACCTGTTCCTCCCATTTACAGATCTCAGCCCAGTTATATCCAATCCATGCTCAACTGCCCCAAAATGTAATATTCTTACACATAATTGGTTTTTGCATTGTTTGAATGATTTTTTGCTTATGTTATATACTTACTTTTTAATATCTCTAACAACTGTCAATTTTCATTTTTTTTTACTGGCACCTATTTCTGTTGAATAGTTTTACTACCTAAATTAACCCAGTTGGAATGTTTTAATAAGTCATGTTTGCCCTTTATTTGTATGTATCTGTGCATAATTTTTTTTTTTTTTTTTTTGAGGTGGAGTCTCACTCTGTTGCCCAGGCTGGAGTGCAGTGGCATGATCTTGGCTCACTGCAACCACCGCCTCCCGGGTTCAAGCAATTCTCCTGCCTCAGTCTCCCAAGTAGCTGGGACTATAGGCGCATGCCGCTACGCCTGGTCAATTTTTTGTGTTTTAGTAGAGACGGGGTTTCACTGTGTTGCCCACGCTGGTCGCAAACTCCTGAGCTCAGGAGAATTTTAGTTTGAGATAATTGTAGATTCACACGCAGTTGTAAGAAATACTGAGAATCCAGCATTCCCTTTATCCAGTTGTCTGCAGTGGCAGCATCTTGTAGAACTGGGACAATATCACAACCAGGATATTGATATTGATACATTCCACCACTCTTACTCATATTTTCCCAGTTTTACTTGTCCTTATGTGTTTTTATGTGTGTGGGTGTGGTTGTTTGTGCAGTTTTATCACATGTAGATATGTGTTACATTTTGAGAGTTCTTTATGTATTCTCGATACTAGTTCTTTGTTAGATATGTTTTGCAAATATTTCTCCCAGTCTATAGATTGTCCTTTCATCCTTTTAACAAAATCTTCCAGAGAGCAAAAGTTTTGTCATAAGATCCAGTTACCTTTTTTTTTCTTTTATATAGTATGCTTTTGATGTCAAATCTAAGAACTCTGCGCATCCCCAGATCCTAAGTTTTCCATGTTTTTTCTAAAAGTTTTAGCTGGGTGCGGTGGTGTGGACTTGTGATCCTGCTATTTGGGGAGGCTGATGCAGGATGATCACCTGAGCCCAGGAGTTTGAGGCTAGCTTGGTCGACATAGTGAGATGGAGCCCCGTCTCAACAAATAAATAAGAATCAAAGTTTTGTAGTTTTACATTTAATTCTATGATCCATTTTTGAGTTAATTTTTGTAGGAAGTATTAAGTTTAAGTCAGAATTCTTTTAGGTGTATGCTTATGGATGTCTAGTTCCTCTAGCACCACTTCTTAAAAAGCCTGACTCGGTGCCATTGACTGGCTTTTTGCATCATTTTCAAAAATCTCTTGGCTTTATTAGTATGGATTTATTTCTGGGACTTTTTAAAAAAATGCCACAAAAGTAGTCCATGTTCCTTATGGACATTTTTTAGAAGATGTGAAAAAGTAGAAAATGAAAAATATATGTTTTATCAAAGATAAACTCTGTTTAACAATTTCCTTCCCATCTTTTTCCTGTGCTGCTTTTTTCTGCTGTTGTTTCAAATAAATTCCTGCTACATATAAAAAGTTGTGTCCTGCTTTTTAAAAATGCCCATTATTAACACTTTCCATATTATTACAAATATTTCTTAATGTTATTTTAGTGATCCTTTGGTGTTCTGTTTTGTGGCATCCTTTATGATTTAAGTTTCCAGGTTTTGTTTTTGTTATTTAAAAGACCTCTCTGATAATATCTGTGCTCAGTAAACCTTTTAGTTAATTACTGGATTGAAATATATGAGTATTTTTCAGATTCTTGATATTTCATTGCCCCATTGCTTCTGAAGAGGTTTCACCCCATTTACATTTCCACTATTGTTATATCTTTTAGATTAAAGCAGCATTTAATTTTTGAGAATTTCTCTAAATGCTTGTTTAGTTTGAATTTTCACATTCTATTATTTCTTATTAGCCCTAAATTTAACTTTAGCTAAGTGAAAATTACATGTAAATGTTAGCGATTGGTACTAAAGTAACATTCAGTAGCATTTATTCCTATAACATGTAATTTGCATCTTTTCAACTTGTAATTTATAATAAAATACAGTTGTGAGTTAGAAAAAAATGATTTTTTAGTTACTGTTTATTTTTTACTTATTTTTGTTTTCTTTCACAGCCCAGCAAGCTGAGAAGCTTTAAAAAAAAAAAAAACTTTCAGTATGATTATTTACTTCAAATTTATGTTTATGCTTTGATTTAAATGTTGTTATTTTGCCTCCCTCAAACAGAAAGCGATAGATCTGGCTAGCAAAGCAGCGCAAGAAGACAAGGCTGGGAACTACGAAGAAGCCCTTCAGCTCTATCAGCATGCTGTGCAGTATTTTCTTCATGTCGTTAAATGTGAGGCCATAGGTTATATTTTATTTAAAAACACGAAAAGGAAAATTTATTCTGTTTCATTTCTAAAAAATTGAAATATAATGCCAGACAATTCTAAACGATCCATTTGTTAAAAAAAAAAAATACTCCACTTTCTTTCTAGTGATTTTTAAGTATTGAGATGTAGCTAGCAAATGTGACAGCCATCATAGTTATTACTTTGTATATGTAAACATCTTAAAATGTAGTCTAGTCAGTGGAAAATAGGTTAGGAGACATTCTATTTGTGTCTTTACAGATATGTATTGCGTGTGTACCACGTGGCAGGCACTGGGGATACAATGGAAAGAAATGGTTAAGACCCCTGCCCTCATAGCTCTTAAATGGAATGCAGTTAGATGATTGAAGATGTTCTTTTGAGCTTCTCCCATTTAGTTCTGAGGTTTTATGTTAAAGTGAGACTAAGAATGAGTCATAACCTGTAAGCTATGTGGGGCTCATCCCATCTATTGCACGTGTTGCCAAAGTTCACTTTGAAAACAGCTCTGACAGAGGCCTTTGTGTAGTAAAATTTACGATGTTGGTATTACACAGAATATATGGGATTTCCATCACTTTACTCTTCTGAAATAAAGCTTTTGTAGACATTCATAGAAATGATTAATACTGCTTTCCTTCTATTTGTCTTTTTTATAATTGGGTTTGTCTAAGACAAGCAACTTTGAACTATCTGCAAAAATGTAAGGGAAAAATATGAAAGCTTCAGAATATTAAATAATTTCCTGTTAGTTAACATTAACTTAATATACCCTGCTGTCTTGCTTAGGTTGTTTCTGATTCAGACCCACTGTTGGTCTCCAACCCTGCTGGAGGAAGGGGTAGAAAAGAGGTGATAATCATTGGCTATGATGAGTTAGAGATGATCTTCCCTCCTTCTTCCAACATAGAATTTCCTTGTCTGAAAAAATACATATTTAAGAGTTCAAACCTTTCTACATAGAATACTAATGGAAAAAAATCTCTCTCATTTCCCTTTAATAGATGAAGCACAGGGTGATAAAGCCAAGCAAAGTATCAGGGCAAAGTGTACAGAATATCTTGATAGAGCAGAAAAACTAAAGGAGTACCTGAAAAATAAAGAGAAAAAAGCACAGAAGCCAGTGAAAGAAGGACAGCCGAGTCCAGCAGATGAGAAGGGGTACGTGTTTAAAATTGTTCAATTTTATTGTGGCTTTTTGCTTTCGATTTGTGAAATTTCTTTTGATTAAAACAGGTGTCAGCAAACTATGGCTCATGGGCCAAAGCTGCCCAGCTGCCTGTTTTTGGAATAAGCTTTATCAGAACACAGCCGTGCCCATTCTTTTACATATTGTTGTCTAGGGCTGCTTTCGTGCCGTAACAACAAAGTTGTGTGGTTGTGTGGAGACCGTATGGCCCACGAAACCTAAAATATTTACTTGTTTGGTCCTTTACAAAAAAAAGTTTGCTGACCCCTAGTTTGCCAAGTTGAATGGATAATATTCCTCAAACAACCCTTCCTGACTGCCTGCTAGTAGGAGGAGAGAATGCTTGTAGGAATAGTACTCAGTTACTCTCTGGCCATTAGCTAATATGGAAGCTTAAGGTTATAGGAGTGACCAGAGAGTTAAACCTTTGACCACATGGAAAAAATGAAAAGTAACTCCAACAATGTAAATTTTTTTTGGATATCTTATGCAAAATTTTTTGATGTGAATTTGTGTTAGATTTGCTTTATGTTGTCATTGTAAAGAAAACAACACAGCATAACTTATAAACGTTGAAACTGATTTTTGGCATGTCTTCCTAGATGGGGGATGTATCACTTCTAGATGCAGAATTTGTTTATTCAGTACATGACATATGCGTGCCAAGTTTGTGCTCAGCACTGGGAACATATTCTAACCACATCCTCTCTGGCTGTCCTATTAATTGATGCCAGTAGTTCCAGGTAACACACCCTTAAGAAAATGAGACTCTGGGATGGAGTTATCTGGCCTGCTTGGGTTTGAAAACAGCGAGATTCTGCTCAGCTTTAGAGGATGTGGTTCTCATTGTTCATGGTATGCAGTGGCGCAGGTTATTTAGACAATACCCTGTGGTCACAAGGAATGAAGTGCCTTTTAGGCAGTGCTTTGGGGCTTCGTGGCTGCTACCACAGACCATTTGGAAGTACATGAGGAATATAAGAACCAGTGTTGACTTGGCTGCTTCAAACTATGTGGCAGAGTTTGAAGGAAATGATAAGCTTAAGCTCAAGGTTTTATATTCTCTGTTCAAGATGTGATCGGGGAACCAGGGAGTTTCTGTGACACCCTAAGAACATGTTATCTTCTTCATCGATAGCACTGACTTAACAAAAATCAGATGATAGTCTGATCTTACAAATTACTGAATTCCAACTTAGGGTTTCTTATATGAAAGTGAGGACATTTGGTATAAAACAGGGACTCCAAACATGAAGTGAAAATATTGGGAAGAATTTAGTTGACCTTGACTGCCCAGGACCTCCAGCTGTCACTGAGACTCCCTTGACAGCAGAAGCTTCTCTTCCCTTGTCCATAGAAGCTCTTCTCTCTTGCTTGAAAACCCTGTAAGGATCTCTTCTGAGATGATTACCTGACAAGGCGATGCCAGTTTTTCTTTTGTACTGAACAGCAATCTTCGTTTACAGTAGGACCCACTTTGGCTAATTTAAGCAAAAAGGGATATATTATAGGGTATTACCTTACAGAATAGTGGGGCCAGGGAATCAGGAGAAATGGCCAACAGTACCAGGGTTGTTCAAGTAGGGATCCCACTGTTGCCAACTCCTCTGCTAAGCACTGATGGTGCTTGGGAGCAGGTAGTAAATCCTCTGCGCAGCTCCCTCAGCAAAACCAGTGCCTTCGCCTGAAGATTCTGTCTCCTTGTGAGCAGCCCCCACCTTCTTGGAAGAATTTAGGTCTCATGTGGAACCCTAGCTACAAGGGAGATGAGAAACGGCAGGGTTTTTTTTGTTTGTTTGTTTTTAATAAGGACAGCCTTTATAGTACTGGACAGCATGATAGAAAGAGGTTGGAGTGAGTGTCATGTGAATCTTTTGCAGTGTCTACCTCACCCACAGCCCCACCGTCCTATGATAACCAAGGCAATTCCATTTTGGCATAAAACATGTCATGCTTTTATCTCCCTTTATATGTTATTGTTTTAAAAATGATATAATGCCTTATTTTTGGCTTTATCACTTTTATACTTAACATTGTATCAGGAATATCTTTCCAATAAACTATTTCTACATCACGTTTAAATGTTGCAATGTATCCTGTCATATGCTAGTCCCTATAATATGAGTTACTTTTTCCCCTTTTGCAAACAGTGTGGGTGTGATTATCCTTATGGTCAAATGCTTGAACTTGTCTAAAATTATTTCCTCAAGATAAATCCCTAGATATGAATGAAATGCCTTGATCGACCTACTTGTTCTTTGGGTGTAGTTCATTGTCATCAGGAAGCTTCCTCTGTCCTTTGGAATCCCCAGACTAAGGGTTGTAGACCTTTGTACCTTAGTGTTCCAGATTTTTTTCCTCCTAATATGACCTCTTGTTCTAATTTATATCTTGCCCAGTCCTGATGTTTTTACTGTTGTTGTTTGCAGCTCTCCTGTGATTCATCTTGAATCCTTCATGGAGTGATGTGTGGGGCATGCATTTATGAATTAATACATACCTAAATATGTCATGGGAATTTGGAGCTAGTTCCTGACTTCATTCTGGTCTTTTTGTCCCTTTCTTTTACATGATTCTCTATTGATGATAACGTGACTGCTTCTTATTTACTACATTCTTTAAAATAAGTAAGCATAACTTTTAATGTAAATGTCTGATTTTGCCACTGAAATTACAAATATTTCAGGTTAATTTTTCCTTCATTTTTGCCTTATTTGATAGCAATGAGTGATCATTTGAATATATTAAATTCTTTTTATTAGGAATGACAGTGATGGGGAAGGAGAATCTGATGATCCTGAAAAAAAGAAACTACAGAATCAACTTCAAGGTTGCTTTAGATTTCATTTTTAAATTTACTATCCTATTAAAAAGACTCAAAGTGAATTGTCTATTTGAATTGTTTTTGTTCTCCCTCTATATTTAAATGAAGTTTAAGAACTGGCTTTGGTTCCCAATAGTCATGTGCTGGCTTTGTTTAGAGTGTTTTCTTAGGGTTTGCCCTCTAGGATCATGGTTTGGTCTTTTTTATGTAATAGTTTTGTTGGCTTCACATCTGCCTTTAAAAGGCTCTCAGTCAACTTGCTCTTTCTTTTTGTTTATTTGCCGCCTTTTAGAGAAGGTAACACTTATACTATTAGCACACTGCAAAATTTGATGGTATTAAAATTTACTACTGTGGGAGAAGTTAGGACTTACACGTGGCTTTTATTGCCGTTGCTGTAGCTCACTTATTGATGGTTTATTTTGTTTCTTAACTGCTCTTCATCTGCTTTTCAGTGTTCCTGTTTACATTTAATTGTTTAAGCTTTCTGTGTTTACCATCCACACCTGTAAAGCCCTTTCATTCTGTTCTACTATAGCACAGTGGCATAACAGAGGGGACATAGGTTTTTGGCTCCATTCAGATCTTGATTCTGTTCAAGGGTCTGCCACTTAGAACTTTCTAATTGTGGGCAAGTGACTGAATCTCTCAGAACCAGCGTCCCCCATCTCTAAAATAGAAATGAGCAATAGCTTCCTTTCAGGGCTTTTAAGATTAATGACAGTGTAAAAACTACCTCATATATCTGACGAAGTCTAGGGACTCAATAAATGGTAGCACTGTTTATCTAAAAAGGCATCTATTTGTTGGCTGGCTTTGTTAATCACTGAGATTTGATTATTCTTCGAAATAAATTATCTAACAATTTTTCAGATTGAATTTTTTGCTCACCCATTGGTAGTATGTATTTTGTTCATTTGAATCTTACCAAATAGAATGCATAACTGGGAAGGATTTCCATTTTATAGGTTCAGCCTTGGTTACTGAATAGTGAAAATACTTACCTGAGCCAAACTTTTAGCCTTGCTATACTAGTGTCTTCGTTTTGGTAGTATTTTTGTCTTGCCTACCCTACTGGGATGTCTAGGAAAACACTGTAAGGATAATGTGTTGACAACAGACCAGGTAATGAATAGAGAACATCTTTAGATGCCAAGAACTTCAGTGGTAGATATAGTCCAAGGGCAAAATCTTGAGTTTACACTCAAGCGTAGTGGTGTCCCCACCACCTGAAACTACTGGCACACACTGCGCACTCAGTTGGCATTTATTGGGTAACCCAGTGGGTCTGTGCCAAGTGGCCTTATTCCAGTTGTAAAGCAAGACACTTTTTTTGTCTGCTCTATTGGATTTGGTTTTGTTTCCCTCTCCCTACCCTGCCCCAGGTAAAAATCAGTTGCATATCTTTAATTTTCGAAAAGATACATTTTTTTTTTCTTTTTTGTTTTTTTGAGACAAGGGTGTCGCTGTGTTGCCCAGGCTGGAGTGCAGTGGCGCAATCACGGCTTACTGCAGCCTCGAACTCCTGGGTTCCAGGGATTCTCCTGCCTCAGCCTCCTGAGTAGCTGGGAACACAGGCACACACCACCATGCCCGGCTAAGTTTTTTTTTTTGTTTGTTTGTTTGTTTGTTTGTTTGTTTTTGTAGAGGTGGGGTTTGGCCATGTTGCCCAGGCTGCTCTCGAACTCCTGAGCTCAAGTGATTTGCCCACTTCAGCCTCCCAAAGAGCTGGGATTACAATTGTGAGCCACCGCACTTGGCCGATACAACCAGTTTTTAATAGGGATTTCTCTAAATTCCCTATCACTTACAATAAAGGCCAGAAATGTAAAACAAACAAATAAAAGAGAAAAAAAACCAAATACTTAAAACATTTAAATGAGGAAATGTATTTGAAATTTCAGGATGAAATAGAATATGAAAGGAGTCCTAGCCTTTTATATTTGAATATCCTTTTTTTTCTACTTTTTAATGGTTTGCTGCTGGATTTCATACTATTGTATCTTTTTTGAATTTTTCCTTGTTTTTTGAACAGTATTTTAAATCTTTTACTTCTGTTTTAGATTATGATATTAAGTGTATATTTGTTAAAATTAAAAATCGGTTTGTGATTTGAGTTTTCTGTTAGCTAATTTTATTCAGTGAATTTTTTGTGATTAAGTAATATACTAGTAAATAGTATAGTCAAAGACCGGATAAATTTATATCATTGGAAGTACATTCCATTTGTTAGCATTTTTCATAATCCCATCCCCCCTTTTTAATTTTGCAAACCATGTCTAGTATGAGATTGTTTATCAGTAAACATTCCAAAGTCACCTTTTAACTTAGAAGTATTATATATGAAAACAAATCATGACACATTTTTAAAATTTATAGCAGAAATCTTGAGTCAGACGGTATACATATATAAAATAAAGTTTATTTTTGTTTAACTGACATGAAATCCTAGGATTACTAATCTTAATGAAACATAAAAAAGACGAAATGAATTTACTTTTTTCTTACTTTATAGTAGTCTGAACTTTTGGAATACAAAATGCTTATGGTTTCATGTAATTTTAATCTAGTAGCTAAAGATTTTCATAATTTAGGGAAGTAAGTTGCTAGTAACTAGTCTTAGAGTAACAGATTATCTTTCCTAACAAGAAGAAACAATCAGTAGCAGTGATTTCATAAAGTAATAGATTGTATAAGTGGTGGTGTTCTGTTACACTTAAAACAACTAACTACATGTCATCTTAGAACAGGCTGCTTCATAGTTTATAGTGGAACAGTTTCCATATTCTAGAAAATTAGAAAAGCTTTTGATAAAAGAGAACTAGAAAATTTGTCAGTAGGCTATATTAAAAGACATCCTTCTTGGACTCTTACTGCAATAATTGCTTTGGCTTTTGAATATACTGCATTCAGAAGCTAAATCTTCCCTGTAAGTTAACTTTGTTAATTAACAAAAGTTGTAAATAGATCTATTTAGCAGCCAAATAGAAACTTGGGCAAATCTTAGGAAAGTATTGCAAATCTGCAGGGGTATCTTTTCTCGGTTTCCCATCATCTGCTTCCATTCCTTCCTTTCCTCTCTCCTTTTCCTTCTCCCTTCTGTCTGTCTGCCTATCTTGAGTTAAATTTGTTAAGCATATTTTTTTTTTCAGTGGTTGAGGAGAGGATTAGATCACCTTTTCTTTTGGTTAACAGGAGAAATGGTAGAACAAGTACTTTTGATACTCCAAAATCAATGTATTCAAATATAACCACCTTATGGAACGTTTGGTGCTTTTCCAAACACTCTAATATTCATTATGTCATTTGATTTTCGCACCAACCTATCTAAGTAGTTTGGGCAGATGGTATTATTTTCATTTCACAAGTGAGGAAGCTGAAACAGAAGGGTAAAGTAACATGCCCCAGGTTGTCTAGTCATCCACCTGGTTCCTAGTCCTATTGACTACTCCCTAACACCTGCTTCCTGCTCACGCTATTTCAAAAAGGTTGTTAGTACATAAAACTTTCCCAATTTTATAATGCGTTTCTTTAACATCATTATTTCATGTTGTCTTCTAACTTTGGTGAAATAGTCTTTCTTAATTTAAAGATAACGTAATTTTTTGCAGGTGCCATTGTTATAGAACGACCAAATGTGAAATGGAGTGACGTTGCTGGACTTGAAGGAGCCAAAGAAGCACTGAAAGAGGCTGTGATACTGCCTATTAAATTTCCTCATCTTTTTACAGGTGACATAACTTTTAAATAATTTTATTTCATGAGTTTGTAAAAGTTCATTGATGACTGAGGTGAAGCATTGTCATTCTTGTCACTAATGAATTATCTTAAATAAATTGTGACTGTTAAAAGGTGGTGATATATCTTTATACAAGATGTTTTATTTCTTATACATATCCATATTTGCAGTGTATATATATTGCAAAACAACCTAAATGTCAACCAGTAGGGTAATTCACCAACATGCAGTGGAATACTATGCACTCAGTAAAATAGAGTGTACATCTACATTAATAAATTGAAATCTGCATTGTATTTTATTGAAGAATGTCCACATCTATTGCAAAGATCAAAAAGCAGTTATAAACTGAATAGTATGATTCCATGTTTGCTAAATGTGTATGCTGAGAAGTAAGTATAGTTAGATTCACATAGAAATATTAATATATGCCTAGGGGATAAGATTATAGGAGATTTTTACTTTTGACTTTCATCTGAATTTTTGCAATGGTTATGATTTTTAAAGAGTATTTCTTAAAAAGAGGAGTAAGAATCACTTAACAGTTTCAGAGGAAGTGCATAACCTCTAGTAGCAAAAGGACATTTCATTATCACTGTGAAGAGAATATTGCTGACCTACCATCTGGGGAAACTTACAAGTTCTAGTTCCAGCAGTAAGTGATATGTCTGTGCTAAACCATTCCTTTATATTATCCTTCTTGTGACTGATAGCCTTGACTGTAATATGGCCACACCCACAGTCTGACAGTCAGAGGTTTTTCCTTTTGCAAACATGTTGGTTTATGTCAACAGCAAATCTGCAATGTTGGCCTCAGACTGAAGAGTCCAGACAGTCGTATCGTATAGAGCAGTGATGAAGAGCAAAAAGCCTGTAGGCCACGCACTGTCCGCCTAGCTTCAAGGTGCAGTTTACTACCCAACTTCAGGAGTATGAAACTTAACAGCATAAAAGTTGACATCATAATCCTATAAAAGCACAAAAATATGGTTGAACTCATTTTATGGTATATTACTTATACCACTTTTTCTCAAACATGAGTCATTGATGTATCATCTTCATGAATTTTTCCATGTATGTGTACCATTACTAATTTTTAATATTTTTCTTTGCTTATTTTTTAGAACAACATTTTTACTAGAGTATAGCATAAATATACAGAGACATACAGGAGCCCCTGGGTGTTGGGCTTCCTTAATTGTCACAAAGCAAGCATGCCAGTGTCATCAACCAGATCCAGAAATAACAGCATTGCCAGGGACCTGGCAGGAGCCTTCTGCCTCATTCCTCCCGAGAGGTCATCTCTCTCTCTCGACTTCTAACGCCAGAGATTATTTTGCCTGTATTTGAACTTTAAATCATCTCACATATTTTTACTTAGTAACGTTATTGAAAAGACTGCTTTGTGCCTTTATAAGTGGAAAAAAAAGTGTTTTTCCAATACACATTAAAAAATTATTTAAAGTATATACCACCTAAAAGTACTTCATGTTATACCAGTGGTATATGTACCATACTCAGACACTGACTTGTAAATGTATACATGTAAAATAGGAAAATGAAATTCAAGTAACAGTTGCTTTCATAACAGTTAAGTGAAACAGTGTTATTCATCTGCATATCATTCTTTTGCAGATACTGTGTACACATCCATAGTTTGCACCTAGCAGTTTTTTTTGTTTTGTTTTGTTTTGTTTCTTTTTTTGAGACAGAGTTTCACTCTTGTCACCCAGGCTGGAATGCAATGGCGTGGTCTCGTTTCACTGCAACCTCCACCTCCCGAGTTCAAGCAATTCTCCTGCCTCAGCCTCCCGAGTATTTGGGATTACAGGCATCTGCCACCACACCCAGCTAATTTTTGTATTTTTACTAGAGTCAGGGTTTCACCATGTTGGCCACAGTTGTCCCGAGCTCCTGACCTCAGGTGATCCGCCCATCTCAGCCTCTCAAAGTGCTGGGATTACATACATGAGCCACCATGCCCAGCCATAGTTTTTTAAATGTATGTTTGATAGTTTACTGCCAGCTGTAACCCACCTGTTTTATTTTAGGCAGGATTATAATTGCTCATTAGCAAAATTGAGGCTCGAAGAGTTGATGTATTCACTGGTTATATTTTGGCAAAACTAGGATTTAAAGTAGTATCACCTTTTTGTTACCCAACCATGAAAGTCTGCTACCTAGCTGGAGGCTGAGGTGGGCAGATCACCTGAGGTCAGAAGATCGAGACCAGCCTGACCAACATGGTAAAACCCCGTCTCTACTAAAATACAAAAACTAGCCAGGCGTAATGGCGGGCACCTATAATCTCAGCTACCTGGGAGGCTGAGGCGGGAGAATTGCTTGAAACCAGGAGGCAGAGGTTGCAGTGAGCCGAGATCGCACCACTGCCCTCCAGCCTGGGCAACAAGAGTGAGACTCTGTCTCAAAAAAAATAAAATAAAAGAAAGTCTGCTACCTATAACACTAACCTGTGCTTTCCTGTGGAATCAAGAATTCAGCAGAAACTCACAAGTCATCCAAACTTTGTTAGGTTCACTTTTCCAAAGAGCATAAATATTCAAAGAAAATCTCTTCCAGCTGCCCATTTTTTATGGATATAATTTTTGTACAATATTCTGGTATCAAGCAGTGTACACAGTAGATGATCAGAAAGTACCTTTTAACTGAACTCTTTTCCCCTACTAGACTCCACGCAGGGCAGAAATCCTTTTGCCTGTGCACATGTTACGGTTTTGATACATATTGGTTGAATGAATGAGCAAACAAATGTACTTCCTGTTAGAAGGCTTATGTTATGCAAGTCTCTTTTTGATAAAGTAGTCTCTAGAAGAAACAAAATATATTTAAGACATACCTTAGATTGATTTATTTTTAAAATATTGTTTTGATCCTTAGAGGTTTAGAGTGAAAATCTTTCCAGAGTATTCCTCAGTATAGATGATACAATTAAGTGTTAAAATTCTCATGACATTTTTCTAAATCTAAATTTTAGGCAAGAGAACACCTTGGAGGGGAATCCTATTATTTGGGCCGCCTGGAACAGGAAAGTCCTACTTAGCCAAAGCTGTAGCAACAGAAGCCAACAACTCAACATTTTTTTCAATATCTTCCTCTGATCTTGTTTCTAAGTGGCTAGGTGAAAGTGAAAAGTAAGTAGTAAATCAATTTTTTAAAGTTTTTTCTTTGCCTGTAATTACTGTATCACTCCTTAATAGATTTCTTACATCACTTATAGATATTCAGAGAAGTCATGTAATACAGGTACTCACTTCTCTGTCAAATCAGTCTCTAATCTAGAATTTCTTTTGTGGGAAAAGATAGCATATATCTACAACCTAGTGAATCATAAAGTGAATTATCCAGTTGTAGCATTCTTATTTTCTGTACCTGAAACATGATTAGGCTTTTTAATCTACAGAGTTCTTGTAATATTGATATATTACTTTGTTTTAATCTTTTACTATTTTTTAGAGACTTAAAAGTTTTCATTTATTTTTAGACTGGTTAAGAATTTATTCCAACTTGCCAGAGAGAACAAGCCCTCCATTATCTTCATTGATGAAATTGATTCTCTCTGTGGTTCAAGAAGTGAAAATGAAAGTGAAGCCGCACGTAGAATTAAGACGGAGTTCCTAGTGCAAATGCAAGGTAGTGTTACTAATTTTTTTTTTCTTTTTGAGACGGAGTCTCACTCTGTCGCCCAGGCTGGAGTGCAGTGGCGCGATCTCAGCTCACTACAACCTCCACCTCCCAGGTTCAAGCAATTCTCATGCCTCAGCCTCCTGAGTAGCTGGGATTACAGGCGCGCACCACCATGCCCGGCTAATTTAATGTTACTGATTTTTAAAGTCGTTTTTGTTTATTTTATAACAATTTTTATAACAGTAATGAAAAATTCAAGCAGAATTTCTCCATTCTAACAAACTGTTTCATTTTGCCATGTTTCATTCCAATTGTCTTCCATATGCATACATAATTTTTACTCAATTGTAATTATCTTGTAGGACTCACTGACATAAATAGAAAAGAGATTTAATGTATTCATTTATAATGTACCAGGAACAACTTCAGTAAAAGTAATATGTAGACTTCGAATGAAATTTTTCAAGAAATATTTTGAAACGAATGTTAATAGTATTTTCCACAATCTGGGAGATTTGATTCATATATTTGCATCATATTGCATCATAGTGTATTTGGATCATATTGCCGTAAGGTGATATTTGATTAAATACAGTTCTTTTCCAAAGACAGACTCTCAAGATGAAGCACTTTAATGGTAAAGCACCACATTTCTTAACAGAATATATGGAAGAAGTTTAAAGAACACCAAAATGACAAATTAATTAAAGCATTACCTATTTTAATGCAGGGGTTGGTGTAGACAATGATGGAATTTTGGTTCTGGGAGCTACAAATATACCCTGGGTTCTGGATTCTGCCATTAGGCGAAGGTAGGATAATATAGTAAATATCTTATTTCTCACTGCAGATGTAACAAGTAGATGATAATTCTCTTTTTGTCTTGTCAGGAAGCATTCTAACAACTTTTCAAAAGATTTGTAATGTGCTCTAACCCTGTTGCTCCCCTGCCTTGAGTGGGAGAAGGGTGGTCATTTGCTTGTTTGTTTCCCTAGTTTATCAAATATACAAGATTTCCACACACTTCTGTCTTTCATATTAGAAAATATATTACCTAATGCTTACCTTTCATTCTGATTAAGTTTGGTGGGCACTGATGCTTCAAAAATTTATAAACATAGTTTGACAATTCAGTAAAAACCATTTATATAAAATTTTAGCAAAATGGCAATTCTATAAGTCAAAATAAGATAACCAGGTAAGATTTTTTTTTTTTTTTTGAGTCGGAGTCTCACTCTGTTGCCAGGCTGGAGTGCGGTGGTGCGATCTCGGCTCACTGCATCCTCCACCTCCCGGGTTCAAGTGATTCTCCTGCCTCAGCCTCCCAAGTAGCTGGGACTACAGGTATGCACCACCACGCCCAGCTAATTTGTATATTTTTAGTAGAGACGAGATTTCATCATGTGGCCAGGATGGTCTCGATCTCTTGACCTCATGATCCACCCGCCTCAGCCTCCGAGAGTGCTGGAATTACAGATGTGAGCCACCGTGCCCAGCCAAGATTTTTTTTTTTTTTAGTAAAAACTATATGTCAGGCCGGGTGTGGTGGCTCATGCCTGTAATCCCAGCACTTTGGGAAACCAAGGTAGGCAGATTGCCTGAGCTCAGGAGTTCAAAACCACCCTGGGCAACGTGGTGAAACCCTGTCTCTACTAAAATCCAAAAAAATTACCTGGCCATGGTGGCGCACACCTGTCTGTAGTCCCAGCTACTCGGGAAGCTGAGGTGGGAGAATCGCTTGAGCCCAGGAGGCGGAGGTTGCAGTGAGCCAAGATTGTGCCACTGCACTCCAGCTTGGGCAACAGAGTGAGACTCCATCTCAAAAAAAAATATATATATATATATATATGTGTGTGTGTGTGTATATATGTATATGTGTATATGTATATATGTATACACACACACATCTATCTATCTAATTTTTAAGTTGAAAATGAAACTTCAGTTCTAGGAAAGGTATACGGACTCTTCACTTTTCACTCTTCACAGTTCTGTATTACATTCATTTATTTTGTATGGTAAAAATTAGCACTTCAGTTTTTGCCACTTTTATCCCATTCACTTGATGATTTGCGCCAGCATTCTAGCTTACCATCCAGTACCAAGAAAGGAAATGTGCAGGGTATTTTTGAAAAATTGCCTTATTCTGCACCCATCTCTAGAGGCAACGGAAACTTTAAATTCTTTTCATTGTCACAGAGAGTTACCTGGAGAAAAAACAGTCTGCTCAGACCACTTAAATTATCCCTCATCGTTGCTTCTCTGTCTCCAAATACCGAAATTCTAAGAAAGCAAGCAAAATTATTGTTAATGAAACATAGTGTTTATTCTTTATAATATAGGATTGTTCTGGATGTATTCATTAAAGTGGACATTTTGTGTAATATATATCCTATAAGATTGTGAGGTAATTCTGTTTTGAATGTAGAGAATTACTGTGTCATCTCTACTCCTGTTTTATATTGTTAATCATTAGTCCCTTGATCAAGAGTTCAGAGTACAATTTTGTGGGAAACTGTAACCCTGTAGGACCTCTTTTTATTTCATGAATTCCAGACATAGGAACACTGTGGCCAAAATAACCCAAAAATGCACGAAAGATTCAGCCACTTCAAACTGGCTCCCAGGCTATTTTGATTTTATTTGTTTGTTTTTAATGTGTTCTGGATATTATCCCTTTAACCTAAATATATATGTTTAACCTTGGCACATACAGGCCCACTTAACTTAGTATCTGTTTCTTCTTGGAAATATCCTAATTTTCAATTAAATATATTCTTGATGTAATTTCTCTTTTAAGATTTGAGAAACGAATTTATATTCCCTTGCCGGAACCCCATGCCCGAGCAGCAATGTTTAAACTGCACCTAGGGACCACTCAGAACAGTCTCACGGAAGCAGACTTTCGGGAACTTGGGAGGAAAACAGATGGTTATTCAGGGGCAGATATAAGTATCATTGTACGTGATGCCCTTATGCAGCCTGTTAGGAAAGTACAGTCAGCTACTCATTTTAAAAAGGTAAGTCATTTTTATCTATCCTTTCCTATCTTTTTTTTTTTTTTTTGAGACAGTCTCACTCTGTTGCCCAGGCTGGAGTGCAGTGGCACTATCTGGGCTTGCTGCAACCTCCGCCTCCCGGGTTCAAGCAATTCTCATGCCTTAGCCTCCTGAGTAGCTGGAATTACAGGCGTGTGCCACCACGCCTGGCTAATTTTTTGTATTTTTAGTAGAGACAGGATTTCACCATGTTGGCCAGGCTGGTCTCGAACTCCTGACTCCAGGTGATCCACCCACCTCGGCCTCCCAAAGGCGTGAGCCACTGCGCCTGGCCCTTTTCCTGTATTTTTAAAATCAAGTTTCAAGACCGTCATTGGTTTGTCTTCAAAGAATTTGGGAGGATTTCAGTGTTGTATAATAATACCATAAGTGGGTTTACATAATAGACATATTTCTGTGTCACTGAAACAAGTTCTTTAATAAAGTTTATTTATTGGCCATTTTTGGCTGGGTGCAGTGCCCCATACCTGTAATCCCAGCACTTTAGGAGGCCGAGGTGGGCAGATCTCTTGAGCTCAGGAGAGACCAGCCTCAGGCAACATGGCAAAACCCCATCTCTGTAAAAAATACAAAAATTAGCTGGATGTGGTGGCACACTCCTGTAGTCCCAGCTACTTGGGAGGCTGAAGTGGGAGAATCTCTTGAGCCCAGGAGGTGGAGGTTGCAGTGAGCCGAGATTGCACCAGTGTACTCCAGCCTGGGTGACACAGTGAGACCCTGTCTTAAAAAAAGAAAAGGCCTTATTAATCATCCTAATGTGTTTTAAATTTTCCTATGAAATGATTTTTGAAGTATTTGTGTATTATTTTGATATAAGTATAGAAACTTAAATGTACAGATGTAAGGCTGCTTCTGACACATCTAGAATATTTTTGAGTAGAATCTGGTGCATTTATACCTCATAAAGTAAAAATAATAATAGCTAATATCTTTTAAATATTCACATGCCTGGCACTGTGTTCTGTCTTTTATCTTACTATTTCATTTGGTCTTCACAAAAATCAGCAAGAGAGGTACATGTAGCCAGCCACCTAATGGTGGTTAGTCTTGGACGTAGGTGCTAACACAGTAGCTAGAGTGGGACAGACATGTGATTTGCCTGGAGGTGAGGTGTGTTTCCAAATCTGAAATCTCAGCCATTCTGCTATCCTGCCCCTCCTGTGTTCTGTTTTGTCTGCAAGAACAAGTTAAGCATCTGTGGCTGAGATAAAGTTTTATAAGAAGGCTGTGGTCTTGAGATACCCAGTTTGAGTAACAATGAACTAGGTAATCTGGACCAACCCTTTTGCTGTGAACAACAGTATCCAGTATTACTCATGAACATACATGTGAAAAACTATTAGCAAACCTAATCTCATAATGTATGTCAAGACTAATATGACTAAGTCACATACGTATATTTATCATGTACCATAATAAGATTTTTTTAAGTTAACAAGCTTGAATTAAAATCTGAATTTGAAGCCTGGCACCATTTACTTGTTATACCTTTTTGAGCAAATTCTATTACTTCTTTAAAGCTCATTTTTATCATTTCTAAAATGGGGATGTGATAATGCTATTTTGAAGTCCTTTCCAATAATGAAGTGATATAATACTCATAAAACACCAGTCGTGGTACTTCAGATGCGTAGGGAATGTTACTCATCCACCCTTCTTCAGCCATTTCATTACTGAAGTACTGTTAAGTTTATGCCACAGCCATTATGTTTTTTCTTAAATTCTCTTTGCCATTTAGAAACTATAAATGCATAGGAACTCAGTCCTTTCCTACTGAGAGTTTGTCACTCAATTCTGCATATTACTGCCAGGGTGAGCTCACATGACGCTGAAGCCAGGTCCTTGTTAGTGGGATGAAGGTGACACAGCCAGATGAGTTTTATCTCTGCAGCTGGGGATCACCAGCTGCAGCAGACCTCTCAGCGGCTCCATCCTTTACTTCTTTTAAAGCTGATTATTTCAGTTAACAAGAAGAAGATTCCCTGTTTATTTTTTGCATTTACTAGTATTTTATTTCTAAAATACTAATCTGGGACCGGTGGTAGATCAGAAAGTAGAGCAGTCAAAAAAGACAAAAATCCCTGACCTCATGCAGCTAAAATATTAGTGAGTAAAGACAGTAAAATACACATAATAAGGTGAGAGCATGTATTTCTTCACATCTACACTAATACTGAGATAATATTTAAAGTCGATTATTGTGAAACAGATGTGAAAGTGCCCCCAAGTTGGCTGGGCGCGGTGGCTCACGCCTGTAATCCCAGCACTTTGGGAGGCCAAGGTGGGCGGATCACAAGGTCAGGGGTTCGAGACCAGCCTGGCCATCATGATAAAACCCCATCTCTACTAAAAATACAAAAATTAGCTCGGCGTCAGGGCGGGCGCCTATAATCCCAGCTACTCGGGAGGCTGAGGCAGGAGAATTGCTTGAACCCTGGAGGTGGAAGTTGCAGTGAGCTGACATCGCACCACTGCCCTCCAGCCTGGGCTACAAAGCGAGACTCCGTCTCAAAAAAAAAAAAAAAGAAGTGCCTCCAAGTTGATGCAGACTATTGCCATCTAAATGTTTACATGTGACTATGTCACAAAGATTCTTTTTCTGGATATTGTTAAAACTTATAAATAAGTTGTACATGATAAAATGGCATTGATACTGCATTTAGCATACAATTTTGCACTTAGATTTGAGAGCATTTTTGTTGAAAGAGATTCAGTAGTTTCATACTAAAGTTCCAAATATTACAGAAGTTTCTCAGCTATAGAGCAACTTCTGAGAATTTTTTAATATATCTGTTTTTGGTCTTTAAGATTACTACCACTTATTAAGCACTAGAGGGGAAAAAGAGAAAGCCACAGGTAACTATTTTTTTTTTAACTCATCTTCTATGTGTGATCATACAAGCAATTTATTGTAGGAAATTTCAAAATATAGAAAGCATCAAGAAAAAAACTAAAAGCAGCTGGGTGCAGTCGCTCACACCTGTAATCCCAGCACTTTGGGAGGCCGAGGCTGGCGGATCACAAGGTCAGGAGATCAAGACCATCTTGGCCAACATGGTGAAACCCCGTCTCTCCTAAAAATAAAAAAAAATTAGCTGGGTGTGGTGGCACATGCCTGTAATCCTAGCTACTCGGGAGGCTGAGGGATGAGAATCCCTTGAACCCAGGAGGTGGAGGTTGCAGTGAGCTGACATCGTGCCACTTCACTCCAGCCTGGTGACAGAGCAAGACGCCCTTTCAAAAAAAAAACTAAAAGCAACCAAAATCTATCCCATTACCCAGGGGATAACTACTTTTTGTTGTATATTCTTAATTTTTTTTCCAAAAGTAAACATTCTAATAAAACATACAAAACTATTATACATTTTAACTTTCCTGGTAATGGATTAAGTCTTAATGTTCAATTTTGTTTCAAATACATATTTCAGATTACTGTTTATTTCAGGTTCGCGGACCTTCCCGAGCTGATCCTAACCATCTTGTAGATGATCTGCTAACACCTTGCTCTCCAGGTGACCCTGGTGCCATTGAAATGACATGGATGGATGTCCCTGGAGATAAACTTTTGGAGCCAGTTGTTTCCATGGTTTGAAATTTTGTTTGTTTTTAAGAAAATATTTTAAAACATTATACTTCATAATTTTCAGTTATATAAGATTTGCTGGAAAATCTTAGTATAAACAGGTGTATTTTACTTAATATTGTTGACTCATTAAAAATTATGAAGTTAATTGAACTTAAAATATAAAAAGTCATTATTTTTAAACTATTTTCTTGGGTTTAGAGGAACCTTTAAGTGAAAAAGCTATTTTTTAAAGCACAAGATTCTGACTTTACAGGTCTTATAGCTAGAATATCTCCAAAATGCTCATATATAGTATAATTATTGTAAAGACCTAACTAAAAAATAGGGTTGGTGAAATATTTTTTTTCCCCTGCATCTCAGATTTTTTAAAATAACCAGAAGTCACCTGTAATCCCAGCACTTTGGGAGGCCAAGGCGGGCAGACCACTTGAGGCCAGGAGTTTGAAACTGGCCTGGCCAACATGGTGAAATGCCATCTCTCCTAAAAATACAAAAATTAGCCAGGCAGTGTGGTGCACACCTGCAATCCAGCTACTCAGCTGAGGCAGGAGAATCACGTGAACCAGGGAGGCAGAGGTTGCAGTGAGCCGAGATTGCACAACCGCACCCCAGCCTGGGCAACAGAGCGAGACTCTGTCTCCAAAAAAAAAACAAAAAATAGGGCCAGGTACGGTGGCTCATGCCTGTAATCCCAACACTTTGGGAGGCCGAGGCGGGTGGATCATGAGGTCAGGAGATCGAGACCATCCTGGCCAACACGGTGAAACCCCATCTCTACTAAAAATACAAAAAGTTAGCCAGACGTGGTGGCACGTGCGTGTAGTCCCAGCTACTTGGGAGGCTGAGGCAGGAGAATAGCTTGAACCCAGGAGGCGGAGGTTGCAGTGAGCCGAGATCATACCACTGCACTCCAGCCTGGGCAACAGAGCGAGACTCTGTCTCAAAAAACAACAACAACAAAAACAAAAACCAGAAATACTAATGCTTGTATCATTGTTTTTATAGTGTTTTCTATTTCACTTCTCAAAGCTCCATAGAAAGTTTAAATATTGTAGTTCTATTTTTATTTTTAAAAATTACAGTTAATATAGTTTATATTGGAAGAATTAAAATAATCTACAAGACTTACTTTGCAAGGCATGTTATTTTTAGGGAACTTAGGGTGATTGAAAAGTTGTTTACTTACAGAAGAACATTCTCAGTTTTCAAAATTTTCTGTCAGTTTCAGATCTTCAAAGACCTTTAATGGCAGGTTTAATAGTAACTTCCAGAGGAGAAACTTTTACACGGTACATAGATATACATGTAAATGTGTATACACCCATATATTTGTGTGTGAACTAACCATAATGCTTATCTGAGAAGTTACTCAGAAACCCCTTTGTTTTAATCCTTGGTGTATTATTTTTTATTTTTTGTACTTTGTTCAGCTTTGAAGAATTTTTAGTAACTTAGAGTGGTCCTTTTCATTATTTTTCATATCCTTTTACAGGAGTCTAGGCTTAGAAGTTAGTTTTTTAATGAATCTCTGATATTAGCATATTTTTCTAACCATTTCGATCTTAATTGTAACTAATTATTTTAAAATTCTGGTTAGTAGATTTTTCATAGAATGGTATTCTGCTTCACTTAAGTGTAAGTGAATGATATTTTCCTTTTGAATTATACTGACTTGGAAAATTGATCTCGTTTAAGAAAAAGAGATAAGGCCAGAAATTAGATCATGAACATACTTTGGAGGCCTTGATCCTCAGACTAAGGGGATTGTCCTTCTGATAAGTATTGGGGAGCCATTTGATCAGTTCAGGGGAAGAAAGTATACGTTTCTACACAAAGGAATAACATGATCAAAGATCATGAAAGATCTGTGAAAGAATAGGGGCCGGGTGCAGGGGCCCACGCCTGTAATCCCAGCACTTCGCAAGGCAGAGGCAGGCGGATCACCTGAGGTCAGGGGTTCGAGACCAGCCTGACCAACAAAACGAAACCCCATCTCTACTAAAAATACAAAAATTAGCCAGGTGTGGTTTCAGGTGCCTGTAATCCCAGCTACTTGGGAGGCTGAGGCAGGAGAATCTCTTGAACCTGGGAGGCAGAGGTTGCAATGAGCCAAGATCACGCCACTGCGCTCCAGCCTGAGCCAACAGAGTGAGACTCCAACTCAAAAAAAAAAAAAAAGAATAGGGAGTTTATCGTTAGTATCTTATGGCAGACTGCAAATATTCATATTTAAACTTAGGTTAAAGTTCATAGCAATAATGATAATATGACGGTTTTTTATTTTGTTAACTCTATTATTAATATCCTCCCTACCCTTCTTTTTCCCTGACAGTCGGATATGTTGCGGTCACTATCTAACACAAAACCTACAGTCAATGAACATGACTTGTTGAAATTAAAGAAGTTTACAGAAGATTTTGGTCAAGAAGGCTAAGCCAAAGACAAGGAAGATGCTTACCATATGTATTCTTTCTTTCATAGATATTTTTGTCTATTTGGATCGCATTAATTGTTTCCAGTAAAACTCTTTTACCACAGGGAAATACACATCTCACTTCAGAGTTCCATTAGGTTTTATATTGTACTTTTCCTCCATTACTTATTAAATACTCCTATTAACAAAAGGTACAAAATAACAGGTTATGAGGAAATGAGCGATATATGAACGGCATAAAAACAGAAATTACCCAGTAAAAAGGATGTCAGAAATTGACATACAAATATTTACAATTTTTATGAATGGTGGTCTTTGCAAAGAGCATTTATATTTTCTTTTTTTTTTACTAAAATGATATAGGGTTTATTTTATATTTTCAAAAAAATTGTTAAACATCATTCTTATCAATGTAAAATTTACGTTATTAAAAAATTACAAATGATAGAATCTTTACTCAGGGATGGGCAATAAAACAGCAAAGAGCTTTGTGATTGGGTTTGAAAGATTTTGAATTATAGACAGTGCTCTTAATAGTTTTTAATAAGTTGATATTTTTTTCTGTGTAGATTTAAATAATTTCTTTAAAAGCGTAAGCTTTGGCTGGGCATGGTGGCTTATGCCTGTAATCCCAGCACTTTGGGAGGCTACGATGGGTGGATCACCTGAGGTCAGGAGTTCAAGACCAGTCTGGCCAACATGGTGAAATGCCGTCTCTACTAAAAATACAAAAATTAGCTGGGCATGATGGCGAGTGTCTGTAATCCCAGCTACTCAGGAGGCTGAGGCGGGAGAATCACTTGAACCTGGGAGGCAGAGGTTGCAGTGAGCTGAGATCGCGCTACTGCATTCCAGCCTGGGCGCCGAGATAGCGCCATTGCACTCCAGCCTGGGCGACTGAATAAAACTCTGTCTCAAAAAAAAACAAAAACGGTAAGCTTTTATATTTAATTAACTGATACCTTTCACTGTGCAATCTCAAGAGGAAGATTTTCTAAATTAGACATTGTCTTTACCTTAAAGAAGAAAATTGTCTATTTCAGTGTCTTTTTTAGCAAGATTGACCAAAACAGGTGGTAGGTGTGTAATTTTTAACTGTCATGAAATACTGTAATGCGCACCTTTGCTAATAAGGAAATGGTCTCCCTTTGAATTATGGGAAGTTTCTTGTCTGTGATATGGGGTGTCTGTGTACATATATGTATATTTCCTTTTTTAATACAGGATAATAATATGGGGTCTTGTCCTTCACCTTTTAAGTTCAGGGAACAGTTTGTCCTGACCACACATATGTTATCAGTGTAATGCTTTATGAAGCTTTAGAAATGAGCTCATGACTCATTAAAAAATAATAAACGATGCTATTTTAATATTTTCAAATAAATAATCTGAGGATGTGTTTCATACTTTAGCATCAACGCTGAGTTGTGCCTTGTAGAATTGCATTGTCTATACATGCAAAAGACTATTAAGTTAGGATGAACTAGATTCCCTAATTACAGTGAAATTCTATCTTGCAAATGCTATAGAATAACTTGCATTTTAAAGTGTATTTGCACATTTTACATATGCTATGTGGTTGCCTTTGGGTTTTCTGTACAGATTGTTTTTGTTATTAAATGGAAAAGGCCTGAATTATGCTCTTATGTGAAGTAAATTGATATAACCTATTGACTGTATTCTGTGTATTATTCTTTATTTTGGGACCTTCTGTGTAAAAGAAAATATTACCTAAATTGGTTAGATACAAAGAAATCATTAAAATTATTAATGTATATATGAAAATTCTGTTTTTCAATGACTTTTATGTGAGGATTGAGAACTAACTTAGTAAACTAACACTGAATTCTTTGTGGATAAGATAATTTATACATCTTACCTGTTTATCAGCCTCAGAATTATACAGTACTGCTGTGTGTTCTTTATGGACAGATACTCAAAGGAATCCGAATGGGCATGTTCTATTTCTCTGGCTCTTGACCAGTAATTATAAAGTTTAGGTAGACATTTTCTGAGCCAGCAAGTAGATCATAGTTGTTAAGCATCTCTATGACTTACACCCTGGATATTTGAAAGCATTTTGTCTCACCCTGAGAAATCTATAAGGACTCTATAATTATAAAACATGTCAATAGAGAATTGACTTCTGAGTCCACTGTCAACTACATGCAGAAAAACAGAATGAGTGTACTTGATTAGTGCCACAGAAGCACCATTTAGCCACTTTCAGAGTTGATAAAGAGGCATACCTACCTGATGGTGCTGTATGTTGCAAGTGAAGCAACACAGTGCCCATTGTTGACACTAATGTTATTTTAAGTTTGTGAGTTTTCACAGGTGCCCTTTTCTTTCCTACTTTCATCCCTTCATTTGTATCCTCCTCTTATTTTAATATGGTATCTTTCTTTTTTTTGCTAGTCCACATCACGTATTTCCATTAAAACCTAATGATGATGAACCATGTAACCTCTTGCAGGAAGACCACCCAAACTACCCCCACCCTACTTTTGGGTTTCTTTAGCAGTTAAATTGCTGCTGCTGCTGTGTTAAGATTTTTCTCTGGAGCATGTTCTATTGATCATGTTTAGATCATTTAGATTGTAAGTTCTGAGAGTTACATTTTCCCCAGCAATTAATATAGTGTTGAGTGCTTTTAGGTACTTAGTAAAGACTTGGGGAAAAAAAAAGGGAGTTATATTTTTATTTTGATCTACCTCATGGATTATGTGAGAGACTTATAAAATAGGTAAGTTTATAAAGTGGCTTTGTTCTTACTGGTCTAGTGAAGTTATGATAAATTTCTGTCTCGGTGATTGAGAACTACACAATCAAAAATGTATTCAAACTAGCTCACCCTGGCCCACCAAAACCGATAGTACATCTTTCCCAGCTGCGAGTTCAGTGACCTCATACTAGTAATTTAAAGTCTGCTCTGATGGGAATATTTATACCATAGAAACCAGCAAGAGTTCAGTTAGCCGTAAAAAATCAAGGACTGCCTGTAACTTAAAATAGGAAGATTAATACTATTTACTGCATTTATGGAAATAAAGGAGACAAGTTCTTTATAGATGCATAAAAAGCAATACAATTCAGCACTTGCTTTTTTTTTAACTGCACAAACTAGGAATAGAAGGGAACTTCTTAATAGAAGAAGTTCTACAAAAAAAACCTAGAGCCAACATATTTAATTGTGAATTTTTGAAAAGCGTATTCCTCCAGAGATCAGGAAAAAGGCAAAGGTGCCCACTATCACCACTTTTTCTCAACTTTGTACAGATTCTAGCCAGTGCAAGCAAAAGAAATGAAAGGCTTACAGATAAGAAATAAAATTGTCATTCACAGATGACATGATTGTAGAAAATTGATATAAACGTAGAAATAATGTGAATTTAACAAGGTTGCAGGATACAAAGTCAAAATTATCTTAGCAACAATTAGAAATTGAAATTATGAGAGTGGTGTGTGCCTATAGTCCCAACTATTGGGGAATTGAAGTGGGAGGATCACTTGAGCCCAGGAGTTCGAGGCTGCAGTGAGCTATTACCACACCACTGCACTCCAGCCTGGGTGAGGGAACGAGACCCTGTCTCAAAAAAAAAAAAAAAAAAAGGAAAATACTAATTACAATAGTATCAGAGAGCATCAAATGCCTCAAAATAAATCTGCTCAAAGATTGGTGAGACTGACTTGTAGAAAACCATGGAACGTTACCAAAAGACACTAAGGAAGACCTAAATAAGAGGAGGGATCGACCCTGTTTATGAGATAGATGACTTAAAAAAACAAAGTCAATTTAACCAAATCAATTTATAGATTTAATGCAATTCCAAATCTGGATCTGGGTGGTTGATACAAAGGGTGTGTGTGTGTGTGTGTGTGTGTGTGTGTGTGTGTGTGTGAAAACTCATATGCTTTACGCTGTGCATTTATATCCAGATACATAGATATCCAGAAATAGGCACTAAATAATTTACTGATTCTTAAAAATCTTTTCTAGTTTGTTTTTATGATAGTGTCTCCTAAGTAGATTTTTCTGTCCATCCATCCATAATCATTCATCCAGAAATCTGCATGTTCACACAGACATCTGGAATGACTTCCACATAATGCTCATGATGTTATTAGATTGATTTTTTTTTTTTTTAACTTACTTTACTTCTTGTATCCCCTTCAGGTCTATTCCGATGTCTCTTTTTCAGTGAAACCTTCCTTGGCCATCCTACTGAAAATGACAAACCCTCCTGATGCTCCTTATCCCCATCCCTGGCTGTATTTTTCCCCATAGTGCTTGTCATCTAACATACGATATAATTTACTATTTTCCTTACGTGATTTCTCCCACTAACAGGTATGCTATGAAATCAGAGTTTCTTGTCTGTTTTGTCCTCTGCTGTATCTCCAGTGTCTAGAAGAGTGCTGGTGCCTGATGGGTGTTCAACAAGTGTTTGTTGAGTGAGTGAAACTTACTTTGTATTCTTCCTAAATTTGAACAATCAGCATGTATAATTTCTGCCCCCCACCCCCCAGTGTTCTTCTAAAAAGAAAATTAGGACTGAAAATACCTCAAGAAATTAAGTGACTAAATTCTGGTGAATAGAAATATGGACACTTTTATTCTTTTCTTTATATTTTATCTTTATTTTTAATTTCTCAAAATGAAGTTTTAAGGGGCTGGGCGCAGTGGCTCAGGCCTGTAATCCCAGCACTTTGGGAGGCCGAGGCAGGCGGATCACCTGAGGTCAGGGGTTCAAGACCAACCTGGCCAACATGTTGAAACCCTGTCTCTAATAAAAATACAAAAAAAAATAGCTTGGTGTGGTGGCTGGCGCCTGTAATCCCAGCTACTCAGGAGGCTGAGGCAGAATCATTTGTACCTGGGAGGCAGAGGTTGCAGTGAGCTGAGATCATGCCATTGCACTACAGCCTGGGTGACAGGGCGAGACTCCATCTCAAAAAAAAAGGGAATTTTAAGGAAGAATTTGGTTGACAGCAAATCACAGGAATTAGGACTCCTCTCCCTCTAGAACTCAAGAAATAACAGGAAATGTATTAAAAAGAGAAGACCAGGACAGTCAGACAGTCATCAAACAGATGTACTCTGGAGAGGCACTATTCATCCAAATGCCTTCCGGCCTCCCAACACAGGAACCAAAGTGGGGAGATCCTATTTTTCTTCATCACTTGGTAGCCAGTACCTGGGCCCTTTATGTAACCTTGGCATATCAGGTGCTGCCACTCAGGTCCTTCAGTCTTGAACAAGTAACAGAGATGGCAGGACATTTAAAATAGAATCATAGCAGCATCACCAGCATCTAACTGGATGGGACTCTGGTAGCTCCTAGTGAGATAGCTGACTATATTATTACCTATGGTCACACGGAATGAAGTGCCCAGTGAGGACAAGACATTGGAGAGCCACTTGGCAGCTGCTGTAGAACAAAATACAGAGCATGAGAACTTCAAACGGCTGGTCAGGGCAGAGAAGGAAAACCAGGGATCTTCTATGACTGTCCTAAAATAATTTCTTACAGCCAGTGCCTAAGTAATCAAAAGCCAAACTCAGTATTTGATCTTGCAGGTTGCTGGCAATCAGTTGAATTCACAGATTCACCACATTTTGTATGTGAAAGGAAGAAAATTTAGTAGGAAAACAGCAGGCCCTGTAGTATTAGAATGTGTATATTTGTGAAAATTTGGAGGATTCTGAATATCAGCAACTATCTGGAACATATGTGACAGTGGGTTATGCTGATGATCAAAAAGCAGAGGAATCAAGTTTCAGATATGATTGGATTTATCACTATGGGTTCAGTCAACAGAAATTCTATATTCAGTTTTTGGTTTGAGCCACTGAGAGTGACTTTCATTGTTTGCCTGACTGCTTGAAGAAACTGAACTTGACAGTGGACCCTCTCTGAACTCCAGTAACATATAATGTAAAAGAAAAAAAGCTAACAACTTTAGAAAATAAAGCTTTAGTGGATTTACCACATAAGACCTATCCACAAAGCCACAGTGTTCCTAGAGAACTAGAATCTGGTTCCTTAATCCAAGCTTTGGTAGGTGGAAAGAATGCTTTCTTACTTTTTATTTTATTTTATTTTTTGAGGTGAAGTCTCGCTCTTGTCACCCAGGCTGGAGTGCAGTGGTGCCATCTCAGCTAACTGCAACCTCCACCTCCAGGGTTCAAGCGAGTCTCCTGCCTCAGCCTCCCGAGTAGCTGGGATTACAGGCACCCGCCACCACACCCAGCTAATTTTTTGGTATTTTTAGTTGAGACAGGGTTTCACCATGTTGGCCAGGCTGCAAGTGATCCACCTGCCTCGGCCTCCCAAAGTGCTGGGATCACAGGCGTGAGCCACCGCGCCCAGCTGAAGAAATGCTTTCTAATGTGCTTTTCTTGTCATCTGATTGCACTGGGGCCAGAAAGCAATCCACTTGGGTTGCAGAAGCCCAGCAGTGGCACCGGGGCTAGCACAAGCCAAATGGACTTTGGTACCATGTCAGGCTAGTGTGATCATCAGAAAGGTCTTTCCCACAGAGTCTTAAGCAACAATTCATGAGCGATGGGATCCCTGCAACAAAAACAAATGCCTGTTCAGCTCACTAAGGGGCTACTTCATTAGCCTAACCAAAACCCAAGTCTGGTGGATACCTGACCAGAACCATCATGATAATAGGCAAAGCATGAAGCACAGCATTGATTTTGTACCACTTGAAACAAGCATAAGCTTGGTATTGTTGAGGAAGGATCCTGCAATAATACCACAAGTACCTTCCTTTCGGCCTTCCCCGAAGGGATGGGAGGCTACTTACCAAAGCTGCTAGGAAATAGTGAAACAGAAATATGAAGACTTTAGAGGACTGTGGGACACTGGCTCTGAGCTAATAATCTTAACTGGAGAATCAGAAAGTCACATGGTCCACTGGTCAAGAGGGTACTTATGGGGGTTTAGTGATAAATGAGGTGGAGTTTTAACCAAAGTGTGCATTGGTTAAGCTGAATGAATATCTCCGGGAATGATCAGTCACCAGAGCAGTTCTCTGACATGTGGGGTGAAGGTTAATGTAAAAAGAAGGGTCTAGGAGAACCCCCTGGAACTTTCCCCTCTTACAGAAACAGTAAATAATAAACAATTGTTACAACACTAGAGGAAATCACAGAAATACTGCCACCATCCCGAATATGAGAAGTGTAGGTATGGTCTTACCTACCAGGGCCCCGTTTAACTCTGCAGGATGGACAGTATAGAAAATAAATGAATTTTAGAGAATAACAGTGAATACATACTTTACATGTTCTTCCACTGGCCTGGTATTTCACAATTAAGAAAATAATGAAGATATATCTAAGGTAAGTTGAGAATTGAAATAGATGTAGAAGAAAGAATAGACATTATATAAACTTAATCTTACAAATGGATAGTAATATGAGATTCCAAAAGTTGGTGGAGCAAGAAATGGAGGTTTAAAAACAGTTTCAAAGGTAGGTGATAAAATTCTAAACCATTAAAAAATTGGAAGGGACAAGTGAGGGGTTAATGCAAGTGAGCTAAAGTCTCATCTCTCAAAGTAGGAAGCAATCATGTATAAGGTCAGTAAATTGAGATGTAGTACGATAAGCAGACAGGGAGGTAACTCAGAAAAATTATTTGTTTGGAATTGCTGCTTTAGAAGTCATCCCCAAACTTCATGGTTTCAATTATTTTCTCTTGGTTCCTGTGGGTCAGGAATTCAGGAAGGGCTTGGCCAGGTGCTTCTGGCTAGGAGAGCTCTGCACAGGTGCAGTCCCACAGCTGCTGGACAGCTGATGCAACTGGGCGCTGGCTGGATAGCCCTCTTCATGGAGACCTGGGGTTGCTCCAAGTGGCTGCTCTGCGTAGGATGTTTGGGCTTCCACACAGCATGGCTGCCACGGGGCAGTCTGACTGCTGACATGGTGACTGATGACTGCAACTTCAGGAGCAAGTATTCCAGGGACCAAAATGGAAGCTGTACCACCTTTAGCAATCTAGCCTCTGAAGTCACATAGTGTCTCTCCTGCCATATTCCATGGATCACAATATTCACAGAAGCCAACCCAATTTTGAGGGGAGGGGACATGGATTCCCCCATCCCTGGAAGGAATGTCAAGGTGACATTGTAAGAGGAGCGGTTGAGTTGGCAGATGTTGTTGTGGCCACTTTTGGAAAATAAAATCATCCACAGGAATCAAACCTAAAAAAAGACTGGAAGTCATTGCCCCTGGGGAGTGGAATCAGGGCTGAGGAGGGTTTGAGGGTAGGGAACTGTGAAGTTAGATCTTAGCCCACTGTACTGTTATTTTTTTGTCCACACACAGCTATTCTTTTGATTAAAAAATCAAATGGGCCAGGCACGTGGCTCACGCCTGTAATCCTAACACTTTGGGAGGCCGAGGCGGGCAGATCACGAGGTCAGGAGTTCGAGATCAGCCTGGCCAACATGGTGAAACCCCATCTCTACTAAAGATACAAAAAAATTGGCCAGGTGTGGTGGCAGGCACCTGTAATCCCAGCTACTCAGGAGGCTGAGGCAGGAGAATAGCTAGAACCCAGGAGGCGGAGGCTGCAGTGAGCTGAGATGGTGCCATTGCACTCTAGCCTGGGTGACAGGGTGAGGCTCTGTCTCAAAAAATAAAGATGAAATAAAGTAAAATAAAATAAAAACTAAAGTATCAAGATCACCTCTAAAAAAATAATTGCAGGATTTAAAAAATTGTAAGTATTATCTAAGCTATGTAAAATGTATGTCCAAAATAAAACTAAAAGAAGTATGGTAGAAATCTAGTACCATCTATCCAGATGTCAGAACTTTATATATACTGGCCTTGAGCCTATAATGTCCCTGCCCTCAAGAAACTTACAGTCCAGTTAAAAGGACAGTCAAGTGAATCAATGATTATAGTGCAACACTTTGAGATCAAGGACAGATGTGCAAAGCGCACCGCACAGCCATTGAAGAGGAACAGCTAAAGACTAGGGGAAAAAGTGGAGGGGGAGAGCCTCATTTGCCACCACTGGTGGTGAATATCACACAACTTCTTAGTCTGAAAGCTAGGAATTATGGGAGACATTGAACATTTGCTCTTCCTCTTTAAGAGGAATAGCAGTTGATACCTAGATGATGAGGGAAAGCTCTCTCTCTCTCTCTTTCTCTCCAGAAGAATGCCAGCTAATAAATGTGAAGGGAACAGCAGAATTTAAAATACCCTTTGCCAAGCCCGATGAAATGATTCAGGCAAAGATCATTGATGGATGTTAAAATTATTGAGTGAGATGATATTTACATGGCCTATGAGTGTATAATAAACCACTCAAAATCTTAACGGCTTAAAATGGCCATTTATTATTATTCACAAGTCTGCAATTCAGGCAGAACTCCATGGAGAGGGTTTGCCTCTGCTCCACATGGTGTTGGCTGGGGTGAGGAATCCAAGATGGCTCCATCACATGTCTGGTGTCTCAAGTTGGGCTGGCTGGACTGTTCTCTTTGATGTGATCTCTCATCATGCAGTAGTCCAGCCTGAGTTTCTTTCCATGGCAGCTTACTCCCAATCCCGGAAGCTTCAATGCCTCTTAAGGCCCAGACCAAGAAATAAACAAGTTAGAAGACCAGTCAAGATTTACGGCATGAAAAATAAATTCTACTTCTTCATGGGAGGACCAGCATATGCAGATAGGAAAGGGAGGAACTGTTGGTGATGACCCACCCACATTCAGAAGTGTCCTCTCAGATTACTTGCTCACCGCCAAGGAGAACACTGGCTTTACAATGGAGAGCTATGGCTGTCACCACCTTGCCAAGGAAATCAAATTGAGTATCACTAACAATGGCAACCAGACATCATGTGCCACCTGGTAGGATGCAACATGAAAACCACTTACAAAGTATTCTTATAAAAAAATGTGTAGTCTGAATCTAATTGAGCCATAGACCTAATGCCAGGTTACAGAAAATTCACTGGAGAGAGAAATAACACCACAAGAAATCAATCAGTCAGAAGAGAATGCAGGGTCTTCTACAAGACAACTGACCCAGTCTCTTCAAAAAAGTTAATGTCATTTTTCTAAAAAGGTTGGAAGATTCTTCTATTCTTCTAGATTAAAAAAAGTTGGAGATGTATAACTCAATGCAATATATGAACCTTGCTTGGATCCTAGTTTGGAAAAAAAAAAAAGCTATAAAAGACAATTTGGGCTGGACACAGTGGCTCACGCCCGCAATCCCAGCATTTTGAGTGGTCAGGGCAGGTGGATCACTTGAGGCTAGGAGTTCAAGACCAGCCTGCCCAACATGGTGAAATCCCATCTAGAAAAAAAAATGGGGGGCAATTGAAGAAATATGAATATGGGCTGGATTGTAGGTAATATTATGGAATTGTTATTGCCTTAGGTGCGATAATGGTATTGTAGGTAATGTTAGTGTGCATTGTACCCTTCACTTTAGAAGACATATGCTTAAGTGTGCTCATACAGGGATGCAGAGGAAGTGCCATGATGTCTATAAATTACTTTGAAATGGTTCGGGGAAAAAAAACCCACACATGCACTTAAACACTACATGAAGCAAACATGTCTAAATAAATAACACTGAAGGATAAAGAATCGTTTCTGCAGTTTAAAAAATATCTAGTGATAGAATCTATGACTAACTGCCGGGCGTGGTGGTTCAAGCCTGTAATCCCAGCACTTTGGGAGGCTGAGGCGGGCGGATCACTTGAGGTCAGGAGTTTGAGACCATCCCAGCCAACATGGTGAAATCCCGTCTCTACTAAAAGTATAAAAATTAGCCGAGTGAGGTGGTGGGAGCCTGTAATCCCAGCTACTCGGGAGGCTAAAGCATGAGAATCACTTGAACCCGGGAGGTGGAGGTTGCAGTGAGCGGAGATCGTGCTACTGCACTCCAGCCAGGGCGACACAGTGAGACTCCGTCTCAAAAAAAAAAAAAAGAAAAGAAAAAAAAAGAATCAATGACTAACTGATCTTCAGTGCTTCCCACACATCTTTCACGTTTTTCTCCTTCCTCTCCCAAAATTTGCCCTTTGTATTATTTTTGCATATAACATGTACATACATATTATTCTTTACCCTACATCTCACATTTGCTTTAGGCTTTGGTGTACTGTTAAATAGATTCAATTTTCAAAAGATTGCTCTTTTACTATGCTTTTCCCAGTCAGCTATTGGCTGGCTGAGTCATCCTGTAGTCTTAATAATTTCCTCAAGAACTGCTTATGGGAAAAAGATTTCCTTGGTTATTAGATGTTCAAAATTATTTGTCTGAAACTTTTATGGGTGAAATACAGATTCGCTGAACGTGAAACCTTGACACAACATTCCTTCCTTGAGGATCTGACAGATGTTGCATCGTTCTCTCATGTTGAATGTCACTCTGGAGAAACCTGAAACTAGCCTGATCTCTTTTTAAGACAACTGACCTGATGATTTTGTCTAACTGACCAAAGTCTTCACTCTTTTAAAATCCAATACTTACTAGAGAATGACTCAATGTTGATTATTTTCAGTCAGTTTTCCCTGGTGTAAAATATCATATCTATCTACCTATCTATCTATCTATTTATGTGTATGTGTGTACACACACATATAAATGTTCAAATGCTTTAGTATTTTAGGAAAGTGTATTTGAAATTTTTAAAAATATTTCTAATGTCTTGTTTTTTTTCTTCAGGTATTCCTATTCTACATATGTCGACTCACATCCTTTGTCTGTTTTCTTATCTTTTTTTCTGTCTTTTAAATTCTTTGTTTTCATTTCATTTTGTTTGCTTTACTCATTATTTCCTTTCTGTTCCTTACTGTGTTTTTCACTCTATTCTCCTCCTGCGTTCACTTTCATTTTCATATCTGTGATGATTTTTACTTTTACTTCTTTCCTGATTTCTGCCAGTGTAACTTTTATCTCCTCTTGTTGTTTCATCATTCTTCCCTGAGTCCTTGCATTTGTAGTCTTCCTTCATAAAATAACTGCTTCACCAAATGTTTTAAATCATGGTGAAATATTTAAGTATCCAAATAAAAGATTTTTTGTTTTGTTTTGTTTTTTCCCTGAGTGTAAATCTATTGAGGAGTCTTTCTGCTCTTCACCGCTCTTTCCCCTCTTTTTTTTTTTTTCTCTCATAATACCTCTGTATCAGGATTGTGCCAGTTCCTTTCAAAAGAAATTACTTACCTTTCAAGTCGAGCACGGTGGCTCACACCTGTAATCCCAGCACTTTAGAAGGCCAAGGCAGGCAGATCACCTGAGGTCAGGAGTTCGAGACCAGCCTGGCCAACATGGTGCAACCTCATCTCTACTAAAAACACAAAAATTACCCAGGCATGGTGGCAGGTGCCTGTAATCCCAGCTATTCAGGAGGCTGAGGCAGGAGAATCACTTGAACCCAGGAGGCAGAGGTTGCAGCGAGCCAAGATTGTGCCATTGCACTCCAGACTGGGTGACAAGAGCAAAACTCTGTCTCAAAAAAAAAGAAGAAGAAGAAAAAAAAGAAACTATGTATCTTTCAGGCCGGGCACAATGGCTCACGCCTGTAATCCTAGCACTTTGGGAAACTGAGGCAGGCAGATCCGCTGAGGTCAGGAGTTCAAGACCAGCCTGGCCAACATATGAAACCCATCTCTACTAAAAATACAAAAATTAGCCAGGCATGGGGGCACATGCTTGTAATCCCAGCTACTCGGGAGGCTGAGGCAGGAGAGTCGCTTGAACCCAGGAGGCGGAGGTTACAGTGAGCTGAGATCATGCCACACCCTAGCCTGGGTGACAGATAGAGACTCCATCTCAAAAAAAAGTGTTTTTAATTTAATTTTCTATATTTTGTTCATTTTTAAGAATGTAAGAAGAGTAAGAATGCCAATATTGCTATTCTAAGGTAATCCAAAATATCTTTTTAATGGTTTCAACAAGATACAAAAAATATTTAAAAAAAATTATCAGATAAGATTAGAAATTAGCTTAATGGTTCTTATTGTTTATTTCCTGCTTTCAACTTTTTCATGTCAACCAAAAGAGTCAAATTCTAAAACATTTGAAGAGATTTATACTGAGCCAAATATGAGTGAACAATGGCCCATGACACAGCCCCGGGAGATCCTGAGAACATATGCCCATGGTGGTTGGGCTGCAGCTTGGTTTATACATCTTAGGGAGACATGAGACATCAATCAATACGTGTAAGATGTACATTGGTTTGGTCCAGAAAGGTGGAACAACTGGAAACTGGGAGGTCATAGGCAGATTCCAAGATTTTCTGATAGGCAATTGGTTGAAAGAGTTATTATCTAAAGACCTGGAATGAACAGAAGGAAGGAAGGAAGGAAGGGGGGAAGGAGGAAGGAAGGAAGGAAGGAAGGAAGGAAGGAAGGAAGGAAGGAAGGAAGGAAGGAAGGAAGGAAGGGAGTTATTTAGATTTCTGCTTTGTCATAACCCATGCATTTATTTAACTCCAAGTTTCCTGAGGACCAAATCATCAGTCAATTTAACAATAAATTATTGGACACCTACTTAGGTGTCCAGAATTCAGCAAGGCACTGTGGAAGAATCTTCTGAGTCAAAGAGTTATAAGTCATGTGATTACTTTATAATACAATGTGATAAATGTTATAATTAAAATGTGGAAAATGTGGATTAGAGAAAAAATACTCTTCTTAGGTTGCTTGGGAAAACCTCACTGAGCCACTGACACATTTGAAATCAATCTTGATAAATAAACCAGCTCACAAGGCAGAAGGTAGAGTGAGGAACTTTTAGAAAAAAAGACATTGCTGATGAACTGCATCAGGTTGACCAATACAGGAAAATTTGGGTATAATGCCATAGAGACCAAAAAAATTCTTTCTGTAAGACACAGTATCACCAGGATGATAAAAATATCAAGAAGAACCTGCATTGTCAGCTGGGTTCTGAGGGGCTGAGAGCCAGTCACCCAATATAGTGCTTCTGAGTTTGTATTTTGCAGGGTTTTCATGGATGGCGAGTAGGTTGTGGCCAGAATTTAGGTTATATGCATTCTGTGTTTTTGGTATGTGTGAATCTGAATAGGCAAGAAGAACTTGTATTAGTTTCGTAATACTGTTGTAACAAATTACCACAAAGTTAGTGGCTTAAACCAATGCAGATGCATTATCTTACAGTTCTGTCAGTAAGAAGTCCAGTACAGGTCTCACTGGGCTAAAATCAGGACGTCAGCCAGAGATAGTGTTGCAAGCCTGTAGTCCCAGCTACTCAGGAAACTGAGGTGGGAGGATTGCTTGAGACCAGGAGTTTGAGGCTGCAGTGAGCTGTAATCACACCACTGCATTCCAGCCTGGGTTATGATTGCATCACTGTACTCCAGCCTAGGGAGAATTAGTTTCCTTGGTCATTCAGGTTGTGAGCAGAATTCAATTCCTTGTGGTTGTAGGACTGAGGTCCCATGTTCTTGCTGGCTGTCAGCTGAGAGGTGTTCCCACTTTCTCGAGGCCACCTACACTCCTTGGCTTGTGGCCCCCTCCTCCACTTTCAAAGCAGCAATGGTGGGTTGAGTCCTAGTTGTGCTTAAGATCTCTCCTGCCTCTTCTTGCATTGCTGCATCTCACCCACCCACTCTCCTGCTGTCCTCTTTCACTTTAATTTTCTCTGTTTTTATTAAACTTGTTACTTTAAGATAATTGTAGATGCACATGTAGTTGTAAGGAACAAAACAGAGATCCCCTGTACCCACTTTCCCCCAGTGGTAACATCCTGCAAAATTATACCACTATATCACAACCAGGATATTGACATAGATATAGTCAAGATACAGAACATTCTTATTATCACATGCTCCCATTTTTATAGCCACATCTACTTCCCTCCTGTTCCACTTCCTCCTTAACCCCTAGAAATGATGTTAGTTTTTGATTTTTTGTTTTGTTTTGTTTGAGATGGAGTTTCACTTTTGTTGCCCAGGCTGGAGTGCAATGGCACAATCTTGGCTCACTACAACCTCTGCCTCCTGGGTTCAAGCAAGTCTCCTGCCTCAGCCTCCCAAGTAGCTGGGATCACAGGCATGCACCACCACTCCCAGCTAATTTTGTATTTTTAGTAGAGACAGGGTTTCACCATGGTCAGGCTGGTCTCGAACTCCTGACCTCAGGTGATCCATCCACCTCGGCCTCCCAAAGTGCTGGAATTACAGGTGTGAGCCACCGTGCCCGGCCAATGATGTTAGTTTTTTAAAAAAAAAATTTAAATTTTTTGAGATAATCTTGCTCTGTCACCCAGGCTGGAGTGCAGTGGTGCAATCTCAGCTCACTGTAACTTCTACCTCCCATTCCCCTGCCCACCCCCAAGCAATTATCCCACCTCCAGCCTTCCAAGTAGCTAGGACTACAAATGCAGGACACCATGCCTGGCTAAGTTTTTGTACCTTTGGTAGAAGCAGGGTTTCACCACGTTGCCCAGGTTGGTCTTGAACTCCTGAGCTCAAGTGATCTGTTCGCCTCAGCCTCCCAAAGTGTTGGGATTACAGGTGTGAGCCACCACTCCAGCCTGTTATTTATTTATGATATTGCCATTTCAAGAATGTTAGATAAATGGAATCACATAGCATGTACTGTGGGATTGACTTTTTGTCAACTTTTTGGGATTGACTTTTTTCCCTTAGCATAATTCATCCTGGTTGCTGTGTGTATCAATAATCCTTTTTTTTTTTTTTTTTTTTTTTTGAGACAGGGTTTTGCTCTGTTGCCCAGGCTGGAGTGCGGTGGCACAATCTTGGCTCCCTGCAGCCTCCACCTCCTGGGTTCAAGCTATTCTCATGCCTCAGCCTCCTGAGTAGCTGGGACTACAGGCACATGCCACCACGTCCAGCTAATTTTTGTATTTTTGTAGAGACGGTGTTTTGCCATGTTGCCCAGGTTGGTCTCAAACTCCTGGACTCAAGTTATCTGCCTGACTTGGTCCCCCAAAGTGCTGGGATTACAGGCATGAGCCACTGTACTCTGCCATCCATTCTTTTTTATTGTCAAGTAGCATGGTACTGTTGAGTATTGTTGAGTTCCACGGTACATATGTACCACAGTTTGTTTAACCATTCACTTGTTGAAGGACATCTGAATTGCTTCCAGTTTTTTACTATTTTGGATGAAGTTGCTATAAACATTTATATACATGTTTTTGTGTGAACATAAGTCTTCATTTCTCTGGGATAAATGCCCAGGAATGTGATTGCTGGGTCACATAGTAGTTGCAGGCTCAGTTTTTGCTTTTCTTTTTTTCAACAAACTGCCAGACTGTTTTCCAGAAAGGCTGTGCCATTTTTTACATTCCCATCAGCAATGTATGAGTAATCTAGTTTCTCCACATCCTCACCAACATTTGGTGTTGTCACTATTTTTTGTTTTAGCCATTTTTATCAACATATACTGATATATCATTGTGGTTTTATTTTATATATATTTTTTGAGATAAGGTCTCACTCTGTCACCCAGGATGAAGTGCAGTGGCGTGATCTCAGCTCACTGCAACCTCTGCCTCCTGGGTTCAAGTGATTCTTCTGCCTCACCCTTCTGAGTTGCTGGGATTACAAGGGCATGCCACCATGCCCGGCTAATTTTTGTATTTTTAGTAGAGACGGGTTTTCACCATGTTGGCCAGGCTGGTCTCAAACTCTTGATTTCAGGTGATTCACGTGCCTTGGCCTCCAAAAGTGCTGGGATTACAAGCGTGAGGCACTGCACCCAGACCATTGTGGTTTTAATTTGTATTTCTCTAATGGCAGATGATGTTGGACATATTTCTTCATGTGTTTATTTCCTATCTGTGTGTCTTCCTCATGGAAATATCTCATGTAAATTTCCCATGTTATAATTGGTTTTATTATTATTATTATTGAGATGGAGTTTCACTCTTGTTGCCCAGGCTGGAGTGCAATGGTGTGATTCTCAGCTCACTGCAACCTCTACCTCCCAGATTCTCCTGCCTCAGCCTCCTGAGGAGCTGGCATTACAGGCACCCACCACCATGCCCGGCTAGTTTTTTGTGTATCTCTAGTAGAGATGGGGTTTCACCATGTTGGCCAGGCTGGTCTCGAACTCCTGACTTCATGTGGTCCACCGCCTCTGCCTCTCAAAGTGCTGGGATTACAGGCATGAGCCTTTGCACCTGAAGGTTTCAATTTTTTTATTGTTGAGTTTTGAGAATTATTTGCATATCCTGGATACTAGTCCTTTGTCAGATATGTGGTTTGCAAATATTTTCTCCCAATCTGCAGGTTACCTTTTTTTCCTTTTGTCAGGGTATTTTGCAGAGTCAAAATGTTAAATTTTGATGAAGCCCAATTTATCAATTTTTCTTTTAGGGACTGTGCTTTTGGTGCCAAATCTAGGAAGTCTTTATCTAATCCTAGCTCTCAAAGTGTGTTTTTCCTAACATTTTATAGTTTTAGATTTAAGTCCATGATCCTCTCTGTATTATTTAGGGTACTCCTGAGAAATAGAATGAATAGGATGTATACATAAGCAAAGAGATTTATTATAAGAAATTGGCTTATGCAATTATAGAGGCTGGAAAATCCCAAGATTTGCAGGGCGAGTTGGCAAGCTAGAGACCCAGGAGAGCTAATGTTTCAGTTCAAGCCAAAGGCAGAGGAAAAAGCCAATGTCCTAGTCTAAAGATCATCAGACAGGAAGAATTCTCTCTTATGAAAGGAAGGATCTTCCTTTTTGTTCTATTCAGGCCTTCAACTGACTGGATGAGGTCCACCCACAGTAGGAGGTACAATCTGCTTTACTCAGTCTTCTAGGTTAAATGATAAATCTCATCCAAAATACCCTCACAGAAACACCCAGAATAATGTTTGACTGAATATCAGGGCACCACATGGCTCAATGAAGTTGACACACAAAATTAGCCATCACCCTTTCTTAAGTTTTGCAGATGGTATAAACTTTTGGTTGAGGTATTTTTTTTCTATTTGTTTGTTTTTCTTTGTCTATGGACGTCCAGTTGTGGCAGTCCCATTTCTTTTTTTCTTTTCTTTTCTTTTTTTTTTTTTGAGACAGAGTTTCCCTCTTTTTGCCCAGGCTGGAGTGCGATGGTGTGATGTTGGCTCACTGAAACCTCCACCTCCTGGGATCAAGTGTTTCTCATGCCTTGGCTTCCCGAGTAGCTGGGATTACAGGCTCTCACAACCATGCCCAGCTAATTTTTTTATTTTTAGTAGATATGGGGTTTCACCATGTTGGCCAGGCTGGTCTCGAACTCCTGACCTCAGGTGATCTACCCACCTCGGCCTCCCAAAGAGCTGGGATTACAGGCATGAACCACCATGCCTAGCCTGGCAGTCCCATTTCTTGAAAAGGGTATCTTTCCTCCATTAAATTGCTTTTGCACTTTTGTCAAAAATCAGTTAGGTGTATTTTTGTGGGTTTATTTTTGGGGCCTGTTGATCTATGTGTCTGCCTTTCCGCCAGTACCACACAGTTTTCATTGCTGTAGCTATATAATCAGTCGTGAAAGCAGGTAGATTGATTACTTCCACTTTATTCTGCTTTTAAAAAATGTTTTCACTATTTTAATTTCTTTGCCTTTACATATAAATTTTATAGTAATCTTGTCTATGTTTACAAAAATATTGCTATAGTTTGAATAGGCAGTGCATTAAAATAATATATCAGTTTGGAAAAAAATTGACATCTTTATTATACAGAGTCTTCTAATTCATGAACATAGTATGTCAGTTTATTTAGATCTTTGATTTCTTTCATCAGCATTGCACAGTTTTCAACATGCAAGTCCTGTACATGTTTTGTTAGATTACACCTATTTCATTTCTTTCAGAAATTATAAATGAAATCATATTTTTAATTGTAGTGTCCACAAGTTCATGGCTAGTATATAAAAATGCATTTTATTTTTGTATATTCTTTTATTTTTGTATTATGCAAATTTTCTGGAGATGCTTAAATTCTACTAGGTGTTTTTCTTTTTTCAAGATTCTTAGGGATTTTCTGCATAATCAATCATGCCATCTGCAAGTAGGAGTCGTTTTACTTATTACTTTCTGATCTGTATGATGTTTACTTCCTTTTCTAGCCTTATTATTTCTTGCCTTATTGATCTAGAACTTCTAGGACTGTTGAATGAGAATGATGAGAGCAAGTTTCTTAGCTTTGTCCTTGATCTTATGGAGGAAGCATTCAGTATTTCACCATTAGCTGTAGGTTTTTCTACAGATGTTCTTCATAAAGTTGAGGAAGTTCCTCTATATTCTTATATTTCTGAGAATTTTAATTATGAATGGGTGTCAAATTTTGTCAAATGCCTTTTCTACATTGATTGATGTATGATCATGTGATTTTCCTTCTTTCACCTGTTAATATGATAGATTATACTGATTGAATTTGAAATATTGAAACAGTCTTGCATCCTTGAAATAAATCCCAGGTAGTCATAGGGTTTACTTATCTTACTTGAAGTAAATTTACCAATGGAATTTAGATATCATGGGGTCTCATTCATAGAGAATTGGCTCACTGGAGGCCAAAATAAATGCAAAGGAACAACAACGTCAGAAAGCTGAACATGGAATCTCTTGATTGTTATTATCTGTAATCACTAAATTATAGGGATAGTGTTGGGGCAGAACCTGATGCTGGGCCAAGCTGGAATTCTAGCCATTGAGCCATAGCTGCTAGTTCAGGGCCACCTCCAAAGGGAAAAGTTATGCTAAAACAACAGAGAGCAGACTTATTCCAAGAGACTAAGGAAAGAGAAAAGGGAGAGAGAATGGATAGAAATTTAAAAATAGTTATTAAGAGATATCATAAATAAAGTGGGCATTGGTGGTGTTGAAACAAAAGTCTTAATGCAGCACTCTCAGAAGTTGGATGGACAAATGGAAACCCTTACTAGTCCCCCAACATTGAAGGGCGCTAAACAAATCCACTTTATTCAACCTAGTTTGGATAAATTTTAAAAGCTGCAAAGCAAAGATGACTGTAAGAAACCTGACTTCCAATCACCTGGGGTGAAGATATGCAAAGTAGTCAAGGTAAGAACTGAAGAAAGGCCGGGCAGGTAGCTTATGCCTGTAATCCCAGCACTTTGGGAGGCCGAGGTGGGTGGATCACCTGAGGTCAGGAGTTTGAGACCAGCCTGGCCAACATGGTGAAACCCCATCTCTACTGAAATACAAAAATTAGCCAGGCATGGTGGTGCATGCTTATAATCCCAGCTTCTCAGGAGGCTGAGGCAGGAGAATTGCCTGAACCCAGGAGGCAGAGGTTGCAGTGAGCCGAGATCATGCCACTGCACTCCAGCCTGGGCAACAGAGCGAGACTCTGTCACACACACACACACAAACAAAACAAAACAAACAAAAACTGAAGAAAGAACCTAGGCCCATTGGCCTAATCTCTGGCTGGGGTCCAAGACCAAATGTACGTGAATGGGTAAATTGTCAGGGGTGGAAAAGAAACATTTCTAAAATTCTTTGACATGGGAGCCCCATGCACTGTTTTTCTGTTAGTGAAATTCTAACCAAGGCAACAGATTGGAAAGATATGAAAATACATTTGATGGGATTAAAATGAAAGTTTGGATAGAAACTGGAATGTCTGAAGAGACTCTATTTGGAGTGGTTGCATCCCCTTTACATGAATGTACTATGGGGATGGATATTGCCTGAGGAAAATTTCCTTTACCTAGTAATGTAAAACACAAGACAGGTGGCCCTGCCCTTCAGACAATATTGATTGGACATGCTAAATGGGAACCAGTAAGATTGCTGAGCCCACACAAGTTGTTAATATTAAAAACTATAGGATACTTGGTGGACAAAACATGTTAAAAAGACAGTCTGGTACCTAAAGGGTGAAGGCCACTTCTGTTTTTGGAAACTGATAGCATCAGATGGGAACTTTCAAGCCTGAGTGGCATTTCTCTGGGAGACATTTTGGTCATACAATATGATGATGAACTGGACCAGTTGTTGATGGCAGAGTGGAAGTCTTATATCTATCTGCCACTATCTTTTGACTCTAATTTTTCAAATTATGTTTACTACCATATCATAATACAGTGTAACTCTGGGATTGTAAGTGAGGTTTTAATGTTCACACTGATGGCCAATGTATTGAGAAATTGAGTTAAAAGCCTCCTACTCTACACTGGCTCCTCCAAATGTCAGATATATGTTCATTTTACTGTAAGAGAGCTTTGGCCAAAGGCCAGGTGGCAGCCGTGTTGTAAAGGATTCAGTCTTGCCCAAAGAGAAGGTTTGACTTTTGCCCTTGGCTTATGGGAGGTTATCTACGTCATACCTGATAGGAGTACCTCTGTTTAGATGGGGACTGGGCAAACTGGATTTTAGGGTGGAGACTGGCCATTCCAGAGAGACCAAGTATGTGAATTAGGGGGCTTTTGTCATGCACTATCAGTCTAGTTGGAGTCTCAGTCCAACCAAGTGGACAATTGATCAAGCCTATGTGCTGGAGTCCCAGTAAAAACTCTGGACACAGAAGCTCAGACAAGTGTCCCTGGTTGACAATACTCCAAGCATACTGTCACATACCAATGCTGGGAAGGTAACACAGCCTGACTCCGTGGGAGATGACAACAGGAGCTTTGCATTTGGAGCCCTCCAGACTCTGCCTTAGGCATTTCTTTCCTTAGCTGACTTTGATCTGTATTCTTTCCCCATAATAAACCATAACTATGAGCATAATGGCTTTCAGTGAGTTCTGTGAGTCCTTCCAGTGAATGATCAAACCTGAGGGTGGTTCAGGAACCTCTAAACTTGCATTGATATCAGAAGTCTTGGACATTATGCCTTCAAATTTTGCAGTTTGGCTAACTGCTGTAAGTCAAGAAAAAAAGGAAAAGAAAAACTTTTTTTTCTCCTTCGCTCCCTAGTATTTCTAGAAACAACAACAAAAATGAAAAGCAAGTAAGCAAACAAAAATATGTGCCTCTATGCAAATTAAAATCACAATGAGACTTCACACCAACTAAAAAAGCTATAATCAGAAAGACGGATGATAACAACTGTTAGTGAAGATGTAGAGAAATTGGAACCCACATACACTGCTGGTGGGAACACAAAATGTTGTACTCACTTTGGAAAACTTCTGGCAATTCCTCAAATAGTTAAACATAGAGTTGCCGTAAGATGTAGCAACTCCCCTACTAGGCATGTACCCAAGAGAAATGAAACATAATGCCCACACAAAAACCGGTAAATGAATATTTACAGTTAGCATAATTCTAATAGTCAAAAAGTGGAAACAACCTAAATATTCCTCAATTGATGAATGGAAAATTAAAATGTCGTATAGTCATACAATGGGATATTATTTGGCAATAAAAATAAATGAAGTATTAACATGTAGTACTTCATATCATGGATGAACCTTGAAAACATTACAGTAAGTGAAAGATAGGATGAAAAAGGCTACATATTATATGATTCCATTTATGTGAAATATCCCGAATAGGCAAGATTATAGAGACAGAAACATGAGGGATTGCTTAGGCTTGGGCGGGGCTTGGGAGGAAATGGGTCGTGACTGCCAATGAGTATAGGATTTTGGGGGGTTGTGACAAAAATGTTCTAAAATTTATGGTAGTGATGGGTCTACAACTGTGACTATATTAAAGACAATTTATTATAAGCTTTATTTATTTATTTATTTTTGAGACGGAGTCTTGATCTGTCACCCAGGCTGGAGTGCAGTGGCGCGATCTCACCGCAATCTCTGCCTCCCGGGTTCAAGCGATTCTCCTGCCTCAGCCTCCAGGGTAGCTGGGATTACAAGCATACGCCACCATGCCCGGGTGATTTTTTGTATTTTTAGTAGAGACGGGGGTTTCACCATCATGGCCAGGCTGGTCTCGAACTCCAGACCTGAAGAGATCCGCCCGCCTCAGCCTCCCAAAGGTCGGGGATTACAGGCGCGAGCTACCTCGCCCGGCCTATTACGCACGTTAAATCGGGAATTGTATGGTATAGTACGTGAATGAGACCTTAATAAAGCTGAGTTGTTTGCGTTATTTATTTGTTTTGAACCTGCTTGGTAAAGATGAACTCTGAACTCAATGAAATTGAATTACCTTAGTGATTCCTCAAAACTCCCTGTTAAGGCTTTCCGGTCCTCTGAAAAGCGAAAGTGGGCCGTGACCATCTTCTAAAAACGCCAAAAAATATGGAATGGAGCCCGGGATTTCAGAGCGTAGTCGCTGGGCTCCCAGGCTGAGCCCGCTCCGGGAGCCTCCAGCCGCCCTTTCCGATGCTCCGGGGCCTCCGAGCAACCCAGCGGGCAGTCCCAAGCCGAGGGCTGAACTCCAGGGAGGAGCGCTCGTCACGCCCACACTGGAGGCCGTGGCAGGCCTGGAAACCCGCCCTGCGGGGTCCTAAGAAGCCATTCGAGCTCCCGAAGAGCGAGTCTTCGCAGCCCTTCCCGGCGCGCTCGCATCTGGCGCTGTCCGGAGCCCGCTCGCGACGCACAGGGACGGGAGGCCCGGTTTCCACGGGAGAGGCTGCGGACTGCGGGCCCCGTCCCGAGGCCGGGGGAGTGGGAGACACCCGGCGACCCCCGAGAGGCGATTCTGGCAGTGGTGGCGGTGGCGGTGGCGGTGGCGGCCTACTCGCCCCCTGGAAGCACCGCCCCGCCTGGGTGGCGCGCGCGCCGGCTCCTCCTCTTCCCCTCCGCCGCGGCCCGCCCCGGCCCGCAAACCCAAACACTCCAGGCGCCCGCCCGCCGCGCGTGATTCTCGCCTCGCCGCAGCCCAGCCCTGCGCGCCTTGCCCGGCGGCCCCCGCCCGGCCGCTCCGGGCCCCTGGCCCCGCGGAGCGATGCTGCTGCTGGCTGCCGCCTTCCTCGTGGCCTTCGTGCTGCTGCTGTACATGGTGTCTCCGCTCATCAGCCCCAAGCCCCTCGCCCTGCCCGGGGCGCATGTGGTGGTGAGTGGCCTCCTGTTGCTGCCCCCCGACTTACCGGCCCGCGCGGCCTTTCCGCCGCCGAGGCCGCGTAGCCTACGTCCCTTTTTCCAGGCCGCGGTCCCCAGGAAGGCATGGCCAAATGGGGAAGGTCACCTGCCGCCGTCCACCCCGGCGCTTTTCCCCCGGCCCCGGCACCCGGCCTCGCGGACCCGCCCTCCGCAGCCTCGGGCTCCTCCTAGGGCCGGAGAGCGTGCGACGGGGGACCCCGCCGGCCGCAGGGTTCCCGGGGCCCCAGGGGTTCTGTGGCTGCTCGTGAATCCATGCAACATCCCTGGGATGTGGATGTTTTGTCCTCAGTTTTTCCGATGAGTCAACTGAGGCACAGAGAGGCTGAGAAACTTTGCCAAGGACACAGCGGTCGGTGGTGTGCAGGGTGCGGCGCGCGGCCCCGGGCGGGGGCAGACAGCGGGGAAGTGGGGTCCCAGCCGCCGGGACCCGCCGAGGCAGCTCGGAACTGGAAGATGGCCTGTGCGAGTGACGGGAAGAGCCGCTGCCAGAGGATTCCAGGAAGTGACTCACCTGGGGAAACTGCTCAGAACCCAGCGGGCTGGCGGTGGTGGCTTAGCGGTATTGGGACGCCTGTCCCGTCTACACTGCTTGTCTCTGAGCTCAGCGTGGCATCTGCTGATTGCTGCTCCAATGCAATCCTTTGCTGTTTTCTAGTGGGAAGGATGAGCTAAACGACAAGGCTTGTGTGCGAGGAATGAAGGAGAGGTGGATAGGTGTGATTTATTTCTTGGCGGAAGCTCGCATATTCAGCGATCCCTGTTCTGCAAATGTGGCACCTTTCTTAAACAGAGAGAATGCCTCCTTGCCTGCGCCCAGCACTTTCCCGTTTGCAGTGGCTTTCTCACGAGCATTCTCGTTTGGATCTCCCAAACCCGAGGCACAGTGAGGCGAGGAGTTAGGAGTAAGGAGGGTTGGTTACAAAATTGGCCGCACACCTCTTCCTGTCCTATCTCTGCACCGGAGATCCGAGCCTCCCCGCTGAGCTGGTATAAAATAAGATGGTCGTTTTTCTTAGTATGCTTTAAATCTGTACAAGGGTTTGTGAATGAGAAAATGTATCTGTTTAATTTCTCCTTTGTAAAGCTATTAGCTTTTTCCAACACCTCCTGTTCCTAATGGGGAAAGAGTGTGGATTCATTACAAAAAATAAATAAGAGAAAGGCAAAACTTGACACTCTAAATTCTGAAAGTTTTACATCCGCAAGAGAACTGCTGCCTCAAAAGCGTGGCTTTAAACCTTGGATCCTTTCAGAGCTTGAGTTTATAGAGCATAACTTTGCAAAAACTAAAGCTAAACGCAGAATGAAAATTGGAATTCCTTATTTGTAAGACAGTTTCACTGAGCCTTGACTCCAGTCCTTCCAGCCCCATCCCGCGGCAGGTCATAGGTGAGATAATAAATGCTGTGTCTGTTCAGGTGGACCAAGAAGAATTTATTTTTACCATCCCGCTTTAATACGCAGGATTATTATTTCACACTCTAAGTAATGTGAGAATGACATGAATAGTTCACATGGTGTCACCATCTGTCTTCTTTTTTAATGTCATAAGAAGAGTGAAAAGTGTAATTGTTCTTGAGATTTGTTAGGAGTTGACTGTGGTATTGTTGGGAGAGGGAGCTGATGGTTAAACTGTCTGCCCATACATAATTAAGAACAAACTTATAACAATTGTTTCATTTTTAAAACAATTTTATATACTAGTGTTTTCTATCTAGTTACGGTAGTAAAATTGCAGGAAAAAAGCAGAAAATCACCCACCTCAGCCTCCGAAAGTGCTGGGATTACAGGCGCGAGCCATCGCGCCCGGCCAACAACAGCTATATTTTTACAGTAATCTGCTGATAACTGGCTGATTACCGACCAAATAAATCTCTTCAGTGGTGGCAGGTTGAAGCTAAAAAGAAGTAAGGGATGCCTATGAGTCCCATAGAGGTAGGTGCATTTGCGTAGGAGACACTTCCCAATGATGTTAAAATCCTAACATGGAGTCAGAGATCTTCCTCCCAGCATGATTTATGTATAACAGTGAATATTAGGAAAAATCTAAATGTCTGGTTATAGGGAAACGTTGAAGTTTTGATGCAGCTATTTGATGAAGTATTGTGAAACCTTTTCGTTTTTTGACAAATAAGACATTACAATATAATTTTTTAAAAACAGGAGACAATACTATGCAATATTATGTAATTTGCATAGGGACAGTGACTAGAACGATATGGCCGGGTACAGTGGCTCACTCCTATAATCCCAGCACTTTGGGAGGTCAAGGAGAGTGCATAACTTGAGGTCAGGAGTTCGAGACCAGCCTGGCCAACATGGTGAAACCCCATCTCTACTAAAAATACAAAAATTAGTTGGGCGTGCTGGCGCACGCCTGTAATCCCCACTACTTGGGTGTCTGAGACAAGAGAATCGCTTGAACCTGGGAGGCGGAGGTTGCAGTGAGCTGAGATCGTGCCACTGCACTCCAGCCTGGGTGACTGAGCAAGACTGTCTCAAAAAAAAAAAAAGAAAAATAATGTTGCATTGTTCACTTATTCAGTGAAATATATAATATATATTGAGCCCTCCCCAGGCTAAGTGCTAGGAATATAGTGGAGAACAGAAAAATAATTGGTATTTTTAATGGAGTTTATGGGTAGGTGATAGGAGAGGTGGTTGTGAATCAGATAATCACACAAATAAATCTAGAGCTGTTTATTATGTGCATGTCATAAAGAAGAAATACAGTGCTGAAAAGTGTGTCAGTGTGGGGGCAGGGGAGACAGTGAAGGCTTTCCTGAGGAAGTGGTATTTGAGCTGAGATTTGATGGGCGAGTAGGTGTCAGATGAAGTGGGGAGAAGAGCATTCGTTGCAAGGGAAGTAGGATGTGCCAAGGTACTGTGGTTGGAGGGTTTTTACAGTAATCTTCTGCTGATAACTGGCTGATTACCCACCAAATAAATCTCTTCAGTGGTGGCAGGTTGAAGCTAAAAAGAAGTAAGGGATGCCTATGAGTCCCATAGAGATAGGTGCATTTGCGTAGGAGACACTTCCCAATGATGTTAAAATCCTAACATGGAGTCAGAGATCTTCCTCCCAGCATGATTTATGTATAACAGTGAATATTAGGAATAATTCCATAATTGAAAGCCAGTATAGCTGAACTGTAGATAGGGGTAGAATAGTGCAAGAAGAGCTTTACTTTTCAGGATTTCCTTGTGATTGTATATTACTTTTATACTAAGCAGTCATTTCAAATAAATATTCAGGTGGCCATTCTTTTCATCTGTTGTAGAGCTAATCTTGCATAAATGTGCATTAAGAAAATAAGATTCAACCAACCCAAATGTCCAACAATGATAGACTGGATTAAGAAAATGTGGCACATATACACCATGGAATACTATGCAGCCATAAAAAATGATGAGTTCATATCCTTTGTAGGGACATGGATGAAATTGGAAACCATCATTCTCAGTAAACTATCGCAAGAACAAAAAACCAAACACCGCATATTCTCACTCATAGGTGGGAATTGAACAATGAGATCACATGGACACAGGAAGGGGAATATCACACTCTGGGGACTGTGGTGGGGTCGGGGGAGGGGGGAGGGATAGCATTGGGAGATATACCTAATGCTAGATGACACATTAGTGGGTGCAGTGCACCAGCATGGCACATGTATACATATGTAACTAACCTGCACAATGTGCACATGTACCCTAAAACTTAGAGTATAATAAAAAAAAAAAAAAGAAAAAAAAAAAGAAAATAAGATTCATTTGGATTTGGAATCAGAGGCAGACTAATGTATTATTTATGAGCTAGACTTATAGGGCACTTTTCCACCAGTGAACTCAGAAAAATATTATAGGTGTGCAATTTATGGTTCCATAAGAAAACAGTCAAAGCAGCAGGCCTTGCTGATAGTATCTTTCATGCTTACACTTACTCCAGTCATTAAGTTTGGGATGAAGAAGTTAACAACAGCTAATCATTTAGTTCTTGTAGATTCATTTTAAGAGCCTGTCATAGTTGTTTTTTATAAAAACTTCCTACAGAGGGGAGATTTCAAGTGCTAAGAATATTTTATGATTTTGTTTTAGGTTACAGGAGGTTCCAGTGGCATCGGGAAGTGCATTGCTATCGAGTGCTATAAACAAGGAGCTTTTATAACTCTGGTTGCACGAAATGAGGTAAGGCTTCTAGGTTCATTATTACTGACTTGCTTCTTCGACTTGAAATTAGTCAAAGAGGCTGTGCTAAACATCTTAGCATTCACACCTAGAAAGCGCTTCTTCCTTGATGTGAGATGTGTTTCCTGAACTACTGATTCTCTCTAGTATTTAGGCCAAACACTTCTCTGTTGAAATCAGGTCGGCCCCACAAGTATTTATTTAGTACCATTGGCATATTAGGCAACATCATCATAGATACTGCAGATCCTGAGATGGGAGAGGCCAAGGTCTAGTTGAAGGAGCACACCTGGCCATTGGAAGCCAGGGAGGGCCCTTGGCCAGGTCAGAAGTGCTGGAAGCAGTGATTCTGGAGCTGATACCTGAAGGTGTGTAGGTGTTTCTCTATAATTTTTCACTACGATTTGCTTAGGACATGATATATATCTCTAGTGAAATCTATACACCATAGAGGAACCTCGTCCCTCCTTAGAAGTTTAGCAAAATGTGTTTTTCTGTATTAAGTCAACACAGAATCTGTTTTTATTTTTTGTCAGGGTTTGTTTTTGTCTTGCCAAAGTTGTTTTTAGAGCACAAAGCAGTGACACTGTGCACGTGAACTGTCATGACGTCCTCTTGCTCCCCATATGGGGACTGGAGGAAAGTGACCACACAGCTGGCTCGTCCGCTGCAGCAATTCTAGTGCTTGACACGTAGTACATGCTCAGACATGTTTGTTGAATGAAGAAATGAAGGGAGGAATGATGGAGTGCCTGGGAATGTCAGCATGGCATACTTCCATGGGGATCTTGGATTCACCCATGTGCAAGGAGGGTGATAGTATGGTAACTCCTCAAATGGGTGGAGGGCTGGACAGGACCCATTAGGAATGGTAGGCCAGGAAGGGCCTTGGGGGAAAATTTAAATAATGTCGCAGACTTAGTCTTGGACCTCTATAATTTCTTTTATTTTTTTCTTTTTTCTTGAGACAGCATCTCACTCTGTTGCCCAGGCTGGAGTGCAGTGGCATGATCTCGGCTCACTGCAACCTCTGCCTCCTGGGTTCAAGTGATTCTCCTGCCTTAGCTTCCTGAGTAGCTGGGACTACAGGCGCCCACCACCACGCCTGGCTAATTTTTGTATTTTTAGTAGAGACAGGGTTTCACCATGTTGGTCAGGCTGGTCTGGAACTCCTGACCTTGTGATCCGCCCGCCTTGGCCTCCCAAAGTGCTGGGATTACAGGTGTGAGCCACCACACCTGGCCTGGACGTCTATAACTTCTTTTGCAAACCAAGAAAGACAAAATTAGCTACCTTTTATTTATAGCTTGACTTTTCTAACAATGAATTTGCTTTGGCATTGAAGCCACCTTACATAAATGAAAACACAAATTTGATGAAATGGCATTTTGTGAGTTTTAAACACCAGTTTTGATGCAAGTAAATAAAAGTGGAGGCAGAGAAGGCCAGCATTTCAGGCCCCCAGGAGCTCATATGGGGCCCTTGCATTGCTAGAAATGAATGAACTGAATGAAGAACCTGTGGTGTTGAGTAATTCATTCTTTTTTTTTTTTTTTTTTTTTTTTTTTTGAGACGGAGTTTTGCTCTGTAACCCAGGCTGGTGTGCAGTGGCGCTGTCTTGGCTCACTGCAACCTCCACCTCCGGAATACCTGGGATTACAGGTGTGTGTAACCACACCTGGCTGATTTGTGTGTGTGTGTGTGTGTATATATATTTACATATATATAAAATATATATTTTTATTATATATATTATATATTTTATATATATATATATTTTTTTTTTAGTAGAGACAGGGTTTTACTATGTTGGCCAGGCTGGTCTCAAACTCCTGACCTTAAGTGATCCACCCACCTCGGCCTCCCAAAGTGCTGGGCTTACAGGCGTGAGCCACTGCGCCCGGCCTCACTGTGTCACCCAGGCTGGAGTGCAGTGACACAATCTCGGCTCACTGCAACCTCCGCCTCCCAGGCTCAACCAATCCTCTCACTTCAGCCTCTTGAGTATCTGGGACCACAGGTGCTCGCCACCATGCTTGGCTAAGTTTTTGTATTTTTGGTAGAGACGGGGCTTCACCATGTTGCCCAGGCTGGTCTCAAACTCCTGAGCTTGGGTGATCCACTCACCTTGGCCTCCCAAAGTGCTGGGATTACAGGGGTGAGCCACCATGCCTGGCTGAGAAATTCTTTCTTTTCTAATGTAATTTTTAATTCCAGTCTTTGCAAAGTCAAGCTGTATGTATCTTTAGTCATAGGACAATATTATTTCATTATAGACATATTCAGGTTTAGAAACTCTGCATGCCTTTTGGAAGAATTCGCCTCTCCTTTGGTTCCTCTCTATTGCATGATATTATTTAAGTTACTTTTTACAGCAAATTAAGATAATCTGATATCTGTTTTCTTGAGACTAAGTAAAACAAACAAAATTAGGACCTTGGAAGAATTACATAATTACACAGGTAACCTTGCTTAAGAGTATTTTATAGTAGCCAGGCCTAGTTTACCCAGTCTATCCAGAAAGTGATTCTTACTATGTTTGGGTTTATAGTAGAAGAAGAAAATATTGGACAAAAAGCAGTATTGACAGGGAGTCACACATACCCTCAACTTTGGGGAGCAGTACATATTAATAGAGTTGTTCTTGTCTTATATCACAACTAAATAATAAGACATTTATTAGAACTGTAGAGTCAGCCTCAGCAATTAGTACTGTTAACTGGGATTTTGAGGTTTATCTGTTTTCTACTATCTTTCTCTAATTAATTTTCAAACTTTTATCACTTATTCATAGCTTAACATACTTCACAACTTCTTTCTTTCATAGGCTGTGGCCCAGTCTGTCTATGCAATGTAGATACTGTTTTGTGTGTTTTCTGGAATTTAATACATACATATAGAAATAATTGCTTTTTTTCTCTCCTTTGCAATAAACGGACATGCATATAGACGGTCATCACGACTAATTATTCTGTATTGCTTTCAGGATAAGCTGCTGCAGGCAAAGAAAGAAATTGAAATGCACTCTATTAATGACAAACAGGTAAATCTCTGTCTTCAGAATGCATTTTCTGTATAACTCAGCACAGCTGTATAAAGGAAAAACAGAGTTACTTCACCTGTGAATAGTTAATTGAAAGCATATATGTACTGTTTTTTAAAAGGTGGAATTGTTTGAATGGTCTAGTAACTCAGAATATCACACACACGCAAAATGAATAGACTCCCACACACATTCATATCTACAAATGGTCAAATAACAGAATGTTTTACTGGCAAATAATTTCATTTTAATTTTTTTTTTAATGAACTTTATACAAATGCTTAAGAGGAAAGGAATATTTAAAATTTATTTGGTTATGGAATTTTTGATGAATAAAATGCTATTTATATTTCAGTATAAAACATAATAGCAAATTAATAATCACACACCCATCACCCAGCCTAAGAAGTAGAAATGATCAGGGTCTCTGAAGCCCCCACAGCAGCCTTGTCCCTCTTTTCTTGTTCCTAGAGGGGCAAATGCCAACCCGATTTTTGGTGTTAATCCTTTCTTTTTCTTTTCTTTTTTCTTTCCTTTTTTTTTTTTTTTTTTTTTTTGAGGCAGTGTCTCAATCTGTCATCCAGGCTGGAGTGCAGGGGTGCGATCTCAGCTCACTGCAGCCTCGACCTCCTGGGCTCAAGCAGTCCTCCCACCTCAGCCTCCCTAGTAGCTGAGATTATAGACACGTGCCATCATGCATGGCTAATTTTTGTATTTTTGGTAGAGATGGGGTTTCGCCATGTTGCCCAGGCTGGTCTTCAACTCCTGGGCTCAAGCAGTCCGCCTACCTCTGCCTCCCAAAGTGCTGGTATTATAGGAGTGAGCCACTGTGCCCTGCCTCTTTTTCTTTTTAATTTTACCATATATGCACATAACTCTAAATAATAATATATTGTTTAGTTCTTTTTTTTTTTTTTTTTTGAGACAGAGTCTCTCTCTGTCACCCAGGCTGGAGTGCAGTGGTGCCATCTTGGCTCACTGCAACCTCCACCTCTCGGGTTCAAGCGATTCTCCTGCCTCAGCCTCCTGAGTAGCTGGGATTACAGGTGTGTGCCACCACACCCGGCTAATTTTTTTTGTATTTTTAGTAGAGACAGGGTTTTACCATGTTTGTCAGGCTAGTCTCAAACTCCTGACCTCAGGTGATCTGCCTGCCTTGGCCTCCCAAAGTCCTGTGATTATGGGCGTGAGCCACCATGCCTGGCCAATATACTTAGTTCTACTTCTTTTATTATATCATTCTTATTTTTTAACAGCTTTATGAGATATAATTTATATACCATACAGTTGACCCATTTAAAATATATAATTCAATGATTTTTAATGTATTCATAGAGTTGTGCAACTGTCATCAAAATCAATTTTAGAATGTTTTCCTCACCCCGTGAAGAATCTCCATGTGTATTAGCAGTCACTTGCCATTTCCTCCCAGCCTCTTCTCAGCTAGGCAGTCACTCATCTACTTTCTTTCTCTATAGATTTGTATAACTTCCTTCTTTATGCTTCTTATGCAACTTGATTTCTTCACTCAATATTATTATTATTTATTTCTTATTTATTTATTTATTTTTGAGATGGAGTCTCGCTCTGTTGCCCAGTCTGGAGTGCAGTGGCACAATCTCAGCTCACTGCAACCTCTGCCTCCTGGGTTCAAGCCTCAGCTTCCTGGGTAGTTGGGATTACAGGCGCGCGTCACTACGCCCAGCTAATTTTTGTATTTTTAGTAGAGACAGGGTTTCACCATGTTGATCAGGCTGGTCTCGAACTCCCAACCTCGTGATCCGCCCGCCTCAGCCTCTGAAAGTGCTGGGATTACAGGTGTGAGCCACCATTCCCAGACCACTCAATATTATTCTTTAGGCCAGGTGCGGTGGCTCATGCCTGTAATCCCAACATTTTGAGAGGCCGAGACGGGCAAATCAGTTGAAGGTAGGTGTTTGAGATCAGCCTGGACAAAGTGGTGAAACCCTGTCTCTACTAAAAATATAAAAAGTTAGCTGCACCTGTAACCCCAGCTACTCAGGAGGGAGGCTGAGGCAGGAGAATCACTTGGATCTGGGAGGCAAAGCTTGAGGTGAGCAGAGATTGCACCGCTGTACTCCAGCCTGGGTAACAGAGGGAGACTCCATCTCAAAAAAAAATATATATATATATATATATATATGTATGTATGTATGTATGTATATATATGTGTATATATATATATAATTTTAAAAATTCATTTATGTTGCTGCAAAAAGTTGGAGTAAATTTTTTTTTTTTTACTGCTGCGTAGTATTCTATTGTATGTATAGACTACATTTTGTTCATCAGTTCAGCAATTGGTGGATATTTAGTTTGTTCCCAGTATTTTTGTTAGTTTGTTTTGTTTTTTACTATTAGAAAAGCTTTCAGTATTCTCTTTGTGCACGTGTGCAAGAATGGTACATACCCAGAAATGGAATTGCAGAGCTGTAGTGTATGCAGTTCTTCAACCTCACCAAAGTGGTTAAGCTCCCATAAGTAGGAATGCGGTTTCTGTTGCGCCACATCCCTGCCAATACTTGGTATTGACAGACTTTTTACTTTTTGCCTTTCTGATGAGTTTTGAATAGTATTTCACTGTGGTATTCATTGACTTTTTCCCTTCTAGAATGTTAGAGATCTTTCCATGTGCATTAAGTAAATTTGCCTTAAATTGCTGCAGCCTAGGATTGAAGTACACCAGAGCTTATTCCGTCAGGTCCCTGCTATTGAGCTGTTTCCATTCTTTTTATTTTATTTTGTATTTTTATTTTTGCAATTGCAGTCTGTGCTGCAAGTAAAAATCCTTGTGTATATCTTCTGCACATGTGAGTTTTTCTCTAAGACTGTGGTCTTTACCCCCTTCTCTGAAGCCCACAAGCATTGGAAAAACACCAGCTCTGTAAATTGCCCCGTTTTTTCCCGTATTCCTGTAATATCTGATAGACGAAGGAGTATGGTGTGAAGTCATGGAGTCAGTGTTCAGGGCCAAGGCCAGTCTTGCCTGCTGCCAACACTGTCTCCGCTCTGGGCTTCCTCATCATGACACCTTCTACCTCTTCATCTACCAAAGGACTTTAGGTCAGGTGGAAAACTTACCTTTCACATCAAGGAAGGGAGATAGGGCTGGGGCAGGCGAGAATGAGCTTGATCCTTCTGCCCTGCCAGGCTTCTAGGGACCTTTTGTGTGTGTGTGTGACTTGTTAACATTTTTTTGTTCTGAGATTTCACTTGTCTGTGGCATAGATTTTATTATTAGTAACTGATCTAATACTGCATGAAAAGGCTTGTTTTAAAATTAATCATATGATTACTACTGCCTTTTTTTTTTTTTGAGACGGAGTCTCACTCTGTTGCCCACGCTGGTGTGCAATGGCATGATCTCAGCTGACTGCAGCCTCTATCTCCCAGGGTCAAGCAATTCTCCTGCCTCAGTCTCCTGAGTAGCTGGGATTATAAGTGCCCACCACCACGCCAGGCTAATTTTTTGTATTTTTAGTAGAGACAGGGTTTCACCATGTAGGCCAGGCTGGTCTCAAACTCCTGACCTCAAATGATCTACCTGCCTCGGCCTCCCAAAGTGCTGGGATTATAGGCGTGAGCCACCGCGCCTGGCCGATTACTACTACCTTTAAAACAATGTTTTCTATCTGAGGATGTTGGGATAAAATCCACTCTAGGTATACATTACAACCAAGGGCAACCCCTCTAGACTAGAATGCTGCAGGTTATATTTGCAAAGAGGGCTGTTTCCTTTTCTTAGGAATTTTGATCATTTGGACAGGATTCCTTCTTGAAAGGAATCAGCACTGAGGCCCTTATATGGAATATTTCCATCACTCCCTAGGGTTGGCCTGTGCCCTTTCACAGTTCCTTCCATCCTCCATGCCTGGCTGTGGGCAACCCCTGATCTGCCTTCTGTCACTATAGATTAGTGGCATTTCAAGAGGAGCATTTATATATTTTTAAAAAGATTCCTCAGAGTTTTAACTCCAAAAGCTGCCAAGAAAATTAGATTCTGCTAATTGCATCATCAGCAAACACTGAAATCTGTTCATTCAATATTGGCTTCCTTCTGTATTCAATGAACTGTCTTTTCTTTAAAAAATATCTTTAAGAAATAGTTTGGTACCTGCAAAACTTTGATCACTTTTTTTCTTTTTTAACAGGTGGTGCTTTGCATATCAGTTGATGTATCTCAAGACTATAACCAAGTAGAGAATGTCATAAAACAAGTAAGAGGTTGGGCTAATTGGAATTCACCAATGTGCTTGACTTTTGATTTGTTCTTGCCATTTTGCTATGTGGCTTGGAATGGACACAACTTCTCTATAGGTTTAATAGTTTTGTAAATTTTATTTATCAGCATGGATTTGCTGCTGAGTGGTTTTTCTTCTCTGTTTCTTAATGCCTGCTCTGCTACATTTTTCTAGGCACAGGAGAAACTGGGTCCAGTGGACATGCTGGTAAATTGTGCAGGAATGGCAGTGTCAGGAAAATTTGAAGATCTTGAAGTTAGTACCTTTGAAGTAAGTAAAAATGTTTGCTCACTGCAGTAGCACATATGCTAAAAGCAGAGCAAGCTACGGGTAAAAGCTTTAAGAATCAATTAGATGAATGCATTCAGATGTCCATGGAAGCTTTAGAAGACTCTAGAGGAAGGCTGAACAAGGTGAAGCTGAACAAGGTTTTCATCCCAGTGTCAGGACCATTGAAGCTTAAGAGTTTAGACATTTTACAGCTGAGAAAACCAGCTAAAATGGGAATGGACCTTCTAATCTGACACAGATTACTGTAGCAGTTCACTGAGGTCATATTTTCAAGAGAACACTTTGTAACCTAAGAGATGCCGGATGTTCCTATCAAACATCAGTATTATTAACAAGGAGAAACCAAAAAAGTTGAAGGACAGACTCACTAGAGTTCTCAAATCAAGATAAAAAGATACTGCATCTTATTGATGTTTCTATTTTTAATCAGGTTTACCAAGGAACTTCTCTTGGTAATTTATTTCAGCACCAAAGAAATGAACACTAGATTTGAAATTTTTATTTTTTCTTTTTTTGAGATGGAATTTCACTCTGTCACTCAGGCTGGAGTGCAGTGGCGTGATCTCAGCTCACTGCAACCTCCACCTCTCAAGTTCAAGTGATTCTCCTGCTTCAGCCTCCCTAGTAGCTGGGATTACAGGCACATGTCACCACACCCAGCTAATTTTTTTTATTTTAGTAGAGATGGGTTTACGCCACGTTGGCCCGGCTGGTCTCAAACTCCTGACCTCAGGTGACTGGCCCACCTCTACCTCCCAAAGTGCTGGGAGTACAGGCATGAGCCACCAGGCCCGGCCTGAAATGTTTTTAAAATGGAAAACGTTTTTTAGTTGCCATCGCATCAACAATCTTTTTCTTCCTTTTTTTTGAGACAGAGTCTTGCTCTGTCGCTGAGGCTGGAGTACAGTGGCACGATCTCGGCTCACTGCAACCTCTGCCTCCCGGGCTCAAGCGGAGTGTCCTCCAGCCTCCTGTGAGGATGAAGCTGGGGAGTGTGTTGGTGTCTTCGTGTGCGCCGTCTAGACAGACTTTCCCTTAAACCTCTCTCTTTATCTAGACTTACTATCCCTAGAAACAGAACCTCCAGTCTCCTGCCAGGCTGGAAGAGGGGTACAGATCTACCCTGTGGAGAGGGGAAAAACATCTAAGATCTAACTGCCTTTTTTTTTCATTGTCCTACATTATTTTTTTAATTTGAAGTGAAATTCATATAACATAAAATTAACTGTTTTTAAAGTGAGCCATGCAGAGGGATTCAGCATATTCACAATGAGGTGCACCCACCCCCTCCGCCTAGTTCTAAAGCATATGCATCACCCATAGGGCGGCCCTCACCTGGTAAGCAGTTGCTCCCCATCCCTGCTCACCCCCACACCCAATCTCTGACAACCACCAATCTGTATTCTGTCTCTGGTCATTTCGTATGATTGGAATCATGATATGTGCACTTCTGTGTCTGACCTCTTTCTCTTAGCATCAGTTTTTGAGGCTCATCCACATGTAGCATATATGGGTGCCTCATTCCTTTTTATAGGGTGGTGATATTCCTTTGTATGGATCGACCACATTCTGTTTAGCTATTCATCATCGATGGCCATTTGGGCTGTGTCTAGCTGACTGCTTATTAAATAGACTCTTAGTCCCTACTCCTGTCTCAGCCCCATGCCAGCCCACCCTTCCCTCCACCCCAGAGACTCTTGCAGCTGGAGCCTTTTGGGGTTCTGTAGTAGAATCTGGCTTTTTAGTTTCTCCACTCCCCGCTTAGCATTTAGTTTTTTGTGGTCTGCTAAGTTAGTTATCCCTCCTCAACCTGTTCTTCAGCTTCCAAAAGGTTATTGCTGTTATTTTTATTCTTATTTTCTTTGTTCTTGTGTGTTCTTGCCTTAAAAAACATCTCTTTACGGAGATTTTAGTAAGGTTTCTAAAGGGAGCCAAAGTAAACACAGGCGTTCAGTGTGACGTCTTTTTTCAGATATTCTTTTAGAACTTTCTTTTTTTTTTGGAGACGGAGTCTTACTCTGTCACCCAGGCTGGAGTGCAGTGGCTCAATCTCGGGTCACTGCAGCCTCCACTTCCCAGGCTCAAGCAATTCTCCTGCCTCAGCCTCCCGAGTAGCTGGGATTACAGTTGCCCACCACTATGCCTGGCTAATTTTTTTTTTTTTTTTTTTGTATTTTTAGTAGAGTCGGGTTTTCACCATGTTGGTCACGCTGGTCTCGAACTCCTGACCTCAGGTAATCCACCTACCTTGGCCTCCCAAAGTGCTGGGATTACAGGCATGAGCCACCGTGCCCGGCTTAGAACATTTTTTATTATCAAAACAATATTATGTTACGAAAACACACTTTTGGAAAAAAAAGAGAATCCCAGCATCCTAACTCAGTCACTTATGATCTTCTGTATTTCCTTGGTCTTCCCTCTGAGCATGTGTACTTTTACTTAACCTTTGAAGTAATTACAGTTACAGCATATATACAGTCTAGCTTCTGCTTTTTAAACTTAAATAGCATAGATATTTTTCCCTGTCACTCCCAGTGTTTCTGGTCATCATTTAAAACAATTATCTAGGCCAAGTACAGTGGCTCACACCTGTAATCCCAACACTTTGGGAGGCCGAGGCAGGCAGATCACTTGAGGTCAGGAGTTCGAGACCAGCCTGCCCAACATGGCGAAACCCTATCTCTACTAAAAATACAAAAAATTAGCTAGGCATGGTGGCTGGCGCCTGTAATCCCAGCTACTTGGGAGGCTGAGGCAGGAGAATCGCTTGAACCCAGGAGGCAGAGGTTACAGTGAGCCAAGATCACACCACTGTACTCCAGCCTGGGTGACAAGAGCAAAACTCCATTTCAAACAAATACAAACAAACAACAATAAAAAAATCTAATATTCTCTTGAATTAAGATATTATGATTGTATGTTCATGTTCTGTTCATAATATGAAAAAAAATTATGATTGATCTCAAGTTCCACAATTGAGGTATTTAGTTTTTATTTACATGATGATCTAATATTTTTACAAATATTTGAATATTTGAAACATTTTAATGCAAGTATTATTAAATTTTCGAGTTAAAATTTAAGGTTTTTAAGAGCTCAGGCTAGGCGCAGTGGCTCATGCCTGTAATCCCATCACTTTGGGAGGTCAAGGCAGGAGTACTGCTGGAGCCCAGGAGTTCAAGACCAGCCTAGGCAAAATAAAAGGACCCTGTTACTACAAAAAATACAAAAATTAGCTGGACGTGGTGGCATGTGCCTGTAGTCCCAGGTCCTCAAGAGGCTGAGGCAGGAGGATTGCTTGAGCCCAGGAGATTGAGACTGCAGTAAGCCAAGGTTGCACCATTGCACTTCAGCCTGGGTGACAGAGTGAGACCCCGTCTCTAAAAAAAATGATAATAGTAAAAAAGCAAAAAATAAATAAATAAAAATTAAAAGCTTCCAAGACAAGGAGAAAATACACTATTAGTACTCTTACCCATCATAATGGGAGAGCCAGTGGTTCTTGAGGTCCAGGACTGTGCTAGCGCTTGTGTTTTCTCTTTTAATCTTTGCAACAGCCCTATGCGGTCATACCCTTGTTGACCTTGTTTACAGCCAAGAAAATAAGTAGAATGTCTGACTTTCTTATTCATCATCAAATAGGCAATAAATGGGAGACCCAAGGCTTGAAACCAAAACTTTAAATCACCCTCCTACTCTGTGTTTTTCTTATAGCTTAGAACTAATAGGGCTACAAATACTTGGAACCTCTTTCCTAAAACTGTCTTTCAGAAAGTACTACCCACAAACATGCAGTATACTTTTTATAAGGAGAAAACTAACTTTGACCAGTTTTCAGGAAAAACATTAACTGCTGTCATGGTCAGAATGCAAGACTAGACTGAAACAGTCTTCAAATGGTAGGTCCTGAGTCTTCAAATGCTAGGTCTCAAATCACATTTCATTTATATCATCATGTCATCATTCATTCATTCAGCAAGCCTGTTGGGCTTCCCAGTCACTTGAGCTTGCATTGAAGAACTGAAATCCAGAAAGCAGACTAAATTCTCCATGTGCACAGCCTTGAGGCTTTTGACCTCATGTGGCCTCTTTGTTCCCTGCAGAGGTTAATGAGCATCAATTACCTGGGCAGCGTGTACCCCAGCCGGGCCGTGATCACCACCATGAAGGAGCGCCGGGTGGGCAGGATCGTGTTTGTGTCCTCCCAGGCAGGACAGTTGGGATTATTCGGTTTCACAGCCTACTCTGCATCCAAGTTTGCCATAAGGGGATTGGCAGAAGCTTTGCAGATGGAGGTAAAAGTTGTATTCATTTTTGTATTTATTCCTCTCCGCTCAGCAATATACATTCCGCTTTAGTTTTATAGCTTCTTTACATGTGTTGTTGTATTAAATTAGAGATTTTTAGGTTTGACATTGGTGAAAGAGAATTGGCTCAACCCTGAGTTTTGCAGTTAACATTTTTCATTGCATGAAGACTATAGTTAACGACAGATGCAAAATGGTAATGGGATTTTTGCTTGTTTAACTTAATACACAAAATATTAGTGATATCTTCATAGTGTTATTAGTCTAATACTGTGTGAATGTGAGTAAGGTTAACCAGATATTTTATTTTATAGAGATTTTTCTTTAACAAGAAGTTTGTCCTTATGACTGAATAATACGTGAAATTAGTATATGTTTGAGGGAAGAGCTTGAATCAGCTGCTAATTTTTAGCTTTTAGACAAGTCATTTAACTTGCTCTCAGTTTCCTCATCTGTAAAATGGGAGGGTTGGAATAAAGCAATAATTTGACTCTCCCAATATTTATATTTTTATATCTTAAAGAATTGTTGGGAAAATGAATGCTTTTTATTTACATAGTTAATGGAACATTTTGTGGAAGAAGGATGTAGTTAGGATTTGCATCAAAATAGCGTCTGTCATGATGAGTGCAACTTTACACCTCAGCTGCTTGAAGCCGACTTCCACATTATTGTCACACAGGAATGCTTAGAGAGCATCACATACGTATCTACCCAAAAATCACATGCTGAAAAAGGCAAGGGAAAGTTCTTTCTATTGCTGTGTACAGTCATCCCCTCTTATCCGCAAGGGATGTGAGCTAAGACCCCCAGTGGATGCCTAAAATGTTAAGAGCCCAGAAGAGTATTCACTGTGGCCAACCCTCTTATAGTAAGAGTGTGCTTTTGGGAATCCTGGTTGATGATTTAGATCAGGGGTTGACAGAACTTTCACCAAAGGGCAGACAGTATATATGTTAGGTTTTAAAGGCTGAATGGTGCCTAATACAGCTACTTAAGTAGGCTATGATAGCAGGAAAGCAGCCTTACTAGACAATGTGTAAATGAACAATTGTCACTGTGTTCCAATAAAACTTTACTTATAAAAAACAGGCAGAGGGCCAGATCTGGCTCATAGGCCATAATTTGCTGACCCCTGTTTAGAAGACCCCATAAGAGACCTTGATGGTGTGTGATAGAGCACCACATTGGTGAGATATGGGACGAGCGTTGCAGTACAGATGAGCTGCTGGGACAGCGACAGTCCTGATGTGCCGCGTAGGGACTGATAGATCATGCCATTCTCATACCATAGGAACCAGCCACAGATTTTATTGTTATCAACTGGCCTAATACTCTTAATAATATATCGTGATAATATGCTTAGCCAATAGGACACTGATGTCTGTGAAATTTCAAACAAGAATACTGGTGTTTCTTTTGAAGTTTTTAACTTTGAAAAGTCCTTTTGTGAATAACTGTTTTATTTATTTTTATTTTATTATTTTTTTTTAGAGACAGCGTCTCTCTTTGTTGCCCAGGCTGGAGCGCAGTGGCACAATCATAGCTCACTGCAGCCCTGAGCTCCTTGGCTCAAGTGATCCTCCTGTCTCAGCCTCCCAAGTAGCTAAGACCACAAGTGCACACTACCATGCCTGGCTAATTTTTAAAATTTTTTGTAGAGAAGGGGTCTCACTGTGTTGCCAAAGCTGGTCTCAAACGCCTAAGCTCAAACAATCTTCTGGCTTTAGCCTCCCAAAGTGCTGGGATTACAGGTGTGAGCCAGCACACCCAGCCACCATTTTATAAAGTTTTGTAAAGTATGTGAGGGAGATGTTGTGATGCCACCTGATGAGAGGAAAACCCAGTTTTCAGTAAATTCAGTGTGTTGCTCAAAGTCACATAGTTACTTAGTGACAGAAATCACAACACGATCCAAGCCTTGACCCCAGGTCTGCTGCCCTTTTGCAGCAGATGATGCATCCAGCTAGTTGCTTCACCTGGCTAGTTGCCCCGGCCCTTTACTTTGGTTTTAGAATCCTTGTAGGTGAAGGGGTGGTTGCGGGATGAAGAATCTGCCCATTAGGGCTTTTTGCAGAGCTGTGTCAGCATTCACTAATTTAGAGCAAAGTATATAATCTGGGTGGCCTGGTTTCACTTCAAGTAGAACAGAGATGCTAAAAAAGAGGAAAAAGAAAGTGGATTGCTGGTACAGACAGAGCCCCCCAACCTCTGTGACAAGTGTGATTTGCATACTGCGAGTAGCCGGCCTGCACGCTCAAGTCTGTATGACTTCTGTCCTTATTTGGACTCTATTAAAAATACCCTCACTTAAAAAAAAGAAAATAAAATGAACTTATCCCATGAAAAATAGGTTCTGGGGAAAACGAACGCAGTCATCAAAATGTAGTTTGTTCGTAGTAGAACTTGCATCAAACCAATTATTGTGTCCCTACAGTAATTATAGTAGCATTTTTTTTGAAACCTGGATAATTTGGTCAAGGTAGGTGTGTTTTCTGTCAATGAAATCTTATGTAATTGCTCAAACTCCAGATACTTTTTTTTTTTTTTTTAATTTTTATTTTCTGAAGACAGAGTCTTGCTTTGTTGCCGAGGCTGGAGTGCAGTGGTTTGATCTTGGCTCACTGTAGCCTCCACTTCCTGGGCCCAAGCAGTCCTCCCACCTCAGCCTCCCAAGTAGCTGGGACTACAAGTGTGTACTACCATGCCTCACCGTTTTTTTGTTTATTTTTTATTTATTTATTTTTTGTAGACATGGGGTCTCGCTCGCTATGTTGCCTGGGCTGGTCTTGATCTCCTGGACTCAGGTGATCCACCTGCCTTGGCCTCCCAAAGTTCTGGGATTACAGGAGGTGTGAGCCACTGTGTCTGGCCTGTAAATATTTTTGACAATTCTTTGGTTTAATTAACTTTGAAGTCTCCCTGTCCACCTCCCTTTGCCCCCAAACTAAGGTAGGACCCTGGCATTGTTAAGGGTACTATGAGTAATTTTAAAAGAATGCTTTGTTGGCATTTTTTAGTCTTTTTTTTTTACTCAGTCTTTTAGGAAGAAAGGTAAAGATTTTAAAAGTTACTCTTTTGGAAAGCAGACTTCTGAGGTGGGTTATAGCTAAAGATGTGGTAGCAGAGACCAAGCCCAAAAAAAACAAACTGATGCTCCCTTTTCTGCTTTTCTTACCCTGATCATGCCCCTCTCCTCCCATCTCTTCCTTCTGTGGTCTGAAAGTAAGCTAAAGCTTGAATTCTGGAGTTTCATGTAAACAGCTGTGATCTTCTTTCCAGCATCCCCTGTCTTTGTTTTGATGGAATAGGGAACAGCACATCCTATGTGGATTATTTTAATAACAAATCTGTTCTTTTTTTTTTTTTTTTTTTTTTTTGAGATGGAGTCTCACTCTGTGGCCCAGGCTGGAGTGCAGTTGTGTGATCTCGGTTCACTGAAACCTCTGCCTCCCTGGTTCAAGCGATTCTCCTGGCTCAGCCTCCCAAGTGGGTGGGATTACAGGTGCCCACCACCATGCCCGGCTAATTTTTGTATTTTTAGTAGAGATGGGGTTTCACCATGTTGGCCAGGCTGGTCTTGAACTCAGGTGATCTGCCTGCCTCGGCCTCCCAAAGTGCTGGGATTACATATGTGAGCCACTGCACCCGGCCCACAAATCGGTTCTTGAACAAGTGGTCAGTTGTCTTTCTGTTTGAGGTTGAGGCCAGGGAGAAGGGAAGAAGTAATAGTAGGATGGATGTGGGGCAGAGTCGGGGGCACAGAGAATGGTCAGGCAACAGGGATGAGGAGAAGCAGTGGCCGGGCAGCAGGGGACTCAGTTAGTGAGGACCTGGCTCATCCATTCTTAGAAAGAGTGGTGATCTCAGGGAGCTAGCATTGTCTCATAAGAACAAGTAAAGCCAGCCTACCCTCATTTTTTTTTATGACAGGGTTATGAGATTGGTAGATTAAAAGAAGATGTAGATGTGGTTTAGTATATTCAGATTTTAGCAAATTATTTGACCAAGAGTTTCAGGAAACTAGAATCTTAACCTTATGCTTTGTTCTTAGAACGATACTGGCATGTAGAAGTAATTCAGTAAGTGCTCGTTGTTGCATGAATAAATAAAATAATATGTAAATGGTGAGGTGACTAGCCACTGGAGGTATCCAGCCAGAGACTGGGAGAGTCATTTGGTTGGATGGCATAGCGAGAATACCAATCTAGGAAGCGACTGGACTGGTTTCTCCCAACCCCAGCTATCTGTGTTCCTTCCTCATGAGGAAGCTGTTCTGAAAAGCTCTGTTTTAACCTTTGGCAATGCAGCCGTAACCTTGAGTTTGAGAAGCACTGCTCTGAAATCCTGTCTTCCATTAGCTTTGGAGCCAGCATCCTTCTTTACCATGAGAGAGAAGGCAGAGGGGCAGCACAGACGTGAGTTTCTGGGCAGTCGATGTCAGTCTTTATGTGGGCTGCCTAATGACCACTCGTTGGATTTTTTGTGGTGTTTTTCTCTGGTCTATGCACAGCAGAGGGCAAGGCTGGGGGAGACAAGGTTTTTATAAGTCACTATCTCAAAAACAAGTGGAAGCGAGTTTCTGGCTCATCTGCCTTACTACCTGGCCCCGATCCAGAGCTATTTATGAGCATGGCTGGGCCGTGAAGCTGCATGCCCTGGCAATGCCCGGTGGATGGGCTGTCCCACACCCTAATTGTGCTGGAATGGAACCCACAAAGACATCTCACTTTCACGACTGCACTTTCCAGGATGGCTGGCCTGGATCTTCTGCTTGCAGGCCTGTGCGTGCTTCTCCTTCCCCTTGAAGCTCCCCTTAAAGCCCTCAAAACTGTGCTTCACTGAAGGAACCAGGGCGAAAAAGGGCTGCATAAGATGAGACTCTGGGCTACTGTTTTTATTTTTTTGTTGTTTTTTTGTTGTTTTTTTTTTTGGGATGGAGTCTCCCTCTTGTCACCCAGGCTGGAGTACAGTGGCACGATCTCAACTCACTGCAACTTCCGCCTCCTGGGCTCAAGCAATTCTCCTGCCTCAGCCTCCCAAGTAGTTGGGATTATAGGCACCCGCCACCACACCCAGCTAATTTTTGCATGTTTACTAAAGACAGGGTTTCACCATGTTAGCCAGACTGGTCTCGAACTCCTGACCTCAGGTGATCCACCCCCTCCCCTCGGCCTCCCAAAATGTTGGGATTACAGGTGTGAGCCACTGCCCCCGGCCCCTGGGCTACTCTTAAAGGCCGTCACATTAGGCAGTGGTGTTGATTTTTAGCCTAGGGTACCCTTCTGAAGATGTGCAGTGGCTGATCTATCAGCTGCCTCTCCACTTCCAGATCCCTTAGGTGTTTCCTAGGGACAAAAAAGTGAGCCAATACCAAATAAAAATCATGGCAAAGAGATTTTCATGGTAGGAACCATTGCTCTTAGAGTTGCTAATTAGCAGGGCAAGATAAGCATGTGCAGCAGGGCTGTGGCTGAGCAGTCTGTGGGAGGGGGTGTCCTGGCCAACAGCAGAAGAATCTGCTGGAATTGTTGGGGGTGTGTGTATGAGTGGGGTCGTGAAGCGTGAAGTGTGCAGGCATGGTGGTGAGGCACACAAGTGTAACAACCTGCTCCAAGTGTCAGATTTAGAGGAGCCACATAGAGTTTCAGATAAGGCAGAGGGCTTTCCCTATGTGAATGCAGGTTGAGGTTGTCCACAGGGGAGGTACTTGGCTGGTCTGACTTGGAGGTTCTACCCAGTGGTTCTTGTTGGTTCAGTGGAGGAGGAAGTGACTCTTGACCTCCTAATGTGCAGAGGCCGGTTATACAGGGAGCTCTGGAATAAGCAGACTTCTCAGGGACAGTTCTGGACTGGGTTTGGAGTAGGGCACAAGAAAGGGATAGGGCAGCAGATTTTAATGACCCCAATGTATTTTGTGGATGAAATCAACACAAGAGTATCAGAAGCAGTCTGAAGGAAAAACAGATGTACAGTCTGGTGAAGAAAGGAGGGGCAGACTGGTCCCATTGCCTTGATAAAGGGCTTGGATGCTGTGCAGTGCGTGTGGGAACTGGACTCTTTTTAAAACACTGCCCTCGTCGGACGGCTCCCAGGGCCTCTGTCTGGGCAGCAGGAGTGGAAGACACTGCAAAGGAGGTGACTTGCCATACTTTAGGGCCAGCTGTTTTCTGGGGTCCAGGTTAGGGTGAGCTTTTTGCCTACATTCTGGAATCATCATGGAGAGGGGTTTCTCAATGCAATTGGTGTAGTTCCCCGCCTAACAGAATCACCCCATTGTTCTCACCGCTTTTTGGGAATCAGGGCAGCCAGTGCAGGTTGGCAGTGTAGGACCTCAGTGTGTCTTGTTTACTGAAGGTACACGTGTTGTTTTGAAATGCAGGTGAAGCCATATAATGTCTACATCACAGTTGCTTACCCACCAGACACAGACACACCTGGCTTTGCCGAAGAAAACAGAACAAAGGTCAGTATCCTACATGTCCCAATTTGAACCTCTAATGTTTACTGCTTTTCTGATTTTCTTTCTACTCTTCAGCTCACACTCGTTTTCACCAATCAACAATGTTTGTTGGGTAGAGTGCCTAGCTGGTTTCTGATGACCTTGAGATTCTCCAGGCAAATATTCCTTCTTTCCTTCCTCTTTTCCCTCACTTTATTTTCTTAAAGTTTAAATTTCTACCAGATTTTTTCTCTATAGAGACAGGGCCTCACTCTGCCATCCAGGCTGGAGTGCAGTGGTACAATCGTGGCTAACTGCATCCTCAAACTCTCAGGCTCAAGCAATCCTCCTGCCTCAGCCACCTGAGTAGCTGGGCCTACAGGCATGTGCCACCACACCTAGCTAATTTTTAATTTTTTTGTAGAGATGGAGTCTCACTATGTCGCCCAGGCTGGTGTCAAACTCCTGGCCTCAAGTGATCCTCCCTCCTCAGCCTCCCAGGTGCTGAGATTATAGGCATGAGCCATTGTACCCAGCCATTTCCAGCACATTTTTATCAAAGAAGTATGTCACACAGTTTTAGAGTCCAATATCAATCCTTTGCCTCATCTCTCCCATTCCCAATTCCTACTCCCTAGAGGTAGCCATTTATTTTAACTAACATGTTTATACTGCTTTTTTTTTTTTTAAGATTTAGAAATTATTTATTGACTTTCTACCGTGGAAGATAAAATTTAAGACCAGGCCAGGCACAGTGTGGCTCATGCCTGTAATCCCAGCACTTTGGGAGGCCTAGGCAAGAAGATCACTTGAGGCCAGGAGTTCAAGACCAGCCTGGGCAACATAACAAAACCCTGTCTCTACAAAAAATTTAAAAATTAGCCAGGCATGGTGGCACATGCTTGTAGTTCCAGCTACTCAGGAGGCTGAGGTGGGAGGATCATTTGAGCCAGGGAGGTTGAGGCTGCAGTGAGCCATGATTGTAGTACTGCATTTCGACCTGGGTGACAGAGCGAGAACCAATATCTAAAAAAAAAAAAAATTAAAATTAAAAATAAAAAAATAAAAATTTAAGGCCAGCCATGGTGTCTCACACCTGTAATCCCAGTACTTTGGGAGGCCATGGCAGGAGGATTGATTGAGCCCAGGAGTTCGAGACCAGCCTAGGCAACATAGCAAGACCCTTTCCCTACAAAAAAATAAGCAAAATTAGAATTGTTCCAGCTACTCAGGAGGCTAAGGTGGAAGGATAGTGTATTAGTCCGTTCTTGCATTACTATAAATAAATGCCTGAGATTGGGTAATTTACACGTAAAAGAGGTTTAATTTGCTCACAGTTCCACAGGCTGTACAGTCTGCTGCTTCTGGGGAGGCCTCAGGAAACTTACAGTCTTAGGTAAAGGGAAAGCAGGTACGTCTTACGTGGTCGGAGCAGGAGGAAGAGAGAGAGGGGAGGTGCCACACACTTTTAAACAACCAGATCTCGTGAGAACTCACTCAGTATCACGAGAATAGCAAGAGGGAAATCCACCCCCATGATCCAGTGACCTCCCACCAGGTCCCTCCTCCAACATTGGGGATTGTAGTTGGACCTGAGATTTGCATGGGGACACAGATCCGAACCATATCAGATAGTTTGAGCCTAGGACGTCGAGGCTGCAGTGAGCCAAGATTGCGCCACTGCACTCCAGCCTGGGCAATAGAGTAAGACTTGTTTCAAAACAAAAACATTAAGACTCATATCTGTTCCCCATTCCCTGTGTACTCCTCCCATCTCTTTAGTTAAATCAGGTTTAGTGCTCATATTAATATTATGCACACTTGGACCATTCTATAGTGACATTTCCTTTCTTGCCTTTTCATTTGCTTAGCTTTGTAATTATCTATAACTAATTCAGTCCCAGATTCAAACAGAACTGAGATTCTCCTTTTGATCCATGTGAGCACATTGGACATTCTATTAGATTCATTCTTTTTTCCTCAGACATTTCTCCTGGGGTCGTCCCCGTTCCTGGTCTGTTCTAGTTCTGCCACCCAGCGGTGGTGTCAGGACTTGTCTTCACCTCACACTGCACGTTCCCTTCTCCCCTCCCTTTGACGGAGCCCATGACTCTCACTTTTTTGGTTTATCTGCTCATTTTGGTGGAGCTATAATATTTTCCACCAATTTTCTGAGAAAGGGCACATCAGAGGTAATATTGTTTTAGAAACAACATGTCTGAAAATGCCTTTATTTTTATTTTAACCTTTTTTTTTTTTTTTTTTGTGATAGAGTCTTGCTCTGTCACCCATGCTGGAGTGCAGTGGTGCAATGTTGGCTCACTGCAACCTCTGCCTCCTGGGTTCAAGAGATTCTCGTGCCTCAGCCTCCTGAGTAGCTGGGATTACAGGTGCGTGCCACCAAGCCCGGCTGATTTTTTGTATTTTTTTTTAGTAGAGACGGGGTTTCACCATGTTGGCCAGGCTGGTCTCCAACTCCTGGCCCACTCTGGCCTCCCAAAGTGCTGGGATTACAGGCATAAGCCACTGTGCCTGGCCATTTTTCTTTATTCTTATGTATTGTTTTGTTAAGTACAGATTTCTAGTTTGGAAATAATGTTTCCTCAGATTTCTGTGAGCATTTATTGATTTCCAGCTTCCAGAATTTCTGTGGAATCCAGTGCTATTTTGATTCCCAACCTTTTGTATAGAACCTGTTTTTCCATTTATTTTTGGAAACCTTGTGTCCCTTTTTATCCTTATTTAATGGATTTTGGCATGAAATCTTCTCATTTCATATGAGCCCTTTTATTTTATCAACTTTTGTTCTGGGACATTTTATTATATTACTCCTTTTATCACTTCTTTCTTCCCAAAGTATTTCAAGTGTTCATTCTCTCTGGAGCATTTATTATTCAGATTTTTGAACTTTCTGGACTGATCCTCTAATTTCCTTCTATTTTCTCTCTCTTTTTTTTTTTAATCTCTTGGGCCTTTTGTTCTCCCTTCTAGGTTTTTATTCGCTTTATCCTTAAACCTTTTTGTTGAAATCTTTATTTCTACTGGGTTACATAAAAATTACTTTAGATCTCTTTTCTCTGAATATTTAAAACAGTTTTTAAAAATAGCTTCTTGCCTTATTTCATGGATTTCATATTTTCTCTTATGTCTAAGGATATTCACTCTGGATGTTTAGCCTTGTTTTTTTGTTGCTGTTGTTTTGTTTGAAAATTTCTTCTATATCTTGTATTATTTATTTCCTCCTACTTTCTTTTTCTCTGTTGTTGTTTTTTCCGGCTTCCTGAAATGTCTGTTGATCCTTGATTGTCCATATTTAAGAGTGATGCACTAAAATGCCAATTGTAAATCTCTAGCTTCTCAGCTGTTTACTATAGGATGATCAGGAGGGGATGCAGCCACTTCATTAGAAGATTCTCATATGCCAGCATCTGCTCACTTTTCTCATGGTTTGATCAGTTTCCCTACTGAGGAATCATGTCTTCTTCTGCCTTTGGGAGAGTAAGACTTGCTGTCTGTGTTGTGGGAGGCAAGCAGGGCAGGAGGGCTGGGGAGCTCACCACCTACGTGCCAACTTTTGCTTAATTTTTCTGTTTCTACAAAGTGCCTTATAACTACTCTTAGTGGTGAGAATTAAGAATCTGGTTAGTAAATTGCTAATCTTTTGCCATCGTAGAGGAGATGACTTGGGGTCTGATGATTTGAGTCTCCATTGCACTTATCACAGCTTATAACAGAAGCTTCTCATAGCACTTAAAACAGACATATCTTTTATATAAAATGACTGCCAGTCATCCTGAGCTGAATATAAGCTTCACACTTTTTCAATGGAATATTCCCTTTGCCTTGACACATAGTAGTTGCTTTTTTGAGCAAATGAATAGGTGAAGCGGGAAGAAAGGAATTAATCAGAACTTACCACCTTGAACTGTGGCCAATTTTAGTTTTATATATTTTTTTCTCTTTTATACGAATACTTTGTAAATGTGAATCTCTGCAGCATAAAAATTGGCACTTAAACTCCCTAGACTGTATATTTGTAGAAAGATGTTTGTGATTTAGGTTTTTTCCCCCTATTCTTTTCTCTTTGGCTCTGCCTTTTTAAAAATTACTGCTATTTCAAAGAAGTAAATTTAAGCCAAATGTCCTGTCTTAGAATAAGCAGAGATCTTCTAAGCAGCTTTGCAACATTCGGTATGCAGTCTTTTAGTTTGAAGCCAGAGCTGACAAAGGGTGGTGATTTCCCTGTTAAGGTTTGATTCTGATGTTGATTAAGTTGGGGTTTTTTCAGTAAAATTTTGGGCAGACTTGTTGGGGGTAAATACAATTCTACATTGATGTGTGGGCCCTTTAGGGGGCGCCATAGTACTTTAGAATCTTATGTGTATTTAGTGTGGTTATGCCAGCCTGGGGGTCTGGAAGAATGAATCGTGGCTCCTTCAAAACAGCCTTTCTCTTAAGAAAGGTTCATAAGAAATACTTGATCTTTATGAAATACTTTACTTTCCTATTTTAAGAAAATATAATCTGGTTTTTATTTTCTTTAATTCCTTCAAGCTTACGTGGTAAAGTTTACAGTCTCATGCAGTTTAAGGCTTTTGTTTGACACTTCTACTTGAAATTATTTGACACTTCTAATTGAAACTAACTGAAATAATTTTTGAGCACACATATGCAAGACATCGCAAAGAAAAGCCAAAGATAAATAATTTCTTACAAAAAAGGCCCTGCCCACAAGAAACTTAGGAGGTAAAATGCAAATGCACAAGTAGCTATAATGTGTATTAAAACAGAAATGTTCACAGAAGAAAGAGAGAGGTTACTGCCAGTTAGGTATTTAGGGAAGGCTTTTTGAGTTAGGTAAGAGTTGAGATGGACCTTTTGAGGAAGAAAAGGCTAAGATTTGGGGTCTGCAGCTCCAGCCTGGTAACTAGCATGCAGCCCATCTAGGGACCACTCAGGGTTATCTCCTAAGTGGCTCCTTCTGTTTCAGTGTCCTGTGCATTTGCCTCCTCAGCAAGTCCTTTAAGAAGCATCTGCAGTTGTTGAATGGGGGCTGGGTTGCGACTGTCCCTGCCTTGGGCGCCAGGTTCATCCCCAGGGATCAGCCCTCTGCTGACCTGGGAATATGGTCAGAATGGAGTTGCTGGTCTTGGGAGCAGGCTTGCTCTGGACACAGGTCTAGCCTCTACAGAAAAGCACCATCATTCAGGTGTCCGGCCAGCACTGAGGAGTCAAAGGGGGTCTTTCTGAACTTGTATCCAGTGATGTGTTCTCACTCTAGCTTTGATGGTCCTCAGTGGAGCCAAGACTCCGTATGTTCTAAGAGAATGGCAAAGGCCTCCTTGTCTTGTGTTAGCTACTGGGTAGAATTTTACGTAGTAACTAGGTAGACACTGATTTAGAATCCAGATGGACCTTATTCTAGAAATAGGAATCTGCCCAAAGGTAGAAAATTGGAATTATTTGTAAATCAGGAGGCTGTAAGAATAATTTATTTTTAATGTAATGGGCAATCATGATATTGTTATGTACATGTTTTTCCACTTTTAGCCTTTGGAGACTCGACTTATTTCAGAGACCACATCTGTGTGCAAACCAGAACAGGTGGCCAAACAAATTGTTAAAGATGCCATAGTAAGTAAAATCCTTGTTTTCTGTACTATTTGTGTTTGTAGTACTATATTTCTGAAAAGATATTTGTCCAAGGACTTACTTCAAAACATCAATTATTAGAATTTTTTAGTCTGTCAGATTTGTCATATCTAATATTGGACTCAACTTTTCTTCTTTTAGACGCTTTATTGACTCCATATTAGTGAGTAGCCTCCTGAAAACTGATTGTATACCTTAATCTGAGGAACAGGTTTACTAGAAGGATGTCTGGAAACACCGGTTCTTTAAAAAGAAAATGAGACTTTCCTATGAGTGTAAACGATATATACTATGTCCCATATACACCTGGCTGCTTTCTCTCCCATTCCTGCTTCCCAGTATCATTTTCCCAAAAGTTAGCTAACGAGAAAGTGCCACCAGCCCCGTGGGCCTGTCCTCCTGTCTTCCCTGTTGATATGTTTTTTAATTCAGAATCAAAAATGGTATTTTAAGAAATGATGTGCTGTTTTGTAGAAGAACAACATATGTGCCTCATGCTTTTTGACAACATTTCTGTTAATGCGGAAAAATGCACATTTATGAGGGATGTCTGTAAACCACAGACCCACACTGAATTTGGAAAATCTATAGGACCATTGGAATGAGAGGTGTCAGCACATGGTGGACAGCCTTGAAGTGGCCTAAATGCTGTCACATTAGACTGAACTGAGCAGAATGAGAATAGTGAATTCTGTTGAAATATATACATGTGTGAAGAACTTTGTCCTGAGTGCATTAAAAGGCTCAGGAAGATGGCACAAGTGAGACTTTATTTTTCCTGCTTATCTCGGGTCAAAGCAAATGCATTTGGTGTTTTTTGTTGTTGTTGTTGTTTTGTTTGTTTGTTTGTTTTGAGACGGAGTTTTGCTCTTGTTGCCCAGGCTGGAGTGCAGTGGCACGATCTTGGCTCACTGCAACCTCTGCCTCCTGGGTTTAAGTGATTCTCCTGCCTCGGCCTTCTGAGTAGCTGGGATTACAGGTGCTCACAACCACACCTGGCTAATTTTTTGTATTTGTAGTAGAAATGGGGCTTCACCATGTTGGCCAGGCTGGTCTCGAACTCCTGATTTCGGGTAATCCGCACGCCTCAGCCTCTTGGCCAAAGTGCTGGGATTACAGGCGTGAGCTCCGTGCCCAGCCCATTCAGTGTTTCTAATGATGCTAAATAGCTCTTAGTATTTTGGCAGTATTCATTTAGTTTAGTGGTTTTCAAACTTTTCTTCTCTTGACCACTTTACATTCTTACAAATTGTCAACAACCCCAGAGAACTTTTGTTTATTTACATGGCTATATTTATTGATATTTGCCATATTTGAAATGGAAGCTGTTTGTAATATTTATTGATTCATTAAAAATAACAAAAATGGCTGGGCACAGTGACTCGTGCCTGTAATCCCAACACTTTGGGAGGCCAAGGCGGGCGGATCACCTGAAGTCAGGAGTTCAATACCAGCCTGACCAATATGATGAAACCCCGTCTCTACTAAAAATACAAAAATTAGTCGGGTGTGGTGACATGCGCCTGTAATCCCAGCTACTTGGGAGGCTGAGACAGGAGAATCGCTTGAACCCAGGAGGTGGAGACTGCAGTGAGCTGAGATTGAGCCATTGTGCTCCAGCCTGGGCAACAAGAGCAAAACTCCATATATATATATATATATATATATTCACATATATATATATATAAAGTCACATATATATATATATAAAGTCACATATATATAAAGTGACTTTTTTTAAACAAAATTTACTACTTTTCAAAACAAAAGTTCAGTGAGGACGGTGGCATTGGTTCACATTTTCACCAGTTGCTTTAAGGTCTGCATTAACAGCTGGATTCAAATAGCTGCTTCTGCATTCCATCTGTTGTAATAATGTTGTTTTGATGGAAGGATATACAGAAAATCTGGCCTGAGACAGATACGGAGTTGGGAAAGGGAAGACTATTTTACTAGGCTTTTCAGATAATTATGGACATTCTTTTTTGATATCAAACCCAAACTCAACAAATGGTAGTTTCTTAAAGGTTAGTTGCAGTATAGAATTGGAAACTACATCAATGAATGTTTTGTTCTCTGTTACATTAAATTCCATTGGTCCGTCTTGTACTTTGAATGGATCTTTTAACCATTCATGATTTCGTAACATTATGCATTAGTCATTTGGAAAATATGGGTTGACTGAGTGATCAGAAAAATCGCTTTCATCAGTATTACTGCTGATCTTATCATAAAAGTATGCAGCTGACAGTCTCGTGATGGTGGATACTAGTTTTTCCAAATCTTAATTTTTTCTTGAAGGCTCAGATTTCACATTGATGACACGTGGCCAGTTGTTTTTCCTGAAGTGACACACTTGCTTGCTTCGCTTTCTGCACATCTGCCACATACCTAAGTCTGAATTACTATAGATTTCCTGTCAATGGTCTTTCATATAAAAATTATGCTCTCCAGCCAGGCACGGTGGCTCATGCCTGTAATCCCAGCACTTTTGGAGGCCGAGGCGGCTGGATTGCTTGAGCTCAGGGGTTTGAGACCAGCCTGGCCAACATGGTGAAACCCCATCTCTACTAAAAATACAAAAATTACCCGGGTGTGGTGGTGCATGCCTGTAATCCCAGCTACTTGGGAGTCTGAGGCAGGAGAATCACTTGAACCTGGGAGGCAGAGGTTGCAGTGAGCAGAGATCACACCACTGCATTCCAGCCTGGGCCACAGAGTGAGATTCTGTCGAAAATAAATAAATAAACAATACAAATGATGCTCCATGAAAGAAGTGGCAGTTTAGCCCTTGACTTCAGGAGCTGCACAAGGACTTTTGTTCCAGGCAGTTGTCCCGCCCTGGAATGCAGTGCTGCGGAAGCGCGTTGGGCGCATTCTCATTTGTCACACAGAGTATTAAGAAGACATGTCCTCGAGGGTTGCCATTGAACAAAATGATGAATTTTCCTGCTTTATCAAGAGGATTTTAAAGCAAAACTGACACTTTGATTTTTAAAAGAATTTTAGAACTTGTATTTTCTTTGTGTATTATTTATTACTGCGAGTGCGTGTGGTAGTAGAGGTGACAATGACTCCTAGTACAGTTTGGCAAGAACCCCGTGGTTCTTGCCCATGTCTCTGCAGTTTTGCAGAGGCAAAACTGTATTTTCCATACAACACACTGTGGAAAAGACAATGAATGTCTTAGTGTTATTAGGACAATCATTTGTCCTTGGGGGCCCGCAGGGGTCCGTGGACTCACTTGTTGAGAACTGCCATCTGCCAAGGCCGTGCGTCCATTTCTGAGTGCTGATCAATGCTTTGTGACCATTTTATCTCACTTAAAGTGAACGAGCACACTCCACTGTTTCTGATGTGTCCGACTGATTTCTGTCCACATTACTAGGATTCCCTCTTTCTCTTCTTTTTCTTCTCTTTTAGCAAGGAAATTTCAACAGTTCCCTTGGCTCAGATGGGTACATGCTCTCGGCCCTGACCTGTGGGATGGCTCCAGTAACTTCTATTACTGAGGGGCTCCAGCAGGTAAGCTCTGCCTAGGCTAGCAATCAGACAGGCCGATGGACAAGAGAAAAACTGCCTTTCATCAAACCTTGATGAGAAGAGGTTAAGGGAAAACTAAGTAACTTTATTTGACAATGTATTTTTATGGAGCTATCAACTTTTCCTCTTCCTCCACCAGGAATGAGTAAATAGGTTAAAGATATAACTTCAGGAATTTAGAATGGCAAGAAGTCTTCAGTGCCGGGCCTTGCAGATAGAGAAATAAAACACCGTATCTGCTGTTGAGGTGTTAACCTGGATTTTCACCTAAGAACCACTGCTCCAATGTGTTTTGAAAATGGAATACTCCTCTAGAGTAAGGGGTAGCCTTGCTTAAAAAGTACTGGGATATTAGACTAGAAAACCTTTTCTAGGTGAATCAGGTCACACACAGCTAAATTTAGTGAGACACGAATCATGGATTAAACAGTTGCTTCGCTTATAGAATGTATTATTTTGTCCAAGATACACAGTGTTTCATTGGTGTGCTAGGCACTGTACTTGCTCATGGGGAATCAGATGGAAGGCGACCTCTCCAGCTTCAGGGGCATACAGTCAAGTGGAATGCACTGACCAAAAAGGTGATAGTAGTCCGGGCGCGGTGGCTCACGCCTGTAATCCCAGCACTTTGAGAGGCTGAGGTGGGTAGATCACTTGAGATCAGGAGTTTGAGACCAGCCTGGCCAAGATGGTGAAACTGTTTCTACTAAAAACACAAAAATTAGCTGGGCATGGTGGCGGACGCCTGTAATCCCAGCTACTCGGGAGGTTGAGGTAGGAGAATTACTTGAACCCGGGAGGTGGAGGTTGCAGTGAGCCGAGATCAAGCCACTGCACTCCAGCCTAGGCTACAAGGGCAAAACTCTGTCTCAAAAAAAAAAAAAAAGATAGTAGTGCAGTGTAATGAAGTAGGGGTTACAATAGAGGGAATGCTCTGGAAAGACAAAGCCATGGGATAGTTGTTAACAAGTACTAAATTCTGTGCAGTCAACCACATTCAGACTTATATAAATGACTTAGTTGTTGGTTTTCTTCAGGGTCTTTCCCAAGCCCTCTTTTCTTTTCATTCTGTAATGTACCTACTGTCTTTGCCATTCTCTTAGAGGTTGACACTGTGTTAGATGTAAGCTCTTTGAGGACCAGGCCCACACCTCTTGTTTGCCGTTGTACCCCTAACAGCCAGCGCCTGGCACTTAGTAGGAACTCCAGAATCCCTGAGCTGAACAAATGCATGAATTCTTTTATGTTTTAATTTTTGGGCTGGCATGGTGGCTCACACCTGGCGTGTTGTCCTGGACTCCCCTGCTTCTGTCCCTCACGTCAGAGATCATTGTCATCCTTGTCACTCAGTTCTTCACATTCTTCCATTCTCTGCAATTCTGGCAGTGCTTCTGGAGCCCAGGCCTGGGTTGCCGCAGCAGGCCCCCTGCTTGAGTTACACACTTTTTGAGCCAGAGGTTGTAAACGATTCCCATGGGCCTGTAAAGCAGTTTTGTTGGGTCCATCTGGTGTGAGTGTGTGTGTTTAAGATTTTAAAATAGTTTTAAAATTAGGTTTTATATAAAAGGTCCAGATTTCAGACTTTTCTTGGAAAATCAGAAGGTTTAGCTGCACAGAGTCTGCATTCTTACCTGGCAGTCATCAGCAAGCACAGGTGGCAGCTGCTCCTGAGGGAGGAGCACAGTCCCTGCAACCACTATGGTCTGCAACCCCCTGCTCAGGCCCCCTGGATGCGTTTGAGTGTACCCTCACATTTTCCACACCAGTTGTTTCTAAACTGCAACTATACATTGCATGAAAACATTCAATGACTCCTTGATACCATCAGGATAAAGCTTTAAAAATTCCATTGCACCTGAGTATGGTGGCTCATGCCTATAATCTCAGCACTTTGGGAGGCCAAGTCAGGAGGATCGCTTGAGCTCAGGAGTTTGAGATCAGCCTGGGCAACATAGTGAGACCCTGTCTCTACAAAAAAATGTAAAAGAAAAGAAAGCCAGGCGTGGTGGTGTGTACCTGTATTCCTAGCAACTGGGAGACTTCTGCTTGAGTCCAGAAGTCTGAAGCTACAGTGAGCTGTGATCATACTCCTGCACTCCAGCCTGGGTGACAGAGCAAGACCCTGTCTCTAAAAAGGATTTAAAAATTAAAAAAATTTCCATCGCATGCCATAAACCACCTGATCTCCTACCCCACGTACCTTTCCAGGCTCTTTTTTTTCTTTCTTTCTTTACCCATCTTCTTCTTTTTGGAATCTTCTCTGTGTCCTGCCAACTTCTAATCCTTCAGGTCTCACCTTAAATATTGTTTTTTCCGGAAGATCCAAGGACTGGCTTCAGTGCTCTGAGGGTGTAGGGAAAAAAACAAAGGGATTTTTCTATTCTCTTTTTTTTTTTTTTTTTTTTTTGAGACGGAGTCTTGCTCTGTCACCCAGGCTGAAGTGCAGTGGCACGATCTCAGCTCACTGCACGCTCTGCCTCCTGGGTTCACACCATTCTCCTGCCTCAGCCTCCCCAGCAGCTTGGACTACAGGCGCACACCGCCACACGCGGATAATTTTTTTGTATTTTTAGTAGAGATGGGGTTTCACCGTGTTAGCCAGGATGGTCTCAATCTCCTGACCTCGTGATCCACCCGCCTCGGCCTCCCAAAGTGCTGGGATTACAGGCGTGAGCCACCGCGCCCGGCCTGATTTTTCCATTCTCTTATGCACGGGGACTCATGCCTATGGTCCCAGCTGCTTGGGAGGATGAGGCAGGAGAATCCTTTGAGTTTGGGAGGTCAAAGCTATAGTGAGCCGCGTTCATGCCACTGCACTCCATCCTGAGCAACAGGATATCAGTAATCACGGGTCTCAACCCTGAGGCAGTAGTTTCAATTTTACTTGTCTTTCCAGCCTGAGAATAAGCTCATTGAGGGCAGGGACTGTGTCTCTCACCACAGTGTTCACAGCACCTAGTATAGGGTCTCGCTTTCATGCTCAGAACATAAATTGCAAACCAAAAAAGCCTTGATTGTAGTTTGGCTATTTGAGATGCTGCAGTGGGTCTTTTTAAAGCTATTATAACCCTAAGACTGCAAGCAATATATATTTTATTCTGCTTATGGTTTGAATTTATTAATTGGACAAATATTTTGTTATGTATCTGGGCTGTCCAGCGGTGCAGAGCACACACATTCTGTTCTCACAGCTTACTGACATTTACAGAGTTTTCATTATATTCATCCTTAGAGCAGACTAGAAGATTTGTCTTAGAAACTGTTTGTTAGAGACCTAGGTACCTTGAAATAGTCTTGTACCGTTGGATGCACTAAAAGCTCTCTCTTTATCTTGCAGGTGGTCACCATGGGCCTTTTCCGCACTATTGCTTTGTTTTACCTTGGAAGTTTTGACAGCATAGTTCGTCGCTGCATGATGCAGAGAGAAAAATCTGAAAATGCAGACAAAACTGCCTAATCTTCTTACCCCTTGGAAGAAGACTGTTTCCAAATAATTTGAACAGCTTGCTGCTAAATGGGACCCAATTTTTGGCCTATAGACACTTATGTATTGTTTTCGAATACGTCAGATTGGACCAGTGCTCTTCAGGAATGTGGCTGCAAGCAAGGGGCTAGAAGTTCACCTCCTGACAGTATTATTAATACTATGCAAATATGGAATAGGAGACCATTTGATTTTCTAGGCTTTGTGGTAGAGAGGTGAAGGTATGAGAATTAATAGCGTGTGAACAAAGTAAAGAACAGGATTCCAGAATGATCATTAAATTTGTTTCTATTTATTCTTTTTTGCCCCCCTAGAGATTAAGTCCAGAAATGTACTTTCTGGCACATAAAGAAATCTTGAGGACTTTGTTTAAACCTTCCATAAAAAAACAATTTTCGGTTTCTCGGGTTCTCTCTCTCTCTCTCTCTGTCTCTCTGTCTCTCTGTCTCTCTGTCTCTCTGTCTCTCTGTCTCTCTCTCTCTCTCTCTTTCTTTCTTTGTGTATTTTATTCAAGATGAGTTGGACCCATTGCCAGTGAGTCTGAATGTCACTGACAGCCCTGTGTTGTGCTCAGGACTCACTCTGCTGCTGGTGGAAACTCATGGCTTCTCTCTCTCTTTGATCCCATAAAGCTACGAGGGGGACGGGAGAGGGCAGTGCAATGGGAAGTAAAGAGATATTTTCCAGTAGGAAAAGCAATGCTTTCTTGTCTTTAGACTCAAATGCTTAGGGAACGTTTCATTTCTCATTCATGGGGAAAGGCAGCCTCCTTAAATGTTTTCTGAAGAGCGGTAAAATCTAGAAGCTTAAGAATTTACAGTTCCTTCAATAACCATGATGACCTGAAGTTCACCTATCCCATTTTAGCATCTACTTGTTTTTCCCATCTCTTCCTTTCCAATTTTGCTTATACTGCTGTAATATTTTTGTAAAAAAAAAAAAAAAGGAAAAAAAAGACCAGCTAAAATTTTCGACTTGACTTTTTAACTTAACTCATGAATTAATTAAAGCAAATGAAAAAATTAAAAAGTGTGACTTTTTCTCGGAGCATATATGTAGCTTTTAGGAAAGGCTGATGATGGTATAAAGTTTGCTCATTAAGAAAAAAAGACAAGGCTGATTTTGAAGAGAGTTGCTTTTGAAATAAAATGATCACCTGTTCTTTATGTGACTCTCCCACTGAACCTGCAGACATTATTTTTATACCACATGCTAAGGAAGCCCACTCATCTAACTCTGTAGCCCTGGAAACCCTCTTGGCCCCTGAATGTTGTTTCCAGGTTATAGGATCTGTGTTCATTAGTGGATTTTGACAGCAAGTGCCTCTGATGAGTTTTAGCCAACATTCCCCGTTGCATCCTGCTCATTGTTCACACTCCTCTGACTTGAGGAGAGCTGCCTTCACCTTGATCTTGTAACCTGTCTTCCTTGCATATACGGTAGCACATTCCAGATCACTTCGGTGAGAAAAGACCTCTGTTTTTGAAGAGGAAACTTTCTTAAATTGTAAAATAAAACTTAAAAAACATAAAAACTCTATACAAAAATTGAAGACCTAAAAATTATAGCATACCTTTTTTTTGCTCTTGAGTTTTTGAAGCTCTTGACTTTAAATGACTTAACTTTTTAAAAAATAAGATGTTTTATGGCTTTAACCCATGTTTTTATTAAGATCTGAGAATAGCATATTTTAAACACTGATAGATACAGAAGAAATTATTATTTAATATATAAATTGCTTGGAATGATTTCATTGCAGCTTGTAAGGATGGGTTGATGCCAGAATGGTTTCATAAATCTTTCAGTCTTACAGAGCCAAAGTTTGCAGATTATATCGAGTTGCGTTGTGCAGCTGCTAAAATGGAATCATAGCTTTTTATAATTTGCAGAAAACAATTGCATTAATGTCTGGATGTTTCTCAGTTTTATTCTTTTCTCATAAATGTTCCTCGAATGTTGGCACCTTCTACTGCTGATCTATATTAGAATCTAGTCCAAGAAAGTGTCTGATTTAATAACATTAAATAGTTATTTCAATATATTTTTTCAAATTATCCTCATAGAACCTGTTGCCTCCAGTGAGATGGTAATCTACTACCCGAATAAATTTAAGAGCACCTGTTGAGAGCCCCTGTTTTGCGGTAGAAGACAATTGTCCCTATCCCAATTTCCACTGAAATATGAGAGCAGATTTGCAGAGACCATCATGTCAGAGAAGAAATTTCCTTGTCAGAGATGTTAAAGGGCTACAGTCCCTTAGCAAAGAAACTTCGAAATCTAAGTTGGTTTGTGTTTTTCTAAATTTGATACCGTAATTCATTTGGCAGCAAAATCTGACTTGAACTGATGTGAGAGTATTGTACTTTATATTTATGCTACTTCATTGTGACTTAATTTTCCCTGAAGAAATATCCATGGATTTGATTATAGGTTTTCCCTTAGATGCTGTGGAGGTGTTTTGTAATATTCAAAATATGCCCATATTGCCTTTTTAAAACCCCAAAGATTATGAATTCTGAAACACATCCAGCCCAGCGGGTTTTGGATAAGGGGTTGTAGGCATTTAAGCAGCCTCACATAATGGGCTGACTTCATCCAAAACATGAAAATATTACAAGGCAAATTCTATTTTTTATATTTTTTGGTTCAATGCTTGAACAACTTGTTTTTCTGCTGGGGGAAGAAAAAAAGAACCAACCCTGAGTGTGATTGTTACGGAAACTAATGACTTTGTTTTTAAAGGATCACATTGATTCAACACCTTCTATTGGACCCAGAAGTGCGTAAATATTACCTATGGTAGTAAACGTTTAATTATCATTCAGTTTAAATGTTGGCCTTCTGTATGTAGCCAAGAACAGCTCATTTTGTGAATTTCAGTTTTTAAGTGGCTGCTTTTTGATTTGGTTGTATTATTTTATTATAATGTATTTGCAAGTATATTAAAAAATTAACATTGAGCCATAAAAATCCCCAAATATGTTCAAGGACTTCATAATTGAAAAATATATAGAAAACAATCCTTACTTCTTTTTACAAAAACAAAATCATGGGAATTATTCTTTTCTATATATTTAGTTATAAATCTTTCTCTGGGCCGGGCGTGGTGGCTCACGCCAGTAATCCCAGCACTTTGGGAGGCTGAGACAGGCGAATCACGAGGTCAGGAGTTCGAGACCAGCCTGGCCAACATGGTGAAACCCCGTCTCTACTGAAAATACAAAAAATTAGCTGGACACGGTGGCAGGCGCCTGTGTGTGGCGGGCGCCAGCTACTCAGGAGGCTGAGGCAGGAGAATCGCTTGAACCCAGGAGGCAGAGGTTGCAGTGAGCCAAGATTGCGCCACTGCACTCCAGCCTAGGTGACAGTGCGAGACTCTGTCTCAAAAAAAAAAAAAAAGAAAAAAAATCTTTATCTGGATCTGTTAAACCATATATTATTGATCATTGCAAGTGAAATTTTGAGAGATTGTTTCTAGTATTTAGGTGATGAAAACATTTGGTAATATTGCTTTGGTTCAAAGAATTTTATGTCTTTATCTTTCTAGAAGAAAGCAATTATATATATATTTTTGCTAAATTACATAAACATTTAATTACATCAGGTTCTAATTTAAACATGTATTACTCACTTGAGGCCACTTTTAAATATTCATACTCTTTGACATAAGATGCTTTGTATATTTCTCATTTCTTTTAGTTCTTAGTAAGTCAGCTTTAAAAAGTACCTGCCAACCAGAACCTTCCATATTCTGGACTAAATCTTGCTCTTCGGATTATACTTCAGTGCAGTAACTGTGGATTTGCAATTTTGAAGGGGAGATAGTAGCTATTATATTTTACACTTGCTTGATGTGATAACTCTAAAGACTTTTTAACTGATAAAAGCGCACATGGCTATTTTGATACACAAAGTTGTGTTTGCTACTTTAGAAGCTTTTGTGGCAGAATTGTAATCTAATTTTCATACCTTGTATTTCTGAATCACAACAAAAAAATAAATGGGGAACAAGACTTACAGATTTGCAAACTTATTTATCTAGAAGTTTGTGTTTTTTAAGAGACCATTTGGGCAAAACATAAATGTTTTCTATAATGTTATCCTGACTTTGCATCCTAAGCATTTCACCAGGCCTGATTTTTATCATTTTTTAGGAAGTAATATTTGTGGAGTAAATACTTGGTATTCTGAGCTCTTGTGTCAAGTAGGTTCTGTTCGTATCACTATGATGTGGGATATACGAGTAAAAGTTTAAGAAATGTGAATTTAGCAAAATTTCTTAAACAAGTACGTTTTCTATACAAATATATTTCTCATACTTTAAACGAAAACCTGATATTCCAACCATGTAATATCTCCCAGATCCTGATGGGCAGCAAATTATACAAGACTGATATGGAAAAGAACATGCCTCGATATTTATCAGTTCGTAAACAGAAAGGTTTTGGAACATTGAGAAGAGATTTCTTGGACATCGTGGTTTGCAAGCTTAATCTTTCTTTACATGTGAGCAATTTATATACATAAATGGCATGTGATATTATATCTGTAATTTTTGTTTGGATATTTAAAGGACAAAATTATGTGTTTTGTTTGTTTGTTTGTTTGTGATGGAGTCTTGCCCTGTCGCCAGGCTGGAGCGTAGTGGCATGATCTTGGCTCACTGCAACCTCCGACTCCCTGGTTCAAGCAATTGTCCTGCCTCAGCCTCCTGAGTAGCTGGGATTACAGGCACGCGCCCCCACGCCCAGCTAATTTTTGTATTTTTAGTAGAGACGGGGTTTCACCATGTTGGCCAGGCTGGTCTTGAACTCCTGACCTGGTGATCTGCCCGCCTTGGCCTCTCAAAGTGCTGGGATTACAGGCGTGAGCCACCACGCCCAACCCCAAATTATGTTTTGATTTCTGTTACACTCCTGATTTTATAACCTCCATTTTGCCTCATCCATCATATATTTGTTGGGTACTAATGATGAGCTTGGTATCAGGTGCTGGGGATACAATTATATATCAACAACTTGTTCCTTCCTCATGGCAATTACTTTTCTTGTTTCTTCACCTTCTCCCATCCTTCATCCCTCAGATGGCTCTGCTATATCCTTACAAGTCTCTTAGACAAAGAGGAACCATTCCCCATTTTCTTCTTTGGCTTGGAGCCTCTGAATTTTAGGCTTCAAATCTTTGTATGCTAAGCACTGTTCTAAGCTGGAAAGACTCCAAGGAAAAATAGGATCCCTGCCCTCGAATAGTTTATAATCTAGTGAGAAGGATATATGCCAGAGATTACACTGATCTGAGAATAGCGGTGATTAAGATACCATAACCAACACTGAAAACAGGTACCAGTCACTTGTGAGTGCTTTACATGTATTAACTCAATGAAATCACAAGCTAACCCCAAGAATAGTACTACTTATATTTCCATGTTATAAATGAGGGAACAGGCACTGAAAGCTTAAATACTTGGCTCAAGGTCACAGCTACTCAATGGTGAAGCCAGGATGAGAATCTTGATTCTGATTTTTAGGCATCTAGCCCCGTACTAAATGTCTTCTAGCAGCACAGAAGGAATGTTAAGACGGCCCAGAAACAGCAGGGATGGCTTTACAGAGGAAGAAATTCTTCAGCCAAAACTAAAGAAATGAATTTGTCAGGTGAAAAAGCTGGGTACCATTCAGGGAGACCGGCAGATGTGCAAAAGCGAAAGACGTGAGAGACCTTGGCATATTCCAGAAACCACAAAAAGTGGATATAGTTGCAAGAAGGGAAAAGGAAGAGATGAGGGGTAGGGAGGGGGGTGGCAAAGGATTGGGCCAGATCATGCCATGTGAAGAGTTAAGATTTTTAGGTTTTCAAGAACTTTGAGTGGAAATATGAAATAGCCAGATTTTAGCTTTAGAGAGGTCACGGTAGCCCTTGAAACTCAGTTCTAATATTGCTGAGTCTTTAGGCCTTGGGGTCAATGATCCTCATTAGTTTTAAAAATGTCATATTAGATACATATTGTGATGGATTGAATTGTGTCACCCCAAAACATATTTAAATTCAGTCCCCAGCACCTGTGAATATGACCTTATTTGGAAATAAGGTCTGTACAGATGCGATCAAGTTAAGATGAGGTGACTGTGATGGGCCTGAATCCAGTATTATGACTGGAGACCTCAGAAGAATGGGAGAAAACAGAACCCCACAGGTCATGGCGGAAGCAGAGACTGGAGTGATTAGGCTGCAAGGCAAGGAACATTAAGGATTGCCGGCCACCACCAGAAGCTAGGGAGAGGCAAGAACAGACTGTACCCGAGCTTCAGAGAAAGCGTGGGCCTGCTTTCGCCTTGCTTTTTGACTTCCAGCCCACAGAGCTGTGAGAGAATAAATTTCTGTTGTTTTACGCTACCTAATTTGTGGTATTTTGTCATGGCAGTTCTAGGAAACATATTAACCTTAAAGTTTAGAATTGTGTTCACTATCAATTAATACCTTGGAGACGTGCTGTGTGCTAAATAGCATAAGAGAATAAAAGTTAGTTATTACACGTAAGAATGTAAATTATTCACCCAGCCCTCCCGGTACTATGGTATTATACCTTGTTTGGTTCTATCACTGCAGTTTCAGTCCAACGAGAGCAGTAGGCATCTGAAAAATGGACAAGTTCCTACCCTTAGCTTATTTCACTTTAAACACCAAGTTATTGATTAGAAATGGAAAAAAAAATCACAAGTTAATTTGCTATGCTTTCCATTGTAAACCAAAAGTAAATATTATTTGCCCACTATTAAACTTGTACAGCAGAATGATTTATTTGTAGCTCATTGCCTAGCTTCAAATATTATTGCTTAATTATTCCGATTTTTTTTGTCTTGTTTTTAGGTTTAGGTTCCACTTAAGTTAGGTGAGTTAAGTTAGGTGGATTTCTAAGTTAAACCAAGGCTTAACTTAGAAACCAAGAGAGTTTCCTGGTTATGACAAGAATGACTTTCAGGCACAGAGTGGATGACTTGGATGTGATCACTTAAGGCAGAAGACAGGCTCTGAAGCAAAAGTGATTGGGAAAAAAAAAAAGCATGACTGGGGCTTATATAATGCTTGCTGGCAATGTATGCAAACCATTTGAAAGAGCATGGCACTACCTACCACACAAATTTATAATGTATAAGATTCTTGAAATTGGAAACTGGCATTTTGGATTGCTAATCTAAGCCTATGAGAAGTTATTATTATTATTATTATTATTATTATTATTATTATTTTTGTGAGACAGAGTCTTGCTCTGTTTCCAGGCTGGAGTGCAGTGGCGCGATCTTGGCTCCCTGCAACCTCTGACTTCCTGGTTCAAGTGATTCTCCTGCCTAGCCTCTCGAGTAGCTGGGATTACAGGCACTTGCCACCATGCCCAGCTAATTTTTGTAGTTTTAGTAAAGACAGGGTTTCACCATGTTGGCCAGGATGGTCTCGATCTCCTGACCTCGTGATCCATCCACCTCGGCCTCCCAAAGTGCTGGGATTACAGGCATGAGCCACTGCACCCGGCTGAGAAGTTATTTTTTAAGCAGTTTTCTTTCTTTCTTTCTTTCTTTCTTTTTTTTGAGATGGAGTCTCACTCTCTCACCCATGCTGGAGTGCAGTGGCATGATCTTGGCTCACTGCAATCTCTGCCTCCCGGGTTCAAGCAATTCTCCTGTTTCAGCCTCCTGAGTAGCTGGGACTACAGGTCCCCGCCACCACGCCTGGCTAATTTTTGTATTTTTAGTAGAGACGGGGTTCCACCATATTGGTCAGCCTGGTCTTGAATTCCTGACCTCAGGTGATCTGCCCACCTCTGCCTCCCAAAGTGCTGGGATTACAGCCGTGAGCCACTGCGCTCGGCCTCATTTTTCTTTTATGCAAACTATATGGACTACTTGTTTTTATTCTCTCTAGTCAGCTCATTTTATTTATGGATTAATTTCCATTTCAGGTTGGGGCCATGGTTTACTCTTCCATCTGACCTATTAGTTATCAATATCCTCAGTTAATAGTCTCATTCTACCCACATTTTCAATAAAAAGTTTACTAGCTGGGAAGATTTGATACACACACATGATTTTTTTTTTCTTTTCTTTTCTTTTTTTTTTTGAGACAGGGTATCAGTCTGTCACCCAGGCTGCAGTGCAGTGGTGTGATCACAGCTCACTACAGCCTCCACCTCCTGGGCTCAAGTGATCGTCCTATCTCAGCCTTCAGAGTAGATGGGACTACAGGCACACACCACCATGCCCCGCTAATTTTTGTATTTTTTGTGGAGATAGAGTTTTGTCATGTTGTGCAGGCTGGTCTCAAACTCTTGGCCTCAAGCAATACACCCACCGCAGCCTCCCAAAGTGCTGAGATTACAGGCATGAGCAACCACACCTGGCCGATACATACCTATATTAAACATTAGTATGTTCATGTTAGAATAATGTACCTTTTGAATTTCATAAACTTGGAGAATATTTATATTGATGATGGATGAAAGAACTTTCTTGGATGGATGAAGAGAGTAACGCTGTGAAACAACCAGCAGGTGGCGAAAACTGGCAATCAAAAGCTTTTTGTTTGGTGGCCTGGGGAATGAAGACGGAAAGAAAACACAGGCCATTCAGACTCTTGATACAATCTCCATTCCCTGCATCTTGTTTTTTTTCTCTTCCTGGTGCCACGCTACTTGTAGAATCCAACCAGGTAAAGCTGCCAAAAGGGTCATCCATTGGCTCTTACAAGTAGAAAACATCTTGGAAAGTGAAAAGTCCACTGTGCATATGTTTGTAAGGTTGTTGGAAGGTCTCAGGCATAGATCTAGGATTCAAATCCAGTTACTCCTGCCTCAGGCTGGTGTTCCCTCCCCCACCTCAGCATTGCCCAAAGACGAGTAGTCAATGTCACATACTTCCTGGGAATACTTGCCCTTATGCTTTAAAATGGAATCTAATAAACATGGAATCTGAACGCAGGAATGGTTTCACTCTTTCATTTGAAAGAGTATCTAGAACATTCCCAGGGAAAATATAACCCCTAGCCAAAGACTGCAATACAGACCTGTCTCAAGACTGATTATAGCCAAGATGCCACATAAGGAATCAGTCTGGGAAAATCCATAGAGTGAGGCTCTGTGGGAGCAAAGGAAGACGAAAATCAGTCAGCTTTTCTTTCTCTGGAAGTAGGGGATCCGTTTCCTTCTGGCTGCCCCCTTTGCAGAAGTACAGTTTCTTTTGCAGGTTTGTCCTATCATTTCCTCACTCATATGCTGAGTATTAGGAGCTTGAAGCCTTTCAATTCCTCTTAGGTAATTTTGGGGCTTTAAAATACGCTTTCAAGATTTCTAAACCATACTGTTGTGCAATTGGTATGAATTTATGTGAGAACATTTATTCTAGGTCAATCTATACCCAGTGTCTATCCAGACCAAAACACCTCCCACGCGCATAAAAGGGACTCTGTCCCAACCATCAGAAGGGCAAGAAGGAGGATCTCCTTTCATCCCCTCTTGCCTGGATAAGAAATTTGTACCCAGGCCCCCATTCCTATGTGAGAGAAGTTGGCTTGTTGGGCTGATGGGATACAATAAATGAAGAAATAAAATAAAAACACCCAAGAGAGATGGCAGTGCGTATAGTCCCAGCTATTCATGAGGCTGAGGTGGGAGAATCCTTCGAGCCCAGAAGTTCGAGTCCAGCCTGGGCAACATAGCAAAAGCCATCTCTTAAAAAAAAAAAAAAAAGGCCAACTAAGTAAAAATTAAAAAAATCATAATTTGGTGTGCTTTTCTGGCTTTTTAAAGAATGTTTTGATTTTAGAGTAGGAATGAGACAAAATAAAGATGTCAGGCAGGGCACAGTGGCTCATGTCTGTAATCCCAGCACTTTGGGAGGCTGAGGCAGGCGGATAACGAGGTCAGGAGTTCGAGACCAGCCTGGCCAGTATGGCGAAACCCCGTCTCTACTAAAAATACAAAAATTAGCAGAGCGTAGTGGCGTGCACGTGTAATCCCAGCTACTCAGGAGGCTGAGGCAGAATTGCTTGAGCCTGGGAGGCAGAGGTTGCAGTGAGCTGAGATCGCACCACTGCACACCAGCCTCCAAGATACAACAGAGCAAGACTCTGTCTCAAAAAAAAAAAAAAAGTCATAGCATATTTGTACACATTGTAGTACTCATTTGTCATCTTTCTTGACCCCAATAATCCAGTGTCCCTATATATTTGCACTCGAGCCCTATTAAGTAAGCCGCTGTGCTTCTAGAAGACCTTTTTCTTTTCTTGGTGCTTTGTCAAAGACTCTTGGAGATAAAAATACACACGTGCAACTTGTTTGTCCTCTTGTCCTTTTTTGCTAGGGGCTATTCATGCTGATTAATTTAAAACTGTCTGCTTGCGCGTACACACGTCTGCGAGTGTGAATGTGTATGTGTGTATCTATGTACCTCATTTGAGAAAGTGCGGCCAACTAGGATTGGCTACGAGGCAAAGGTGGAGACCTTTAGGAGCCCACCCACCCCAGCGTTAGGACGGTGGGCCTGAAAGTTACTATATGGAAGTCCTCATCGTGTAGCACTAAACCAGTGTAAAAGGTGTTAGGGACAGAGGGAAAACATTGACTTAAACTGTCGTAAAGCCCTTGATAAACCCCTTCCCTGGAGCGCTGAGTTCTGCATGGCCTGGGCCACGGACTAGGTGTTCAGGTGGACACGGGCGGGGATGCGCGTGCGTGTGTAGTGCGCGGACACCTAGGAAGCTACTTGAAAGTAAACACCACGCTCGGGGCGTCCCTAGACATTGCTTAAAACGTGCAGAGTCACCTGTCTTCACAGCAGGGCAGCGCTGAGGTCCCACTGCTGGGGGCGGTGGGGGGCGGCATTGGCCTGGGTCTTCCCCCGGCGGCCGAGCGCCGGTAACACAACGTGTGTGTGTGTAGGCGCGTGTACACACTCTCATACACGGCTAGAAAGGGTCCAGGCGACACACACACTCCCACATACACGGCTAGAAAAGGTCCAGGCGAGACACACACACACACACACACACACACACACACTCCACACACACTCACACGGCCAGAAAGGGTCCAGGCGGTTCCCGGCGCTTTTCCAGCCCTTGTTTTCATGGCGCACCCTCCCGCCAGCCGCCCCCCTCCGCACTCCGTCGTCCGCCCGGCCCGGCCGCGTGCGGTTCCCCGGGAGCCCCCACCCCGTCGCGGACCCCAGCGACCACCAAGTCCGCACGCGGCCTGCCGCAGGCCTGAGCAGAAGGCCCCGCGCACACCCACCGCGCCGCGGCCGCGCGGGAGGCCTGTGCCGCCCGCGCCACCCACTGGCCGGGCCCCGCGGGCGCAGCGGAGCGGGCGGGTGGCCGGCCCGGACGCGCCCTCCCCGGCCGCGGCCCCGCGCGCCATGTGCCCCCGGCGGGACGCGCCACTCCCGGGCCTGCCGCGGCGCCTTTAACCCGGGCCAGGGAGCGGGGCGGAGGGGGCGGTCGGGTGGCTCAGAGGAGGGCTCTTTCTTTCTTCTTTTTTTGAATGAACCGTGTGACGTTACGCACAGGAAACCGGTCGGGCTGTGCAGAGAATGAAGTAAGAGGACAGGCACCACAGCCCCGCTCCCGCCCCCTTCCTCCCGCGCCCGCCCCTCCGCGCCGCCTGCCCGCCCGCCCGCCGCGCTCCCGCCCGCCGCTCTCCGTGGCCCCGCCGCGCTGCCGCCGCCGCCGCTGCCAGCGAAGGTGCCGGGGCTCCGGGCCCTCCCTGCCGGCGGCCGTCAGCGCTCGGAGCGGGCTGCGCGGCGGGAGCTCCGGGAGGCGGCCGTAGCCAGCGCCGCCGCGCAGGACCAGGAGGAGGAGAAAGGGTGCGCAGCCCGGAGGCGGGGTGCGCCGGTGGGGTGCAGCGGAAGAGGGGGTCCAGGGGGGAGAACTTCGTAGCAGTCATCCTTTTTAGGAAAAGAGGGAAAAAATAAAACCCTCCCCCACCACCTCCTTCTCCCCACCCCTCGCCGCACCACACACAGCGCGGGCTTCTAGCGCTCGGCACCGGCGGGCCAGGCGCGTCCTGCCTTCATTTATCCAGCAGCTTTTCGGAAAATGCATTTGCTGTTCGGAGTTTAATCAGAAGAGGATTCCTGCCTCCGTCCCCGGCTCCTTCATCGTCCCCTCTCCCCTGTCTCTCTCCTGGGGAGGCGTGAAGCGGTCCCGTGGATAGAGATTCATGCCTGTGCCCGCGCGTGTGTGCGCGCGTGTAAATTGCCGAGAAGGGGAAAACATCACAGGACTTCTGCGAATACCGGACTGAAAATTGTAATTCATCTGCCGCCGCCGCTGCCTTTTTTTTTTCTCGAGCTCTTGAGATCTCCGGTTGGGATTCCTGCGGATTGACATTTCTGTGAAGCAGAAGTCTGGGAATCGATCTGGAAATCCTCCTAATTTTTACTCCCTCTCCCCGCGACTCCTGATTCATTGGGAAGTTTCAAATCAGCTATAACTGGAGAGTGCTGAAGATTGATGGGATCGTTGCCTTATGCATTTGTTTTGGTTTTACAAAAAGGAAACTTGACAGAGGATCATGCTGTACTTAAAAAATACAAGTAAGTTCTCTGCACAGGAAATTGGTTTAATGTAACTTTCAATGGAAACCTTTGAGATTTTTTACTTAAAGTGCATTCGAGTAAATTTAATTTCCAGGCAGCTTAATACATTCTTTTTAGCCGTGTTACTTGTAGTGTGTATGCCCTGCTTTCACTCAGTGTGTACAGGGAAACGCACCTGATTTTTTACTTATTAGTTTGTTTTTTCTTTAACCTTTCAGCATCACAGAGGAAGTAGACTGATATTAACAATACTTACTAATAATAACGTGCCTCATGAAATAAAGATCCGAAAGGAATTGGAATAAAAATTTCCTGCATCTCATGCCAAGGGGGAAACACCAGAATCAAGTGTTCCGCGTGATTGAAGACACCCCCTCGTCCAAGAATGCAAAGCACATCCAATAAAATAGCTGGATTATAACTCCTCTTCTTTCTCTGGGGGCCGTGGGGTGGGAGCTGGGGCGAGAGGTGCCGTTGGCCCCCGTTGCTTTTCCTCTGGGAAGGATGGCGCACGCTGGGAGAACAGGGTACGATAACCGGGAGATAGTGATGAAGTACATCCATTATAAGCTGTCGCAGAGGGGCTACGAGTGGGATGCGGGAGATGTGGGCGCCGCGCCCCCGGGGGCCGCCCCCGCACCGGGCATCTTCTCCTCCCAGCCCGGGCACACGCCCCATCCAGCCGCATCCCGGGACCCGGTCGCCAGGACCTCGCCGCTGCAGACCCCGGCTGCCCCCGGCGCCGCCGCGGGGCCTGCGCTCAGCCCGGTGCCACCTGTGGTCCACCTGACCCTCCGCCAGGCCGGCGACGACTTCTCCCGCCGCTACCGCCGCGACTTCGCCGAGATGTCCAGCCAGCTGCACCTGACGCCCTTCACCGCGCGGGGACGCTTTGCCACGGTGGTGGAGGAGCTCTTCAGGGACGGGGTGAACTGGGGGAGGATTGTGGCCTTCTTTGAGTTCGGTGGGGTCATGTGTGTGGAGAGCGTCAACCGGGAGATGTCGCCCCTGGTGGACAACATCGCCCTGTGGATGACTGAGTACCTGAACCGGCACCTGCACACCTGGATCCAGGATAACGGAGGCTGGGTAGGTGCACTTGGTGATGTGAGTCTGGGCTGAGGCCACAGGTCCGAGATGCGGGGGTTGGAGTGCGGGTGGGCTCCTGGGGCAATGGGAGGCTGTGGAGCCGGCGAAATAAAATCAGAGTTGTTGCTTCCCGGCGTCCCTACCTCCTCCTCTGGACAAAGCGTTCACTCCCAACCTGACCGATAACGCCTGCCATCTAAAAGTCTTTAACTTGCTTGCTAGTCGTGGAGATCCAAAGATCTAGCGTTTGTAATCCAGTAGGATGTGGTGGTAAATGGTACCCCTTCAGTGTTTCTCAAGCTGAAGGTCCAGGAGTCCCCAGGACCACCGTTTCCTGGCTTGAGCAGCTTGTTGGAACCGGAGGGAGGTTTCAGGGACTGCTTATGAACCAGATACCAGGTTGGGTCTTGACAGTCTGCATCCCAAACAAGCTCCCCTGAAACAAGCCCGTTGTACACTAAAATTGGAGAACAACCCGATTAGAAGAATAGACTCCACAGAAGACCAAGGGCATCATCAATCGGTAAAATTTTCCAAAAGAGGAAAACCAATGTAAGTCTTTTTCCCTGAAAAACTTAGTTGTGTTTGTAAAGAGCTAAGTTGACATTCCAAAGTCCTTGGACTGGAATCTCCAGTGTGTGCCATGTTCCCAGTGGGCGTGATGAGGTGTCCTGAGGAGTATCAGGCTATGGCTTTGCTACCTTGTCAGTGACAGAATTTGCATCGGCTGCATTCTTTGTATTCTATAATTTGTGTATGGTTTACCAGTTTGCTAGAATGTTAGAATCTTTTGTTTTTCACCACTCAGAGTGGACCTAATTTTGTGGTCGGCTGAAAAAAATTTGCATCTAGGTATCTATGTAAAGTGTAGAAGAATTGATTCTTAGCTGTGGATTATCTTACCCTTACTTTAGTTGAAGTGATTGATACCTGTGGCTTTGAAGAACATTTGTGAGATGATCTTTTTCTCGTACTGTGCTAGATAGAGCTTTCATCATTATACCATACAATTGTACTTTTCTGAGATTCTTTGTTGGAGGGGGTTTAGTTCCTAAGAGTCAAGGATTGTAATGGAGATCTATATCTCATATCTAAAATGATGAATTTATGAAAAAGTAATTCTTGTGTGAAGTTTTTTTTTTTTTTACACTTTTTGTTTTAATCTGAAGAGTTATCTTTGAAAAACAGGATGCAATTCAGTGCTTCCTTTTATAGCCTCTTGGGAGAATGACTAATGTCATTATTTTATAGGACCTAACAGGAGCAAAAAGCCTAGAAATTACTGCAAGTGGATTAGATGTCAAGAAGCACACCACATGTTTTTATTACATTTTACAAAGTGTGCTCATACTAGGAGGCCAAATAGAGAAAAGGCCAAGAAAAGTAGATGATTGATGTGAACATCTGATCTTATTTGACCAAAGTTGACAAAATATTGATGCCACTGTTTGGTGTTTAAAAGTAAGATTAACTAAAATGCCCCAATTTAAATTTCTAAAATTTAAATCCTCTTCTTGAATTGTTTGTTTGTTGAGATCTCACATTATCAGATCTTTAGTAATTCTGGAAGAATTTGCTAAAGGGTGAAAAGAATATTTTTGTTAAATATTTGGTTAAGTAGGTGGTTTGATTTTTAATCACTATAACTAAAGGGGTTGGGACTTCCAGATTCCCAAAGGATCCTTTTAAACCAAAGTAAAACTGATTTAATAGTTTTACTATTTCACATTTTTGTGAAAAATTCACACTTACAAATTTTCTTTCTACTTGAAATAAATCCAAGGTGGTAACTGGTATCTGTCTATCAAATAAGTTAATAAAAATGTGGGAAACAGAGACACATGTTTATGACAGAAATTAAGATACAACCTTGATATTTGTTGCTGAATTTCAGTGTGTTACCCTCTCATGTAACTGAAGTTTCTTTTTAAGTAAAGGCTCACTTTTTTCTTTTTGTGAAACAGAGTTTTCATAGTAGACCTATCTTTGTGGTCAACAGGTATCTGAGGTTGATAAATGTAGAGGCTACATTTTATGATGCCAAACCACAATGACATACCATAGAACATGATAAAAATTTTTTGACAAAACTGCTTCTAGTAAAAATAAATCATGTAGAAGCACAGATGGTTGATGGTAAAATATGTAATAGCTTTCAGAACAATGCATAGATGGTGACTATATAGGAAAACAAAGGAATTTAGAGAAAAAATATATATATATACCAGGAAATGCACTCATAGGACACTTTGGAATAAAAGTGGTAGTGTTTGAGAATGATGAATGATTTGCCTATCATTTCAAATGTGCATTATTAATCTAAAAGTCATTTTAGGCATTTGGCATACAGACAGATTTTCTTCACATTTACACCAATTGGGGTTACATCTCTAATAATATGTTGTATTTTATAGTGTAAGGTAGTCTTAATGGTAAAGCTTCAGAAGAGAGCTAGCATATTTTCTTGGCATGTGACAATAATCTGCACTGTCCCCAGGGCTCCGTGGATTAGCCCATCTCCTGAATACTACACTGAATACTCCAGGCTTTAGACTGCAAGTCATTTCTTTTTCTTTGCTGCTGCTCGTAGAAAATTGGAACCTTGTGAGGCTGAGGAAATCTGTTTGACTTTTGTGTTCCATAACATGGATAAATCAGGTCCTTGGAATGATCAGCCTCTGATAGATTGTCCCAGAAGACTACAAATTAAATAAAGACTAAAGAAGTAATTGGCTGTAGAGTGGAGTGTGGATTTATTCCTAGGTCTGAATAAGGCATTGTGTGGCATCCAGAGAGAGGCAGGACAGAGGAAGCAGTGAGAGAGAAGCAATTCTAGAAAATGTGGATACCTTGCTGCTCAGTGTGGCTTATAGACAGTAGCACATGCATCCCCCGGAGCTTTGTAGAGATGCTAAAGCTCAGCTCCCACCCCAGAGCTACTGAGTCAGAATATGTGGTTTGTGTGCACGTTAAAGTTAGCGATGCTGGCTACCATCCTTGGTTCCTGGTGGCATCTTTTAGGAAGAGTTGCTACCTGGGATGGATTCTGCATTGTCCCCTTCCAGTGGCCTTAAAGATCTATAGTGTTACTTGGAATACCGAGTATTTCCCAGGTGTCCACTATTGTGATCTGACTTTAGGAAGACATAAATTGGATGAAGGAGAGATAGCAAGCAGGTAGATCAACTATAAGCCCAGTCTTCTCATGAATATTTTTCGTAGTAGTTATATAGTTTATATTGGCATCACTGGTCCCATTAAAAAGTAAGATAGCTTTTCTTCAATTAAAGGCAAGAGAATTAGCTCTTTTAATAGCTCTGTTAGTTATTATTTTATCCCCTCATAACACAGTTTAAATTCTGTAAATGACTTTAGTGACCTTGCAGCTTCTTTAAGACAAAGGGACTCTTGCAGGCAAGGGATTGAGTTTTGGGCAGGTGATGGAGAGTGACCCTCTAAACTGGGAACTGTGACGACATTCAGCTTCATGTCTTAGGAGAGAGTGAGATAGGAGCCACTAGAAGAATGAGATGATTCAGACAAGAGATTGTAGGAGATTGGCTTTATTCTGTTGACAAGATGGTAATCCGACTTATTTTTTGGTTTTTTGGTGTTGGTGGTTTAGGAAGACAGGAACTTCTCCACACCCGGTAGAGTTCAGCTGCCTTTTCATTAGTCAGCAAGCAGTTTTTCCTTTCTCAAGGCAGTCCACATCCAGCAAAACATTTGATTAACTGGAAAGCAATACCATTCTCATGCCAGTGTACAAATTACATGAAAGAGCATCATTTTTCTAGTGTCTGAGGATTGGCTGCTTATGGCCAATTTTGGCAGCAAGACGATAGGATTAAAAATAGCTTGAAGATGATCTAGTCTTAAATAATATATTTCATGATGAACTTTCCTTGGGAAAGTGCATCTTTCTGCCTACAAGAATCACATGACCCCTTTCAATAATTTATGTAGTAGAGAAAAACACACTATTTCTCATAGAGTTTTCAGTCATGTGCTGTGGTGTGATTGTTTCTGGACATTCATAAAATTTTATAGTTAACTGAATTCTCTTTTCTGTTTTGTTGCTATTTAACGTCCATTGAAAACATGGCTTTCTTTTGCGCATTCTGTTACTTTCAGCTGTACTTTCTAATAAGAATGGATTGCCCTTTTTAGCAATCTTTGATTGAACTGGTACATTTCAGATTACTTAAATGTCATCAGGCCACACAGCATACCAGGTAACAGAAAGCCATAAATTAAAAATAAAAAAAAGGCAAGCAAAATTCTTGTTGTTTTTTCTTATCTCTGTTCCCAGTCCTATTGCGCTATTTGGAGGGATGATACGCCCACTCATGAGCGAGTGTGTGGGTGCTGCATGTTAACAGTGGTTCTTCCCACCCAACATACCTCCGCACCCTTTTCTAAGGTCACTCATTGTGTCTTAGCAGTAGTTTAGCAAAGCAGTATCTCAGCAGAAGTGCATTTGTGCTAGAAAACAACACTGTCTTTGTAGTGTACAAGTAGAACGTTTTCTTTTTCCCCCAGAGATATATTGTATTTGAGATTCAAAGGTTCTGTTCAACCTTTTTAAGGTAATCTAATATCACCTTATTCAGGTATAACAGTAACTTGTCAATCTGGTCATCCTTTCTGTCAACCACATGTAGGAGACCACTCAGTGAATTTACTCCACTGTGAATTTTCTCTTTCATCCCTCTTGGTTTGGCTTAATCAACCTTAATGTTTGATGTCTAAGCAGGATTAATGATGAAAATCATCCAAGGACTGACAGTTATTCCACAGATGTGATTGCCAGTCTTACATGAGTCCTGCCTTGGGTTAGGTTGGAGGCACGGCAAGGAGAGCTTTGCTTCTGCCCTGGATAAACTCACAGGCTAGTGTTGCAGGCATCTTAATAAACTCGTAGTTATCATACAGCCTGATAAGCATGATCCTAGACTCAGAGACTTAGAGGAAAAAAGCAAATAACTATAAGTTATTTTGCATGTACTTCAGCCTTGGTCTAAGAACGTTATTTCTGACCATATGGCTGTTCATGTGTGCATTAGGCCTAATTTAAACAGGGCCAAAATGTAGATACTTTAAAAAATACTGTGTAACGTAGACATATGCTTAAGAGAACTGAAAGGCAGGGGGAGTTCCCTTGTTAAATATTAACCCACTAAGCACTATTTATGCATACTAAGAAGACTTAATAAACACCAGTCTACAATTTCTAAAGCATTTCATTAATTCTTTTTAAGTAAAAGACAATCAAGGCTCCGATTAGACTGACTGGAACAGGGTAATTTGAAGAACTATCTTTCTTAAATAACTCTTGTATGCCAAAAAATACAAGTAGGTTTTGAACCAGAGCGGGGGCTCTTCCTTTGAGCAGGGGAAAAAAAAGCTTCTGTTTTGTTTTGGTTTGAGGTTATATTACTGTTCTATTTATCAAGACACTTCTACGATGCTAGTTACAGAAATTCACAGTCCATTGTAACACTGGCATTTGCCTTCGGACTTTTTTGGGCTTGTGGTCTGTTCGTTTAAATGGAGACTGTAAAACTTTCAAAATGCCAACAAAGCTGTTTTCACTTAAAAACATATTTTTATAGATTGTCACTTGTTGTTCTTATATATGCCCAATTCTGTATATGCTATAGCACTATTTCTCTGCCCTCCATTTGCCAGACAAAAGATACACCCATCTGTCCTTCAGTGTGAATAAGGATTGAATGATTATTCCTCTCTCTTCCAAGCCATGGGACTTTCTCATAGGTGCCACCACCCCTGTGACCATCCCCTACCTGCCTTATCATTCCACCGGTGAGGGACCTCTCAGGTGTAGCTCCTTGTTAACTTCCAATTAGTGATGGGTAGGATTTACCTGAAGAAAACCGTAATGCGCTTAGATACTAGCAAAAGGGAGCAGAAGTGGGGAGTCTAATCAAAGTGAGAGGATAACCCTCACCCCAAACTTGCTGCAGGCAGCTGGGCAGGTCAAAATTCTGTGACCAGACACTATCCTTTTCCTCTAGTGATTATAAACTTTAACCTGTGCAGAGAAAAGATAGTATCTGCTGGCAAAATTTGTACTTACTTTGATTCCTCTAGTGCAAGATTATAGTGGGGTTATACCTGAGACTTCAATAAATGTTTGACTAACTAAACTAAAATAGCTTAGGGTAAGGACTACTTCCCCAAACGCCCTTTTAAACATGTGAGAAAGGGAATCTCCCTGACATACTGGTATGGCCATTTGTAGCAATATACTGAGAGTGACTTGGGTGATTTTCTGGGGCGATCAACCACATTCCATGAGCAGGTTAACTGTGGAAGACACCTGCCCTTGAGCATCGCGTTTGGGCCACATGCGTCAATGGGGAAATTTGTGTTTCCATTCTGCTTCTTGTTTTGCCTTCACAACTTCAGGGATAGAAGCGTATTCCATTTTTAGTTAATAATCAGCTCTCTGGGGCTTCCATGTAATGAGTCAGAAACTGATGACTGACTCCACTCTGCTCATTATCATGTCTCCCAAAAACAACCCGAGAACCCACTGTGTCAAGTGAAGCTTTAATTTTTCAGGGGAGGTTTTCTCCATTGAGACCAATACATCTTTTCTTGTGACAGATCCAGTTACCATATTTCCTTATTTTTAACTGTCGAAAAGACAGTTAAGCTGCAACAGAGTATGGTGAGTTTACCAATTTTAATACTTGAAGCACCAAACAAAGGATCAGTGTTGCAGGCTGTCTCTTCTTGACTTTTTCCAGCTCTCCTTAGCAGATAACCAGGATGATATTTTTTCTGCTTTACAACATGATGAATGCTATATCTCTATATTAACTCTGAAATTGAATTGCAGCCAAATATTCCTCTCAGCTGCATTAGAATTTTCTAAAAGAACATGAGACACATAAACTTAGTCTTCTTAGTTCAATGCTATATCTCAGATATATTGATATCTGATTTACAATTAAAATAGGAATAAAATTAAGTACAAATTATATCATCAGCTTTAAATATTGATTTATCTTCTTGAAAAAAAAAAAGCGAGTCCATAAAGGATGGCAGCATTGGCATTTCTGGATGTAAAATTTCAGGGCTATCTCCTAGCCATATCCTTTATGGATTCCTGCCAGCATCTTTAAAAACACACACACTGAAGACACACAGAGAGGTTTTGAGGTATTTTATAACAAAATTATAAGAACAGGGAGACAAAGCCACTTACTAAACATTAAAGTGATAGTATAAGAAGAAAATGATTTGAAGAAGTCCTAATTGAGGGAAATGAGCAATTGTCCACAAAACTTAACCCTGGGTTCCCAGGAACCGGGGTAGTGATGGTCATGGAGAGGGGTTTTAGAATCTGGTTATTTAGGAAAACATGCACACTAACTTGTTTCATTGAAAAAAACATTTATTGAGGCCCTACACCATGCAAAGCTCTATGCTAGGTGTTTTAGTTAAGCGAAAAAATGTCTAAGATAACTTTTGCCTTCAAGGAACTTACCAATCAGTAGGAGACCAAGACAAGGATACAAATCACTGTAATCCTGGACAATGTGTAGTAGACAGAGAGGCCCAACCCAGCTACAGTGGTATCTGAAGAGTTTCATGCCGGAGATAATGTTGAGACAAGTTTTAGAGAACAGGCAGGCGATACGGGGAGAGGGTCTTTCAGGTAGTGGAAACTGGAGGCGTCAAAGCAGGCATGAATGCGGGAGGTGTGTTTGGGGAATTGTGGAGAGTCTGATTTGACTGGGGCATGGAGAACTCTCCTGAGATAAATCCATAGTTTTGAGAACTTACCACTGCATACTAAGTTGTGAAACTTGTATAGACAGCCCTCCCTATCTTTGGGTTCCACATCCATGGATTCAACCAACTTTGGATCAAAAATATATGGGGTAGGGCAGGCACAGTGGCTTAGGCCTGTAATCCCAGCACTGTGGGAGCTCAAGGTGGGTGGATCACTTGAAGTCAGGAGTTCAAGTCCAGCCTGGCCAACATGGTGAAACCCTTTCTCTACTAAAAATAGAAAAATTAGCCAGGTGTGGTGGTGGGCGCCTGTAATCCCAGCTACTCGGGAGGCTGAGGCAGGAGAATTGCTTGAACCCAGGAGGCGGAGGTTGCAGTGAGCCGAGATCGTGTCACTGCACTCCAGCCTAGGGGACAGAGCGAGACTCTGTCTCAAAAAATAAATAAATAAACAAACAAATAAATAAAATAAAGTATATAGGAGGATGTGCATATGCAAGTACTACTCATTTAATATCAGGGACTTGAGCATCTTCAGATTTTGGTATCCACTGGGGGTTCCTAGAGCCAATCCCCTGAGGTTACTGAAGGATGGCTGCGTTTAACTGTACCAGGGATGTTGAAAGGATGTTGCAAAGGTTCTCAGACAAGGCAGGATGTGTGCGTGGGAGGAAGATTGACAGTGACTGAGCCTGGACGGGGGAGACCAGGTATGAGGTCTGAAGCACCTGGAACAGAAAGGACAGGACAGATGTGGGCACACTGCACGTGTAGAATCAAAGGACTGACAGCAGGTCGAATGTGAGGAATGAGGGAGGGAAAGAATCAGGACTCAAGTGCCATCCTGGCTGCCTCAAAAAATGATACTGTCTTCCAGAGGGAAAGGAAAGATAACAACAGTTACTGCTTTGTGGCGTACATGTGATGAATTTCATTTTGGACATTCCAGTAGGATATCCAAGTGGAAATGCCCAGTAAGCCTTAGACATAAGGATCTGGATCTCAAGAGAAAAATTGAGGTTGAACCATAATATGTCTTTCCCCTCGAATCATGTAGGTTTCTCTTTTGCCTTCTTTCATTGCCCTAAGTGGTCCTAAATGCTACTGCTGATGCTGTCTTAGTTTGCGACTGTTGTTTGCACCCCACCTTTTCCCAAAGGTAATCTGTAGACTTGCATGGATTGGGTTAAGGTGGTTAACCTGCAGCTTTGCTGTTCAAAGCTTGGCTTCCCACTACCAGTTTGCCAACTTAATGAGTACTTCAACTTGAGTCAAATTAGTATTGTTCCAAATATCCTAATAGTATCCTCTATGTGTGACTCTAGGTCTTACAAAATCAAGGTGTCCTTTCTCATTGAGACTTCCTTATTAATAAAATATTTCTTCTATTAAATTCAACCTGGCACCAAGCATAGTAGGTAATAGGCACACACAATGACTGTTTATTGAATGAATGAATAAAATGATTATGTTAGGGCATTCTGAGCAATTCATCCTAAGCAGCTAATTTTCTCCTACTTCTTTTATTATAGTGTGTGTTTGTGTGTGTGTGTGTGTGTGTCTGAAATGTCCCATCCTACAGGTTCATTAATATTTAATAGAAATGAAAGAAGAAAAATACCTATTAAGTGTTTTGATTTCATCCTTTTCATTGAATTGAAAAAGTATATCATTTATTCCTGAAGAGAAATCTAGATTTTGCTCTATATTAAACATTTGACATTTATTGGTCCTTAATGCTAATATAGATACCAGCCTGCTGGTTGTCACATTCTATCTGTTTATACGAAGGTTGTAGACACACAGTGTATGTACATATGCCTAGTTGCTCTCATTCCTTTTGTTTCACATCTCAAGCCTAACCCAGACTGAAAAGGTTTTGAAGGCTGAGATTATTCATCACCCCATCATTATAGAAAGCAGGGCTGGCCCAAGGTTCTCACAGTGGGAGCAAGGTGGATTTTAACTCTGATCAGTGTTGTAGCTCAAATATAAAAAGAACTGCAGCACAAAAGTCACAAGGATAAATGATCCCCTCGTTCTTCTCCCATAAAAATAAGCAGCCAATTGAAGGTGGAAGTCAGTACAGTGCGGCATTCCCAGAGGCGACAGAACCTAAGATTCCATTTCTAAAGACACTGCTCAACAAGAAGACCACCTGGGATGTCTTACATAAAACCATTGGCCTGGCAGCTTTTGGCTGAGTTCTCTATTCTGGTTCAAGCCAGCATCACAGCCTATCTGTGGTTTTAACAACTGATGGAATTTGTATTTTGAGAACCCTCATCCGTTAGCATGAAGCAAACTCAAAGCATTGTTGCTCATCAGTTGTCATCTGTTTGAGAAAGATTTTGATTTGTTTACTTGTAGTGAAGCTTGACCATACTTCTCCAGGGGCTTTTTAAAAAGATGAATGTGTCAGCTTGTAGATTTGTCCCCATGAATGAAACCACAAGCAAATTCTCTTCTCTCTTCCAGCCTCCCTTCCTCCCTCTTGTTTCTTCAGTGGCCATCTGTGCATTATGTTCCCATTGCCAGGCCCTCTTCAAGCAGCTTATCTATGAGTGAATTCAGAAACTTCAAATTATAAAGGACACCCAGATAATTGGCCTGTTCTCCAAAGTATCTGTCCCCTGTGCTGCTGCCAGATTCCTTCTTAATGAATACATCCAGTGACAGTGGGATTCTTGAGCTTGTCCGTATCTGTGAGAAAATGAGCTCTCCTGCTTTGTAACAGCTTGTGGCTCAGGGAAAAAAATGACAGCCATTGCACAAGTTTCCTTTGAATGTAGTTTTCTTTCCCATAAATGATACTTTGAGAATACAGTTAAGGGGTTATTAGTTTTCTATTTCATGCTTGGCCTGTGTGTGAGAATAACACAAGCTGTCACTGCAAATCAGTAGCTAAAAATGCTTTGTCTGGTTAATGTGAACATTTAATATTTGGCTCAATTAAAAATTAACCGATGAAAGTACATGTCATTGGAATTTGAAAATACCTTTTGTACGGAATACTTAAAGGGCATCACCCATGACTAAACCAGTGCTTTTAAAATATGGAGAATATGGGGAAATTTAATATGAGTTGGGATACTTGACTCTTTTTTAAAACCTCTCTACCTGTTTGGCACAACAGGGTATTGATAAAGAGTGGGCTCATTGTTATGGCAAAGGATTCACTTGCATCTCTGTGTTTTTAAGTGGGTAATTGTTTTTTTGCACTCAGTCACATGATTAAAGCAGACAGAACAAGAGATCAGTTATTCATTTATACCATACTTTTAAAAAAATATTGAGCCAGGCCCTGGGGAAGTGGGAAGTGAGAGCCAGAGCGGCGTGGCTGATAGTCTAGGGCAGTGCTATCCAATCTTTTGGCTTCCCTGGGCCACATTGGAAGAAGAAGAATTGTCTTGGGCCACACGTAAAATACGCTAACACGAATGATAGCTGATGAGCTAAAAAAAAAAAAAAAGCACAAAAAAACCTCATAATATTTTAAGAAAGTTTACAAATGTGTGTTGGGCTGTATTCAAAGCCTGCCATGGATTGGACAAGCTTGGTCTGGGGGAGTGAAGACCATTCAACATCAGCTGCAGGAGAGCATGTTTAAAGCTATGAGAAGAGATGCAGCAATAGTGGTGGCATTTATTGGAGTCAAGGAAGTCTTCCCAGGAAGGGGACTGAAGCCTGAAGGATGAGCAGGAATCAATGTAGTGAAGTGGGTGGGAGGAACCAAGTGTGGCCCCAGGCAGAACTTCAGGAACAAAGGCCAGAGGCAAGCGGCCACATGGTGGACTGCAGGAGCTGAGGAGTTCAGCCTGGCTGGAGTGGAGAGTGCAAGTGGGTGGGTCAGAAAGATGATGCTAGAGGTGGCCCACCCTGGAAGAGTTTGTTTCAGATACGTCACCCTGACTCCACTCCAGACCGTTAATGAGACGGGGGAGAAATCAGTGACCAGATAGAAGGCTCTTTCAGCAAACGGGCAAGAGATCAAGTGCCTGACCTAGAGGAATGGTAGTGGGAACGGCAAGAAATTGCTAGCTTTGCACAATGATTAGGACTAGAGTGGAGAGATTTTTTGGAAGAGGTAATGATTGACTGAATGCTTTAGAACATGGCTCAGTTCTTCCTCAGCTTTGCTGGTCTTTCTGTACAACTTGGAAAGAATGTGGTCATTGTTCTGGTTATATATAAATGCTTTTTTGTGTTTTTTGTTTGTTTGTTTATTTGTTTGTTTTTGGAGATAAGGTCTTGCTCTGTTGCCCAGGCTGGAGTGCAGTGGCACCATATCGGTTCACTGCTGCCTCGAACTCCGGGGCTCAAGTGATCCTCCCACCTCAGTCTCCTGAGTAGCTGGGACTACAGGTGCATGCCACCACACCTAGATAATGTCTGTCTTATCTTTTTTTGCGACAGGATCTCACTTTGTTGCCCAGGCTGGTCACAAACTCCTGGCTTCAAGCAATCCTCCTGCCTCCGCCTCCCAAAGTACTGGGATTACAGGCATGGGTCACCTCACCTGACCTTATACAAATATATATTTTTTCTTATTTCACTTTTAAAAAATTGTCTGGTTAAAAACTATTTTTGTTAGAATTCACCGTGTGATAAATCTTTATTAACTATCAGTTAATAAAAGTATATTTGAGGAAAGAATTCAATTATGAAAGGCAGTTTTCATAGAATTTTTTTCCGGGTGAAAAAAATGACAGTGGTTTCTTGCCTTTACGTAGGATTTTAAAGTTTCTAAAAAAAAATTCCATATCTGTTGGCCCATTTGATCTTCACAACAACCCTAAGCAAGGCAGATATTGTATTCCAACTTCTCCCTACTTTCCTCCCCACACACACTGTTAGTTATTTGTTTATGCCCATGTAAAGAAGAAAGTTCGCCCAACAAAGGTGTGTACGAGCCAATAAGCACAGGAAGAGCTGATATTCATTCCCTGGGTTGGGAATCCCGTAGATATTTCTTTATCCTGTGCTGCTTCTCTGGATATGTGTTCATAAAGACACAAGATTGCTTAGTAGAGACTGAAATATATTGCATTTTGAAAACTAGTATACTCTACTGCTTTCTGTGTCAAAAATGTTCAGGGAAATTGGAATGCAGTCTTTTGTTTCTGGTTACTTTCCCTTCTTCGATTCAGCCTTTGCAGCGTTTCTCATGCTTGCAGCAGAGGGGGATCTAGCTGCTTCCATTTGGTGCCTACCATCAGCTCAAGACCCTGTGAGGATGCGCTTATGAGCCAGGCGGGCTTGGACATGAGCTGAAGGGACAGTAGTAGGATTGACGTGCGAGGTCTCTAACACTTGAAGGCCCTGTAAAACAGCCCCTTTCAACAGGGGCCAATTGGAATTAGATGAACATGTGTGACTGTTTTTGCTTGTTGACACCTGACTAGCAACGGTGTTATGTTAGCATGCTGTTTGCTGCCTTTATTTCTTTGAATTCCTCAGAGTCCTTATTTATTATTTTCAAAGGTTGTAATTAGCTTTAATCGGAAGTGCCCGTAAGTGTAGTCCTGTAAATGTTGCTCTTCCATCTTTCTTTTTTCTTTTCCCAAGAAAATGCCGCATTGGACCATCAGGAAAAATAACTAATGGGTACTAGGCTTGATACGTGGGTGGATGAAATAATCTGTATAACAACATCCAACAAGTTTACCTATGTGACAAACCTGTACATGTGCCCCTGAACTTAAAAGTTTAAAAAATTTAAAAAGGATGTGAAACAAAAAAATTAAAAGAACAAACACTAATAAATATGAAGAAGTCCTTCAGAGTCTTTAAATTTGCTCATAGAGCATTGACTGAGACACTATCTCCTTTAGTAACTAAATAAAATTAAAAAAATAACACTGGGCTCCTCTTTTTAGGTGACCAAAAATATTTGGTACATGTTTTTTGAATGTTGAAAATGGTGGAGCCTTCATCAGTAGGGTTTCCGCAGTAGTAAAGGGCATGTTACTGCAAGTTCATTCAATCAACAAATATTTATAAATATTTGTTTACTGTAAAGAGCCTACTCTGGGCCAATCATTGTTCTAGGGGCTGGAGCTATAACAGAAAACATGACAGGTTAAGAACTCTCCCATCTCTTGTGAATCCCACATTGTGAGGAAGTCAGAAAAGTAAACAACTTAAAAATTAACAATATAACATAAGGGCCACAAAGTAATGAAAACAGGGCAATGCAGTGCAAGGGTGCTGATGGGACAATATTAACTTCTTCCTTGGTCTTTGAGATTTTTCAAGCAGTACTACAAGTTTACACAGAGGAGATTTAATGGGTTTTTCTTCATTAATAGTTGAAAACAGTGTTGTACCTTAAAAATAATAAATGTATTAGTATAATATAGCCCTTACATCAGTTTAAAATGAGTTACCATGAACAATATGAACTTAAAGAGACTTTTACTATTTTTGGCTAAAATGTTTAGCGCAATCTTTTCCTTACCTACTCATCCTTCTCATTTCCCCATTTCCATTTATGACAACATTGGTCATTGGCCTCAGTCACCGAAAGTCAGGAGGAAGGAAGGAAATGAATATTTATTGAACCCCAATATGTGCCAGACCCTGGATTTAACACTTTTAGGGATAGGAGATTATTTAACCTCAATAACCTCTCCCTGAGGGCAGGAAGTGGATTTATAGATGCGGAAACAGAGGTTCTGCAAAGTCAATTGACTTTGCCTGGTAAGAGGCAAAACCAGCATCCTTTATTTAGGCAATCCAAGTGATGTTCATGTCCTCTGGAACTTAAATTTTTAAAACAAAAATTTAAACAGAAACATATTACAAAAGAACAACTTTATGCATGTGACCTTTTGGGTTCTTTAGGAAGCCAGTTAGTCATCTTTATTTTAATAACTAGAAGGTGAAATCTTTCCTACAACATGTAATTTTAAGTTCTCTCATAGTTAAAAAATAAATGAAACAACTTTTTTTTTCTGTCTCCCTTTTGACTCCTAGAGTCTGTTTAAATAGCCTTTGAAAAATAAGTACTAATCACTGGTTCCTACCAAGACCAGACACCTGATTCAGAAGCTCTTACAGGGGTCAGAGTGTGCGTTGGAAAAACAAACCCACAGTGCCTTCCTGGTTCCAGAGAAATGATCTCACTGTCAAATTGTAACCTGCCTAATACCTTAATAAAAAGGTGGGGAAAGTCTGCGGTTTTACCTCTGGTATGATCCTTTTCCCTTCACTCTTTTTATTTTAGGCATGACCTTAGTGTTTTTTTTCTTCTAGAGTCCAGAGGTGGAATGACATGTCACTCAGGTTTACAAGATGAGGATGTATCTGTTTTTATATTCAGCTGTACATTTTATTCTACTTAAAAACAAACCCACCTTCAGCAACCAGGGCGTATCAAGGGAGAGTTATTTCCATCCCCCTCAGTTTAATTTGGATACATTTGGCCCAGAACAGCACAGTGTTTCCATAATAACATTTGAACAGGATGCCCTTGTGTTATTTGCAGGGCTAAGGGAGTTTCAGCATGGGCCAGGAAACTACTTTCTTAAAAGAAACTTAAACGCGAAATTCTGACAAGATAGGAAACTCTTACTGCATCCTTACTAAACCTCTTTTTCCCCCCTACTTTCTCATTTATTTATATATCTCTTGTGTTATGAAACATATATAGGTTGAATATTTAACTCACTCTGAATTCATGTGCAGAATAAGTCACTCTTCAGAAGGACAAAAATAATGTTTTAAGTGGTTTGTTTAATAAAGCACATATTAAAAAATTTCAATTCAACATCTTCCCTGGGCACAACATGTTATGACTTTTTAGAGTAGAGCTTCGTGGTATTTCATAAGGAAGCCAAAAAGGAAGGGAAATTATTATTCGGGCAGAGGGACAATAGTGACCTTTCATTAAGCAAGACAGAGTTCACCATCAGGCTCCCCAAACCCCAGGCTCTGTGTTAGTTGAACTGAACAAGCCACCAACTATTTCCTCTCTCTCTTTCTCTCTTTCTCTCTCTTTTTTTTTTTTTTGAGAAGGAGTTTTGCTCTTGTTGCCCAGGCTGGAGTGCAGTGGTGCAGTCCCGGCTCACTGCAACCTCAGCCTCCCGAGTAGCTGGGATTACAGGCGCCTGCCAGCACGCCTAGCTCATTTTTTTGTATTTTTTTTAGTAGAGACTGGTTTTCATCATGTTGGCCAGGCTGGTCTCGAACTCCTGACCTCAGATGATCCACCTGCCTCGGCCTCCCTCCCAAAGTGCTGGGATTACAGGCGTGAGCCACCACACCTGGCCTCCTCTCTTTTATAGACCAGACTACTTTAAAAATATTCGTCCAATATTACCTAAAATATTTCATTTATAAGACATAACCCAACATTGTAATATTTAAAAGACTGCATTATGTAGTTTTTACATATCCTTAAGATCCTAATGAATTCAGATAATCAGTATTTTTGTTCTTTTAACAGCTTTACATGTGACCTCTTAGTTCTAGAGTTTGATCTCAGGAGAAGGGAAGAGTAGATTTGGATTCTGTGCCGTGGACAGGCGCACTGGTTTCCCGTGTGAAAAGGACAAAGCCCCGCCCCTTCTGGAGCTCAGTTCTCTTTGGGATTATTCATAATGTTCTCCAAGAAGCTCGGAGTGCCTGTTTGTCGCCAGTACTGTAATTTGTGAGTAAAAGATCTTTATGATTGCAAAATACATTAGCGCCTTCGGAGATCATTGTTTCTTGATGACGGTGTGAATCACAACTAGGAACTAGGAAGTCATTTCAGCCCCTTCTGTGCAGAGGGATGTCATGAAGTACATATGCTAAAGTTCATACCCATTGCTCATAAGAGCTCAGCCAACCTTCTCAACCAGTTCATGTAAAAATATATCTGTATAAATATGCATACGTATGTATGTATGTGGTGTGTGTGTGAGTTAAGATATACATAAAATTTACGTTTTCCACCAATTTTAAATGTATAGTTCAGTGGCTTTCAGCACATTTACTTTGTTACATAAACCATTATTATGTAAGCCATTACTGACATCTGTTTCCAGAACTTGTTCATCATTCCAAATGGAAACTCTACCCATTAAACTATAACTCCCTGTTTCTTTTTCTCCCCAGTCCTAGGTAGCCACTATTCTATTTTCTGTCTCTATAAATTTGACTCTTCGAGGAAGAATTTGATTCTTCCCATAAGTGGAATCAGACAATATTTGTCCTTTTGTGTCTAGCTTGTTTTATCTAACATATTTTCAGAGTTCACCCATGTCATGGCATGCATCAGAATTTCATTCCTTTTTAAGGCTGAATAATATTCCATACCATTTGCTTTTTTAAAAGTCCATTTTCTCAAAAAATTGGTTGTCATTTCCACTCCCCACCCAGCCAATAGAAACAGCAAATATATTAAATTAGAATTGACCTGACAGAGGAGGTAATGGAGGCCTGTAAATTATTCAAAGAATTATTTTAGAGTCTGACAGCAAGGAAGAAGACAAAAATGCTCTTAAAACCAGCTCAGGAGTCTCTGAGGCTCTTCTGCGTGGGGCAGGCAGTCACAAAGATCTCTACGGCTCCTGGAGTTCTCGCTGGATCGTAGCACAGGACAATCTTAGTGATTCCTAATGATGCCACTGAGTCATCAAGACAGAGTTATTTTCTGTAGGAAGAGTCAAAGAGTTCAGGGAAAGTGAGTAGTAAGTTACAGAAATATCTCCATTCCAAATGGTTAAAATTTTTTAAAAGTTTAGGCTTCAGTCATCTGAAAAATTTACTTGTGTGAAATGATTCAGTCCAGACTGTAGTGAAAGAGAGGAATCCCAGCAATATCAAAGTAAAATACACACACACACACACACACACACACAGAGAGAGAGAGAGAAGGAGCACAAGATCTCTTTCTTTTTTGTTTTTTTCTCTTTTTTTTTGAACAAACTCTTACATATCCTTCAAGCCCAGGCCAAATGGCACCTTCTCTGTGAATGTGTGTGTGTTAAATAGGCAGAGAGACCTTCAGGGGCGTTTGCTGACTTCTTTCATTCTTTTTCATCTCCTACCTCCCTTTCTAGAGTAGAGAATTAGTAGGAACTTGACTCAAGTGGACGGGGATGTAATTTCTAGGGGGAGTTTTTGCTGTCTTACTGCATCTAAATTATTCTGTCTGTGCATAAATTAAGTTGTACACATATTTAGAAGAGCCACCTCCCCCACTGCAGGATGCATAGAGTGGTTTTTGTGAGGAGCTGCTTTGCAGCCTCAACTCTGCCTCCTGACTTCATTTTGAAACCACTGTACAATAAAACGTGGTCATTTGTTTGTTCCACATTCTTTGTGCCTACTGGGTTTCTGGACATGATCTCTGGCCTTGGGGGGGACAGTCTCCTGGGGAAACAGACACACAAACAGATCTATTACAGTCCAGTGAGTTTTTTCCTGGGAAAGTTAAGGATGGTTTCACAGAGAAGGTGCCGTTTGGCCTGGGCTTGAAGGATACATAAGAGTTTGTTCAAAAAAAAAAAGAAAAAGAAAAAAAAAAAGCAAGAGATCTTGCTCTCTGGAGAATGTGAAAGGGTACCATATGCAAATAAGCAGAGTAATTGAAGGGCCTGCCAAGCTTGGGAATGGCAAAAAGGCCAGAGTGACCAGAAGAGAGGCAGTTGGGGATGGAATGGAAGGGGATGAAGCGGGAAGATAGTGGAGGCTCGCTCTCCAAGGCTCTATGTGCCCCACTAAGGAGTTTGATTAGACCTTTCCTGCAGTGGAATGCCAGTAAAAGGTTTCTAGCAGGATACTAAGTGACATGGCTGGATTTTTTTGTTGATGAAAATACTGCTGGTAGCAGTGTGTTGGTGGCACTGAGGGCAGCAAGGAGGCCAGATGGGAAGGTGGGGTCAGGTGCCCAAGTGAAGGTGCTGGGCAGCTGCCCCAAGGCATGGGCAGTAGGAACTCCCAGGATGGGACTACCTGAAAAGGTGTTCTAAGGTAGAATCAACAAGATTGTGCACAGTTGATCATCGCTGAACACTCAGTGCTTAGCGCAAGGCAAGCACATAATAGATGCTCAGTAATATTGACTAAATGAATGAATGCACAGGCAGCTGGGTACACATGACAAGCAGTACAAGCAAGTGTTAAAGTGACACCCCAGCTATACTCACAACAGTGATAAAGCAGAGGTTCACATGGCCTGTACTTTGCCCAACTCTTTCTAAACGTTCTATCACTATTCGTGTATTTCTTTCTTACAACAGTACTGGGAGGTGGTGGTGTTTTTATCCTTGTCTTGCAGATGAGAACACTGAGGCTTGCAGAGGGGGACCCATTACAGCTGTTTGGGTGGCTGGGCTGGAATTTGAACCCAGGCGGTTTTGGAGTACTTGGAGCCCTTAATTCTGTTGCTCTGCTGCCGCCCAGCTTTTGAGCCTTCCAGGAAGCTGCTGCTTTCAAGGCCCCAGAAGTGATGACTCGGGGCAAACCTAAGTGGTGGCAGGATGCAGAGAAGCCTGTTTAGGAAACCATTTATCTCACGTAGACATGCCATCTGAGATGACCTTAGTAGAAATAACAATGGCAATGATAACAGCTCCGCAGCCTTTTCCCTGGCATAAGAAACTAGTTTTGTAATGAAAATGGAATTTCTCTGGGGAATAGTCCTAGAAAGAGATAGGTAGTTGAGATAAAAATAACAAAATATAAAATAGCATTGCATTGTTTTCTGTGTATTTTTCCTTCCACCTTTGTCCTTCTCTGTTGTGTAATTTACCTTGTTCCCTTGGCCATGGGTAGGTTGGGCATCACTGTGATTTGACTTTTGTCCTTTGTCCCAAAGAAAGGGATGAGTGTGTGCATTTAGAGGTAGCTATTTGCACCTTGCCTGGAGCTTGCCATCAACATAGCTAGCTAAAAGGAGGAGAGGCCCTTGAGGGTAAACCTTGCTTTAGGAGTCGAAGCCCTTGGCTTTCTGGAATGAAGGGTGGTGAGTTTGGTTTCCCAGATGGCCCATGGGCCAGAATCTGAGCTCCTTGGCATTCAGGTGTGTGTGCCGTTCTGGATCATTACAACCACGACTGAGCTGTGTTTTCAAGCCATAGGTCAGAGTCGTGTAAAATAAACTCTTGTCATAACAAAGGATGCGGCAGCCAGATTGCAGCTCGGAGTTCCTTCACTCATTTACCCCAGAGGACACTGATTTTCATGTCAGCATAGGGAAGAGATTCCATTTGTCTGCCGATTCTAATTGGGGGTCTGTCTTGCTCGACCACCCTGGTAAATGGTGATAAATACTGGTGGCCATAGCAGCACAGAGAGAGAGTGCCGGCCTGGAAACCCAGCCAAGCTCTCTTGGCTCCAATTTTATGCAAATTTGCCTAATAGAATGCAAATGATTTCACAGGAATACGGATCCCAGGGACACGTGCTCATCTGTTTTCAGCAGTGTTCCTGGGCTTTTAGAAGCAGCCACTTGAGAGGCCAGGCAAGTCCACAGAGAGGCAGGTTAAAGGTGGCTTGCGAAGGAATGGCTCACCCCATCAGCCGATGCCACGCCTGGAATTTCATTATGAGCAGCGGCTTTCCCTTTGGCAGTCTGCGAGCCAAGACTTCTGTGTTTTGGGAACAGGAAAAGGTCAACACAGACTAATGCTTTTTCAAAAAGTCCTTTATTCTTCCTCTTATTCTACAGATTTTCTGCGATCACAGTATATATCCAAACATTTACTCATCCTACACATCTTGATTGGGCATTTAGTCACTAAAAGGCACTGTGCTAGGCACTGAGAAAAGGCTGCTCTGTGCCACCAAGGTGTGACACCATAACATTGTGTCTAAAATCTACTCCTGCCCTCTCCAGTGCCGTGGCTGTGGCTACCAGGCTCACGTAATGTGGCCAATCTGAATTGAGATGCGATTGGAGTGTAAAATACACACCAGGTTTACTGGATTTCAAAGATGTAGTATGAATAAATGAATGCAAAATATTTTATCAATAATTTTTATAAGAATTTTGTGTTGAAGTGATAGTATTTTGGATGTATTAGTTTAATAAAATATACTAAACGTGACCACTAAAAATTTAAAATTACATATGTGGTTCCCATTATATTTCTTTCTTTCTTTTTTTTTTGAGACAGAGTTTCGCTGTGTCGCCCAGGCTGGAGTGCAGTGGCGTGATCTTGGCTCACTGCAACCTCCGCCTCCAGGGTTCATGCCATTCTCCTGCCTCAGCCTCCCAAGCAGCTGGGACTACAGGCGCCCGCCACCATCCCCAGCTAAATTTTTTGTATTTTTAGTAGAGACAGGGTTTCACCGTGTTAACCAAGATGGTCTCAATCTCCTGAACTCGTGGTCCGCCCGCCTCGGCCTCCCAAAGTGCTGGGATTACAGGCGTGAGCCACCGTGCGGGGCCGGTTCCCATTATATTTCTATTGGACAGCACTGGTCTAGACTGCTAACCATTTATTGCACAATGTGGTCACCTTTTTATTCCCATAGTTGGATATTACTATATAGGAGGATAGAAAGACCTTTCCTTTTTTCTTCAATGAGCTACAGTTGTGTAGCCCTTTTTAAAGTTCATTCATATTCATGTTCTTGTGGCTCCCATTGTCAGTCTGCTGAGCTGGGCAGGGAAGGCCTCACCATACTTTTACAGGTGAGCATACTGAAGTGTAAGAGGTCACTGTTGCCAGCCTGCCCTAAGAGTTAAGCCAAGAATAAAACTTCAGTAGTTTCTGGGTGGACGTGGTGGCTCATGCCTGTAATCCCCGCACTGTGGGAGACCGAGGCTGGAGGATCACTTGAGCCCAGGTGTTCAAGACTAGCTTGAGCAACTTAGCAAAACCCTGCCTCTACAAAACACAAAACAATTAAGCCAATCATGGTGGCGTGTGCCTGTAGTTTCAGCTGCTTGGGAGGCTGAGATGGGAGGATCCCTTGAGGCTGAGATGGGAGGTTGAGGCTGCAGTGAGCCATGATTGTGCCACTCCACTCCAGCCTGGATGACAGAGTGAGACCTTGTCTCAAAAAAAAGGACTTCAGTAGTTTCTAACTCTTGCCAGGCTGGACCATTACAGCTGGGTTGGGAAGGTTGGAAATAGAACTTTCGACTTCTATTCTAGTGTCTATTAAAAATACACTAAAATTTATGCATGGAAATATTTACTTTTATTTCTGTACCAAAGATGATAGAACACAGCCCACTTAGAAGTATTTCTGTGTGCATGTGTATGTAAATACACACAAACATGCTCTGCAGCTGGCTAATAAAACACAGTAATCAAAGCCTATAGTGGATATTCAGTGTAAAGGTAAGACTTGCTGAATTTTGAGGCCCATTGGGGAAGGGCAGGGTCAGGGTGAGACAAGCATGTGGTCACAACCAGGGGGCGTTTTCTTCTGTTGGGAGTCAACTACTGTTAGGGAAAATTCCTGGCAGCGTGGAGCAAGGTTGGTGGATCCCACCTGTCAGAAAATCCTGAGACTGGGTTTAGTCCTTGAGGGATGGAAGGACAAGGCAGGTACCCTGGACCAAAGAGGCAAGGGATCCAACCCAGGTAGTCACCCAGCATTGGGGATGGCTTAGGAAAAAGGTTGGGGAGGTGCAGTTCTAAGGAAGAAGAGAGAATTGATCAAGAAGAGGAGGTGGATATGGGTGAGAGCTGTGTAGTTGTTGAGGACATTTAGGGCAACGGGCCTTGGGTTGTATTCTTCTGACCCGCCAGGCACTTGCTGTTTGGGCATGTCATATACTCTTCTGAGCTTTCATTTCTTCATCTGCAAATGGGGAAGTTGAGTTACAGGGTCCCTCACTAACATTTTGTGATTCTATGAGTTTCGAAGGCCAGAGAATCAGCAAGAATTGTATTAATAAGCTATCAATGATGGTATAAAGGTTTTGCTTCTCACTGCTGCTCTTTCTGCTGTCTGATGTGCTGGGGGCACTGAGGTCTATGGCAAATGAGATCATTGGCCTGGACCATTCACTTGGCCCTTGACAGACACAAGTTGGGTCTAGGATTTCTTTGCAACTATAGCCAATACATACATATTGTAGTATAATATCTAAAAACATTTATACCTACTTGTCTTTCTTGGTTCTCTCTGTTCTCCTTGTCCCTACACTTTCTATGAATTATAATAATAATAATAATTATTACTATTATTATCTTTTTTTGAGATGGAGTCTCGCTCTGTCTCCCAGGCTGGAATGCAGTGGCACAATCTCGGCTCACTGCAACCTCTGCCTCCCAGGTTCAAGCAGTTCTCTGCCCCAGCCTCCTGAGTAGCTGGGACTATAGGCACTCGCCACCATGCCTGGCTAATTTTTTTTTTTTTTTTTGGTATTTTCAGTAGAGATGGGGGTTTCACCGTCTTGGCCAGGCTGGTCTTGACCTCGTGATCCACCCACCTTGGCCTCCCAAAGTTCTGGGATTACAGGTGTAAGCCACCGAACTCAGCCAAATTATAATTATTTCTTATCTCCTATCTTCAGAGTCTAGTGTTACACAGATAGTAATTCTCCAACATTGCTCATATGATTTAGTAAATCACTGCATGTTCTCGGTTTAGAAGGATTTTCCCTGTCTTATACCTTCTATGAATTAAAAAGCTTTTGGACCATGGATGAATGACATAAGAATTTAACTACTTTTTTTTTTCTTTTCTTTTGAGGCGGATTCTCACTCTGTCGCCCAGGCTGGAGTGCAGTGGTGTGATCTTGGCTCACTGCAACCTCAGCCTCCCGGGTTCAAGTGATTCTCCTGCCTCAGCCTCCTGAGTAGCTGGAACTACAGGTGTGTGCCACCACACCCAGCTAATTTTTTGTATTTTTAGTAGAGACAGGGTTTCACCATGTTGGTCAGGCTAGTCTTGAATTCCTGACCGCAAATGATCTACCGGCCTCGGCCTCCCAAAGTGCAGGGATTACAGGTGTGAGCCACCCTGCCCAGCCTACTTTTTCTTTTTAAAGAATTTATTTTAATTGGGTTTCGTAAATGCAGGGATACAAAAGCTATTGGATCTTGAGATAGCTTTGTATTTTGTAGAGAATCATCCCAGGAGCACATTCCCTCACTGAGGGTTCCAGCCACCTCTTCCGCCTCATTATACTTTGCTTAGCACCGAGAAGTCTGGCATCGTTTCTGTTGGAATGAAAAGATTGGCAGAGCTGCCCTGGACAACAGCACTGCAAAACACTGTGGCAGAAGGTTTGGTCTACATACCAAGGCAGCCAAAGTATTAATTGCATTCTCTGTGATCACAAAATAAGGCGCTGAATTATTCTCTTCATGTTTTAAGAATGACAGGCTTTTGCTCTGCCAGCTCCAAGCATAGTGCATCACATGGAAAGGAGATGCTAGATTTGCAAAAAAAAAAAGAGAAAAAAAGCACAGGAGTGAAGATCTCTGGTAGCCAGCTGCTTCCTAAAAAAGATTTAAAGCTGAACTGTTGCATGAGAGGTACCTATAAAAGATCAGGAGCCGGGTGAGGAAGTGTTTCCATAAATTTACATACTCTGTTAAAACATGTTCTATTTTGGAATCTTACTTTAGATTTTGAAATGGGACTTTTCACGTTGCTGGCTATACTTTGATCCCATTTTCCTTTGTTTTGGTGTATTTACTGGAGAAAACTGGTTATGATATTTCTATATGTACTTGTCTCCCCCCAGCCCCAGAACAAGCACCATATGTGAGTATTCCAGATATCCAAGGTCCTCTGGACACCCCAGTCTCTTCCACAAAGCTGCCTCCTCAGAGCCTGCTGTCCCGTCTTCTAGGAATGTACCCATTTGAAAACCCACACTCACACTACCACAACACATACACTGTTTCTTGCTGGTCGTTCCTTTAATCTCAGTGGAAGATATCTCATAGAGAACTGTTGGTGATTGCTTAACTTGGTTGGGAGGAAAATAGATCAAGCAGGTGACAACCTGCATATTGGGGATTTTCCTATGCTGAAAATTGTTATTCTGTTGCAGCACTCCACCCTCCCTTCACAGCCCCAAAAAAGAGAAGTACGAGTGCTGCTGATGTTCAGGGTTTGAATATGTTTTGGTTTAAGATGTTCAGTGGAATTAGAGAGAATTTCATCCTGGGCAGTGCAGTCAGGCTGGAGGAGTATTTTGGTTTCATATTACTAAACCTTGTTTTCCCATCCCAGCTGCTTGTGTGCTATCTTGGGGCCACTGAGAACCTGGCTGGGCTCTGCGGGGTGGGAGTGTTGTCCCGGGGCTGAGTCCAGCCAGGGGTGAGGTCGTCTTGGTGCACATCTTGCACGTTGCATGAAGCTCAGAGCCCAGCTTGGCTCTTGTGAACTTCCCCTGTGGGGACACACCCTCCAACCAAAGTGAGGGTCCAGCGGCCACCAGGTTGTGACATGAGAGCCGTCGCTATTATTACTCATCACCTGCAGCAGCAGGAAGGGTGCCCAGACCACAGAAATCTTCTGTCTCTGGGCCCGTGCCTACTGCAGTTGGCAGAGAGCTCCTGAGCTCCTTCCCTAATGCGTGGTGGGAGAGCGCTTTCTTCAGCACTTTCTTCACAGGGTTTCCTGCAGTGGGAGTCTTCCTGATGCTCTTTACCCCCATACTTATTTCACTCCCAGAATCAAGGAGAACTGTTAAGCCATTCCTCAGTACGATGTGTCATGGCTGAAGAACCATTCATTCAAGACATTGGTGAAGAGGGTTCTTTCATTGCCTTTCTTCAACGACGGTTTATTTGCTGTCCATTTGCTGAGCACCTGGGTGGTGCCAACATGAACCCATTTCCTTCTGTGCGCAAGCCCCCCCTTTCTATTACCAGAGTGCAGATCCCAGCTAGCATGGTACGTGTGAGTGCGCTGTATAAAGTCTGGAACCACAATTAGAAAGGAAAGCCTTTCTAAAGGTATTTTGTCTTGATATTCATTAACCTATTAGATTGCCATTCTTTCATATCTAAGATGATCATAACATGTCTCATCCAAGCTGAGACACTTGTTATTAATCATTATTCTGGGACAATAGGGTAGGCCAGGATGGTCCCAGGCAAGCTGATGTCTAGAGTAATAACCCTGCACATATGAATCTTTTGAAGGATTGGGCATGATTTTTTTTTTTTTTTTTTTTTGCACTGGGGTTGGCTGGGGCTAGGAGTTTGTGATGAATCCTTCCAGTATTTTTCTGAAAACCAGTGAACTATTTTGTAGGTTTCTGTGTCGTTAGAAACATGCAAACCTATCCACTAAAACCACTCCAGTTGATCTATTAAGTCATTCGTTAGGTCTTACCTGGACTCTCTTCACTGTCACTATCATGATCTGTCCACATCACTGGCCCTTTCTCCTATCACCTAGCTCTCCTGTGAGCCCAGCACTGATATAAAGTGGTTTCTAGTCTTCTTGGACTCTCAATTTAACTTGCTTCCCATGGGAATCTTCTAACTGTTTCCCCAAACCACCTTGTAGACATTCATTTCTTTGTTTAGGATTCTAAGAATAGGAAAGAGAGACATAAGCTAGATTCCATTCCTGTTTCAGTAAGATTATCTTTCCAACACAAGAAAGGAATACATCTAAAAAATTCTTTCAGCATTTTTTCCCGCTTTATTGAGAAAAAAAAAAAAAGAAATACTCATGAGTACTCCAGGGCCTCGGTTGATAGTGTGACAAAAATAGTTCCAACTAAACTAAGTAACTCAAGGCTATTTGCTTTATCTTTGTACTCTTTCATGTGTTCCCGAGTCTTTTACAGATTGGGATGGTACACTTTGGTTTAAATTGCAAACTCTTGTATTTAACTTCCTCTGAATGATTCAGGACGGGGCTGTGGACCTGTTGACACTTGATGAGTATTGGTTTCTAGTGCAAATGATGACCTGTTGAAGGGCATCAGGCATATCTGAAGGTAGCTGTCCAACTAGGTCACGTTCCCATCAACACTGTATTGTGAATCTTTGGTAAGAAGAGTGATAACTTTTTGCAAAATGTAGTTTTTAAAAATAACCGTGAACTTCAGTGTCCCCAGTCAAAATAATAATTCATTTGGGGAACAATTTAGAGATTCTTTCGACAAATACAGAGAAATGGAAGCCAATCATATGCGCCTCAAGCATTTGATATTGGAAGAAAATCAGCATCTACTAAGTAACTCTTGTGAAAACCTTATCCATTTTTTGCTTTTTTGCACTTTTCAATCTGCAGCATAAATTAGGCCACAGGAAAAGGATGGCGTACCTTCAAAGAGCCAGTTGGGTTGGCTGTGTTCTTTCTATTCGTGGAAAACAGCTGTGGGTGCCGGGTGTTGAAGTCAGGCTTTTGTTCCATGCTAAGGTAGGAAGGTTTGTTCTTGAGACCTATCACTCTTCTGTGGAGGAGGAGTTCACAGATGGTGAGCCGCTTTATCACCATCTCGGAGGCTTTTGAAATATGTTGATAATGACCTGGGAAAGAGGGCCGAGTGGGATGAGGGTGGGAGTAGGAAAGAAACATTCGGCCCACACAGTGTTCATATCTTCTCTTGTTTTTGTATCTGTGGCAACTGCAGATTAAATGAATTAGGTTATTCTTTTCCATTGCCTTCTACCAAATAGAAGTACTTATTTAAGCCTTGCAGATTTTTTTCCTGCTGAGTGAAGCCTGAACTGAGCCCATGAAAGGTGATCTCTCCAAAGCAAGGGCTCCTGTTTCCTTCCTTCCATCCTGCTATCTCATTCAAGTGAAATTCCTGCCATGGCATTTATCCTGAGCTTTGTCACACAGGATTACTGTGATGGTCCTTACTATGAATGGAGTGTTAAGGTGTTTTCTTTAGCTCGAGATAAAAACCAGTTTTAGGAATGAATTCTCTTTTGCTGTGAAAAACATGTTCTAAGGGAACAAACCTCGCCTCATTTCCATTTTTACATTGAGCAAATGGTTGGGAAGTTCCTTTAATACTGTCTGTCTTGACTCATTGTCTCACTTTTTTTTTCCTGATTCTCTTGTGCGGGACCTTTTTCATCCCCACAGCTTCCGTATCGTCTGTATGCAGCTGATTCTCAAATGGGTATTTCTGCAAATTCCAGTTCTGCTTATATACTATTTCCTGATGACCCTTTCTATCTGGACTTCCTGTTGGCAGTTCAAATTAAACACATAATCAAAATATTTAATCCAAGACTAAACTCATCGTCATCCCTCCAAAACCTTCCTTGGACTCAACAGTTTCTCTTCCTGCTCTCATCACTATTCCGATCACCCAGGCTCAAAACCTAGGGTGCATTCTTCCAGCTTCTGCTCAGGTTTTTGAGCCCAGCATCCTTCACTGCCCTCCATTCCTCCCTCACTGGTCTTGCTGCCACCACCTTCTTAACTCTTCCCTAGGGGAATTCATTCACCTGCTCCAGTTTCTCCGCACTCCAGTTTATCTTATACTTTGTGATGATTTAATTAAAATTCTTCCCTGATTGTTTTTCTTCTTGAGGTGGAGTCTCGCTCTGTCACCCAGCTGGAGTACAGTGGGACCATCTTGGCTCACTGCAACCTCCGCCTCCCAGGCTCAAGTGATTCTCCTGCCTCAGCCTTTCAAGTAGCTAGGATTACAGGCATGCACCACCATGCCTGGCTAATTTTTGTATTTTTAGTAGAGGCGGGGTTTCACCATGTTGGCCAGGCTGGTCTTGAACTCCTGACCTCAAGTGATCCACCTGCCTTGGCCTCCTCGAGGGCTGGGGTTATAGGCATGAGCCACCCTTTTTTTTATTTTAAGGCTCCTCTTTTCCTAGGTAAGTCTTCATTTTCCTTTATCCAGCTGTTCAAATTCCTCTCTCCATCTTTCACTGCAACCTATGTGACATTTTCTTCATCATTCCCTGCTACTCCTTAGCAAGATTGCTATGCTCTGAACCCGCCCTGCCTTCTCTGTTCTGGGGATCTTTTTCCTGCTGTTTTTACATCCCAGAGTATTCTGTTCCCATCAGAATTCTCCATCCCTTAAGGCCCAGATCTGATCTCACCTTCAGGATGACAGTATCCCTGTTGGGAGTGACCCCGCTGATTTCTAAATCTTTACCACCTTTTCAGCCTTTTTCTTTTTTTTTGTGCCATTTTTCCAGGCCTTGTCACATGCTCTTTGATATTACTTTGATATACAAATGTTTGCTATACTTTTCCTTCTTCCTCTTCCAGGTTATAAACATGTTGAGGCCCGGGGCTGTTTTCTAAGTTGTTATTTTAGGCTTGTGTATATCCACCACCATGCCTTAAAAAAAGGCCTCACATTAGTAAGAGCTCAGTAACATTTGCTGAATGGATGAATGAAGTATGGTGGCTTTGCTATCTCTTACTTTACTTGTTCACTTCTCTCCTAGCTTCATTCATTCATTCATTCAACAATTACATATTGAGAGCCTATTATGTGCCAGGCACTGTGCTACGCATGTAGGTTTATCAGCAAGCAAAACAAGATCCCTGCCTAAATGTGCCAGCATTCTAGATTCTTCCTTAGACTCACCATCTTTGCATTCACTTTACTCAGCTCTTAAAGAAACAGTAGACAGTTATTGTAAATACTATTAGCTTTATATTTATGTTGTTCTTCTGTGATTAAACTTTGCTGCCAAGAACATTATGCTTTCTTGGTAGTTTGCAACTTGAGTTTCTGATTCTTAAAATTGGTTGCATATCCCAATGGCTGTGATGGTGTTGAAAACTCTACTTCTTTTCTCCCCTTGACTGCTGAACCAAATCATTTTCCAAGTTGCTCTGAAATATGGACAAAAGACTCCTTGATTTCAGCCCTATGTGCAGCATGGAAACTTTCACTAGGCTGTGCCTACTGACTAATAGCAAGTCAATGCCCATCTTCCCTTGGTTGCTTGCTAAATATTCTAAAACGAAAACAAAACAGCAGTGAATTATAGCCTAGCATCAGTAAGAATGGAAAACAACTGCTTTTCAAAGCTTGATTTGTATTGTTTTTAATAAGGAAGGAAAAGCTTTGTTATATAAACACATGAAAATATGGTAGTGTTCGTGGCAAGTATGTTAATGGATAATGTGCCTAAAATCTTTGCTGGGTCAGTGTCATTCCCTCTTTGTGATGCTGAAGGAAAGTCACAAAACAAAAACAACTCAGAAGAAGCTAATGTGTCATCTTCATGTAGGGATCTGTATTCAAAGTTCTTTTTCATTGTAGCTGTAATGAAACAGTATTTGTGGAAAGATATTGCACTCAATGCCAAAACCCAACAATTTTGTTTTCAAATTCCTAAAAACTAAAAAAAGAAATCTTGGTGACATAAATGTTCCAAAATCAAAATGTCCAAAATGAACTCATCAACTTCCTCCTCTCGCCTGCTCATCTATGTCTGTTCTGTCTGCTTAATGATATCACTGTCCACCCAGACAGAGCCCCAAACTCTTAAATCATTTTCAACTTGGTTTTCTCATCTGTGAGATAGAGCTTTCCTGGATCATCTCTTAAGATTCTTTCCAGCCCTGAAAGTCTGCATATCTGAGTTCTTCACTCATACTCCCCACATATCTGAATCCTGCTTCTAAAAGTCTCTCTTCCCTAGATCTCTGGTTTTTAGGTTTTTAAAATTATTTTATTATTTTTTTATCCTGCTGCTGCTGCTGCTCTAATTCAACCTCTCATTCCTTCTTGCATATGCTGTAACCTCCTAGCCAGTCTTCCTGTCATTTCAAAAATTATTCTTAAGTTTACCTACAGTAAAATTCATCATTTTTGTGTAGCTTTGTGGGTTTTGATAAATGAACAGAGAGGTAACCACTACTCTAATCAGTATACAGAACAGGTCAGTCACCCCCCAAACATATTTCA